>NC_000014.9:98361713-99611713 GCF_000001405.40 Homo sapiens | reverse complement strand
GCTCCCACCTGAAATCCCAACACTTTAGGAGGCTGAGGCAGGAGGATCACTTGAGGCCAGAAGTTCAAGATCAGCCTGGGCAACATAGTGAGAACCAATCTTTCTTTAAAAAAAAAAAAAAAAAAAAAGGCCAGGCACGGTGGCTCACATTTTTAATCCCAGGATTTTGGGAGGCCAAGGTGGGTGGATCACCTGAGGTCAGGAGTTCGAGACCAGCCTGACCAACATGGTGAAACCCTGTCTTTACTAAAAATTACCTGGGCGTGGTGGTGGATGCCTGTAATCTCAGCTACTCAGAAGGCTGAGGCAGGGGAATCACTTGAACCCAGGAGGTGGAGGTTGCAGTGAGCCGAGATAGTGCTATTGCACTCCAGCCTGGGTGACAGAGTGAGACTCCATCTCAAAAAAAAAAAAAAAAAATTACAGGTGGTGAGAGCCTGTAGTCCAAGCTACTCAGGAGGCTGAGGCAGGAGGATCACTTGAGTGAGTCTGGGAGGTTAAGGCTGCAGTCAGCCATGACTGAACCATTGCACTCTGGCCTGGGTGACAGAGTCTCAAATGAACAAACAAACAAAACTAGAAACAAATGTCTTCAACAGGAGAAAAGTAAAGGTAATATATGCATGCAATGGATCTAAGATAGCAGTAGTTCTTAGCCAAGGGCAATTCGGCAATGTATGAAAATATTTTTAGTTTTTAAAGTGGGGGACAGGGGTACTACTTCCGTCAAATGGGTGGAGGCCAGGGTTGCTGGTGAATGTCCTACAATGCACACAGTAGCCCCTCACAACCACGCTGAGGTTGAGTAACCTTGCTATATGGCTATGAAAATGAATGAACTACAGCTACATGTACCAACATAATGAGGGCAGAAGCACGCTGCAAATGAACACATGAAGGACCATGCCATGAAAGAGTTCAAAAGCATGCAAAATCAAACACTATTTTTTTTTGAGGTGGAGTCTTGCTCTGTTGTCTAGGCTAGAGTGCAGTGGCATGATCTCTGCTCACTGCAACCTCTGCCTCCCGGGTTCAAGCGATTCTCCTGCCTCAGCCTCCTGAATAGCTAGGATTACAGGCACCTGCCACCACACCTGGCTAATTTTTGTATTTTCACTGGAGATGGGGGTTTTGTCATGTTAGCCAGGCTGGTCTCGAACTCCGGGCCTCAAGTGATCCACCTGCCTTGGCCTCCCAAAGTGCTGGGATTACAGGTGTGAGCCACCGTGCCTGGTCTAAACACTATCTTATAAGGGAGAAATATGGTAAGCTGAAAGCACAGGAATAACCAACACAACACTGAGATTCCCAGATACCCTTGGGTCGGGGAAGGCTGGGACCTGTGACCAGGAGGGGCTGCAGGAGCATCAAAAGCAGAAGTGGTAATACTTTAGTCTGGGTGGTGGGCTCCCAGGCATATGCTTCTCAGTGTTCTTTGTAATATGAACCAGTTCACCATAAGAATAATATTAAGTGCATTGAGGCAATAGCCAGCTCTGCAAAGAACTCCCCTGACTCAGTTTCCCCAGTATGTTGAGCCTCCCTCTTGTCTTGTTCCATCAGGCGATGGTGTGAGGAGATGTCAGCAGCTAAAGGGGCAGGCGGAGAATTTCCATGGCTCTGGCTGGGAAGTCATGGAAAGGGAGGGGTCAGATGCTGACAGCCCCCATCAATCTCTTTATTTCCATCACACTTGGCTCTGGCTCTGGCCTGCCTGGCCTCAAAGCCTTCTCACTGTCTGCTAGTCTCAGTGATCTCCCCTCAAACCTCCTGTTGAGTGCTTTCTAATCACACACAAGTCTGGCCAGATCTCTCCTCTGCTCTAAGCCTTTCTGTGGCTCCCCACTGCCATCAGGTTATACTTGAGGCTTTTTGTCAACATGTGAGGCCCTTTGGGCTTCAGCTGCACCCTTGCCTTGCAACATCAGCGGTTCTAGGCAGCCGTCCTGTGCAGTGCGGACTTCCTGAGCTCCAGAAAGGTGCCTGGCACGATGGTTAACAGTGGGGATGAAGGAACCCATCCTCCCCTAGCCCTCTCACTGCTGCCCCTGGCGGTCCAGCATGTAGGGAAACTGGCAGTCCCAGCTTCATGCGGTTTCCCCACCTATAAATGTGGGAGTTGAGACACATGACCTCGGAACTCTGTGTTCTTGAGGATCCCCATATTCTGGGCTGGCCCCACCCCAAAAGGAAGAAGGTGGCAGCCCAGGGCCATACCCAGAATCCTTTGTAGCCCAGTCTGCCAGGGGCAAGCATGGGGTTTCCTGGACAATCCTTGTTTCACTGGACCTCAGTGTTTGCCTCTGGAAAATGGGTAGAAATATCCTCATGGGAAGATAGTCCTGGTGCAGAGGATGGGAAAGGAAGCGTGGCTCCCCTCCCCAGAGCTTTGCAAGAGCTCTGCCAAGTGCTTAACACTAGCTCTGTCAGGGAGGGCTTGGATGAGAATACTGGGGCTCTGAGAGGACAAGGGACTGGTCTAGGGTCACCCACCCAGACAGTGATAGAGTTGCAGGGAGACTGAGCTAATGACATGCAGTGTTCTATCAGTAGAAATAGCTGGAGAGCTCTGACCACAGGTGCCATCCAGAGGCGTCAGAGCCACTGAGGCTTGGTCACAACATGGAAAAGCCTGAAGCAGGAGGAAGTGGGTGGTGAACATGGGTCCAGGCACCTTGCAGACACTCAGCATCACAGAACCAGAGTCACAGCAGAAGAGACATCGCAGAGCATCCACCCCATTCCTCCTTCTTGAGAAGGGAAACTGAGGTGTGGGAGACAGTAGTCTATGGGGTCAGATACACTCTGGAGCTCAGATGGTCCTGGGTTCAAATCCTGGTTCAGCCACTTGCTAGCCATGTGACCTTGGGCAAGTGACTTAACCTGTGTGAGCCTCAGTTTCTTACTCTGTAAAATGGGAACAGAGGGTTCTTACCGCATCAGTGAGGAGTCAGTGAGACAATCTATGTGGAACTCTAGCACAGTGCTGGGTACCTAGAAAGTGCCCAGTCAACATTGTCCATATTAGTAACACTTAACCACTTTTCAGTGGACCCTGACTTCTTGCTGCTGGTAGCCTTTCAGGATGATACCTCATAGTCTGGCCCAGACCTGGTCAGCCACCATTGCCTCACTGTCCTGAAGAAGATTCAGCTACCACCAAACACTTTGTTGGCCATACCAGAGTCCTTGGGTGTCCACAAGCCTCTGAACACTGCCTGTAAGTTCACGCCCAATGAGCTGAGCTTCTTGGAGGCAAACAACCAGCCAATAAGAACCCATGTTCAATCCTCGAAGGGCTAATGACACCTCCTCATAGGTTTATTATAACCCTCAAAAGAGGACAGGTTAGAATCATTGGCATATACTGAGTCTAGGATAAGCGGCAGGTGGTGTTGGTTATTGTCATTGTCATTGCCATTATTATTAGATATCAGAGCTCCCAGGGAAAGGGTCCAGCTTCCTTCTGAGGCTTACAAAGCCCTCCTCTGCCCAGCTCCATCGCTCAACCTCTTCCCGACTTTCCCCACCCTGCTGTTCCCTTCTGTATACCCCAGCTGCAAGGTGTAATAGTGTCTCTCCACACCCCTCGCCTGCTCACCTCTGGGCCTTTGCTTGTACTGCTTCCTCCACCTGGAGCCTCCTCCCCACTCCACAAGACGACAAACTCCTTCAAGATTCACCTCCTCTAGGAAGCCACTCCCAGTGCCTGAGCATGCTCCCACAATGATGTGTTCTGCCCATTCTCATTTGCAGTACTTACCACAATGCATTGCAATGTGTATATATATATTCCCATTTAAATGTGTTTGTGTATAAATGCATATATACTCATAGATTTCCTCTATGTTCAGTGAGCTAATGAATGAAAGTGACCTTGGGCCAGGCATCTCCCTTCTGGGGCTCTGTTTTTCCTCACCTTCAAAATGAAGCCTCAGACTCAATCTGTCACGTACTGAGAGGTTTGACATTCACTCAGCAAACACCAAATGGTACTGCCTCTGGGGTTGGAGCTCACAGCCCCAACCATAGAGAAGAGTAAGAAAGTCCATTCCCCCTGAAAGTGAGGGGCACACTCTGCTTGTCACCAGCTTGTACCAGTACTCCCCCCACAGGCCCTAGGTTTTGGAGTATTTTGTCTACCATGTATTAGCATCTACCGTGTGTTAGCGTACCGGTTCTCAGCCCCTGCTGGCTCTCACAAATGTGTGTGGCTCTAAATGAACACACACATCCTGGGAGAGTCTTTAAAAAAAGGGGGGTAGAATGTTGGTGGGGCACCTTTATTTTGAAAAGACTCACAGCTACTTTCCCTGGGCACCTACAGTATGACTGTTAGTGCACCATGATTTGGTTTCACTGTTTTCATAACAAAGCAGAGTTGTCATGACCAAGGGGCTTAAGAAGCAAAGTCACTGAGGCAGGAGAATTGGATTGCTTGAGCACAGGAGTTTGAGACCAGCCTGGGAAACACAGTGAGACTCTGTCTCTATGGGGGAAAAAAGAAAAGAAAAGAAAATAGCCAGGCATGGTGGTGCCTGTGGTCCCAGCTACTCAGGAGGCTGAGGTGGGAGGATCTCTTGAGCCCGGAGGTTGAGGCTGCACTGAGCCAAGATCATGCCACTGCACTCCAGCCTGGGAGACAGAGTGAGACCCTGTCTTAGCCAAAAAAAAAAAAAAAAAAAAAAAAAAGGCAAAGTCACGTTGACATTTTGGGATCCTGGTTCTGTTGGGCTGTGAGTACTCCAGGGGGCATGGCACCTACTGCTGGACCCTGCGATATGGGCCCTCCGGGAGGGGGCTCTGGCCTGGGGAGTCCCTTTTCCTTCAGGACGCTGTTTCAGCCCTGGGCCCTCTCACCTCCTCTGGTCCTGTCCTGTTCTGCCCAAGCATTCCCAGCCCTGGTGTGGGGAGCAGAGAGACCCTCCCTCAAACCACCCAGTACCACCACCACTAGCACCTTGTCTTTGTTCTACCCTGAGGATGTGAGCAAAGCTATCAAGACTCCACAGAGGAACTCTTGGTCCTTGGTCCACACAGCCTGTAGATGACGCAAACAAACCCCACCTAGATAGAGGCTTCACTTTCTTCTTGGAAGTTCAGCGGAAGCTGCCAGCTCTGGAGGATCAGGGGGCAGAGATAACAGGCCCCAGGAACCACCAGGAGCCATGCACGAACGGGGAGGGGGTTCTCACAAAGCACAGTGCTGTCTCAGCAACTTCCCTGGTGAGCTGGTGGGTTTTTCCTATGGTGTATCCAACGTTTACGCTTCGATCTCCAGGGAGCAACTCTGTGCACAGGCTTCATTCTGCAGGGAGCCTGCAAGGAGCTCCTTGAAGTTAATATGGCTTCCTGGGGGTTGAGACAGACCTGCAGCTCCCCCAGGCAGAAGCTGAAAGCCCCTCCCTCTCTAAACCCAAACTGAGCTGTGCTGGACCAGCAGAGCAGTGCCTCAGAGGGGAGGATGTCCCCTCCCCTCAGGAGCTGGTTCTCTTGGGCAGGGCCTGGGAGACCCTCAGCATCCCTGGGGTTTAACCTTGGAAGCTGTGCTCAGCCCATCCTCTCCCCACCACCCTCCCCTGACCATCTGTCTGGAGAGAGTGGCGAACGGGTGGGAGATGAGATATTGAATCTGGACCTCTCTGTGTACTCCCCTCCATCTCTTCTCAACATGTGGGCCAGGGTGAGCCTCTTAAAAAGGTAAACCAGGTCATGTTGCTTCCCTGCTAAAACCCCACTGCCTCCCCAGCTGTCTTGGAATCATACATGATCTGGCCCCTCTGACCTCTGACCTCAGCTCTCACGCCTCTTCCCTGGCCCACCCCCAGCCCCACTGGCCTTCTTGGAACAGGTCTGTAACAGGCCAGCCCTAGGGCCTTGGCACTGGCTGTTCCTGCTGCCTGGAATGCCCTTCCCCTTATCTTTGTACCTTGCCAATCAGACTTCAGCTTAGATGTGCCTCCCCACCTCCCTGACCGCTGGATCTAAAGCAACTGATTATGCTTTCTATGACAGCAGCTCGACTTAATGCCCCGCACAGCACTTAAGACAAGTCTCATCCTGATCTAGCTCGTCTATCTTCTCCCCATCCTGCTCCCAGGACGCCAAGTCCCCCGCAGAGGGCAGTTCGGTGCCCTGCAGAATCCCCCGGGGCTGGAGCAGGCCCCGCGGCGAGTAGGCGCTGAGTACACAGCTGAATGAACGGCTTAGCAACTGTAAATGGGGCATCAGCTGCTGCGCGGGCGCGCGCTCCAGGCCGTGGGCCGCTCACTGTCGCGTGCGCGGATTTGATCTCGTTGCAGGTTCCGGGGGAGGGACCCCCCCCCGCCCCGCCCCGCCCCGCCTGCTGGCGGTAGACGCGCCGTAAATGCGCTTTGGGGACCGGAGGATAACGAGACAGACTTACAGGCAGTGGGAAGCCCGGGGGTCCCGCGAGGCCGCCGGTGGGGAGTTCTGTGGCCGGCTCGGCGCCCCCGGACCCCGGCGTTCAGGCCCCAGTGGGAGACCTTCCCACCCTTCCCAGTGGTTTCCACCCCGCGAATTGCAGATTATCTCCCGAATCCCAGGGATTTAGCGGTCGAGTGAGCGGAGGTGGAGCGGGGCTCCGAGCGCCGCTCCGGGCAGGGGGCAGGTTCCCGGAGCTCTCGCCCCATCGGGGCAGAGAGTACTGACCGCGCTGCGGGACGCGGCTGGCAAGGCCCTGGCCCTGCAGGGGCGCGGACGCCAGCGTTTAGCTCAGCCCTGGGCTAGGAGTGGAGACGCAGCCCCGCCGCGTGCTCCGGCAGGGGACCCGGGTGGGGACGGGGGCGGAGGAGCCTGGGGGCAGGGAAGGGGACAAAGAGCCGCCCTGCTGCGGGGAAGAGCGACCCCCATGTCACAGTCCTATTGTTCGCTGTGTCTCCGACTGCCCTGAACTCTGGTGCCCCCGGGAGGGAGAAGGGGCGCCGTCGCCCGGATCGTGGGTATTTGTTTATCTGGGGAGAGGGAAGAGGACCGGGGACGCGGGCCGGGGAGGGGGCTCGACTGCTATTTTCGCGCGTCGCCTTTAAGGGAAGCCCGGCCCTACCTTTCCCACCGTCCCCCTCCCCGCAGCCGTACCTGCATTTTAAAAGCGCCCTGTAGCCCTGGGATTGGCTAAGGCCGCGTCCTCCGGGCGCAGAAACTTGAACCGCCGGGAGCCGGCCGCGGGCGGGGGTCGGAAACCCCGCGGATGGACCGTACCACCGCCGCAGCTTCCCCCGCGCGCGCCCCGCCCCTCCCGCACACCCCCGGAGCGGCCCAATCGCCCGGCCGGGAGGGCGGGACCGCGGCCGGAACGCGCCTCTGAGAGGGCACTGGACGGGCGGGCGCACCGCGCAGGGGGACGGCGGGGGCCGCGCCTCTGCTCCCCAGTCGCCCTCGGGGGCGGGGCCGGGCCTCGGAGACCCGCCCACTCTCCGCCCGGGGTGGGCGGGGCGGCGGGGGCTCCGGGAGCTGGGCCGGGGGCGGGCCTCCGCCTGCTTCTCCAGAACCCTGAGAGCGCCCGGCACCGCGGCCGCCGACGCAGCAGCCGCCTCCGCTCGTCAACCCCGAGGCGCGCGGGCTCCCGGGCGGCCCCGGCGGGCGCGGCGAGAGGACGCGCCAGGCGGCGCGGGGCGGGCCGCACGCGCCCCCGGCCGCCCCCCGCCCGCGCGCGGACCGGCCCAGCGGAGCCCCGGCGCGGGGAAGCGCCGGCCGGGCGAGGGCGAGGGCGATGCCGCGGTGACGGCCCCGCCATGGCTAAGCCCGCGGCGACGGCGGCGGCGGCGTCGGAGGAGCTGAGCCAGGTGCCGGACGAGGAGCTGCTGCGCTGGAGCAAGGAGGAGCTGGCGCGGCGGCTGCGGCGCGCCGAGGGCGAGAAGGTGGGCCTCATGCTGGAGCACGGCGGCCTGATGCGCGACGTGAACCGGCGGCTGCAGCAGCACCTGCTGGAGATCCGCGGCCTCAAGGACGTGAACCAGCGGCTGCAGGACGACAACCAGGAGCTGCGCGAGCTCTGCTGCTTCCTCGACGACGACCGGCAGAAGGGGCGCAAGCTGGCGCGCGAGTGGCAGCGCTTCGGGCGCCACGCGGCCGGCGCCGTGTGGCACGAGGTGGCCCGCTCGCAGCAGAAGCTGCGCGAGCTCGAGGCGCGCCAGGAGGCCCTGCTGCGCGAGAACCTGGAGCTCAAGGAGCTGGTGCTGCTGCTGGACGAGGAGCGCGCGGCACTGGCGGCGACGGGGGCCGCAAGCGGTGGCGGCGGCGGCGGGGGCGGCGCCGGCTCCCGCAGCTCCATCGACAGCCAGGCCAGCCTGAGCGGGCCGCTGTCGGGTGGCGCGCCCGGCGCGGGGGCCCGCGACGTGGGCGACGGCAGCAGTACGTCCAGCGCGGGCAGCGGCGGCAGCCCCGACCACCACCACCACGTCCCACCCCCGCTGCTGCCCCCCGGGCCGCACAAGGCCCCCGACGGCAAGGCAGGAGCCACACGTCGGTCCCTGGACGACTTGTCGGCGCCGCCGCACCACCGCAGCATCCCCAACGGCCTGCACGGTAAGGACTACACGGGCCGGGCAGCGCGGGTCTCCCTGGCTGCAGCCCTTTTCCCAGGCTGCGGCGAGAGGAGGTGGTCCCTGGCTGTCCCACTCATGCGGCCGCCACTCCAGACTCCTCCAGCTGTCATGGATCCTGGGCCAGGGGATCCCGCACTCACCCAAAGTGGGGCTTTGGGCGGTGGTGGGCCGGTTCAGTGGTGGAGCGTCTTTTTGTCCAGCTCAGAACCTGCTGCCGGTCCGGTCCCAGAAAAGTTTCTAGCGGGTGTAGTTGCCAAAATTAGGGTCTGTCACTGCTGGGCTGGCGGTGGGCGCCTCATCCCAGCCTTGGAAATCCTTGCCTAGTAGCGGGAAGTTCTAAACAGCAAAGGATACAAGGCCCCTTGAGCGCAAGTGAATTTCCCCTCTTGCAGCAACAGGTGTCCTCCAAACCAAGCAGCGTCCACGTGTGTGCGGTGGCTGGAGTTCTGCAGTGGGGTGTGGGGATTGGGAAGGTGCACAGGCAGCCGCTTGAGACCCAGAGGCAGTTGGGGAGAGGCCTGGGGCTCAGAGCCTTTCTTGTTTGCCATAAATTCCGCCCTTCTAGTCCTGGGACCTTTCTCAGCCGAGACTCTAAGACTTTCCCGAGGGAGATGTATTTGGAACGGATTCTAGCTTTTCTCCTCTGTGTGCCTCAGTTTCTTTGTCTGTGAAATGGAGATGATGACCTCTGCCTCGTGGGTTTGAGGTGGAGATAAACCTTCTGAAGGGATTTATAAACTGTTGATCGCCTTACAGGAAGTGCCGTGGTCATCCGTGACCAGGGTGTGGGTGGGAGGAACTTTGGCCTCTGTCAGCTTCTGTCTTCTACGCCCATGTTACTGCTGCGCCCAGTGCAGAGGGTGGCCCCAGCTTGGGGCTGTGGGAGCTTGCAGCCTGCTCCCTCTCCCAGCCCCCTGCTCAGCCCTTCTGCTCCCTGCCAGCTTTCTCCTCCTCGCTGGTGGATCCGGGGCCTCCCTGTTCTTCCACGTTTTTTGGTAGCTTGGCTTCCAGTTCTGCTGGTAGTTGCAACTGCCTGAACTTTTTGCCTGAAGGTGGAGAATGAACAGCTCTTTCTGGTTCCCTTTAAAGCCTTTCCTAATTCAGAGAAAGTGTGTCTAAGCCTGCAATAACTGCCCTCCCCAGAACCCCTCAGCCTGAGCTGGGGAGGGACGTTTTCTCCTTAGTTTGGTGGCCAAGTGGCCTCTGCAGACGTGTTGGGGTGGGGGCTGGGGTGGGAGACATACCCATGGAGGTGGGGCAGGGGCAGTGCAGCATGTTTTTCCTTTATTTACCATCCTGAGCCTGTGGGTTCAAGGCAGGACTGGGTTTAGAGGGATATTTTGTTACTGATTAGCAATCTATGGCTACAACTCAGGTTTCTCTTTGTAACACTGTATCCACCCCCACCTCCCACCACAGGCTGCTTCAGGGCAGTGGGAGTAGCGCAAAGTTAGGTGGTTTAATTTGCTGGGGCTGTTCAGAGCACCTCAGCCCCTTTGATTTTGCCGTCCTGGGGGCTTTTGAGGGGTCAGTTATCTGGGCCTCGGTTTCCCTAAGTGCAGTCCAAAGAGCAGATTGCTGCAGTCTCGTGGCTGGAAAGTGAAATGTTTCTGGTTTTCAGCTGCGTCATCAATGACACTTGGCAAGAGTGCCTCTCTGCAGGACACTGGAGGGCTGGAGTGTTTAGAGCATACTTGCAGGAAAGGCTCTGTCGAGTTTTGGGCAAGGAGATGCGGCCCCAGTCTGGCTCAGCATGTCAGCTGCGACAGTGAATAATACAGGAGTGGAGGACTAGGCTACACTGAGTTTTCCACCCCACTGGGGGTCAGTGGGAGGTTGAAGTATAGGGTTTCCCACAGAACCCATCCTCCCCCAAGCCCACTTAGCACAGGACTGCTGCAAATGTTGTGGCAGCAAACCTTGCTTTGGGGTGAAATGAAAATTCAGCATTATTATTACAAATTTCGGTTACAGATGGAATTATTATTATTTAGTTTTGTCTCTTAAAGCCATGTGTGGCCTTGGGATGTGGTCCCACTAATGTAAATGGAAGGCTTGGAAACCAGGAAAGGCCCTTCTCTTAGAAACTGAGCTGTTCTTTCTTTCTTTTTTCCCTTTTTTCGAGACAGGGTGTCACTCTGTCACCCAGGCTAGAGTGCAATGGAACACTCATGGCTCACTACAGCCTCAACCTCCCAGGCTTAAGTGATCCTCCCAGCTCAGCCTCCCAAG
This sequence comes from Homo sapiens, assembly GCF_000001405.40. NCBI lineage: Eukaryota > Metazoa > Chordata > Mammalia > Primates > Hominidae > Homo > Homo sapiens. The sequence continues at coordinate 99,600,914 of NC_000014.9, read as the reverse complement.
TAGCTGTGATTAGAGCCATGAGCCACCTCACCTGGTGAAACTGGGCTTTTCTATTCTGGGACTTGTAACTTTAAATTGAGCAAAGATTGGGCCTGAGCTGAGGGAGATAATGAGTCTCTGTCTGGGTGGTGTCTAAAGTGGGGTCAGACACCAGGCTTGCGCCTTATGTGTTTGGTCTTTGCTTCTTCTCACAGGAACCCTGGGGAAGCAGTATTATCCCCATTTGACAGACAAGCAAGTGGAGGCTTAGAGGGGTTCCTAGCCTTGTCTGGGAAGGTGGCTGACATTGGAAGTACCTGTCCTGGGTGGGTTTGCTGCCATGATCATCTCGTGTTCAGGCCTTGGGTCTGAATCTGTTGTGCCCTTGGTCTGTTGTCATGTTTGCTGTTACTGTTAATCAGGGGACACTGGTGACTCCCTATTCTTGATTCCTGACCCAGGTTTGCCCTCTTTCTCCCATGCTGGGAAGTGTCACTTCCTTATCAGTGACCATTGAGCAGATGGCTGATAACCCCGTTACCCAGAGGCTCAGGGTGACTTGAGTTTGAATCTCAGCTCCTCCATGTATACTGGGCAAGTTATTAACTGGCCAAGCCTCTCTGTGCTCCTCTTCTGTAAGATGGACAGAACCCAGAGTGCCCCATTATTCACACAAGGTTGAGTGAGGTCAGGATCTACACACAGTAGGTTTCTCCTGTTGTTAGGGTCCTTGGGGCTCTCCCAACAGACCTCAGTTTCCTCTTCAAAAGTGCTTGCTGCTTAGACAGCTCACCTGAATGTTTGCATCTGAGCCTCTTGTGTGGCAGCACTTGCTGATGAGCTAGTGAGGACAGTGGCCCTGCTGTCCTTTCTGGGGAGCTGGTGGCAGTTGCAGCCCTGCTGGGTGCCCTGGGCAGACTCTAGTGGCTGAGGTGGGAGGTGGCCCATCTGTATGCAAGGCAGCCCTGGCTGAGGCTGGCCTGGTGGGCCTGTGTATTGTGTATGTACATGCAAATAGGCTTTTCTCCTTGGCTGCTTATTTATTTATTTATTATTTATTTAGAGACAGGGTCTCTCTGGTCACCCAGGCTAGAGTGCAATGGCACCATCATGGCTCGCGGCAACCTCAACCTCCTGGGCTCAAGTAATCCTCTTGCCTCGGCCTCCTGGGATGTGTGCTACCATGCCCAGATAATTTTTGAATTTTTTGTAGAGACTGGATCTCACTATGTTGCCCAGGCTGGTCTCGAACACCTGGGTTCAAGCAGTCCTCCTGCCTTGGCCTCCCAAAGTGTTGGGATTACAGACGTGAGCCACTGCACCTGGCCTTGGCTGCCTTTGGTAGAGGTCTGGTCTGGGCTGACTGGACTTGGGACTGGGCTGTGCGTTGCTCTAGTCCAGTGTGGCACACTGAGACAGGTAAACCCCAACACCAGAAAGTCAGGTTCTCCTTCATGAACTGATAGGATTTTCAAACAAAAGAATTTTCAGTTCTTTTTCCAGCTGCCCCTCCGCCTGTCTCCTGTGCCCCACGACAGGCACCATGCCCCCCTCCTGCCCATTGCCAGGCATTTCCTTCCCTCCCCTGATAACCTGCTCCTCCACGGTCCACTCCCCTTTAGCCAACCTGGAGGAACTAGGATTCTAGCAAGCCTGTGCATGAGCCCCATTTACTTTTTAAAGTTCGGATTAAAATTTTGAGCTTCTCAAAATGAGACAGGTTTGTTCTCCTGCTTGTGTTTTTGTTGGTTTAAGAGGGAGGATGGAACGGGGTGGTCTGGGCCTTTAGAAAAAGACAGAGCACGCTAACTCTGAATAGGTCTTTTCTGTGCAGCAGCTCGGCTAATAAGGCTGCTTTTCCTAAACCCAGCCAAGCTCAGGAACAAAGGTCAGTGAAGACAATGGGGTGGGTTAGATAAGCCTTTCCCCCTCCTTCCCCAGCCTGTCCCAAGGGATCCATCAATGGCCTTGGGATGCTGGGCCTCAGAAAGGAGGGCTGGCCTTGAGAGGCTCCCAGGCAGGTGACCCAGGGGTGGGTAAACTGTGCCCAGTGCTTCACAGTTTGCCACAAACAGCATCCCAGTCCCAATTCCATTCTGTTCAGAGCTTCCAAATGGTCCCAGGAGGGAGACCTTAGCATCTCCATATCTTAGATGGGGAAATCAGGGCTTGGAGTGGTGGTGCGGTGACTTGCTCTAGGTCCTGTGGGGCTGATTGGGGGGCCTGGGATGCGTCTTGGGTCTCCTGTGTCAGAATTCTGAGCCCATGGCCCTGTGCCTGCTGCCCAGAGAGTTCCAGGGGAGCGGTGACCTCTGCCACAGAGACAGGGCACCTCCTCCCAGGATGCCAGGCCCGGGGCCTCATTCCTGTCTCCCTGTGTCCTGGCATGGAGGAGTGGGGGAAGGCGGTGCAGGGTGGGCCACCTTCCCTACGATGGCTGTGGCTCCCCATCTCTTGGTTTCTCCTTCCCTCACTTCTCTGCACGAGGCTGGCTTGCCACCGCAGCAGTCGCCCCACCAGACCTCTTGCTCAGGCCTGGCCTCTGAGTTCCCAGGACCAGCACGTGATACAGAAGGAAATCAGTGGTTGCTCCTAATCTGTTTTCCGCCGGTGGGGATTTTCCAATCCATGCTTGTTGCCTTCATTTGCGCAGAGAATTGGAAGTCTGTTAAGCAAGTTCCTGAGCCTCCATGGGCCTCTGTTTTCTCTTTTGCCAAGTGGGAAAATGTTACTAACCTTTGGGTTGAGGGAGGAGGGTGTGTAGTGAGTGATACGTGTAGCCTCTGGCGGGTGGCAGCCCCTGATGTGCGAAGGCCCCATCTCCCGCTGCAGCGCTCGGCACCCCGCATGCCGAGGGGCATGTAGCCCTCTGGTTAGTGATCTGCCTCCAGGGTCAGAGAGCCCTGGGTGAATCTTGGCTTTGCCACCTGCTTTATGGCCGTGGCAGCTTACTGAACCTCTAAGCCTCAGTTTCTTCATCTATATCCTGAGGCTAATAATGTCTCGATCCTAGAACTGGGCCTTAAAGGATGGGTTCCATGTCCTTTCATTATTTCCTGGCCTCTGCGGATTTGCCTTCCCTGGGTGGGAGTGGGAGATCCCCTGACACACGCTGGTACCCAGTGTAGGGTCGGAGGCAGCTGAGTCCTCATCTAGTTGAATGGAGGGAGCCAGCATTCCAGGCAGGAATAAGAATGGCTAAGGTTTGGAAGTGGGGTCTGGAGCATGGCATTGAGAATCCGGGGCCTGCAAGGTGGACCCAGGATGTGTGTGGGGAGATAACTCTTAGGGGGGTTAGTGCTGTGGGCAGCCCCACAGGGCAGACCCCAAAGTCCCAGCTTTTCAGACTTCAGTGCCCACAAGCAAGAGTGGCCCAGGTGGCCTGTGTTGCCTCCAGGGCTGGGGAGCGCTGTGTCAGGGGAGGTTGCGTGGACACTGAGAAGGGGCATTCCTGAATCCACTGAGGATGGGGCTTGTGGACACCCCAGACAGCTCTGGGAATCTGGTTGAGATGTGGGTTCTAAGACACGCCCCACATTACAACTGGGAAGGGAAAATGCCCAGCTTTGAATGTGTGTGTTCAATCCAATCTGGTTGAACCCAGAGCCAGGTGGGAAGCGGGACTTGACCTCACAGGTGGTAATTTGCTCTTCAGGAGGAAGGGAAGCGTCTGCGGACTTCACTGAGCATTTACTGCCTCTGAGGTCTGAGTGCCTCCTGAGCAGTGATTCTTGGAGTCTGGCTTGGGGGGTGGTGGTTCTGGAGCATCACTCTGGTGACCACTGTGGTGTGGGCTGGGCTGGGGGAGCAGTGGGTGGAAGCTGAGGGCTTCCATCGGGAGGAGGTTCTGGCCAGGAGAGTGGCCACAGGAGAGAGCCTTCTGTAGGTTCCAGACCTGGTGAGTCTGCTCCAAAGTCCTGCTCTCAGCTGCTATCTGCCTTCTCATGACCTCTGTCCTCTAGGGCAGGCGTCCTGAGCTCTTGGGTGGGGCTCAGGCAGGACAGCGCCTGTGGGAGATGCTGCCGCTCCCAGGTGGCTGCTGTGCCCTCCATCCCCAGCGCTGATGCTGCTCCCCGCTACTCCCATCCCTACATCTAGGGTGGTTGGGATCAGCGTCTGGGATCTAGGCAGGGACCACTCTGGGGTTCAGAATTCTCATCTCCCTGCTACATAACAACAAGAGACTCTATTGGCATCCCCAAAGGCTTGGGGATAGAGGAACAAACTTGTCTGCTAAAGGGACTTGATGCTTCTTTGATCATAACATGTCAGAAATGGTCCCCCTCCCCTAGGCAAGCACCCAGGATTGGACACTCATACATCCCCTGTCCTCACAGGCAGAGGGTTCTGGGCAGGCCTGGAGCCGGGTCAGCCGGGGATGGGTGCCTGTTCTTCAGCAGGTCACCGCTGACCTCCAGCTCTTGAGGGGAGCAGAGCAGAAAGATCAGGATTGTATTGACTGCCTGTAAGTGTTCTTGGGTTTGCCTTATGTGTACTGTTCAAACAGAGGCGTGGAGCATGTTTAACTACAGTAGATGGCCCTGGGGAGGAAGCGAGGGTCTGATTCCCTTTCCTTCTTCCTGATTCCTCAACGGCAGAGACATTCTGCCATTTCCTCAGTTCAAAGCTGGGCATTTTCCCTTCCCAGTTGTAATATGGGGCGTGTCTTAGAACCCATGTGGACATTTGCTGGCAGGTCTTCCCCTCTCTGCCCCTGGAAAAGCCCTTGAGTAGACTGTGTCTGCGGCTGATGGTATCTGAGAGTGGAACAAATGCCAGGCCCGGGAGAGCCGGAAACCCCTGAGCAAACTTCACAGAGTCCTAAGGCACTAAGAGACTTGAGAAAGACAGGGGCCCACCCCAGGGCCAGCCACATGGGTGCTGGAGCCCTCCCTGCCCACCTGGGGCCCTCTGTCATTACTGTCTCTTCATCTGGGAGTTTATGAGCCTGGGACTCTGGTCCTCTTGACTCCCAGCCTTGGCACAGAGTGGCAGGTTCTGAAAGTCTTTTGGATGGAACAAACGTGTGCCTGGCACTGTGCTGACAGCAACTGGGTTTTCTCTCACTCGCCTCCCACAACAGTTGCTGGTCCCCATTGGGGTCCCTGTTTCATCTAAGGAACAGGCCCAGGATGGTGAGGCAAGTTACAGCAGGGGCAGGGTGGGGCTGGGCCAGGTCAGGGACTCCCGTCCAGTTGAACCCGGAGCCTGTGCCAGCCGGTATGTCCCGGTTCCCTTGCCCTGTGGGTGTGATTATTCATCATGCCCCTTTCCCTCAAGGAAATGCCCAGGTTGGGCTCTTAACCTCTTCAGGTGTGCTGGGAGCTCAGAGGAGGGGTGGCCGAATTGGGAACTGAGATGGGCCTTGAAGATGGAGTTAGTAAAAGCAGAAGAGAGCAGGTAAGAAGAGAGACCAGGCTTCGCAGAAAGAACAGCTGAGCTGGGCGGATCACCTGAGGTCAGGAGTTCAAGACCAGCCTAGCCAACATAGTGAAACCCCATCTCTACTAAAAATACAAAAATTAACCAGGTGTGGTGGCACGCGCCTGTAATGCCAGCTATTTGGTAGGCAGGAGAATCTCTTGAACCCAGGAGGCAGAGGTTGCAGTGAGCCATCGCGCCACTGCACTCCAGCCTGGGCCACAGAGCAAGACTCATCTCAAAACAAAACAAACCAAAACCAAAACCAAACGAAACCAAAACAAAAAGAAGAGCCGAGCAAAGTCATGCGGTGGGCATTTGCCTGCACCTTGGGTTCAGCTGGGGTGATGGATGAGTGGGGACCCAGGACAAGCACTGGGGCAGTGAGCAAGGCCAGGGCCGGTGGGGTCTTTGAAGCCTCTTCTACTGTCCCTGAAGTCCCTAGGTTGGGCTTTCCTTCGGGGTGTGGGCAGTTCTAGCTCTAACCTTTTCTGATGGACTTTCCAAGAGGACCCAGAGTTACCTGTTAGAAGTCCTATTAGAAACTGGAAACTTTTTACAGCTTATCCCCATCTTTCCCCTGCTCCCCACCTGATAAATATGCAGACACATCACCTGCTGGGCCTGAGTGGCCTTGTCAGCTGACATGCTCCCTGCCTGGGGGTCTTGGAAGATTACTAGTGTTCTGTGGATTGGACGATCCAGACAGAACCAGTGGCTTCAGCCCACTTGAGACCCAACCATGTGTAAGTCTGTGCCTCTCCCTGGGCCCTCATTTTCCCATCTGTAAAATAGGAAGCTTGGATGGGCTGAGCTGAGAGTCCCAGGGACCCTCATCTCTTCTGGCCCTTTGACTCAGAGCCACAAGGAAGGGGTGGCCTCCCCTGCCCATCCTGCCTCCTATCGGTCACTCAGTGGTCCTATGAGCCAGCTCTTTTATATTCCTGGGAATTCTCTTCCTATGCCCTACAGCCTGGGTTTTATCACCTGCCTCGTGGTTGGTCCTTGCCTTGGGGCAGGTGTGGGGATGGTGAGGCTACCTGTGACCACATGGGTCCCACTGTGGGGCCTAGAGATGGTGACCTGTCTAAACGCTGTTTGAGGCTGAGACCCTGGCCCAGACCAGCCTCCCCTCCTGCAGGGCCCCAGTGGAAGTACCTGCCTCCCCTATCTGATTGCCTCTGCTTAAAGGACTCAGTAAGGGGTTTAGTGCAAGAGGAGAACACTGAGCTTCAATTCCTGGTGCAGGTTTGCTGGGGACAAGGCTGCATGTTCCTGGACTCGAGGTTCCTCTGCTTGCTGTCCTGTCTCTCTCCCAGTCCAGAATGTTGTTGCAATGCATAGTCAGTGTTGGAGGGAGGAGTGAACAGTCCCGGAAGGACTGACCAGGTGCCAGATAGTGGTTGACCCACTTTGCCCACCTGTCCTTCTTTTCTCATTTGTACACTTGGCACCGAGTTAAATAAGTTACTCCCCGCCCCCCGCCCCCACCCCCAGCAAAATCAAACCTCCCCAAGAGGGTGGTGATTTACACAACCCCACCTTCCCCATTTCCCCTGAATAATTACTAAAATATATACCTTTTGGCTTTCACCAGTGGTTCCTAATTGTGGCTGTATATTAGCTATCACTTAGAAAACTTTAAAAAATACCAGTGCCCGTGCCCAGCCCCAGAGATGGGTGCAGTTGGTCCTGGTGTCATTGGAGGCTGTGAAGGCTCTGGAGGTTCTGCTGGGTGGCCAGAGCCAGGATCCCGGAGAACAGCCATGGGCCCTTCCAGCAGGCCAGCTAGGGGCGAGGATGCGCCCACACTGGGCACCACAGAGCCTGGCTGGCCAGGGTTGGGAGACTGGTGTCAGTTCACGTTAGCAGTGAGGAGTAAACGGCCCTGCCTGTGTTGCCCCCTCGCTGACCTGTGCTGCACAGACGCCGGAGAGATGGCTTTGGCGAGGCTGTGGAATGCCATTTTGGGCCCTGGATGCACCCTGGCTTGCACCCCTACCTCCCTGCCCCAGGAGCTCGAATCAGCTGCCAGGCATCCCCATGGAGGTGGCTGCCTCCGCCACCCCACTTTCGCAGGGCTGGACAGGTGAGGCAGAGGCCTTTCTAGGCTGTTTTGAAGGGGACAGAGGCAGGCAGGGCCGGTGGCACCGAAACGGCAGCTATGGAGAAGAGTCGACCCATTTCCAAAAATAGACCATCCACTGTCAGGGGAAGCATCTCTTTGTCTTCCCAAATCTGTCTTTCCGTTGGCTCCCAGGTTGTAAGGCAAGAAGGAGGCCCGCTCTTGTCTAGGAATCAGAGGCTCCTTTGAGCGCGGTGCTCCCCCGCCCGCCACAAGGGCCCGATTGTGTGGGGCCCTGAATGCGCCCGCCTGTCACCGCGCACGGCACCGGCCCGGCTCCCTAATGAGCCCGCTCTGGGAGTGGCCCTTTGTGGCGGGTTCCGGCCACACTGCCCATGCCAAGGCTCTGTTTCCCGGCTGCTTAATATCCCTCAGCGGCTGGTGGAACAATGGGACGCTCCCCCCACCCAGCCACCCTTTCTCCAGAAAATTAAGAAGCTAGTTTCTCCCTCTTTCGGCACCTTCTGTCCTGGCTGGCAGGGGAAGGCTCCCCTCTTCTCCCCCTCGCCTTTGCCCAGCCCCTCCTGGGGGACCTCCCTCCGCTTCCGCCATTGTCTCCTTTCTCTTGTTCCTTTTGGGTCTGTCCTCTGGCTCCTTCCCCACAAACAGGCTCACGTTTCCTGGTCCAAAGCAACACAGAGCCCCTCCTGTCTACTGCTCTGCCCCTTGGCCTTCCTCCCTTTGCCAGAGGATAAACCCTAGAGGCTGAGGCCACCTCCTTCCCCATGTTTGCTCCTTGGCCCTGGGCAATCCCAAACCCTGAGAATGGTGGCTCTGGCTCTGTCCAGCAGCCTCTTCTCATCTCAACTTCCTGGTGGCATCTGATTTCCCCCTGGGATTGTCTTCCAGAATGGGGTGGTGTGCTGGTCACCTAGGACCTCTTTGAGCAACTTCCAGCACTCTCTCCAGCCCCTCCTGCCCAGAGGGAAAACATCGCCCTGGGCTGGGCTGAGCAGTCTCTCCCTACCTCTTGCTCCTGGCCTTGAGGCTCAGGTGTCCAGATTGCTGCTGGTGACTATGCTATTCACCTTGTGTCTTCTGGGTTTGGGTCCCTTCCTCTCTCCCCTGCACTCCTGCTCCCCTGCCTAACCCACGACCCCTCAGAGTCAAGGTTTCCTGGCTCTAACCCCGAGTGGTGTCCACTAGCCATATGTAGCTGCTTCAATTCACTTTCATTACAATTAAATGACATGCAGCTGTACCGACCACCCTGCCTTCGCATGGGCTAGTACCGTGCTGACAGCGAGATGGGGAAAATTCCATCATAAAGGGAATTCCGCTGGGAAGCCCTGGTCTAGACGATTCTTCCTTGGGCTTTGTGACTCCTACTTGTCCACGGAAAGAAACCTGAAAGCTGGCTGGGTGTGGTGGCTCGCGCCTGTCATTCCAGCACTTTGGGAGGCTGAGGCAAGCTGATCACCTGAGGTCAGGAGTTCGAGACCAGCCTGGCCAACATGGTGAAACCTCATCTCTACTAAAAATACAAAATTAGCTGGGCATGGTGGTACATGCCTGTAATCCCAGTTACTCGGGAGGCTGAGGCAGGAGAATCTCTTGAACTTGGGAGGTGGAGGTTGCCGTGAGCGGAGGTCATGCCACTGCACTCCAGCCTGGGTGACAGAGTGAGACTCCATTTCCAAAAAAAAAAAAAAAAAGAAAAGAAACCAAGAAACCTGACACCTGAGTATGGAGTCGGGGCTTCCTGCCACCTCCCCACCCTCCCCACCGGCTGCAGCGCTTTACCACCCTGGCCCTGGAGTTGTGGCCCCAGGACCACTTGCTGTGCAGAAGGCACATTGCAGGCCCTCAGGTGGCCCCCCCGTCCTGCCTCCTGCGCAGATTGAAATCCTGCCCTTCCTCTGAGGTGCAGGGCAGCCTTTGCAGCTGGCTGGACTACAGGATGTGGGACCTGCAGCCCTCGCGCACTCAGCATCCGTGGGAGCCGTGGGAGCCGTGGCAGCCTCCGCAGCCCCAGGCCAGGCTCTTGGAGGATGTCCTGCGGCTGTAGGTGCAAGGCCTGCCCACACAGAAGAGGCTGGTAGCCTTGAGCGGGCGCATGTGGGGGTCCACGTGTCTTGGCAGGAAACCTAAGCCCAGAGAGGGCTGCACAGCTCCAGGGGTCTCCCCGGCAGAACCCAGCCAACTGGTTCCCAGCCGCCAGCACCTTGTTCTCGAAATGAGGCCGCAAAGGCTTCAGGATCAGAAAACAAAGAACGTGGCTTTTAAACGGTGGGGTGGGGACAGATTGGACATCGGCCAGCGAGGCACCCCCTCCCTCCCAGGGAGGCTGCAGACTGCCCTGGCCTTGTCACTAGGGCTTTGAGCATCCTCCCCTCCTGTCCTCTGTGCTGCCGTCTTCCCTTGGCAGCGGCTGTGGCAGGCAGGTGCCTCTTGGGGTTAAATGAGCCGCCGTGTCCAGCTGCCGGCCATTACTCTGGCCGTCCCTGGCGGATAAGGCCATTAGCACTGCAGCTGAGGCTCTGACTCTGGGCTTGGCCCCTGCTCACTGCAGCCTTGTGGTGCTTTCCTGTCATGACTCATCGAGCCTCTGGTGTGTTGGTTGGGGGTTGGGGGGCATCAGGGTGGCATCAGTGTGATTACAGCAGCAGAGTGCACCGGGAGACTGGACCTGGGTCAGACTGACCCCAGCCCAGCTCCCAACCTGTCCCCTGCTAGGACTTGGCTGGGACACTTGCTTCCTCCATAAACAGAGGCTTCCCCTACCTTGTTGGTTGGGAAGGTCACGTGAAAGCCCCTTCTGGTTTCTTTTTTTCTTTTTTTAAGCCACTAGACCACCAGGAAGAAAGGAGACCTTTCCAAACTGCCTTATTCTGGAAATGCAATGGCAGTGTTGATGGTAGGGGGAGCTGTGGCAGGCAAGGGGGTCTCTGCTGTCAATGGCCCTGGAGGCCCCCGGTACCCCCGACAACCCATCAGGCCTCCCAGTCTTCTCCTGCCGCTCCTTTTTTGCTGAGCTGTCCCCATCAGCTGAGGGTTTCTGGTGAGCCTGCCACCAATGCCTCTGCCTGCTCCAGCTCTGCCCTGTCACATTCCTCCTGCTGACAGGTTGGACGGAACAGCGCAGGGAGTATGGTCAGGAGGCCCTCGGGATGCTGCCTGCCCTCCTGCTGGTGCCCCCACCCTGGAGGGTAGTCCCCAAGACTAGGAGTTTGGAGGACCCCAGGAGTGGTCAGGAGGCCTTGGGATGCTCCCCACCCTTTTGCTGGCGTCCCCAGCCCAGGGCTGCTCTGATCTGCAGAGACTCTAATCCCTCTCCACCGAGTTAAAAGCTTGTCCCCCATGAGGGCTGGTCTGGTGTGGGCAACATGATCTGCTGTGAAGTGTGTGGTGCTGAAATGTTGTGCGAAACCCTGGATGAAAAGACCTCTTGTTTGGTGCAACCCAACCTCTGAGCAGGAAGGAGGCAGAGGGAGAGCAGCCATCCCCGGGGTCTGCCCTCCTGCCTGCAGCAAATGCGCCGTGGGCGTGGCTGCGGTGGAGGGGGTCACTTGGGCTCTCGGAACCCCTGGGTGCAGGCAGGGGTGTAGGCAGTGGCGGGATTCTCCTGGCTGTTGCTTTATTTTGGGGATCATGACAGAAGGCAGATACCTGGGCCAGCTCAGGGCCGCCCATGGCCCCATAGCAGCCCCTGCTTCCTCTCAGCAGCCTGTCCTCCTCTCTGCAGTGGTCACATGGGCAGTGGCCTCTGCAACCCATCAGCCAGTGCATCTACAGACTCCTTAACTGGGACCCCTGAACCCCCAAAATGACTGTGCAGTCCTGCATTTTTCCTGGAATAGGGACCGCAGCTCTAATCAGAGCCCAAAGTGGTCCATGACTCAGGAAAGATGAAGAATCCAGGTAGGAGAGTTGGTGAGGCTCCTGCCTGAAGCCTTTAAAAAATAAAAATAGATCAACTGAATGCACGTTCGTGGTCGGGAGGCTCCACAACCGAATGCACGTTCGTGGTCGGGAAGCTCCACAACTGAATGCACGTTCGTGGTTGGGAAGCTCCACACAGAACACAAAGGCATAGAGTCGAGTAAAATCCAACAGCGTTCTGCGGGTGCTGGTTACCCTGGGCGCCCAGCCGTCCTGGCTGTGTCTGTTGTCTGGCGGATCTGGGCCGTGGCTGTGTGCTCCCCCCTGCCTGCTGTCCTCAGGGCTCACTCTGTTGATCCCGGCCGTGGCTGTGTGCTCCCCGCTGCCTGCTGTCCTCAGGGCTCACTCTGTTGATCTGGGCCGTGGCTCTGTGCTCACCCCTGCCTGCTCTCCTCAGGGCTTACTCTGTTGACACTGCTTGGGCCTCTTTCCTGAAGCTGTTTTTGTTTATATGAGGGCTTTAGGGTTGGGTCGATGTTTTCATGAAAACATCTGCTTCCTGGACTTCTTCCTCCTGATTATTTTCTTTCTGCCTCAGTCTCTGACCAGTCTCCCCAGGCCTCAGTTTACCCACATATGAGGTGAAGCAGTTGGTTCACATCCATGGTGCTCGGAGACCCCGGAGGAACTTGGGGAAGCTGTAGGAGCTCAGGCCATCCTTTTTGTCAGCCTTGCCCAAGGCTGCTCCTAGCTTGGCCTCTTCCCTCCATCTAGTAGAACCAGTACTTTTGGGGGCTTTTTTGGGTATTCCTGCTGCTTGGGGCTTTGAAGACCTGCAGTGGCCTGGTTTCTTACTTCAGGACCACCTTCCAAGTGCTTATACGGGTGGGGGAATGACCTGACCCCAGACCAGAAAGGGCAGCCAGGGGACCCTTTGCCACCACCTGTGCCAGGCTTCCCTCTCCCCAGCTCGCTTCCTCAGGCCTCCCGGGCCAGCGCCATCGCCAGCAGGAGCAGAATAAAAATGAGAAAATCTCATTTTCTTTTGAATTACAACCTTGATCTCTCCTTCATACTCCCACATCAGGCCTCTGGTGACTTTTGGATGGGTCCGTGGGCTCTCTTTTCTCTGGGTAAATATACAGGCATTGACTGGCATTGGCATCTGGAAACAGCAGGCTTAGGAGCACCCGGCGGGGCCTGGGGTGAGGAGAAGGTGGTTTGTGCACAGGACTGGCCGGCCTGGCTGAAGCCACCCTGGATGGGTGTCCTCACCAATGTTTAACTCAGAAAGGTGCTGGTGTACCACCATGCCAGCTGCATCCCAAGCAGGTTGGACTCGGCATTCCTTTGTAGTGGGAAAGACTGTCCCAGGGTGACTGTTGTGTTCGGCTGAGATGCTTGTCTCCCCAGACCTGCCCCTTGTTGGTCTGCTGATTGGCAGCTGGAGGAACTGGGGACGACAGACCCAGTGGGGAATCCGGCCCAGGAGGCCTGTGCAGGCCTGGGGGTGTGGAAGGGGATTCAAGTGAGGGCTGGCAGGCACAGGCGAGCTGGAAGGGCTGAGGGGAGACCAGAGGGCACTGGACTGGAGCTTGCCACGTTCTCCACGAGAACAGGGATGCAGAAGCTGGCCAGGAGGGCAGTGTGGCTCTGTTATTTGTATGGCAGACATTTCTGTGGCTGGCTGTGATGTGGGGGCTCCAGGCTAGAATGGCCCCCTGCCTGCTGCACCATCTTACTCAGCGCCCGGGGATGAGACTGCGGGAGAGGTAGAGTCAGCCCCCGTGCAGTAAGGGGGCACAGGGGTCCTCAGGCGCATGACTGTACGGGGGTTCTGCTCCAGGGTCCCTGCTTGGCCGGCCTGCCTCCTGAGATGCGTGGCTGCCCTCAGGTGCTTAGGCCTCTCCCCCACGCCAGGCCCATGACCTTTCCCAGTTGGGAACAATGAGCAAGGCAGTGTGGCCCAGAAGCGGGTGAGTGACTGACCTTGCGGAGGGGCTGTGAGGGACAGGGCTGGCTGGGAGCCTTGGAAGGTCTTTGTTCCCTGTGAGGTAGACCCTTGGCTTAGAGCTCTCTGGGCCATCCCATAGGGGGATAGAATAAATCCATGTACCCTGTTCTTGGTTTTTCTTTTCTTCCTAAACAAAATCTCCCCCAGAGGCCTTAAATGAGACTTAGCTCTGACCATTAACTTTAGGCACTGAGCTATTTTTTGGTCATGAGGCTCTGAGGGCTTTAGTAGACAGTTAATTGCCCTGCAAGGATGTTGGGGAAGGTCTTGGAGGGACAGGCCATGGTGACTCATCCTTGCTCTGAACCCGGGATTCTCCCGAGGCAGGGGCTGCCTGGGATCATGTGCCAGCACCCTGTATCTCTGTCCTGAGATTTTATCCTTTTAATGCCCCATGGTGGTGTGAGACCTCTGGCAGGCCTAGGGAGGAATCTGGGAGGAAGAGGGAGGTCTCCTTGCAGAGGCTGTCCAGAACCTCAGGATGGTGGGATGGGCCTTGAGGGGCTGGTGGGCCTGGCCGGGACCTTGGCTATTGCTCTGTTGGGGTGTCCCTCCCACTGTCACCCCCAGGAGCAAGCAGGTCCCCGGTAGGAGGGCAGAGGCCCTCTGTGAGCGCGGGAGTGCCGCCCGTGGCTGCGGGCTTGGCTGTGGTGCCCAGCCCTGAGGCCGCCTGGTGGGATTTGGGGTGTGCTATAGGTAGGGCTTTCCTCTGGCCGGGGGGCCTTGATGGACAGTGGCAGGCATAGGGTGGAAGGGGCGGCCGGCAGAGCAGAGTGGCTGGCTGGGGGTCCCCCGCCGACACATTGCTGTTGTCCACATCTCCGGTGGCTCAGACAGGGAGAGGCTCATGTATGACAGTGATGAGTTGGCATCTGGAAATAATGCCTCATTAAAGAGCCTTCTTTCTAAAAATGGACGCGTTTATCATGAAAGGGCTTCAGGAGGAGGAACCCTCGGGGCTGCCTGAGTGTTGTAAATGTGCAGATGGGAAGCGGAGCCCCCAAGCCCATGGCATGTCACATGCACCCTATCCATGCCCCCACTCTAGCATATTCTAGTGGGTTCCCTAGTGTGGTGCTCAGACAAGTGCCCCTCACCACGTGCCTCCGTTTCCCGCCTGGGGAGGTGGAGGTTTTGGTGATTCAGCACCCTGGACCTTTTCCATGCCAGGCTGGGCCATCTTCTTCAGCAGTGCCGCTGCCTGTGAGGGGCATTTGTGGCAAAGGGGATTGTGCCTCTGGTGCCTGCTGATGGCCACGTCCCCACTCCCCAGACTATGCCCTGCTTGCTGGTGCTTGGGAGACAGATGGGGCCTGGCGTCTCTGAGCTGGCCCTTCTGGGTGTAGGGAGGGGCGGGGGCAGAGTTCTCTGTGGGAGAACTGGCCCTGCACTCACCCTGCACTGGCCCTGGCCCCGTGTTGCCCTGCACTCGTGGTAGGACTTTGGCCAGGTGCCCCCTCCTTGGAGCCTCATCTATAAGGGGACCCTGAGCTCCCCTCCAGCCCTGCCTGATTCTGGGCCTAAGAGTCATGTGGGGTCATTGTTACTGCTTGGTCTGGGTGCCACCCAAGGCAGGGAAGGGCAACCTGGAAAGAAGGTCTTGCCCAGAAAGGGACAGCAGAGCAGGGCCACCTTCTAGCTTTACGCCTAAGGTCCAGGGAAGAAGGGTCTTGGTCTTAACCTCCCTGCTGTGTTTGGCAAAGGGCTGGGACAGCCACACCACCTTGCCAGGTGGGCCCTGGGTGAGGAGGTCTTTAGTTACCTGGCTGGTGCCCCGAGGGTCTGTGCTACCTAAGGGGGCCCAGAGGGAGGGTCTTTGCATCTGAACGCTAGTCGTGCATCCACCCGTGCGATCTCCGACAAGGCAGCAGACCCACGTGCCACACCTTTCTGTCTGTTAATGAGGTGTCCCAGTCATCCCATTGTATGGGCTCTTGAGGATCAAACAAGACGCGTGTGTGGTGACAATAATAGTAGGAATAATAATAGCTAACAGTCACTCAGCACTTCCTACACATTCACTCATTTGACCCTTGCAGGGCAAAGACACTTATGTTCCCCATTTGAGCAAAGAGCAAATTGAGGCACAGAGACGTGAAGTCACTTGCCCAAGAAGGTCCCAGTGGAGGAAGCGGCAGAGCGGGGGTTTGACCCTACACTCTGGCTCTGGGGTCCCCACACCTGACACCTGCCCACACCACCTCTCTGTGCTCTCTCCACATAAAAGCAGTCTTTCCCCATTAGTAACTTTTTCTTCTTCCCAAACTATTTCCTGTTTATTGTAGGAAATTTAGAAAAAGAACTAACTACCTTTGACCCCAGCACCCAGAGAGTCTCTGCATACCACTGTGAGTGTGGCCCACAGTGACATGTTATTGGTTATCGGCATGTGTCTTTGCTTCCCATGGGAGGACTGAACAGGTGTGGTATGGAGGCAGTTCTTCTTTTTGGGGGTGGAGGGGACGGGGTCTCACTCTGTGGCCCAGGCTGGAGTGTGGTTGCCCAATCTTAGCTCACTGCAGCCTCCATCTCCCTGGCTCAAGAGATCCTTCTGCCTCAGCCTCCCAAGTATCTGGGACTACAGGTGTGTGCCACCATGCCTGGCCAATTTAAAACAAATGTTTCTCTGTAGAGGCAAGGTCTTGCTGTGTTGCCCAGGCTTGTCTCAAACTCTTGAGCTCAAGCCATTCTCCTGCCTCAGCCTCCCAAAGTGCTGGGATTACAGCGTCCACTGCGCCCAGCCCCAAGGCAGTTCTTATTTGGAGTGTGATTTTTCCCCCGCTCTGTGGGCAGTGGGGCAGTTATGTGGACTTGAAAGTTGAGCACTGGTAAGAAAACTTATTCTGGCTGCAAAGCCATGAAGGATTTGCGTTTCAGTGTCTGCCATGTGATAGATTTCTTCTCATGCACTGTACACCCCTGCCTGAGTTCTGCCTTCCTAATTTATCCTGAGATTCCCCTGAGAGGAGCTCAGGGAGGCTAGAACCTCTCCTGACGTAACATGACACATCAACCCCACCAGGCCTGGGGAGCAAGGTAGTCCCCTTCTTTGGTCTCTGTGCAAGGGGGAGCGTGTGGTGATGGTGTGGCAAGGATGCTTGTGTGCTCCGAGTGGCCTGCTGGATAAGCACCCTGCCTGGATGGGGGCAGGAGCACCTCCCAGCTGCTATCTCACCTGGTCCTTGGACCACTGGCTCCACTCCCCACCACCACGTGATTTATCGCTGGTGGAGGTACAGAGAATCACTGCCCCTAAATAATCCATTGCTCATTGTGGAAACACTTGGAAGACACTATAATGCTCAAAATTATGATTTAAAAATCATCTCTAATCCTACCCTCACAAAAAGTTGCAAAAGTAAGTCAGGCACGGCTATGCGCACCTGTAGTCCCAGCTGCTTGGGAGGCTAAGGCAGGAGGATTTCTTGAGCCCAGCAAGTTGGAGGCCAGCCTGAACAACATAGTGAGCCCCCCTTTTCTAAAAAGAAGAAAAAAAAGTTGCAAAAGTAGTACAAAGGGCTCCTGCATACCCTTCCGCCAGCTTCCCCCAATGGTGACATCTCACATAAGGAGCACATTAGCAAAGCCAGGACCATGACAGCGACACAGCACAGCCTCGACTGCAAACCTGAGCTCAGATTGTACCCGCCTGTTACACACACTCATTTCTCTGTGTGTGCAGTGTTTTATGAGATTTTATCACATGTGTATGTTAGTTATATGTGCTTTTTTTTTTTTTTTTTTTTAAGACAGAGCCTTGCTTTGTCACCCAGGCTGGAGCGCAGTGACGCGATCTCGGCTCACTGCAACCTCTGCCTCCCAGGTTCAAGTGATTCTTCTGCCTTAGCCTCCTGAGTAGGTGGGACTACAGGCGTCTGTCACCATGCCCGGCTAATGTTTTGTATTTTTTTAGTAGAGACGTGGTTTTACCGTATTGGCCAGGCTGATCTCAAACTTCTGACCTTGTGATCCGCCCGCCTCGGCCTCCCAAAGTGCTGGGATAACAGGCATGAGCCACTGTGCCCAGGATTTTTTTTTTTTTTTTTTTTTTGAGAAGGAGTTTTGCTCGTTGCCCAGCCTGGAGTGCGATCATGCGATCTTGGCTCATTGTAACCTCCGCCTCCCACGTTCAAGTGATTCTCCTGCCTCAGCCTCCAAAGTAGCTGGGATTACAGGCATGTGCCACCACGCCCAGCTAATTTTTTGTATTTAGTAGAAATGGGGTTTCACCATGTTAGTCAGGCTGGTCACAAACTCCTGACCTTAGGCAATCCATCCGCCTTGGCCTCCCAAAGTGCTGGGATTACAGGTGTGACACCATGCCCAGCCAGTTATACACACTTTTAAAAATAAACTTTGTTTTTTAGAGCAGTTTTATCTTTTAAAAATTTTTTTTAGTTTAATTTTTTTAAAAGGCATTTAAAAATAATATTTTAAAAGGCTAGTCAAGTGAAGCAGTGGGAGTGGAGAAGGAACAAAGAAATCTATAACTGATTGTGATCAATTAGTTGTAAATACCACTGCACTCAGACCAGCCTAGGGCAGATTTTAAATTTATGGAAAAATTGAGGAGATACAGAGAGTTCTCGTATAAACTCTGCGCCCAGTGTCCCCTATTAACTTCTTAACTGGTCTTGTGCATTCATTACAATGAATGAACCTGTATTGATTGGTATCAATTAGAATCCATTCTTGATTCACATTTCCCTAGTTTTTACTTAACTTTTTTTTTCTTTTTTTGAGACGGAGTCTTGCTCTATCACCCAGGCTGGAGTGCAGAGGCGCAATCTCAGCTCACTGCAACCTCCGCCCCCTGGTTTCAAGTGATTGTCCTGTCTCAGCCTCTCAAGTAGCTGGGATTACAGGCGTGCGCCACCACACCTGGCTAATTTGTATTTTTCATAGAGAGGGGGTTTCACCATGTTGGCTAGGCTGGTCTTGAACTCCTGACCTCAGGTGATCCACCTGGCTTGGCTTCCAAAGTGCTAGGATTACAGGCATGAGCCACTGTGCCCAGCCGACTTAACATTTTTTTTTTCTGTTCAGGATCCTATCCAAGACATCCATTTTCGGCTGAGATCAGGTGCGTTCACGGTGGTATGACCATAGACAAGACATCCGTTTTCAAAAACACATTTTGCCACGTGATATTCCTACCATTTTTGATCCCAACTCTTTTTACATGCGCAGGTGGAGAATACCTTGTCACATCACTGACTGTTCTTTGTACACCTCATGCGAAGTGGCTGTTTGCTTGTTCCGTGGTGTGGACGTCACCCTGGGGACCTCAGGGTGGTCGTCGTCAGAAGTGCAGCTGTGTCTGCTAGGCCGCGCCTACCCCTTTCTGACAGTGATGGGGGGCCAGGCCTGGTACCCCCATCCATGTCAGGAGAGGACAGCCTTGGAAACACACAGGCCTCTGCCAGCATCCCCCCGCCCCCGCTGGGTGTGGCCACCTGAGATGGCTGATCCTGAGTGAACATGGGGATGTGTGTCTGAAACAGCTCAGACTAGGTCACATAAGGGGATATGCCTCAGCTTCCTGAGCCTCGGTTTCCCCCTGGGGAAACGGGGCATGCTCTGATGTCCTTCACAGGTTTGTTGGGAGAAGCCAAGGGGGGTTCACACCGGGAAGTGACTTGCCGTGATGCGTCGGTAATGGTCAGTCATGGGAAGACGCAGGTTTTAGTTGTTAAGATGGAACGACCTTTCTGACCAGCTCCTTATCCACCACGCAGCCCGAAGATGGCACGGTTTAAAATAGCTGCTCACATCTGGGGCCATTTACAAAGGGTCGTCAGCCCCCATCCTGCTTCGTGGCCTTTCAAGGAAGGCCATGAGCAGCAGGTCCCACTGCCAGGTTGTTTCCCTGCGAGCCCATTGAGAAATCCCCCTGGAAATCCTCCTTTGGCCTGGCGCAGGCAGGCGAGAGAATTGCAGACAATGGGGAGCCGGGGAACAAAGGGAGCGATTGTGCGGTGGCCGAGGCAGGGGTCATGGACGCCCCAGGCCAGGCAGGCAGGCCTGCACCGGTCACTGGGTTTCTGCCCACCCGTGGAGTGGCCGTGAGTGACCATGGGTGGGGGGAGCGAGGCCAGACCCCAGGTGTGAGGCTTCATACGCTGTCCTCCTACCTGGCAGCTCTGTCCTGGAAGATAGAACTTCCACGGTTGTCTTCAGGGGCTGTGTTCTTTGCAGGCGGGGTCCAGCATCTGGTGGGTCTGACCAGCTTGGTGTGGCATAGTTGGTGGTCTGTTCACGGGGCTCTGGGTTGACCAGGCCCTGTCCATCCTGCCTTGCCCAGGTCTTTGCCCTGGAGAGCCCAGTGGTTTGAGCATGGGTGTGGCCTTTGCCAGGGTAGGGTGGCACTGGGCACACCTGCCATTCCTTCTCCAGTGCTGATGGTGGGGTTTCACCCTCCCACTCCTCCTCTTTGCTTCAGCGATCGTGGAACCAGCCTCCCAGCTGGCCTCCCTGCCTCCAGGATGGTCTCCTCCAGCCCTCACTCTGTCTTTCCTGAAACACAGCCCCTACCCTGCACTTGGCTCTCTGGGGACCCCTCAGCATCAGGTTCAGGATTCTGAAAATAAAGTTGGAGGTGCTCTGTGATCAGGCTCTGATGCCTTTGCCACATTCCTCTCCCATGTCTTCTGGAAGAAGATGAACAGCAGTTCCTTTTTAATTTTCTTGAGATGGAGTCTTGCTCTATCACCCAGGCTAGAGTGCAGTCGCGCGATCTTGGCTCACTGCAACCTCTGCCTCCCGGGTTCAAGCCATTCTCCTGCTTCAGCCTCCCAAGTAACTGGGACTATAGGTGCCCGCCACCATGCCCAGCTAATTTTTGTAATTTTAGCAGAGGTGGGGTTTCACCATGTTGGCCAGGCTGGTCTTGAACTCCTGACGTCAAATGAGCCACACACCTTGGCCTCCCAAAGTGCTGGGATTACAGACGTGAGCCACCATGCCCGGCCATGAGTGGCAGTTCCTTAACACCATTAGCCAGGCGTTTTCATACCTCCCCTCTTTCCCTGGCTGTCTTCTCCGCCTCCAGTTCCCCCCATCCCCGCCCCCTTCCCCCCCTCCCCTCACTGGGGACGTCCCTCATGTCTCCAGCCTGTGGCTGAGATGCCGCCCTCTGCTTGCTTTTCCAGCTACCTCAGTGTCCAAAAGCCCCTCCTGCCTCCCCCACTGCACTCACGGTGACTCTGGGAGGTGTGCTCTTCTGTCTGGGCTGGGCTGTGTTAATGGCAGTCTCTGCCTTGAGCTCTTAGGACAGCACTATATCTTAGCTGGTCTGTCACCCACTGTGCACGTGGGCTGTGTCCCTGGGGGCTGGGCCTGCCGAGCTCCGGGGCCACACCTGAGCCACCCAGCCTCTCCTTCCTCTGGGTGTGCCGGGGGCCAGGCCTGCACAGGCTGTCTGTCCCAGCAGCTCCAGCCACTTTGCTGACCGAATTCCTGGAAGGTGTCTACTGTTTAGGAATGTGAGACCAAGAGGAAGGGGCCAGCCCTGCCCATGTGACTCACTCCGGGGTATGTGGGGTATGTGGGGTTTGTCATGGTGGTCCGCTGCTGAGGTGATTAATGCCCTACCCTGGCCAAGACTCCCAAAGTCTTGGACTGAGCCAGACGGGGGTGGGCAGGGTGGCCTGGCCTTGGGCGACCTCTGGTAGACAGCCTAACGACCAACAACCGTGTGTGTCTCAGTTTCCTCATTAGTGAGATGGGATCCCCCATCCCCACTCCTGAGTGGGATGGGGAAGGAATCAGGAGAGGTGACAGCAGGCAGGAGCTGACATGTGGGGACCTCTCCCCCGCTGCCCTGGACTCCCCCAGGCCTGCCCCTGCCTCCCGCTGCCTCCCCCAGGGAGCTGACCATAGCCCCCACCTCAATCCCGAATCCAGTCCTCACCTTTCTGGCCCCACCTCTTCCTTCTGGGTTTCTTGCCTGGGCTGTCTGGGGCTGCGCCCTGGAGAAGGCTCCAGGAAGAGTTGGGAGTGAGGCAGTCAGTGGGGCAGCTGGGAACACATGCCCTGGGATCTGGGCAGAAGGACCAGGGCTGGGAGGGCAGGATAGGGGGAGCCCCCAACCCCAGGCCCCTGCCAGCTCCCCTGTAGGTCCCACTCACTGTGTGAGTATCTCTGAGCCCACAGCAGACTCGGAGTCACACTGGGCCTCCCTGCCCCCCTCCCCCACTTCTCTTCCTCCACCGGCAGAGCAGGTTCCACAGGTGTGCACAGGGACACTGCGTCCAGGACGGTGCCTGTTGGGGCAGCCCCGCCACTTCTCTGGCTTGTTTGGCACCAAGGCTGGAGGCAGAACTTCAGCCCCAGGACAGGGGGTTTCCCTGACGTCATTTCATGGGGGAAAAGGCACTCAGGAGCCCAGGGGACTGTGTGGGTACCCAGGCGAGCACCTCTGGACTCAGGGCCACCTGGGTCAGACAGGCCTCCATGGTGTGAC
This sequence comes from Homo sapiens, assembly GCF_000001405.40. NCBI lineage: Eukaryota > Metazoa > Chordata > Mammalia > Primates > Hominidae > Homo > Homo sapiens. Next base: position 99,579,089 of record NC_000014.9, on the reverse strand, counting down.
CTGAGCACCTCTCTTGGGCTCTGTGCCTCAGTTTCCTCACCTGCAGTAGGGGCTTCATGAGCAATGGAGAGAGTCTGTGGGTTCTCAGCCCGAAGTGTTGGTAAGAGAGCACCCTCCTCCATGCCCCAGCAGGGCTTGTGGATGGAGGTGGGGCAGGGAGTGTGTCAACACCAGCAGGGTGACACGGACCACATCCACCTGTCACCTAGAGCCTTCCACGGCACGGTCACGCCTTCCAGCAGATTATTACATCCTCACTCTAGGGAAGCGCTTAGAGAAGCCAGCTCCGGTCTTGGAAGGGGGCTGGGGCAGCAGCGCTTGTATTAGAGGAAATAAAATTGTCCTGTCTCCCGATTACACGTGATGAACTCACCATCACGCCAACGGCCCAGCAGCTGTGAGCATTCAACTAAAGGTCAAAAGCAAAAATAGAAGCAGTGGGGAGGGATGCTTTTAAATCATTGAACATGACCAAGAGGAGGGTGCAGGCTGTGGAGGCTCACACACACAGTGACAGGGGACATAGGTACAGGCCATGTGGGTGTGGAGACATGTGCACAGTCACACACACACAGTGATGGGAGTTGACATACACACACTGAATAAGCAACCACATCACTACCATTTAAGAACTACTGCATGACGGGGAACATAGGTGTGGGCTGTATGGGTGTGGAGAGGTGTACACTCACACACACACACAAACACACCGATGGGGGATACAGGACGGGCTGTATGGGTGTGGAGATGTGTACACACACACACACACACACACACACACTGATGGGGGATATAGGATGGGCTGTATGGGCGTGGAGAGGTGTACACTCACACACACACACAAACACACCGATGGGGGATACAGGATGGGCTGTATGGGTGTAGAGATATGTACACACACACACACACACACTGATGGGGGATACAGGACGGGCTGTATGGGTGTGGAGATGTGTACACACACACACACACACACACACACTGATGGGGGATACAGGACGGGCTGTATGGGTGTGGAGATGTGTACACACACACACACTCTGATGGGGGATATAGGATGGGCTGTATGGGCGTGGAGAGGTGTACACTCACACACACAAACACACCGATGGATACAGGATGGGCTGTATGGGTGTAGAGATGTGTACACACACACACACACACACACACACTGATGGGGGATACAGGATGGGCTGTATGGGTGTGGAGATGTGCACACGCACACACACACACACTGATGGGGGATACAGGACGGGCTGTATGGGTGTGATGTGTACACACACACACACACACTGATGGGGGATACAGGACGGGCTGTATGGGTGTGGAGATGTGTACACACACACACTGATGGGGGATGCAGGACGGGCTGTATGGGTGTGGAGATGTGTACACACACACACACACACACTGATGGGGGATGCAGGACGGGCTGTATGGGCATGGATACATGCACACACACATGCACTCGCAGACACACACTTCACTCCTTCCCACCCCATCCTGCACCTTCCCAAGTGCAGCTCCTCAGCTCCCCACACAGGTCTTGTTCACTGCAGGGGTGTCCCGGAGCCCATTTAGCAGCTGAGGAGACTGAGGCTCAGAGAGGTGAGGCGGCGTGCCCAGCAAGTGGGCGGCAGACATGGAGTCACCCTGGGCCTCCCTGTCTGTCCCACCCACCCTGTCCTGGGCCCAGGGAGCCCAGTGTGACTCCACGTCTGCCGCCCACTTGCTGGACACGCCGTCAGCCCTCTCTGAGCCTCGGTCTCCTCAGCTGCTAAGTGGGCTCTAGGACACTCCTGCAGAGCTGTGAAACCGGAGGCGCATAGTGGCCTGCAGTCGGTTCTGAAATGGTAGTGATATGGTTGCCTATTCAGTGTGTGTTTATTAAGCACCGTGGGCAGGGCTGCCTGGGAAGGGGGAGTGAGGAGTAAGATGCCGACTTGGAACCAGAGAGGAGACGAGCCCAGGGATGTTGTTTTCTGGGGTTTGGAACTGGCCCAGCTCCATGCAGCCCCGTTCCGCAACAATGTCTGCTGTGACTCCCCAGGCCTCCAGCCAGCTGTGGGACTGATCAGGGAGGGGAGGGCAGGGGTCCTGGGCATGGGCATTCGCTGGTGTCCACCGTGCCCCCAGGCAGCCTGGGGGCGAGGGAGAGCTCAGCAGTGGGTGTGGGTAGGAGCTGTGCTGAAGGCATCCGGGGTGACCCGGAGAGAGTGCTGCCCCGCTGTGCTGTCTTGGGCATGTTGCTTACCCTCTCTGAGCCTCTGCTTTCCTGTAGAGTGACTGATAGTCCGTTCCACCCTCTGAATCCCCAGGGTGTCATGGGTAGGAAGATTGTAAACCTGGAAAAAGGCCATGCGATTGTTTGCTGCTATCCAGGCAGCCCTAGTCAGGAGCCCGGATCCTACCAAGTTTGGTGGGAAAGGGCAAGGCTTGGGGGTTGGGGCAGGTGTGGGGGAACTCTGGAGCCATTTGCATCCTGCCTGCCCCTAGCATCCCTGTGTGGACTCCCTGGGCCTCACAGGTTCTCAGCTAAGCTGCTGGACCAGCGAGGCAGGTCCCACTGGTGTGGTTCATGAGAAGTGCGTGGACAGCACCATCCTGTGCTGGGAGGTGACAGACAGGTCAGGAGTCTCCAGGCAGAGCTGAGGGTGGGGCTCCCGGGAGCTGCTGCTCACAGGGACTCAGTCCTTCTCCTGGGCCAGCTTGGTCCTGCATGTCAGAGCAGGAAGGGGTGCCTTAAGCTGTGTGGCCTGGGGACCTTTGGGACCACCCTCGAGGGGCCCTGGCCCTGGATTTTAGATGGGGTCAGAGGGTGGGCTTCGGGAGGCCTGTGTGCAAAGCAGCCATGCTCTGAGTTTTACTGAAGGGCTCTTGAAATCCTCACCCAAGGTCACAGTTTGACTTGTGGTCTGTTTATGCCTTGGATGTACCCCTGGCCCTCTTTGTGGGATTGTGGCTACTTTTTGGGGATGGAGGAAGATGTGGCCATTAGTGTGAGCCACCCTCATTAGACGGGCACAGATCGGTGAGGTTTGGAGGAGTGGGGTGGTCACAGCAGCGGGTTTCCCCCGGGTTTTCTGTTGCAGCTCAGTTTCTGGAAGGGAGTGGATGGGGTGTCATCTCAGCCCACGTGTGTGATTTGGCCTGGTAGGTGATTTGGATTCCTGATGTCTACCTCTGCCCCCTGTAGGCAGCTGTGAACCACAGGCGGTCTGTGGGGGTTAGTCCGTGTAGCAGCGCACCAGCTTCCAGCCTGGGTGTCCCTGGGTGGGCCCCTTGCCCTGGAAGCCAGCTCCCTACTTGTCTTGTTTTATCTCTGACAGCTGGTGATGGCCCTGGTGGCTCAGGGCAGGCCAGTGGAAGCCTGGAGAGGGGTGACCTCATGGCCTGCTCATCCCTGGCAGCCTGCAGGCCCAGCACATGCAGGTCCGCTGTGCGCAGAGGCACAATTCATACAGGGTCCTCCGGCAGGTGGGACATACAGGGCTGCCACCCTGTTGTCCATTTAAGGGGAAGAAAGTTAGTGGTCACATATGTTTGTGGGTGATTTCCTTTGGTGTTGGCAGCTTGCATTTTTGTGGTGCTTTGAGCTCTTGAGAGAGTTTTCTCCCTTTCTCAGCAGGTCTTTCTGGCAACCCTTCGAGGTGTGTTACCAACAGAAGGGGGTGAGGGTCGCTGAGTGATTGCTGGGCGCTGGTGCCAGCTGAGCTCTGGATGGTAGACAGTAGGCGGCTGAGGCCCTGGCGGCAGGGGGACCCAGGAGCCACGCTCATGAGTCATGGGGCCTCTCCCAGGTTCCTGAGGGCCTTGGCACTCCCCTGGCGCAGTCACTAATGCACACTAAGCATCCTAATGCCCTGCGCTGGCTGAGGGCCAGGACGCGGCCTCACCCCACGAAGACTCCTGTGTACGGGAACTCAGGTGGAACAGGGCTGGATCCTGGGGGCAGGGCCAGCCAGCAGGAAGGAAGAGCACCCTGACCATCCCCGTGGAGGCTGGGACCAAGCCCCGTTCCAGATGCCATCCAAAAGGCCACCCTCTGGCTGCAGTCTCGACCCTCCAGGAAGTCTTTCTGCCCCTCCTTGAAGGCATTTGCCCTGTGACCTTGACCAGTCACTGGCTTCTCAGGGTCTGTGGGTGCAACCCTGGGGGTGACCCATGGGATGGCCAGCGTCCCACAGAATGGCTTCTACAGCCTGTCCCTGGGTGGGGATCTGGCCCCTGACCTCCTTAACCTCCTAGAATCCCCTGCAGGCCATCCACCAGTCTCTTTTGCAGATGTGGAAGCAGGTTCAGTAATGTGCCTGGGTCATAGCTGTGAGTGGTCAGGCCACCTGACCCGGCTGGTGCCCCTCGGGCGGACACAAGGACCAAGTAAATCAGATGGTGCTCATGAAGCTCCTTCCCAGCAGGCTAATGCTGTCAGCACCACTGCCTCTCCTCTCCGCTCTCCCCTTATCTCCCTGCATTCCCTAAATTCCTCGCAGGCCACCCTGCCTCCCCTCCTCACAGGCCGGGAGTTCCCCACCTCCCTTAGCTTTATTGCCTCCCTGCCCAAGGTCTGGATTGAACTTGGCAGGGTTCCCTGTGCCTCGGCCTGTGAGGAGTGAGTGGGGATGGGGTGAGGGGAGCATGTGGGAGGGTGAGGGGAGCGTATGGGGTGTGACAGGACCTGTTTGGGGGAGAGTGAGCTGTGGCCGGGATATAGCACGGAGAGTGGCTCAGTGTCTTCCAATCCAGGAAGGATTCCAGCTGAGATCAGATCTAACTGCTTCTGCCAGACAAAAAAAAATCCCTGGAGCAATGTTCACTTCTTTGTTGAGCTTCCCTGGTGGGAGGCTGAGGTCTTGCTAGTGTTGCTGGTGCTGAGGGCAGGTGGCGGGTCAGAGAGCACAGCTGGGTGGCAGCTTGCAGCACATGGTCTTGTTCTGGAGGCTGGGCAGGCACAGCAGAAGCAGGACAGAGCAGCACTCCTGTCTCAGAATTTAACTCCTGCGCGTCCCTGGCATGTGCACTGAGCCCTCCTGTCAATTAGGACATTCCATCAAGATCCAAATGCCAGTTCCAAATGGCAGCTCATGAACACGGCTGTCCCTGACCACCCTTCGCATCCCAGGATGAGACGAGTTGATGAGACAAGGAGAATTGCACCTAGGGAGGGTGTGGGAGGCCCCAGCGCATGCCCCTCACTTGCATAGAGGCCCTGGAGTGCTCGGCGGCCCAGAAGAGTGAGGCTATGGGCTCTAACCAGGCTTCTGCAGGGCAGGGGCAGAGGGATTGGGTGGGTTGTGAGGGGTGCATCTCCTGGAGGGCTGCCGTCCCACCCAAAGGCAGCACCTCTGCCCTGTGTCATGGGGACTGCAGGGCCACCCCAGGGCTGTGCAGAGCAAGGAGGTTGGCGTTATTTAGAGCCAAGCTCTGCAGCTGCAGGCCCCTGCCCTGGAGGGAAGTGTTGGCATCTGGCTGCACCCTGTCCTTTGAGCCAGAACGTCCAGGCCGGGTCTGCCTCACTGGTGACTGCCTGCCATCAGCAGGGCTCTGGATAGCCAGCACCTCCATGGGGAGACTGAGGCCCAGGGTGGGGGAGGAGCGCCGGACCTCAAAGGCATGGCCTCAGCTGGTTTTCCTTCACGTGGGTGACAGCTGAGGGTTCCCTGCTTCCATTTAAGACTAAATGACCTTCAGTGGAGCTCAGAACAAAACTCTTCTAAGGGGATTGGGAAAATGGGGGCCTGGGAGCAGCTTCTGAAACTGATGAGCACCTCGACCCATGCACCAGGCAGAGCCGGCTCCCTGAGGGTTCCTGCTAGAGTCCTGGCCACCCATGGCTCAATCCCCTGCAGGGAGCACCTGGAGGTCCTGTTCGCTCTAGGCGGGAGGCTGAGTGACGCTGGACCGCTGAGCAGCAGGTCCCGCGGGGACTCCGAGGCACCGGGGGAAATGAAGCGGTGCCCAGGCAGCTGCACGCCTGAGTCCCTGCCTGGTCTGAGCGCCCCGGAAACAGCTTAGGCTTCACTTGTCCCCTCTCATTTTTAGCACCAGGCTCTGTTCTCTGCCTTTATGTGTGGCGTCTCCTGCGGTCACCAGGGTGCCTTCTGCTCTGAGGCTGCTGCCATCCTATCTTGTAGGAGGCGAAGGCAGGGCTCAGAGCTAAGAGAAGGCGCTGCCTCAGGTCCGTGCCTCCCACCCTGCCTGGGACTTGGGCAGACATTCCTTCCTTAGCCGTTTACTGAGCACCTGTTGCACACCAGGCCCCGTTTCCATGCTCCTGGGATACTTCCATGAAGCAAGACAGACAGAAGTCTCCTTTGGAAGATGGATAAACTGGCAAACAAATCCATGGATGGGACAGTTTCATATCCTGGTGAGTGCTAGGAAGAGCAGAAAACAGATGGTGGCAGGGGAGGCCTCTTAAGGAGGGGCCAGGTCACCTGGGGCTTGGATGATAAGCAGCTGTCGTCCCTGGAAGGTTTCCAGCAAAGGACAGATGTCAGAGCTTTCCCGGAGCTGACCAGGCCCTGTGGCTGGACTCTGGTGACCGAAGGGGGCAGGGTAGGAGGAGCTATTGGGGTTGGGATTTTATCTAAAGCCTGGCGGAGGTGTGATACCTGATCATTTATACTTGTGAGGCCCTCTGGCTTCCCTGTGGAGCAGGGCCTTGGGGTGGGGGTGGGAGCCGGGATTGCAGGCTGAGACACTAGCCCGCAGCGCCCGCAGTGTCCCGTGAGGAAGGCCACATGCCACAGCTTTCAGTTTCCTTGGGGAAAGTAGCGGGGAGGAGACGGCAGTGATGGCATGAAAAGACCCATCCCTGGGGAGGGAGGGACTCTCGGGGAGGGCCACAGCCTGGCCATTCACTAACGCTGCTGGGGCCAGGGCCACTGAAGCCCACCCTGGAGGTCTTTCTAGGGACCACCACCCTGTGAATTTGAGCCCTCAGGCTTGGGAGGGTATGTGGGGAATCTGGCCCTTGCCGCTGCCTTCCAGAGACTTGCGGGTGCTGGGTTAGGGTTGGGGGCTCTGGGGATCACGCTCTGAGATGCCCCGTGGAAGGGTGCCTGCTGCAGGCAGTCTCCAGCTCCTTGGCCCACATGCCTCACTCCTTGTCCCCTCCAGTTCCTTCCCCTGAGGCTTCAGGGCCTAGCTCAATGAGGCAGGAGGCTGGATAGGTGTGATGTCCCAGGCCACCCATGTGCCAAGAGGTGCCAGAAAGCAGGAAGAAAAGGGGCAGGTGGGATTTGTTGTTCTGATCAGCTCACTGGAGACAGGCTCTTGTCACAGGGGGCATTGAACTGGGCACCTACCTGCCTGAAATATTTACATTGGCAAAGGCCCGGACAGGCCACAAATTACCCTGTGCATGTGATTCCATTTCCCAGCCACTTTTTTTCTCTAAGGAGTTGCTGGCATCGTAAATCTTACTGCAAACAGTGGGGAAGAAAAGAATCTGAGATTCTACAAAGCACATTTAACATCCATGACTGTGTTTGATCTTTCCAGTGGTGGAGGGGCCCGCCTGCTCCCCTGCAGACGTGGCTGAACCTCCCCGTCAGGGTAGCCCAGTGCTGCTGCCTGTGGGCCTTTGGTCTGCGTCTCAGCCTTCCAGTGGGGCCTACAGAACGGCACGGCTGTGCACCTCTGGCACCTGCACGCCCAAAAGGCACTTGGTCATCACAGCAGCTGGAGCTGGGGGGTTATCGTAACTTGGTAGCCATTATTATTATTATTATTATTATTACTACTACTACTATTGCTGCTGTGGCTGTGCCTGTTCCAGTAGCTCTGGCAGGCAGGCCTTGGCGAGATGGCCTGGGGAGGGAGTTTGTGAGGCCCAGGTTAGAGTCCTGCATGTTGGTTCTGGAAGGGACTTCTTGTCTCCCAGCCCCTCCCCCATGATCCCTGTCTCCGGCTGGCCCCTCACTGCACTGCCTTTGTCTTCCTCATCCTTTGTCTTCATTCCTCCTTCCCGTGAGGGTGGGGTGGTCTGCTGAAGAGGGAGTGTCCCTGGCAGGTGGGGTCACTTGGGCACAGGCAGGGGTGGCAGGGCTGGCCGGACAGTAGGTGGGAGTGGGGGAAGCTCCAGGGCTGACTTTGTGCTGGCTGTGAGTTGGAGAAGCCCCTCGTGGGATCTGGGAGGCAGGGGTGGGTTGCCTTCCCCCGCCTACTGGGAGGGAAGGAGGCCCCTTTCCATTTCCTGGGACCACCCAGGCCAGTTGGTTGCCTGTGCCCACCCAGCGGGGCGGCTCTGCCCTTCTCCTTTTCTGCTAATGCCCCACCGTTTGTGTGTAGGTCTGGCTCTTTCTGCCCCTCCTCCAAAGCTGCACGTGCCTGTGAGCTCCACACTTTCTGTTCTGCTCAGGGGCCGGGAAGGTGAATATCTAGATAAGGAGAATCTGGTGCCGGGAAGACCCCCTGGACTGTAGGATAGCTCTCTTGAGGTCCTGGAATGCATTTTATGTCTCCTGCCTGGCCTGGAAGGTTATATCCCTGGCCCCACACCCTCCCATGACCCTCTCCTCCTGTCCCCCTCCCTGAAAAAGAAGCATCCGAGGCCCAGCCCCGAGCCCCTGCCGTCTGGGCTCTGCCTGGGCCCCTCTGGCCCCTGCCGTGACTCCTCATCCACAGAGTGGTGTCCGTTCATCTGTGTGGAAGGGTCAGGGTGTGGCAGGGGCCAGGCACGCAGGTGCTGCCAAGCTGTCTGAGGTCAGCACCTCCCCCACCATCCTGACCATTCTGAGCCTGGCAGGATAAAGAGGTCACCTGTCCAGGGCCCCAGGGCCTGGCTCACAGTGGCCCCAGCATTGGTTGCTGTGTGGCCCTGGGCTTTGTGAACTTCTCTGTGCCTCTTTCCTCAGGGGTAAAGTGGGGAGATGCTAGAACTTTCCATATTGCAGGGCTGCAATGAGGGCTGGATGGGATGAGGTATGTGAGGCACTCAGAACAGATGTGAAAGCTGCGCGTGGATGCCCCTGCCTGGCAGGGGGATTTGGTCTCAGGAGGGCACATTTCAAGCCCCACTTCCTTCCTGGAGTCCTCCCTGTCCCCACAGGTCCGTGTCCTGCCTACCTGTGAACCACTCAGGGTAACGCTGGGCCTGAGCTCAGGCTCTTTCTTTTTTTTTTGAGACAGTGTGTTGCTGTGTCACCCAGGCTGGAGTGCAGTGACACTATCATAGCTCACTGCAGCCTTGACCTCCTGGGCTCATGCTATCCTCCCGCCTCAGCTTCCCAAAGTTGGGATTACAACAGGGGTCTTTCTAACCTCCAGTATCCGCAGATGTTCCAAATCAGTCCTGCCTGGGTCTAGATCCCTCCCTGCGTCGCCTTGGAGCATTGCACCTGAAATGTGGGGTGTGTGACATGTTGGGGGGAAGCAGAGGTGCAAAGAACTAGCAATGTCTCAAGTGCTGATGAGGTTGCCTGGGGTGGTGTAGGATCCAGGTTTGAGGCTGGATGTGCCTGGGTTCAGCTCTTGGCTCTGGAGTGTCCTGGCTTTTTGGCCTGGGACCGTTGAATCACTGTCTCTTGTCTGTTCAAAGCCTTCCTGGGTAGGTGGCATTGGTTTTTGTGGCTGTGGGTTTGGTCCCAGCCCTGGGGCAGCCGTAACTGCTTAGATCCCCAGGCAGTGGTGGGTGCCTCTGTGGGGCAGGGCAGCCTGGCGGAGCTGGGGCCCAGGTGTGGACATCCAGGGAACCCTTTGGAATACTGTCTGGTGGAGCCGAGCACACACCCCACTGGCCCAGCAGCCTGTTTGTTTTGGGGACATCAGTGCTTCAGAAACCAGAGCCCTGTGTCATGTGGTTCTGTTTCTTGGTTCCTTGTTTTCAGCCTTCGTACTGGAGGGCCACCCCTGGGAGTTGGGAGGATTTAGGTCTTCCTTCACGAAGATGGGTCGACGTGGGCCTTACTGCTTTATTCTTTGGTTAAAGATGGATATTGCTGTGGCTAGGTCTGGGGACGGGGCTTGGCAGACAGTGAGGACACAGGCCAGGAGTGGGGATTTGATGTCCCCTCTTTGAGCTGCCTCTGTCTGCAGTGACGCCTCCTGGGGTCCCCAGGAACCCTCAGCTAGCCCATGGACCTGGGGCTGTGCCAGGCGCCAGCCCTCCCAGGAGAGAGAAGTTCCTCCTGCCTCCAGAACCCATGTTCAAGGTGAGGTGAGGCAAGGACCCTGCAGAAGTCTGCTGGAGCGTCCCCTCATCACGGTTCCCTTTCTGTCTGTGACATGCTGACTCTCCACATTGTTGATGGCCTGGTGGAGAGGCTGACTGAAGTCACGTTTTATCTGCCCTTTTCTCAGAGCCTGTGTCTGGCTTTGGGCCAAACCACTAATAATAAAGCAACTTGAAGTACTCCTCACATTTGTGGGATGTGCAGCCCAGCGGCCCTGCCCTCCTGCCCCGAGCGAGGCCCAGCGGCATCCTCCTTGAGGGTTTCACCCTGTCGCCCCCTGTTAGCTCCTCTGCAGCCCCCTCGGGGTTGGCACTGGGTCCAGCGGCCACGTCTTTCCTGAGCGGGGTCCTCAGGTCGTCATGCAGGCTTGCCTGTGGTAGTGGGGGTGCTGTCTTCTAGGTGTGCAAGGGCTTGCCTCCCACCCCCCAAGGAAGCTGGGGAGGCGGGATATGCCCTGAGCTGCCTCGGACAGAGGTTCTGAGAGAGGAAGGCCAAGGAGGAAGGAGGAGTTAGGAGGGGTCTGGGGACCTGGGGCCCCACCACTCCAGCCCTTTAGAAATGCGCATGAACCCATGAGACTATAGTGAGCCGAGATCGTGCCATTGCACTCCAGCCTGGGTGACAGAGTGAGACTTTGTCTCAAAAAAAAAAAAAAAAAAAATAAAGGGCAGGTGGCCTCCAGAGAGTGTCTGTGGCTTCCCCAGGGCTCCCCTTCCCTGCTGTCCATGAATTTGTTCCCCAATACGGGGCCTGGGGCTGCTAGGCCAGGGCCATTCAAACTGGGCAGTTGTACCAGCCTGAGCCCCTCCTGCCTCTCTGCCTAAAGGGACCAGGCCAGTCTGGGACCAGTGCCCTGGAGTCTCTGCATCTAGACCTGCTTCAGTTCCTGGGTATTTAACCATTTCCTCTGGGGGTGGGAGTGGGGGGCAGTCTTGTGTATTTGGAGTCATCCGCAGCTGTCGAAAAGAGTGCTGGCATCTTTGTTTGGCTGTAGCACCCTGTGTGATCCAGGTCCCCAGCCCCAAGGTGGCAAGCTGGAAAGCTGGAGACAGGCATGTGCATTTCTTTTTTGTTTTGTTTTGTTTTGAGACAGAGTTTCGCTCTTGTTGCCCAGGCTGGAGTGCAATGGTGCGATCTAGGCTCACCGCAAGCTCCTCCTCCCAAGTTCAAGCGATTCTCCTGCCTCAGCCTCCCAAGTAGCTGGGACTGCAGGCATGTGCTACCATGCCCAGCTAATTTTTGTATTTTTAGTGGAAACGGGGTTTCACCATGTTGGTCAGGCTGGTCTTGAACTCCTGACCTCAAGTGATCTGCCCACTTCGGCCTCCCAAAGTGCTGGGATTACAGGCATGAGCCCCTGTGTCCGGCCTCCTGCCCTATCTTAAGATTAGTTTTATCTGCCGCACCTTGGCTGTCCTGGCCCAGGGGTCCCTCCTGCTGGTGAGAACACAGCCTTACCAAGCTCTTTAGGAAACTGCAGGTGCCCTGATGGGGTCTCGGCACCACCATGCCTCCCCTGGTTGTCACGCCCCCAACTCATCCACCCGAAAAACTTCTGTCCCTCCTGTGACCCCCCTGGGGCGACCAGAAGTCCCATCTGCTGTGTTCCTGTGGGTCTGTTCTGTGCGGCCACATCCTTATCACAGTGTATAGACCGTGCCTGGCTGGAGCGAGCTTTAGGGTGACTTGTGAATGTGTGGGTGAACCTGCTCTTCCTGTGACTGTGCACTCATCTGTCCTCCTACATCAGCGCAGATGAGAATCGGGAGGGACCGCTTCCCATCTCACACATGAGGAAGCAAGGCTGAGGCCCAGAGATGGGCCGCGTTGGAGGGGAATCTAGGCCTGGACTACTTGGGAACTTGGGTGGCTCTTGGCTTGGCTTTGAAAGGGCAGAGGGGTTCGGGCCCTCTTGAGGCTGGAGCGCTGCCTTCTGGTTTTCTGGGTGTACTGGATGTTATGCTAGCATGCTCACCTCAGGAAGCCAGGGCACGGCAGGCCGCCACCTTGAGAGTGGAAGCCATCTAGGCCCCTTCCCTTCAGTAGAGGGTGCAGGACAGTGAAATGTCCAAGGCCCTGGTCACCCTGAGAGGCCCCTGCTGCCTGCCTCCTGCAGGCCCCCTCGTTGGGAGGGACCACGTGATGGGGTGGTTCATGCCAAATGCTGCCCAGGTGCCATGGTGGCCAGTGGACGTGGGGCAGAGTTTGCTTACAGGCCTTTTCAGGGTAGCAGGTGCCTGGTAGGAGGTGGGCGCCTGCCCAGACACTGATTCCATGAGGCTGTCCTGATGTAAATGGGTGCAGAGTTCATGGGGCCAGGCAGGGAGAACAGGCATTTGAGACCTGGGGGAGCCGAGGGACCTTGGCACCTTGCACACACTGGAGGTCAGTGTGAACCTGAAGCCCCACCTCTCCGGATGGAGGGGAGGGGAGGAGAGGTGGGAGGCCAGGGGTGTATCCCTGAAGATCCCGGCTGTGAGCCAGTCAGCCCTGGATTCAAAATCTTAGGCTACCAGGAACCATTCTTGGTGAGTACGTAATTTACAGCACTGTCCAGAGCTTCGGTTTCCCCACCTGTAAAACAGGGCACTGATAGTGCTTACCTTGGAGGTCTGAGATGATCCATGCAGTGTGCTTGGCCCTGTGCCTGGCACATGGTAAATGCCAACAAGACATTGGCAGTGATGCTGACTGGCAGGAGTGAGTCGTCCACCGAGTGGGTGGTCAGGAAAGACCAGTTTCCTTTTCAAGTAGCATTCAGTACGATTCTGGAGCGTAGGGCTGGGAGAGCACAGAGCCCCTTGCAGCTTCCTTCCCTAGTCTCCTGTGACCCTCCATAATGTTGCCTGTTTGCTGTCAGAGTTGTCTCCATCAGTTGGCCTCATGGTCAGCGGTGCCCAGGACATTTCGGCGCTGCGTTACGACAGCTCATTGTGCCTCTGGGCTCGGGGCTGGAGCAGACGGGCGCAGCAGCCCTGCGGCTGAAAGCCACCGTCCCCTGCATTGGTGGAGGCTGCTGGCATGCCCTCGTGTATCATCCTGCCTCTTCTCTGGGGTCTCCCCACCCTCCTCCCTGGCCTGGCCTTCTGGAAACCCATTTGTGTTTGTTGCTCTTCTGGAGTCTTTTCTGCTTGGGTTGGGGTGTCCACTATAGACTCTTCCATGAACCCAACAGCCAGACAATGAGTTATTAGGCAGGTGGGGTGGGGGCCGGTGTCCTCCCGGGCTTCTGTATCCACCTGCACCAGGGAGAGAGGAGGCAGCTCTTCCCGGCTGCCCATGCAGCCTGCCCCCGCTCCCAGCCTCCCTCCTGGCTGCATGAATCACAGAGACACACTCTGCCCCTGGGTTCATGCACCTGGAGCATGTGACCAACCTAATTTTTAGGCTTCCAGTTATTCTAGAACTTGAATTTGTCCAGGCCAGTGCTACTAAGGTTTTAGATGATCTCTTGTAGAGGGTTCTAGGTTGTCTCCCTTTTATGGGAGGGATTGAAGGCTTTCCTCCTCCTCCTTCCCTTCTCCACATTGTGCCAGGCATTGCATGCCAGGGGGTGCCAACCCAGGCATCCCTCTGCACTGGGGGTCAGACCTCCATGGCGTGAGAGAGCCTGCTCAGAGCTGAGCCCCGCAGGGGTGGTGGAGGAGGAGGGGATTGTGCACACGACGAGCTGTGGAAGGTGAGAGGGGCAGCTGGAATTAATGCAGGGGGATGGGCTCCAGCGAGCCCAAGAACAGGGCCAAGTCCCATCATCCCCAAGTGGCCATGCTTTAGTTTCAGCAGCTCTTGGTGGAAAACCAGTTGGGGGACAGTGAGCTCACCGGCCCATGACTAAAAGCCAAGTGCAGCCGCCTGGCTGCATGATCAGAGGCCGCGGGCTGCCGGGAGAGGGTCTGCGTCCCCTCTCCTTGGAAGGCGGTTGGTTGCCCCCTGTGGCAGCTGCCGCCACGCAGATCCCGCACCTTCTGGAGCTTCCATGGACGAGTGCACGTTCTCCAGTGAGTGTTTTCTCTGCACTTGTCCCCACGCCCTCCCCACCCGTGTCCAGTGTCCCTCTAAGCTGAACTCAGTCTGTCCAGAAGGCTCAGGTTGGCTGGGTTCCTAGCCTTCTGTAAGGAAAATTTAATTTGGACGGTTGCCAAGGGGCCTTAAAAGGCTGGATGTTGTTCCTGCTGTTGTGAGATGGGCCTGGACGAACCAGCAGCCAGTACTGTCTCAGCCTCCTGATTGCCCCAGCCAGATACTTCCTGCCACTGGGACTGCATGACAGGCCCTCGGGGATGCACACACCAGCCAGCTGGGGCCTGCCCCCCTGGGGGGCTCAGAGTCAGGTGGTAGAGACATTACAAGATGAGATAGAATAAAAAAGAACTAGAGGTGCTGGCGCCCAGGACAGATAAACGGTGTCGTGCAACTCAATAGGGAAATCAGGAAGGCTCCATGGAGGAGGAGGCTTCAGAAAAGTGCGGACGTGCTCCTGCTGACCAAAACCCTAACATGCTGCAAGGTGGGCACAGGCATATGGGGCATGTCCTGGGGTCAGCTGGGCCCTGCTGCTGCTGGCTTCTCCACCCTCTTCCATCTTGTGGGTCTGGGGAGGGTGCAAGGAGGAGAGTGCAAGACCCTGGTGCTTCTTGGTTATCAGGACCAGAGAGCAGCAAGGACGCAGCAGTGGGTGCGAAGAGGTCTCCACCTGTCTGTCCCCTTCACTGCGCAGAACAAACAACAAAACAAGAAACTTCTGTGGAGAGACAGTGCTCTCTTCCATGGCTAATGGGAGTGAGGTCCAGCCTCTATGGAGCGTAATCTGGTCATTTCTAGACAATTGCAAAGGCAAGTCCCCTTCAACCAGCAATCCCACCACCTGTGTACATGTAGGCTGGAAATTTTTCCTGCAGGAAAACGGGCTGCTTATACACTTGCAGATGGTCCGTGCCCAGGCTGCTTACTTGAAGCGATGCTTGAAATGGCCAAGTTTGGGAACAGCCCAGGGTTCCATTGCCAAGGACCTGTGCCCACCCCCTGCCCCACATACCCTGGAGGCCGTGCTCAGAGGGCAGACTCTGCTAGCCCATCTGGCTCGTGCCCAGGAATGGCACAGTGAATTTATTCCTTCCTGCCTATGCCATTTTGCATGTCCCCTTGCCCACAGAGAGGCACAAGGGATGCTGGCACATGGAGGCCAGCACGGCCCACGGGAGTGGGTGATTTATGTCTGCCGGCTGGTGAGCGCCATGCCGCTGCCTTCTGCCCGCCTCGTGGGAAGCATGGTGCCTGACATCTCCCTGCCTGCTCTCTCACCCTCCCATTTCCTCCCTATATCTTGCAGATGCAGAGTGACCACCTTATTATCTGGTGCTTCTGCCGGCTCCCCCTTTGGGGGATGTACCTGCCCGAGTTATTCCCAGATGGCCCAGTTGTGCTCGAAGCTGCCTGTGCCTGTGGGCTCAGGAGCAGAAGGTGGCCAGGGCAGGGTGAGGGGGGCGTGGCTTGGGCCAGTTTCCCAGGTCTCCTGCCCACAGCCCTGCTGGGTCCTGACAGCATGAGCGATTGCCTTGCAGAGGCTGCTCCCTGCACCGCGCCATCTGGCGGGGCTATTGTTGACCATACAAAGGATGGAACGCGGCAGGGCAGGGGCCCAGGCCCGAGGAGTGGACGGAGAAGCAGGAGGGAGGATGCCTGGCCTCCCAGTGCACCCAGTCCCTGCCATGGCTGAGGCATCTGTTTTATTGCTTCTTGGGTTGGGGAGTGGAGGGGGCAAAGGATCCCCCTCTACCCTTCCAGAATCTTCAGCTTGGATGCTTTAAACTCTGGTTCTGAGCTGATTTATTACTCTGCTAAGATGCAAAGGCCGTTTTATGTACTAGGTAATTAAGTGGCATTATAGACGGCTCGAGAGTAAGTGGCTGCTGTTTTAATAATTAAAATAAATGACCCCTGGACTGTTCCCCAGCTCAATACTCTTTCCGCAGTGTCAAGACCCTGGAGAGACAGAGTGAGTGTGTGAGTGTGCACATACCTGTGTGTGTGTGTGCATATGGGTGTGTGTGTGCATATGAGGGTGAGTGTGTGAATATGCACTTGTGTGTGGATGTTTCTGGGAGCGTGCCTTTGTGTGTACATGTGGGCATGTGCATACATTTGTACACACGTGTGTGCATGCATGTGTGTGTGAGGGTGAGGTGTGCAGGAGGGATGGAGGAGGAGGTGGCTCCTTTGTGACCTTCTGTTTCCGTGAGAACCCTTGGGACACACCTCTCACCCAGGTTGGGGGTTCCCTGTCCTGGATTAACTTTTGTTTCACCCAGAGGCCAGGCCAACCTAGGCAGGTTTCGGATATCGCCTCCTGTGTGGGCCAGCCCTGGTTCAAACCCGAGCTCTGGCCCTATGTGGCTGTGGCCAACTGCCCTTCCTCAGAAGCTTGGTTTTTGTGCCTGTACAGTGAGGGTGGCCATGTCCATCTCATGCACCATGTGCCTGATGTCCAGCAGCGCGTTACTGTTCCTCAGTGATTGTGTGGCATTGCGCTGTGGCTCTGTGGCACTTGGTTAGGGCTTGTGGAGGTAGAAGGGTGAAACTGGCTGGCCACTGCCCTCAGGGGTGCCAGAGGAGGGAGGGGCAGGAGCCAAGGTGATGGGCAGAGATGAAATGGGGAGCAGGACCTGGGGACCCCCAGGTAGCCAGGGGGTTTGCATAGGCCCGGGGGCAGAGGGTCAGCTTGCTGGAGGGCGTCGCTCTCTTCTGCCTGGTTGTGCTTTTGTTTTGTGGAAGGGTGGCCTTTTCCCAGAAGACGTGGGCCATGATGACATCATCATGTCCTCACCTGTGGGGTAACACTGGGCTGGCTCCCTACCGGGCATTTCCGTGAATAGGTGGAGCTGAAGGAAGCAGGTGTTCCAGTCAGTGGCTCTGCACTGAGGTCCTCGCGTGGGGAGCCCAGGAAGAGGGATGAGGAAGGAGGGGATAAGCACGTCACTGCATGCCAGGCAAGGGCCAGGCCCCCTTGGTGCCATTCCCTACTGAGTGGAGTTTCGTTTAATCTCACCAACGCCGTAGCGCAGGGGATTCTTTCACAGCTGGGTTCCAAAACCTAAGGCCGTCTCCCTGCTCCCACCTGGCATCCCTCCTCTGCCCCCTTCCCACATTTACCCAGCTTCATGTGTGCTGGGCACAGTGCCTGGAGCTTGTGGGTTCTCCAGGCTGGGGCCCTGGGTGGCTGTGGTGTGCGCCTGGGCCCCTGGGGGCTGTTTCCTCATCTGCAGACTGAGAAATGGAGGGTCTGCCCGCTCGCAGCACAGAGCAGGTCCTGCAAGGTCTGAGCCAGGAGCCACTGCATGGCGCCCGCCCCTGGTGCCCAACAAAGGACAGTAATGCTGATTTATGACCTGATTTTCCAGTGGGGGAGGGACTGCCCTGTAGGTGTCCCCTGGAGGGAGACCAAGTACCAGCAGAGCGCTCTGCTGCCGTGGAGGATGGCTGGGCAGGTGCCCAGGCCCCACCCCTGCTGAGCCACATGCCAGTCCAGCTGGTCACGGGGCTGTCCACTCTCTGTGACATGGGTTTGTAGGAATGGATGCTCTGTGCCTAGAGCGACCAGGTGCCAGCTGGTGTCCCTAAGGCCTGTGTTCCTGGACACTGGGTCTCCCTGCCTGACCTTGGGTCTGGTGGCATTTTTCACATCTGACCTTTCAGAGTTTTCCTCCTGGCCTTGGGTCCCAGGAAGCCAGGGCCGCTACGGCCATGTGGCTTGTCGGGAGCCCTGGAGGCGTGTGGCAGCAGGCACCCCCCCATGCACGTAGTGGGTGGGGCTTCAGCACTCAGTGGCTTGTGGATTCTGCCGAAGGGAGCAGCAGAGCCCTCTCTGCAAATGCAGCCCTGCCCTGTGGAGACTGAGGGAGGCAGGGGAACTGTCCTGTGGCCCGGCCCAGGCTTCTAGTGGACACAGGCAGCTTTACCCTGGCAAGGCTCCCTGTGGGCCTGGGGGTGGAGGCCTTGTGGGAGCCCTGTTCTCTGAGGAGGCCCGTCCCTCTCCAGACCTTGCTTCCCTTCTGCAGAGATGGCTTGGCTCCCATGGGCCCTGGTATCGGGCAGAGGTGGTCTGTGGCTGTTGATGAACAAACCTGCTCGCTTGGTGTTCTGCGACTCCGCCCAGGCGGCCACTCTCTCACCTGTTTCCCTGCCCTCAAGACCTTTCTCTAGGCCATAGGGTTGGGGCAGCAGGGAGGAGGCGTGCATTGAGTACACCGGGCCCAGCGAGCACAGCCCACTCTGCACCCTCCTCCAGTGGCATTTGAATGCCCAGGTGGACAGAGCCTGCGCAGCCCCTTCCCTGTGAGGCGGGCGTGATGCTGGCGGTCTGGGGGCTGCTCTGAGAATAGAGAAGCAGTGCTGGGGCCGGGCCTGGCGCCTGGCATACAGGTGCCCTGGAGTCTCTGTGTGTGGTACTCATGGCTCTCCTGCCTCCCCTGAGGTTCCACTGATGGTGCTGTGAGCAGTCATCCCTCCCAGGGATCTCGTTGAGTGTGTGGTTTGTATCATTTTACAGATGGGAAAACTGAGGCCCAGAAGATTCATGGGCTGTCCTAGGCTCTCCCGGCCCAGACCCTCCCACCTCCTGGCTGCCCCTTCACCCTACCCAGCCCTGGCTGCAGCGTTGGTGCCCGCAGGCATGAGGCAGGCATGAGGGCTGCGTGTGTGGGTGGGCAGACCCCCTTCCTTGCTAAGAGGGCAGCCTTTGGTGGAGGCCACTCTGGGCTGAAAGGTCCTGGGTCCCTTTCCCTGGTGTCCAGGGAGCATCTATCCAGGGGGCAGCTGGTGTGAGTAGGTTCCTACAAGGAGGGAAAGAACACCTGGCTGTGTGCAGGGGGTGAGTGGGGCCTAGGTGCAGGTTTGATTTTTTTTTTTAATTTCAAAGGGGATGTGTTCCCTAGAGAAGCTTAGGAAGATGGGGAAATGTAGAAGAAAAACCCAGACCCATGCAACCCAGTCCCGTGGCCTCTGCTGGGAAGATTTCTTTCCCCTGAGATTGATCTGTGTGTTCTCTCCCGGGCAGGGGTGTGCTGGCTGCGGGCCCACCTGCTGTGGGTTTATGTGGAATCTGGCTTTTTCAGTCCACGCTGCATCAGATGCATTTTTCCTCTTAGTCTGCAGCCACCCTGTCAGTGGCTACATCACAACCCTGCAAGCGGGTTAACTAGAATTTCCTTAACAGCTCCTCGGCTGCTAGACATGGGCACGTTGCTCCCTGATGGAAGAGACAGCCAGCCTTCCTCACTGCAGTGTTTTTGGTTAACAGGCGACTGCTGGCTGGTGAAGTTGTGATCGGTTTGGAGGCTGTGGCAGGTGGCTCCGAGTTACCTCAATGGAAGTCACTTTGGGAAATGAGGCAGAAAGTTGCACAGGATGGCAAATGTGGTGGGTGACGAAGTGTGTCTGGAATTTGCTCAGCCTTCTCTCGTCAGTGATGTCATGTTTACCCTTAAAAATCTATAAGAGAAGGTGTAATAGCTTCCTACGGCACTACCACGAATGGCCACATTATGATGGTCATTTGTGATGGCAGCCACAGCAAACGATCACGTGGGAAACCCTAGGGGTCTTAAAACAACAGAAATTTGTTCTCTCACATTTTTGGAGGCCAGAAGTCCAAAGTCAAGGTGTCAGCGGGGCCAGTTCCTTTTGGAGGCTCTCGGGGGGACTCCTGTATTCGGCTGCTCTCGCATTGCTGTAAAGAAATACCTAAGATTGGGTAATTTATAAATAAAAGAGGTTTAATTGGCTCACAGTTTTGCAGGCTGTCCAGGAAGCATGGCAGCACCTGCTCAGCTTCTGGGGTGGCCTCAGGAAATGTACAATCATGGCGGAAGGCGAAGGGGAGGCGGGTGCGTCTTGCAGGCGGGAGCAGGAGAAAGAGGGGAGTAGAGTGCGGGGAGGAGCCACACACTTTAAACAACCAGATCACAGAGGAACTGTATCACAAGAACAGCAATAGGGGGTGGCACTAAACCATCAGAAACCACCCGGATGATCCGGTCACCTCCCTCCAGGCCCCACCTCCAGCACTGGGGATACATTCAACATGAGATTGGGTGAGGACCCAGATTCAAACCACATCACCTTCCTTGCCTCTTCCTGCTTCTGATGACTCCTGGTGTTCCTTGGCTTGTGGCCTCATCTCTCCCATGTCTGCCTTTCTTTCCATCCGGCCTCCTCTGTTTCCATTTGCCCTTTTCTGTCTCTTACAAGGACACCAGTCATTGGATTAATTGTTTTTATTTTTATTTAATTTTTTTGAGACAGAGTCTCGCTCTATCTCCAGGCTGGAGTGCAGTGGCACAATCTTGGCTCACTGCAACCTCCACCTCCTGGGTTCAAGCAATTCTCCTGCCTCAGCCTCCCGAGTAGCTGGGATTACAGGCAACTGCCACCACGCCCAGCTAATTTTTGTATTTTTAGTAGAGGTGGGGTTTCACCATGTTGGCCAGGCTGGTTTGGAACTCTTGACCTCACGTGCAGTCACTGGATTTAGGGCCACCCTAATACAGTGTGGTCTCCTCTGGACCTTACCTTGACTACATGTGCAAAGACCGTATTTCCAAATAAGATCACATTCTGAGGTTCTGGGCGGACATGAATTTGGAAGGACACTGCTCGGCTTGCTACGGTAGGTGGCAGGGAGGTGGAGTGACTCTTCTGCTGTTGGGCAGATGATGAAGGCCAGTGGCTTTCACACGGCTGAGTTCTCTGCCATCAGTCCACACTGGAAACCTCGTGGTTTCAAGGAGACCCTGAGAAACTGTGGAGGTTTGTCCAGGTTTTTCCAGAATCGACTTAAATAGACCACTGAAGTAGACCTGGTTGATATTTTTTTCCCCTAAGATTAAGCTGCACACGCACTTTCTTCTGTGATATTTCATCCTTTCAGCTATTTTATGTTATGTTTGGAAGGGTGCGGACTAAAATAGTGATTGTTTCTTTTTTCTTTTCTTTATTTTTTTGAGGCAGAGTCTTATTCTGTGGCCCAGGTTGGAGTGCAGTGGCGCGACCTTGGATCACTGCAACCTCTGCCTCCTGGGTTCAAGCAATCCTCGTGCCTCGGCTTCTCAAGTAGCTGGGATTACAGGCGTGCACCACCACACCTGGCTAATTTTTGTATTTTTAGTAGAGATGGGGTTTCACCATGTTGGCCAGGCTGGCCTCGAACTCCTGGCCTCAAGTGATCCACCCACCTCGGCCTCCCAAAGTGCTGGGATTACATGTGTGAGCCATGTGGGAGCCACCTGTACCCTGGGCATTCCTTTCTCTGAGCCATTGTCTCCTTCTAGCCTGGCTTCACCTCTGCTGGGCCCAGGAGTGACTTGGTGAAGAGCCAGATGCAGCCTTTGCCTTGGGGCTGGCAGATGTTTAAAGATGGACACTAGATGACCCTTGTTTCTATATGGGGAAATGGCACAGACAGGGAGATGGGTGAGCTCACCTGTCCAGGATCACAGAGTGAGCCAGGCAGTGGCCAAGGGACCAGCATCCCTCAGATGCTGGCCTTGTTAACCCAGCTCTTGTCTCTTCCTCCAGCCGAGAACAGCCTGGGCTGTACCTGGTAGACGATCTCTGAGACCACGTGCCCTGGTGAATTAGAGCCTGGGCCTTGGGAAAGGGCTTTGGGCTCAAATCCCGACTACAGCACTTTCTGCTTTGTGATCTTAGATGAGTCTCTTCATCTCTGCGAGCCTCAGTTTCCTCACTTTTCAATAGGAATAATTGCATTTTTCTCCGAAGGTTACTGTGAGGATCTGAGAAGGTAACAGAGGTAAAGTGCTCAGCATAACACCTCCCACGTGGTTCTATAAATGGAGGTGAAGATTTTTCTTTTCTTTTGAAATGAATTAAAACTTACAGAAAAGTGGCAAGAATGTACAAAAGGTGCTGATATAGCATTCATTTCGATTTGCCAACTGTTTTGACCTCATTGCTTATCATTCTCTCTCTGGACTTTTTTTTTTTTCTGAAGTATTTTAGAGACGTTAGAGTTAACACACCCCTTTCACACGAAATACCTTGGTACACATTTCTTAAGAAAAAGGACTTCAGCGGGGCACAGTGGCTCATACCTGTAATCCGAGAACTTTGGGAGGCTGAGGCAGGCGGATTGCTTGAACCCAGGAGTTTGAGATCAGTCTGGGCAACATAGTGAGACTTTTACAAAAAAGTAAAAATAAAAAATACTAGCTGGGTGTGGTGACATATGTCTGTGGTTCCAGCTCTTTGAGAGGCTGAGGTGGGAGGATTGCCTGAGCCTGGGAGTTCAGAGTTCAAGGTTTCAGGTGAGCCATGATCACACTGCTGCACTCCAGCCTGGGCAACAGTGAGATACTGTCGCAAAAAAAGAACGAGAACTTTCATATAGCATAGTGACAAAAAATGATCAATATCAGAACATTTAACGTTGATACTATTAATACTTGTCCCAATATGATGCTCTAGAGCAAGTTTCTTTTTTAAGAGACAGGGTCTCATTCTGTGACTCAGGCTGGAGTGCAGTGGTGTGATCATAGTTCACTGCAACCTCAACAGGGCTCAAGTGATCCTCCCGCCTTAGCCTCCCAAGTAGCTGGGACTACAGGCATGCACCACCATGCCCGGCTAATTTTAAAAATGTTCTGTGGAGGCGGGATGCCGCTATGTTGCCCAGACTGGTCTTGAACTCCTGGGCTCAAGTGATCCTTGCTCCATGGCTTCTCAGTGCTGGTATTACAGGCGTGAGCCACTGCACCCGGCCTGAGTGATTGTTTTCTAATGCAGGATCATATGTGGTCCATTCTCTCTTTAGCTTTCCTTCATTTGGAGCTGTGTCTCAATCTTTCTTTACATTGACATTTTTCCAACTGCATTGACAGTACAGACCGGTTCTTTGGTAGAAGATCAGCCGATCGGGCTGTCTGATGTTTCCGTGTCATTAGGTTCAGGCTGTGCATTTTGGGCAAGAACAGCCCACAAGGGACGTGTGTCTGATCAGGGGAACCTGAGGTGTGCATCTTGGGGTGTGAACTTGATTACGTGGTTTGGGAGGGTCCCCCATTGTAAGCTGAGCATACAAATCTCTGTAAGTAATAACTGGTTTGCGGGAGGCTCTTGGAGACATGCAGATGTCTTGGTCTCCAGCAGGCAGACACGCACTTGTCTCAGCATCCACAGTTAGCTGTCTGGTGGGGACGATGCTGATTTTCTAACTTCTCCCGTCCTTCCACCTCCTTCCACATTTAATACTTGGCCTTCTCCTGGGAGGGCCGCTTCCCCTTTCCCTCAGTGAGCTATGTATGGATGCCTTTTTATCAGCGTGGACTCAGGATTTTTATTTCATCCAACAGGGCTGTAATCCCTGGCTCTTATTATCATTATTGCCACTTGGCCTGGGAGAAAAAAGTGGCTGTGTGCCAGGGAGGAGAAGGGATTTGAAGGCCCAGGTGTGTGTGCTCATAGGACAGCTGTGGGGCAGGGCCAGGGCACGTGTTGTCACCCCGGCCATGCCACTGACTTGACCTGTAGCCTTGGACAAGCCGGCGGACACCCTAGAGTCCCAAGGTCATCCTGCTGGTAGGACAGGTGGGGACAGGCTGACCTTTAAGGCCCACTTGTCCCATCCCATGAGGCTCTGAGGGCCCACGCCATCCTCCCTGTTGAGACCAGGAGTTGGCTTGGGGCAGTTCTCAGCAGCTGGGCTGTCACCTCTCACCTGTGGGCGTGATTACACAGAGGGAGGCTCCCTAGCTCCCTGTCCCGCCCGCCTCACTTCCAGCAAGGCCACCCTCTGCAGGACTGAGGCCTGTTTGTTCTCATCAGTAACCAAACATTGACCTCATCCTGGCACTGGCTCTCCCCTGACCTTCAAGTCTGTTCTTGCTCATACCTTTCTTAAAGAAACACAGTCTTGTGGGCAGGCACCAGACCTGAGGCCCCCATGGGCCTATGTCCATCTGTGCCCACCTGTGCTGCCAGAAGGGTCCTTGGAAGCTCTCAACTCCCTTGTACAGAGAGGTGCTCTGGGGCCCAGAGAGGGAAAGAAACCTGCTCAGAGTCACACAGCAAGGAGGTGGTAGGACCAGGAGTCATGAACTCTACTCCACTCACTGTGGGTGCCCTGTGCCCCGTTTATGATGATGAGCTTCAAGGTGGGACCTCAGGCATGCCCGTTGGCTTTTCTGAGAGCCCAGTTAGGTGTTGATCCTGCAGAAAGGCTGGAGCAACCCGAGAAGAGGAGCTTGAGCCTGGGTGGGGACCAGGTCAGACCTGGGCCTGTGGGTGGTGGCTTCCCATTGACCGGGGTCCTCATTTGACAGCAAGGCTAACGGTTCCTGCTGTCACCTGCTTGGAGCTGGCAGCATGCAGTGATGTGCGGGCTGCCAGCATGCGCTTACCCCCTGCCCGCCTGCCACAGCTGGGGCTGCAGATCACGCTGTGCCAGACACAGCCCTGCAGGAGCCTGCAGAGGGACATGCACACTCCAGTGCCAGGCTTTCTGCTGTGCCGGGCGGGCACACTCAGGCGGAGGCCTTGCCTGCCACAGTGACCAAGGCTGGGTGGGGGTGTATCTCCCTAGAAACGAAGGATCTGGTTAGAAGTGCAGTGCCGTGGTGGGGCTTGTGTGCTGGGATGGCCACAGTCCCGGGCTTGGTTAGAAGCACAGTGCCATGGGGGAGCTCGTGTGCTGGGATGGCCACAGTCCTCTTCAGTTACTGGAGCTGAGGGTGTGGGCTGAGGGCATGGGGCAGGGGACTGAAGCTGGGGTGGGTGGCTCCGGAGAGTTCAGGCAGGAAAGCAGTGTAGACAGATTCACAGAGCAAGTGGAGCCGACCACACTGGGTGGCGGGGAGAGGGTCTGCAGCAGCTCTGAGAGCAAGACACAGTCCTGTCCCTCCCGCAACCTGCACTCTCCCAGAGTGCAGAATCAGTGGCTTCCTGGGATGGGAGAGGCAGGACCCTGGACCCTCTGTCCCCCAAGTTTGAGCCCATCTCTTGAGGTCATGGGGAGAAGGGACCGTCCCCAGCACAGCTCAGGGGAGCTGTTCCCGTGGGTGGACCCTGCCCTCAGCCTCGGGTCCTTGCCCTATCTCCGCCGCAGGGGCTCAGCCCAGCCCTGGGCTTCTGTGCAGGGCTTTGCATCTGTGCCCTTGGGGGCTCGGCATGCAGTCATTGAACAGCCTACCTTTACAGAGGCGCTGCCGAGGCTGAGGGATGCCACGTGTTCAAGAGCCATGCTGGGTGCAGTGGCTCACACCTGTAATCCCAGCACTTTGGGAGGCCGAGGCAGGCGGATCATGAGGTCAGGAGTTCGAGACCAGCCTGGCCAGTATGGTGAAACCCCGTCTCTACTAAAAACACAAAAATTAGCCGGGCGTGGTGGCACGTGCCTGTAGTCCCATTTACTCGGGAGGCTGAGGCAGAAGAATCGCTTGAACCCAGGAGGCGGAGGTTGCAGTGAGCTGAGATCGCACCATTGCATTCCAGCCTGGGCGACAAAGCAGGACTCTGTCTCAAAAACAAACAAACAAAAAAAAAACCACACAGGGAATTAGTGGCCCCCGTGTGAGATTTGAACCCGGAGTTTGTGCTTGTGAAGACTTTTGAAGGGCCTGTGAGAAGATTGTGACATTCCTCTCCCCATGTCCTGAGCTGCAGGGCTCTGGCCTGGGTGTTCTGGAATCTATCCAGCATCCTCTCGGCGGCTCAGTGAGGGGGCCTCATCCTTCCCATTTACAGATGAGAACATGAGAGGCTCAGAGACGGTCAGTCACTGGTGCGAGGTCACACAGCTGTGATGTGAGACCAGTGTTTCTGTGATTACAGAGGCCCAGCTGACCCCAGGCCTCTCCTCCCTTCTATCCGGCACTGCTAGGGGAAGCCTAGGGTCCTTCTCCCATTGAGGGCCACACCCCCAGGCCATCCCTGGTGGCCTGGGGTAACCAAGTCCCTGGCCAGCAGGACAATGAGCTCCTGGTCTGTTAGTCCTATTTTGGGTCACCCAGTGATGTCACGGTGCCAAGAGCCATGCAGGAAGCACCGGGTTTTCCAAGCCTTGCCCAAGGTGAGCAGGTGACCCTTGAGCCCCGGAAGCTCGTGGCCCCCTTGCGGGGAGAACCTTGGGTCCAAAGGGCGATGATTCCAGCTGCACTTACTGGGTGAAAGGCAGCCTGGCCTATGGGTCATTGGCAGCTGAGCACGTGAAGTGGTGACAGGATGGGGAGGGCCTGGGTGGAGGTTGGCTTGGCAACCCCTCCCACACCTCAGACAGCAACAGCTCCGTCAGTGCCAGCACCTTCAGCTGGCCAGGACCCTCTCCAGAAGGGGGCTTTCAGGGTGCCTGGCCTTCCCTTTGAGAGGTCTAGAGAGTCTGACCTCGTCCCACCGGACTGAGGGGACACTGAGGCTTGGGCAGAGACACTCCTGCCCAACACACTCAGCCAGCACAGACCTGCTGACTCTGTGCCCAGGCTCTCTCTGAAGCACTGTGGGGCTCAGGTTTGCGCCTCCCCCTCCCTGCAAGGGCCTGGTCCTGCCTTGCTGGGGTCAGTCTCATGAAGGCCCCCAGAGACCCTTGTGGAGGGCAGGTGTGTCAGCCTCCGCAGAATGCTTGGGCCGTAGGGCAGGATTGCAGCACCCCTAGCAGTGTGGCCCAGGTCCTGCCTACCTCCTCCCCAGTGGTGCAGGGGCAGCTAGAGGGGGCTCACAGCCTGATCAACCTTGGGGCTTTTTGGGGCGCAGGCTAGCCGGGCCTGGGAGGAGCTTCGCCTCCTCCACTCCTTCCTGAGCCTCCCACCTGGACCCCCAGGTTCCGGGTTAGTGCCCACCCTTGAGGCTTTCAGATGAGACCTCCAGGTTGTCTGGGACCAAGGCCATCCTCCTTGGCCTCCTCTTAGCCTCAGGTCCTCACTGCCACATGGGCCCGGGGCCTGGAATTTACTTTTCCTCTGCTTTCCTTTCTTCTTTTGGGACCTGGCTGCTGTCGCTGGTCCCACCTGTCTGCTAGAATTTGGCTTGGGCTGTCTCTTGAGCCCTTTTCCCTAGAGGCTCTGACCTAGGGAGGGGGCTTGCTGGGGAGTGGGAGGCTGAGCCTGGCTGGTGGACTCCGGTCTCAGCCTGCACTCACCTGCCTGCTGCATGCTTACTCACTTGCTCACTCACCTGCTCACCCATCTGCCCACCCACCTGCTCACCCACCTGCACACTCACCTCTCACCCACCTGCACACCCACCTCTCACCCACCTGCACACTCACCTCTCACCCACCTGCACACTCAACTGCTCACCCACCTGCACACTCACCTCTCACCCACCTGCTCACTCACCTGCACACCCACCTGCACACTCACCTGCCCACCCACCTGCACACTCACGTACTCACCTGCACACCCACCTGCACACTGCCTTCTACACCCACTTGCTCACTTACCTGCTCACTCATTCACCTGCTCACCTGCACACCCACCTGCTCATTCACCTGCTCATCTGCATACTCACTTGCTCACGCATTCACCTGCTCACCTGCACACCTACCTGCTCACTCATTCACCTGTTCACCTGCTTGCTTGTTCATGTGACCTTCCCCCCACTGCCTCCAATCCCGTGTGGCCTCTGGCAGGATGCGCATACTGGTGGTGTGAACTTGGTGGCCAATCTCTAGTGTCTGTCCAGCCCCAGTGCTCCGTGTACGCTGTGACCCTCACCCCACCCCAGGACTCCGTTAGGGCTGGGAGGGCATCTCCTCTGCCGCATATGGAATTAGCATTGGTTTGTCATTATGTCACAAGCAGCTAGTGGTTCCAGTACTTCATGCTCTACAAAACCTCAACTTTAGAATAGAGAAGAGGCTATGCGCTGTATGGGTGATACCACATTGGCTTTGGATCACCTTGCAGTGTGCATGCCTGCACTGGGTAATGTTGGCAGTGATGTGGTAGCCTTTGCTGGATTGGTGATGGAGGCTGGTGCCAGCAGCTTGGTCGAGCTGGACCCAGGTGAGCAGTCGTATATTGGAGGAGTGTGGCCTGGGCACCCCAGGCCTGTTATGGTACCGCTGTCCCCATGGTCAGCTGGTGCTGGTATCTCGGCTCAGAGGGCAGCGTGCAGGCCTCAGCTGGCCCTTCCTTTCCATCAAGGTCGGACAGTTAGAGTGTGAGCAGTCGGGGAACAGGGCAGTTTTTGTGAAGTATCTGCTAAGTCCAGGTCCTATGCCAGGGCTTTCGGAGCTGGTCTTCTCCTAGTCTGCACTGCAGTCTCCTAAGGTTGGGTTTTTATCTCATTTTTAAGTGAAACCGAGGCTCAGAGTGACTAAGCAAGCAACCTAAAGTCACACAGCCATGACTTGTAGTTCTTGTGTGGGTTTCCTATGGCTGCTGTCACACATGACTACACCCTGGTGGCCTAAACAACACACATTTATTCTCTTGCAGTTCTGGAGGTCAGAAGTGCCAAAATCAAGGCATCAGCAGGGCTGCGTTCCCTTCTAGGGGCCAGAGGGGAGAGCCCGCTTCCCTGTCTGTCCAGCTTCTCCCCTTCCCCATCTTCAGTATTACAGTGGCCACCCCACCGTGGTCACATCTCCCTCTGAGCTCAGCGGGGAAAGGCTCTCTGTTTTTAAACATTCATGCAGTTAGATTGGGCCCACCTGGATAATCCAGACTAATCTCCTCCTAATTTTGAGTTCCATAACCTTGATCTCATCTGCAAAGTCCCATTTGCCAGGTCAGATAGCATTCAGAGATCCTGAGGATTAGGGTGGGGGCATCTTTGAGGGGTTGTTATTCTGCTGACTACGGTTCACAAGCCCAGGCTGAGAACTTTATCCAGAACAAGGCCCTTGTGTTGTCATTTGGGGAAACTGAGGCCCAGTGTGTCATGGAGGGCGCTGCCAGGGCTGGGACTCCTGACCCAGTTTCTTCCCCCGCACTACACTGCCTCTTCTGAACAGAGATCGCAGCAGCCCTCACGGGCACACAGCTTGTGTTGTTTGCATTGCTCAGCACCAATTATCTCCTCTTGCAACATGCCCTGCGCATGAAAGGAGCTGGTCCTTCTCCACGGCTGGAAGAATGTGTCCTCCCCAGGACCTCTGGGAGGATGGCACTATTAAGCCAGGCTTGTTGATGATCATTTCGGTCAACAATCACCCTGCTGTTAGTTTTATGTGAAACGCGGGAAGCCCAATTTGCTGTCCTCAAACTGAGTCTATCTCGCTTCTAACCGGGCAGGTCCACTCCGCTCTGCCTAATTTCGGGGACAGTGTCTCGCAGGAGACCCAGTTGCGTTCCTGTCCTGCCCTCTGAGTCCTCTGAGTTATCTGGGCCTCCTGCCCTCATTTCTCTGGGGCCTGGGAAAGGGAAGGGGCTTGTCCAAGGTCACAGAGCAGGTTGGGGCAAAGAGGGGGCCTGCTCTGGCCTCTGTGTGCTGGTGGGTGGCTTCCTACCACCACCTTCCAGCCAGACGCCTGTGAACCCCTCATCTCCCTGGGGCTCTCAACTGCTGCTGTTGGGCTACTCCTTCTGGGAGTGGGTGGCACCCAAGGAGGTCACTGCTGGGGGTGTTTGTGGGATTTCCATATGCAGCCCAGGAATGGGGACCCGGGGAGGAAGTGGTACAACATGAGGAGTTTCCAGCATCTTTTCTAGAACAGCCGCCCAGACTTTCTTCCTTTAACTTACTTCTTATTAAGAAATAGATAAAAAGCAATAAGCTTGGAGAATAATGAGACAGCGATTACTCCACAGCCCGCCTTTATCACACTGTCAGCAATAAGCATTTTAGCTTCAGATCTTTGCCTTTTAAGAAATCAAGCTTGGCAGGTGGAGCGGAGGCACCCTGTGTGTCATCCTCCTCCCTCCCCGACTTTTCCCAGGGAGAGCTGAGGCCCAGAATCGGAGCTCAGCATTCTCGTGCAGTTTTTAAAAATTTCTCCTGCCTGGCAAGCCTCTAACAATGTGAGGATGCTTTGCAGATTTTCAGACTTTGTAGAAATGGCATCGCACTGTGTGTCCCTCAGTGACTTGCCCCCATCCTCTTCATGTTTTTGAGATGTATTTGGTTCATCTTTTTGTTTTGTTTTTGTTTTGGGTTTTTTTGCTTTTAGTTTTTAGAGGTGGTCTTTTTTTAGATTGCCCGGGCTGGACTCACACTCCTGAGCTCCAGCACGCCTCCCGCCTCGGTCTCCCGAGTACCTGGGACTATAGGAGTGTGCCCCTCTGCCTGGCTCTTGTTTGTTCATTTTTATCTCGCTACAGTATTTCATTGTTGGGTTAAACGACAATTTGTCTGGTCTCCTGGGGAGGGCATTTGGGTGGTTTACAGTTTTCACTAGTACAGCTGGTGTTGGCAGACACGGTCTTGTGCCTGTCTCGTTGGGCGCTTGTGCTGGGCTTTGTCAAGGGTGTGAGCATCTTCAGCTGCAGGAAACCGCGCCAGGCTGCTCTCTGATCCGCTGCGCCGATCATCAGCATCCCCTGTGTGGCCCGTTCTTACGTGTGCACCGTCACACAGCATGACCACTTTTTACTCTCCGCCAATCCAGTGGCATCTCATTGTCGGAATTGGGTTTCCTTGATGACACCTGCGGTTGGGCGTCTCCTCACAGACTTCTTGGCTATCCAGGATTCGTCTTTTGTGGCTCTCCTCTTCCTATACCTCTGCCCCTTCCCATGTATTTCCTTATTGATGTTAGGGATTCTGGGTATGATCCTTTATCTGGGAGGGGACTTACACATGGCTCCTCCCAGATGGCAGCTTGTTGTCCAACTCTGCTCACCTAGCCACTCTCTGGCAGCGTTCGTAATCCTCATATAGTCGGGTTTCACGGTCGTTCCCTTCATGGTTTGTTCTTTTTGTTCCTTGATTAAGAAATCCTTTTCTACCTGAAAGCTCAAGTTTTTATTTTTCTTTAAAATGTTCTCTTTGTTTTAAAATAATAGTTTTATGGAGATAGAATTCACAAACTAAAAGTATGCTATATGTGTATGTATGTGTATATATGTGTGTGTGTGTGTATATATGTATATATATGTGTGTGTATATATA
This sequence comes from Homo sapiens, assembly GCF_000001405.40. Classification (NCBI taxonomy): domain Eukaryota; kingdom Metazoa; phylum Chordata; class Mammalia; order Primates; family Hominidae; genus Homo; species Homo sapiens. Next base: position 99,547,854 of record NC_000014.9, on the reverse strand, counting down.
TATGTGTATATACACACACACATATACCCATAAATATATATGAAAGTATGCAATCCTGTGGTTTTCTTTTTTTTTTTCTTTGGGACAGAGTCTCGCTCTGTCACCCAGGCTGGAGTGCAGTGGCGCGATCTTGGCTTACTACAACCTCCGCCTCCTGAGTTCAAGCAATTTTCCTGCCTCAGCCTCCTGAGTAGCTGGGACTACAGGTGCCCGCCACCATACCCAGCTAATTTTTGTATTTTCAGTAGAGACAGAGTTTCACCATGTTGGCCAGGCTAGTCTCGAACTCCTGGCGTCAGGTGATCTGCCCGCCTCAGCCTCTCAAAGTGCTGGGATTACAGGCATGAGCCACTGTGCCCAGCCAATCCAGTGGTTTTCAGTATAGTCGCAGAGTTGCACACTTATCACCACTATCTAATTCTGGATCATTTTAGTCACCCCAGAAAGGAACCCCGTTTCCATTAGCAGTCACCCCCTATCCCCTCCTTGCCTGCACCAGCCCCTGGAAACTACTCATCTACTTTGTCTCTATGAATCTGCCTATTCTGGAGATTTTATATAAATGGAAACGTACAGTATACGATCTTTGGTGTCTCACTTCTTTCCTGTAATATAAGAAAAGCCGAAGTTTTTGTTATTTTTATTATTTTATGATTTTTAGAGACGGGAGTTTGCTATGTTGCCCAGGCTGAGGTGCAGTGGCTATTCACAGGCATGATAGCACACTACGGCTTTGAACTCCTAGCTTCAAGTGATCCTCCTATCTCAGCCTCCTGAGTGGCTGGGCCTACAAGCATGTACCACCATGGCTGACCTCAGGAAAAAAAGTGTAAAATTAAAAAAAAAGAAATCACAATGGGGTCTCGCTATGTTGCTCAGGCTGGTCTCTAACTCCTGGGCTCAAGCGATCCTCCCACATTGGCCTCCCAAAGTGCTGGGATTACAGGCATGAGCCACTGTGCCTGGTCAAAATAGTTTTTTCACATAGAACTCTCTGACCTTCCTGGAACTGTTTTCTGTATATGGTGTGAGGCTGAGATAGAGTTTTACTGTTTTCTGGGTGGACAGCTTGTTGCTACTGCAGCCCTGTTCATGAAGCGCTCTGTTCTTTCCCCGCCGGCACCGTGGCCACACACCAGGTGTGTGGGTCTTTTCTGGGCTCCACCTTGCCTCTCCACGTGGCTATGTTATCTTTCCTGTAGAGTCTGGTGCACATAGAGCTGTCTTCTCTGAACTCCCATCGCCCTAGGAATCCTACCACCTGGCTGGTGAGGATTTATTCTTGTTTTCATTGCCTCAGTGAAACACAGTCCAGATGTGTTGCTGCTGCCAGATGGAACCGCCCAGAGCCCCCTCTTTCTCTTGCTGCAGGGCCTTGGATTCCCACCACTGCTCTCACCGCAGATCAAGTGCCTTCCCTGAGCCGCTCTCCCAGTGCTGGCTGTGATGACCCAGCCAAGCCTGGATTTCCCTGTTTCCTGAGCCGCCTCCACCTGCTGCACCTCCCACCTCTGCATGTGGCTGAGATGTCCCACCCCTCCCACGCCTCCCCACTGTTCTTACTAACTCTGCAGGAAAGCAGGCTCCGGGGCAGAGCTGTGGGGGCAGGGCATCATCCCGGCCCCCCAGCTCTTCCCACAGAGCCTGGCACTCGATAGAGATTTGGTTGACATCTAGTGATGAAAGCAGCCCCCACACACTTTCTCCTGAAACCAGCAAAATTCTCCCCTTTATGCTACCGGGGGGCTTGGCACCTGCGTTCTAGGGCTCGGTAAGGGTTGTTTATTCCCCCCCCCCATGCAGACTTCAGTCCTGCGCGATTAGTTGCATCATAATCCCTCTAGCTTTTTTTGCCTTTGCTTCAGAGTTCAGCTCCACTAATTAATAGTCAGGGGCAGGAGGGTAAAGGGTCCCTCGGAGTTGGAGGCTGGGAGTTGGATGATTGGAACAGTGACCACAGAGCTGCATGTTAGAATCACCCACAGGGCGTTTAAAATGCAAACTGATGCCCAGGTCCCTCCCCTAGAGTGTCCAGTTAGTCTCAGGGGAAGAGATCAGATTTTAAAAGCTCTCCAAGGAGCCAGGAGGGCGTACCTTTCAGCCTGATGCTGGGAGCTGCAGGCTGAATGTGATGTGACCGCTGTGTGGTGAGATGTCTCTCCCCGGCGGGACTAGCTGATGTCTGCACACAGTCCAGATCTATCACTGATTCCCAACTTCAGCAGTGAAGTTGGGGTTGGTAGGGGAGTGTGATGGGCATTAACAGTGCCGACACCTGCACCACCGTCTCACACACACAGGTCAATTTCCAGATGCGTGCAGCCCTTGAAGGCACAGGGAAGGAATTCTTTTCCCCTTGTCCCCATATTTGAAGCAATTACACAGTTTTCATTTGGCTTGTCAGGCTTCCCAAGCAGCGGATGGAGAAATGAGTTTGAGTTTTGGTTTGAGAACACTGGTGGTTCCCAGGCAGATCCAAAGTAGGGCACATTCTAGATGAACTGAGCCGGAGCGGGGCTTTCCATTCAGCTGCCCCCTCCACATTGCAGTGTCATTGGGAAGCCTCGTGGCTTTTCCTGGAATTAAATGCTGGGTGCCCAGTGGCCCCTGAAGCTGGGGAGAGGCAGGCAGCTGATGTGTGGGAGAGGCAGGCAGCCGGTGTGGGAGTCCCCAGCCCAGAGCAGAGTGGCCCACGAGGGGACAGATGACACTGAGAGGACAGGCGTGCACTCACTGGGGAAGGCTGACCGGCCAGCACCAGGAGATTTCATTCTCATTAGGGCAGCCGTTCGTTTTCCTCTTCTCTAGCTACTTTTTTTCCCTGGAGGCACTGGGAAGGGTGTCCTCGGCGTGTTTGATTTCTAATCCGGCTGTGGAAGTGTGAGATGGAGAGTGTGGGGCTCCGGTCATGGCAGCTCCGTTTTTGCATGCATCCGCGAGGTGGGACTTTAGGTTCCCATGATCCCATGTCTCCGGGCATGGAGGTGGATCTCAGGGGAAGCTGGTGCCAGCCTGCAGGCCATGTGTGACCTGGCGAGGCTCAGAGGCTGTGGGGTCTTTGGCTCAGACTGAAAACCTCACTAACATCAAGTCTTTTCACATCTGGGGCTGGGCGCTTATCTGGTGCCCTTGGAGGCGAGGTCTCGGAGGAGAGATGGGTCAAGGATAATGGAGTTCAGAGTGACGCTCCCTGGAGCCTGGGCCCTGAAAGTCACCTTGCGTCACGAAGAGAATTTCTGCTCTGGGAGAGGGGAGTCAGGCTGTCTTCCAAGCCCCATCCCCTGCCTCAGTGGGTTGTCTAGAAGAGTCCTGGGTGTGGGAACACACAGACACACAGACACACACACACACACACACACACACACCCTTCAAATTTTAGCCCTGTTTTTATGAGTTCTGTGACTGGGTGGTTATGGAGCCCCTCGGAACCTCGGTCTCTTTGTTGGGGGAGTAGGTGAAAGTTGCTGTGCCTCCTTGCCAGGCAAAGCTTAGAATGAACAGCCCTGACAACCATGGTGATGATGTCTTGAGAGGCCCAGGGTCAGTGCGCCAGAACCCCGGGGTTGGTGTGGAAGCTGCGAGTTAGATGGAGAGAGCCTTGGCTGTAGACAGACCCAGGTTCAAATCTCAGCCCTGCAAGGTTCCCGCCGGGTGACCTTGGCCTTGCTGCCTAACATCGCTGAGTCTCAGGCGCCTTGTCGATGACACAGTGGTAGCAGTTACAGGATGTCCCTCGTCAGCTTGGTGTGATGGGGTTGTGCTCCGTGTGTGCTGGCATATGGTGGGTACTCAGCAAACTGTGTGTGTGCGAATGGGAAAGATGGTTCTCTTCTTTATGCCCCAAGTGGATGGGAGAACTCTTTTCCACGCCCAGGGCACTGGAAGGCATCGCTGAGCTTGCAGCCAGCTGCCTCGGCCTGCAACACCCTGCATGCCCATTTGTGGGCTGTGGGCACTGAGGCCTGCCTGGCTCCATGCAGCCACCGCCAAAAGCTGTCCTCACAGGAACCCGATGCCCTCTCTCAGGCCTCTTGCCTTCATCCATAAATAATGCCCGTTTCACATTCAGCCTGCCCCTCCGAGAGCTGTGATCCCTTCCAGGAGCTGGTGTCAGCTGGGATTGGCATGGCCACTGATGCTAAGGGGCACAGCACAGGTGTACCTGGACCTGTTGTGGCTCTACCTCCCTGCCTTTGCTCAGGCTGTGCCCTCAGCTCCTATGTGCCTTTCGTCTTCCCCATCCTCACAAACTCTGTCAGAGTCCTGCTTGCTCTTCAGTGCTCAGCTCGAGTGTCACCTCCTTCAGGAAGGAGGCCCTGATTTCTCCTGGTCAGCACACCCTGTTCTCTGCCCCTCTCTCCTGGGCTGCGCCTCCTTGCTCCACTCTTTGCGTTGCAGTAGATGTGGTTATTCTTGCAGCTCCTTCATTAGGCCAAGGGTCCCTCACAGGAAGGGATGTGCCTTTGACCAATAATATACTGCCCCTGCCCGCCGACCCCCGCTGGTCCTGTGGGTGGCTGGCTTTGTGACCTTGGGCTACTCTGAGCATTCCTTTTTTCCTTTGTAAGACGGGGTTCTGCATGGCAGGGTCCTGTGGAGATTGGAGGAGCAGAGTTAGCTCTTCTGGCACTGGGGTAGGTAAGCAGCTTCCTTTGCCATACTGGGAACCTTCATTGTTCCAGAGGCTTCTGCCCAAAGAAAGACTGTTCAGCCGCTGCTTTCTCTCCCCCTATGATGGGGAACTCACCACCCCACTGGTAGCCTGGACTGTGATGAAATCGATAACTCCTTTTGGGTCTCAGATTAGAGGATTCTCTCTGCTCTCCAAGAATTTCTGTCCTTTGGTGACCCTTTGGAATGCTGGGATCCAGGGAGTAGGCAGGCCTGGAGTTGCGGTATCTCCCAAGTCCCTCGAGAAGATGGGGCCGTCCCCAGGCTCTGGTGGCTCAGCTCACAGGGCTCTTTGGTGAACCCACACAAGGAGAGCGCCCCAGGCCTCGCTGGGGGAAACCCGAAGTGCTCATGCCTCAGAGGTGTAGGGCGGCCAGGAACATGCAGCTGCAGGACCCGCTGGGCCTGGCATGCGGGCAGTGGCCACCTCGGGATGAAGCAGCGGCCAAGGGTTAGTGCCTGCTGGGTAGGAGGGGGCACTGCAGGATGTGTGGCCAGTGTGGCCCTTCTGTTGCCTCCAGCCCAGGATGGGTGGTGCTGAGCTGGAGGGTGGGGAGGACTGCCTGGGAAGAGGAGGCCGGCTGCTACCCGGAGCCTCTAGGCCACCACTCCCTGGGTCTGTGGCTGCCACTTTGCCTCCTTGACCCTCAGTTTCTTCATCTGTAAACTGGGGGGGCCTGGTCACCTGCCTCATGGTGAGGAATGTTGAGGACTAATGTGTGTAAGCCACACGATTGCTGTTCGGTAGATGAATATGGTTATGGACGGGTTTTTCTGGAATCTGCATCTCCGTCCGTGTCCCTGGTTCTTGGAGCTCCCCGCAGTTGGTGGTACCAAGAGCACTGGCTTAAGAGCCTGGAGCCCGGTTCTCCCTGGCCCTGCCCTGCCTGTTACTTGGTGCACCTTTGCACCTTGTTTCTGCACTTTGTGGGAAGTACGTGTTCGTTTAATGAGGCCCTTCCACCTCATGGAGCCACCAGCCCTGAGGCTGCAGCTGACTCCTCTTAATGAAGTGGAAGGAGAAGGGGATTTAATCAGCCAAGCTGCTGCGCTGAACGGTGGTATCAGCTGTCTTGCACAGGGCCCATGGAGGTGCTGGGCAGGAGCCCCGATGGAGGCCTGCGGCTTGGAGTGGCCAGGTCTCCTGCTAATGACCTGCCACGAGCCTGCCTGGCCCCAGACCTTGCAGAAATTGACCAGGGCTGGGAAGCCATGCCGTAGGGCCTTGCTCAGGGGGAGGGGCTGGGAGGCAGACCTGGGGAGGGTGCACAGCAACTGGAGAGTCAGGCTCTGTGTGTCACCATGTGTCACCATGTGTCCCTGTGTGTCACTGCAGCTCCCTCGCCCCCAGCCTCCACCTTCTATGGAGAGAGGATAAACCATATTTTCTCCTGAGTGGTCACAGACACTGTTGATGCCCAGCCCTGATCCCTGAGGCACTTCCTGTTTCTGAGCCCACGGCTGTATCGCCTGCTGGCACCTGCAGCTCTGCCCAGGAGCCCTTCCTGTCCATTCTCCTCTTGGGCAGTGCTGGGACGTTAATACTCCCAGTGAACCATTGGACAGGTGGGGTGACTCCGAGCCCTAGAGCTCACCGGCAGAGTGGACACCCCTTCCATTGGCTTCTTCCCTTCCCTGCCTCCCTTCTCTACCCCTCTCCCTGGGTTTCCTGGGGTTGCCACCCACATAACCCACGTGAAGTTGATTCCTCCTCTCTCAGTCTGCACCCAACCTGAGATATAAGATCATAGGGAGGCGTGTGTGAGACAGGAGCATCAGGCACCGCAGAGTCAGATGCAAGGAGCGTGTGCCCAGAGCCCAGGATGCTCTGCCCCCTGTAGCCTCGGCAGCTCCTTGTCTGGGGTTCCCCAGCTTGGGGTGCGGGGTGCTGTGTCACATGCATGGCTGAGCGCTCCTGAGGAGCTCATTGCAGCTACTCCTTCTGGTGGGAGATGGTGGGACGGAGCCAGGGAGGCAGCTAAGAACAGGTCCCTCCAGGGATGAGTTCCTATTAGGGCTGCAGACATTTTTCTGGAGGCTGACTGTGTGCCAAGTGCTGAGCTAGGGAAGGAAGGTCACAGAGGTGATGGGACATGGCTTCTGGCCCCCCAGTTCTTACTGTTCTGGACACAGCAAAGTCTGGAGGGGAGGTGGAGGTGACATCATCTTGCCAGTGTGAAAACCAGGCCAGGAGGGGGAATACCACCCAGCCCCTGCCTCACAGCTTCCCAGAAGGCCAGTGAGTCCTGGTCCCAGTGGCAGGACCCAGTGCAGGGTATCTGGGATGGAGCCGGCACAGCGCCAATGGGGAGGGCTTGGCAGACCTGCAGGCTCTGTGACTCCCCCCACCATGCTGCACAGCTTTCCCCCACCCCCTCCTCATGGGAGCAAGGGATCCATGAAGAGGGCGGGGTGAGGGGAGCTTAGGTCTGGCTCCTGGACACAAGAACGTTGTAGGGAGACACCCTCCTCCCCGGTTGGCAGCTGGATAGGGAATCCCCCAGAATTGGTCCGATGGCCCCCAGACGGGTTAGGGGAGCACCCCAGGGGACCCCTTGGCCAGGCCAGCCCAGGGTCACCTCCCTCATTTTGCCCTCAGGCAGCCAAGCTGGGAAATGATGTCCCCTCCCCTGTGGCTCCAGCACTCATTACTGTAAACCCTGGGATTAACTTAATTACCCGCTCATCTCCAAGAGGCTGGGGCTTGCAGGCACCCAGTGGGATCACGAGTTTTGAGGCTGCCAGGAAGGACAGTCCTCCCGGGGAGCCGGCCCTTCCCGGGGTCTCCTGCCCTCCAGCCCCCGCCTGGGAGTGCCCAGATCACTCTTGTTCTTCCTGTCTGAAGAGTGCCTGCTCCTGACCCAAGGGTGACTGACGCCCGGCTCACTGGCTCCTGGCAGCCTGGAGAGCTCTTCTAGGGAGCTGAGTGTGGGGAGAGGGTCAGGGTGGTGGGTTTAAAATGTCCATTGCTTCATTGGGTGGCCATGCATGTAATGTGAAGGTGCAAGAGTTTAATCCGTTCCCCCCCCTTTTTTTTTAAAGACAGTCTCGCTCTGTCGCCCATCTGGACTGCAGTGGCGTGATCTCGGCTCACTGCAACCTCTGCCTCCCGGGTTCAAGCAATTCTCCTGCTTCAGCCTCCTGAGTAGCTGAGATTACAGGTGCCCACCACCACTCCCAGATAATTTTTATATTTTTAGTAGAGATGGGGGTTTCACCTTGTTGGCCAGGCTAGTTTTGAACTCCTGATCTTAGGTGATCCGCCCGCCTCGGCCTCCCAAAGTGCTGGGATTACAGGCATGAGCCACCGCGCCCGGCCATTCTTTTTTTCTGAAAGAAGGATTTCAGAACTAGACTACAAGTCGATTATTTGAAAATTAACAAGAAACGATGTGAATAAATAAAAACCCACTGGTTCCCTCATCTGAGCAGCCGCACAGTCAGGATTTCTGTGGACTTCCTTCCTGAACTCACGTCAATGCCTGGATATTTTTAAACGTCGCAGCCATTGTGCATGTCATTTTGTGTCCAGTTCTTTCCACTGGCATTTTAAGTGTTTTTCCATATTGTTTAGGAGAGAAACTTTCTAAACATCATTTTAATGATGACAGGGTAGAACCCTCAGCTGTTGTTGGACAAATAGTTATTTCCAGTTTTGGCCACTCTGTCTGCTTTCTTCATAATTATAATTAATTCTTTTTTTTTTTTTTTTTTGAGATGGAGTCTCACTCTGTCACCCAGGCTGGAGTGCAGTTGTGTGATCTCGGCTCACTGCAACCCCCGCCTCCCAGGTTCAAGTGATTCTCCTGCCTCAGCCTCCTGAGTAGCTGGGATTACAGGTGCCTGCCATCACGCCCAGCTAATTTTATATTTTTAGTAGAGATGGGGTTTCACCATGTTGGTCAGGCTGGTCTTGAACTCCTGACCTCAGGTGATCCACCTGCCTCGGCCTCCCAAATTGCTGGGATTGCAGGCATGTGCCACCGTGCCCAGCCTAGAATTAATTCTTTAGGATAGATTCCACTGGAATTACTGGATGGTCTAAAATATTTTTTAAGAGTGTTATGTTGTTATTTTGAAATTTAAAAGAAAAACCCAATGAAGCCTGGTGGTCTGCAGTGTATTTTATTCTGCATAGCTGCCTGGGGTTTGGGGTAAACCTCAACAGATGGGTCTGTCAGGGGCAGCCCCTTGGTCTGGGGCCGTGGGTGTGTGGCCACCTGTCTGTGCCTACAGGTGGCCCGATGTGGGGGATGGTAGCCTGTGGGTTCTGAGGTGAGGTGCTGGCTATGGGCAGGCAGGGCATTGCTGGCGACCTGTGGGATGGCCTGTCTGCATCCCTTCTCCGGATGCCACCTGCCAGCCTGATCACTGTCTTTAACCCTTACTGGGAAGTGGGTGTGAAACCCCAGTTGTATCTGAGGGGGCGGACTGCTCAGACAGGAGAAGGGTCACCCAGCGAAGGTGCTGAGGCTGACGGGGCAGCTGTGGACTTGGGTTCCAGCCCATCCCTCCTCCGATTGTGGGCTCATGGAGAGGGAAGTGCTGGGAGCTCCTCGCTCACCCTGTGGGAACCAGCAGGGGGAGGCGGGTGGGCTGAAAGTGCACCCACCTCCTGAATGGTTCTGTGGCAGCGAAGGGCAGAGAACAAGTTAGTGCCCATCTTGGGCTGTTGGTCACACACAGTGGCTGGGTCCTCCCCCTGGCTCAGGGCCATCCCCGGGAGCACAGTCCCATGGGGGTGCTGTGGTGAGCAGGGGCCCTGTGGCCGTGCTGAGGATTGCGCTGCGGAGAGCCTTCAGGAGAGTGGTGTGACTGGGAATGGCGTCTTCTTTCTGAGTCTCTGCCAGCTTCTCTCCAAGGCTGGGGCTGTCAGCTCTGCCCAGGGTGGCCAGAAACACTGGGTCCTAAAGACTGACCTGTGGCGTGGGCCTGGGTAGTGGGGAGAGGGGCTGGAAGGCTCACCTGCTGGTGGTGGGGACACTTTGTTCCTTGTGGCCTCTGCACCTGGAAAATGAGGATGGTAGCTGCTTGTCCTTTGCAAGGCATCAGATGCAGGGGGTACCACGTGTTCCACATGGGACAGTGGGTACCCCCCACCCGACTCCACCCAGAGGGAGACCCCACACGTGGGTCCATAGTCATTGGTGCGTTCTTGTCCTAGCTCTGTCAGAGTGAGGGAGCCGGAAGGGTCTCTGGAGTTTACTTGGTCACTGCTTCCCAGCTGGTGTTCCAGGGAGCCCTCCTGTTAGTAGGGTACAGGACATGAAGGTTTGGGGAGCCTAGGCTGCACCCTACCTCCCCATGCTCAGAGGGACCCAGCACACCCTGAATGCTGAGGCCTCTTCCCATCACACCGCTTTGCTTGGGTGGGCATGGGAACTGTTTGTCGGGGTTGATAGAGTAATGAGTAAACTGAGGCCAGGGAGGGAGGGATCAGGGCTGGTGAGGTGTGAGGCTCTGAGGTCACCCTGAGGGCAGGGGTGGTCTGCCTGGCAGGGCGGGGAGGCTGGGCCTGGATGGGGAGCTGCCCTTCTCTCCTCTCTAGAAGGCCCCACATTCCTGGGAGGTGACTGGGCTGGAGGAGGAGGGGAGGCTGGTTTGCGCTCTTCCCCAGCAGTGAGTGCGGCCGGGCCGGGCTCCAGTACCTGCTCCTGCCTGTGGCTGGGCCAGTGGCTCTGCTGGGCCCTAGGCCTGGTCCAGGGCTGAATAGGGGGCTCCCAAGCATCCTTTTATTGGTGTGCTGGGGGCAGACAGATGCTTCATTGGTCCTGTGGTTGGCATGGTGGTCCTGGCTTGTCCCCAGTAGCACCCAAGCCCCTGTCCCCCCAGGCATGTTAACAGCCTGTGGAGTCCATCCCCAGCCCTGAGGTGGTGATGGGGACTAGATAGCTGGCTGTGTGTGGTCAAAGGGGCTGATGTCTCTGCTTCTGCAATCGAGGGTGAGCGGCATGAATCTGGGAAGACCCTGCGTCCTGTTGTCGGGTGGGCCGGTGGGTGGACAGCTGTCAGGGTGGATGGGGTCTGGGCTGGCATCTGGGCCAGGTGATCTCTGCGAGAGATGTTAATAACCCATCCCTTACCAGGTGGCTTCGTGGCTCACAGGGGTACTTGGGACAGCCTTGCTTCCCCCTTGCCTCCTCCTTCCAAACCTGCTGTTGCTGGGTGGTCCCCCGGCCTGTGTTCTGGGTCCCGTTCCTGCCTCTCCTCCCTTCCCCCAGCCCTCTGCCCTGAGGGTTTGCCCTGGGCATCCTGGCAGCTGAGCTGACTCCCAGCCTGGGGGGAGGCAGGACCAGGGGTATGGGATGGCTGGACGTGGGGGTGGGGATGGGATTTTTTTGTGTTTTCCTGATGTGACTGGAAAGCAGGGTCAGTGTGGTGAGGGTGGGTGAATTTCACCCTGCACCAGTGGTCTGCATAGATAGGGCTCCCTTGGCCTGAGGTCAGAAACTGGGGACACATGACCAGGGTGTTCCACGGGGTTCCCGACTGTCATATGGGGAAGGTGGCTGCTCACCTGCAGCATATGCTGTGGGCACACATAGCTTGTGAGAAGTTCCTGGGTGATCAGGCGAAGTGGACTGGAAGGATCCCAGATGCTGACTTGGCAAGTTCAGGAGTCTGTTTCCCCACTGTGTAGAGGAGGGGGCTCCCCGGACCCCGACCCTGGGGTGGGCTGTGCCCTGGCTGTGTTTGTGAGAGCTCCATTTGAGCCTGCAGCATCTTGGAAGCTGAAGGAATTGCTCCAGGGCAGGCTGGCGAGGCCACCCCCACACCCCCCACCTTTCTACAGGTCCTGAAGGTCCTGAGAAGGGCTCAGAGGCCCACAGCGAGGGCAGCAGCGGGTCCTGCAAGGCTGGCCTCTGTGTGTCGTGCCTTGGTGTCAGGTGCCCTATGGCCGGAAGCCTTTGGCCACAGGCCGTGCTGTTTCCACAGGGCGGGCGAGGGCTCGGAGGGGCTGGGGCGTCACCTGGCTGTGGGGTGGGACTCCTCAGACCCAAACCTTCCATGCCGGGTCTGGGGCCAGTCGGGGTTGCGCAATGGGGATGGAGTCTGCTGGAGGCTAATGTCCCCCTTCCTCTTGTGTCCTTCCAGATCCCTCATCCACCTACATCAGGCAACTGGAGAGCAAAGTGAGGCTGCTGGAGGGTGACAAGCTCCTCGCACAGGTAGGCCGGCTTCGGGTGGCGCTGCCTTGAGGACCGCGACCCAGCACCCACCCCTCCAGCTCACCCAGGGCACCCTTCCCCTTGGGACCTAGGCTGTCCCCCCAACTGCTCCCACTGCCACCTGTCACCTCCTGGAAAGTGGGGTCAGGGACCTAACCCTGGCTCCCACACCTCTGGGCTTCCCTCTGCCCAACCTTCCATGCTGACTGCCCAGTATGCGAGCTCCTCAGGGCTGGCCCAGGGCCTGAGAGGGTGGACAACACCCAGTTGATGAAGAAATGGGCTGCTTCACTCCTCTGGCAGATGGGCAGATCCAGGCAGGAGATGGGGCAGACTCACACGGAAGCCTCCCCGCCTCTGCCGTGCTGGACTCACTGGCCGGTACCTCCCTGGGCTGGGTTCCCCTCCTCCCTCCTGGGCCCGACCTCACCCACAGACAGATGAGGCTGCTACCCCTGTGCAGAGCTGGGCAGCAGGGGCACGGCGTGGGAGGGGTTGGCTGTAGGGGGGAGGTGGGGTTGGGTGAGGGGCTGTGCCTCTTGAGTGTGGCTGGAGCTTGGAGGGGACGTGTGACTGCCAGGACAAGGGCTTTCCCTGCTGCAGGTGGGGCAGGCGTGGGGGCTGCCGAGAGGAGGCTATGGGCAGTCACGCTTGGGTGTTGGGGGCCAGCTGGCTTGGCGACCTCTCAAGCCGCTCGCTCCCCCAAGCCTCCGAGCCCTCGTGCGCATCCCTGGCTTCATCCCAGTCTCCCTCTCCCTGCTTTTCCCACTGCGCCGTGAGCGGTCAGCCTGGGATACCCAAGGCGTCTCTCTGGGAACCAACCGCAGGGATGGCTCAGCTGCCTGGCCCTGTTGCTAGGTGACCAGCCAGGCTTGGTGCCGACTGCCCAGCTCAGGAATTCCACGGCACCCTCTCTGCCCACTGGGCGGCTGCTGGGAGGCTCACGGCCCCAGCAGGGAGCACAGCTCCCACTGAGGTCATCCTCACGTCTCACCCCTTTGTGGGCTGTGGGGAAGGTTCCCAGGGCCTGGTGGGATTAGCAGAGTGCACGTTCCTCATTTGGCCTCTTGTGAACTCTCCTCCACACCCCGCCCCCCACTCCCCACCACCATACAGGCGCAAGTGCACAGCCAAGCTCTGAATGGCAAGGCTGGCTTTTGTAATTTCATGCCTTGCTGTCAGGTGCCCTATGGTGAAGGGCTTTGGCCACAGGCCGTGCTGGCTTCCCAGGGCTGGTGAGGGCAGGAGGGGCTGGGGTCTCACCTGTCTGTGGAGTGGGGCTCCCTAGACGCCAGCCTTCCATTGCAGACCTGGCGGGGCCATTGTGGTTGCTAAGGAGGGTGTGTGGAAGCTGTAGGCAGAAGTGACACCAGGAGAAGGTCATGGCTTAGGGACCTTTGCTTTGGAGAAGGTCCCCATGCAGTGTGTAGGAGAGGCAGTCCTGCCTCTGGGTGGTGGCAGGGGCTACTGCTCTGCAGAGCAAGGGCCAGGACCATGCTCTGGTGGCTGAAGCTCGGGCCCCCGGGTCAGTGACCTCACGCGTCTGCCCTGATCTGGAGTTTCTTTGTCTCATTGTTCCTGTGGAGAAGTGGGTTGGAAGCTCCAGCTCTGAATTTGGGATGCTGTTTGCAGTGTTCTTTCTTTCTTTTTTTTTTTTTGAGATGGAATTTAGCTCTTGTTGCCCAGGCTGGATTACAATGGCGTGATCTCAGCTCACCACAACCCTCTGTCTCCCGGGTTCAAGCAATTCTCCTGCCTCAGCCTCCTGAGTAGCTGGGACTACAGGCATGAGCCACCACGCCTGGCTAGTTTTGTATTTTTAGTAGAGACAGGGTTTCACCATGTTGGTCAGGCTGGTCTCGAACTCCCGACCTCAGGTGATCCTCTCACATCAGGCTCCCAAAGTGCTGGGATTACAGGTGTGAGCCACCACGCCCGGCCCTGCAGTGTTATTTCTATGAGAAATGTGTTCTGCGGTCCAACCAGAGAGCAGCTCATGGTCCTGTTTCCATAAGGACAGGAGTGTCCCTGATCCCTTGGCCCCTGCAGGCCACAGTGTCCCACTGGAAAAATACACCCCAGTTCCTGACCACGGACTTGCAGAAAACCTGCGCCCAAGCGGGCTGTGGAGGAGCAGCCCTTCTTCCTGCCTTCCTTCCTGGGGTGCCCCCCGGTCTCACAGGGGGCCCTCCACCATAACCTGTGTCCACCTGCCCTGCACCCACCTGTGCACAGGTGGAGGTAGATGGGAGCTTCAGCCTTGAGCCTCAAGGATGGACGGGCTGGCTCTGCCCAGGGACCTCTTCCTCCCCAGGCCTGCTCCCACCAGCTCCCTGGGGGTAGCAGCAGGGCTCTGTTCACATCCTCATCCGTGGGCCAGGTCTGCAGGGCACCGACATCAGATCCTGATGGCTGGGGAGCTGCTGACCCTTGCCTGGACACAGGCTTGCTGGCTGCAGGCAGTTGGACTGGAATTTAGGGACAGAAACCCACTGTTGCCTGCTTGTTGTTACATACAACCAGGGCGCGGAATTCAGAGATCATCCAGTGCAGAAAGGGTTCAAAGTATTTTGTTTCTTTAGCAGAAATTTGCTTTCTCACCAAATGATGCCCAGTCAAGCCATGCTGCTGGAGTGGTCGCTGAAGGAGCTTGTATCTCTGTGTGGTGTGGCAGGAGGGCACCCAGGGCCCATCCCTAGCTGCTTTCTCAGCATGGACTCTGCAGCAGGCAGAGGTCTTGCCCTGGGGCTCCCAGCAAGTGTTGTCAGGGCCATACCCAGTACCCTGAAAGGAGGCAGCCGTATGCTGCTGGGGCCTTGGCCCCGGTGCCCTGTCCCCATGCTGCAGTGGAGGCCCCTGAACCTCATAACAAAGGCTCCAGGAGCTGGTGGCATCCCCAGAGCCCATGGCATCAGCAGAACCAGAGGAGCCACGGCTGGGTGTGGTGGCTCACACCTGTAACCCCAGCACTTTGGGAGGCTGAGGTGGGCGGATCACTTGAGGTCAGGAATTTGAGATCAGCCTGGGCAACACAGCAAAACCTCGTCTCTACTAAAAATACAAAAATTAGCCTTGCAGGGTGGCACGTGCCTGTAATCCCAGCTACTTGGGAGGCTGAGGTAGGAGAATTGCTCAAACCTGGGAGGCGGAGGTTGCAGTGAGCCGAGATTGCCCCACTGCACTCCAACCCGGGAAACAGAGTGAGACTCCACCTCAAAAAAAAAAAAAAAAAGAAGAAGAAGAAGAAGAACCAGAGGAGCTGGGATCATGGGTGGGGTTCCTGCTGGCCATGGAGGAAGGCACTGCTGTTCTGAGCCATGCAGGAGAGAGAGAGACAGAGAGACGGGGTGAGGGAGGGGCCCTTGGCTCTCGGCAGCAGTGGGTCCCAAGCCTGCCTTTGGATTCCTGGGGCAGCTTCAGTGGCGCCAGCTTTTTGGGGATCCTTGAGCCACTTTCTCTCCCAGACCTGTGTTTGCTCATCTGAGAAGTGGGCACTCATTCACTCAGTGTTTAACTGACCACCTACTATGTATGTGGCCCTGGGGATGCAGGGCTGGCAGGCCAGTCTCACCCTTGTTCCTGCCTGACCACCACCTTGCCCAGCCCGCAGGACCCACATGCACAGAGAGGCCCCTGGAGGATAGGGGAGGTGAAGAGAGCTCGTGGCAGGGCACTGCCTGTGAGGAAAGTGGTGGCCCCATTCTCAGGGAGGCGCCAGGAAGATGGGGTTTACTTAGTCTCCATCCTCCTGGCCTCCTGTCTGCAGCCCTCCCTGACTACCCACAGGTGGCCTGGTGCTTGCCCTGAGCTCTCTCAGTCCCTGGGCTGCCCACCTTTGCTGATAGGGTGTCATGACCCACCCTTGTGGATCCTGGCCCCCACCCCTGTGGGACTGTCATCTTCTCCAGGACAGGGCTGCAGGGTCTGAGTGGCCACATTGGTGTCTCCAGTGCTCAGCATGGTTGAACTGGGTGGATGTGTCTTGGGGAGCCTGTGGCTGATCCCTGTCCAGTCTCCACGGCCAAGAGGGGAGGCTGTTCTTGCTCAGAATAAGGAAGGCCCACTTAACCAAGGGAGGGCTTCAGCAGGTAGTGAGGGTACCATCTTTGGAGATAATCAAGAGATGGCTGGGTGACTATGTTTGGGAATCTTGAAGAAAGAGTTCACAGCCTTGAATGAGATGCTGTCCTAAGCCTCATGGACTCTGGCTCGTGAGATTCTGTGATTCTGGCATTTAAATCTTGTCAGGGAAATCAAGTTGTACAGAAACCCCCACCTCTGCGCAAAGCAGGGACTCTTCCTGTTGGTGAAAAGCAGGAGAGAGGAATGCTCTTCTCTGGAATAGCATAAGGTGACGTGGCTTTGGGGTTTGGGTGGGAGGGTAGGGAGCCTCCCTGGATTCCTACTCCCCGCGGTCCCACCCCCCCCCCCACCCATGGCCTCTATTTAACTCCAAAATAGGTTTAATTAAAAATGTGCCAGCATGTTCACAGACTCAATTACTGTATTGCTGTTCGTATTTTCTTTCTCATGTTGGCTTTAAAATTTCATCAACACAGCTGCTTCCTCCACGATGATTCATCTCAAGACTCCGTGTGCATTCTTATTTTTCCTGTGGATTCTCTGTGCCCAGCCGGGCTGGGCTGGGGGCGGCTGTAATTGACGCTGGGGCCTCTCGTTAACTCCCCTGCTGGGCTGATAAATGAAGACTCCATTGTGCGCCAAAAAAGCCAGCTTTACAAAAGAGCAGGGAGCTCTCCTGATATTCTCTCTCCCTAGACCAGAGGGCCAGCTTGGGGAGCGAGGCTGGGGTCTGGGCTGGTGACTGAAGGGCCCCCAGCCCACCCTCCTCCTCTCCCCTCTTCCCCCACGCTGTGCCCACCTCTCCCCTGGCCTGCCACGTACCAAAGGGCTGCTGAAAGAGACCCAGAATTCACACTAGGCACAGATGGGGAAACTGAGGTCTGGATGAAGGTGGATTTCCTGACATGGATGTTGTATTCGTCTGGTAGGGCTGCCATAACAGAGTTGCACAGACTGGGGGACTTAAACCACAGAAATTTATTTCCTTACAGTCCTGGAGGTTGGAAGTCTGAGATCAAGGCATCAGCAGGGCTGGCTCCTTCTGAGGCCTCTCTCCTCAGCTTGTAGACAGGCTCTTCTCCCTGTAAACTCCAATAGCCCCCGCCCCAGCGCTCACCTGCTGTGTGGCTTCAGGTGAAATCCTCTCTCTCCCAGAGTCTCAGTGTCCTCACCTGGGAGGTGATGCCCAGCGCAGTGTGATGTGGCCCCTGGGAAGCACCCCAGGCGGTCCCAAGGGCCTGGGATCTTTCGAGGTCTGGCTGACCATGTGCCCTCTGCTGTCCCTTGGGCCTGGCCCATCCCCAAGGAACCGCTGCTCTTTGTCCTTTGAGTTCTGAGCCCTTCAAGGGGCGGGGAAGAGGGGATCGATCTGCTGCTGTCTGAATCCATGGCCAACGCTTCAGTTCTGTGTCCCTAGGAGGATGGGCTGTCCTGAGCCCGGGTTCCTCCGGAGATGCTGGCGTCGCGGTGGTCCACGTGGGCATCTCTGTTGGTCAGCGTTTCCATGCCTTGGTAGCAGGCTCCAAGCCCTTCCCTGCCCTGTGTGTTTGGCATCTTGGGTTGGCCGCCATACCGTATCACCTCTGTCATAGGCAGTGTAGTCTTTGGGTCTCTGGAGGACTTTAAACGCTTCCTTAGTTGAACCTCAGAGTCAGTTTGGCCTCTCCCTTGCCCAGGGAGGAAACCCCCTCTTTCCAGCCTTCCAGCCAATGAACAGATGGTCAGTCTCGCAATGTGGGCAGAATGGAGACAGGAAATTCCACCTCCGTGCCCTAGCACCAGCAGTGTAAGGAGTGTCCACCGTGAGCCAGATGCTGGGGGAGAGTCACCAGGGCTGACAGGCCAAGTGCAGGATGCCAGTGCCAGAGGGCCTGGTTCAAGTCTCACTAGTGCCACCTGCCAGCAGAGTGGCACTGAACAGGTCGCTTAACCTCTCTGCACCTCAGTTTCCCCCTCTGCAAAATGGGGACACTAATGGTGTCTGACACATACATTGTTCAGAGGATGAAAAGGCAAATTGTGGGAAGGACTGGGAGTCGGGCGGTTGGCGGTAAGGGTGGCGGGTTAACCACCGTGATCTTTCCTGTCCATTGTGGGCCAGCCATAGCCTCCGCCAGCCTCCGCCTGATGCCAGTTTATGTGCAAACAAACAGAGGCCCAGAAAGTTGAGGAGCTGCTCTGGCTTACTCAGCCAAGGTAGGATTTGGTTTTGCAAATCCGCACCCCTCAGCTGGGCGCAGTGGCTCACGCCTGTAATCCCGGCACTTTGGGAGGCCAAGGCTGGCAGGTCACCTGAGATCAGAAGTTCAAGACCAGCCTGGCCAACATGGTGAAACCTCGTCTCTACTAAAAAATACAAAAATTAGCTGGGCATGGTGGCCGGCACCTGTAATCCCAGCTGCTTGGGAGGCTGAGGCAGGAGAATTGCTTGAAACCTGGAGGCAGAGGTTGCAGCAAGCCGAGATTGCAGCACTGCACTCCAGCCTGGGTGACAGAGTGAAACTTCATCTCAAAAACAAAATAAAACAAAACAAAAAAACAAAAGAAACAAAACACACACACACACACACAAAACTGCACACCTCAAAGCTCCCACAGGCCTGTCCCTCACTTACCTCACTGGAACAAGTAATGGGCCTGCAGAGGGACCTGGGAAGGGAGGGATGGTCTGCGTGGTGGACAAGACTGGTCTGCCTGTTACCCTGAATGGCACATACACGTGAGTTTGAAAAATGGGATTTCGGGTGTGAAATGACATGGGGACCAAGGGAGGAGCAGTGCCAGCCATGGGTAAGTGACATCAGCCACACATGGCCGCACCTTCATCTCTACCGCCTGATCTGAGTGCAGATTGGGAATATGTCTCTGGACCCCCAGCTGAAGCGGCAGCCCCCTTGTTCTTTTTTTATTTTCCTTTTTTTTCCCTATCAACTTTTGTTTTAAGTTCCTGGGTACATGTGCAGGACATGCAGGTTTGTTACATGAGTACACGTGTGCCGTGGTAGTTTGCTGCACAGATCAGCCCATGGCCTAGGTAATAAGCCCAGCATGCATTAGCTCTTCTTCCTGATGCTCTCCCTCCCCTCGTCCCCCTAACACGCCCCAGTGTGTGTTGTTCCCCCCTACAAATGAGTTCTCTCAAAATTAAAGAAGAAAAAGAAAGTAAATCCAGTTGGTATGACTGTGTAGCTCTTGTGGGCGACCTTGCAGGTCATCTTTGCCTTGAGGCTAGAACAGGGGGCCAGATAGGGCGTGCATCCCCCACCTGGCCTCTCTGAGCTGCTGGGATCTTGGGGTGCCTCTAGGCCGGGGCACCCCATCCCAGGGCTTCTCAAAGGTTTGCTTTTCCCTGGGAGGGTAGCAGGGCACTTGGGGTGGCTCCACCCTGGTGTGAGTTTTGGGGTGGGCTATGGGGGGTGGTGGGTGCTCCTAGGGACCCAGTGCCGGGCACATGGCAGGTCTTCAGTGAGTCCTTGTGAATCTGGAGTTTCTGAAGACGTGGAGCTCCTGGAGTCGCCTTGGCGAGCCCCAACCCTGGCCTTCGGTGTGGGAAAACCACTCCGGCTCAGCTGAGGTCCTGGTGGCTTTGGGCTAATAGATGTCCAGGGAAGGCACTGGGCAGAGTGATGGGCATGGTTGGCATTTACTGGGTGACACTGTTCTCCTTCCTTCTAGCTGCCCCGCCCCTACGGCCGCCCGAGAAGCTGGCTTCAGGTAGAGCTGCCTGGTGGGAGGCGTGTTTGCAGTGGTGTTTGTGGGGGTCGGGAGGCTGCTTTGTGTGCTGTGCGCTGCTGTGTGCTCTGTCCCCTACTCCCCAGCACCCTCCCGTTCTTTCCTGGGAGCACTTCCTTCCCAGGCTGCGCTGGCCCTGCCTTTAGAGTCTTCTTGGGATCTGCCCTCTCCTCGAGCTGGCATTACTGGCGAAACTTCCAGTTTTGCAAAATAATAGCAAGACAGTGATGCAGCGACCGCCCCCGAGGGCTCTCCGTGGTGTGAGCCCCTTCTCACGCACCTTGCCCAGGTGCCCGGGGTCCTCCCGCCTCTGCAGGGCGGCAGGGCTGGTGCTAATCCCCACTTTGAAGTGAGACACCTGCAGTGCACGGAGGGAGAAGAGGCTTGCAAGTCTGCATGAGTTAGTGGAGACGAGGCTGGGGCCCACATGCCCACCCAGCTGTGGCTCCCGGTGGGAAGCTGCCTGGGTCCTTGAGGGAGGTCTCCAGGGCTGCTGAGCTGGGTGGGCACTGGGCTGAGGGTTCTGCGTGGGTTGCACAGTTCTGAGGGTCAGCATGAGTCACCATGCCAGGCACCCTGGGCTGCAGCCAGATCCCTGCTGGACAGGGCCTGGGACTGGGGAGCTGCTGGGTGAACTCAGCTCCCACCTGTGCCCAGCCTCGAGACCCGTGGAGCCAGGCCCTTTAGGCACTGGCCACTCTCCTGCCAGCTCTCAGGTCTCCACATGGTTTCATTTCTGTCCCCTTCTCCCCGTCCTGAGACTGCCCGCCCCAGAATACCTGCCCCGCATTACCCTCCGGGGGTCTTCCACCCCATGCCCGAGCTGACACTAAAAAGTGTCTGTAGACACTGCGAGTTGTCCTCTGGGGGCATCACCCCCATTTGAGAACCAGTGACCAACTGTGTGCCAGCCCTGGGCTTGGGCTGGGAGGTGAACCACACCTGTCCAGCCATGCAGACAGACGATAAACCAACAACGTCATTACACAGTGCCAAGTCTACCTCCCCTTCCAGAGCAGCCCACAGGCATGACTGACGGACGTGTGGACACAAACCTCCTGCGTGCCCTCGTGGGAACAACTCTGGTGCAGTTCCCGTGGGGTCAAGTTGAGGCCTGTCTTCTGTGGAGGCCTCTGTGCTACGCTGCACAGCCCTGACCCCTGCCCTGTCCTGCATCCTCCCTGCTTTCTCTGCACTCTCCCTCTGAGGATCTCCGAGACGGATGACAGCTGGATCTCGGTGGGCTTTAGTTTGGGGCCGGACAGTGGAGCCCAGGCTAGTCTGTGGCCCCAGCTGCCCCTGGAGCTGCTGGGGCCCCTGGTGGGAGAATGGTCTCCCCAAGTCACGCATTCGAGCCTCTGCTTCCAGGTGGGTCCCCCAGCCCAGCCAGCTGAGGGTGCACTGTCTTCCAGCACTTCCTGGGTGGAGGTGTCAGCCTGATAGGCCACTGAGGCCCTGCGTTTATTACTCGGCACCCAGACCATTGATTACGCATCACTGACCAACCCTGGGAGCTCCCACAGTGCTTCGTCTTCCTGGAGGGAGGTCGCCAGGTCTTGGGGACGGGGTGTTCCCTGGGCCCTGGCCTTGCCCCCACTTCCTCTTCCTGGAGGGAGGTCGCCAGGTCTTGGGGACGGGGTGGTCACTGGGCCGTGGCCTTGCTCCCTGGGTCTCACCTCTCGCCTCCGTAGCCCCTGGGATGATGGCTTATCTGTGGGAGTGGGATTGGTGGGAAATGTGAACTGGAAGGAGCTCTCTCCAGCTCCCTGTCCTCCAACCTGGCTCCCATCCCAGCCTGGGGACTGCACAGTGACCACGGGGACCTGGAGACCATCTTAGCACACGCTCAGGGCAGAGGCATTGTTAGTGCCTGCAGGAGCTGCACGGGGCCTGGGCTCATGTGGCTTTTTCCTGCCCAGGTTCCCATTGCTCTGAGGGTGGATGTAGGCCCCTCCCTGCAGACGGCACCTTCAAGCTCTTCAGCTGCGGTGAAACTGGCCTCTTGTGACAGATCCCCTGGAGCCCCCACAGGCCAGAAGCAGGAGGGCACCTGACCCAGGAGAGTCTGGGCTGGGGGAGGCCTGTGTTGGGGTCCTCTCCCTGAGCCCCACAGTGTCTCCCAAGTCAGACACAGTCATTGGCATGACCTAAATTTGGGAGGGGGAGAGGGATGTGGCTGCGTTGCTGTCCACTGTGGTCCTGGACCCTGGCCACACCTGGCTGTCCGGCTGAGCCGAGCTGTGCTGTGCCACACGGTGCCAAGGGCCCATGCTCACCTGTCAGCCATCCTGGAGGGTGCTGAGGAGGGAGGAGCCTCGCAGGTCCCCACCCATCCCTGCACCGAGCACTGAGACACCGGTCCAGAGTCGCGCCAGGTGGCCCCTCCACGAGGACTCCTTCCCAGGGCATTCTGTATGAATCAGCCTGGGGCTTCGAGTCTGGTGGTCCAAGTGGTCACTTGCGGGCAGGCTGCCCAGGTGGGGACACAGGGCACCCCCTCTTCAGTGCCTGCCTCCACCCGCACCCCCAGCCCTCACTCCCCTTTAGTTGCAGCCTCCCTGATGGGGCACAGCGTGGTGCCTGGCACACAGGAGGCGCTCTGTTTGTGCCTCTCGGACACATAACCGATGCAGCACATTTGAGGGCCCAAAAGCTCTCTGGGAGCAGGAAGCAGGGTGACAGCAGCTCCCCTAAGCACAGCCCAGAAAGGCGCTTCCTGCCTGCAGCCACCCCACCCATCCTTTCCAAACAAGCAGCCTCAGGTGGGCAGGCTGGGGTGGGTGGGCTCTGTTTCCATGTCTTATCCTCTTTCTGTTCAGCATCCCCTCTGACAATGCTCCCTAGGGGTCACCCCAGGGTGGCCCCACATAGGCCCCCTGCAGCTTTGCAGGCAGGCATTCGCTGCAGGACGGGGTTCCCCTCTGGGGAGAAGGCTGGGCCGCACTGCAGAGGCCCAGAAAGGGCTGGGGAACAACTGGAGTTCACCCAGCGAGTCCTCGCTGGGCCCTGAGTTGGGCAGTGTTGCAGTGAAGGCCCTGGATACAGGCTGGAGGTGTCCTGAACTCCGGTCCTCAGTGGAAAAGGAGGCCCTGCAACCTCCTGGGTCTCTTCCTCCCTAGTCCAGGACACTCATGCTGCCCTCTGGAGGCTCTAGAAGTGAGTAATGCGGATTGGGCCTGGCCAGGGTGGAAGGGGCCACGCTGAGTGTTTGGCAGGGCTGGCCCCACCCTGTTAAGGATTCGGGAAATCTTGTTTGAGCTCTGAGCTGGCAGCTCTGTGTGTAAGATCCCTTCTCCCTGGGTCCTGAGGGAGCCACCCGAGGAAGACTGGGCAGGTGGGTGTTTCTGGGGAGCGGCAGTGGACCCCCTGCCTCCCCCTGAGGAAGGGCCAGCACCTTCCTTAGCTGGGGCTCTTCTCTGTGTGCAGAACAAGCCCAGCAGGTGATTTCAGCTCCTGCTTCCCCTCCTCGGGGAAATCCTAGGGAATCTCATTCTGCAAAGGCAGCGACCTGTCTCATAGCAGGATTTTTAATTTGGATTTAAGTGCAATAATGGTTACTCATTTGATGCGCCATTAGTCACATTGCCCCTTAATGAGAGATTGTGTGTTTTTCCTGCCTGGCTTTGTGGCTTGCTAATAAAGTTCTATGGACATGCAAATGTTTATAGAGGCTCACCGAAGGCAAGGGTGGGAATTGCGTGCAGCTAATTAAAAACCTCCCTCACGCTCACGCACACACATCTCCTCCCAGGGAAATTATCTGGGGGAGGGGAGGGGACGGCAGCACAAACCTGCGTTTTCGGTAACAGCACGTGGGAGCCCATTTGGTCGAGGGCCAGAGAGGATGTGGAGGAAGGGACGCCGGAGTCCAAACAGAAGCTGAGCAGGGCAGGGCAGGGCCGGCTGAAGGGGAGGGCAGCTGTTCCAATCCCAGGTGTACCCTTCCTGGCTGTGTGGCCCAGTAGTCAGACTGTGTGTATGTGCACGCACGCATTCAGAGTGTGTGCTGGCTTAGAATGCATTCTCCATTGGAGAAGATTTTGTAACTCTCTTACTGTTGCAGAGTCCTGGCCAAGAAAATCAGGTGGTTTGGAATTTTCGCCCTTAAGTGGAGCTAGGGGTACATCTCTCAGGAGAGGTGACCCAGAGAGGCATGGGTGGCTCTGATGGGGTGGGGGGAGGGGTGTCACTCATGGTTGGGGGAGGGTGAGTGCTGGGCCTAGGGGTGGGGGCTGTAGCCTCTTCCTCTTTTTGGTACCTGGTGGGTGGGGAGGGGGCTTTCCTTGATCTGACCTCCACCTGCGGGCCGTGAGTGCCTCTAGTTAACCTAGGCAGGGTCAGCCAGGGTTAATGCCGTGGTCAGGGCATGGCAGTCCCATTTGATGGTTCAGGGCTGTGCCCAAGGCCCCCGTGCTGAGACCCCTTTGTGATGCTCGCCAGGGTTATCTAAAACCCATCACACTTTGGGGGCCCTGCAGGAAGGTTGGTTCCCACTTCTCTGTCTCTCCTTTATGTCCCTCCCTGACCTTGGACCACACCCAGGTCCTCCCTGAGGCCCAGGAAGCAGCTCCCAGCCTCCAGTGCCCGGCTGCCCTGGCTGACCGGCGTCTGGTGGGCGTGGGCTATTTAATGAGGGGAGTCAGTGCCGGATCCCTGCTTTCCTGTCTTGGCTCCGTGGGAGCTGGTAATAGAGCATCCACTTGCCTCCTCACCCCCGCAGGACACGGCTGTTTGCTGGCCCTTGAGCCAAGCTCTTGAGACCTCCCAGCCCCAGTGGGGGGCCTGGCCAGGGCTCTGATGGGGCTGGGAGAACACAAGAGCTGGACCTCAGTGAGGCTGGGGCTTGTGAGAAGTGCGGGGCCAGGTCCAGCTTTTGAGGGAGGCAAGCAGGGTGTGTGTGGGATCTTTCACAGCCAGGCCGAGGGGCTGGTGAGTGGAACTGGGACCCCAGACATGGCTGCAGCCTGTCCTGCCTTCCTTGCCCCTGCCCCAGCCCAGCCCCAGCCTGGGCCTCCCCTGCCCCTGCAGTTTGTTTGGGTAACTCAACAGCCTGCTGATTTATGGGACATTCCGCAGGGTTTTATCTGCCCAGCCACTTTCTCTCAGTTCCTTTGAAGTAGAAAAGGGTGTTTCGGCCAGAAACACCCAAAACCCTTTAGTGATGCAGAAAGAAAAGAAAGGCCGGGCCTTCTGCTGGGCCGGGCCAGGGGAGGGGCACTGTGGGACTGACCAGAGAAGTTTATGGGACCTGTGGATTCATTCTGGCTCCTGGTCCCAGCCCCAGCCCCAAATTCTGGGGGTCGGTGGTGTTTGCTTTGCTCTTAAGCAAAGGGTCTAAGGCCAAGCCTTCCTCCCTCCCTCCTGTGTGCAGGAGTTAGTTACAACCCCACAGCTTGCACGAGTTCTCAGGGATTCAGAGGCAGCACCCAGGACCTGCTTTAGGAGCTCCCTGCCCATCCGATGGGGGAGGCAGCCTGGGCGGAGCATCCCGAGAGAGCCCCGAACCCGTGGGAGGTGGGAGGCCTCGCCTGTGGATGTGGCCCCATCTGCTGCCGATGGCTGGCCCAGGCCCTGTGAGTGGTGCCGTCTGTGCAGGGACCCAAGGGCAGGAAGTTGGAGCGGAGGAGCCAGGGTGAGTCACGGGGTGGGAGAGACACTCTCTCCTCACTCGCTCTCACTGGCTCTTCTTCATTCATTCATTCATTCTGTTTATTCAGCCATCCAACAAATGTTTACAAAGCCCACGTTGGAGAGTGGATCGCTGACATTTGAGCTGGGGAGAGTGAAGATCGATTGATCCCGGCTCGGGGGATGGATAAGCGGTGTGGAGGGGAGGGTGGAGGGGTCCTCCGGGGCCGTGCCTTTGAGCAGCCCCTGCTGCCGTGAGGAGCCATGCCCAGGGCCCTTGTCCTCCTCAGCCTGGCCCTCCGTCTAACCCCTCTCCTTCTCTCCCCTGCAGCAGGCAGGCTCCGGAGAGTTCCGCACGCTGCGGAAAGGCTTCTCGCCCTACCACTCGGAGTCCCAGCTTGCGTCCCTGCCGCCCTCCTACCAGGACTCCCTGCAGAACGTGAGTGTGCACCCCAAAAAAGCCCACATGTTCTGGATGAGGGGCTGAGGCTCAGGCGGGCCAGTGACCTGCCCGGAGGGGCACAAGGATCTGGGTGCCTGAGTTCAGCCCCAGCCCTAGGCCCTGTGTCCGTGTCCCATCCAGTGTGGCAGTTAGAGGCGGAGCCCCAGGTGGGTTGACACTGCTGGAGGTGCGGGGCAGTCTCCAGAGGCCACGTGCGCAGGGCTGCCCGTGCCTAGCCCCTGTCCCTCTGAGCAGCTCATTAGCCTGTGCCACTCCTTGGCCACGGTGGGGAGAGGGTACCCGGCCAGCCCTGGAGCTTGGGGTTCAGGTTTGTGGATTCTGCACTGAAATGACCAGCCTGATGCCTCCAGGGGTATCCTCTGCCCCTACCTGGCTGACCTGGCCTGGAGGGAATGGGGTGGGCGGCTTGGAGCCAGCTCCCGGGAAGTGGAACCTAGCTCAGGACTGTGCCCTGTAGATAGATATGATGGCAGTGGGGAGCCACAGGAGTCCAGGCCCACTTGCCCTCCTAGGACTGGGGGCCTTGCCTTGTGGGACTTCACGCCTCCAGGAGCCTTGGTGGGTGTGTAGCGGATGCTTGGGAAGCATCGGCTGTTCTCGTTGCGGCACCTGCAGAGCCGTGTATGGAGGTGCTTCTTGGGCAGCACGTGCGCTTGTAGCAGCTGTGCCCCTTCCTGCTCTCTTCCCTGCACCCCTTGCCCACAAGGCTGACCCCAGGCCCCCGGTGCAGAGCTTGCTGGGCCTCAGTGCTGGCTGCTGGCTCTGCGATTTCTCTTTTGCTGCCCTTCCACCTTCTCCAGGAATGCAGCTGTAGAGCCTGTGCAGGCAGCAAAGCCCGCCAATGGCCGATATTCCAAGCATTTATCCGGAGTCCCGTGGCTGAACGAGGCTCTAACTGTTTCATGGTGGAGGGCTCTGAAAAGCCAAGGGATGCCCTCACGGGGCTGGCTCCTTAGTCTTCATGCCCCGTGCCTCTCATTCATTCAGATCGTGGGAGGGAGTAATAGCAGCTAGCAGTTACTCAGTGCTATGTCCTGAAGTCTTCCGCGTGGCCTGCAGGTTGGGAAGTGCTGTGCAAGCACAGCTCTCACATGTACCAGGCCCGCCAGATGCTGTCTCCCTGCAGGCCTCTGGAGAGCACACCTCAGGCATGGGCCGAGCCTCAAGGCCTGAGAGTGCGGATAAAATGCTGTCAGAGTTCAGGAATGTTCAGGAAGGCTTCCTGGAGGAGGCAGCCTTGGGAAAGGGTTTGTTCCTCTTGCCTCCTTTTTTCCTCTAGACTGCTCTGTGCATGAAGGGGTGTCCCCTACTTTGGAGAGGAGGAAGTGAGGCTCACAGGGGTGGGGTGGATGGCCAGGGCCCCATGGTGAGTGCGTCCTGGTGCCTGTGTGTGCCTAGAGGTCAGGGGCCAGCGTGGGGGCTGTGCAGGGGTCGCTCCTCCATGAGGCCAGGAGGCCGGGTGATAAACTGAGGTTCAGGGGCCATGATCAGGGCTGGTCGGCGGGCAGGCCCCCAGGAGTGGGATGAACTGAGGTGCAGGGGCCGTGATCGGGGCTGGTCGGCGGGCAGGCCCCCAGGAGTGGGATGAACTGAGGTGCAGGGGCCGTGATTGGGGCTGGTCGGCGGGCAGGCCCCCAGGAATGGGATGAACTGAGGTGCAGGGGCCGTGATCGGGGCTGGTCGGCGGGCAGGCCCCCAGGAGTGGGGGTTGAGGGGTCAAGGTATCTCGTGGGAGGGGCCGATGAAGCCTGGAGAAGTGGCTGCTGTGGAGGGGCCAGGGCCAGAGGCCCTTGCTGGGGCCTGGAGAGCCCATGTCTGGCACTTGGACCCCCGGGGAGAGTGAGGGGGTTATCCAGAGAGGGCCGTCTCCGGGCTCAGACACTGCCTGGCACACAGGCCCTTCCAGACCCAGGCAAGTCTCCTTTAAGGCTACCTGTGGGTCATGGGCACATTGAGGGCATGCTGGAGAGTCCCTGGGTAAAGCAGGTGACTCTCTGGGGTGGACACCCCCTCCCTGCCCACTGCTGCCCATACCCTCCATCCACTGGCTGTCAGGGCAGGTGCCCAGTGGAGGGTGGGAGGTGGTTTATACCCATCAGCCTCCTAAGGGAGGACACTCAGACTTGTGCCGTCATCACAGTAGAACATTTTCATCACCCCAGAAAGACACCCTGTACCCATCGGCCGTCACTCCCGTCCCCCTTCCTCCCAGCCACCAGCAACCACCGACTGGTTGGTGCTTTCTGTTTCCACGGATTTGCCAATTCTGGATATTTCGTATAAATGGAATCACATGACGTGTGGCCTTTTGTGTCAGGCTTCTTTCACTCCAAATCTTGTTCTCAGGGTCCAGCCACAGGTACCCTGTATTGGTCTTCATTGCTTTTCATGGCTGAATACTATTCCATTGTGTGGGTGGAACACATGATTCCTTCATTTGTTGCTGTACATTTGGATCGTTTCCATGTTTGGGCTCACATGAATGGTGTTGCTCTGAGCGTTTGGCGACAGGTATTTTGTGGATGTCTATTTTCAGTTCTCTCTGGTGCACACTGGTATCCTCACTTTGGGCACCAGCTCAGGAGTCCCACAGACTTGGGTTTGGCGCCCAGCCCCATTGTTTACAAGCTGTTTGGTCTTGGGCAAGCCATTCTCTTAGCCTCACTCTCCTTGTCTGTAAAGTGGGCATGTAGGCCAGGCTCAGTGGCTCACGCCTATAATCCCATCACTTTGGGAGGCCAAGACAGGAGGATTGCTTGAGTCCAGGAGTTCAAGACCAGCCTGGGCAACATGATGAAACCCCATCTCTACCAAAAAAAAAAAAAAAAAGCTGGGCATGGTGGTGTGCATCTGTAGTTCCAACTACGCTGGAAGCTGGGGTGGGAGGATTGCTTGAGCCTGGGAGGTCAAGGCTGCAGTGAGCTGAGATGGTGCCACTGTACTTCAGCCTGGGCGACAGAGTGAGATCCTCTCACTCAAAAAAAAAAAAAAAAAAAAAAAAAAAAAAAAGGCATGTATGAACATGTAAAAAGATAGTGCCTGCTGGGAGCAGTGTGGCAAGGACTCAGTGGGCCCATCTGCCCTAAGTGGGTACCTAGTCAGTGGGAGGTGTGTGTGGCCCGAGGGGGCTGAGTTCTAGTACAGGTGGGGGCCCCTGCACCCCGGGAATGCCCTGGAGGTAACACTAGGGCTTTGTCTAGTCCTGGTGTCACTTTCAGGATCCCGGGCCATGCCCTCGCTGGCACCCACCACTGCCCAGTGAGGCGGGCAGGAGAGGGGCGGCTTGCACAGCCCACCCCCACGCTCCTGGCTTCCCTCCTGCCTGTGCTGCAGAAATCCCAGCCCCCTAGAGCCGGGGGCTGTAACAGGACAGGCAGCCCAGGGGCCTGGTGCAGATGAGGCCAGAGGTGCCAGGGGCCGGCTGGCACATGGCCTGTGTTCTGCAGCGGAAGGTGCAGGAAGGTGTAGGTGCCCAGGTCTCCCAGGGCCGTATGTGTGCGACTGGCGCCCCCTGCTGTCTGGCGCGGGGAGTGCCGCCTTGCGTTGCCCCAGGGGGAATCCCCAGCGTCCCTGTTGGGTTCCCTACACTACAGAGACCCAACAGCCTGGGCTGGAGTTAGGGGTCTGCACACACCCTGGGGCAGAGGACCCTTTCTATTGTCCAGACGAGGAAACCGAGGCTCAGCGTGGGTTGAGCCCCACCTCAATGACGCTTTCCTAGACCCCAGGGCTCGGGGGGCCTCCGGAGGTAGCAGCTCCCAGGCCCCCTAGCCTCAGGGGTGGGGCCTGGTCTCCATGTGGAGGCGGGAGCCGGTCAACCTGCAAGGCCCTGGGAGCAGGTCCAGGCCAGGGCGGGCGGGGAGGGCACCAGGGGTTGGCTGCCAGGCCTGCAGGGGGTTCCAGGTCCTGAGGGTCGCAGAACCCAGCCCTGCAGTGTTAGGTGGCCCCATGATGCAGGCCTGGGTGGGTGGGATTCCAGCCCAGCTCCCTGAGCTTGCCAGGCCGTTGGGAGGCGTCATCAGGGCCCCATTTACAGAGAGGGCGGCAGACTCAGCTTCCATGGTTGGCCCAAGGATTGCCAGAGGTGGGAGCCCCGAAGATGTCCTGGAAACCCCGCTTCCAGGGCCCACAGGGCACCGCTGGGTGTTTTCTGTCTGGCTCTGGGCACTTGTAAGTTCCTCCCAAGCCTCTCCCAGCATCTTGTGACCTGCTGGTTTCTGTTGGGCCCCTGTGGTCCCCACTGCAGCCCGAGGCAGAAGCCCTGCACCTGGCTTCCCAGCCACATGGACCCTTCCAGGCAGGAAGCTGGGGGTGGGACTGCCTGCCCCTGGGTAGACACGCAGCTTCTGACAGAGGCTGGGTCCCCTCCCCAAGGCCTGATGTGGGAGCTGGGCACCTGGCAGCCAATTCATCCCGCAGGGCTGGGAGGTGGCAGCTGGGAGGCAGGCCCCAGGGAGTGCTCAGGGCGAAGCCGGCCTCGCCCACCGGTGGCTCCAGGGTGGGCAGGGGAAGGGAGTTTGGAGTCAGGTGCCAGGGTTAAGTCCAGACCTTCCTGGTCTTGCTGTGATCTGGGTCTCTTGCCCTCCCTAGGCTGAACTTACTTTCCTTGCAAAACAGACGCTAGGTCTTATCTGTGGGGTGTTGTAGAGGAGCCTGAGAGGTGTGGGTGGGCCCTGGACTGCCCCTCTTGCCTCTGTGCTATCAGGGACCATTTCATCTGCAGAAGACCTGGTGGGCGGGACTGGCCAGACTGGCTGTGGGCTCCTTGGGTCTCCATCCTCACACCTGCCTCCTCTGCCTCACCCCGGTCCCCTTTTCCTCCTGCCTGGGCCCTGGCCCCTCAGAATGGGGGCCTTGTCTGAGCCACCGGTCATTCCTGTGGGAGCCAGCCAGGGTGAGCTGAGATGTGTGATTGCCTTCCCCAGGGCCCGGCCTGCCCCGCACCTGAGCTGCCCTCGCCCCCCTCTGCTGGCTACAGCCCTGCAGGACAGAAGCCCGAGGCTGTCGTGCATGCCATGAAGGTGAGGGCCACTACCCGCTCCCTCAGAAGTCCTCAGATGCTGGGTGCACTGTGAGACTGTGGGACCTTTGCACCTAGGGGTATCCAAGTGGCAGGGGTGGGAGGTTTCATCTGTGTGTGGGTGGCTGGGTGACCATGGCTGCCTGGAGCACTGTGAGGTTGAACTCAGAGGTGGCAGTCATAAGTGTGTCACCTGTCTGCCATCCCTGAGCTACTGCACCTAACAAGACTGAGGCCTGGGGTCGGGGAGGGCAGGCACCCAACTAAGGCCAGAGAGAGAGGGGCAGGAGTGGGGCTAGAACTAACCTCAGGTCTGCCAGGCCCAGCCTCTGCAGGTGCAGACTGGTGAGTCCGATGGGCTCCGGTTCCTCCAGGCTGTGCACACCTGAGCACAGTCCCCACTCCCATGCCCCCCTTCCTCCTA
This sequence comes from Homo sapiens, assembly GCF_000001405.40. NCBI lineage: Eukaryota > Metazoa > Chordata > Mammalia > Primates > Hominidae > Homo > Homo sapiens. The sequence goes on along the minus strand of NC_000014.9, from coordinate 99,516,664 downwards.
CGTACGTGCCCCATGACATCCCACATGCATGCACGGCCACGCCTACTCACACCCCCTCCACGTGGCGAGTGCCCACTCATCTCCAGCGGGCCCTGGGTTGCAGTGAGTCCACCTGTCTGAGGGTCTTCCTTGCCCAGCCTGTCTACTTCCTCCCGGGTGGCCCAGCCATGAGCTGCTTCCCTTGTAGGGCATCCAGTGTCAGCAGGGTGAGATGACAACCTGCCCCTCAGTTTTTTCCACGCTTGTCCCCAGGGGCCCAGCGGCTCAGGGTCCTCAGCTTTGGTTCGCAGCAGGGGAGGCTGAGGATCAGGGGCCAGGTGACTTGCCCGAGGTCTGCCGGTGGCCTCTGCCCCTGACCCCGAGACCCGTTCCCTTCAGGTCCTGGAGGTACACGAGAATCTGGACCGGCAGCTCCAGGACAGCTGTGAGGAGGACCTGAGTGAGAAGGAGAAGGCCATCGTTCGCGAGATGTGCAACGTGAGGCTTCCAGGGGTGGGGGGCAGAGGCTTGGCACTGGGAGTGCGACCAGGGCCACCCAGCATGGCCATACCCTTCCCCATGTGGGACTCCATTTCTCGAATGCTCAGCGAAGGCTGGGTGACCTTGGATAGCTGGGGGGAGGCCTCAGAGGTGCTAGGAGCCCTGGCCCGTTGTCATCTCGCTGCCCCCTGCCCTTCCCAGAGGGCCCCTGGTGTCTGCAGATCCGCCCTCCCCAGGAGTGCCGTGCCTGGGGTTCTGGATAGAGCTTGAGCCCCCCACCCCCCCGGGACTGGTTTGTTCACCCCAGGTGTTCCCTGGGTGCTGGCCCCCGGGCCTCTCAGCTTGCTGGTGCCCCCTGTGGCTGCTGGCTGGGCAGATGGTGCTCAGAGCAGGAGGTCCAGGTGGAACCCTCCAGCCCACCAGGCTGGGGCTGCCCAGGAGAGCTCCGTGCTCGACCCAGCTGAGCACCATCGGCGGTCTCCTTGGGGGTGCTTGCAGGAGCCATCGGGGAAGGAGTTTCATAGGGTCTGAACCCAGGACTTAAAGGGGGGGCGAGAGGCTCTGAACTGTGCAGCCCCTCCCCCGCATCACCTAGTGGGGCCTGTGGACCCCACTGGACAGCTGCAAGGCTGAGCCACACCCCAGCAGTGACCTGCTCAGGCCCGATAGTTAGCGCGGCATGCAAAGACCTGGTGTGGGTGTCTCTGGGCCTGCAGTGGCCTCCGTGTCCCTCCTGGCCCCATGGCTCTGAGGACGTGGGTGATTCTGCCGTGATGAGGCGGCGGATGTGCATAGGCGGCAGGTGGACGCGGGTGAGTCCCACCACTCACATCTCTCTCCTCTCCACAGGTGGTCTGGAGAAAGCTGGGAGATGCAGCCAGCTCCAAGCCCTCCATACGGCAGCACCTGTCTGGGAACCAGTTCAAGGGGCCTTTGTAGGGCCACTCTTCTGTGGACGTGGACTGGCCCTGCTGGGGGTCCCCAGGGGGAGTTTCAGGCCCCAGACACGGGCAGGACCTCCAGCCCAGCCCCTGTCTTCTTCCTCTGTGGTGAACTGTACATAGGACGCTGCCCGCCCTGGCCCAGCTGCCATGGGTCCGATGCACTGGCCCAAGCCGCCATCTCCCGCCTCATACACCAGCAACCTGGGAAGACGAGACGCTGCGACTGTTCCTGCAGCAGAGCGGCCCGGACGCCTCATTCCCCCTCTGGGCCCTGGGCTCCATGAGCAAGAGGCTGCAGGCTGCTTCTGAGATCCAGCCTGGGAACTGTCCAGGCTCCTCTGTCCTGCCTGGGATGGAGGGGCCACTCATCAAACCCTCTACTCCCCGGCTGCCACCCACACTGGACAGAGACCACCACTACCTGGGTCTTGACGCAGGTGGCACCACTTCTTGCCCAAATGCCGTGGCCTGGCCCCAGGCCCCCCAAGCACTGGGTCCCCGGCATGTGGACAAGGCCACTCACCACATCTGTGGCTGGCTGGAGGCTGCCCTGGGCCCTTCCTGTGACCCTCAGCCTTGGAGGTCAGGGTGCCCTCACACCTGGGGATCTGTGCTCAGCCACCCGATGCCCGCTGCTCCTTGCTTTTGGAGGTCATCCCCCTCCCCCCCAGTCTCTGCAATGTCCCCCTGCCACCCTGTCCAGGCTATGCCCTTCTTGGGCTCCTCCTGCCCCATGCCTGAGGCACGTCCCTTTTCGTGGTTTACATGACAGGCCAGTAACAGGAAGGGCCTGGGGAGAGTTTCTGGGCTGAGCCACATGTGATTTTCCTGATGGGCAGCACTGGGCCACAGCTGGGGCTCTGGTTGGCTGTGACCTCCCCCAGGGCCTGGCTGCATCTTGGGTCCCTGTGGACAGAGCTGTGTAGGCTGCAGATGAGAGTTCTGTTCTTTTTGGGAAGGAGCGTGTCTGGCCAGGTTCTGCCTTTAGTTTGTGGTGTGACCTTTAGCAGTTCACTCAGCCTGTCTGGGCTCTTGGTGGAAACAGGTCTCTGAGGTTCCTTTTCGGCCATGCTTATGGCTCCAGGTCATCCAGCGCCACAGGGCAGGGGTCCTCACTGAGGGGGCGTGAGCCAACAGCCGACGGCTGAGGGCGGGCCGGGTGGAGCTGAGTTCTGCTGCCTTGCAGTCGCTGCGGGTGGAGAGTTGCCTCCCCACTCTGAGCCCGTGTCCTCAGTAGTAAAATGGGCAGCATAAGGCCCTCCTCACAGGATTCTGGCATCAAGTGAGATCTTCAGTGTAAATGACCATGTATAAACTGTAAAGTGCAATAGAAAACTGTGTGTGTGAGGAAAGTAAGGCCTAGAGGGGGTGATGTGTGGCACATGACAGGGATTTTGATCCCACAGCTGCAGCACGGGGACAGGCCGCTTCCCCACATCCGCTCATGCCACTGTAAGCAGCCCTAGCTCTTGGGTCCAGGACCTCACCAGGTCCTCGTCAGACTCCTGTGCTCTTCCAGGGGCTGCTCAGCCCCACCTGAAGAGCCCAGAGAGGCTGTCTTCCTACCCAGCAGGTCTCATGCAGGCCCAGGGCTGGGGATGCAGGCAAGAGGAGGGAGATGGCCGCCCTGTCCCTCTCCCTAGCTGGCGGCTCTATTCTGAGCAGTTCTTGCTGCCCGTTTGCTCTCAGGGGAAAGGCTCACGCCCCCCATCTTAGCCCCAGGGGGGTAAGTGGGTGCTGGTGATGGGATGGTGTGGCGCTCCTGCCGTGGGTGTTGCCAGGAGGCTCTTTGGGAAGGAGTGTCGCCCGGTCAGGTGGTGCGCTCCCGGTCACTAGGGGTGTACACGTGAAGTTGGGTGAACACCTGCTGCTCATGGTACCCAGTGATTCTTGCCCGAGTGGGCAGCTGAGCAGAGGCCCCTCTGGGTCTTGCAGTCCAAAGAACCGCAGAGTAGCCCAAGGGCTGTGGGTCCATTTTGAGTGGCAGCCAAGTCTGGGAGCCCGTGTGCATCATGTTTGGGTCAGGTTGGCGTGGCCACCACTGAAATAAGCAATAAGTACGGGCTCCTGGTACCTGCGGATCTCCTGCAAACAGGCCCAGAGAACAGCCTTGAAGCCACCTTTCCCCTCAAGGGGACTGACCCTGTCTTTAATGCTGCAGTGGCATCCAGGGATCAGTGGAACATTGCTTTGAGAACCCTCCTGCTGTTACGGAGGCAGCACAAAGCTGGTGACCCCTGAGCCAACACGGCACTGGGATGGCTTTCTAGGACAGAACCCTGTCGGCGACTGTCACATCTCAAACTAATAGCTGATTTTAAAAGCCAGCAGCAGCGACGCCATGTACCTGAGTACAGGTGGCAGTTGCAGAGCCGTGGGCTGTAGAAGGTCAGATGGGGCTTCCCACAGGGGAAATCTGGGCATGCTGTAGCTCAGGGTGACTCCCAGCTCCGTCACTAGCAGGGCGACCCCCTTCCTTCTGGAGCCTTAGCTCTGAAAGCCCCCAGTGGGGGTGCCCTTTCAGATGCCCCCTTTCCATTTCAAAGGCTCTGACTCTTGATCTTGAAGCCGGACGCGGCACTGGCACTCGGCTTCAGTTTCCACTGTGACAGATGGAGGTCTCCTTTCGCCCCAGCCCAGGTGGCCAAGCCCATCCTGGCCTCAGAACATGCTGAGCACATTTTGTAGGGTGGCACCTTTTTATCCAAGTTACTAGCTACACATCAGTGTTTAAAGAGAAAAAAGTGACCTTTCATTTTTTTTTTCTTGAAACTTGAGGAAACAAGATACATACTACTGATTTTTTTTTTTTCTTAAAACTAAATGCATGACTGCAGAGCGGTAGAGGTGTATATTTTTCATACTGTGGGGCAAAGTATTTGTGCTGCTTTTTGGAGATGGACTGGAACGTCTGGTTTCTGTCCCCGGGCCCGGCAGCTACGTCTATTTTCTGTAGAAGGTGCCACAGTGAGACCTGGAGCCACCCCTTCCTGCCCTGGCGCCGTTTAGAGCTGGGAGCCCGTGGACTCCCGGCCTGTTTCTACCTTCTATTCAACCACTCTGACGTGGGGAGACAAGAAGAAATAGAACTTTTTGATAGTGTGGTAAAAACATTGATTTGAACTATTTTAGTAAAAGGAGTAACAAACAAGATTGTGATAGTGTCTACTTTGAGCTAGATAAATAAAGGCCTCTTTGTGAGCCTCCTGGCTGGGTGCTCAGTGCTTGTTTCTGTCGTGGGTGGCAGGGTCAGCAGGCAGAGACAGGGCCAAGGCCCCTCAAGCACCGCAGATGGGGGCTCAGTCGGGGCCCCTTCCACAGACAGAGCCGTGGCCCCTCAAGGTGGACAGTGAGGCCGCTGCTCCTCCAGCTGCCTCTGTCTCATCACAGGCCAGAAGTGGAAAGGGTTTCAAATCCAAGCCCCCGGGTTCCTGTGTGCGTTCTACGCAGCAAGGCTTCAAAGTTTCAAACTGGTTTGGAACTCAACCAGGTCCTCCAAAGGAAACCAAGGCAGGCACAGGATGGGGGCAGGCTGGCTTGGCAGGCAGCTGTGCGGATCCACCCAGAGTGCCTTGGGAGGCAGTGGGGTTGGCTGTGGCTGCTGTGAGCTGCAGCCAGGCCTCTCCCGCGTCCCCAGGGTCTGGAAGGAGGGCCTCTGCACATTTTATAAGCCACAGACTGCGAAGGCCTGGAGCCCCACCTTCCACCCATAACAAAGAAAGGGATAGTTTCAGAACTGCTTTTATTTGGATAACTGACTGAAGGAGTCTCATTTGTAACCAAGATGGAATTCACAGTATGTTGTTACATTCACACTTAAAAAATATATCTCTATGTACAGGAATTTGCAAAGAGATGTAAACATACATTAATTTCCAAGTACATTTCTCCCCTTCTCCCTGGAGGAAAAAAAAAAAGCCATCCAATGAGGCAACCCCTTCAAAATAATTTTAATACAAAGGATGCAAACATCTATAAATGAAAAATGTGGTTCTTCTGCCCCTTCTGGGTGTCATGGGAGAGAATGTCACCGAATGAAAATGACAACAGCTTGGCTTCAGATGGAATTGGACTATTTAAAATTGAGTTTCCAGGAAAAATAGGCACTGATTTCTAGAAGGAAATTAACTCCTTACCGAAGCTATTTATTGAGCCAATATGGCTGGTTAACGTCCTCACTAGTATAAAGTAACCCAGTGCAGGACTCTCAGACATTAGCTGAACCAAGTGTACACAGTCAGACTGCAAGGGCACTGATGAGGCTACTCTGAAAGCTGGTTGTCCCCGTCCTCTAGGTGTGAGGACCACTCTGATTTTATCCCAGGGGCCCGGTCCATTCTTCCCATACTGCAACTGTCGTGCATTATACAAGGTACCCTGCTGCTTACCCACTTCAACTACTCTGCAAGTCGATTAGAAAATCTTGTTAAAAAAACAAAGAGGGAAAAAAGGCTCACGTTATCTCATCCAGGCTGCCCGCCCCAGCCCCCCAACTGGAGGCATGCCGGGTGGGGGAATGGGCGGGGGCACAGGAGGCTGTCCTCCAGGGGGGACGGCAGGAGGTGGGTAGCTGGCTGGCGGCAGGCCCAACCCTGGAGGAGGATGAGGGGGGACTGCGTGGGTAGGCGGGAGGCGTGGGGGTGGGGGTGGGAAGTTGGGGTTGTAGGTGGGTGGGGGTGGGGGGTAGCCAGGAGTAGGGGGTGGGATGGCAGGTGGGGGGAAGGAGGCTGGGGGAGGAGGCACAGGTGGCGGGGGCGGGTTGGGCGGGTAGACATGGGGGTGGTAGGGCAGGTGTGCAGGTGGGCCGTAGGCGGGGGGCAGGGCACCGTAGGAGGGTCCCTCGGTCTTCATCATGGACTGCAGGCTCTGGTAGCCCTCTCCAGACATGTAGGAGCTGGTGGTGGACATCCCGGTCATGTAGCTGGAGGGGGGTGGGGGCGGGGGCCGGTGTGGCAGCGGCGGTGGCTGGTGCACAGGGGCCGGGTGGGCCGGAGGGGGAATCTGGACTTTGGGGAGGTCAGTGGCATCCACAGGGCCCGGCGGCTCAGCCTCACCTAAGGCAGCAGCGAGGGGAGGCTTCCGGTCTGCAGGAGAGAGACGCATCAGTGCCCGGCCTCCGCCAGCAATGGTTGCTTTTTCAGTGCCTCCTGGCCCTTCAGGGCCATCTTTACAGAGGAGCAGGGAGCAGCTGCCCGCCTCCTCTGTGGCCCAACGCATGGGCCCATGCCCCATGTCCTGATGCCACCAGATGTCTCCCCACCATCTGTCAAGAAGGCCCTCCACCCTGTCTGCGACGACCTGGGGTTTTCCCTCCCTCAGCCCTGACCACACCACCTACAGGCAGTCTCGGCAGCACCCGAAGCCCCCTTGTGCCCTGGCCCCAGCCCCCTCTTCCTAGTGCAAAACGTGTGGGGGCTCCTCTGTTTTTCTGCCTTCAGAAACTGACCCCAGGGGTCAGGGCCACACTGAACTCCTGTCTGCAGCAGTGGCATTTTGCAGAAAACCTCAGAGTTAGTCAAATGAATGTGATGGCACTTAAAACAATTCTGTACAAGTCTCTGACATTCCCGGTGTACCCATCGAAGCAGCAATTCAGGTTCTATTCTACTCAAGAGAGGCTACATCAAACCCCACTGTGTGCTCTCAGATAGCAGCCTCCTTGAGAGGAGTGTGTGCATGTGTGTGCGTGTGCGTGCTGCGTGCGTGCTGCATGTCTGTGCGTGCTGCGTGTGTGTGCGTGCTGCGTGTGCAGCAGGGACAGGCAGCACTAGGTGTTGAGCACGCCCAAGATACTCGTGCTCAGAACCAGCCTCAGGCCCCTCCCACAGCGCCTCCCAACCCATGAGCCCTCACGCCCCCTTCTGCCAAAGCCTTATTTAACATGTTTTGGCCTGTGATCCCGGGTCACCGTCAGACCACTGGAAAATGACATCGCAACACCCCACCACAGGTAGCCAAACACACAGAATGAGTGTCCTTTCCCAAGGCAGCCCAGGAGACAGACCACAGGAGCAACATTTCTGGTTCCAGAGAACATAGAGAGGACAAAGCCACGAAGATGCTTCTGGTTCCCCAGGCACTTGGGTTAGGCAAGGCACAGCACGACATCCTGGTTGGGTAGACGTGGCCATTGGCACACAACCCGTTTGATCTTGCCAAAGCGAGCATGAGCAGGATTTCATCAGGTCGGTAACAGGTGTGCCACTGGTGTGCCACATCAGCACCCCGCCAGCCTACCGGGTAGGAAGGTCATATGTGCCTGGCCTTAGATAACTGGCTTTGGCTCCAGGTCAGGGCCAGATGCCCTGTGGTTCTAGGAGCTGACTAAAAAAGAGGTGCAGAAAAGTGCTGACACCCTTCAATGCCTCCTGTGTGTCACTCCACAGCCACCTGGGCCCACAGGCCTGCTCCTCCACCTTGCAGAAATCAACTTTTCCAACACTCGACCCTGTAGCCTGAATCTTCAAGTCACCAGTGTGCCTGCCCTTGTGCTGTGTGACTGAGCTGGAACAGCAAGTGGGGGTCTCTCCTGGGCACCCCATTCCCTCTCTGTACACTTGCTCCTGACCAAGTCCCACACACTGCCACCAAACTGCTCCCTAAACATCACTGCTGACCTGAATGCCTCTTCCCATGGCCTAGGGCCTCCCAGGAAGCGTACTTCCCTCCCTTCCTCACGGCCCAGCTTTACTGCGCCTCCCAGGCCCTGCTCTCTTCAGCCATGGCCTCCTGGCAGTGTATCTGGCACCCAGGTCCCACTCAAGTCCCAGGCCTACTCCTGGCTATCTGTAATGGGGGAGGGAGCAGAGCTCTGAGGCCTCCACAGCAGCTACTCAGTGCCCTGGAGGTAGCAGCACCCCTGTGGCTGCCCCAGGCTCCCCAGATAAACCACCCATCTCCTCAGTGAAGGCACAGCCCCAGGCTCGGACCAGGGGAACTGCACTTGGCGAGGAGGTGCTCCATAAATGCTTCATGAGCAACCACAGGCATTTAAGTAAGGTTCATATTGAATTGGGGGTTTTGGGATTTGGCCCCAAAGTGGAAAATGACGCCTCTGTTCTCCCAAAGCACAAACACTATCATGATTGAGTAGGAACAGAAATGTAATCTGTGGCACATCTGTTACGGGCACACAGTGCTGTCAGCCCCAGTGTGAGCCACGTGCACCGACCAACAGTGAGTGTAGCAGGCTGGAGGAGCTGCTGACAGAGGCTTGGAAGCCTCCGGAGTATCGACCACCTTTTGGAGAGCAAGCACAGGTCACTCTGGCCTTCTCTAGCGCATCACCTTCTGAAATGGTGCCACAGGTAAAGAATGCCATCTACTTTACAGCTTTTCTCCTCTATTGCCAGCGGTATCAGAGAGGCTTTCCAGCTTACCATGTACTACTTGTTGAGAACTTTTCACTCTTTCATTTACTCTCTGTACAATTGCTTATTCTTCAGAATGCACTAAGACGACACACTGCCAATAGGAAGCAGGTGTAGGGGCGGCCGGAGCCTAGTAGCCACAGTAACCCTGCCTCTATCTCAGAAGGCGGGGTTTGGCTTTCTTTCCTAAAACTGATTCTAATACAATGTGTAGTTTAGCATTTCTGGATGTGAGAGGTCGGAAAATATTCAGATATACTTAACAATTTACAACATTCTCAAAATACCTGGTCAAAATCAGAACTTTGAGACACGGTCTCCCTCTCACCCAGGCTGGAGTACGGTGGTGCAATCATAGCTCACTGCAGCCTTGACTGCCCAGGGCTCAAATGATCTTCCCATCTCAGACTCCTAAGTAGTTGGGACTACAGGTGTGTGCTACCACACCTGGCTAATTTTTTAGACAGGGTCTCACTTTGTTGCCCAGGCTGACCTCGAACTCCTGGGGTCAGGTGATTCTCCTGCCTCCGCCTCCCAAAGTGCTGGGATCAAAAACACAAGCCATTGTGCCCAGCCCAAGAACAATTTTGCAAAGATTCCTGCCTGTGGCTGACATTGTCAATCTGGGCCCCAGTCTCCCTTTTCTAAGTTCCCAGGACCTGCTGCGTCCAACATTCAGAGGCGATGTGCACAGCTGGCCAAGCTGCTTCAGCAGATGCTTACCTGGAGGTGGGTGGGCTGGAGGCAACGGTGGATGAGTGGTCTCAATTTTGGGGATTTTAGGTGGTGGTGGTTCTACAAAGAAAAAGCAGATTAGAAAACCACTCATACTTCTTCACATGAATAAGCATGTCATAAAGAAAAATGTACTGGCAGAGATTTCTTTGGGAGAAAAACAACAGAGATGACCAAGGCTTTAAGGGAACTTGAAGAAGGTTTCAGCTAAACCATTATGCATGAATCCTGTTAACAAATTAAATGCCACCTCCCTCCAAAAGACCTGCGAGCTTCCCACAGGCAGCCCATTTTCCATGTCTACCTAAGTTTCCTTGCTGACCACTTCACTCAAGTCCTTCCGACCATGTGAGACCAGCAGAGCAACGTCTTCATGAGCATGTATGACCTATCTGGAGTCCTCCCTGGTACAGAGGACACAAAGAAGGGTCCAGAGTAGCAACATCATGTCACTGAGTCCCCTGAGGGTTCCACAAGAGAATCTCTATCTTTTCATTCTTAGACATAGTTTATTCTCTCTTTCCCAAATACTGACTTCCAGTTGGCAGCATGTCAGAAGCAGCACATTAACTGGAGTCAGCAGAGCTCTGGAGGTTGACACACTGATGGCAGGAAGAATGTGCCGCTCACAAAAGCCCAGCAGTCAGGACCCCTTGAGGTGGAGGAAACAGCCCACCCTTCCGGGGTCAGGCAGCGGCACGCAGCCAGAATCCACAATGACAGCACTAGGTCTCCAAGGCAGCCCAAGGGAAGTCCAATCTCATCCGTTTAAGAAGGCAGCGTGCACATCACAACTGAAAAAGAACCCTATTTTTCTGTTTGCATGCTGAGGCTTTTTCTTCCTGAAATGTACTTTCTTCTGGCTTGTACACCACTCAGATCTGAGTCTCCTCTGCCATCACTGGCCTCTTTCTCTGGATTTCCTCCATCTCAAATACAGGCTCAATTTAAGTTCCAGGGACTTCCTCTCTCTTCACCCTCTTCCTCAGAGTCCAAAGCCCCTCTCTAAGTGGACAACTACAAACCTACATTTCTAGCGTCCATCTTGCCACCAAAACCATGGCCCATCCCTAGACCCACCAATCAGCACCTCACACTCTACCTTTTGCCTCTGTATCCTATAACTGCTATTACTCTCACCTCAGGGACCCACCTCCTGCCTTTTTCCACAGCTGGTAATAGTTAGCTAAAGCCGTCTACATCAGGGCTGTCCAACAGCAATATAACTGAGAGCCACATATCTACAATTTTAAACTTTCCAGGAGCCATTTTATTTTTTGAGACAGGGTCTCGCTCTGTCACCCAGGCTGGAGTGTAGTAATGTAATCATGGCTCACTGCAGCTTCAACCAACCAGGCTCAAGTGATCTTGCTGCCTGAGTCTCCCAAGTAGCTGGGACCATAGGTGTGGCGCCACCACGCCGAGCTGATTTTTAAGTTTTGTGTAGTGATGGGGTCACCCTATGTGGCCCAGTCTGGCCTGGAACTCCTGGGCTCAAAGCATGCCTTGGCCTCCCAAAGTGCTGGGATTACAAGTGTGCCAGGAACCACTTTAACAAGAAAAAGGAGCACTCCAGCCTGCATTAACAGAGCAAGACTCTGGAAATAAAAGGAAAAAGGATAAAATTTATTTAACCCGATAGATCGAAAATTTTATTTCAACATGTAACCAATATAAAGCTTTACTAATGAGATGTCTTACGTTCTCCTTTCTTGGAAATCTCTGTGTATTTTGCATTGTCAGTGCTTCAGAATTTGACCCAGTCACATTTCGAGTGCTTGCAGCCCTCTGCAGCCAGTAGCCTTCGGCATGGCACAGTGCAGCTGAGTTCCTCTATAAAGCTTCCTCCGGATCTGCCCTTCCTGCCCCGCAGCCAGCATGCTGAGGCCACCATGTTTCCCATGAGTGCCAGCAAGATTCTCCCCATTCCTAACCACTTGCCCTATTTACTGCTGCCAGGGGACTCCTTCTCAAATGAATTTAGACTCTGCCATTCCCCTGCTAAATCTCCAATGGCTTCCCTTGCCTCTGCCAAACTCACAGTCCTCCAGGTAAACTCTGTGATCTGGTCCTAACCCACATTTTAGATCCTATCAGAAGCTATTGCCTTTCAATTCATCACATTCCAGAAAGACTCCTCTCCATTTCCCCTGATTCTCAATTCCTTTGCTCACTTGCGTACTTCCAACTTATTGCTCCATCCTCCCCCTCTGCTCTCGCTGCTCAAATGCAACTCTTCCTTCAAGGTCATATATAGTTTGTTTCCTGCCTCTGACAGACCTGCACGTCAACTCAATTGCATTTCATGTGGCATGGAGTGTAGCCCGTTCTTGTGTCTAACATTTAATGTCGGTCAATTTGAAGCTAATTAAAAAATTCACCTGTAGGCTGGGCACGGTGGCTCATGCCTGTAATCGCAGCACTTTGGGAGGCTGGGGCGAGCAGATCACCTGAGGTCGGGAGTTTGACACCTGCCTGACCAACATGGAGAAACCCTGTCTCTACTAAAAATACAAAATTAGCCAGGCCTGGTGGTGCATGCCTGTAATCCCAGCTACTCGGGAGGCTGAGGCAGGAGAATTGCTTGAACCCAGGAGGCGGAGGTTGTGGTGAGTTAAGATTGCACCGCTGCACTCCAGCCTGGGCAACAAGAGTGAAACTCTGTCTCAAAAAAAAAAAAAAAATTCACCTGTACTGAACTCATCATTCCCTCAAATATACTGGAAAAAAAAAAAAAGTAGCTCTATCATAACTGGAAGATTTCACAGCAGTTTAATGAATGGAACTAAGAACCGAGAACATGGTTCTAAGAACCAGGAACTACTGGAACTAAGAACCAAGTAACAAAGAAAGACAAATGAGTCAATAGGGTCTGTGCCTTCAAAGAGTTCAGTATGATAGGTGGACTGACCCTGTGACAAAACATTTCTAACTTTCTGTTTTGTAATTGTTCCAATTTTGCTCACTCCTTCTGTTTATTTCCAATATTGACATGAACTAACTTTGGGTTCTAGACATGTGACAGCACCTCAACCCAAGTGTGTTTCAAAGAGGCCTTGCCTGCAAGGGCAGCTGGGCTGGGCCGGGCTGGTGCTGTCCGGGCAGCACACCACCCCCTACTGCCCCCCCGCATCTGCTGTGGCTTGGTGCTTGGGAGAGGACTCCTGCTGCTGTGATGGGGGTAAATAGTCTCTAAAAATAAAATTGCAGCAACAGTTCTCCTACAGCCATAATTATACTTTTATATATGTTACTGAGTACATTTTTATTGCCAGTAATGTTTTCTGTACTGATAGCTTCGTAAGAGCACAATTTTAGAATCTATGATCAGGTGATGAACAGAAAGACAATGCTGATGGAAAAGTTTTGTATGAGCTCTAAAGTTAAGATTTAAGGCCAATTTAGATCTGAAAAGAAACAATGTTGGCTAAGAATTTAAAGTTTTGCATATAAACACATAAAACTAAAAAAACATCAGAACAGGAAATTACCTGCTGCTTTGTTCTCTTCTTTGGGAGAAACAACCTGTTACAAAAGAAAATACACAATTGTTAACTGGGATCCTGAGTATGATGAGAAAAAAATGGATTATCCAGGTACCACCAGAATCAGCGACGGCAGTCACTGTGAACAGCCTCGGACAAAAATTATTTCTAGCCTGAACTTTCAGGGCAAACCACGGCACCTACCAGATCATCATTTCTGCTCCCTTCCTCTTTCCATTTACCAAATAAGACAGAATGACTAGCTTTCCTGAATGGTGAGTTCTGAGTAAACACTAAGTTTCAGGACCACTTGGGTGCAGGAAACGGTCCACTGTTTGGGGTCAGGCAGCTGCACAGAAGCAGCATGCACAACGACACTGCTAGGACACGGCAACGACACCGACAGGCTTCAGAACCCTGGCAGGGATGAAACAGGCAGCAGGGCTGGAGCCGGGCAGAGAGCCCCCTCCTGGTTCTCAGAGGCAGCCTGTCCTTGGAGCACCTTTGTTTTCAGGCTCCCCACCGACAAGCAGTCGGACTGCGAGTTTCGGCGAACACCCCCTGCTTCCGGTGTTCCCTGTGCTCGCTTAGAAATGGGAACAGTGCTCAGGTGTTGCCGCCACCTGGAAAGCCTGCTCTACCCAGGGCCTGCTTTAGCCCACTCACCACGGCTCGCTTAACCTGTCGGGGAGAACTGGGCTGCGGAGAGGGTTTCTTGGGCTGTTGGGCTGGCTGCTGCTGCTGGGCTGGTTGCTGGGGGTCCTTCTGCTGGGGCTGGGATGGTTCGGAGCTTTGAGACGGCTGTGACTGCTGTACTTGCGGCACTTGTGGTGTAGGCTGAAGAGATGGGGGCTGTTGCAGCTGATGGGGGGTGTGATGAGGCATCTGTTGTTTTCCTTGTGAGTAAAGATCCAGGATTTGGTGGCAGATGTCTAAATGATAGCCAACAATTACATTTTACACAAATTGGTATTTTAAATAAAATTTTACCTGGATAAAGAATCAGTTATGATACCCCTACGAGGACCTAAGCATGAATCACATTTACAACTCACCCCATCTTCGTTGTGTGCAACACTGGTGTGTATTTTTAGTTTACCAAAAGTATGTGTTTGGACAAAGTGGAAACTATTAGATAATTTAATTAATGATGCTTCTGAAATATTGCTCACATATGTCTATCTGGGAAAATCCATTCTTGGGACTCAGGGTACACATGGAAGAATCATCTCAACATGGAACACCCTCACGAGAACGCTTAGCATGCCTGGTACCTTCCAAAACGTCGACCGGGACATCTTGAACAAACTGCTCCCACCATCTCCTATACATGGGTTTGGAGGTCCATTCTTGTATTTCAAATTTGCACAAACGTCCTGCGAGATACATCACTGCTACTGCTATGATCTCTGGTTCCCACTGCAGTGACAAGGTGGTGCAGAGACTAGTTCAACAAGAAAAAAAAAGGTTAGATAATATGATCTAATATTTATGATTAAACCAGTGCATGGAGATGCCATAACTAACCATTAATTTGCTTATTCTCCCCTAAATTTAATTAAAGTACTATAAATAAATAAACTCAAGTCTTTACTCTTCTAAAGGTACCCGACTAAGTTACTTTAACCATAGTTAGTAATTTCTCTATTCCTTAAAGAATCAGAAGAATTCTAGCACATCCAAAAATTGCTACACCAATGAAAATGACTTATGTTATTTAAACTGTTGAAATCCTAGCCACTCAACTGTTTCTTCAAATGAAATCTTATGGAGGAAGTCAAATGTAAGAGAAGCTTCACTGACTGCAGTGGGATGGGGCTGGCAGCAACTCCATTCACAGGCATTCTGTTTCCCACCACGGCCCCTCATTAGATCCCTGGCCTCTCAAAAGAGTGTTAAGGCTCTAAAACTATACCAGGAAGTATATTTTTGCAAAACCAAATGGGCTCTAAGTAATTAGTTTTCAAAATTCTCCAGTGTATTGTTTTGGACTTATGTTTCAGACTGGTGATAAAATTTCAGCACCTCACAACACCATGACACGGCAGGGCAGAAGGAAACCCTCTGCCGGGAAGCAGATGACCTGGACGTCAGCCCCAGCTTTGCCATTAACTGGCTCCTCAAGCCAGGGCAAGTCAGTTTCTTCTGACACAAAATGAGGGGTTTAGATGAAATGGTCCATAAAGTCTCTGCCTATTTTAAAATACTGTAATTAATCAACATTTGAACATGTATACCTGTCATTTACAAATGTCCATGCCATTTGAACCAACTTTTGAATTTTGTTTTTATCACCTAGAAATGGGGACAAAAAGGTAAATTAATAGCAATAGAAAAATTCACAGGCAGCATCAAGTATTTATTAAAAACCTACCACGTGTTCAGCACCACTCAAATACACAGCAAAGAGCTTTTGCGTGGGAAACAAGGATGAATGATGTGGGTCCACATCCTACCCCTTCTTCCTCCTCATGACCTACGCTGAACCACCATGTATGGAAAACCTGGCTCCAAGGCTAAGTTTATTAGTCCATTTAAAAAATTCTGCCTCATTTTCCTGCCTCTCCCATCACTTGGCAACTGGATGACAGAGCCTGTTTATACATAAAAGGAAACAGCATTAGCAGCTGCAATGCTGAATTGACTGAGCAAGCCATGCCCTTGGTATTTCACACATCAAACTTTGTTTTCCGCTTTTGAGAAGCGTAATTTGAGTGTCATCAAATTATAAAGACTTGATTTCAGAATGAAAAAATTCTTCTGAAAACTTTCTTCTTACCTTTGAGTTGCTTTGCATATTTTAGTAGGAACTGGTATGGATGTTCTACCTGTAAATCAAACTTGATGGTCTGCAGTAAGATTCTCTCCAGAACCATTACTTCCTCCTAAAAATCAATCACAAATGTTAGGACAGTAATTACAATTGCAGGTCTCAAGCAGCATTACAAAAGTGAGCTTTCCTGTCTATTTATTCTCTCTTCAAGTTATATTTTAGCAACTGCCTTTCCTTCCTTTCTCTCCCACTCAGACTTTTAACATGCTCAGAGACACTGATAAATTCTGAAAAGATCTCAAACAGGAAGACAAAGCAGAGGTGTAATGTAAAAAAAAATACTGAAAACAAAAGATCCT
The DNA here is from genome assembly GCF_000001405.40 of Homo sapiens. Classification (NCBI taxonomy): domain Eukaryota; kingdom Metazoa; phylum Chordata; class Mammalia; order Primates; family Hominidae; genus Homo; species Homo sapiens. Next base: position 99,500,518 of record NC_000014.9, on the reverse strand, counting down.
TAAAAATATTATTATTTTCAATACATACATGAGTCTCCCTTTACAAAACAGATCTTTACGTTATTGATAATTTGACTAAATTGTAATTTCTTTCAAGACCTCAAATTTTAAAAATGCAATCTTTTAGGAATTTTCATTGAAAACATTTTAAGCAAGAAAGAGTTTATGATAGCCAGCCTCATGAAAACTCAGAGATAAATTGTACCAGTGTGTGTGTATGTGTGTGTATATATACTCATGTACACATATAGTGTATTACGTGCAAATGGGGGCAAATCAATTTTGTGTTTAAATCTTTCATTTATTTGAAATAAATCATCCCAACAACACTTACTGAATAAATGATCATTTCCAATTTTATTTAAAATGCTACCTAAATCACCTCCTAAACTACGTGTGTATGTCTGCCTACACACACACTATCTTTTCTGTTCACTGATCTGCCTGTCTACTCCTGGACCAGGATCAAAGGGATTTGGGTGGGATACAATAGCTCCAGTATTACTTCTCTTTTTCAAACAGTTTCTGGGTTCTGCATGTCCCCCTCACTCAAATTTTAGTAACCATTTTACTTAGTATCATTACAGAAAACATACATGCTATTAATATTCTCATTGGAAACTCAGAGGATTTATAGAATAATTAGGGAGAATGGAGATTTTTAACCATATTGAAGTTTCCTTCCAAAAATTTATTAATATCTTTTCAGTCCTTTAGTTGTTTTAAAGTCCTTTCCACCCCACTAACGAGGTTTCCACAAGGTTTAACCTTGGATATTTTACTGTTGCTATCGTTAATGGAATGTCCTCTTTGATGATACTCTCTAACTAATGTCTTGAACTCAGCCCCTGTACAGCCGACTGTACCTACTGCTTAAAGACAACATAAACCACAACCAAGACACTGTGTGCGGGGAGGACAATTTGAGAGAATTCCTTGTTTGGCATCAAAGACAGGGCGTTGTAGAGGACTGTAAATCTCATCAACAGGTGCAGAGACCCACAGGTCACTGGCTTTCATTTAGAAGCATGGTATTATTTTATAGGATACAGAGATGATTCTATAATTATTATTCCAAATTACATGGCAAGACTAAGGTTTTTCAATCTTAGTTTCCCAAGCATTTTCTCATGAAAGTTTTTTAAAATCTTAGAAACTTTCACACAGTGTAAAAAAAACTGGGCTGGACATGGTGGCTCATGCCTGTAATCCCAGCACTTTGGGAGGCCGAGGCGGGCAGATCACTTGAGGTCAGGAGTTCAAGACCAGCCTGGCCAACATGCTGAAACCCCACCTCTACCAAAAATATAAAAATTAGCCAATCATGGTGGCAGGCGCCTGTAGTCCCCTACTTGGGAAGCTGAGGCAGGAGAATCGCTCGAGCCTGGGCGGCAGAGGCTGCAGTGAGCTGAGACTGTGCCACTGCACTCCAGCCTGAGTAACAAGAGTGAGACTCCATCTCAAAAAACAAAACAAAACAATTTTTTTCTTTGAATGTCATTGTCACCACCTGCTTCCCAGAAGCTTCAACACTTCCTCTAAATTTAGAAACAATTCTTTTTACCAAGTGTACCAATTGGCTTGCAGGCTGTAGCCCACATACTGTTACAGGATAGCCCAGGGCCTGCCCTCCCTCTGTCTTCCAAATATTCAATTAATGGGGTCATTATAGGTCTTTGAGCAAACATCATTCCTCAGGAACGCCTTCCCTCAGCCCCTATTTATCCGGGGGACTTGCCTGGGTCCCTGGGTGGAATGCTATCACAGCACCTTAAATGACCTTTTACAGCGTACACCACAACTCATCATCAAATAGTTATATACTCATTTGATTAAAATTTATCCTGCCACTCAACTGCAGAGTCCATGAGAGCAGAGACCATGTCTGTTCTGCCTCGTGCCTCATGTCTAGTGCCCAACACAAAGGCTGAAACGAATATTACAGAGAAAAGCCACACAATTAAAATAAAGCTAATTAAGGCAAAAAATGTTCCATGGGACTCATGATCTTATTTTTCCTAAATACTTATACTGCCTCCACTAAAGAATTGCCCTCCTGTCTGCAGAGGAAAACATCTTCCCCAATGTCTTCACTGCTCCCAGCTCCAGGTGTTTTCCTTTGGCCCCGACTCCGACCAGGGAAGACTGCGCGAGATAGAGAGGCAGGGGGCAGGTTGCAAAGCCCCCTCCCCCATTCAGACCTAATTGGTATGGTGACCCCTCTTTTCCCATTTTCTGGGGCACAGGAGCTTCAGAACTTCTACTTTCACTGTTCCTGGACTGGGGCTTGGTTTCCTGACTTCATGGTACAGTGGGTAAAGGCTAAAAGTAAAGGGGGCTTCTCCAAGGCACCCTGGGATGGCACAAACCAGCAGCTGCCACGAGTCCATGCCCTGCTGTGGTCCCAGATCTGTGTGATGCCTTATCCTTAAGCACAGCTTGCCAGCCACAAGGTTCACCTGCCCCTGTGACGGGGGTGTGACTGAACCACAGCATGTTCCTACAATCAGACTTATCACGTTAGGACACAGGGCCCCACTACTCAGTAAAAATCAAATACCCATGCACATTGAAAACATTATCTGATGGTGAAATTATTTCTATAAAACTGCATTTTTGGTTATAGTTAATATGAGTTCCTAATAGGTTCAAATGTTTATAAACAGATTAATGGATTTATAATTAAGTTCAAAAGAGTTACCCACATTGGCAATACTTAGAAAATACTAGTGTTAATCACAACCACAATATGTATAAAAGTGTTCTGGGCCCTTGTTAACTCCTCAAAGCAATGAGGAGAATGACTATACATTTTGTATATACATACATAATGCTTGGCAGAGAAAAAGATAACTATTGTGAGACAATACAAGCTAGTTAGGAAAAACAACACCATGAATGGGGCTGAACTTCATCGCTTTAGCTTTAACTGTGATTTAGAAATTTCCTCAGACCATTAGTTTGACATTTATTCCACGAGTACTTGCTGAATGCCTACTCTGTCCTGCCACTGAATGAGGCATTAGACAAAACAGATAGTCTTTGCTTTCATGCATCTTACAGCTGAGAAGGGGAGGGAGTTATGTGTGTGATAATTTGATAAAAATCATCTAATGGATACTACTATCTAAATGCACACCACTAAGTGAAAGAGACCAATCTGAAAAAGCTACATCCTATATGATTCCAATTCGATGACATTCTGGAAATGGTGAAACTATAGAGACAGTAAAAATATCAGTGGTTGCCAGAGGTTAGCGGGGAGAAGGAGACAAACAGGTGGAGCACAGAGAATTTTTAAGGCTATGAAAATAGACTACATGATACTATAATGGTGGCTACATGTTACTATACGTATGTCCAAACCCACAGAATGTACAACACTGAGAATGAACCCTAATGTAAAGTTTGGACTCTGGGTGATGTGTCAATGCAGGCTCATCAGTCATAGCAAATGTACCACTTTGGTCGGGGGGATGCTGAAAATGGGGGAAGCTGTGCATGTGTTGGGTGGGGGGTATATGGGAAATCTCTGTACTTTCCACTCATTTTTGCTGTGAACATAAAACTGCTCTAAAAAAAAAAAAAGCATTTTTTTTTTTTCTTGAGGTGGAGTCTTGCTTTCTCGTCCTGGCTGGAGTGCAGTAGCGCAATCTTGGCTCACTGCAACCTCTGCCTCCCAGGCTTAAGCAATTCTCCTGCCTCAGCCTCCCAAGTAGATGGGACTACAGGTGCGTGCCACCATGCCCAGCAAAAAATAATAAAGGTTTTTTTTTTTTAAAGTAATATTAGTTTATTTATTTTTTTTTGAGATGGAGTTTTGCTCCGTCGCCCAGGCTGGAGGGTAGTGGTGCCATCTCGGCTCACTGCAAGCTCCGCCTCCCGGGTTCATGCCATTCTCCTGCCTCAACCTCCCGAGTAGCTGGGACTACAGGCACCCACCACCACGCCCGGTTAATTTTTTGTATTTTTAGTAGAGACGGGGTTTCACCATGTTAGCCAGGATGGTCTCGATCTCCTGACCTCGTGATCCGCCCGCCTCAGCCTCCCAAAGTGCTGGGATTACAGGCGTGAGCCACCACGCCTGGCCAGTTTATTCTTATATAGTAGAGATGGGGTTTCGCTATGTTGGCTAGGCTGGTCTTGAATTCCTGGGCTCAAGCAATCTGCCCGGCTTGGCCTAAAGTATTTTTGAAAATCTATTTAATTGCAAACTGTGATAAATGTTATGAAGGATAATTAACAGGTGTTACTGAGGTTGCAACAAGGGGAACTTGATGCGAATGGGAGTGGAGGAACACTGCCATGGGTCCCTAAAAGTGGTATTTTAAAAACACAACAAAATATGTACAATTATTTGAGCACCACTTGCTGACACTGGCGTGAGCTGTATGGAAAAGATAGGATGGCTGGTGTGACCAGTATCAAGCTCTGGGTGCATAAAAATGCTGCAAATGTTGATACCTTCCAACATTCTTTAGAAGCAAAAGACACATGGCATATGTAGGCATGTGTATGTGTACATACAGCATACATACTTTTGTTTGACCCAGAAGCTAGCTGGAGTTGTAACCCTGCCATCACCACTGCACTTAAGAAGCAGAGTCCTAATGGCAATTAAGAGGATTTTTGCTCATATCCATGAAATGTGCCACTGCCCCAAAGTACTTAGAATACTGCTGGGCACATAAGGAAGCACTGAGTAAGTGTAGGCTACACGATCTTCCCTCCTTTCTTACAAAAGCATCAAGTAACTTCTACAGAAGGCCCTCTTAGGAACTCAAGAGACTGGCAGACACAAGGGCTACAGGCACTGTCAACATGTGGAACTGTACAATACTACCATAAGGAATCAAGACCAGAAGGCAGGAAGTTATTATCATTCTTACCTTTGGGTCATCTCCAAACTGGCCAAATTGTACATCATTTAATAAACTACGAGCTGTTTTGATGATATCTTTACATTTTTTTGGTGTTTCTTCTACTTTCCCAGCCAGAAAGAGGCAACAGGCTCCTGTCACCTAAAAGGGAAACAAAAGTTCTTGATTTTTGTTATCAAAGGTCACACAGAAATAGATACAATAAATTTTGGCCTTCGTAATAAACTGGTCTTCCTCATTCCCCTACCTTTCTTTTTATCATTCACAAATACTCCGATACTCTAGAAGCTTGAAGGAAATTTTATACATATAAATCCCCCAAACTCTAGCTTCATAAATTATTTAAAATTTAACTTTCTTAAAAAAAAAGTCATGTAAACAAAGAAAATGCCAAAAAGGAAAAGAGTCACATAAATAAATTTTCTTCTCATATTCCAATCTGAAATTAACTCCCTAAACAGCAAGCTTTGCCGTGGAAAAAGAAAGAGCACAACTAAACACAGTCCCGCGGAATCCATCTCAGCAGCACTGCCCATGCTTCCTTTTCCTTCTAGCACAGTCCTGTGGAATCCATCTCAGCACTGCCCATGCTTCCTTTTCTTTCTGCTATGGTCTGAATGTTTATGTCCTAATTCATAGCTTGAGACCTAATTCCCAAGGTGGCGGTATGAAGAAGTGAGGCCTTTGGGAAATGATTCTGAATGGGATTACTGCCCTTATAAAAGAGGCCCAAGGGGCTTGTTCCTCCCTTCCACCATTTGAGGATGCGGCAAGGAGCCCTTTTATGAGGAACAAACCCTTACCAGACACAGAATCTGCCAGCACCTTGATCTTACACCTCCCAGTCTCTACAACTGTGAAGAGTTAAGTTTCTGTTGTGTGTAAATTATTGGGTCTAAGGCATATTGTTATAGCAGCCTGAATGGATGAAGAAACTGTCCCTCCAGTTGCCTCAACCTTAGCTCAGTCCCTATATCACTGGGGTCTGAACTGCTCTGTCTTCAGCTTCTCTTTGCCCACTCCAATCCTTCCTACATGCCACTCTCCTCACATAATCCTGATCACACTAGATGTCAGACACTCTGCCGGGGGTACAAAACTGATTCCAACATGGTCTCCTTCTTCAAGAACTTCACAACCAGTGAGGAAGGCATGTATATAAATCTAACTAAAATCTTAGCTAACAAATCAACACAATGACTTTAATGTTAAGTCTGTCATTTTCACGAAACCTTTTAATTACTGCATTGTTCACCCACTGAAGCCAAATTTCTGAAGTCTGGCATTCGAGGCTTATCGTGGTCTGACCCAGTCTACCTATCCACCCAGGGTCTCATCATTTCCTTCCTGCCAAATCAAGCTCCTGGCTGGGCTGACAATGTGTCACATGGTTCCCCCTGCCTCTGCTTATGCTAGCTTCTGTTGGACCACTGACCTAGCCCATCACGGCATGGCTATGCCCTATGTACGTTTAAGGCTTACCTTAATGCTGGCACCTTCTTCCTAGCACTTTCCCTGCTCTCTCCAAGATGTAAGTTGTCTCCTCCTTGAATGCCACAACTCTTTTATCAGTATCTTCTGATGGCCTCACTTTCCATCACGTGTTCTGTGCATGTCATACCACTTATCCTGGACTGAAAGCTACTCTATCTCCCACAGAGAGTAAGACACAATGCACGTCTTGAGGAGTAACCGAAGAATGAGTGATATGGCATAGACAACTTCTGTTCCATTTTGCTTTCTTGGTCTTTGTTGAGTCTCAATTATAAGCCCAAATTTATGCTGGGAAAGGTACCACGGGAGTAAACTTTCATACAAAGCGCAATATGACTATGGTCCATATTGGCCTAAGTGAAAAGATTTGAACATGGCTAATTGGAATAAAAAAAGTTCAAACTTGATTTTGTTTATATGCAGTATATACCATATAAAAATAAATACTTTCTGGAAAATATGAGAAAAATAGAGCTTATAATTAGTCCACCAAACTGTGTGGAAATAATAACATATGACAGAGAATTACAATAAAATTCAAACACTTACATATCTTGGGAATTGCTTGAAGGAATGAAACATATAGAAGCGATGAAAATAAATTATTCCAGTTGCCAGGGTATCATAGTGTCTGTTGTTCTGGTTAAGGACTCTAACCAATAACTTTTACAGGTTATACTCTTAGTTAAATGTAGAAAAACAAAAAGACAAACAACAACAACAAAATCAATGGTAAAGTAAACAATATTAGTGGCAAAGTAATGAGATGGGAATCTCAGGGTGTCAGAATTCTGGTACAAGAATTAGCAAGCTGAAGTTTTATACTTTTAACACCCTTTAGAAACACTTCAACTATGATCTTTTTTTTTTTGAGACAGCATCTCTGTCACCCAGGCTAGAGTGCAGTGGTGTGATCTTGGCTCACTGCAGCCCAGGTTGGTCTCGAACTCCAGATTTCAAGGGATGCTCCTGTCTAGGCCTCCCAAAGTGCTGGGATTACAGGCATGAGCCACTGTGCCCAGCCTCAACTGTGATCCTAATGGGTGCCTCATATCCTCCTGGCTGGCCACCTCCTCAGTGGCTAAGTCTACACCTTTAAAATGACAAATCAGAAAGAGAAAAACCCCCACCAGAAACAACATTCAAACAGATATTTAAGAACTGCTCTGGTACAGAGAAATTACTATATATTTTGTCTACAGAATCTAATTATTTCTTGGTGGTGAGTGGGGAGCCTATCTGTAACAGATTCCAAGGAGAGTCAGGATACAGCCCCAAACGTGTGCCCACATCAAAGATGAACCGAGCGCCCTCTCGGCGGTACCGGGCCTCGGTGGCTGGATCAAGTCCTTCAAGTTGTGAGGGTGTATGAGCCAAGTCTTTCTTATCCCAGTACCAACATGGCTTTGTGTGGTCCAGGTTTGCTGAAGTTACTGAAGGGCTTGAATTTTCTTTATTCTCCTTCATTTATTGAAGTAGGCTTGTTCTTTCCAAAAGGTTCTCTGAAAATGTTAGAATCCTATGAGAAAGAGAAAAACAAAGTTGGAAAGGAATACTCCATACTATAAGCAATCTAGAATCATAGATTGTACCTGGTTTGGGATCACTATTTCCTATAGAAACCACACTGTCAATTGCCAGTTACAAGCCCGGGCTAACTCCAGAGCCAATTTAACACAATACTGTAAGATGACCCCAGTACTAATATTAATAAATCTCAAATTTCATGGTAGTTTAAAAATAAGACTATTTCCTCCCTCTCTCTTGAGATTAAAGGGTTAACCTTATTTGACAAAGTTTTGGAAGAAACGAAGTATATCTCACTTTCTTCTGGTTTTTCTTCACTAGACATACAGGTCCTCTAACGCTGGTCCAGATTCCATTCTTCAGCAAAACCTGGGCCTGTCTTAATCTTGACAAAGATTTATGTTCTAAAACTAACCATCTCTTCCATCCAGCACCCCTTTTCAGTTTATTCCATGTAGGCACTTTCACTTAGACAAGTCATGGGATTGGGTTAATTCACATCTGCACAAATCACTGAATTCACTGATGTAAACCAAATGTGCATCTTGTGATTTGGGGAGTGGGTGGATGGAAGTGGTCCATGAGAGAAGGAGCTCCTTTAAACTGTTCTTGCTTTTTCATCCTCTTCCTTTTCTTTCACTCAGAATAAAGACACTCTCCAAAAGCTCCATGCTGAGAGAAAGAAAGAAAGAAAAAAACAACAACAACGAAGGATCTCATCTAGAGACCACTGTTAGAAATAAGTCATTTGTAACCTGGATCAGAGACAGCAGATACTTTCAAATAAGGTATCAAAAGGGTTCTGAAAGAGCTGGCTGGAGCCAGGTTAGTCTGGTTAGCAAGAAAACAGCAGCTCTGTGGCCAGGTTCTGGGCCAGGGCTCCCACCAGTTCATCTGGAAACCTAACCTTTTCTGTGTATCTGCCTCATTTCTGGTGGGGAAGGTGACATGGTGGGGCTGAATATTCTCCTCCTTGCACCTGGTAGCTCTGAAGGAAATCTGATCTTCCCTCCAAGAGGAAGAATTAAGTACCTGGAGAAAAGCTTGAACTAATAATTTACATTTTTGTGTGTGACTGATTAAATTGGGCACTGTTCAAAGGGCGGGGGAGACCAGTTAATTAAAACCTCAGAAAATATGACCTGTTCATAATCAGACATCACACTGAGATACAATTCTCACCTACTGGATTGGCAAAAATCCCAAAGTTTGACAATTTGCTCTGTTGGCAAAGCTATAGAGAAGCAGGTGATCTTATAAGCTTCTGGTGGGAGTACAAAATGGTCCAACTGTCACAGAGAAGTTGACGATATCCAACAAAATTACACATGCATTTGCTCTTTGACCCAGGATTCCCACTGCTGGGAATCGACTCTGAAAATATTGTCCTAACTATGAAATGTCACAACTATGAAACAACATGTGCACAAGATTATTCACTGTAGTGTTATTTATAATGGCAAAACTATGAACAACCCAAACGCCCATCATCAGGGGACTGGCTGAGTAAAATATGACACATGCACACAATAGCATACCCCACAGCTATTAAAAAGAATGAGAAACATCGTTAAGTACTGGATGGAGAAATTTCCAGATCAGCAAGGTATAGGATAGTGTACACAGTATGTTAGCATCTATGTAAGAAAGGAGGGGAAAAAACAGACATCTCTTTTTTTTTTTTTTTTTGAGACGGAGTCTTGCTCTGTTGCCCAGGCTGGAGTGCCAGTGGCATGATCTCGGCTCACTGCAAGCTCCACCTCCTGGGTTTACGCCATTCTCCTGCCTCAGCCTCCCGAGTAGCTGGGACTACAGGCGCCCGCCACCACGCCTGGCTAATTTTTTTGTATTTTTAGTAGAGATGGGGTTTCGCCGTGTTAGCCGGGATGGTCTGGAGCTCCTGACCTCGTGATCCGCCTGCCTCGGCCTCCCAAAGTGCTGGAATTACAGGTGTGAGCCACCGCGCCCAGCCAGACATCTCTATTTTTTTAAAGTAATTCAAAAAATATTTACCAATAAGGAATGGGGAAAAACAGGATGGAAAAGACAGGAATGGAAACAAGACTTCTCTATGTATATATCTTTTTATACAGCTTTGCCTTTTTATGAAAGCTTTTATTTTAAACTAATTGTACGTTTACAGAAGAGCTGTAAAGATAGATGAGTTTTGTCTATACCCTTCACTTAGCTTCCCCAATGTAAACATCTTCCATAACCATGGTTCATTTATCCAAAAAAAGAAATTAACTTTGGTATAACCACTATTAACTACACATCATATTTGGGTGCAGGTGATATCAGAACAACTTACTGCTGTTAACCATGAGCTCTTGGTTAAGATGGAGTCTACCAGGTTTCTCACTGTAAATTATTATTTTTCCCTTCCTATCTTCTATTCCTTAGATGCAAGTCACGAGGTCCAGCCCACACTCAAGGGTAAAGGAATTAAGCTCTACTTTCTGGAGGCAGAGATATCAAAGAAATTGTGGACATATGTTAAAACCACCCACTAGTAAGTAAATATTTTGGGGGAAATATTTTACAATGCAAAATACTATACAAATGTCTATTTCTCCTTCAAGTTTCATCTACTAATTTTAGCATTCACCTGAGACGATTACAACTGTGGTGTTCTAATGGTGACTTTCTATTTCCTTCACTGCTTCAACATTTATTATTTGGAATCATTTTGTTAATATTTGTTTCTTCTCTCCCATTTGTTTATTTACTTTAGTACAGACATGAGTATTTTATTCTTTGGGTTATAATCCAATACTATCATTATTTATTTTGTTGCTCAAATTATTCCAATGTGGCCATTAGGTGCTCTTTCAGCTTGACTCCCTGCAGAGTACTTTTATAACTTTGATGTTTGAATCATGTAAATATTTAACATACTCATACACTTAACTAAAAATAAAAAAGCAAATCCTAAAACTCAAACCAAATGGGCAACAAAATCACACAGAAACTTACTTCCAAGTAATTTCTGATATTGTTACATGCTTAGTGAGATATATTCTAAGGACAAAAATAACTGAAAAGAATTATTTATTTGTTTATTTATTTACTTACTTACTTATTTTAGAGTCAGAGTCTTGTTCTGTCACCCAGGCTATAAGTGCAGTGGCATGATCCTAGTTCACTGCAGCATCGAACTCCTGGCCTCAAGCGATCCTCCCGCCTAGCCTCCCAAAGTGCTAGGATTATGGGTATGAGCCACAGTGGCTGGCCCCAACGAAATTTTAAAACTTCATTAGTGTACTGTTAGTAGTGTCATTAATGTTGTAATTTTCAAACACATTTTTTTTTGCATGTTGTGGAATAAAGCAAATATGTAAATGCTAATGTTGTTAGGAACCAAGATTTTCAGTGCAAAGAAAACAAATGCACACATGCAGAAAACCAAATGTTAAGAAACAAATCTGTAATGTTAAACTTTAACTGAAGATATCAAAATAAATCATGGTTAAAAAAAAATATATATATATGTATCCCATTTCTGTCCTTTTCAAGTACCAAGAAGGAATGACACTCCTAATTCTGAAATCTTAACTTTTTCAATACCAATACCCTCTAAAAGGAAGCAGGTTTCTTTCCAGTCTGGGGTTGGAGCCTGCCTGGGATGTACTCAGACTAATCAAAGCTTATCAAAAGACATAGGACTGCTGAAGGAATGATTTGCTAGGGAAAAAAAAAAAAAAGACATAGGAGCCACCATGATGGGTGCCCACTGGACTAATCCAAGGTAATTTGAATAGCAAAAAGAAAAATAACTGTGGTTGATCATAAAATAGTGAACATACAATCCAAGTGTCCATAATATTAATACATATAGAGAATAATACTTTGCTAGCACTGATAACTACTGATAATAAAATGCTACTGATAATAAATGCGACTTTGCTAGCATGGATATTAACTACTGTAAAAAAAATACAGTTGATCCTTAACAAAATGATCACACTTGACATCACTAATAGGGTGAAAACCTGACATTACATGGCTTCTGATGTGATGCAATGTGAAATAAATATCACCTACCTATGTAGTATTCTTGTCCCCCAAAAGCTTAACCTAAATTTAAGCAAACTTTTGACCGAACTTCCAGTTTACAATAAATACTGGTGGTACAAGAGTAAGTGAAAAAAGCACAACATGGAAACTATCAGTCACATCCAGAAGGTGAGACACTCTACTCAACAACTGACCCGGTCTCTTCAAAACAGTGTTATGAAAAAACATTTTGAGAGACTGTCTTAGATTTAAAAAGGCTAAAGAGGGCTACAACAAAATGCAATGTGTGAACCTTGATTAGATCCTGCTTTTTTTTTTTTTTTAAAAAAAAGAAATTTCAAACAATTTGGAAAAATTTAAGTATAAATTGTATATTAGAGGGTATTAGGGAGGGAATTACTGTCAGTTAATTTTCTTTGGGGGTAATAATGATATTGTGATTACACAGGAGAATGACTTTATTCTTAGCAGATGAAGGCTGAAGTATTTTGGGTAAAGTGTCATGATGTCTGCAACCTACTTTCAAATGGTTCAGCTAAAACACAACCACACAGTAAACATGGCAAAAAACGAACATGTGTCCACAGGTAAATAAGTTGTCATTGCACTATTCTTTCATACAATAAAAAGTTGGGGAAAAAGTCAGATGAGACTGAATAGGAGACCAGGAGGACTCCTTATCTTCATCAATCCCTCGATAGCCAAGGAATACTTGCTTATGTGTGGGTACTGCTTTCATAAATTACAACACTGTGATTTGAATTATAGCATACAAAAAGAAAAGTGAACTAATTATAAGTGTATGGCTGATTGTTTTTCACAAAGTAAACACACCTGTGTTAACACTATTCAGTTGAGAAAGAGAACAGTACCAACATTCCAGAAGCTCTCTTCGTTCTTTCCTAGTGACTATCCTCCCAAAGATAACTATTCTGACCTCTATTTCCATCAATTTGTTTTGCCTGTTTTTGAAGGACTGTGCGATGACACAGTACCACTTTTACATTTGGTTTCTTCTGCTCAATATTAAGTTCATGGGATTCATTCCTGTTGTTGCATAAAGCAGTATTTGTTCATTCTCACTGCCGCAGAGCAGTGGTTTTTAAACCTGGGACAATTTTGCCCCCCAGGGGACATTTGGCAATGTCTGAAGACACTTCTGGTTTTCCTAACTGGGGGGTTGCCACTGGCATCTAGTGTGGGTAGAGGCCAGGAATGTTGCTGAATGTCCTCAGTGCACAGAACAATCCCCCATGACAAGAAATTATCTGGTCCAACATGTCAATAGTGCCAAAGCTGAGAAAGTCTGCTGTACAGTACAGTTATATCCTATGAATGCAACACACTTTATCTATACATTCTACTGTTTGGGCATGTAAATGTTTCTGGTGTTTGATTATTAATAAGTGTTAAACATGTACATATATTCTTATAGAACAGAAGGCAACTGGACAGTTGGCTGAGGGAATCAATATCTTAGCACATCTTAGCAATTTATTCACAGTTGGGAATTGCTACTTTAATATACATACGCCTAACAGTTTTCCATGTACTTTTTCATTTAAATATTTCCTGAGCATTTACTATGAGCCAGGCCTTAATGGCATGGCAGGGCACAAGATAAGTAAGGTCTTTGCCCCAGGAAGCTTACATTCTAGTGGGAGAGACAATAAGAAAGAAATATATGAATATTTGTCAGGGAATCTTAAGTGCCACAAATAATAACGCATGTAAGGGGAGAGAACATAATGAGGTAAGGGCTGTTTAGAGGTATGCAGAAAGAGGAAGAGTTAGGAGATTATAGTAGCAGTTCAAGTAATGCCTAATACACCTGTCTCCACACAATGGCAGCTGGAACAAGGGGTGTGTGTGTCATAATTGGCCATGAGGCAAAGAATGGAAAAAGATGATTTCAAGTTTGACTGACACAGAGGGTGATACTAAAAAGACAAATGGATAAGACAAGAGAAAAAGCTGGTTTTGATAAGGAGGGAGGAAAAGAATTTGGCTCTATAAATACTAAGCTTGAAGAACTTTAAGATCCTTTTGTGGAAATATCTATCAGACAGATAAATAGGCCAGTTGAAGTCTCTACAGAACATATCTACTTGGGGTTCATCTACACAGAGGTGATAACTATAAAGTCATGTTGACGGATGGAGGGATGGAGAGTGAAGAAGGAAGGGGTCTGGGTACAGAACTCTGTGAACTTGTACCAAGTAGGAAGAATCACCAAAGGCGAGCGTTTGCCCAGTGACAGGAAGGTAAAACAGACTTGAATGCACTTATGATTTACCCACTTGCAGACTAAGAATCACCAAATTAGAGAAAGGGAAAAAGACTGGTCCAAGAAGTAGGGAAATTTGCATCCTTTGTTGCAAAACAAACCATGGGATGTCAGCTTTAAACCAGAGATGGTAGTCAACAGTGACAAATGCTAAAGAAAAGTTAAAGGACAAGGAACTAAGGAAAGTTTACTTTAATTGGTGATTAGTTGTTTATTAGAGACACTGAAAATTGTGATGGTTTCATGACTCTGCAAATACTAAAAACGACTGATTTGTACAGTTTAAATGGGTAATTTGTACGGTATAGGATTATATTTCAAGAAAATACATATATACACATATAAATAAAATAACATTTTTAGAAGTGCAATAGGGCAGAAGGTGTAGAAACTGCAAGGGGTGGTAAAGAATGAACAGACTAGGAAATAGGTTATTCTTTTTTATTCATTTTTTAATTTTTTGAGACAGAGTCTCCCTCTGTCATCCAGGCTGGAATGCAGTGGTGCTCACTGCAACCTCCCGCCTCCAGGGTTCAAGTGATTCTCCTGCCTCAGCCTCCTGAGTAGCTGGGATTACAGGCATAAGCCACCGTGCCTGGCTGGAAATAGGTTATTCTTTTGAGGCATCTGTTCTCAAAGAGAGTAACAGGGAATAGTAGGGAGTAGGTTTTGTTATTGTTTTGGTTTTTATATATTTTTCAGCATAAAGGAGAATGAAAAATGTCTGCAGCCAGTAAAAACAAAAAGGAATCACTAGAGGAGTCAGAACAAGGGAGGCTAACTGGTCAAGGGATAATAAAAAGCACAGCAAGAAAGTTAACCTTAGAAAGAAAGCTCTTTCTTCCCCTGAGAATGGAAGGAAAAGTTTGAGAAAGATATTTTTAAATAATCTTTTAAGGGGGAGGAAGTAACTAAAAAATCTCAAGAGTACCTCCATATTCTCTAGGAAGTATAATGCCAAGATATCTGTTGAGGGGAAAGGGGCAGAACGGGGAACAGTGTTAGGAATACCCCAGTAGGGATGAAACTGGAATGGAAAAGAACCTCGGTCCACAAGCGGATAAATCGTAAGTATATTCAATTGTTTTACCTTCTGTAACTGGCCAAACTCCTGGTCCCTTTAGGTTCCAAGGCAGAATATAAACAATTCATGAAATGTAGTGAAAATATTATGGACATAAACAGAATAGAGACAGTCCTCAAAATCGTAGAACTCCCTGAAAAAGTTTTTGCCTCAGGTCTATAAACCTGTTCCCTATTACTCTTCAATTATTTTTTCACAAGACCCTAAAGTTGTAAGTTTTCTCATTAGTAGCTTGTGATTCCTCTGAAAATGACTGAGATTTATGAACTCTGCAAAATGAAAATCCATAAACAAGCAACCTGTCAAGGCATTTTAGCAGCACCTTTCAGGAATGTGCTTCATAAATATCATTTTACATCATAAAAGACTAAATATATTTTCAACATTTAGAATTATGGAAACAATAGTAAATGTCACCACTCAATTATCTCACCCAATATCGAAATCCCCTCTTAGTAATATTTGGCCACTTATCAATGAAACCTCATTAGTTTACAAAACAGCCTATGGCATTGCTGGGTATCAATAACTGGTGTTCACATAATTCCTGTATTCCTATATTGATTTTTATCTGTCCTGTTCATCCCCTAGATCTGCTACACAGATGGCATAAAATAATGCATGAATGAAATCTACCTTTTAGCGACTCTTTAACTTCTACCAGGGTCCTTAAACTAAGCCTTGAAAATACATTTCCCTTATCTATTGATTGTCTTTCAAACAGGTAAAAGCAATTTTTACATTCTCTTCTCTAGGGTAAACAAATCTAACCATTTTTCTCATCATGATTTTTCTTTTTTTTTAGTGTTTCAAGTCCTCCCTAAATATTAGGAATCAAAACAGATATGATGTGCATAGCACATGGGAGGGGGGTGGTAACTAACATGCAGTAACATGTCCATTGTGTGTCTGCTGCGTTGCAGCATGTCTGCAAGCTAGTTTTCTTATCCTCACAATTTATCACTGAGAAAATGGAGCCAGAGACACGAAACAACCTGACTAATTCACAGCTAGCAAGCAGCATCACAACTAGTCTTACTTTATACCAAGATACTGCCTTCCCTCAATCTAGACACTGCTTTTCTTCTGTTTAAGTGGAATGTTACATCCTAGAACCACTTTTGTCAAGCCAGGAAAACTCAGGTTTTGTAAATGTAATCACACCAAGTAAATTTATTTATTTTTTATTTTTTTTGAGACAATCTCACCTAGTAAATTTATATCTGGCCAGTTCTGGCCTATTATTATATTTCAGCCTTTAAGAAATCTTTGATTTCTGAGTGTCATCTAATTTGCTCATTATCACTACATGGTTTGAGTGCATTTATTAACTTGAGAATCACGCTGCTTATCTATTTAAAGTTGGTATTAAGAAAGTGTTAATCCGAGTAAGGGCAAGACCAGAGTCCTGTAGCATATCTCCAAAGACATCTCCCCAGGCTTACATCAACTCATTAATCAACATTTCGGGTTTGGTAATTTGCATGGATATAAATCCATCTAACCACACCTTATCCAATGCACATTTAACTCTTGTGTCTACACACAGTATTAGAATCTTGTTGGAAGACTATGTCCTAAATAAACTTAAATGAACTTATGTCCAACAATCCCCAATCACCACCAGTCTAGTAAACTGTAACAAAAGGAAATATGATTTGTGTCACCTGGCTTTTTCTTGAGACAGGGTCTTGCTTTGTCGCCCAGGCTGGAGCGCAGTCACCCGATCACGGCTCACTGCAGCCTTGATCTCTCAGACTCAAGTGATCCTCCTGCCTCAGTCTCCCAAGTAGCTACTACAGGCATGCACCTCCACATCTGGCTAATTTTTTGATTTTTTTTTTGTAGTGGTGAGGTCTCACTATGTTGCCCAGGATGGTCTTGAACTCCTGAGCTTGTGTGATCCTCCAGCTTTGGCCTCCCACAGTACTGGTATTATAAGCGTGAGCCACCACCTCTGGCCTCACCTGGCCTTTTCTCACTGAAGCTCTGCTGGCTTCAGGGAATCAGCTCTCCTTTCCCAAGTACTCATAAACTTGTTGGCTCTTCCAACAAGATTCTAAAACAGATTATTAATAGGTTCCTAGTAGCCAAGAGCCATCGAATGGTTCTATGTGAAAACAGACATTTACCAGATTCTAGTCTTCTATCATTAACTGTACTTTTAGGATTTTTCAAAATCTAAGAATAACGATTTTATAAAGTCATCTGCAAATACTCTGGTATACAATTTACCTGAGCTTAAAAATATGATCACTCTGTAATCTCCTCAATTACCTTGAATTTAATTCCTCTAGATTTTTTTGTCCTTATCCAATTTTAAAGAAAACAAGCAGAAAACACTGTCCTCCCTTTCAGACACTCAGCAGAGTCACTGCTTTCAAATATAATGTCCTGAAATGAACTAGCCCATTTTATAGGCCACAGCTATGACCAATTTTTCTTTATGACATTCAATTTTAGAAACAGCATTTAAAATTTAAGAACCTCATTAACAACTCGAATAGTTTTTATTGCTTGTTAGTGCAAACTACATTTTCAAAATGGAACAAATTTAAACAGGATTTGCCCAGAAATCAACTAATATGCTTGAATAATGCATCACAATATAATCGAAATGAGATAAAAGAGGGAAAAAAACCCTAAAAGACACCAGCGGTGGTCACTCTGAATAAGACAATCTTGGATAATTATTATATTCATAGTCAAGATTATTTAACAGGTAAGCATCCTAAGGGCACTTTAATCCAAATGTCTATCAATACTACTACCACTACCATCATCCATCCATTCTTTCATTCAGCAATACAGAGGGCTTATTAAACGTCAGGCAGTGTTCTAGGCGCTGAAAGCTCCTCGCTTTCATTCTAGCAACATCATTCATACAAACCTTTAGCGGGCACCTACAACTGCAAGGCATTGTGCTAGGTATCTGTAAACAGCGATTTAGATCGAGATACACAAACATCACCAAGTTTCTCTTAAAAACACAGAAGACCACCCTTAAGAAATGCTCTTAGAAATAGTTCCTAACCTCAGATGACTTAGCGAAAGCTCCGTTTAACTGGCAGTCTAAATTTAGGGAGCATTACCGAGCCTATCTTGGGCAGACAATCGTTTAGGAGCTGTCACATAACCTCTAGACTTACGCTCCAATTTTCTAAAGAACAATTTCTCTCATAACAAACCAAATCAACCACCAGGAGCGGGTCCGTAAAGACGATGTCTGGGCAAGAACGAAATCTAATCCCGGAAGTGCCTTTTCCTCATCTTAGCCGCACCCTCGTTACGTGGCTCTCCAAAACTCCAAAGTCGGAGTACCCTAGACATGGAACAACCTCCAAAAAGTTTCAGGCCTAGCCAAGGTTGGGACTAATACGCCGCGAAATAATCGGGGAGATATGAGAAGTCTGTGGCTGTGAGACTGTGCGCGGTTAACACCGCTGCCCCTTTTGCCCAACCCCTAGAAAGTTCCCCAACTCTGACTGCCCCCCAGTGCGAGGGCCGCTACCAGTTCTAGGGTGAGTCCGGCCTCCCTGCCCCGCCCCGGCGCCTCAGACCCTCTCTACACGCCCGCCCCACAACCCCGCGTCGCCCGCAAAGTTCAATGTGTACCGGAGGTTAGCGGAGGGAGGCAGAATCCGGAAAGAGAGACTCCGCCAGTGGATAGCGGCGGTTGGCCATAACCTACTCCGACCTCCAGATACGCGGGAGGTGGGCGGCGCTGCCCTCAGTCGGTGGGTCACTCACCCCTCGCTTCAGGCAAGCCCCTCAGCGACGTCTCTCCTTGCCGACTGCGGCCATCTTGTATATGGAATGTCGGGGACCTACGTCATCACGCTGCGTCCTGAGACGCCACCAAGCGACCGGAGGGGCGGAGAGAGTAGGATGCCTGTCAACCAATGGGAAGAAAGCAGAGCTCTCAAAAGAGGAACGAGCCGCCGCTCTCCTCCCCGCCCGCCCCGCGGGTCAGTGGCTGCTGCTTACAGAGGGAGGAGCCAGCCACAGGGCCCATCCCGTCGGTCCCGCCCCTCGGGGCGAAAAGGCATTCTGGAGCAACCGAACCTGCTAACGGAACTTGGGCGCGTAGGCGGGGCCCGGGTCGAGATTCGTCCAATCAAAGCTCTGGCGGGGGCGAACGCAGCCAGTTGCGACATCGTGGTTGGCGGCGGCTGAGCCGGCCGCTCTTGCCCCCGGGAGCTGCCAGCCCACTGGCTGGGGAGGACCCCGAACGGAACGCCGGCTGGGTGGCGGGGCGGGGCCGCGCCCATGCGTCCGAAGCGTGGGCCAATGAACGGCGGCGGCTGCGGCCCGGGGGCGGGGTCCGGGGCGGGAGGAGAAGCGTTGGGCCGCGGTCGCGGGGCCGTCTCAGGCTGCCGTCCCGCCCCTCCCGTCCGGCCGCCGCCGCCGCCACCGCCGCCACCGCCTGGGGGTTGGTTGAGGCGGACGGCGGGGTCCGGGCCGGAGTACGTCGTTCCCGCTGCGCTAGGGGAAGCGGGCAGGTGAGTGCTGGCGGCGGTCTCTGCGCCCGCGCGGCCCGCGGGGGAAACTCGCGCCGCGTCTCCGAGCTCTGCGAGGCCGTCCCTCGCCCTGGCCAGCGCCCCTCGGCCGAAGTCCGGCCCGCGCCCCCGCCAGGGTCCCCGCCGGCCGCTGTGGCCCCGGGGCTTGAAGGGGCAGGTGTGCGCTCGGGGGCCAGGGCGAGGAGGGCCCGGCGGGGTCGGAGGGCGCCGGTCGGCCTCTGCCCGGGCGCCCTGCGGGGCGAGAGGCGCGCGCTCGCCGCTGCCCTGTCCCCTCTGGCGCCCACGCTCCCGGGCCCCGCGCCACCCGGTCTCGAGGTGGTGCCAGGTGCAGGCAGCGCTCTCCCCGAGCTTGCCCCGCTGTCCCCGGCCCTCGCGCCTGCTCTCGGGTGGGGCCCGGGCCCCTCGCGCTAGTCGGCTCGGCTCTGCGCGCGGCCGGGTCGCGCTCCCATTTCCTTCCTTCCTCCCGTCACCCCGCTGCTCGGGGAAGGCTGTGCGGTTTTATGTTCCTCTCTGCGAGTTCTCGGTGCCCACCAGGGTGCCCGGGGACCAGCCCCCGCCTCCTCCCGCGCCGTCCAGTTAGGAAGACGGACGTAGGAAATAGGTCGTCTTTCTTCCCACGCGCCCCTGGCCGTGCTCCACACGCGCAGTGCCCTACTAGGGAGAGGCAATTCGGTGCTTTAGAGTTTGTCATTCCGGCGTTAACTCTTCCTCCTCGTGGCTCCAGCCCGGCGATGCAACTCTTGTCTTTTCCCGGTCTCCACTTGGGAAAAGGAGCTGACAGTGACGCGCGCCCCTGGCTGCGGGGCTCACCCCTGCCCGGCCGGTGTTGGGAGGAGGGCATTTCAGTGTTGCAAAGGCATTCGCGGGTTAGGACCACTCGGACCGTGTTATTTTGCTTTTCTAAATAAATAAGGTGATGTTTCAAAAGCAAAAATACTTTTAAAGTATGCTGACAAATCAATTTTGCTTTTAAGAATCCTCGAAGAGTTACCCCATCTTCGTAGCCTGATTGTGGTGCTGATGAGGCCACTATAAATGCGTTTGTCAGAACTCAGAACCGGACACTGAAAAGTGTGAATTTTATCTTATGTAAAATATACCTCTCCCTCTCCCGTTTTTCTTCTTGAAATGACCTTGCCAGTATTTCAAAACTGAACTAACCAGTAATAATCTCGGAGAAGTGTTTATTATTTTAAGCGAATACATTTAACCCAAGAATATAGCAAAATAAAGCAGTCTTCCTCTCCACTGTTAAAATTTGCCAAGACTTGCTTGAACCTTGCTGTATGTACTGTGTTTATACGGGCTACCATGCGTGAAAGTCCAGCAGTACTGGATTAGTCCCAAGGGCTGCCGTGATTGATACTTTGGTGAAATTCCAACAGTTTACCGAGGAGTTTTTCTTCGGCCTAAGAAAGTAGTTTGCAAAGCCAAGTTCTCAAACAGCTACAGAACCTCTTTATTGGGACCCCAGACAACCTTGGATTTTAGCCTTCTGCTACCCCTTTCCTGTCTGCCCTCCAAGTGATTGTAAGTTAATATCTGAAATGGAACTGTAGTCTGAAGGAGTAAAATGGTTGCTTCTCCAGTGTGCTAACATCTCAGTGCTTTTTTTTCCTGGAATTGGAGTGGTGTTGGATTTGAAGATTAGAACATCTTATGTCTGTATGTACGGTTATAGCGAAAGCTTCTCGTAAGAGCACAGTGACTGTCAGTAAGAAAGTGATGGCTGCTGCGCTGCTCTTCCGTGCCGTGGACATTTAGGCCACATTTTAAATGATAATTAAGCTTTTGCTTTAGAAGCCACTGGATAATGAGAAAAATATGGAGGTGATATTTTTCCTATTTAAAGCTTAACCACTGGACAACTGTTTTGGTTTTGAGAGTTCTGATAAACGGTCACAACAGCCTCCTTGGAACACAGTACTCTCCTGCCTGGAGGAGAATGACAGGATGACGGCGCCGGGGAAGGTATGACCATCAGCGACGGAGGCTTGCTTGGAGTGAATATTTAGTAGACAATCATTGAATTCAATGAAAACCAGGTGCATAGTTTGTGCTGTGTAGAGTTGTAGTAAAAATATGAGCAAAAATCCTACCTCCAAGTCAGGGTTACTCTGAATGCTTTGTGACTAGATGTCAGTGTAGTTTGAGGCGTACCAGTTTTCTTCAATGTTTTAATTACATAGAGTCTTTTTTCTTATCACAAATCCGAAGTAGGGTTTAGAACTGTAACTAGTAATACTGTATCTTTCTTTTGTGTAGTTGGATGAATATCCTTCTCTGAGAGGTTATTTATCTTTAGAGACTGGTTTGCCTGTTCCCTGGCTGCTGTGCCTTGTGCTTCTGTTGAGGGTGGAGAGGAAGAGTTTCAAGTGTGTTTCTTTCCCTTGGACCGAAGTCCTGGGAATGGAGTGGTGACTTTGTTCCCTCAAAGAGAACTCGGAGTCATTTATTGCTATGGCATTAAATGTTTTTAACAGAACGGTGAACTTATCTTTATTCTTATGTTACTTTGGATGTTGCTTGTGGCCAGTTATAATATTTGCTTTCTCAATTACCTACCCTTATTTTTGGGCCCTTTTTTTATCAGTGAAAAATCTTTTGATTAGCCGTGCATCTTTTCTCTCCTGCTATAGTCATAGAAGTGTTTATCTGGCTAACAGTTTGTTTTGGGTCATATTTAACCAGTCGAGAGTATTAGAATAAAGAGTCTTGCTTTTTCAGTTTTCTATAGTTTTCACTTCTGTTGCCTTTACAATGGTTTTCTGTCATTGGATTTCCTTTTATCATCTCATTTTTCTATTCATAAATTGGAGAGGTTAACTAATTTGATATGCAAATAGAATTAATTTACATAATATTTACTCTCAAGGTAAAAAATTTCTATCAAAATATTAATATATATTAATATATTTTCCTATTACAAAGAAGTTGAGACTTGGCTTTTTTTTTTTTTTTGAGATGGAGTTTCGCTCTTGTTGCCGAGGCTGGAGTGCAATGTCGTGATCTCGGCTCACCGCAACCTCTGCTTCCTGGGTTCATTCTCTTGCCTCAGCCTCTGAGCAGCTGGGATTACAGGCATGCGCCACCACGCCTGGCTAATTTTGTATTTTTAATAGAGAAAGGGTTTCTCCATGTTGGTCAGGCTGGTCTGGAACTCCCGACCTGAGATGATCCGCCCACCTCAGCCTCCCAAAGTGCTGGGATTACAGGCGTGAGCCACCGCACTGGGCTGAGACTTGGCTTTTTAAAAAGTTACTTAATAGTCTTTTGAAAAAAAAATTAGCATCTGCAAGATTAAGAAGTCTTGCTTTTTAACTCAAGCCAGAGATTAGCTGTGTTGACCCCGTTTCCACTTGGGAGTCTCCTCTAAGTTTTGGATATAAACAGACTGTAAAAACGAGATAAAAACACAGATATTGAACAGTTTCGACTGAGATAAATTTGAATGGAAGAAAACTGATTCCAAATGATTATAAAATTCAAATACCAAAGTTAAGACTTTGCAATTTTTTTTTTCTTCTATCAAGTACTTTCCAAGTAGAAGTGAACTAGTGAGTCCAAACAGTCTTGGTTGACAATGAAAGACACATCTATCTTTGAAGTTAAGATTTTGAAAGGGATCTACTGATTACTAAGCCAAAGTGAATCATTAGCCTTTTGCAAGCCTAACCTCAGTACTGGGATGGGGAAGTAGGGGAGGGCAGAGGGACAGAGCAGGAAGAAATGTTTCCACTGTTTTTTAGAAGGACAAAAAAAATTGTCTAGAGAATGTAGATAATCAAGTGTCTACACGGAACTTTTTATTTTTAGTTTTTAATTGACAAAAATATATGATACATAGAACTCTTAATAAAATATACACTTAGGTTTATTACTGTCTATGATCCTGAGTTTCACGTTCCATTTTTTAAGAATACAATTCATCAGGACATAACAGGTCTAAGAAAGTCTTCCGACTAAATGGTTTACAATGTTCAGTCTCAGAAAATAGACATGCCTTTTCAATATCAGCAGTTTTCTATTACACATATTTGAGAGGAAGTAAAGATTAGTGTTGACAAATACTTATAAAAGCTGCTTTTACCATAAAATATTTACTAGTGTCTAATAACATTTTTGATTTGTTGTTTGTAAAAATTTAGCTTCGCTGCATGTCATGGTCACCTCATGGTTCTGCGTTTTTCCCTGCAACAAAAATGTGGCATTGCAGATATGGTGGACTGGATGGAAGCTCTTTTGGAAGTTTTGCCCATGTCCCAAATTTAACCTGCAGCTCCTCCTATGTATTTGGACAAAGCCAGCAAAATAACTATACTTTTAAAAGGCCAAAAAATAAAACCTTTACATGCGTATGTTTTATCAGTGCAAGGGAATAGTATTTTGAATATTAGCGATAACAGTGAACCTTTGGAGCTCTCATAAATGGGTTGGTTTTGAGCCGAACTCATGAAATATTATTATCAGTAAGATTTGTCATTGAGGTGTGCTGGTGAGGCTCTGACACAAACTGAGTCTATCATTTTGCATAAATTAATCAGTCTCCGTAAGCGTCAGCTTTCTCATCTGTGAAGGGGACTTGTTAATACCTATCTTATATTGTGTAAAATGCTTACCTCAATTCCTGATCATATAATAAATGCCCAAATGACATGATTGTGATGGGGACGATCATATTGGAGAACTTCCATAGGACACAGGACATGGCAAGGATGATCCTGAAATAACATGACAGCATGAATAGTTGCATTTAGGTTCAAAAACTCAGTTGTTGAATATAGCACATTTATCTTGCTGAAGATCACGAAAGGCTTTAGTTGATTACTGTCTTGTCCTAAAGGCTATGGGACCATGTTGCATCATCTTTGTGTTTGAGATTAGATTCTCAGGAAATGTGCAGGAATGAGGGAATGAATTCACTGGGCTCATAGAAAAGCTAGGGCAGTCTTAGGAATATTAGTCAAATTTCTTTGAGTTCCAGGAAGGTGGGTAGTCCATCTCAGAGCACATCTGAAGGGTTTTGTTGACTTAAAAAAAAAACAGTTCATTGAAGTATAATATGCTTAAGTGGTTTTGCTCACTTTTGAGAAATATGTAGTAATGAGGGGCACATTAAGCCTGGAGAAGACAAAACTTTGGGGAGACACAAAAGCTGACAGGTCAGAGAGGATGGTGAACTTCTCTGCAATATCGTACTGGAGGGGCTCACAAAGCAGGAGATTGCCTTGGAAGTGAACGTGCAGCTCTGCTGGCCGCCTAAAGGCGAAGCTTTGGAGCTGCCTTTTTCTCTTACTGGCAATCTGCCTTAGGCTGTGTTTGTTAATCAGGAATAACACGCTCTCTCTGTCCTGCCTGTCTTATATCCTTCTCAGACTTGGATCAGGTGAAGTACTGATCGTGACTGCTCCATAACATCCGGCACCATGATCTTAAACACGCGTGGGATTGAGAGCTACTATACATAACCCCAGAGGTCTCCTCTAATCCTGTTGCTCCTTGGTTTTAGAATCCAGAATCCTCATGTTAAGGAATGTGGGTGGTTTGAAGGTAATTTCTTGACGGATTACAGCTGTTTCTTCACACATAACATTGTCTTTTTTATTTTAGAAAGATATAATAGGAAATGATTATTCATGATACCCAATGATTTTTTGCTTTACAAAAGGTTTTTTTGGTAACTTCCATTAAATAGGAACCTCATGTTAATTTATTTGCAACTTCATTCAATGGCAGTTTAAAACTAAAACCTACTATGTAATGAAAAGTCAGTCAGAAATGTTTAGTTATTTCTAAAATTATTGTGTTAGTGGAAAAATAGCAAAAAAAAAAAATTGCGAAAAGCAACAACTGTGCTTATTTATTTATTTATTTATTTTTGAGACACAGTCTTGCTCTGTGGCCCAGGCTGGAGTGCAGTGGCACGATCTTGGCTCATTGCAACCTTTGCCTCCTGGATTCAAGTGATTCTTGTACCTCAGCTTCCCAAGTAACTGGGACTATTTTTAGTAGAGACAGGGTTTCACTGTGTTGGCCAGGCTGGTCTTGAACTCCTGACCTCAGGCGATCCGTCCGCCTCGGCCTCCCAAAATGCTGGGATTACAGGCATGAGCCACTGTGCCTGGCCAACAACTGTATTTTTAAAATCTCAAGTTATAATACTTACATGGGACAGCCCAAATTGTTCTGTATCAAGATTAAATTTTGATCAAATTAAAATTTTATTTGCATGCAATTTATAGATCTTTATACATCTTGGTACTTAAGTAGTTACTGAGTTGAAATTAATTCCACCTTCTTCCCTGCCTGCTTGCCTTGACTTCTTGGTACTTTTGAATTGTGGCACATCAGTTCTTTTATTTATTTAATTTATTTATTTATTTTTGAAACAGAGTCTCACTCTGTCGCCCAGGCTGGAGTACAGTGGCTGGATCTCAGCTCACTGCAATCTCCACCTCCTGGGTTTAAACATTTCTCCTACATCAGCCTCCTAAGTAGCTGGGATTACAGGCCTGTGCCACCATACCAGGCTAATTTTTGTGTTTTTAGTAGAGCTGGCGGGGGTCTCATCATGTTGACCAAGTTGGTCTTGAACTCCTGACCTCAAATGATCCACCCGCCTTGGCCTCCCAAAGTGCTGGGATTGCAGGTGTGAGCCACTGCCCCTGGCCCAGTTCCTCTTTTAATTAGAAGATTGGAATGATAGGTGCCGGTTAGCCGTGTAAACTGGTATGAGTTGGTATGGCATGGCGCTGCTACTAGGCCCTGCTACTGTGCAAAGCCAGAACACGTTTCTGATATGTATAAGTTTCAGCTAACACGGTACCATGGCACTTTATCGGTATCTGTAGGAAAGGAAACATTGTACAATTAAATCCTTTTCAGTTTGGGAGTGCCTTCATTTTCCTAACTCGTCATCCTGTAATTTGTGTATTTAATTCTGAATGTAGTAATCTGATCCTGATGGCCGGCAAAGTATTTTAGTAAGAGTGAGAAAAGAGTATTTCCTATTCTTCCTACATGAAGATTAGGCCCTCACACTCTCTCGAGTGTGCTTTACAGCTGAGAGCCTGAGGTGGAGGAAGCCATCCTTAGGACCATTCCCTCCCTTAGTCAACCCAGCTGTGAAGTTGGGTCAATGCAGGATACATTGAAAAACAGATGCTGTGCTTGAGCTAAGGTTTCCTGGATAAATTGCCAGATAAGTGTAATCAAAAATGTTTATTCTAGTTCTGTTTAGTTGAAAGCAGCATTTTCGAGGGAACTCAAGAAATACACAAATAAATATCCTTTCCATTTAGAGTGTTTGAAAAAAAATGCAAGTGAATTACATCCAAATCAGTTCATTATGTGTGAACTATACTTTGTAAAAATGGGTTAGGTATTTAGCACCCCTTACCCCACCTCCGCTCCCACTGCCCACATTAGCCAAGGTCACTAAATGTGCTTTCTTGTTTCTCCTGACCCATTTATTCCACGATTCAGATTCGATGGAAAAGAATCGCTTGATTGGCAGAGGTGGTGGTTGATTACAGATGCCCCTGTATATTAGTCAGCACTTTAAATAATAATTGAGTTTGTCATTCATTTCTCTGTCTTCTAAAGTGTGTCTTGTCTGTTAGATGGGGAGGTTGTTGGTGGACTTGTAAGTGGTATGTGGTGTTTTAAAGGGCCAAAGTTTGAAGATTCTGTAGATTTTAAAAATATCTTGATGGTGAAGAAATGTAGATATGTGTGAAACTCTTGGCTTAGCTGTTCCTTTTTATAGATACCCCTTCCTCTGAATGACTAACTATAATTGTATAATTCATGTATCAATCTTGTATTGCTACTCTTCGTATTTTCTTTTGTCTTAAGTATTATTTAAATCATTTTTTTGGTCCTATTTTCCTGTTTTCTTTAAGATAATTCAGTAAGTATTTGTAAATTATACCTGATTTCAGTCTAAACTTTGTGGAAAAAAATTTTTGAGTTAGCATTGTACCTTCTGGCTAATATCTGTAATTTAACTTGAGTTCGTATGTGTATGCACATATAATTAATTCAGTATGCATTTATATTTTCCTAATATAAATATTGGAAATAATTATTGAAAATAAACATTTGGTCTTTGTGGGAAATTGATGAATGTTTAATATATTTTTTTCATGAAGAGCATGAAGTATGTTCAGAATACCTATTTGAGTGTCTCATTTGTTTAAACTTGTAATTTAGCCCCAAATTCAGCTGAAATGATCATGAAAATTATTCACGGTATATAACAGACTTTTGAATCATAAATGAAAAGGGTAGTTATTTAAATCCATAAGGTTGGGGAACTTACATGGCATGAATCTTTTTTGATTGCTAAAAGAAGGCAATATTGGGTGAATTTAGGAAACCACACATACTGGATACTAACACCTCACACTGAATCTTAAAATTTAGTCATCCTTCTTGAATTGTACTTTATTTCTTGCCCTTCTATGTTTAGTTACTTATGTGTTTTAGGAATTATCCATGCTGCTTTGAGTGTGAGTCTTGGTTTCCCAGCCTCATCCTTGGGAACTGCAGGCCTGGTTTTGTCCAATTTTGTTGTCTTCTGCAACAGCGAACATAGTATAGGCAGAGAGACGTTGTGCAGCTTAGTTTAATCAAGCTTGCGTATACTTAGAGTCCACCTATATGCTGGAGCTAATGCAGGATTTCAGGTTTGAAGCTATGGGTCTGCTGCTTGGCAGCTGTGGTCTCTTGGCCAAGTCACAGCCCTCTCTAAGCCTCCTGACAACTGGCTGTGGTCACTGCCGGCCTCAGTGGGCTATGGTGGGGATGCAGGGAGGTCATGGGCGGATGCTCGTGTCCTTGGTCACAAGTGCCCATGGAGCTTTTCCCTGTGCTTGGGCCGTAAGCTTTCCTTTTCTATCAGAAACAGACTAATTCCTGCTTTATTGCTTTCTAAAGACCAATAATGCTTTAAAAATTCCAGTGTGTTTTTCAGAGTCTCTCTTATTAAATGTAATGTCCTAAAGCTTTTCTATCTAAAACTGGATTTTGAAAAGAGATCATCTTTAAAAAAGTTTTTTTTGAGACAGGATTTTGCTATGTTACCCAGGCTCCAGCCCAATGGCTATTCACAGGTGTGATCATAGCTCGCTGCAGCCTCGAACTCCTGGGCTCAAGAGAGCCTCCCACCTCAGCCTCCTGAGCACCTGGGATGATAGGCATGTGCCACTATGCCCCACAGAACCGTTTTTTAAGTGTGATATTACATAAGCGTAACCCTAACCCCTGTCCTTCATGGTATGGCCAATCTATCTCTAATTATCTACATCTCTCTATATAAATTTGTGTTTTTACTTCTAAGAATTATCATAGTTCATTAGTAGAATTAAATATTCAGTAAATGTTTCATTTTGACTACTGTTTAATCACTGTTGGGAGCAATGTGAAAATTGGTAACACCAATATATTCAAATATACTATCCAAAGATTTTCTTTTACTCAACAAATTTTGACCTTCTATGTGTCTGTGACACTATATTAGATCCTATGGGTAATATAGAGATGGAAGCTTTGGTTTTTTTTCTGCCACAAGACAGTGGGTAAAAGAGTTTAGACTGCAGTGGGTGAGGTCACAGAGGTTCAGGGACTGTGCTGTGGAAGTGTGGTGAGGAGACCTTGTTAGTGAGGTGGGG
The DNA here is from genome assembly GCF_000001405.40 of Homo sapiens. Classification (NCBI taxonomy): domain Eukaryota; kingdom Metazoa; phylum Chordata; class Mammalia; order Primates; family Hominidae; genus Homo; species Homo sapiens. Next base: position 99,471,035 of record NC_000014.9, on the reverse strand, counting down.
TTTTAGCCAGGTAAATTTTAGGTGGAGGACCCTGATATACTCACCAAGGGGTCAGGGCATTTCGGCTGAAGTAACAGAGCGAAGAGTGTGTATGTCAGGGAATGACAGCCAGGCCAGGGGGCTGAGGGAAGGTGGGATGTGGGGAGCTGGCAAACCCACATGAAAACCTGATGTTTTAGGGCTGAACGGAGTACATATAGGGCGTCTGCCTTCAAGGTGCTTTGAGTTAGGGGTGTCCCAGAAATACTAGAATTAGTGCCAAACCATACTGAACCCAGAGACAAAGGAATCTTACAGACAGTGATGGTTCCAAGTTCATAGTAGATGGGTTACAGAACTGGTACCGAGAAACACTTGCCTTCAGTGACTTAAGTTCACGCCCGACTGCCTGGGATTCAGGGTACAGGGGACTGAGGAGAGCCCTCGGACAGGGTAGACCCAGCCAGTGGGGAGGCTTACTGGAAGAGCCCTGGAAACTTGTTTTTGGGGGGAACAGATTGAGGAGATGGCTTGGGTCTAGGATCCTGTGCCCTAGGGAGATACATTTACTGGAAGAAGGATAGGCAGCCCCCCTGCCCCCATCCTTAATTAAGACAAGATTCTTTCTGCCTAACCTAGGCTAGCCACTTTTTCTACCTTATAGCCTGTATCCCCGTGGGAGAGAAACAGCCCAAAGAGGTTGCCAAAAGACAGAATCCCAATATAAGCCAACTCTTTAGCATCTGTAATAACCTTGAGTTTGACCCTTTCTTACTGACTTTGTTGGGCGTGAGGGTTGCATGGAAGAGTCTAGAGTTTCCCTTAATGCCACAGGGCACATTTCGGTAGAGCCTCAAAGTATGTGAAAAATCTTGCCAGGAGAAGACAAGGGGACAGGCAGTGGGATAGCTGCATTCCAGAAAAAGGGAGGAACATGAGCAGTCCCCTGGAGCTGTGTTGTGTAAAGGTAGGATGAAGCTGGACATGTAAAATAGAGTGAGGCAGTTCAGTCCTCGAAGACCTTGCTAGGGAGGTTACGCATTATCCCGTGAGCTGTGGAAAGACGTGTGAGCGAAAGAAACCTACACAGTGTAGAATTCCACTTATATGAAGTTTAAGAATAGGCAGAACTAATCGGTAATAGAAGTTGAAATGTGGGCTACTGGGGGAAGGACTGGTTGTGAAAGGGTTCGTCAGGACTGCTGGCAAGGACTGGTGTGTTTGCTGCCTTCTGCAAGGCTGGGGCCTTGCATGCATGGGGATGAGTCCATGAATTCGTGCACTATGCGGTTTGTAGGTTTCTCTTTTTTTTAGTCAGGGTCTCCCTCTGTCACCCAGGCTGGAGTGCAGTGACGCCATCACAGCTCATTGCAGCCTCTGCCTTCTGGGCTGAAGGGATCCTCCCACCTGAGCCTCCTGAGTATCTGGGGACTACAGGCTTGCGCCACGGTGCCCAGCTAATTTTTATATTGTTTTGTAGAGACAAGGTTTTGCCATGTTTTCCAGGCTGGTCTCAAACTCCTGGGATCAAGCAATCCACCTGCCTTGGCCTCCCAAAGTGCTAGGATTATAGGCATGAGCCACTACGCCCAGCCTATGCAGTTTGTATTTTATACCTCAATTTATTAAGGCTGACTGTTGACATTGTGGTCGGGGAGGACTTGTAGGCAGGGAAATGAATCACGAAGGGATTGAAAGAGCTGGAGATGAGGGTCTTAGCTAGGAGTGGCTTCAGTGACTGCATAAACATCACCCAACAGGACTTTTGAAGATTGCGTTCTAGCATATCTGCCTTCCCAGGGGCTAATGTACTGGTGTGTTTTGAAGTTACACCTCTGCTGTAATTATACACCTGTTTGTTACTCATTCTAAGAGCCAGCAGTTTTCTGGCTTAAAAAAGAAATCTTGAGAACAATTGGAGTTACAAGTACTCGACTGTAGAATTACTGTCAACGGAATGTATTTTGTTTTCAAATCATTGTAACCATATTTTTAATGGTCTGTCACGCGGAGCAGGAATTAGACATTTCCTGTCTGTTCCAAGGGGATGGAAACCTGGGTAGAAGCTTCAGAAATGAGGATTGTAACCTGACCTAAGACCTGTGCAGATGCTCTTCCCTGGGAGCTCAGGGTGGCATCCTCTGTGTAGCACCTGCCATGTGTTGAGGCCTAGGCTGTATGTCCTCAAGGAGCCTGTTACCTGAAGGGATGCTGGTATGTGAGCACGTCTTTTAGTACAGTGGGGCCCAGCAATAATGGGAGAACATACAAGGAATTGCAGAGGTGCAGAGAAGAGAAGATTGTGACTAGGGGGACCAGGTAGACTTTAAGGGGATTCCTGGACAGCATTTTTAGAGAGAACCAAGAGTTAGTGAATAAGTGACTAAAATATTACAGTCAAGGGGTGAACGGGGAGGCAGAGATAGGAGGTACATGATGACGTCTGTAGAGGGACTGGGAGCCCTTGGTGTTGCTGGGAGGGTGTTTTACATATTTTTGCTGGTTTCCTTTTATTCCAGGGTGACTGACCCTGTATATTTTACACTGATTTTTAGGAGACTTATTAGATTAACATGTTACACATTATTCTTTATACATTAGATACATAAGAGAAGATAGCAATGTTAGCCTGTTAAATAATGTGATTTCCTACTATTTAGGGTGGTGGCAGCGTGAGGGTAGATTTAAGCAGCAGGGACAGGCTTGGGCAGGGAGATGTACGAGACTAGTGTTAGGGTCTAACCATGAGGACTCGTTCAGGAGGTGCAGGAGGAAGTGGCTGGAGCTGCCTAGGTGTGGGCTGAGTGGCTGCTGGCAGGGTTGTGGCGGGGTGTGGGGCCATATCCCATGGTATTTGATCTGGAAGACCTGCTGCCATGTACTTTTTTTTTTTTTTTTTTAAATCTGTATTTAAACAGAGGCAGTGTGGTAGTGGTTCTGGGTTCAGATTCTAGCTGTACCTCTTACCTGATGCATGACCTTGGACAAAGAGAAGGGACTTAACCTTTCTGACAATGTCATCTGAAAGATGAGGATGGTATCTACTGCTTAAAGTGCGAGGAAGATCAAATGAAGAGCTCTGTCTTAGTCCAGCACCTGGCAGAGGGTAAATACTGAGCTCCAGGGAACAGCTGCTGTTACATCAATGAGCAACTGGAGTTGGGTGGATAGCTGAGAGAAGACTTTGGAGGAGGTGAGGGGCTGCAGGCAGAGCGAATAGAGCCTGTTTTGTAGCTGTTGGTGGGCACCCTGTGAGGGCCGGTGCAGAACAGCCCTGTCCCAGGCTCACTTACTGTTAAGAGAAGGGAAAGGGTCTTGGAGCTCCTCATCAAAGTGACGTTCTTGCCTCGTTTACAGGCTCCCACAGCAGAAGGTCTTTCAGGCAAGGCTGAAGGGAGAGGCCAGCTAAGCCATTGCTGACAGGATGCTTCTGCGTCTCCTCCTGCCAAGCCAGCAGACCCACTATATTTGGAAGTGTGATTAACGTCCTTATTACCAGACTCCTTGGTGGTTTTAGTTATTTTCAGGTCAAGTTCGATGGTCCTCCAGAGATGCCCTCCGCAGATATGGGAAGCCTGAAATGCCCAGAAGGGTGGAGGTGCTGTGTCCAGGCTGTGCCCTTGCTCTTGGCTGTGAGCCAGAACCATGGGGAGATTTTTTTCTCTTCTAAGAAGACATTTCTTAAGCATAGGAAAAGGTGCTTAAGCTGTCTGTCATCCTGCCCTCCCCTCACTTAAATTTTCTGCTTTTGATCACAGAAAAAAAATTCCTTGTATTGCTGCAAAAGTTTTATGTATTTTTACCAGTTTCCTTTTATTCCAGGATGACTGACACTGTGTATTTTACACTGATTTTTAGAAGACTTATTATATTAATGTGTTACACATTATTCTTTATACGTTAGATACATAAGAGAAGATACACACGTTAGCCTGTTAAATAATGTGATGTCCTACTGTTTTAGCACATGGCCATATTTGCATGGACTCAGTTACAGCAGAGTCAATGATCATCTGTATAGTGGGAGAATATGTTTTAAACCTTTGTCCTAGCATAGTTCTTCACATGGTGATAGTTACCACTTTTTGTAAAAAACAAATGGACCAAAGTCTGCTTTTTGATTCTCACTTGAGATAAAGTGTAACTGACTGGGGCTCCTGGAGGCCATCCTCGTGGTGGTTTGTTATTCATTAGCTTATGGATCGCCCTACCAGCTTCTTGGCTGGACACTTTTTCCATCTTCCTTGGTCATGATCTTAGCCCCTTGTCTCTGGAGAATCAAAGCCAGACTCCTCTGGCAGTGACTATCACCCTGTCTTGAGTGGCTGCCTCGCTAGGCTTCCCTAGAGACCCCCTCTCCAGCCGGGTTCCCTTCCTCACTGTGCTTCCCTCACGCTTCTAGTCCTGTCCCTGTCTTTGAATGCCCCCCCCCCCCCCCGCCATTCTTCACACATCCATGTCCCTTACTTTCTTTGAGACCTATTGTTAAAAGCACTTGCAAGCAAGCATTATCTCATAGGGTCTTTACCCAGGACACCATGGCGTGTCCTATACCACATGGTCTCATCTGCGTGTGAAAATATGCTCATCATTTCTCACATGCCCGCAGAGGACCCGTGTGTGGCACACTGGAACGCGACGGGAGACCTCGTTCAAGTCCCGGGTCTGCCATCAGCTTCCTGTGAAATCCCAGGCAAGGTGCTTGGGATTTCCCATGGAGCAAAATGCAGGAGTTAGACTAGCTCGCCAGAGTTTTTTCCAGCTCTAAAACGTCTTCAGCATTTGTCCAGAGAGTGTGATCAGTTGCTTATGATACAGTTATGGTTAATGGGAAATGATTATTTTAAGGCAAAGTGGGGAGAGAATATATAGGTCTTTATGCCCATATGTGTATGATGTATGCATGGGTTTTATCTCTCTAGTATCCTGGAATATGTTAGTCTGCACAGTGAAATCTATGTAATTAAAAAAAAATCTAGAGTAAAATTTGCTCTACTATAGTTTTTGTAGGTGAAAAAGAACGAACTTTTCTTCCAGAGACTACAAAGCAGATTTTTTTTTTTCCCATTTGAGAACCTCTAGATACTAATACTACACATTTCTTTTTCTGGAAGAAAACTTCATGTAAGGTAAGATCTTAGCCTCTGAAGACTAAGACACTGCCATGTGTTGGACATGTTTTATTACTTGATTTTGTTCTTTGGTAATGTAATTTTTTTCTCTTTTCTTTCTCTTCTCTGTAGTCAGAAAAATGGGTAAGAAGAGTCGAGTAAAAACTCAGAAATCTGGCACTGGTGCTACAGCAACTGTGTCACCAAAGGAAATCTTGAACCTGACCAGTGAGCTGCTGCAGAGTAAGTCCTCCTCTGGGCTCTCCCTGCCTTGATGTGGTGGCTGTGCCTTTTTCTTCTTTGTCACCAGAATGGGGACGCGTGCATCAGACAAGCTGGTATTCAGGTCCAAGCTTATTAGCTGTGGGCCTGGGCGAGTCACAGAGGTTCCCAGGCTTGCAGTCCTCACCTGTGAGGATGGAAACACCCGTCAGAACTGTGTGGCTGTTAACAAGGCTTGGGTGAAGTAATTGTGAGCTTCCATGGCACAGTCACCTGGAACATGGTCTTCCCTGAGGACCTGTGGGCGAGAAGAAGCTCTACTGCTTTTTCACAGTGTGCCGCTCGGCAGATTACTGAACCCTTCCGAAACTCAGTGTTCTTGTCGTAAACATAGATAATAACTGTCTCAGGGAATGAGCCAAGGGCCTTGTGAGATGTGGTGTGTGAAGGTACTTCACGGGCTGTTGGCCCAGGGGAGTCCAGCGTGCCTCTTGGAGACCTGGCCTTCAGAGCTCTGCCCCTCACTGGAATGGCTCGCCTTTCTTTTTGGTGATTCAATTAACAGTGCTTCTGATTTTTTTTCTTTTTTAAACAGGGTCCCGCTCTCTCACCCAGGCTGGAGTGCCATGGCACTATGACGACTCACTGCAGCCTTGACCTCCTGGGCTCAAGTGATCTTCCCACTTCATTCTCCTGAGTAGCTGGGACTACAGGCCTGTGTCACCACGCCCAGCTAATTTTTTTGTAGAGGTGAGGTTTTGCCATGTTGCCCAGGCTGGTCTTGAACTCTTGGGCTCGAGAGATCCTCCCACCTCTGCCTACCAAAGTGCTGGGATTATAGGCGTGAGCCACTGCACCTGGCTGTGTATCTGATTTTTACATGCTGTAGTTTGAGAGTTCTTAGTTTAAGGAAGTGAAATATCTATTAAGTGCCTCTACTTGTTTTAGCAAGTTAGTGTAATTTGGTAACTTTTTAAAATTATGAATTTGAATTGGTGCAATTAGTGCCTTGGCTGTAGCTGTGGTCACTCCGTTGCCCTTTGTCCATGTTTAGATTATGTGGCAGGCTAAACCTCAAGTAAAAATGCAGCTTTCCCTTTGAGACAGAAAGCAGGCCGCAGCCAAGTTGGAGTCAGGTCCCTCTCGAGTGCTGCCCTGGACCCTACTGGCCGGTGGAGTGTGGCTGTCCTGCCCATTCCTCGCTGAGCTCCCCTGCCTCTGGCAGCTTGAGGACAGGCTCGCTGCTGCTTCATCTTTGAGGCCTGTTCCAGGCCTCAGTGAGTGCTTATTGTTGGAGAATGAAGTAAGACTGGCTACCCTTCATAGTTAAGACTCAGCGTGTGTCTAGTTATTGTTAGTTATTTGCCACATATACTCTTTTAATAGAGAGCAAAGGGGCCCCAAAGGTTAAGCAGGAGTGTGGGAAGGGGCTGTCTAAACCAATGCAGTTGTGTGAAAAGAAAGAGCTGCCAATAGGCGGGGTGCCCAGTGTGCAGTCTTTCAAACTCACACCTCAGCCTCGGGTGTTGGTCTTTTGGTTCTGGCCCCACAGTGGAATCTTGGCTTCTTTTTTAGCAGTGACTATGCCATCTCATTTTGCAACTCCCCCAGACTGCTGAATATAGTGCCGTACACATGGATGTGAAATGTTTGTCGACTAATTGTCCTTATGTCCAATTTAACTGGTTCCCTTAGGGAATCAGTGTTATGGGGTTTAACTAAAAAGAAAGGTTGACTTTTACTATTAACTTTTACTATTAACTTCTTTTTGCCATATAGAAGAGTTTTGGGGGGATAGTTTGCATTTTAGCTTAGCTTTTTATCATAGATTTTCCTGTTAGTAAGTATATTCTAAAAAGAGTTAACTAAGAATAAGGTGGATGTGAGCTAGGTGCTTGCTCAGTGCTCTCTCTTGGGTACGTTAAGTGGGGGATGTTTTTATGATGCCCCAGGGTTTGTCTGCTTTGAGAAGTGTACCTGCCTTGTACTTCTCACATTCATTATCATGGCTGTCATATGTCTGTCTTTTAAAAATAAACCAACCCCAGAACAGCAACAACAAAGTCCAAATCCTCTTTCTTGTGCAGACTAGTAGGTTAAGTTGAAAGAGAGAAGTGTTTCAGTACCATGCCTCTTATGTTACAGAATGCAGCAGTCCGGCGCCTGGCCCAGGAAAAGAGTGGGAAGAGTATGTGCAGATCCGGACTCTGGTTGAGAAAATACGGAAAAAGCAAAAAGGTAAAATTGCTAGAATGATAACTGTATTTTAATAATGTCATGTAGAAACTTGATTAGGTCAAAGGGTTGACGAGTAGTAAAGGTCTCAGCATCATTGGTGTCACTCTGAAAGGTCTTGTACTGGGGCTTGCAGACCGGGAGAGAGAGCAGTTAGCGGGATTTCTCCCCTTTCTGAGATGCTATTACCTGCTTCGGAAAGGGTGAGAATGTTGAGCTTTAGGAGAATAAAATGTTTGTATCTGGGTGCTAAAATGATACAATTTTATTTATTTACATTTTATAAAGTATTATACCGTTATTTCCTTTTGAGTTTCAGGACAGTGCATATAGTGTATATCGTCAATAACAAATAAATGCTGATTGGTTAATGCATTAGCAAGGTTTATAATGAACTCACACACATCTCAGTTAAATAAGAGGTGTGGTCATATTCCTTAAGCTGTGTTTTTACAGGACGTATGCAGTCGCCATTGTAATGATTCTCATCCAGGCTGGCGTGGGGCTAAGTGTGAGTTTGAAAAAGCTCATTCACTATACCTATTGTTTTTGTTCTGTAAAGCACAAAAAGTAAAGATTATTATGCAGGACCACATGGAAGGTAGAAGCAGAAAACATCCTAAGGAGCATGCATTGGAATGTGGGGCCCTTTCTTATTGTCATGAAGGGCCTCAGGAGAGGGTTTGTTTTTTATTTGCTCTCTTTAAGTAGTGGTTTTATTGCTCTTCCATACACATCTCTAAACATGTAGTCTTCAGTTTAGATGGTCTCAGACTCCAAAATGGTGAGTTCATAATGGGTGTTTTCAAACAGGTTCCTTCATAATGGGTTTATTTGCACTAAATAGGAGTCTGTGCTAATCCTTTGTCACCAAGTGGGTAGCGCCTTAGTTTCTCTTCTGCGTAGATACTGTTTACTATACCTGACACTGAGGGTAAAGCATTTGCCAGTTCTCAAGGAGTGAATAGGAAGTTCCGTCTTTGAATATTCCTCATTCTGGTCATTTTCGCCATTTAGCAGGTATCTTCGCATATCCAGCATGCCCTCTTCACATATCAGGTTGACTGTTAATTATGCTGTGGTAAGATGGCCACAGGCGCCTGAGCTATGTGCCACACCCAGCTTCCTCATAGTAAAGTTCCTGTTCCCCTCCTTTTATTCATCCAAACAGAATAGTTTTTTCTATGCATGTCTTTTCATCTTTTTGACTACATAGGACATGCTGAAAAGTTCAGAAATTAATATAACAGATGTCCAAGAATCTGCTACCCCAGCTGAGCACATGTCAAAGTTGTATTCTCATTGTCCTTTCTTTTATTCTCACCCACTGATCAGCTTTCCTTTCCCTTCCTCAGCCCTTGGTTTTGTTTTTGTATTTGTTTTTAAGAAATAAAACATCACAGATACAGCCAAAGCCTCACATTTTCATCCCCTTCCATTCCCTCCCTCCTTGCAGGGTGTTCATCTTCACTGTGAATGTTTTCTACTTCATAAATAACCCCATAAAAATATATGGTTGTAATTGATATTTGAAAAATTTACATAAATGGTGTCATATTACGTGATTTTTTAAAAGCCACTGTGGTACATTTAGTGTTATACTTATGTTGATACACATAGCTCTAGCTCATTTAAATTGCCTTACAGCCTTCTGGCTTACAGCTCTACAGTTTTGTGTTCTTAGAATCAGGGCTGTGGGGCTCATCCTTTCCCATGTCTCCTTGTGCACATACGCGAGCTACTCATTTTTGTTTTAATGGAAATTTTGTTAAAGCAAATGTGAACATGAGAGGTGGCATGTTTGACTTTTAAGGAGAAAACTGCTCTGTAAATCATAGTAGTGGTAATAGAAGCTCTCTGCCCTTTGCCATCGTATTACCTAATAGTACCTAATAGTCAATATTTATATTACCTAGTGTCAGTATATATTTCACTGTAACTGACAGGGAGTTTAGGATTTTAATTCTTCTTCCCTGTCACCAGTTAAGGTATGTACTGTGACCATCTGGTGATTAGTTTTGATTTCAAGATTGGCGTGTTAAGACTATTTCCAGTGTTAGTTATGGCCTGTTTTTATTTTCTGAGAGACGTGTGAATGATATGTGTCCTAAAAGTAGCTCTTGTTTTCTAAAACGTGGATTAATATAGGTCTGTCCGTTACTTTTGATGGAAAAAGAGAAGATTACTTTCCTGATCTAATGAAATGGGCCTCTGAAAATGGGGCTTCTGTCGAGGGTTTTGAAATGGTTAACTTCAAAGAAGAGGGCTTTGGTTTGAGAGCAACAAGAGATATCAAGGTGAGTTTATAAAATGTTGGTCTCAAGGGGTCTATGTGTTTGAACTGTGGTGTGCTGTAGAGGGCGCAGGGTGAAGAGGTAGACGTGTGGTGGGGGAGTTCTAGTTCTGAGCCTGTGGGCAGATAGGCAGCCTGGAAGGGCCTTGGGCTCATGTTCTAAGCAGCTCCTCCCACCTTATCCTCCTGGGGAGCCAAGTTGCTAATCAGTGACTGGGGCAAGTCAGTTCACATTTCTGAGCCTCTGTTAGGAGACCATAGAACATGCCTCACAGGATTTTGAGATTTACCTAAAGATAAGGAGGTGGACTCATGGTTTGGATTTTGTAACTTACTGGAGGTGAGTGGGTGGAGGACTGGCGGTGTGGGTATGCCTACTAGTGTCTGAAATGGATGACTATGAGGCTGAAGGTACTAGGAGCTCACTGAAATGGCAATACCAGTGGCAATAGGGAGAGGAGAGAGAAACAGCCACCTACTAAGGAAGAAGGGCTTTTTCTCCCCTCTTGGTTCTTGGTTCTTCTTTCCACATGAAGGGAGCAGCAGTCACTGGCCATGCCTGGCCTCTTCTCACCCCTCACTCATGTCTCTTCTAAGAGGAGGCACTCCTTCATCTGTTGGCCAAGTTTGGGAGAAGGAACTGGACTTGGCCTTTTTCTCGATGGGAGCTAGTTGCCCGTATGCATTCATTCCACTCTGCTCTCTGCCCTGGAAGCTTTGCAGGGGCAGGCCACATGTGGGGAGGGCGGTGGGGATCCAGCTCTGCCTGTAACTAGGTGGGGGAGTCTGTCTAATTCTGGGATTCAGTAGGTGATATTTTGGGTGACCATCTGTTGTATTCTATCTCTCTCTCAGTTGCTTCAGAACTTGGGTGGAGGAAGGGGTGTTATTTGGGCCCCCTCAAACCTCCAGCAACATTTTTGGCTAAGTTGTAGTTAACCTTTCATTGATAGATTGATAAATCACATGCTGGTATATTAGATACCTGTTAAATGTCTACTGTGTGAATGGTAGTATCTTGCTTCCAAAAAAACCAGTCTCTTCCTTCATGATGCTTATAATCTATATAGTAAGGGACAAGACAGGTACAAATAACTTAATAGTTGACATTGGTGAAAGCAAGATGCCACATGTTCTTCTCTTGTGACAGATTCAAGGCAGTATTTGTGTGGATGCTGCCCAGAAGATCCGAGCTGTGGACTTTCCTCACTATGTGCTTTTGTGGGGAGGCGAGGGTTGGGGAGGAGGTCTTAAACAACAGACATTTATTTCTCACAATTTGGAGGCTGAATGTCCAAGATCTCAGGGTGCTGGCATGGTCTGTTTAGGTGAAGACATTCTTGGTTTGCAGACAGCTGCCCTCTTGCTGTCTCCCACATGTTGGAGCGCCATGTGCATGTTTTTTGCAGTGTAGATACACAGGACACAGCAAAAGGAAGCAGCCTGTATTGCCAAAAAATGAGAAAAAGCTTTGGGAAACAAATTTCTAAACCAATGTGTCTTCTGGGCATGTGATTTCACTAGTAACTGTTGTGCTTTAAAGATAAGTATGTAGAGGAAGGAATGTTACTCTGGCTTCAAAACTCAGTAGTAGTAGTAATTCACATCGACAGATTAGGGTTTTTGTTGGAGGCAGGAATTTTGTTTTGATTTGGTCTGGTTTTAGAACTTAAAAGTACAGTAAAGTATACAGTAAACGCCTTTATGCTCTACTCCAAATGTTATATTTGCTTCAGGTTAAAGTTGAAAGTCCCTTTTTTGATTATTTGCTTCTCAGCATATGTAGTTTTTAGTTTTTCTGTTGGAAACAGGATTTTAAGCTATACTTCTACTCATTTAACTATAAGATAAATGCTTACATTTTAAAATGTATTTGAATATTTATTTGAAGTGCTGATATGCAGCCTTAAGTTGTACTTCATGTGTGATTGGATTTCTGACCGTAGATATGGTTGGATTGAAGACTGTACCGTGTTTTGATGATTCTCCTATTATTATTTTTTTCCCTAGGCAGAAGAATTGTTTTTATGGGTTCCACGAAAATTGCTAATGACTGTTGAATCTGCTAAAAATTCAGTGTTGGGTGAGAATAATTTCTGACTCTTCAAGGCAAAGCACAAATGACAAAAATATGTAAAATTCCATTTTATGGCACTAAGGATAATACTTGGTTTTTCTCGACTGGCGAAATATTCCCTCAAATATGCATTAAGTGTTTTTCATTTAATGTTATAAAAAAGATGCACATGACCTTTATTTATTATTATTATTATTTTTGAGATAGGGTCTCGCTTTGTCACCTAGGCTGGAGTACACTGGCACCATCATAGCTCACTACAGCCTTGATCTCCCAGGCTCAAATGATTCTCCCACAGGTGTGCACCACTACATCTGGCTAATTTTTTTTTTTTTTTTTTTTTTGTAGTGATGGGGTTTTGCTATATTGCCCAGGCTGGTCTCAAAGTCCTGAGCTCAAGCAATCCTCCCACCTTGACCTCCCAAAGTGCTAGGATTACAGGTGTGAGCCACTGCGCCCAGCCTGTACCTGACTTTAAATGTTACAAGACCTTTTAGTTTTTCTGTAATTTGTAAACGTATATTTAAATGAAGTTTTTAAGAAGTTTGTGGAACTTACGCTGTTAACTTCTGGGTTAATTCAGGGCCCTTATATTCTCAAGACCGAATCCTTCAAGCCATGGGAAACATCGCACTGGCCTTTCATTTGCTGTGTGAGCGAGCCAGCCCTAACTCCTTCTGGCAGCCCTATATTCAAACCCTCCCCAGTGAATATGACACTCCTCTCTACTTTGAAGAAGATGAAGTTCGGTATCTTCAGTCCACACAAGCTATACATGATGTCTTCAGCCAGTATAAAAACACAGCTCGACAGTACGCCTACTTCTATAAAGTCATCCAGGTGAGCAGCTGTTTGCAATTTAAGTATATATTTCACAGAGTGGGGAGGAAAGAGGAATTGAGTCCATAAATATTCCATTTGATGTCTTATTAAGGATACTTAAACATTTTACTTTTTAAATTGAAAATATAAAATACATTTCATCGTTTGTTTTTACAGAAATATCAATGAAATGCGGTTACATATATATATCTGATTTCATCAGTGCCCAGTGTTAATACAAGCAGCAGTTGTTCCTGAGTTATTGAAATCACCAAGTTTTTTTGTAAACAAAAGATCACAATGAAATTTTAAAAGCCTTAAAGCATATCTAATGCAATAAGTTACTCTGTGTATAAATTTTTCAAGAAAATGAGGGTTAATTTTTTTCTATATATGTTAGTGTAAAATATTGACAGTTAATTTAGCAAATTATAACATTTATGTTTTTCAACGTGTACTGTGTATTAATTTTAATTTGTTCTCAGTGAAAGTTTCTCATAGAAATCTCTATAAGGCTCCAAGTATTTGAATTACCTGTGATGACACCTTTCTGTATTTTGGTGGTGTGGCCACCGTTATCTTTCATTTGCAGTTGAACAGCAGTCAGAAGGAACAGGGCCAGTACCACAGTCCCCACCAGGACTGAGAGGCAGTGTGGCTCCTTCTCCTGATTCTGCACAATCTGAATCACTCAAGAGTCAGCTCCTGGGCTGCTGTTCTTGAGATACGACAAGTGGGCAGGTGAACTACTTGCTCGCTTTCCTTGTCTTTGGTTGGTGTGACAACCTGAATTAGGTTTGATTTGGTTGTTCCTTAAATGGTCTATCCTTGCTATGTTTTATTTGCAAGAAGTGGTAACCTCATTTCATTGCTACAGGTGATATTGCTTTCCGTTTATTATTTTCACTTTGTAGCATGCTTACTACACAAGAATGTTACACTCAGTTACATCTCCTCCTCCAGCAAGCACTTCAAATATGTCAAAAATTATACATGACTGTTGTCTTCATGTGGAAATCAATCACTCGGTTTTTCTAAACTTTAGGAAGTCATTAGGAATGGTCATACAGTATGTATATAGCTTTTATTTCAAGTTGGCTTAATTTAAAAACTATTGATGAAGCCAAATCAAAACTTTGCTTCTTCATATAGTGTGCACCTGCAGTCCTGCAGTCTAAGGTTGGTTTGGCTCTTCATGACCTGGAAGGGTTATACTTTTATTCTTAGTTCTCAATGGTATATCTTTCATGACTAAAGGTTAAGCTGACTTTAGTAGGTCTAAGTATTTGTCATTTTCTCTTGCTGGACAATGAACTACAAGCTGGCCCTTTTTACTAATGTGCTTCTAGTTTGCAAACGCTGGTAGCCTGCTCTGAGAGGACTCTCTTCTGTTGGCAGGTTGGAGGGTCTAGGATGATGGCAGGTCTTCTGATAACCGACTTGGCGTGAATGAGCTTTGGCTGTTTCTTTGTATTAACTGGTCCATTTACTTCAGTATTAACTAAGTAGTGCAGCTTTGCTTCAAAATTTGATGAGTTTTTCAATGGCTGTGAGTCACTAAAATACTCTGTTCATATAGATGGAACCATTTTTTGTCAATTTGTTTAAGAGCCAGGTGTCTTCATAACCCCCTGAAATAAGCTTCCTTAGATGATGCTGAGATGCTACGGGGATTAAATTATACCACCTTCTATGTAATAAACGGTGTCATTGTAAACATCTCAGGAATTAGAGAACATTCTAAAAGTAAACGATTGAGAAGCTTTCCCAAGAGTAATAAAATTCCTACATGACTAATAAGAACAATTTGTATAATTTATAATGAGTACAAATATCCTTTTTAAAAACAACATTCTTAGAGCACTAATCTTTTTAAAGAAATTATTCCTCTTTACTAAAAAATTTAGTCAACGACGATCAAATATGGAACATACAAATGTGAAATTACCAGGTAATCAAATGTCTGCACAGTTGATTATATTTTTTGCAATTAAATCAGTCTGAATATTTGAAAAAAGTACCATGATTTAGAAATCAAACTGGTTACTTTTATGTCAAAAGTATGAAACTGAGAAGAGCAAAATGTGTCTGGTCACACATATAAGTTCTTTTATTTTATATCAGACTTTTTTTTCCTTTTGTGAGACAGGGTCTTGCTGTGTCACCCAGGCTAGAGTGTAGTGGCATGATGATGGCTCACTGCAGCCTCGACCTCCGGGCTCAAGCAATCCTCCCACCTCAGCCTCCCCAGTAGCTGGGACTACAGGCATGTGCCACCACGCCTGGCTAATTTTTCGTATTTTTTGTAGAGATGGAGTTTCGCCACGTTGGCGAGGCTGGTCTTGAACTCCTGGAGTCAAGTGATCCGCCCGCCTTGTCCTCCCAAAGTGCTGGGATTACAGGCGTGAACCGCCTCGCTCAGCCTGAAGACATTTTTTATTGTTGAATTGGGAGTGTGGGGTACCACTGGCATCTAGGTTAGAGGTGCTGCTACACTTCTACATATAGGGCAGCCCCTACAAAAGGCATTTTCCAGCCCCAAATGTCAGAAGTGCTGAGAAACCCTGCTTTGTATTTATATACAGAACAGAGCACCTCAGTTACCTATATGATTTAGAAAATCACAGTTCTTCCCACCTAATGATTGGAAGCCTGAGGCCTACCAACACTGGTTGTGAGTGACTTTCACCATTTTCTCATGAATGTCTTCTCGTTAGCTGATTCCAGATCCCTTCCTGGCTGTAAGTGCATCCTGTGGTGAGGAGAAGGTATTTTAGAGCACTTTTTTGGTCACTGGCATTTAACACATACCCCTTCTTTTTAAGAACCTACAAATAAAAGACCAGGTTTAGAGATACTTGACTTATTAAGGATACAAATACAGGGGAACAAACACTGAAAAAATGTAAACCTAAGATTCAGGTTATAAAATCATGCAGATTTGGAGTAAGGGGCTGAGTTGAGATCCTTGGCATTGCATGTTGAAAATGCGATATGCATGATGGGGTGGGGTCAGTTCTCCGTGTTAGCTGGGGGACTTCACAGGAAGGAGCATTTGAGTGATGGGAGGGAAGGAACCCTGGCCCCTGGGCCGGGTATTCCTGAGTGTGGTTAGGAAGAGTTGAAACAGCTGTATCCACTGTCCAAGTGAGAGGCGCTGTGGCTGCGTGGAAAGAGCACATGCTTTGTAGTAAGACAAACCTGTATTGTATAGTTCATTTGCTATTTACATATAATTTGGAATTAAATATAATTTGGAATTAGTTGCTTTACTTCTCTGAGTTTGTTTCCCAGTCTGTAAGATAAAAATATGAAGACCTGTTTTTTCGTGTGACCATTGTCAGCCCAAGTTGGAGTGTTTATCAAAGCAACTAGCCTGGTGCCATAGCACCTGTGGTTGTTAGGAGTCAGTTTCCTCTGGGAAACTGTGGAAATGGTGGGGTGAAGCTCCCTCAGCAAGTGCAGTGTGGTAACTGAGAGGGCAGGCTCTGGAGCCAGCCTGCTCGGGCTGAAATCACTGCAGCACCACTTAGAACTGTGCCATTTTGGGCCGGTCTCCGCGCCTTCCTTCCCGTATCTGTAAAGGGGGCTAATGGAGTGCCTGACTCCCAGGGTTGCTGAGCGAGCAGAGTTGATCCACGTGAGGCCCTTAGCACTGTGCCTAGCACACAGTGCTCATTGTAGAAATGCTCTATTTATGCTATTACTATTTTGTGTTTGACCCTCAGGCCATGTTATTTGGTTTTGTTTTGTTTTGTTTTAAATCACTTCTCCTGTCCCTTCAGTATCTTATGTTAGTATTTCTTAGAGTGTTTTCTACTAAAACAAAACTCCTGGTGGCCAAAAATAACATTCCTGCAAGTCTAGGGGCTAAACCCATAGTGACTCGTCACAAGCTCAAAGTTGCTGTCAAGCCTGGGCAACCCATCTCTACAAAAAATTAGCCAGGTGTGGTGGCATACACCTGTCGTCCCAGCTACTCGGGAGGCTGAAGTGGGAGGTTGGCTTGAGCCTAAGAGGTCAAGGCTGCAGTGATCTATGGTCACACCACTGCATTCCAGCTTGGGCAACAGAGCAAGATCCCATCTAAAAAAAAAAAGCATTTGCTCCCAAGATTCATGTTTTTGTTGTTGGTTTTTGGACTTGTGTTTTTAAATCTTAAAAATTCATGCAAATGATAATGTTTGCTATTTTTAAAACCATGTTAAGTGACTTACCATCAAGTCAGATGGGTATTACAGGAAAACAACCCTGCTTTCTCCTAAGACCTTGGGTTGTCTCACGCTCCAGTGTGAAAAGCGCAGTCTTTACGTGTAGTAAGTGCCATGAAGCTGACCACGTGGGCAGTTCAGATGTGGTTCTTTTTCAGAAGAAGAAAATGTGACAGTCACTTAACATGGGTAAAACTAACCAGCTGTGAAGGGATCATTACATATTGATAATACACAATAATGAGCTTTTTTTTTTTCTTGAGGTGGAGACTTGCTCTATCACCTAGGGTGGAGTGCGGTGGCATGATCTCGGCTCACTGCAACCTCAGCCTCCCGGGTTCAAGCAATTCTCCTGCCTCAGCCTCCTGAGTAGCTGGGATAACAGGTGCCCACCACCACGCCCAGCTAATTTTTTGTATTTTTAGTAGAGACGGGGCTTCACCATGTTGGCCAGGCTAGTCTCGAACTCCTGATCTCTGGTGATCCACCCACCTCGGCCTCCCAAAGTGCTGGGATTACAGGCATAAGCCACCGCGCCTGGCCAATCATTAGAAAATTTCTAATGATTTAAAGTAAGTTCCTATTGGAATAGGAGCTGTAGGCACCCTAGAATGAGGTGCACTGCGGTGGCAGGAAGGAATAGGCTGTGGGCTAAGAGCTTTTGAATGAGGGTTCATGACAAAGCAAAACACACTTAAGCAAAAATTATCTTTTTAAAAAATTGTCTTTTGAGTCTAGCTGTTTTTCTAGTTTTAGAATGTTCTCATCGGTTCTAAAAGTCTTAAGTAATAAATTGGAGTGAACACAAATGTAAACATTGCATTGCTGTTGTTTTATAAAAGTGTCGTATTTTCTCATCTCAGTACCAAACCATGTATCTTTCCCATGCTTTTCCAGGATCAGACGTTAGGCCTTTGCTCCTTTTAGTAGGTCACCTCATCAGTGCATTGTCACTCAGGGAGAGAGAGAGGATTATTACATCAGTTCCCAGTTCATATTCCATTACTGTGACCTGCTCTCAGTTTTTTTTGTTTTCGGCATTGAGGCTGTTAACCTTTTCCAGGGTCATGGGGACCCTCTCCCTAGAGAAATGAACTTGCAGATCATTTGGCAGGGTGCTCCAAATTCAAGAACCTCATTCGCAATTTTTATCTGTGATTTCCCATTTAAAATAGTTTTCTTGGGGGCCTGTACCAAACTCTGCATGTGAACTGAAACCTATTTTGTTTTCTCCCCCCGCGATCTGCCTGCTGGCTCGGAGGTCTACAGGCCATGGCTTGCAGCCCCTGTCTCTGGGTACTTTGGGAGTGACAGCAAGCACAATTCAGTTCTGTGCATCCCCGGTGGTGATCCTGGTTTTTGGGAGAGGAGCATGGAGAAGTGATAATAGTCCATTCAACCTTACAGCTTGCTTCAGGCTTTTAGGGTTTTTAATTCTAAAAGCATCAGTACTGACTTCTGGTATTTATACATCTCTTTGTGTCGATTTCTCTGTATTGCATTTTTTATTTATTGTTTTTCTCTCTTTGGTGGTGGTTGCCTAAAAACTAGAAAAATAATTTCCTGTGCTCTGTCCTCCCAGCAGATTTCCTTGATCCAGGACCTTTTAGTGTGGGCACTTAGTTCAGATCACCTTCTGTCTTTAACTTGCTTTTATAGTTTGTTTAAAACAAAAGTCTTGGGCTGGGTGCAGTGGCTCACGCCTGTAATCCCAACACTCCGGGAGGCCGAGGCAGGCAGATCACGAGGTCAAGAGTTTGAGACCAGCCTGGCCAACATGGTGAAACCTCGTCTCTACTGAGAATACAAAAATTAGCCAGGTGTGGTGGAGCGTGACTGTAATCCCAGCTACTTGGGAGGGTGAGGCAGGAGAATTGCTTGAACCCGGGAGGCAGAGGTTGCAGTGAGCCGAGATCGTGCCACTGCACTCTAGCCTGGGCGACAGAGCAAGACTCCGTTTTGGGAAAAACAAACAAACAAACAAAAAACAAAGTCTTTCTGGGCCCCTGCTCTAACTCGTGTGTATGGTAGGGGCTTGGGCTTTACGAGTTTTGAGGAGTCCTTCCAGTTTTTACATTGTAAAATGTAAAACACCTGTATGAACACCTGAATGCTACATACAGTGTATGTCAAATATCTTCTTCTTGACATCTTCTTCATGAGATGTTTGACACTCACTGTATATATCCTTCAGGTGTTCAACAGATAATAGTGTGTAACCAGAAGCCTCACGCTGCAGGAATTTTGAGAGCATTCGTTGTATTAAGATACAGCACCTGGGCCAGGTGCGGTGGCTCATGCCTGTAATCCCAGCACTTTGGGAGTCTGAAGTGGGAGGGTGGCTTGAGTTCAGGAGTTAGAGACCAGTCTGGGCAACATGGCAAAATCCTGTCTCTACTAAAAATACAAAAAATAGCTAGGCATGGTGGCACACGCCTGTAGTTCCAGCTACTTGGGAGGCTGAGGCAGGAGAATCGCTTAAACACAGGAAGTTGAGGCTGCAGTGAGCCGTGATCACACCACTGTACTCCACCCCTAACCCTAATCCAGCGACAGAGCGATACCCTGTCTCAAAAAAAGAAAAAAAGAAAAAAGATACAACACCTGCTGCTGAAACATCATACTGCAGCTTGATGGTTGAGGAAAGTCTACCACCCAAACTCCAGAAGCTAAGTTTAGAAATTGTGGCTGAGCCAAAGGCTAGAAGAGGCTTGTATGAAATGGAGCTAAAATTTATGTCAGTTTGTGAAACAGAGGCCAGGGAAGAAGAGAGGGCTCATGGTGGAAGGCCGAACTTGGCATTTAAAACTGTTGCAACTTTAACCCTAGAAAAATACTAGCAGATCAGAACATACCAAAGTTCAGCTGTAAGTTGAGACTTTTGCTTGGAAATGGATGACCAGTTTTGTGATAGAAATAAGTGGAAAAGTAGGGTTTGGCTTAAACCCTACTTTGAAGTACTATAATTGTGTGAAAGCAACGTATATCCTATCAGATTTTACTTACCTTAACATAGTTGAATGATTAGCTCAGATGTTTTTCATCTATGCCAATGAAAAATAAATTAATAGACCCTGTGAATGAACTGTTTAATTGATAATCAGTGCCATGTAATGGGCCCAGTGCTGTGACGTGGGGCACCAGCTTGTCTGAAGATTAGCTTATCTTAGAGACATGTACATTTTTCTATGTTGTTGAGATTGAATGTAATGCTTTTTAAGTAAATGCAGGCATACAGGGTTTAACGGAATAGAGACATATCTATTAAATTTATTACTACTATTTTTCAGTTGATCTCATCACTTAAGTGATTTGTCACACCTTACTTGGATTTCTTCTTTTGTGTTGATCCAACCATTTGAAAGGTGCAGGGGAAGGTATGGAGATGGAGAAACTCATATGTGTATCAACTGCCATGAATTTTGTTTCGAGGCAAGCATCATTGCAGCAGCCTCCCCCTTTTCCTGCCTTATGCTTCAGGATGGAGTAAGGCAATTTCAAGTTGGCCATCTTCCTCGAACAGGCAACTCCTACCTAGCCAGAGCTGAGTGGCAGAAGAGACAAGCAGCCATGTTCACAACTTACTGTTGCTGCAGCCTGTCTCTGAAAACAGGGCCCGCCAAGAGGCAGAGGAAGATGTCACTTTTGGTTCTTGGCATCCTGTGGCAGTTGTGGCTAAATACAAACATTTTCTGCTGTTCTACTTGTCTCTGACAGAGCTACACAAGAATAGCACAAGATGTGAATTTCCAGAGATGTATTTAGCCTATGTTTTCATAAAGCTCTCATCTACATTTAGAACTCTGATAATACATGAGGCCTTCAGGAATGTGTACCAAATTAGAGTGAAAACCTCTGGGCATCAGCTTAAAGATCCCAAGGCCCTGAAATTCACGGAAAGGGTTTAGACGCTCAGTAGCATACGCTGTATATAGCTACGTGTCCTTTAGCACTGTAAGGGAAAATACACATATGCTTTATATAACTTGGACTCCTCTGTGGCAGAGGTTGTATACAGGAGTGTCCCAGTTTATGCATAGATTGTATTGCAGATTGTCACTCTGAGTTGGCATGGGGCTCCTCTCCCTATTCAGCTTCTTCTATTCTGTTGGTTTATCTTAAGTGTGAGGTATCACACCAGGGATAGGGACTAGTATTTCTGGGGATGTGAAATTTGTTTGTTTGTTTTTTAACTTTTTATTTTGAAATAATTCTAGACTTACAAAACAGTTGCAAAATTTGTGCACAGAACTCCTATATACACTTCACCTAGCTTCACTTAAAGTTAACATCTTATACAGCCTTCAGTTTAATGATCTAAACCAGGAAGTCAACCGTGGTACGATACTATTAACTGATCTGCAGACCTTGTTTGAATTTCACCAGTGTTGTCCTGGCATTAATGCCCTTTTTTCCCTTCCAGAATCCCGTATTGCATTTAGTTGTCGAATCTTCTCAAATCACTTCCAGCCTGGGATAGTTCCTTGGTCTCTCCTTGTCTTTCATGACCCCGGCACTTTTGAAGAGCACTGCTGGCCTGACCGGTTACTTTGTAGAGGTCCCTCAGTATGCATTTGTTGGATATTTTATCATGTGTAGACTGAAATTACGCATTTTATGCAAGAATACCATGGAAGTAAAGTGTGTCCTTCTCAGGGAATACATGAATCAATATGTCTTTTTGGTTTTTCCATCAGAAGTTACTGTTTTTCTCTTATAATTAATGAATACCTTATAGAAAGATACTTTGAGACTATGCAAATGTCCTGTTTCTCACCATCAAATATCCTGTTTCTCACCAGATGCAAAAACCTGATAGATACTGGTTTTTGTATCTATCATGATTTTTGTCTGTAATAGTTACTACTGTAGTGTTTGCCAAGTGGTGATTTTCTGTCTCCGTTATTTCTTCTACATGCATTCATTGGGATTTTACTAAAAGGAAGAGCTGTCCCTTCTTCCACATTTATTTACTTATTCAGCTGTTCATATCGGTATGGACTCATGGATATTTATTTTATTTGATAGACTATGTAATCCATTACTATATATTTGATACAAAAATGGTTTTAGATGGCTCTTCATGTAAAGATACCTGATTTCCTCGTCACTGATAATTTGAGAGTATGTGTCTTGTGCAGTTTTTGCATGGAGTGCTTAATAAAAAATTGCTGAAATTGATGCATAACACAGCAGATCATTTATAAAGTTCACTTGGCCTCAGAGTTCCAAGAGTGACTGTGGCCACTGCTTCCTGTGTGCCATTTTCCTGACCTCAGTTTCACTTAAATGTTTCCCTAGAAGCAAACGTGTTCCATATGTGACATTTTTTGTTCTCAGCCAACTTCATGGTAACATTGCATCTGCTGACTGAGGGGTATGAGCTACAAATTGAGGAGGGACAGAATAGAGTCAAAGATGATGGTGAGGGTACAAGGCGGTCAGTTTCATAGGCCGGAGGTGTTGAGGTTGATGAGCCGTGAATCTAGATTTAATCCTTGCATTCTATGGTCATGGGAACTGGGTAGATATTATGGGGCATAGAAGGGAAAGAATGATGTCTGTTTTCAGGTTGTTCATCTAGGTTGGCTGGAGGACTTTTCCAGTGAGGTAAGCAGCATTCTTCACAGTGTGCCCCTGGAACTGTTCTGTCGGAGCGGCTCTTTTCCACGTCGTAGGAAACCCGTGGCTGCAGATGGAAGACACTGCGTGAGAAGGGGGCTGAAGCTGTGCTGAGAGCTGCAGATGACGCTTCTGCCACTGCCACTGCCACTGTGACAGTGGATTCAGTAAGAGTGACTCTCCCTGGTGCAGTGTCGGCTCTCTTCTCAGGCTTTGATCCTTACCCTGTGAGGGAGTTTCAGTCCTCATTTTTCAAATGGGGAATGGGAGAAGTTGAGCAGCCTGCCAGAGGCTTATGGTACCTGCACTTGGAACTGGACTCCAAGCAGGTCTGTTAGACCCAAAGCCTGTGCTCCTAGCCACAGGGGCTCACCAAACCACTGTCTTAGTCTTTAAGGTTGTGTCTGGTCTTAATTTTGGGACAAAGAAATAGTCTAGTTTTAAGGGCAGAGCAATCTTGTTTAAAATCTCCTCTCTCGCACTGGTATTTCACAGAAAGCTGGGTGTGGCCCTGCTGACTGAGGACTGCGGGCCTGTCAGTCCAGCCTGTGAGCTTGCTGGCAGTCTCTTCCAGCTCCCTAAAGATCACTCCACCTCTTCGTTTTACTCTGTGTTGGGATTGAAAGATACTCGTTCTTAGAGGAAGTAATAAGCCTATTTGCTTTTTTTCCCCCAAGCTATGAGGAAGCTGGTTGTGCTCTATTTTTTTCTTTTATTGTTATCCTTACCGGTTCAACTTATTTAATGAAACAAAGACTGAAAAAACTAGGACTTAGGACATCAGTCCAGGCTTGCCTGTTCTCTGGAGAGTTGCCGGTGCCTTTATAAAGTTTGGTAGAGCCACTGGCTGTCTTGGTGAAATGCCCTGACCTGTGACCTTGCCTGTTCGTGATAGCTGACATTGAGATTAATTTGTGTTCAGTGTGTAAGCACTGCCTTCGTTGTGTGCTATTTAAGGTTTCCAATTTTGTAAATTACTCATTCTAAACACATATCTCATTTTCATCATTTCCATAAATGAAAACTGTAGCTATGTCATTTAAAAGATCTGTGCTTTTAACTATGTTCTTGTTTTGTAAATGTTATAGATCACATGGAGACTTCACCTTCTGTGAATTTAGTGTTCTTCATTTTTTCTATTTTGTCCAGCTTTAGTTCCAGTGGCTTTTGGGGGACTGAAGAAATGAAATGGGCTGGGCACAGTGGCTCACGCCTTTAATCCCAGCGCTTTGGGTGGCTGAGGTGGGCAGATCACCTGAGGTCGGGAGTTTAAGACCAGCCTGGCCAGCATGGTGAAACCCCGTCTCTACTAAAAAATACACAAATTAGCTGGGCGTGGTGGCGTGCGCCTGTAGTCCCAGATACTTGGGAGGCTGAGGCATGAGAATCGCTTGAACCCGGGAGGCAGAGTTGCAGTGAGCCAGGATTGTACCACTGCGCTCTAGCCTGGGTGACAGAGTGAGACTCTGTCTCAAAAAAAAAAAAAAAGAAATGAAATACTTTTTCTTTGTCCTTGGGGCTCTGTCTGGGGTCTTCTCGGTGGTGTGTGTCCCTGCCTTGGAGCCTGGGGGAGGGTGCCCCTAGTGTACACTGGTGTGTCCCCCTGAGGCGGGTTTGAGTTCCCAGGTCAGACCCCAGCATCTGCATCCTGCCCTCGGGACTGGCAACGCTTCTGCTCTGTCTTCCTCGCTGACCCTTCTCACTGGAAGTCCTCCTATTAAACCATGGCCTTCCTCCTCTTCCTCATCTCTTTACCTGACTGCGGTCCTTGGCCCTTTTAGGAAAAGTGTTGCTTTTGTCAATCAGTTTGGGAGCTGATGTCCAGCAAAGTGATGCACGTTTTCCCTAGCCTCCCACCTTACCTGTGACGCAGGTGTTTGCATGGGAGTAGAGGCACCCATAGGGGCATGGAATACAGACTTAAAGGGCAAACAGTTACCATGGAGTCCCAAGTGATATAACTTGGGGCTGGCATCCTAACCAAGGAAGGTTAGGCAATGCCCGCTGTGGGCTGAGCACGGTAAGACTTTTCTTACTTTCTATTATATAAGGAGGTGTCTGAAACTATACCTTCCTAGAATAATCTGAGACAGAATTAAACAAATTAGAAGAAAGCTCCAATACCAGGTCTAGGCTGTCATTGATCGTTTAATTTGTGTACTGAGAAGTCAGAATAGAGGCCAGAAATACAGGGCTTTCTCCTAAGACAGTGTTCCTTGGCGCCTCCAAATGCCAGTGGTGGGCTGAGGGCCCTGACAGAGGCTCCCTAACCCTCGCTGTTCCTCCAGAGCTGGGCACCGTCCCCATTTTATAAGTGAGGAAGCAGGTGTAGGAACAGGAAAGCTCGCCAGAGCCACTGAGTAAGCCCAGTCAAGGCGGAAGCTGAGACCTGTCTGACCCTAGACACAGTTTTTCCTCCATCTCCTCTGTCTCCACAGGCCTGTCCCGTTCTGTGATTCCTTCTCTCCCCAACTCCAGTCCCAGCTTTACTTGTCCTGGGCCCTCCCTATGAGTCTGATCAATAAGAGCTTTGTGAAAATCCCTAGAAGTTTAAAAACAAAAGAAACTTCAAAAAATTCCTTTTTGAAACCTGCTTTAAAACAAAACCAAACCTAAGATCTTCCCTGAGTAGATTCTCTATCCTCTGGGACAGGATTTTTAGACCTTGTTTTTGTTTTGTTTTTAATGTGTATGATAGAAGAGGGAACCTGTTAATGTTTTTGAGGTGACCCTGAATAAGTATCCTTATGAGAACACTCCCACATTACACACATTTGTAATCACTCACATTCGTTGATATATTGGTATACCCATACTCTGGTGTCCCTGAAGAACTGTGCAATTCTTGTAATTTCTTCTGCTCTTAATGGTTTAGACTGCAGCTATCCTGTGGCCGCCCTTTGTAGCTATAATCTACTCTCAAGGAAGAAAACGGAGGTGATAAAAGCACAAAAAGGAGGAAGGGGTTAGAGGACCCTCCAGGACATCAGCTATTATTAACATGTGACTTTGAATCTGAGTCTGGGACCTCTCAGCAGCCCAGTGTGGAAGCACAGTTGTGACTTTTCACCCCTGCTGCATTTTAATATCAAGTGGATAGTAGATGGCTTAACTTTAGTTGAACTTGAGTGAATGTATAGTGAGTTGGTGAAATGATTGCCTTAACGGAAATGCTGGTGCTGATGGATCTTTGTAGACAGAGAGTGAGGGCGTAGTATATTCTGTTGCCGTTAGTTTATAAGGTACCATTGATGAGACCAAGTTCAGGTCGTCTTCCTGATTTCTTCGAATTTGAGAGCCTGAGTATTGGTGAGGCTTGGCTGCCAGTATTCATTTGGGATATTTGCCAAGGAGGATTAGATAACTTTCTGCATTTGCATCGCATATTACCTCTACCTGGAATTGATATGGCCTGAACACTGTTTTTGAATATTTTTTGCTTCATTTGAGTCCTTACGAGCTTGCAGTCCACTCCAGGTGGACCATATCTTTTACCATCATGGCCTTTTTAAAAAAACTTTACTTCTCTTATTTTTACGTTTTTTCAAGATGGTTAAAAACATTTTCTTTAATTGACATATTATAATTGTACATATTCATGACATATATCAAGTTGTTTTTTTTTTTTTGAGACAAAGTCTAGTACTGTTACCCAGGCTGGTGTGCAGTGGCTCAATCACGGCTCACTGCAGCCTCCACCTGCCAGGCTCAAGCCATCTTCCCACGTCAGCGTGCACCACCATGCCCAGCTAATTTTTATATTTTTTTGTAGAGATGAGTTTTTGCCATGTTGCTCAGGCTGATCTCAAATTCATGAGCTCAAGCGATCCACCCGCCTCGGCCTCCCAATGTGCAGGGATTACAGGTGTGAACCTGGCCCATTGGTGATGTTTTGATACATGTAATGTATAAGATCAGAGCAGATGGATAATTAGCATATCCATCATCTCAGTTTTTCATTTCTTTGTGTTGGGAATGTTCAGTATCCTCGCTATCTGAAACTATGAAATGTGTTAATGTTAACTATGGCCATCCTACAGTGCCATAGGACAAAAATATGGAAGTCTTCACTAGTTTGTGTGTCATCCTTGCGCAGGTGCCATGCTCATCTTCCCAGTATTATTCCAGTTTTAGTATATGTGCTGCCTAAGCGAGCATGGAAATTCATTTTAGCTGTAAGTTTGTGCTGGGCAGATTATCCAATAAAAGTGCCCTTGTAATCTAATAGTTCTGAAATAGCCTTGTGAATGGCAGATCCCCTGACTGCCCTGTCTGTTCTGCACCCAGCCTGCCAGCTTTGCCTTTTCCACTGATGTTTTTGTGGGATGCAGTGGACCCCAGAAGAACAGTACCTCAGATTTCAAGCTTGTGACCCACTAGCTCAGCCTGGCCAGGTTAAATTGGTGTCTTAGGTTCCCTGTAGAAAGGGTCTGTGATTGTCAACCTGGCTGCGTGGGAGTAAAGAAGGTGATGTCTGTGACAGGCCCAGCACTCAGGGACTGAGTCCTGCACTGATGCAGGAGCTGTGTACTCAGCAGTGTAGTCCTAGCCTCCTTCCAAGAGTCATGACCCTGCTCAAGATCTGATTTTGCAAGGCAGCCCTTTCCAGAGCGAGAAGACTATATAGTTAGAAAGCCATTCCTTATATTGAGGCAAAATAGGCCTCCCTGTAACCTTCATCTTACAGTTTTGTTTCTGGTTTTTAGAGCAAGAGAGTCAATCTCATAATCTGCAGCATGAGAATTCTTTTTACTCACCAGTGAAGCATTCATAACCTCTGTCAGGCACCTGCTTGGAATTACAGGTTTACACAGTTAATCGGAATAAATCCTGTCTTCCAAAGCTTACATTCTAATCATATATAATTCAGTAAAAAGTGATGTCAGGACACAGATTAAAAACAAAATCATGGGACCAGGCACAGTGGCTCACGCCTGTAATCCCAGCACTTTGGGAGGCCAAGGTGGGCGGATCACTTGAGGTCAGGAGTTTGAGACCAGCCTGGCCAACATGGTGAAACCCCGTCTCTACTAAAAATGCAAAAATCACCCAGGCCTGGTAGCGTGCGCCTGTGATCCCAGCTACTCAAGAGGCTGAGGCAGGAGAATCGCTTGAACCCAGGAGGCGGAGGTTTGAACTGAGTGCCACTGCACTCCAGCTGGGCAACAGAGTGACACTCCATCTCAAAAAAAAAAAAAAAAAAAAAAATGGGAGTTCAGAGAAGGAAGATTGCTTTATGGAGAAATTTGAGGAGGTTGTTTTATTTTTGTTTTTAAATGGGAAAAGTGGCATTTGGAGAAAATGATCATGATGTAAAAACCCACATTTGTTTAGATCCTTATAAAATGTGTTCACGTCCAGCTTCACAGCTCGCCCTCACAATAACCTTGTAATACAGGTATGTAACTCTCCCTATCAGAAGATAAGAAAATGAGGCTCAAAGGGGTGGCTTGGCCAAGGCAAATGGGGTCTGTGCCACAACATCAGCGTCCCGTCCGCGTCAGAGTGTGTGGTTGGTGGTCGTTCTTTGGGCCACTGTTCCAGTGTCTTAGAGATGCACCTGGGTATTCGCTCCCCTCTTACCTGGCAGTCAGTACCTGTCAGCACGTACATTTGACTCTTGAACAGCACAGGGGGCAGTGATGCTGACCCCACCCCATGCAGTCGAAATCCATATAACTTCTAACTCCCCAAAACTTAACTACTGTTGACCAGAGGCCTTACCAGTAACGCAAACAGTTGATTAACACATATGTTGTCTGCTAAATGTATTACATACTGTATTACAATAAAGTAAGCTGGAGAAAAGAAAACATTATTAAGAAAATCATAAGGAAGAGAAAATACATTTCCTATTCATTAGTGGGAGTGGGTTATCATCAGGGTCTTCATCTTCGTCATTGTGACATTGAGTAAGAGGAGAAGGGGTGGGTCTTGCTGTCTCAGGAGTGGCAGATCTGGAAGAAAATCTATGTATAAGTGGACCCACTCAGTTCATACCCGTGTGGTTCAAGAGTCACCTGTATATTCCTTCATTTGTCTATCTTCCCAACTTGAATGTAAGCCCACTGAGGACAAGGACTTTCCTTCATTCTCATCTAGAATGTGCCCAACACAGAGATGGTGCTCTGTAATTGTCTGTTGAATGAATAAAGCACTCAGTAGCCAAAACAGCAAACAACTAACATTTGATAAAACTCAGCCAGAAACTGTGTATTTCATTTCATTCTTTTAATAACCCAATGAGAAGGTATGATTACTTTTATTTTACTGAGGAACTGAGACTCCCTGAAGTTTCACAGCCAGGAAGTGGCTAGGTTGGGGCTGATTGAGATCTGATGCGGAGCCGGTGTGCTCAGTCAGTGTGCTGTGTCCTCCACAGCCGCTTCATAGTCAGAATTCATGCCGTGGGCGTCTGCGCACCAGAGGTCATGAGTTTTGGTCTGGAGAGATTGGGACTGTTTAAAATGCCTGGGGGCTTTCTTACCATGATTTCTCTCACTTTAGATACATTTTCCTTAGCCACGACTCCATCACCCAGTCCTGGCCACTCTTCTTTCTTCCAAAGGGTCCCTGTGCTCTTGACCTCCTCAATGTAGCTCCACCAAGGGGCTCTTTTTGGAATATAAATAGTAGTCCATGTCTCCCCACTGACTTTTCCTTACGCTTAGAACAAACTCAGAGGGCTGGGCTGCCCAGATGGCCCTGCCCCTGCTGTGGCCTCATCAGGGGCTGCTTCCTCCCTCACTGCAGTCCACTCCCTCTGGTGGTGATCAGGGCCCAGGACTTGCCAGCCTCTTCTCCTCAGGACTTTGCTGTGGACCCCCTTCCTGCCTGCTGCAGGCTTCCCTGGGTTCTTCTAGCCTTGGCATAGAGTCTCTTCTGACCGTGAAGACCCCCTGACATCTGTGCTAGCGTGCGGTTTTGTCCTCTTGCAGATGTGTCGCTGCCTGTGATTGCTTTTGTGTTTGTCATCTGTCCCCTTCCCTGGAGTTTGAGCTTTAAGAGTGGGGCCTTTCTGTCCTTGGGCACCACTGTGGCACTGCCGCCTGGCCTAGTGCCTGTCACACAGGAGGGCTCAAGCAGCGCTGGTTGAATGGGGAACTGATTGCCTTGTTCTCTACGTGTAAGTCACGTGTGGCCAGGCTCTCTGAGGGCTGTGAGCCCTCTGTGCACACAGAAGCACCTGATTAGGTCCTGTGGTTCAGTCGTAAGTGGTATAAGGAGATATAAAAGGAGTGAGGTCCAGCCCATCCGCCACACCCCACACTGGGTCCCCACTGGGCTGGGTCCCTCACAGACAGACAACTTTTCCCAGTTTGTACAAAGGTCCCTGTTAGACACTTTTGTCCCTCTATGACAGGTTTACCCCTACTGGGATGAATGCTAAACCTGAGAGGAGTCTACAGCAGCTTAGGTGAGGATTGTCGAGGGTGTGACAGCGTACTGTCACTCTGCTCACAGGCCTCATTGGCCCTGAGCATCAGCGTTCCTGTCCTTTCTTTGTCTTCTGAGAAGTGAAATTCACAGGGAGGAATTTATCAGATCCTTAGCTTTTATTAGATTTAATCGAGCATCTCTTCAGATAACTGGCTTGTGTTCTCTTGGGCTATTGTATTTTTCTGTTGCTTTTTTTTTTTAAGTGCTTTCTGTATTTTCCAAAAAATGGGGTGATGTGAAATATACTCCCACAACACTGTCAAGCCCCTTTTGTTCTTTTTTTTTTTTCACCCAGTGTTCCCTACAAGGCCTCTTACCTCCCCACAGATGCCGAGAGCTCTCTTCAGGTGCACCCTATGCCCTCTTTCTGCACCTTCTTACTGGCTCTGCTTTAAACGCACAAGCTCCCATTGCCACGTTCCACTCCTGAGTCCTCCAGCCAGGGCTCACTGACCGCAGTGAGACTTAGATTCGCTCTCTGAGCTGTTCCAGTGAATCGCCCTCCCCTGCGCATGATGTAGACACCGGAGGCTGTGTGTATTGCTCCTGACCCTGTCCCCTACTGGCTCTACTGGAAATTACTGGGTATTTCCACTTCGCACGTGTAGTGAAATGCGATTATCGACAGTTCGAGCCTGAATTATATTTTTGGAGAGCTGCTACTTTTAGGCCCACCTGTGTTGTTTAGTCCCTGAGCTTGGTCACGTGTTAATGGTTTGCGTACTTTTGTCATTTTGCAAATCAACTTTATCCTTTCAGCTTAAAGGAAAAAGTGAGTTCTAAAAATTAGTAATAGAGAACATAGCATGGATACTGTGTTTATTTTTATTTACATTCAGTCTCATCGGGAAGAACATAGTAACATTCATATTCTTTTAAAAATAAGTCAAATTACTACTTATTGAAAATATTTTCTGCTGGGCTTGGTGGTTCATGCCTATAATCCCAGCACTTTGGGAGGCCAGGGTGGGGAGATCACTTTAGCCCAGGAGTTCAAGACCAGCCTGGGTAACATGGTGAAACCCCAACATGGCGAAACCCTGTCTCTAAAAAAAAAAATACAGAAAGATTACCTGAGCATGGTGATGTGTGCCTGTAGAGCTACTTAGCAGACTGAAGTGAGAGGATGGTTTGAGCCCAGGAAGTGATGGTTGCAGTGAGCCAAGATTGTGCCACCATACTCTAGCCTGGGTGACAAAGCCAGATCCTGTCTCAAAAAAGAATATTTATACATATAAATACATACATTTATGTGTATAAAAATATAAATACATACATTTATATGTATAAAAATATAAATACATATATTTATATGTATAAAAATATAAATACATATAAATATATAAATATGTATTATATATACTTACATATTTATATATGTATATATAAAAATATAAATATGTTTATATATTTAATACATAGATATGTTTTCTATATTTATATATAAATATATGTATTTCAGAATATATATGTAATGAGTTTTGCTGAATGCTTCTCCTGTGGTTCGGTCATAGGTACTATAAGGAGATATAAAATCAACATGAGGTCCTTGCCTTCTAGAAGTTTATCATTGGAAATTGAAGGAAAACAAACAGGAAATGTTGACGAGCAAAAGTGGTAAACTGAGGCAGTGCTCTGTTGTCTGATCTCTGTGAAGCTTGGGGCAGTCAGGTGATACCTGAGTGGGGCTTGAAAGGCAAAGTTGTCTGGTTGGAGGAAATAGGTCAGCAGCAGTCTGGAGTTGGGGGTGAGAAGGGCATGTATGGAAGAACTTGAGAAGAGCAGCCTTTGCCTCTCAGAGGGCACAGCCCTGGAGCTGAGAAGCCTGTTGTGGATTTCCAGCAGGAGCTGCTCCTATGAGTCTGTCGCCTGAATCTCCCAGGGTTGCCTGTAGTGCCTGTGGCTCCCGCCAAAGTTGGGATCAAGTGGCTGCTGCTTTAGCAGTTCTCTTTGTGTGATACGTGCTGAAGCCACTCGGATGCTCTGAGCCTCAGTTTCCATATTTACAATCTACCCTCTGTGACAGACTTGTGAATGTAGCTGAGCTATCATGAATATAAATATGTTTTTTAAGTACAATCATTCTTCTGATGTAATTAACCTGAAGCTGGATGTGAGCACCTTCCTATGATGTTGGAAAGCAAAGTCCCTGTATTGGATGTAAAAGGCAAGAAGATGAAACAGAAAGGCCTGTTCACGGTGAGAGGGAGAGGACTAGGTCCTGAAGAGCCTCCAGCAAGCCTTGCCAGGTAGTTGGGATCTTATCCTGTAGGGGCACATGGTCAGACTGGCACTGGTTTGGTTGCTTGCTTAATGACAACCCCAGCGGCAGGGAGGTGGACGGTTTGGAGGCCATAAGACTACTTAGCCTGGTGAATCCGAGAAGTACCTGCAGGTAGAATTGACAGGATCTGGTGACAAACTGGATGTGAAGAGTTCGGGAGATAAGGATGATCTTGAGGATTCTGGAATAAATTGGTTTTAAGTTTACCTTGCTTATAACATGACATTACTAACCTTTCTCTGTTTTGAAGCTTTATGGTCTAGAATGGAAATCTTCAATGCTAAATTCCTAGCTTATTCTAACTTGTCTAAACCAGAGACACACCACAGGTAATCTACTATGCTTTGCATCCGAGCTTTCAGTTCAGACAGGTTTATTTTATTCTTTGGAATATATATTTGAAACCTTTTGTATGCAGAAGTCAAGCCTAGAGCAAATTTTTATTCTTAAATTATAGGCTTGTGAAAGTGAAGGTTTTAATGGAAGTGCTCACCCAACCTTAACCGTAGTGACACACACATGGTAGCATGTCTGAACGAAAAGCTGTCAGAAAGAGCAGATTTCAATTTAAATATATCAGTGATTTCAAGACCAGCTCTAATGAGTTTCAGAACCTTTGTGTCAGTCTCATGTTTTTTCCTTAAATGCTCTGAAGTCATTTAAAATTAATAAGCCAGTTTTTATTTGATAGAGTTTACAACAGAAATGCTGCCATCGGCTTTGAAGTCCTTGTTCTTGTGTGGTCTTTAAAGTGAATTAGTGGCTGTGGTTTCTGGAACCAGAAGGAGGTTGGCTTCTCATGAATGGGCATGTGGGCTGACCTGAGGGACTGCTTATGTACAGTTAGCTGGTATCTAAATGCAGGTACTGCCTCAAGTGAATGTAGGTGACGTAGTGACAAAGGAAGAATTTCAGTTAATGTAGATGTGAAATGGAGTTTCTTTGAGTGACTGAAGTGTTGAGCCAAGTTACATTGAGGCTTTTGAAATAGTATCTCAAAACTGAAAGAGATTTATTGAGACGAATCAATCTTTCTGTGTGTCACACACACACACACGTATACACGTACAGGCACGCACACACATCATATCACACAGTCACACGGTCACACACAAGTCTCACTGATCTAGTGCCTTTTCTTTTTTGGTAGTTACCTGTTATCAAGCACCACTGACGTGTGAAGAACGTCGTTAGGTGCTGGGATTGCAGAGAGGTGCTGGTGTAGTTTCCATTTGCAAGGAGCATTCAGTCTAGTGGAAAACCAAATGCAGTATATAATGTAATCACATTGAGGGGTTGGCGGAGTAGCCCAGAGGCAGGGAAAGCAGCAGAAAGAGTGGGAGTAGGGAAGACTTCACAGAGGTGGCACTGGTCACTGACCCCTGAAGAGGACGTAGGAGTTTTCCTGGTGGAGGGTAGAGGGCACAGCATGGCCATGCAGTGGGCCTGGAGTGTGGTGTGCACAGGGAGGTGGCAAGGTAGACATGCTGGAAGGGAGGGAACAGAACTCTTGAGGTAGCACTTTACTCAATGCCAAGATCCACATTAACACAATTCCACTGAATCCTCCGCGTGCCTGCGAGGTCTGGGTACTTCTGTTCTCATTTGACAGTGAGGAAATTGAGGCCTATTTGCTGGCCTGTCTGTTTCAGGACCTCAGTTCATACCTAGTTGGTGATAATCCCTGGACTTAATCTCATATCTAACTGAACTATCTTCTCTATCCACGGTACTGTGCTGACTTCATCCTGTAACCATGGGAGCTGGTCATTCATTCCATAAACATTTATTGAGACCTTCTGCTCACCTACTGCTGATTTACATTTCAACACAAGCTGTGGAAATGTTTTAAGCAGTGGAGGGAGGTGCTCAGGAATCTTGCTAAAATGGAAGGACTTAAACCGGTGCTGAAGAACCCAGGGAACACTTACTGGATAAAAAAATACAGCTCCTGTGTGGGGCCACGAGTAGTAGTGACTGTGTTGTTTGCAAGGTCAACACTTTTCAGCACAGTGCTAGATTTTTCTGGTGTGTGGGTAGGTACTTCCTTCCTGGAGAGGCTGCCGAGAAGAATTAAAAGCACCATAAGAACACAACAGTGGACCGAAGCAAATTTGCATTAAGAAAAGGCCATTCCAAGCCAAACTCACTTACTTTTATTCTTTTGAATTTAAGGAGGGCCGCTTAATCTCAGCCTAACACTTATCCCTGTGCTGTAATAGAGAATGCTGTCTGAGCATGTCTGGGGAGTACTAGTGGATGGTGTCAGGCTGCAGTGAGATGCTGGTGGCCATGTCCAGGCTCTGTGCCTGACCCTGTCTTGCCTAACACTTCTGTCAGGAATGCAGAAGACCCTGTTTCTGGATGATGGAAAACTGAGAAGGAAAGCTCTATGTAGACCAGGCCGTTCTTGATTTAGAAAACTATTCGACACAAGCTGTTTGATGAACTTTCCCGGGAGTCACTTGGAAGGCGGAAGTACGGTGGTGATCTGGTTAGGCTTTGTGTTTCCACCCATCTCATCTTGAATTGTAATCTCCATCATTCCCGTGATCACCACGTGTCAAGGGAGAGATCAAGCGGAGGCAGGTGAATCATGGAGGCGGTTTCCCCCATGTTGTTCTTGTGATAGTGAGTTCTTACAAGGTCTGATGGTTTTATAAGGGCTCTTTCCCCTTTGTTTGGCACTTCTTCCTGCTGCCTTGTGAAGAAGGTGCCTTGCTTCCTCCTCCTCTGTGATTGTGAGTTTCCTGAGGCCTCCCCAACCATGCTGAACTGTGAGTCAATTAAACCTCTTAGCTTTATAAACTACCCCGTCTTGGGCAGTTCTTCATCGCAGTGTGAGAATGGACTAATACAGGTGGAAAGACCGATGACCAGACATTGGAGCCCTGGAGTCATCTTCTTTCTTTGTCAGTTATTCACTTTGTGACCATAGCCAAGTCCCTCAAGCAATCTGAGCCTCAGTTTCCATACTTACAAAAAAAAAAAAAAAGGTGGGGGGGTGGGGAACCTGCCTTGTTTCTCCTACAGGTGTGTGAAGCCAGGTGTGAAATGGAAGGAAAGGTATTTCTAGATACAGAGGATTTTTACAAGTGCATGTTTTACAAATAGAGCTTCCTGTCATGGCCCTTTAGGGGTGCTGAAGAGGGGATTCTTGGACTAGGTGTGAAAGACGTTGATGGCCCAGGATAGTCCTTGCCAGTTCTGTAAACTATTGAGTAACTGTTTACATTCAGGGCACTCGTGGGTGTTAAAGGCACTGCTTCAGCTCCGTTCTGTTGAATCCCTAGTTGACAAGCTATCGGGAAGTAAGACACATGGGGAGAAGCTAAATGTCAATAAAATACTTGAATAACAGCTGATCACAACAAAGGATTTTATCAGTCAGCATAGGATTAACTACCAAAATTCTAGGTAGAAATTGCCAAGAAAACTTGAGAGGCAGGAAAGAGTCAAATGATTTATGAGTTTACTACCTAAAAAAATATAGCTATACTTTAAAGACAATGACAGCTTCCAAACATTGAGCATTATAAACTTTTAAAATAAGGTTTATTCATAGTCTATGAATAAACATGACAATATGCATGGCAAATAACAGAAAAGGATGAAAATATGTACCTGGTGGTAAATGGTATCAGAGTAATAACGAATAGGCCTTTGACTACTTTGTTAATTTTTTAAAATAGCTGGTATTAATAGAATAAAAATATAATTTTTTTTAAAAGGCTGGGGCCAGTTAGTAACCCTCCTATAGCAAAGATGAGCCAGTTTGGGGAGTTTTCTGTCAACTTTTAATTTTTTAAAAATTGAGATTTAACTTGTACATAATGAAATACATGTATATTAAATGTAGGTTGTTTTTTTTTTTTTTTTTTTTTTTTTTTTTGAGGCAGAGTTTTGCTCTTGTTGCCCAGGCTGGAGTGCAGTGGCGTGATCTCGGCTCATCACAACCTCTCCCTCCCGGGTTCAAGCAATTCTCCTTCCTTAGCCTCCCGAGTAGCTGGGATTACAGGCTTGCGCCACCACGCCCAGCTAATTTTGTATTTTTAGTAGAGACGGGGTTTCTCCATGTTGGTCAGGCTGGTCTCAAACTCCTGATCTCAGGTGATCTGCCCACCTTGGCATCCCAAAGTGCTGGGATTACAGGCATGAGCCACCACACCCAGGCAGGTTAGTTTTTGTACTCAAGTAGCACAACCAAGATGAAGACATGGAACATTTCTAGCAACCTAGAAAACTCCCCACTGTCTTTTCCCCGTCAGTGCCCCGCCCGTGTCAGGGGTAAGCGCTCTTCTCATTCTGTAAAACTCCCCACTGTCCTTTCCCCATCAGTGCCCCACCCATGTCAGGGGTAAGCACTCTTCTCATTCTAAGGCCTTTGGGTGCTTTGCCTCCTTGGGGTTTTTGCGTTGGGGGAGCATGCAGTAGGGACTCCTTGGTCTCTGGCTTCTTTGGCTCAGTCTCTGGAATTCACCCATGTTGCTGTGTGTAGCTGTAGTTTATTCTTTTTGAAAATTTCTGTATAGTTTCTCACTGTATGAATGTACCAGTTTTTTATCTGTTCTGTCGATGGACATTTGGGTGGTTTCCAGTTTTTGGCTATTACAAGTGAAGCTGCTAGAAGTAATCTTGTGTTTATCTTCTTGTGGACATATACATTCATTTCTTCTGGGTATTCTCTTGGGAGAAGAATCATTGGGGTATTGAGTGATCGTATGTTTAGCTTCAGTAGATGTTGATAAACCGTTCTCTGAAGTGGTTACACCAATTTACACTCGCACCAGCTATCCACAAGCATCCTAGTTGCTCTACTCCCTCATTAGCGCTTGGTTTTTTGCGATATTCTGATGGACATGTAGTATTATTTATGGTAATTTTGATTTACTTTCCTTGATGGCTAATGGTGTTGAGCATGTTTTCATTTGCTTATTAGCTACTTAGATGTCCTCTTTTGGGAAGTGCCTGTTCAAATGTTACGCTCATTAAAGAATTTTTAAGGCCGGATGTGGTAGCTCACACGTGTAATCCCAGCACTTTCAGAGGCCAAGGCAGGTGGATCATGAGATCAGGAGATCGAGACCATCCTGGCTAACATGGTAAAACCCTGTCTCTACTGAAAATACAAAAAATCAGCTGGGTGTGGTGGCACATGCCTGTAGTCTCAGCTACTTGGAAGGCTGAGGCAGGAGAATCGCTTAAACCTGGGAGGCAGCAGTTGCAGTGAGCCAAGATCGCACCACTACACTCCAGCCTGGACAACAGAGTGAGACTCCATCTCAAAAAAAAAAGAACTTTTAAAATATATATTTTTTAACTCAAGATACCTGAAATATCTATTAAACATGTAATTAATATAAAAATTATTAATATATTTTACACTGTTTTTATAAGTTTTGGAAATCCAGTGTGTATTTTGGGGATGTATATTACATTATTAATTTGTAAAATTGTAAAACACACATAACATGAAATTTGCCATTTTAACCATGTTTAAGTATACTAGTGTCATTTATTGCATTGACAATGTTGTGTAACCATCACCACCATAGAAAATTTTTAATCCCCCCAAACAGAAACTCTGTGACTGTTAAGTATTAACTCCCCATCTCCCCTCCCTGCCATTGCCTGTCTTTAACTTGGCTTTTTCTTCTGGATGCGTGTCCTTTACAAGATACACATTTTGTGATTATCTTCTAGTTTGTGGTTTGCCTAGTCACTTTCTTAATGATATTATTTGATGAAGTTCTTAATTTTAACAAAGTCTAATTTATCAGTTTTATTTTTTAAAGATAGTGCTTTTTGTGTCCTTTATAAGAACTCCTTGTTTAGCCCACCGGTTCTCCACCAAGAATGACTGATCCCTTGGGGGAATAGAGACATTTTGGCTGTCACACCTGGGCCTGGGGTGCTGTAAACACCCTGCAAGACAGAGGACATCCCCACAGCAAAGAGCTGTCTGTCCCAGAGTGTCAGCAGGTTGAAGCTGGGAGCCTCTCAGCATGAGATGGTGAGAGTGTTCTTGTGTGTTTGCTACTGGAGGCATTGTTGCTTTGTGTGTCACTGTTACGTCTGCATCCATCTCTTCTTAATCCTTGTAGATGTGATGAGAAGAATTTAAGAGAAATCTTGGTCATTCCACATCTGTGCCCTTAGACTTTTGTTTAGAACAAAGCTCAGTACATTAATTATGGGAGCTTTATGTGGACCATATTAGCATATGGAACTGAAGTTTTGCTTTTTGGTGGCTTAAAAGCAATACTTAAAGTGTGAATATAAATGGCTTGGCATTTGCAGAAACCAGAGATTTTTTTCCTGCTTTGATTCAATTATTAAGAACTTGATTTAGCATTTTTGTCATTGTTGCTTTTTAACTTTCAGATTAGAATTGTAATGAAGACTGAAATACTGACATTTTTTCCTGCACAAAATATTCAATTCAGAAAATAAATGGACTCTAAAGCATGCTGTTAATTTTTATCAGGACTCTTACGGGTTCTTTGCACTCAGTGCCGTGATTAACTAACTGGACATTTGCCAGGTAGAAGGGAATTTGTCCTTTAATTTTTTTCATGTAGTTCAGTGTATTTTTACTTGTCAGGTCTCCCATAAAACTGACCACTTAAATATACGAATCTTAGTAAAGTAGGTGGTGCCATTTAAGGGTGGTCAGAGGAGGGGAAGCAGTACTTTCAGAAGAGGTGTTCTTGAATGACAGCTGTCATTCAAGATGGATCATG
The DNA here is from genome assembly GCF_000001405.40 of Homo sapiens. Classification (NCBI taxonomy): domain Eukaryota; kingdom Metazoa; phylum Chordata; class Mammalia; order Primates; family Hominidae; genus Homo; species Homo sapiens. The sequence continues at coordinate 99,431,996 of NC_000014.9, read as the reverse complement.
ATGAAAAAGTGGTGTTATGAAAACTTCTCTGTGTATTCATGACCATGTTGAGCAGATTCATAGTATTCCCGAGTTAAAATTGACTTGTAATAAGAATTTGTGGTGGTAGAGTGGTCATCCAGTGTGTGTTGTGGGATGGCAGTTGCTTTGCTGTGTGAGAATGACCCTGGCAAGGGGATCAGTTGCTCTAGGTTTAGACGCTAGGGTCTTGTTTTAAAATCCCTACTACTGTAATCCCAGCACTTTGGGAGGCTGAGGTGGGCAGATCACCTGAGGTCGGGAGTTCAAGACCAGCCTGGCCAACAATGGAGAAACCCCGTCTCTACTAAAAATACAAAATTGGCTGGGCGTGGTGGCATGCACCTGTAATCCCACCTACTCAGGAGCTGAGGCAGGAGAATCGCTTGAACCCGGGAAGTGGAGGTTGCAGTGAGCTGAGATCGCGCCACTGCACTCCAGCCTGGGCAACAAGAGCAAAACTCTGTCTCAGAAAAAAAAAAAAATTCCTACTAATGCATGTTGCTATTTTAGGCCACTGCTGGCTCCCTCTTGTACTTTTCTGCGTTTTTGTGAATGGTGTGCACTAGAAGGAGTGCTAGAGTTGGAATCAGAACTCCTGCGTTTGAGTCACAGCTCTGCCTGTAAATCACAAAGGGGTGGCAGGTCACTTGGCCACAGTTTCTCCATGTGGTAATGGGGTTGCCAATCACTGCCTTAGGTTGGTATTGGAAAGATTGGATGAGAAGTATGAGAGCACTTCATGAAGTATAAATCTTCACAAAAATGTAAGGGACCCACTTGGTGGAAATACCTATTTAACAAAATCCCTATTATGTGTTATATTTGTGCAGAGACAGCACTTGAGGTGGTTAGGTGAAGAGGATTGGAATCTCCTGTACTTTCTGGTTGGATGACCTGGGGCAGGGCTTTTCTGGGCCTTTTATCTGTAAAACAGGAGTGATGGCCACTGTGTGGTTTACATTTGTTAATACATAGAAGATGCTTAGGACATTTTATTGTGTCTGGCACACAGTAGGCACTCAGTGTTCATTGTTACTTTTATTGTTACTGTTAGATTAGAGCTGATTTGAGTGAGTGAAATTTAGGACCTGCCCCATGTCTGCACATACTGACCAGTCCGCTGGACCCAGGTGAGGTTTGTCCTGGAATATTTAGTCCTGGTTGCCAGCCCTTTGTGGGCAGGTGGGCATGGTGCTCGTGGAGGATCTGCTGTGAGAGGAGAAGGTGGCGCCTGGGCTCAGCAGTGCCAGGTTCAGTCACTCGCTGATGCATCACCTGCTTCCTCTCCCTCATTTCCTCAGTGGCGCCACGTGAGCCCCTAGAGGCCTGAGAGCAAACTCCCTTCCTGGCTACAGTTCCTAGCCTAATGTTTGGCACTTGATAAATGTCTGTTGAATAAATGTTCGTTGTTTGCAGGTCAGGTCAAAAGGTGTATTAAATACCCTGAGGAACAAGTAATTAATATAGCTGGAGTCTTTGGTGCTGGTGTCAGAAACCTTTGACTTTTTTCCCTATTTTAAAAACATGAAATTATTTTTGAATTTTAAGTCATATATACATGGAATAGAAAACACTAGAAAATATAAACTAGCATCAGGTAGAAAATTAAAGCTTCACATATTCTGTTTGACAGGGTTTCAGTGACCCAGAACCTCAAGTGGGCAGATCTGGATGGGCCAGAAACCTCAGTGTGAAATTCAGCTTCTCCCAGACTTCACTCCCATTGTGCATGTGTGTGTGCATATCTGTGCACCCAGGGCAGGGAGGGCTTTATTCAGAGAGCAGAGATCTTTCTTTACTCTTCTCCTCCTCAGTGGGAGCCAGTGCTAAACTTGGTTCCTGGATTCAACTCGAGTGAGCATAAGTCACCTGGGAAACTTACTGAAAACGCTGTTTCCTGGGCTTCCCTCTCTGGGCCCATCAGGCCCATCTTGAGCCATCAAGGCTGGGCTCACTCCCCCTCCCCTCTCGTTTAATGGCTGGGGGTAGTGACTGCTTGTCTTTGGACCCACTCCAGAATATCTTACCATTTCCTCTATACTTCACAGTTTTCATCTGTTTCAAAGAATGAAAACAGGTGTGTGGAATTGAGGAGACCAAAATAAATCCTTAAGCATATAAGGTAGGCCTTATGGAGGCCTTAAAATTACTTGATTTTCATAAGTAACTTTGGGACTTAAAAAGATTCAGATGGGTTTCTATATTGGATTTGCTTCTGTTCAAGACTCCTGGTGTTGAGGCACCTCTTCCTCACGTTTTAACTAGCCAGTGTCTGTCTGGAGTACAGAGCACATGTTTCAAAGAACTTGGATATATCCAAAACCCATAAATTTAGGACTGAAATAGGATGTTAGTTATCAGATGACTGAGTGAATGCTGAACATATATGGAAACAAAAGAGACAAGAAATGGTATAACCATATTAATGACAATCATGAAACAGACCAAATGCCTCGCACCCTAAGCAAAGTCTCTTACATCCCGTTTAAGAGAATCGGGGTGCTCTGTTTATGTTTAGATTTCTTGGCTTCTTTCCATTCCATCTCAGAGTTTCCCCTGCGTCTCACCAGTGCTCCTTTTCTTCACTTTTCTTTTCTTGTCCAGCCTGTGCCCTTGGTGGTGTGATGCCTCCTGTGTCTGTGTTCTGTCACTTACTTGCCCTCCCTTGTGTCTTTCTTTTTTCTTCATCCTTTTAAATCCTCTTCTTTTTTTCCTGCAAATATGTTTGGTTCCTGTGAACAGAACAGTTCAGTGCAGAAGGGCACTAACATTTACTGGGTTCCTGGATCATGGAGTGGAGATCCCATGGAGCAGAGGCACAGGCAGCACCCAGGGAGCATGCAGTGAGTGAGAAATGACTCCTGGAGACACCGTATTATGGCAGATTCCAGCCCATCTTGACTAATAGTCATATGTTTGTGTGAATTTTTTTGAGAAGTACACCCAGAAGTTCATAATTAAAATTTTTTTTTCTTTGCTGCTTAGAGGCTTAAAACACACATTTATTATCTCACAGTTTGTGTGGGTCAGAAAGGCAGGCATGGCTTAGTTGGGCTGTCTGCTGCAGGGTCTCTCTCAAAGCTGCAGTTAGGGTGTGGTCTCATCTGAAGGTGTGACTGGGGAAGGGTGCCTTCCATGCCCACTCCTGTGATTGGCAGCAGGCTTCAGTTCATCAGTGCCTGGGTTTCTTGCTGGCAGTTGCTAGAGGCCACCCTCAGTTCCTTGCCACATCAGGCCCATAGATTTTATCAGATTCTCAAACTTCACCTACCCCCTCCCCACATTTTCTCACTTCCTCCATCACTTGTTTTGTTTTTCTTTCTTTTTTCTTGAGACGGGGACTTACTCTGTCACCCAGGCTGAGTGCAGTGGCATGATCTCGGCTTACTGCAAACTCCACCTCCTTGGCTCAAACAATCCTCCCACCTCAGCTTTCCGAGTTGGTGGGACTACAGGTGTGTGCCACCACACCTAGCTAATGTTTGTATTTTTTGGTAGTGATGGAGTTTTGCCCTGCTGCCCAGGCTGATCTCGAATTCCTCACCTCAAGTGATCTGCCCTCCTGGGCCTCCCAAAATGCTAGGATTACAGGTGTGAGCCACTGCACCCAACCCCTCCACCACTTGTTTTGATTCATCCTTTGGCAGATTACTTTTCCTAAATGCTGAAGACCAGGGGGTGCTCAGTGTCTACAAAGTCCTTGTTCCTGGATGGATACTAACTTACTGACACCTCTCAAGTGCCAGCAAACTCTGGTAGCAGGGATTGTCTTCATTTTACATGTGAAGTAACAGACCAGATGGGTAGCACTGCTTGGGGCCACATAGCTAATACTCTAATGCTCCTGCCGTGGGCACTGTGCCACCCTCTGCAGGGCCTCATGTGTTGGGACTGCACTGGCATTGCACCTTTTCATCCCTCTGTGTGCCAATCGATTCTGCAAACCCCAGCTGCTCAGCTTCCCTTAACAAGCCCTCCTTTCCCTGCCTCTGCCATTTCCGGTACTCTCTGTCTGGGATGTCTCCCTTCCCACATGGAAAATCCTGCCCATCTTTAGAGACTTAACTCGCATGCCACCTCCTCTGTGAGTCATTGCCAGATCCCCCTCTTCCCGACAGTGACTGCAGCTTCTTTTCTGAATTCCAGCACGTGTCATGTATCCTGGTGTGACACGTCACAGTTTGCCTGTCTGGGCTCCCTGCTCCAAAGTCGTTGGCTCCTTAAAAGCAGGGAACTCATCTTGCTCATTGTCCCCCCACAATGCCTTGCACGCAGCAGACACACAGTGCAGGTTTGGGGAGTTGACGGACGAAGCTTTGCTGGGAAGCTTTAAGATGAGATTAAAGTGGCTCTGAAGCTGCAGAAATGTGCATTAGTACATCAAGGATAAAATTATACCACTTTATGCCTTGGCCTCCTTTATCGTTTTCTATAAAATAATAGCTATTTTACTTTGATAACTTTTGAGATTAAGCAAAATCTTTCTTGAAAGTTTAACACCTGTTCCTTTTCCTACTTTTTTGCAGATATAGTTCATCCTACAGTTTTCACACTTACTCACAAGAGTAGCACAGTAAATATTACATTTATTTCATTATGTCCTGTTTTTTAAAACATGGGCATATATTTTAAGCAGTTAAAGGCTAAAAGATGTGGTTATTTTGGTTATCCTTATGATGGGGTAACGTATTTTCACTGAAAGTCAGTGGGCATCTTCCAGTCAAATGGAGAAGTTGTCTGTTTCGTAATACAAAGGTATGTTTTCCTTGTCAGCATCATGTGCACCATTAAGTTTCTGTGAATAATTTGAAGTACCTAGCTTTATTTTTCGAGCTAAAAGGTTAATTTGCAAAATGACCACACTTGGGAAAGTTAGCAGCCTCGTCATAGGAACATGACAGGAGGCGCTCCGGATGCTCCCCAGCTGCCCCCCACGCTCTCTTGCCTGCCAAGTAAAACCCTGACATCACCGCCTGCTTCTCCCTGCGTCCCCACCTGAGTTACTGATTGCAGCATGTGGGGCATGCAGTGTGGGGGAGGCAGAAGGTGGGGAGTAGGTAAATATGAAAGGCAAGGCCTCTGCCCTCGTTGGCCGAGCGAGGTGTAAGTGGACACTTTGGAGGCTGGGATGATCCTGAACCTAGGAACTGAACCTGGGAACTTGCTTTTCTGAGCTTGGCAGGCCGTTCTGGTGTGAATTTAAATATGCTCCCCCCTGGGAGAGGACACCTTAAAAAATAAAGGGCAAATTTTAAAGGGAATCTACACGTTGGTCAGTGATCACTACTAGATGGGCAGTCTCTTACTTTTCTTCCAACCTACGATTATGACTTCTGGGGAAAATAGGAAGTGGCAATGGTGAATATGGAGTCAGTTCATATTTATCAGCACCTTCTGTTTGCCAGGTCCAGCAGGAGAGCTAAGGACTCTCTCTGCTGGGTCCCCTTCCGCCCTCTCCCCACATTCAGGCCTCAGCTGCTCTGCTGCTTTCCGTGCTCTGCACACCCCAGCACCTGTTCCCTGTTGTTGCTTCCTTCCTGTTTGTGACTATTTGTCAGTGTCCACCATCCAGCAGACAGGAAGATCTGTGAGGGCAGAAGCCAGGTCTGTCTTGCTCCCTGCTTTTCCACTTCACTCAGAGTGGGTGCTGTGAATATTTGTTGAATGAGTGAATGAATGAATGAAATCCATGAAGCAACTCAGGAGCAATTTCACGTGGCATAAACCAGAGTGCTACGTGGTATTTTGTAGACTGCATGGGTTAGACATTTAGAGGTCACTGGAGGTCATATGTAGATTTGAAGGCAAAGGAATCTTAAACCTTGTCTTAGGATTTGGCTAAGTGGATGGGGGGGCGGATTATTCCAATAATTGGATTATTATTCCAGTCTGGAAAGTTGTGAAAATGTGTATGTTTGGGGGAGGAGGGTTTGAACTGTTTTCCACACCAAGTTTTTTTTAGGGATTAATAATCTAAGATTACCTCTAGGTTAATACAACAGCTTGTTTTTTTTAGAAATTAAAAGGTAAATAGGAAAAATAATGGTCATTTTGCTGAGCATAGAGTCTTAACTGACAAAGCTAATGATCTGGAAAAACCTATGTTGGAAAATGTCACTTTATTATATATGTCTGGAAGTACAGATGGGAAAACAGATTTTTTTCTTTTTGCAGTAGATTCATTAAGTGCTTAAGAAGAGATTCTCTTCTGTACCATCTTTACAGCCTGAGTAATTGGAGGCTAAATCTAAACTCCACATTGTCTTATGTTTCTTGCAAAAGAGGTAGCTGGATTGCTATTTTCTGACACTTAAATGGAGGTCCATTTCTAGGCATCTGCCAGTGCCTTGCTTAGAGCGAGATAATCCCTTCTGCACCTGCCGTGTACAAAGCGATTATGGCAGAAACTAAAGACTAATAACAGCTGACGCCTACTGACTGCTTACTGTTTGCTGAGAATGTTCCACTGAGCACAGAAACCTTAGGCACTTGCTCCAGGTCTTCCAGGTTCAGAGCTGGCGCTGGGCTTTGCAGGGCTAGATGCCAGGCAGGTGCTCTAACCACTTGGCTCTGCTGGGCCACACGGCAGCTCCCAGTGCCCGCTGGCAGGCCTTTCGTGTTCTTGCATGCGCCTAACCCCTTGTGGCTCCTACTCTAGGAGAGTTAAATACCAAGGTGTGCACGTGGATGGCGGAGTTCCTCCTTGAACCTCTGACTTTGGCAAGATAGTTGGCTAACCATCTTGTAGAGGGTAGGACTCCTTAGTTCAGCAAACCTGCTAGAGTGTTATTTTGTGTGCCAGTGCATAAATTAACCATTATTATTTATAGTCCTGTTTCTTTTGGTCTGGTGCAGTTTAATTTAAAAGAAGTAGGGAGAAGTGAAACTGGTTTGCTGTGATTTAGTCCATCAGCCCTCCCTCTGGACTGCCTCATCCCTCCTGTTCTATAGGGCACCCTCCGAAGCCCCGTGTCCTCCCCACCATCCCCTTTCTCAGCTTCTGCTCCCGGGTGCTGAGTGTTGTGAAGTTTCCAGGTGCCATAACAGTTAGTGCAAGGTGAGTCTAGCCTTCTCAGCCTGGCCGGTGAGTCTCCTTCCTGCCTGGAGAAAGGCACAGTTGTGTCTTACCGGCTTCTCTCTCACTTCCCTGGGTACAGATTCAGGGTCTCTGTGTCTCAGCTCTTCCTGGGCTCCCCTCATCCCTGCACTGCTGAGAAAACTGAGACCATGTGACAAGAACTTCCTTTCCTTTTGTCTCCACCTGGGTTTCTTATGTCCTCCTCTCCTCCCCTCCCTCTGAGGAAGGGACCCCCCTTAGAGCTAAGGGAAGCCCTGGGGCCTGGTCAGGAACTCAGGTCAGGAGCTCAGCGACATTGGCCCTGTGTTTTCACTCTTTCTTTCTGTCCTGGCTTTATCCCCTTGGTTTACAGACAGCCCCCATGCCTTTGAGATGATGTCCTGTCTGTCTTCCACCTTTAATCACAACATTTATCAAGAACATTCCACACTGAGAGTTCTTCCAGCCCCAGCAGCCTGGCTCTCCCCGCCCTGAAGTGTGATGCCCTCTGGGAGGGCCTGGGGTCTGGCTTCTTTCCCTGCCCAGTCCCCTCATCCTCCCCACGTTCCTGCTTCGTTCTTCCTGCTCTTCTGAATCTCCAGGCTTTTCTGACCCTACCATTCCTGTCCCCCGAATGTAAGAGCTCTCCAAGTTTCTGGGCTCCGAGTTGGGAGTCAGCTGACCTGGATTTCAAAACCCAATTCTGAAGTCTTTTCTCATCTATGACTATAGTCAAACATCTTATAGTAAAAGATAGCTTAAGTCAGTCTATTGGATTTCCTGCATTCTATTCCAGGTGGACAATTTAATAATTACCTGTTTTCTAGGTAGTGCTTAAAAGATCTGCACTGATTAAACTATTCTTTCATTGAAAATTTGTTTCCAGAAATTGAATGCTCCAACAAAATGGTATCATTCTTAACAATGTGAGATAGTATTTCCTCTGGAAAAAAAAAAAAGAGAGTGAAATCCATTTTACCACTATTGATCAGTAGAGCATTTAATGAAGAAAATATAAGGCAAAGTATGATTTTTATGAAAAAGGAAGTAATCAGACTTGAATTTTCTAACTTGTGCTACTTGGATATCCCTTGGCCGTTCTCATAAGAGAAACCAGGTACAGGTGGGTGCACTCTGTGTGATTTGGCCTTGCTTCTTTGTTCTTCCAGATTTTACCCTGTTCAGTTTAAGACAGAGTGTACCTTTAACAGTACTTATGGAAGTACTGTGAATGACTTTTTTTCTAACATATCTTAATGCTAATGGAGAAATAGCAAGTACTGATGGCATCTTAGTGCCTGCTCTTTTTTTTTTTTTTTTTTTTTTTTTTGCATAACAGTGCTTAAGAGCCTTCTGGTATCTATTTTGGACTCCTAATGAAATGAGAAAGGCAATTAAAAAAAATCAACTGAAGATAATATGAAATAGTTTTGCTTAATAACAAACCTCTCAGGTACTCTACCCAAAGGTATGGAGATTTTAAATTATGTTTGGTTATTCAAGTGTCTTGACTTACTATAATACCATTCTATTTTGATTCTAATAAATTATAATCCTATAATTCAGTTCGTTGCCGTTTTAATGGGACATTTTACTAGTAATGTTAAAATATTCATTTTATTTGTCAAATTTCAGGGTAATATGTTTGAGGGTTCCCTTCTCAGAGGATACAAAAAAGGGTTACTTAGATTTTGAGAGCTATAGCTCTTTCTCAGTGACTGTATATTATAAACAAAGAAGTTTTGTTACTTCCCTCTGAAAGGCCTTTACACCTCCCTGCTGTAGGTGAGAACAGTAATTTGGCTGTATCTAGAACAACCCAGGGACAGTGTTGCGGATTTTCTCTTTGATTGGTACCTTTTGAACACTCTTTGAGCGTGGGGAATAGAGAAAAGGAGGGAATATGAATAACTGGAAACTGCTTCCCTCAAGTAACTGAGCTTCCTGAGGTGGAGGAGCAGAGCCAGTGCATCTGCGACTTGCTGGTGTCCACAAACCCTCTGTCCCCAGGCGCCTTGGGGGCCGCGGGGCTCCACAGAGCCGCACACTGAGCCTTTGATGGGGGAAGGGTTTTTGAGCTGTGTTTTCTTCCCTGCATCCCCACTTCCCTCCTTTGTGACCAGCAGCCCGGTATGGTACAGTGGGGACCTTTACCTTAGATTTTGTTATCAGTGAGATTTACCTAAGTAAACTCCTGGCAGCTGGTGACAAGGCAGTGTATGTGATGTGTGGATTTAGATGGTGCTCTTTGAGAATGTGGCTGTCTCAGGCTCAGTCAATTGTGGCAGTCCTCCTAAATCAGTGGGATTGACTTATTACATCAGGATTTGGCTTGTCTTTGTTAGAACCCCAACAGTCTACAGAGAAGGGTTCTCAGATTCTGTGGTGCACCCCTAGAGCTCATTCCTCATGAGCTCCTCATAGACTACTCAACTTCCTTTAGGCTTAAAAGCAGAATGTTTAAGGGACCAAAGTTCATTTCCCTAACAACATGACAATAAGGAGAGTTGAAAGTAGCCAAAAAGATAATGCTAGTATAATAACTTGATATAGTGGTTTAATGATTGGCAAAGCTGTGGGGTGTCTTTGAGGCTGTTAAGAGTTATCAGAAAAATGATAGAATTCCAGATGATGGAATATTGGAAATTGTTGGGACATCGATGTGGCATCATTCTAGTGAAGAAAATGCCAAATATGACCTCTCTCATACATGTATTTGATACATATGTTTTCTGGTCCAAACTTCTTCATGTGCATGGTGAACAGAATTAGACCAGGTAATCTAAGTTACCATCCAGGGCTGAGATTTTATGACCGAAGACTTAACAGCTAAACATGGTATTCTTTCTGATGGTGCGGGAAATAATAGACTCACTGTCTTAGTTTTGCTAATGTTGCCTGCCTTTAAACTTCATAATGCCTTTTATAATACCTCTATGGTGAATTTTAAATGAGAACAGTATTTACCAAGCATTTTTCTGGAATTTCACCAAGCAAAAATATATTGATTTTATTAGACTTTATAAGACTATTTATAAAAGTAGGACAACTAGATATCCTCTGCCTTGAAGTAAACTCCAGAAAACTCTTGTCTGGATTGTTGCCTAGCCTCATCATTTATTAACTGGGTAAACTTGGGTACGCTTTTAATGTCTGTCTCCCTCAGTTTCCTCATCTGTAGAATGAGGCTAATAAGTGCCATTTCATAGGAATTGAGATGATTAAATTATATGCACATAGAGTTCTCGATAGAGTGCCCGGCACAGAGCGCTCAGCAAATGATGACTGCTAGTGTCTGTCTCCCTCTCCCACTGTTTCTCATGGAGATGACAGAGAGCTTTCTTATATACCAAGCTGAGGTCATACCTTTCTAGGACAGGAGTTTATCTACATATTCTGAATGTCAGTTACCTTATAAAGGAAGTTGGTTTCATTATGGTGGTCCTAACATTCTCTTGTAAATGACTGATTACTACTACTGATTACAACTACTCTTGTAAATGACTGATCATACTAGATTGACTCATTTAAACAGAGTCCAACGTAGTTATCCTGAATTATTGAAACCCAAAATTGCTGAAATTAAAACTAAAACAATATATTATGAAACTGGTGATAATACATAATTCTAGCCTGCTTTTTTGATACACTCTAGCCTGCTTATAAAATAATAACTTTTTACCGTTCTGTTTATTTCTAGTTTCTTTAATAAGATGGAGGAGTTGGAAGTATATATATCTTTTGAATAAGCATTGATCGATTGGTGGAGTTGACTTTTTGCAGACCAGAGAATGAGGCTTGGTCATCGTTTAGAGTCCTTAAGTCAGTCAGCAGATTGAGATGTTGGGGGTGGGGGTGGGGAGACAGGTAGTGTCAAAAGGCAAAGAAACGAAAGATTTACTGTCTTTAAAGAAGACAGCAGTAGCTTGTCTGCACCTCCCACCCCCCCCCCCCCCCCCCCCCCCCCCCCCGCCCTCGCCTGGCTTTTTCCAGTGAGGAAATGGCAGCACAAGTGGTTGGGCAGCATGCTTGGATGACCTGGCAGGTTCCCAGCCTCACCTCTTCGAAGGGTGTGTGCTACATGTTCGGGGTGAGTTGGGGGTGGGGCGAGATTTGGTGACCATTTGGTACAGAGGACTGGTGGGCTTGATCTGTGTTGTTGTTTCTCTTTGGATTCTTAGAATAGAGCTTTCTCAAATGTGTTTAAAGAGAGATTTGGGGAAAAAAATGAGAAGATTCTCTGGCCCCTAGATGGTAGAAGAATATTCTGTTCATAAGAGGGAACATAGGATAGAAGGATGTGGAAAGCTGTGTTTTTTGAAGCCTATGGTCACTGCCTTGGTGTGGCAGGGGTGCCCACATGGGCTGGAGCTTTCTGAAGAGGAATGTGGAGATCAGATTCCCCTGGGGTTGCCAGTCCCTGGTGCAGCCTCTCAGCAGCACCTTTGGAGTCATAGCTTTCCTCCGCTGTCCCAGGAAAAAGAGTAGAAGTGTATCTTGTCACTTGGAGAAAGAAGATTTTTTTGTCCCATTCCAGCAGGTGTAGTTAAAAATAAATTTTAAAATTTTAAAAAAGAAGAGGAATTCTTTGAATGAGGCACTGAGCAAGGCACTGGGGACTCACAGGGGGTCAAAGAAGACATGGTCCCTGCCTTGCTGAGCCTGCCTGTGGGGACTGGAGGGGAAGAGATGCTAATCAAATGGCCACAGCGCATGCAGTTGTGAGGGGCAGACTGAGGCCAGCGTGGGAAAGGCAGGAACAGGGCAGGAGGATCAACAGGGACCTGGAGATTGGAGAAGGTGGCCCGGAAGAAGAGGGATTTGCATGACCTTGCCTACCATCCTTTTGTGGTTTTTTGGTCACTTATCTGTCTTCACTGCTAGGCAGTACCCCCTAATGATATCAGTGATGTACAGTGCCTTCCACTTCGGAGGTGCTCAGGAAATGAAGTATGTGTTGAATGAATGAATTTCTAGTCTTAACCTATCTTCATCTTTTTTTCTAAGTCAATAAATATTTGTTGAGTAATTGATGATCAAAAATATTGATTGATTATCACTAAATTTGGTTCATAATTGGTTGCCCATCATAGAGTATACAAATGGTAGCTAATAAAAAGGTTTTTTTTTTTGTTTTTTTTTTTGAGACGGAGTCTCGCTCTGTCGCCCAGGCTGGAGTGCAGTGGCGGGATCTCGGCTCACTGCAAGCTCCGCCTCCCGGGTTCACGCCATTCTCCTGCCTCAGCCTCCCAAGTAGCTGGGACTACAGGCGCCCGCCACTACGCCCGGCTAATTTTTTGTATTTTTAGTAGAGACGGGGTTTCACCGTTTTAGCCGGGATGGTCTCGATCTCCTGACCTCGTGATCCGCCCGCTTCGGCCTCCCAAAGTGCTGGGATTACAGGCGTGAGCCACCGCGCCCGGCCATAAAAAGGTTTTTAAACAGACGTATCTTTTGCCATGTTTCAACAAATTTTAATTAAATTTAACTGGATGTAGATTATACATTCATTGTCTTCCAATGGGAGAAAAAGTTCTTCCATCATAATTTTATAAATTTATTGAACAATGTTATTTCTCCACTAATTTCATTTTCTTAATTTAAGTTTTTTAAATTATAAGGTGATACACATTTGTCATAGAAAAATTATATATAAGCGAAAGGCAGAAAATCTTAATTCAGTGTGTATTGATGTATTTAAATTTTTATTTCATCATATCAAGTGAATTCAAAGAACTTTATGATGAAAAATTCCCTGAAGAGTTGGATATAATCTGTGCTTAAAAATAAAAGTCTTAAAAATTGATTTTTTTCCCTCAAGAGCTGAACATGTGAACCATGTTTTGATTCTGATTTATGGTCATCAAAACTAAATTTTCAATTCAAGAGATACTTTGCAATTTGTCATTCTGTTCAACTGTATTATATCCACTTAGAAGACGGGTTGATCAGCCTTCTAGAAACTCGCTGTCTTGCATGCTGCTGCTTATGAGCCTGCATTTGGGGGTGGAAAGGGGAAACCTCAAGGTATTTAGTGTAAATTTTTCTCCTGCCTGCCATCTTTTCCATCTTTCCAATATTCAGCTTTCTTCTTTTTGTTTATCTTCTCCCATTTCTCCTCACTCTGTTTCCTTCTGGGGATGTCCATCTTCTTACTCTCTCTCTGCTCCCATTCTCTCTCTGATTGGTGCAGTATTGCTTTGAAGAGGAAGGGGGTCTCTATAGGCCTATAGGATGGGCCGATGGAGCTGTCTTTTGCACCTCTGCTTTCTCAATTTTTACAAAGCACATGTATTTGCTGAGGCCATGGATCCACAGTGGGCCTAGGGAGGATGCCACAGGCTGTCCTGCCCAGGAATTTGTCAGACCAGAGATCTCTTGGTTATGTGAGATAGGGTCACATTTCTGAAACTTGCAAAATTGCATCCACCCTAAAAGGCCAAATGTGAGAGTTTGTGACTGATCTCATCCTTGCAGAAGGAAGGAAAATGAAACCATCACGTGAGTTAGGTGTGTCTGTTCCTGGCTAATTAGTCCCTGACTAATTAAAAGAGATAGTCCCTGACTATCTCTTTTAATGTATGCTTAAGGAGTGAAGCAAAACAAGATCCAGCTGGATTTTAGTCAGAAAAATTTAATTGCATGGCATTATGGTTTTTTTATCAGAACAAGCTAGGTGCAACTTCTAAATTATATTTTGTCATTTCTGATACTATAGTCATCAAACAGGGCAGAGTCACTGAATTCTTCCATAAATATATTTGAAATTAATAATTTTGCATTATGGCAGGATGTAAATTCTTTAACATACAGTATTTAGAAGAGTCATTTCTATGAGCAACTTTCCTTTTTGTATAGTTAAATGCCTCATTGAAGGTGATTAATATGTTCAACTTGTTTTTCTTTAAGTAAAAATCAGTCTGGGTAGAGAAGAATATTCTTTAGAAAAGTAAATATCTGATTTTGGGAAATGTTTGTGTCTTAGAGGCCATTTGTGTGTTCTAATATATTTTTTTCTTCAGAGCATTTTGATTCTTTAGGTTAAATATGGCCTTTTGAGAATTGTTTTAGGAAACACCTCTCCATGTATTTATGGAAATACTTTTATTTTAAAAATGCTTATTGTTAAATGTTTGAAAAACATGAAAAACAAAAAAACCTTAACGCAAATGTATTTTGTTCCTGTGCAGAGCTGTTAATGTTTCAAAGCTGTTTCACGTACTAGATGTTTCTGAATTAGGGATTCACATAATAATGAATTCTGCTTATTTTGGTTCTCCACAAAGGTTTGTTGTATGAGCTTAAAATAAGCCTGCAGCTGATTTGTGTAACACATATTAACTGTTTGTTTAGTTTAAGTGCATGTCTGTATCTCTCATTTCTGATCACCCTGGAACATTTGCATGCTGCACAGCAGCCATCTTCTTTTATACTTTATTAAATATCTGTCAATTATAAATATCAAGGTTTTACATTAATGTCAAGATAGTACATCAAAAATTCATGGAATATGTGACTTTTTCCAAGGGTATTTAATACTTAATGCATCTGTGTCATTTTTCTTTCCAGAGATATCGACAGGTTTTATTAAGTGTTTGTTAGGGAGATTTCATTTTTATCAAGGGACTATAAAGAGAAGCTGCATGCTAAATCAATTTTTTAAAGCCGGAATATTGTTCATTTTTTCATCTTCAAACACTTATAATCCATAGGTTTTATTTAAATTTCTTCTTGGTTTATTTTTGTTTTATGTGAGTGATAGTTCAAGACGGAACTTTAATAAGGATCAAATATGCTGACTGTAGTGGTTTTTAATTTCCTTAAGCATAGCTACCAGACCCATGCAATATGGTAAATTCTTCAAAATGTCATACTTACATATTTAGCAATATTGCTCTTTTTTATTGAAGCCGAACAAACAATTTTAGATATTAATCTTTCCCAAACGTAGTGATTATTTTGTACTCGGTACAATATTACTGTGTCTCAACATGGAATGCCTCCTTTTGCTGGAAGAGGGAAGGGGAAGAGTGCGTCCCTGGGTTGCCTGGCTCTGTAGTGCTTCAGGTCTGATTATGAGCCACGGCAATGGTTCATTTCTCCATCTTCATATATTTATTGTGCTCAAGAAAGTAAAAATATTAATCACTTAAAAAATCTGGAGAAAATCCGTGGCTAGTTTCTCCGCCTGTATTTACTGGGAGGTGTGGGCTGAGGGGAGGTAGCGCTTCAGGAGACCCCATTGCCGCTGCTGCTGGGCCCCCCATGCCTGAGAGGCCCTCTCACTGTCGTCTTTCTGACAGTGGCAGGCAGAAGCTTCTCAGGGACCCTCCTCACCCATCCCATGTGTGTCTGTGTCTTGGAATCTACAGTTACAATTGGTTTGGAAGCTAAAACCAATTGGCTGCAGAGAGTACGTTTTCTGTTTTAATTGTATATTTTTATTTTAAAAGTGCAAGCTAGGAATGTCTTCTAGTGAAAAGGCTATTGTAATCAACAAAACCTTTATAAGCACCACTTTGCTTCATTAAGTGAGGAACGCTCAGTTATCTTTTGTATAACGTATGAGCTTAAAGATTTTCATCTAAGGATATTTTAGGAACTTTCCAGTAACTTCAGATTAATAATTTTTGGAAGATGTGTTTTAACTTGGTCTTCAACAGGGAAAAAAGGTTTTTTTTTGTTTGTTTTTAATACATTGAGCTTAAATGAAAATTGTTTGGCATAGACATTTGTCTTATCCTTGTTCAATTCTTCAGAATAAGTAAAACCATTTATTTTCAAAATTAAATATTTTTTAATTATGAATATTTTTGATATTTGAATGTCTCAAGATTCTTATAAAACTATTATATAATAGTTTTTAGAGACAGCAGAGATTTTTCTTTTTAGAAACCAAATCTTAGTTGGGTAAAGCTGAAGTAGTAGCTGTTTTTGATAAGCCCAGTTTTTGGTTTACAGTAAGTTGCTTTAAAGGCCTTGCCCTGGGAAATATCAAGAACTCTGCGACTGTAATCTACTCTCCCAAGTTGCCAGAAGGTGGCAGTAGTGTCACAGTAATGAGAGCTCTGTGGAGAGAGTTATTTCCTTTCTCCGTTAGTGTCACATTTTGCTTTAGTGTCACTGTTAAGTGCATGTGTCAGTGGCAGAATCTTTTTTTTAACCAGATTTATGTACAGTGTGTACACCCTATTTCTTAAGAAGATAAGAACTATTTCTAACAGATTCTGCAAATATTATGTAACCATGCAGCCAAAATGATCTTCAAAATCTGAAGAATGCAGTGACACATTTTTTTCTTGAGTGTTTTTTTTTTCCCTAAATGATTTCATCAGGACTGTGAGCATGGACTTATATGTTGGGTAAGAAATGTGTATGAATAGCAGGAAGAGAAACATTTTGAAGAGTTAATTTTCCATCTCTTGATGGAGATCACCCATGTTTGGATAGTTGTGTAGGGTCCAAGGCTACTTAAAGAAATTTGAGAGTTAGAAGACTCTTGAAGTTATTTTTAGATTTAGCATTTTGAGATTTAGCATTCCAGTTTTGAATATTGTCATCTTTTCTGCCATTTAATAAGTCAGACTTCTTAGTGGGGGCTCCAAATTTTTAGACTTAGAGATTTAGCATTGGAACTTACTAACTTTCTACAGTTTAATTCTACAGTTTAAATGAATTAAAATACGTAAAAATAACAAAAACAACACTTTCCCACTTCCTAGAGTATGAAAACAGGCAGGATGTGCAAAGTTCCCAGTTGATCGGGTAATGCGAAGTTTCATTTTATTGCAAGTGAAGGAACTTTAGCAAAACTAACACTTAATTGGCAGCCTTTTGTAATACATAATTTGCCTAAAATTGCGCACTGAGCACAAGCTTTTGTTTTCTAATTGATTTACGGTTTTAGCTACTTTTACCTCATCCCCTACTGTCCTGCGTAGGGTGCCAGCGAGTACATTACAGTGAGCGATGATAAATTACAGTGCACTTGTGATGCCAATGCGTCACGAGTGAAAACTGCAGGCTACATGGAGCTTCCTGCATTAAAAGTGGTGCGGAGACCCGGCTTCAGCAGGATTTCATTTGTATCTCAGAAATAACCATTTGTTCATTTGATCACTTACTACAATCTATCAGACTGTAATTGAAACTGAAGATCCAAATTGTACTATTACAGCTTTTAATTTCTTAATTGAGACAAAGTTTTTAAGTGCTTGAAAGGCCTAAAGTGGAGGACGTGGTGAAGAGAGAATATGAAATCTATATAATTTTCTCATAAAAGTGAAGTTTTAGTATTTTTACCAAATGTTCTTTTGTCCAGGAAAGAAGTAAAATTTAAATATGCTGATCTGTTTTGTCGTTATCCTATGTGTTTGTGAAGTTATTTTATAGTCTCATAGACCTGCACTTCTCCTGATTTTCCGTGCTTGATCCGCATTTGCCGTGTATATGATTCATGTGCGAACAAGTTGATTCCCATGAAATGACTTAAGTCGGAGAGAAATGAAAGAGCTTTCAACCGATTAGAGTGCCTTTAATTTTTCCTTTTGTTGACATGGGATTTGAACCCTCTCAGAAGGCCTGTGCGGTACATCATGGCATGAGGTGCAGAGCGGGGCCAGGATGGACCTGGCTTGGGCGGCTCTGCGTTTCTGCTTAGATCCAGTGCTCATCGCGTAGGCGTGCCTGCCTTTTGTAAAGTCGGTCCACCTTAAATTGTGTTTTGCGCGTTGTCTGTGGGTGCTAGTATCGAAATATGAAGAAGCAGATTTATGGCGGCTGCTGGGCACAACAAATTAAGTTGACAGTGATGTATGAGAGCATAACAGCGCGATGATCCCTCTGTAGCGCGGCTGGACGCCGCCTGCTTCATTTGGCTCTTGTTAGGATCTGTTAGGCAGCTAAATAATGAAATTCTGCTGACTGATTTCTGTTTTCCCTTTTTCTCTTTTCACCTCTGCTTTCTAAAACTTCTAATTCCCAGACCCATCCTCATGCCAACAAACTACCCTTGAAGGATTCTTTCACTTACGAGGACTACAGGTTGGTGTGGGCTGTGAGTGTGTCTGTGTATTGAGGGTGGTTTCTAAGTGAAGTGGGATCCTGGAAGGGAGGGAAGGGCTTCAGTGAGAAGTGACCTGCTGTGACCGTTAAAGCATCCAAACAGAGCTCATCTTTCAGAAGTTATCAGGAGCAGCTTGGATAAGTATCAGCATTTTCATAGCCATGTAGAAATTGCCATTAACCTGTCATGGCAGGGGATTAGCTGAGGTAGCCAAATGCTACTTGAGATTAACATTAGTGTTGGGTGGTCCTATGGATTTTTCTTTTCTTATTTAAAAAAGACTATGTTAGTGTAAAATGGGGACTTTTTTTGAACGGAGAGATTTAATTCACTGCACAGTGTAATAAAAAAGTCACATTTTACATTTCTTACAATTCACAGAGGATTTCTGATCAGAAAGGAGTTTTATGGTTTGCTTTTCAATGAGGCTTAAAATAGGTGCAGAGTCAGCATTTGGGCAAAAGAGGGTTGGGTTGGGGGGTGTCGGGGAGTGGATTTTGTGAGTCACGAAGATCCGGGAAGGGGCCTGAGCCCTGCGCAAAGCCGTCCTTCTGGCTCTGCTTCTTGGGAACAGTCTGCCTTAAACACTCACTCCTGCATTTCCCCTGGCTCTTTCAAACCCTGGGTTTGTTTTTAAATGATGATGAAGGCCAAACATTACCTTTGTTACTTAGGAAAAGACTTTGTACGTTTGTAAGAGATCAAACCTAAATTTTTGGTTATGTTATTTCTTACTGCAATTGGCTTTTAAATGTTCCAACCTTAAGTCACCATTTATCTTGTTATAGGTGGGCAGTCTCTTCTGTTATGACGAGGCAAAACCAAATTCCCACAGAGGATGGTTCCCGCGTGACCCTGGCTCTGATTCCTTTATGGGATATGTGTAACCACACCAACGGCCTGGTAACGACCTCTTCCCCTGTGTTGTGTTGAATCTGGGAGGCTGTTGTTGCTAAGCTTTGGGAGGGGGCTGTTATTCCACCTACCCATCGTACTCCCCCCGTTGCCTCCCTCCAAAAGGAACAAACAAAACCGAACCGGCCACTCCTCCCCACCGCCCACAGATAGAAGCTGGTATTTTTCTTTTACTGCATTGACTAATACTGAAAACTGGGAGCTTGAATCTTATACCATTTTCAAAAGCCACAGTGAACTACATGTGTTTGCTAAGCCATAATTCCAGCCTCAACATTCATTTTCTTATCTTATTGTACCACAGACTAAACCAAAGTTTCTTTTTACTTATTCTCTTTAAAATGCTCATTTATTGGGGAAAAAAAATCATATTTCTCATTTTCCCTTTTGTGTCTTCTTTTCTTTGCTGACACTCTGTTTCCAGTTCTGTACCTTTGATTCTTTCTTGTCCCCGGTCCCTTCCCCTGATGGGCTGACGAATCCCTGGCCATGTTTATGAACCTGTGTTTGTTACTTGCTTTCCCTGGTGCTGTGGGGCGGGAGGAGGGGGCTCATGCCTTGGGCTCCTCGCCCTTGACTGCAGGAGTCAGCTGGCATCATCATACCTGGGAAGCCTGGGGAGGAGGAAGTTGTATTATTATGGTCCCCCACAGCTGGGAAGAGGTGGAGGCAGGCTCTGTTTCTCCACATTCTTCGGATTCCGGGCAGCAGCATAGGTGAAGCGCTCTGTGCTCTGTGAGAGGGTTGTCTGATAAAGATTTCCTGATATTAGTAGGCAGAAATAAGATACATTTCAGATCATTTTGAAATATCATACTTTATACTAGTATACTGTTTGATTAGGTTTTATGTTCATCTTTTCTCTGTCAGCTTTCCTTGTTATTAGCAGTATTATAAATAGAATAAAGAAATGCCGTGAATGATTATTTCACATTGAATTCCCTGGAATGGCCAGAACACACGTAGTGTGCGCCAGACACTGAAGACAGAATATCCTAGTGCTAATTTGGGAAGGTCTAGCAACAAGTATGTTCTTGAATCTTAAAAGTATTTAAATTGTGGCAAGAAAGAATAGTTCCATTTTTATAATTACATTTTGGCCTTAATTTAGATATGGTTAATTTAATTAGTAATGAATACTAAAACATAATAGCATGTTTTATAACTTATTTTCATTAATGAATATAATTTTACATTTTTTGTTTTGTTTTTCTTCAGAGTTATTTTAAATTGACGGTAAGCTTGAAATTTAAGAAATCTTCAAATAGCTTTTAATATCTGACTGTAGTGTTTTTCTTCTTCTTTTTTTGAATGAGATCATTTGTTCCCAAACTCAATTGATTATTAGAGTTCTTTTTAATAAAATTAAAGCAATAATGCTTGGCTTTACTCTAAACAAACAAAAAGAATTAACCCAGGAACCTCTGTAGCAAGGTGAGCAGTGCCCTACCCCCAGCCCCACAGTCCACCTGATGGTGTTGAGGCCGCCACCAGGCCACCGTGGTCCCTAGCGAAGCTTCCATCCATTGGCACCTCACACACTCATCTGCACATTGGTTTTTGTTTAGCTTCCATGTAAATGGGATAAAACAATTCCTTTTTCCCTACCAAGTGTTAAAAAAAAAAGAGGTTTATCTCAAAATAAAGAAATTGATGACAACCAGTGCTGTGTTTTCCCTAATACGACTACATACTTTTTAACCTACCACAGTCCTGGCAGAAACATTGCTAACCTGTAGAAGGTTTATTCAGGATGCTGGTACTTTGTCTTACAGTGGTTATGTTCCTGACATTCTGCACTCTGCACTCTTGTTGAACTGTTTCCCATTGTAATTATAAGATCTCATGGGAAATTTACTGGAGTAGAATTTAAGAAATTCTATTTTTTAACACTACAAAGTTGTTTATGATATATATTACAGTTAATGTCTTTTTAAAAATAAAGTCTTGAAATCAAGGCTTGGCTTTTAAGACGAGATTTTCTTTTTTGTGTGTGTCTATCCTGACGATCATCTTCTTATTGTCAGTCTACCCTGACTATCACTCAGGGAGTAGGTAGAATTTGTAACCCAGCAACGCTGTCTGCTTCTAACAATATCCCAAAAACCTGATTATGGTAGTAGAAACAGAAGAATCAAGTCAGTAACAGTAATTCCAAACCAGTGACAGCAAGGAAATGCTAAAGAAAGTAAGGGGCTGGATGAACACCTAGGCTAGAGATTCTGGTGAATATAAACTAATTTCCTAGCCACTCAGAGAAATAAATGTAGGAAGGGTTATAAGGTGTGGTACTAAGCTGGAAGAAACAACACATCTTTATATCTTGCATGATTTGTTCAAACTTAATGTAAGCAGCAGGTTTCCTTTGTTGAGGATTTTTCGGTTGATATGACAAGGATACTTCTAAGTGACTGTTAGACAGTGGTATTAGTTCCCATACAGAGAGTATGTTGGAATAATCAGTGCTTGCATTTGAATCTGCGACTCTACCAGGTGGGATGAAAGGGCAGCTGGAAATTCAGGCACAACGGAGGGAAGTTCTTTTTCAGGGTCCTTCTGTTTGTGTATTGAAAAAAAAATCTAAAACATTTATATTTAGATGAGTCTTACAGTCTCAAAAGCCCATTTTTACAATAGCAGACAAGTCTCTCCGAACAACCTGTCCCCCCACACCCTCCGTGCACACAGGTCTGACTCACCTCTGGTTCCCTGCTATTCTTCAGACACCAGAAGATTCCTTCGCTCTTGCTGTCGCCTCTGCCTAAGACCCTCCATTCCTTAGGCACTTACGGGACTCACTCATAGACCTCCTCCAGCGTGGCTGCCCTGAGCACCCTATGTGGAATGACTACGCCTCCAGCTCATCCGCCCTCCTGCCCTGTCCTGTTACATTTCCCTCTATTGTCCAGATCCGCTTGTTTCTGCCTTTTTAAAAAATTATTGTTGGTTCACCCCCCCGCCTCCCATTAGAATGGAAGATCCATGAACGCAGGGTGATTTTGGGGGAGGGTCTGTTTTGCTCATTGCTATATCGCTGTGGTTTTTAATGAATTCATGACCGGTAAATAAATGACTGTAAAAGCCCCATGCCTAGGAAAAAAGATCAGAAAGAAATAAACCAAAATGTTAACGTGATTGTGATCTTTTTTCTTTGTTTTTTAAAAAATATTTTCCAAATTTTATTTGATGAGCCTGTATTACTTTATCCTCCCCCCCCCCATGAAATCAATATAATACATATTTGTGGAAGAAAATTTGAAAAACACAGAGAAGAAAATGTAAATGGTCCTCACTCTGTTTCCATCTTAGGGATGTGTGTGTATGTATATCGTGCTCTTCCTCCTATGTTACTTTTAATATGTAAACGAAACTAGAATACAGCTGTGCACCAAGTGTGCCATTGAGTTACCAAGCCAGCCACAGATGTGAGTGGTGTGCGCTGCAGGCAGGTGGTGGCTTTCAGGGAGCAGGGCTCCATGGAGCTGCTGGAGGCTTCCACTCCCTGCTGGGTTCCTCCTCCAGCATTGCCAACAAACTCCGGCTGCCACCCGCTCCCCTCCCCTGGGCACACTTGAGACTCCTGTGGGGCTATTCTCAGTTCCACTTGCTTTTATATATACGTATATATATAAATTTTTTTCTCCCTGTGTCTTTTCCACTAGATGTCCCTATGGGTAGGGACTGAGACTTTTCATGCCATTTTCCAAGTGCCTCGCTTAGGGCCTGGCATAGTATGGCACTCAGTATTGTAGAAGGGAAGTTAGCTGGCAGTGTGGGAGGCAGGAAGCGGCACGTGGAGCTGGGCGAGGAGGAGGTGGAAGGACCCTGTCCTTGCTTGACATCGGGTGGCTGCCCCTGGACCAGCCCTGGCCTTCCCAACCCCTCCTCTCCTAGTCTGGGCTTCAAGTCAGACCTGGTCAGCGTCTGCAGATTTCTGGGCGTAGGTGGTAATTTCCTGGGGCTCCTGCCAGAAGGCCCTTGCTGAGCAGTGGGGTCCTTACAGCCTTGGAAGGCCCCTCTGCAGGCCCACCCTGGGAGGGCTCTGCTCTGAGAGAGTCCTCTAGAAACCTGGCTTCAGGCAAGGGAGGGGCGAGGCCTGTGCTTCCGCCTGCACTTCTTTGCACTGAGACACACTTGATACCGTCCTAGAGGAAGTGTTTGGCAGTGCCACACAAAGAAGTTAGACACTCAGCCTCCAAACATTCTGACCCTTGCTGAGAAAGGGCTGCAGACCGGGGCAGGATCCCAGCCTGTTTGCCTGTCCGGGTTGCTGTGGACATGTTAAACTATTTCTTGAGCTTGACGTTTGCTGAGAGTGGGAAATATCTGTAAAATACCCTTAAACACCCATAATCCTTTCTCCACAATCTCCCTAAATTTTCTCTTCCTTCCTCTAACCTCCCTCCTGTTTGTGCTGCTGGCAGGTCCCTGTGTACCTGTACTGCCAGCACCCTGGGAGTGCCTGGACTCCCTCCTGGGAGTTCATGATATGGGCAGCTTCTCATTCCACTTTGTTGTCAAGGTGATGTTTTGGGGTCAGAAAAGTACATCCGATGTTGGGCAGGAACTTCATGGAGTTGATTTTCATTCAATTGAAGTGTTTAAAATGTTCTGCGAGTGAAATGTTCTAGAATACTTGGCTTCATTTATTTCTCATTGCTGCATATTTATCACTGGTCTTTGCAGATCAGAAGCATGAAGGAAATTTAGACATATGGTTAATAAACCATATTTATTCTTGGGATATTGAGTTTAAAGATTAGTGTTACATGGCCTTCCATCCCAAAATGCCATTCCCTAGACTCAGAAGTCATCTTTTGAATCCAAGCTATTGATACCTTATTAGCAAGGAGCACTTGTAGCTGCTGTGAATCTTTGATTCTCCAGGATAAAATGAGTAGGTCAAAAAGTAATCAGTGACCATCGACAGACAACCTAAGAGATTGGGCGCTGCTCTAAAAGACAGGACTCTGAGAAGGAGGTTTTAATAGAAGCTGGGGACCCTTTCCTTTCCCCTGCGGGTTCATGCATCACGTGAATATTCTCAAAGACCACTTCAGGTTTTAGGTTCTGTGTGCTGAGCACTCGGGACACAGAGATCAACAAGGGGCTCCAGCTTCCAAGTGTGACCGACGGGGAGGCAGGTGCACAGATAACGTGACTTGGGCTGGAGCGCATAAGGACTGGGCTGTGGGAGTGCACAGGAGGGCAGGGTAAGGAGGGGCTTCCCTGAGAAGCCAGGCCACAACAGGAGTAGAAGGTAGTGTCAGGCAGGAGGGAACTGGGATGGCAGGTGGGTGGCAGTTCCTGAAGCTGGAGGGAAGCGTGAGCCGCCTCCTTATTCGGCCGTGCTCAGGAACTTGGGGTTTATTCCGAAGGCAGAGCGGAATCATAGGAAGATTTTGAACAGGAGAGTGACATCGTACAATTAGCAACTCCAGAAGGACAGTATTGGATTTTGAGACTAGGTTCCAAGAGTTGGAAGGTTTTTGCAAATAACAAGCTAGGTGAGAAGGAATAAGGACTATAGCCATGCAGAGGAATGAGGAAGAAAGTCCAAACAGTATTTACAAGATGAAATGCTGACCAGGTGAGACGCGAGGGTTTCCTTGTAACTTGTGTGCTGAGGCCATGACATTGGCTGACCTTCACTAAGACGGGGGAGCTTAGAAGGAGACGCAGGTTTGGGGTATAATGAGAGGATTTTCTATATTTATTTGTAATGGACTTAGAAACTCTCACATTGTATTTCTCAGCAGAAAGAGAGGGCATAAAAAACAGCAGTTATTTTATTTTGCCTTTGCATGCTTGAAAGTTTTAATTTCTTTAATTCAGAGCATATATCCATAATTCAGAAATAGAGCTTTTCTTTTCCCTGATTCTTTATCCAATGGAACACCCACTTGGATTTCTTAATGGCCAAACATTAGATAAAGATAATACTTGCAAATGAATGAGAATAGTGCAGATCGTCAGTGAACAGAAAGGAGGCTTAGGTGCACCTGTGGGAGGCGTGGCCTGTGGGCTCACTGCCCTCACTGCCACCAGGGAGGCCCAGAGGCGATTATGTTTTGTTGAGTCCAGCAAGTGACAATCTATATAGTCTCTTTATCTAACTGTGCTTCCTTTATTTCAGGTATGTAATTTTCCATAATCATCTCTGATATAACTAGAGTTAACCTCAGTGCTCAAGCAGTTCTTTGCCCCATTTTCCAAAGCATTCAGATGCCACCTTTTGAGTACCTTGGGATCCCCTTTTTCCTCTGATTGCCAGAAACAAGCTTGTAGATTAAGTGAGATGTGCGTGTGTTTGCCTCACCATCATTTCCTTCCTCCTCCCCGGGCTAGATCACTACTGGTTACAACCTGGAAGATGACCGCTGTGAGTGTGTGGCTCTGCAGGATTTTCGGGCTGGAGAGCAGGTGGGTCTCGTGGCATCTCACAAAATGTGAGCCAGCCAGTGGGCACTAACGTTAACACCGTGTTGGTAATCTTAAAAAGGAACTTAACTTAGGGGAAAAAATGTGGAATTCACATTGAGGATTGTTTTTCTGGAACACATCTTGAGACCAGAACCCGTAGTACACATATTCACTTGTGCTTTACTCACTTGTGCTTTGCATTGTGCTTTGGGTCCACAGAGAAAAAGATTTAAACACAGTTAGTTGCACAATTGGCCTAATATTTGTAAATATTTGTAACACTCTTAACTGAAAATAAAGTGTGTTATGACACTAAACAATGTTTAACATTTCATAAACTGTTGCCTTTATTTTTTCTACTGATTAGAACTTTATAAGAGTATTTAAGGGGCAAAAGCAAGGGAATCTGTTGTCTTATACTTTCATTTTAATCTCTGATTTTTTAATCTAGTAGTTTGGGTGGGAGGAGGGGTAAGCCTTTGGGTGAGTTTGAAAATACGTGTCTATAAATTCCTACATTCTATCAGTCTACACCCAAGCAGACAGTACAGTCATGGAACTCACATCCATAATTGACATTCCAGTTGAGACAAAATGAAAAATACTTGCCTAGCAAAGTACTGATCTGTTCCTTCTTCAGAAAAGTTTATAAACCCACCTGCCAGGTGCAGGATTAATTGCCAGAGGATCTAGAAATAAGTTTCTGACAGATACTGCTTTACAGTTCCAGAAGAGACCCTGCTGTATTAAAAGGACAGGAAGAACTTGGTGAATTTTAAAATACAGTCTTATAGTAATAGCCTTGCTGTCCTTTGGAAGGAGAAGAGGTTTATAATAGAGGCCTGGTGACCCCAGGTCACCTGGGGTCCTTTGAGTACTAGTAAGGCCTTTGGTGGTACTTTCTCCTGGCCTCCCCTCTCCTCTCCACACGGTGGTGGAAGTGGGTGCTTGGTCTCAGACAGTTTGGAAAGTTGGGAAAATTGCACAGCTTCACCCTTGCAACCTATACCAAACAGGTGTATCAATACTTTCAGCTATTTAGTGTCTAAATGTAAAGTAGCACTAAGCCTCTGCCCTGCCCTGTGTTAAGAATACATGCCAAGTTTGTCTAATGCCCTTTTCTTTTTTCTTTACTGCATCTCAGATTTACATTTTTTATGGCACTCGATCCAACGCAGAGTTTGTGATCCACAGTGGTTTTTTCTTTGACAATAACTCACACGACAGAGTGAAAATAAAGCTTGGAGTGAGTAAAAGTGACAGACTCTACGCCATGAAGGCCGAGGTCTTGGCTCGTGCCGGCATCCCCACGTACGTAGAAAAACATCGGTTGGCCCTTTCTTGCAGTACTTGAACTATTTCCAGTTGCATAGTGTTTAATTGGTGTGTTAATAAAACTTCTCTCCAGTAGTTTGTCTTAATCCGTTTATCCCCGTGGCACAGCAAATTTAAGCCATGGCGACGCTTGGTGGCTTACCAGCGTTTTCAGGTAAACATAATTGTGTCGTTGGGCGCATTCACAGTCAGTTCTGGGGGATATGGCCTGAAATCCTCATTAAGTTAAATAACTACTTTCGTATCATTCATGTCTTTCACCTTGAAAAGGTTAATGGCCTGGATCAATTTGTTTCATTTAATTCGTTGCTACCATTAGTTTCTGTAATGAAGTCATGATCCTCAGTGATTTCAAGAATTTCTAGTTAAGTTCTTTAAGATTTTCTTGCATTTGAGGCATAAAATGATAAAGAAGACAGGAATTAGGATTCATTAGTTCTCCAGGGAATAGAGGAACCATTCTTAATGAAAATGGATTATGCAGACCTTTTTTTTATTGAACTTGTCAATATTTGATTAATGATTAAAGTGTGAACTCAACATAAATTATTGTTAACACTTTTTAAAAACCATGTGTATGTTTAATTTTTGAATGTATTATGTGCAACCTGAGATTACAGCTGTTAGGCTCTAGGAAAAGCTTGTGAGGATGGTCTCCAATTCTGGATGTCCGCTTGCCTCCGCCCCAGCCTGCGGCCTTTTGCAGGGGCTGAAAATCGTGCTCACAGTTGAGATGAGGAGCTGGAATGACCCATTCCAGCTCAGCTCTCCTTGAGGACAACCACACGTGCTGTAGACTTAAGGAATCTCAGTTTGGAGCAAGTGGGTAACCGCAGCAGGGTGACTGATCTTGCTTTCTGCTTTTATCAGTTCCAGTGTTTTTGCATTGCATTTTACCGAGCCGCCCATCTCTGCTCAGCTTTTGGCTTTTCTCCGAGTATTCTGTATGACTGAAGGTAAGTCATTTCAGGAAAAAAGAGATGTTGACTTTTTTCTTTTTAAATCATGAAAGTGTAAAGCATAGGGATTCAGATTAAAGGTAAAGTGGATTAAAACTACAGTACTTTTGGGAAGAGAGAAGATACAATACTGGAGAAAGAAGAAATAGATTTGTTTTACCCTAGAAATGTTTTATTAAATCCTCGATGTGTTGTCAGTATTAATTTGTAATACGCAAATAATTCTCAACTGCATTTGAAGAAAACTTAAAACATCTTGGATAGGGTAAATATATCAAAATTCTACATTTGTAGCCTGACAGAGCCTCATTTCACTCACGGGGCACTAGTCTTTTTCACTTACATAGAGCAGTTCAGGATCAGTTGATGCTGTGATGTTGTGTAGTCAGCTGTGGCATACGTGGACCGTAGGACTTTATTTGTTAACCTACTCTGCATTCTAAATCTGAAATTGCCAGCAAGCATTTTAATGCCAAGCATCCTGTTAGAGTAAATAACATTGCAAACAGAATCTGTGTAGAACACAAAATGTTCCTGGCTACAGCCTCTTATTTCATGCCCAGAAAGAGTTAAGTATTTGTATTGAGCATCTACTTTTATATTAGCTTAAAACAAGTCATTTGGGGTTTCTTATGCTGAGATTTGACCTCTCGTGGTTGTGTTTTTATTTTTCATCCTAAAATGTATCTTACAAATTTCCTGGCCCTGAGGTTTCATTTTTAAGAGAGAGAAAGAGAGAGAGAGAGAGAGAGAGAGAGAGAGAGAGTGTGTGTGTGTGTGTGTGTGTGTGTATGTTTTGCTGTTGTTAACTACCTTAAATCCTGTACAGAACAGTCTGAGTAGGAATGAGTAAATGAGTGTTTGAGTGAGTGAACAGACGAACAAGTGTTCTGGAAGGAAGCTGCCCAAGCACTTCCTTGGTCGGAGGAAGCAGTCATGGCCCATGTGGGGGAAGCTGCTGTGCTCGGCGGTCACTGGCTTTGGTTTTAATGTCTGGATCCAGGGAGCAGTGCAGCACAAGTCCAGGGTTTGACGTCATGCTGGAGGCAGAAAAAACCTAGTCCCGAAACAGGAGAGGCAGTTCACACACCAACCGCAGAACCCAAACTGAGATACAGTCATTGTTCCTCATAAGCAACCCTGTCGCTAGATTTACGGTTATTCAAGTGGGAGCTTTTGGTGCTTTTTGTACTTGGGTAATGGTTCATCAATTCAATGTAATGAACACGAGTTAAGGGGTTAACTGTGAGCTTTTCTTGCATATATATGGATACAGAATTGAATGTTGCAGTTCATGTACTCAAGGCATTTATAATTAAGAGAGGTGATGGTGATGATATTCCTTGAATTTGTGAAGCATTCACTGTGCGCCAGGCATGATGCTACATTTGGTACATGCTCAGTTTTAATCCCATCAGCCTTGATTGGGAAGTGCTCCCATTTTACTGATGTAGATTCCACTTCAAAGAGGGTAAGTATTAGCTGGGCGTGGTAGCACGTGCCTCTAGTCCCAGCTACTCGGGAGGCTGAGGTAGGAGGATTGTTTGAGCCTGGGAGGTGAAGGCTACAGTAAGCCAACCCCAGCCTGGGTGACAGAGTGAGACCCAGGTGGGTGGGGAGTGGGGGAAGAGTATAAAGTTGGCTGGATGCTGTGGCTCATGCCTGTAATCCCAGCACTTTGGGAAGTTGGAGGATTGATTGAGCCTGGGAGGTTGAGGCTGCAGTGAGCCGTGATCTTGCTACTGCACCCTAGCCTGGCCAACAGAGCAAGACCCTGTCTAAAACAAACAAACAAACGAACAAACTAACAAAAAACCCAAAGAGGATAAGTAACTTGGCCGAGGTTGCTCAGTAAGCAAGTGATGACCCTGACTTAGAACCCACCTCTGTTAACTCCAGAGCCCACGTGCAGGACATCCCACATTGCTCCTGCTGGTTCACAGATAACATAGTACATGGAAAAAAGTCTTAGTGCTCTAGGGGTCTGGAGGAAATGGCATTCAAGTTAAACTGTGGAGCTCAGCGACTGTTTGGACAAGGTAGAGCAGGAGGGGAGGGGTATGACTGAAGACCTTTAGCATAGGGAGGAGCTTGAGCAGGAGCTAGGGAGAGAGGGTGGAGGGCACTGGGCTCTGTACCCTCCGGGGTGAGCACACACTGTGGTGGCCAGAATGAGGTGCAGGGATAATTTGCAGGCCCTGTTTGCTGGAGGAAAGCTCAGGAGGGCACCTGCTGCAGGAGCTCCTGGCCTGCAGGCAGGCCACATGCTACATTGTCTTACTCCCCTTTTTGTAGGCTTTATTTCTCCAGAAATGTGAAATGAGTCCAGTTTCACTTTTAAAAAGTAGCGGAGAGAAAGCTCTGCCGCACACCTGCAGCTTCCATCATTGCAGAGTGCAACTTGGGCAGATTGAGGAAGGAGATGAGGGAAGGAAACAGTAACCTTCATACTGGGGGCCTTTGAAAAGAACTTTCAGCCACTAAGAAAGCTTAAAAAAACAGAACGTCCATGTTGTATGCAAAGAATATAAAATGACTCAAAACTAAAAATCCTGAATTTTATCATGATCTTTACTAACAAATAAAAGTTAATAAACTTTTTTGAACATTAGATAGCTTGTTTTCTTAAAACTGCTTGAATCCTTTTAGGTCTGTTGATTCTCTTTAGTTCCTCTCTAGTCATAGACAATTTGTCATGTCAAGACAATTGCTGTATCTTTGAATTACTCTAACTAATACTAATAAAAGTTTGGTTTGCTGGCAGCCGCAGTTCTTCAGTTTGAATCGTAAATAGTGACAGCTGTGGGGCATTTTGCTCTGAAAGAGACACTGTCTCCTAATCACATAAGAAGCATGGGTCTGTTTCTTCAGCATGAATAGGATCGGCTTGTTTTGGTTTTGGAGATAATGTGCCGGGAGATAAAATGCTAAGAGCAGTTGCTGAATTCTTTCCTCTTCTTAAATATATTTGGAGATAATTGAGATGTTCACTTGTGTGTATTTGTAATTCCTATTTAAATTCCTGACAAGTGAGAGAGATGGGCATATTTTTCATTAACTGAGAATTTTTTTTTTTTTTTTTTGAGACAGGGTCTCACTTGGTTGCCCAGGCTGGAGTGCAGTGGTGCGATCACAGCTCACTGCAGTCTCCACCTCCTGGGTTCAAGTCATCCATGCACCTCAGCCTCTTGAGTAGCTGGGACTACAGGCATGTGCCACCATACCTGGCTAATTTTGTATTTTTTGTAGAGATGGGGTTTCGCCACATTGCCCAGGTTGGTCTCAAACGCCTGGGCTCAAGTGATCCACCTGCCTTGGCTTCCCAAAGTGCTGGGATTACAGGCGTGAGCCACTGCGCCCGGCCCATTAACTAAGATTTTGATAGTGCTCCTTATGGTAGCACTGTTTGATTTAGGCTCTTATTTCTTTCAGTTTGTGGCTTGTTACGAACGTGGCTTAAATAGCTTGGTCAGGTCATCTACTAGAATAAGTGCCAATCAGATTTACAGTTATGGGCTTGCGGGATTGTTGTGGCTCTTGTTCCTTTCACCGTTTACATCGTTCACCTAAATGTCTTTTTTGACTTGGTGTGATGGAGCTCATGGCTAGCAAAAGGGGTATTGTCAAAATAAGGGGGTACATGGCTGTAGATTGTCTTTAAAAAGTATCTTGTGAAACTGTCTAAAGGCTCTCAGTGTCCCTCATAGAAACAGTGAAAACTGGAGTGCTACCAAGGCTTGATCAGGATTCCACATGGAGAGGCCTGACCTGGTGTTGCTCCCCAAAACTTAGCTCTGCTCTACTTTGGAGAGTCTAGGAGTGGCCTGGCCCATTGCGTAGGGACAGCTTTTACCGTGGGAAAATGGCGTTGTTGGAAACAATATTTTCTAAGGTAGATTGCTTGTTCAAATGAGGAGTGCTATGTTTTCCTCCTAACAGATTGCCATTTGTATTTCTTGTAGAAGAACTGAAAGAACACTTGCTGGGAGACAGCGCTATTGATAGAATCTTCACCTTGGGGAACTCGGAATTTCCTGTTAGCTGGGACAACGAGGTCAAACTTTGGACATTTCTTGAAGATAGAGCCTCACTTCTTTTAAAAACATATAAAACAACTATTGAGGTAATTACACTAAATAAATGAGGTTTTGAACTTGTTGTGTTGTTAAGATGTTTAATGAGGCTTGGTGCGGTGGCTCACGCCTGTAATCCCAGCACTTTGGGAGGTCGAGGCGGGGCGGATCACGAGGTCAGAAATTCAAGACCAGCCTGGCCAACATGGTGAAACCCCGTCTCTACTAAAAATACAGAAATTAGCTGGGTGTGGTCTGTAATCCCAGCTACTCAGGAGGCTGAGGCAGGAGAATCGCTTGAACCCAGGAGGCGGAGGTTGCAGTGAGCTGAGATCTCGACACTGCACTCCAGCCTGGGTGACAGAGCAAGACTCCGTCTCAAAAAAAAAAAAAAAAAAAAAAAAAAATTTAATGAAAGATTTCTTGTTAATTCTAAACTACTGTAATAGTTTAGCAAAATGATTGCATTTGAAATTTTCCATTCATTTCCCAAAAAATCATATTTAGGCATTGTTTATTAGAAGATACATTTTTAAGATTATTCAATACTTTTTTATAATTTATAATTCACGTGATTTCACAAACATGTTTTCATTTGTGCTTTTTAAGTTCACTACTGAGCCACTAACTTCAAATACATCTTTCTCATTTATTCGTTCCTTCACTGATGCCATTCACCCACGTGCTGCCCTGGGGCTACATCAGTGCCCAAGATAGACAGGATGATTTTTAAATCAGTGAAGTTCCCTGGCAGATGGGGTAGCACTGTTTGATTTAGGCTGTTCTTTCTTGTTTTGTAACATTTCCATTGAGGTATAATTTACATACAATGAAAGGCATACTTCTGAAGCGTACGTTTTGATGTGAGTGTCTGGTCATGCGACCACCTGCCCAGTCAAGTGTTAGAACCTCCCGTCACCCCAAAAAGTTCCCTCATGTCCCCATCCCCAGCCGTTGTGCCCTCTGTCTCTATAGTTTTGCTGGTTTAGACTTCTTGTAATTAATTTTGCTCTTGTTTTCCAGGAAGATAAATCCGTCTTGAAAAACCACGATCTTTCTGTTCGTGCAAAAATGGCCATCAAATTGCGCTTAGGTGAGAAAGAGATTTTGGAAAAAGCAGTAAAGAGTGCAGCTGTCAACCGGGAATACTATCGCCAACAGATGGAGGAAAAGGCTCCGCTTCCCAAATATGAAGAGAGTAACCTTGGGCTGTTGGAGAGCAGCGTGGGGGACTCGAGGCTCCCCCTGGTCTTGAGAAACCTCGAGGAGGAGGCTGGAGTGCAGGATGCCTTGAACATCAGAGAGGCAATCAGCAAAGCAAAGGCCACAGAAAACGGGCTTGTAAACGGTGAAAACTCTATCCCTAATGGGACCAGGTCCGAAAATGAAAGTCTCAATCAAGAAAGTAAAAGAGCAGTTGAAGACGCCAAAGGATCTTCTTCAGACAGCACTGCTGGAGTTAAGGAGTAGCTCGAGGTGAAGCTGGATGGGGGATCCAGTGGAGCAGGAGTTGACGGACAGTCCGTTCACATCGCTGTGTTTCCTTGTTAACATTTTTCTTTCTGCAGAGAGGAAGATATGTTTTTGCTGCTTTATATAAAAATGGTTTTTTTAAGTTATTTTAAAAATCTAGCTTCCCTTTTTGATTAAGATTGCCATCTTGCTTTTAGGCAAAACAAACCAATTAACAAACAACCACAAGAAAGGGAGAAGAGGTGCCTGTGGGAGATTTTGCAGACCTATTGTGGGTATAGGTATTTTCTTCCTGGGGAAGAATTCAGTTCCCGTCTCAGCTGTACTTTTGTGGGCCTGTCATCTTGATGACCAGAATGAAAGCTTGCTCTGCCTCCTGCCAGCCAGAATTGGTGGCGGGACTTGGGGATACAGCGTGAAGGTGGGGAAGTTGCACAGCAGAAAACAGAATTGAAGTTGGGAAACTCTAGAGTCTGGGCAAAATGTTTGGTTTTTTCTCTTAAAAAAAATAACACCCCATTACCAAAAGAAAAGGTAAGGTGGCAACCTTATTTTTAATAGTTTGAAATGATGATAATCCTAATTATATAAAAATATATATATAAACACACATATATATAGTGATTTCTAAAGATTTGTTTACTTTTGTGTTTTGTTTTACTGTACTAAGAACTTGTCCTTTCTCCTTGAATCAAAGTAGGACATGCATCATCCTCCTAATTTTAAATGTTGGCTCTGATTTTAAAGTGGTGCATTTGATTCCAGCCTTGGTAATGGAGAGTTTGCAAACACACAGCGGCCCACAGCTTCACGTGGTGGTGTGCAGTGTGAGGCAGCTCCTTGGCTTTCCTGGTTTTCACAACAAGCTAGAGATTTTCAAAGCTACACTTTTGAGTAAAAACCCTTATTAAAAGAAAAACATGATTAATATTTTTGTCTATTCCTTTTTTTGGAGTGGGACAGGCCCTGTGAGTTTAGCTTTTACACAATCCATCTTACTGCCCAAGCATTGTTGGAACCTTGACCTCCTGCCCTGGGCTGTGCTAACCTGGGGGCTACTGAGACATAGCCGTGGGGCCCAGAGGACTGTAGGAGCCCCCCTCATCAGCGTGCCCATCTATGCAGGCAGCGGGAACTCAAGAAAAGGAGTCCTTAGGATTTAGGGGAAGGAAAAGGTTGGGACCATGTCCTTGGGGTGGGAGAGGGATCTGTCTCCTTCTGCCACCAGTTTTCAGGTTTACTGATACCAGTTTTTCTTTACCACAAATTTTCACATTGTCTCTGATGTCCTAAGTACACCGCTGATTTTGAAAACGTGAATTATTCCCCCAAGTGTTTGATAAATGCTGCTGCAACACAGGTCGTCTTAAGGATGCTCTGGGAGTTTCTCTTGGGGA
Source organism: Homo sapiens (assembly GCF_000001405.40). NCBI lineage: Eukaryota > Metazoa > Chordata > Mammalia > Primates > Hominidae > Homo > Homo sapiens. The sequence continues at coordinate 99,397,278 of NC_000014.9, read as the reverse complement.
AGACATAGCTCTGCAGATCAATTGCCTAATCCCCCCTGACAGTTGAGATAAATTTAACTCTTTAAGGCGTTGCTTGCGTTGCTCAGCAGGTTAGTTTACCTGCTGCACTGGGCGCTGGAGGCAAGCTTCATGTCTGCGTGAGGCTGGGACATTTCCTGGCGTTGACGCCTGTACCTTTCCTAGCTTGTTGATGTATACCAGGAGGAAGCATGTGATTGCCACCTCTCGTATCAGCTTTACACCTGAGATACCTTACCAAAAATATTAAATAGTCTGTAAAGCTTAGTGTTAATTTCTAAAAGGCAATAGCATTGTAGTGCTTGAGTTTCCGACTCTAGAAGCCCCAGAGCCTTCTAGAACTTTGATGACCAATTTGTCCATAGAATTATCTTCTTATAGGATTAAAAGTTTCCAAGCCTAATAATAAAAAATCTTTTTTGAAAACATATATACAGTTCAAACATAAAATAACATCATGAGACAGCTGGGTTTTCAAACTATTCCCCGGCAAAGTTCGAGTTCCCGTGGAGCTGGGATAGCGCCAGACTGGGGTCGGGATCCCAAGCTCCTGTTCCGGCGCCACCTTTAATGGGTGTTGTGATGTCGGTTCCTGGGACCCAGTTTCTTCATTTACTTGTGAAAAGAATGGTACTAAATTGTCCAAAGTCCCTGCTTAAAAATTTAGCAGCTGTTTTTTCTGTCATTTCTCCATTGACAGACTTGGTCATTAAGGTTATTGGATCAAAAAGAGATGAAGTATGCTTCCAGTTGAGAACAGCCTCTGCATGACATAAAAATGGCGCCCACAAGAACGGAACTGTTTTGATGTCAGAAGACAGTATCTATTGAACAGCATTACTTTCCTGAGTTGGGTAGGATTGCCCTAAAATGACTCGCAAAGGCAGGCGAGACCACAGCACACATTAGTCATCCTCGTTGCCCCGCTGCGGTTCGGCAGCTCTAGTGCTGCCTGCACAGACACTTGGAGCTACAACTTAAGCATTTGAAAATTGAGGGAAAGTGATTAAATTGGCATTGAAGAACCCTCATTGCCGTCTGTCATGAAAATAGACCTTTCTCTCAAATCATTTTAAAGTTTACTTTCTTCTGAATGCTTTTGGATAAGAGGCTGTTCAGGCTAGTTACTGGAAACATGCCAGGCTCTGCTTCTGTTTCATTAGCTCTGTGTGTTATTTGTGTAAATAGTTAGCAATTAGATTTCACCGGCCTAGAAAAACCTCCCTGTTTTTCATGTAAACTGGCAATTGATAGGTGGTTTTTCCCCAGTAGTTTCTAGAAGAGGCTCACTAAGAGATGTCTGTAATTTTTTTTTTTTTGAGAGATGGGGTAAGACATTAAAAATAGTCCCAGGTTCCCAATATACAGAGTTATGCTAAATTAAACCTCCACTTAAAAATGAGGGAATCAATTTTCTGTAAATCATCAGTTATATTTTCTTTTTTCTTTTTCTTTAAGACAGAATCTCCCTCTGTCTCCCAGGCAGTGTCTCCCAGGCAGTGTCTCCCAGTGCAGTGGCACTGTGTCAGCTCACTGCAACCTCTATCTCCTGGGTTCAAGCAATTCTCCTGCCTCAGCCTCCTGAGTAGCTGGGATTAAAGGTGCCCACCACCACACCTGGCCAATTTTTTTTATTTTTTAGTCTCACCATGTTGGCCAGACTGGTCCCGATCTCCTGACCTCAGGTGACCCACCTGCCTCTGCCTCCCAAAGTGCTGGGAATATAGGTGTGAGCCACTGCACCCGGCCACCAGTTATATTTCCTTGGTGATTAATACGTACATTGTAGGAGCAAAAGAATAAAGCCAGTCCAATGAAAGTGCATGTGACTTGAGCTCAGAACCGAAATGGCACTGACTGTGAAGAAAATAGGGAATGATAGTGGTGGTTGGTTTGGAGGGTACTTTGCGGAGAGCCCGGATATGACAGTGTTGACGGTAACCCTAGCTGAAGTGAGCAGCTGCTTCTGCACCGTGCTCGTGTTATTATTGATCTGGCAAAACAAATGCGTGTAATGCGGGAGAGCTGCTAACCTGACCCAGGAATTTGACTCATTTTTATTTAAATGTCAATTTGAGGTGGGTGTAGGATAGGATCCAGTAATGTCATTAAGGGTCACCCTACTATTTTAATCAGCAGCCCCTTATCTAATATATTCCTAAAATTCTGTGTATAAATTGAATTTGAATAACTTGAATTGTATTTAAATGCACTGGCAAATTTGTTATTTAAATGAAGCTGCCCTGCTGGTCCTGGGTGTGCTTGGGCTGGAGAGAGGAAGTCTTAGCAGGGACATGATCTTCCTGTCTTCACAGATTTGAAGAGCTGTTGCCTGAAGGAGGGGTGAGACTCATTCTGGGTCTGCAAAAGGCACAGCTAGGGCCAGGGGTTGGGTGGCGGAATTCAGCCAAGGGAGGGAGCACTCCCTAACGCCTGCTGTGAGAGAGCACATGCCTGCTGCTCTGGAGGTGAGCAGGCGCAGCCATCGGGGTGTATGGACCACTCAGACCTGGTTCCAGGCATGGGATCCTGGGCCAGTTGTTAGGAGCTTCTGTCACCCCCTTCAGGGAGCCTCACACTCTCTACCTCAGCAGTGCCGGGTGCGTTGAAAAGCTGCGTGCCGCGCCTGTACCTGTTAAACAGCCAGTGAATGCTTGTGATGACCATCTTCTAAGCCGGAGCCACTACCAGGAAGCAGGAGATGTTCTTGAGACTGGGGATAGCAAAATCATCCATGCTTTGCCAGCAAGCGGCGTGTGTCATCTGTCCATTGATTTGGGAACCTCGGCCCTGGACCTAGCAACAGTTGTGTTCTTAGTGGAACACAGATTCTGTGGGTAATTCAGACTCAAGAAGCCCTGCCCTTGAGGCACTGAGGCAGACGTCTGAACGGTAGGCGTGGCAGAGCATACCAGGCTGTGAACGGGTGGACCCACGTGGCTGGGCTTAGGGCTCTGTTTGTGAGATATGGAGGTGGGGTGAGCCCTTGAGGGTAAGGAGGGAGGCAGGGAAGAACCAGCCATGAACAGGAGGGGCTGAGAAGTTCAGGCTTCTTGGGGGGAATCCAGCGAAGATGCTGGTCACTGGTTCCTGACTGCAGTGCTGGTGCCCCGGTGCCTGCAGGGAGAGCACGCGTGCAGTTGTGCCACTCTCGTAATGGATGGACTTCAGGAGGGCGCCTCCCGGTGATTGCTGCTCCCTTCACAGATGCCACCCTTAGTAGATGCCTTAGAAACAAGGTGAAAGGACTGGGAAGCCCCTGTGTGTGGACTCAGTAGCAGTTTATGGAGGTGGGAACCTTAACTCAGGTCATGACACCACTGTCCATCAGCTCTTGGTCTTTATTTAACAGCCTCGTGATACCCTCTCACTTCTGGGCAGCTTTTCTTGGCCCAAATGCAGGCGTATCTGTGTGTGCACGCACATGTGTGTCACCTATTTCTGTATAAACCTACTTGGTATATATGAGCACATACATACACACATATGAATACATATATATGTGTGTGTATAGAAAACTTTCCCCAAACTCATATTCTTCCCCCTTAGGCAACAGAGAAGCTCCTCAACATGGGTTAGGCCAAACTTGACAGGAAAATGAACGTGGAAATGCTGGTGCTGGTGAGGCCCTGTGTGTCCCCACCTGGCTGTTTGAATTCCTAGAGTCTTGTACAGCACCTGGTGCAGAGTGCGGGCTCTGGGGAGGCTTCCAGACTGACCGAACAACCATAACCAAGTGGGAGGCCCGCGTGCCTCCGAAGTCCCAGGGTGGCGTTAAAATCACACTCCTTTCTTCTCTCTCCATTTCCTCGCTCTCCTCTCTTTGCTTCCTGTTTCTGCCGCTTGTACCTGACTCCTCAAGAGTGTTCTGGTAGAAAAGGATCAAGTTGTGGCTTGAACCTCAACCATTCTTCTCCATTTTAATGAGGTTCCGGAGGAGCTCCTTGTAGGATCCCAGAGTCAGTTTAAAGTCCTAGGAAGGCACCTGGAGGATGCGTGAGGGTGAGCTCCCCCTGCCGGCTGTGCCTCTTTCTGCAGGGTGTGCAGAGCTTCCCACCCTCACACTCCACCCGTCATTCATGCAAAACTTACTCTTCAAGAAGGAACCAATGAGCAGATTCTCCCCTCAGTGTCTAGTCCATGAAGAGTGTTTGCACTTTAGCCCATACACAAAATTTTAGCCCAGAGAAGCAGCTCATCCCAAACATGGGCTTTGAAATCTGCAGAACCTGAAGTATAATCCGGACCCCCTACCTTCCCCTATCATCTGTGACCCCCGCGCAAGTTTCTTGATGCGCAGGGTGTTGGTTTTCTCATCTGCAAAATGGAATAACCCCAGGAGGTTGCTGCGGTAATAGATGTAAATCTGGCACAGTGCCTGGGACACAGTAGCTATCCAATGGTTGGTTCCCACTGTGACTGGCTGAGCGATGTCAGTCAGCCCAAGATCTGGACTAATGGCAGACTGGAGGCACATTCTGAGTTGCGGGGGTTTCTGTGGGTGGTGAAATATTCCCCTCAGCCGCGTGGCTTCAACATGTGGACCTCCTGTCCATACCCAACTGTCACATTCTCCGTGCCTTTCCCAGACTTGGCACGTATCTCAAACGGAAAATATTTGGTGACTGACTTTATACATACATATATATATTTCATTATGAGCTACCATCCAGCAAGCACCTGTGAATTTCTTGGCTTTAAGTTTTCAAGCAACTCTAAACAAACCCTCCCCTAAATGCATCTGCAAATGACAACTTATTGAGCAGCAAGAGATGGCAGTTACGATTGTGTGCCACCCCAACCAGCCTAGTTTTGGAAATAATAACCCTAGCTGGCACCAGGAAATAATACGCTAGCACCGGAAGATGTTGTCAGGTGAATCCTGAAATGCGTCTAGAAAAACAGTTCTTGCTTTCTCATACAAAAATTAAAATGTTTGTTTTATTTTGGTCATCGACAATTGTCAAAACAACTAGCATTGGGCTAATGTTATCTAATATAAGTGTTGACACCATTAAGGCTGCAGTATAATTAGTCAGGAAATGTAGTCATAACACTCCTTGGATTTTCAAAGGACCAGAATGGGTGTTTTTGAAAAGTTGTATCGGGGGAAAAAGGAAAAAGGAATTGTATTTCCTGCTTTGCGCTTGCGTGATGAGTATCAGCCTAGATCAGACTCAGGGTGGTTAATAACCTCCTTCCCTTCTTACAGCCCTGCTCTTAAAAAGCAGGTGCTACGACAGAAACCCCGACACACTGCAGGCTGTCACCAAGGTGGTGCTTTACATAAAAGCGCTTTACAGTGTTATTTTGCAAGACTTGAGCCCTGAGTGGATACTGAGTGTGGAGCAGCCTGGTTTTGTACATTTTTGCCACATGTTGAGATGCCATGGGAGCTGGTGACTCACGCGCCACCGACGTTCACAAAAGCTCCCGGCTCGGAGCAGAGCATTGAAGGGAAGGGTCTGGCTGCTTGGCGTATGTTAACCAGGCTGGGTACTGAGCGTCTTAAAAGCCAAGCCACGTTTGCCTTTCAACTTTACTTTGTGGTGACGAAAGAGGAGGTCTCTTTCTTCAGGGGCTTACTCAGCGCTGCTGGATCTGAAGATGCCCGGGAGGAGGGTGAGGGGTGAAAAGGGCATCCTAAGGCAGGATGGGACACAGCGGCCTCTCCAGCTTAACTCAGTATTCTCTGAGGCACAGAATACTGGAGATCTGAGACCCCTGAGGTGCAAGCCCTCCCCTCAAGGATCTAAGCAGGTGGTGGGCTGCCGCTGGCTTCTCCCCACAGCTGGTGGGGGGCAGAAGCCCTGTTCCACAGGCGACAAGTGTGGGTCCCAGCCATCATGTTTAGCCAATGGTCTTGTCCGTGTTTTCTCCCCAAAAACGCTTTGAGTTAGTGATGACGTCCACTGATTCACCCAGCACTTACTTGAGCATCTCATGCGCTGGGCACCACACTAGGCTCTGGGGCCAAATGACACAGGGTGCTTGTCGGCGAGGAGCTTGTGGAGGAACAGGATGGCCTCCTGGGCCGAGCTGTGTCCAAGCTAGCTCTTAATATATGCTCCACTTTCCTAATCTTAATGGAAAATAGGCTGGATGGACTTTTAATCTCCACTTTATACAAAATTGTGGATTACCTGTATGTTCTTAGTCTGACTTATTTTTTTCCCCTCGTAGGGGTTCATTTCTGTTACCAAACAACAGAGAAGTTGAGTGTCTGATTTTCCCCCAACAATGCAAGTACTTGAAAGCTCGCCTCAGGAAGCTAGGATCACCTTCATGTTTGTAGATACTACATTTCCAGTTTTCTAACATCCTGAGATCTCCCAAATGAGTGATGCAGTTACAAGAGGGGACCTAGGCATCATAGCTTTGGGGTGACCCATAAGTGACAGTGAAGTCCCTGTTTCCTTTGCTGCAACTGAAGCCTGTTATGATATTGGTGTACGGAACTAGTCCCGCTTCCCAGTACTGGTTTGCAAACATCTATTTTTAAAGTGATGACATTTTAAAAACCACCTCTTATTCCCATTTGGGGTTCAGTTGACTGTCAGCAGTAACCGAGAAAAATCACGCCAGCCACACGTACTTCAGTATCTTAAATGGGCAGTTCACAAGGCAGTTGGAGGATCTGTGTTCATTGATGGGCCACATCTGAGTGTAGAATCTTATGTTTCTGTTTCATTCCTGTGACAAGTTTTGTTGACTGCCCCAGCTGCCTGTGGCCAAAGCAGCTAGGATCTTTGTTCATGAACATTTTAATGTTTAGAAATCCAAATGAAAAATAAACCTCCCTAAAACAAACAAAATGACTCCCATAGGCTTCAAATAATCCTCCAGGCTATCTCTAAGGAAGCCAGGATTTCCAGCAGCAATTAAATTGCATGATTGGATACAGGGAAAATGTTATAATTGCTCACAGGTAGCAATTTATTAGGATAGATGTTACTTATGACATGTGTCAAAAAGGTCAAAGTTTATACTTCCTTGGACATTAACCTAACCTTCGAAACTCTAAAAGTTACACTTTTTGGTCATTAATTTTTTTTTTACAAGCAGAGATTTTGACAATTAACCCAGTTAATAAAGGTCAAATTTCAATTTTTTCCAATTTCTGGAGCATTTAAATTATTCCTTTTTGAAAATGGGAAGATAGAGGATGATAAATAGTTATTAAATGAGTACAAGGATGTAGTTCTGCTGTCAGGGTGGTGATTATAAAACAGCTGATACTGGAAGAATAGAATTGCTGTGTATCTGATTGGAAGGAAAGTAGATTACAAGCAGAGGAAATAGAAAAATTAAGCCCAAATAATGTGTGCAGTTAGTAGGATAATGTGGGTATATGCGCTTGTTAAATCATCTCAGGATTCTAGTCATTCAATTATGTAGACTTCAGGCTTCAACTATTGAATCTGCACATTTTAAAATAAGTAATTTCTGCAAACTTGCAACAAAGTACAACTTGGGTTAAAAACCGTTTGTCGCCCACCAGGCAGCATCCCTCAGATGAATCTAAAGAGGGGCAAACAACAGTCAGCGCAGCCAAAGCCCGCTGGTAGGGAGGTCGGGACGCACTGGACCGCCCTTCCTCCACCCCACAGCCAGCACAGCCCCCAGACGGCCGGGGCAGCTGTGTGGGTGAGGAAGGGGGTTTTAGAACCTGTCATGTGTGGGAAATGGCAGAGAAAGTCCACACAGCCCTCCTCTGCCACTCCAGCAGTACAAACCAAGCCTCCCTGTCCACCCTGGTCAAAACCAAATGACCCACACGCCCTCCCTTTATCCCCGGGGAGCGCCCCTGGGAATTCCCGTATCCCTGCTCCGCTCGCGCCCCCTGGTGGCGGTGCCGCCCGCCGGGTGCCGCCCAGGGAGCTCTAAGTAGAGGCCTTGGGTTCCGTTCCACTGAGCAGGTACCTTCCTGGACCCGGCCAGACACTTGAGACAAGAGGTGGCTTTTTGTTTTTTGAGACAGGGTCTCACTCTGTTGACCAGGCTGAGTGCAGTGGTGTGATCTTGGCTCACTGCAGCCTCAACCTTCCAGGCTCAAGTGAACCTCCCACCTTAGCCTCCCGAGTAGCTGGGACTACAGGCGTGCACCGCCATGCCCAGCTAATTTTTTGGTTTTGTTTTGTTTTTTTGAGAGAGAGTCTCGCTCTGTCACCCAGGCTGGAATGCAGTGGTGCAATTTTGGCTCACTGCGACCTCCGCCTCCTGGGTTCAAGTGATTCTCTGCCTCAGGCTCCTGAGTAGCTGGGATTACAGGCGCCTGCCACCATTCCCGGCTAATTTTTGTATTTTTAGTAGGGGTTTCACTATGTTGGCCAGTCTGGTCTTGAACTCCTGACCTCGTGATCCGCCCACCTCAGCCTTCCAAAGTGCTGGGATTACAGGCTTGAGCCACCGCGCCCGGCCTTTCTTTTTTTTCTTTTCTTTTTTTTTTTTTTTTTGTAGAGACGGGGTCTTGTTACGTTGCCGGCCTCCACCTCTCAAAGTGCTGGGATTACAGGCGTGAGCTACCATGCCCGGCCAAGAGCTGGTTCGTTGTTCTTTGTTTGCATTGGGTACATTTGGGATTTCTTGCTCCTGTTTATTGCATAAATAAAGGCTTCTCCGTATAGATGTGCTCCACGTTAAATAACCAATATATAAAACAAGCTTGCGCTGCATCTATGTATTCAACAAGCACAAGGAGCCAGCACCTGCCTCCTCTGCCCCTGGCCTCTCGTCCAGCCCAGTTCTCTGTGTTTAAACTCAGCGGTGATGCCCCATGTCGCTGCACGGTGTAGTGCCCTTGCTGCACCGATTTTCTTTTGCAGGTGTCATTCGAGGCCCTGTGTATCGCCAGGGCTGTGTCCAGCCTGGCTCTGTGTTGTGGCTATTCCTTGCACATAGTAGGTGCCCAGAAAATGCTGAAGAAAAAAGAAAGTCCAGCCGGGCGCAGTGGCTCATGTCTATAATCCCAACACTTTGGGAGGATGAGGTGGGTGGATGACCTGAGGTCTGGAGTTTGAGACCAGCCTGACCAACATGGAGAAATCCCATCTCTACTAAACATACAAAATTAGCCAGGTGCGGTGGCACATACCTGTAATCCCAGCTACTCAGGAGGCTGAGGCAGAAAAATCACTTGAACCTCCGTGGTGGAGGTTGTGGTGAGCCAAGATCGCGCCACTGCACTCCAGCGTGGACAACAAAAGTGAAACTAAGTCTCAAAAAAAAACAAAAAAAAAAAAAAGAAAGTTCAAGCCACTTAGCTCAGCAAGAAGCCTTGAGGCTGTGAACTAAAAAGAAAAAAAAAGTCTTTAAAATTTTTGGGAAACTGTTAAGAATGGTGACTTTGACTATAATACTTTACTCTAACAATTCCATCAACATTATGCATGTGGACAGATGCTTGGAAGGATGGGAACACAGGGTGGTCACTTATTTTTAAGAAGGATATATCACTTTACCAAAGATTTGTAGTCAGGTGACAGAAATGGGGTTTGGTTTACACAAGTGTTAGCAACCAGTCCTGGAAACTCGTGCTGTGTGCCACAGATGTCACCTGCACAGGGATACCATGAAAAGGAAGAGACGGAGAGCAGCATTGGTGGCTCCTGAAATACCCCAGACGCTGCACACCATGTTAAACCTGAGCACCCTTGATGCTTTGAACCCTTCGTGGGTTAAAACAGGCTGTCATGCCTTAGCTAGGAAGCTGTTCAAAAAGGTGACTTTGACCTTGCATTTTCCTTCCTTTTAACCTTCACCATTCATACAGGGGCTGCTCCGAAGTCTGCAAGAAGCGACTTTCCTAGCTCCTTCCTCCTGGTGGTCTCTCCTCATACCATCTTCCCCTCCTCTTCCCTCTGGCTCCAGCCTGCCTGATATGGTGTGGCTGTGTTCCCACCCAAATCTCATCTTGAATTGTAGTTCCCATAATCCCCACGTGTCGTGGGAGGGACCTGGTGGGAGGTAACTTAATCATGGGGATGGTTACCCCCGTGCTGTTCACATGATAGTGAGTTCTCATGAGATCTGATGGTTTAATAAGGGGCTTCTCCCCCTTTTGCTTGGCACTTCTCCTTGCTGCTGCCATGTGAAGAAGGACGTGTTTGCTTCCCCTTCCACCATGATTGTAAGTTTCCTGAGGCCTCCCTAGCCCTACAGAACTGAGTCAATTAAACCTCTTTCCTTTATAAATAATTACCCAGTCTCGGTTATGTCCTTATAGCAGCATGGGAACAGACTAATTCACCGCCCTTCCAGTCTCCCCTTGTCCATCAATGCCATTATTAGTTACTGCATTGCTCATCTCCCTTTTCTGATAGGTGGGAAATGGTATTTTATTGTATCTACAATTTGCTCCATACCTACAGGGGCCAGACTCCCCCAAATGGATGGGCTGATCTGGGCACATCGGTGGGGCAAGTGCCCCCCTTGGGGGCGCCTAGAGGAGGAGATGTGGGAGCTTGGCCCCAGCAGACGGCAGTTTTCCCAGTGGACAAAGAAGCAGGGCAGTGCGTGGCAGTGCTGGGGCTGAGCCGAAGTGGAGAAGGAACCTCCTGAAAGAGAAAGGAGGCTCATTCCAGAGTCTCCCATACCAGACAGAAGCAGCTCGGCTCCTCCCTTCAGGGGCCGGGGGTAGGGGCTCGCTGAATTCCAGCGTGATCTTTGTGGGGCATTAGGGGACTAGTTGTCCTGGAGAGATGCTCAGGTGTCCCAGCAGTGGACCCCAGGGGAGGCGGGAGGCCCAGCCTTCCAACAGCACAAAAAGTAAGGGCATGTCTGAGACGGGGGCAAGCCTGATGACAGTGGGCTGGCAGGGCCCAGGACCATGTGGGCCGTAGCGTGGGGCAGGGATGCCATGATCCTAAATGGCTTGAGGGCCAGGAGCAGGTTTCCTGGGGAAGAAATAAGCACCCTCTCCCCACCCCTGTAAAGCCACCAGGTTGAGGTGACAAGAGGTATGAGCCCTGGAGGAAGGTGGGCTCATGCCAACTCTTCCTCCACTGCCTTTTCGATCTTTGCAGGGTTATTTAATTGCACTTCAGCTTCTCCATCTGTAAAATGGGAGTGCAGTGAAGGAACACAAAGTACCAGGGCTGAATCTACACACTGGAACATGACCCTTCCCCCTTCTCCGACCGTCCCTCTGTGTACACATGGGAGGAGCATGGCCTCAGGAACTCACCAAGACATAAATCCCCGTCTTCATGAAGCAGGGTGTTTAGCTGAATTTAGGCAAATCTGTCCAAATTTAAATGAGCCACCTGTGTAAGTGACTCCCTTTATAATCCTTTCAGACACTGCAGTGAGCTAGCCCTGTCTTGCATTTCCAGCAGAACCCGCTCTGTCCCCTGCCTGCTCTTTTGCTCCCACAGAGTCTGTGTGAACTAAGAACTGCATCCAAGCATGGGAAACAGCTTTCTAACCATTCCTCAAAACCCAAACACAATAAAAATGAGTATATTTGCAAAAATTGCATGACAAAAAAACTCCATCATAAGAAAAGTGACATTTTCCCCAATAAACTGGGAGAAAATATGTCTATGACAGAGAAAGGATTAGTATTTCTACTATATAAAGAACTCAACTGAGGGACAAAGGACCAAAAACTTGAAAGAAACCTGGGAAAAAGGCATGAACAGACAATTCACACGCATAAAAAAGTCATCAAACAAGAAAACATGTCCAAATTCATTCACTGAAAACTGCAATTTAAAGCCACACGGAGATACCATTTCCCACCTATCAGATTAACGGAAGTCAAACCACCACCTTGCATTCTGTTGGCGAGGCTGCAGAGAACAGATATTTTCTTGTGCAGCTGGTGGAGATGCAAATTAATATAACCCTTTGAAGGGAATTTGGCAATACCAAACAGCCCCATAAACATGTACCTTTCAATGCACCAATCTCACTTCTAGGAATCTATCCTGAATGTACAACTCCAACAAAAATAGATGCACACAGGTTATTTATTACAACATTGTAATTGGCAGACACCTCTTGAACCAACAGAATCAAGGTCAACATCACCAGTGATAAGGCATTGGCAGCATGAACCCGCATATGGGGCACTGAGGAGGACCCAACGTCACTTCTGTGGGATTCTTGCCAAAAATGCACAACTTCCATCCAAAACGGAATATCAGACAAACAAACTGAGGGACATTTGATAAAATAACTGAAAAATGCTCTTCCAAAGTGTCAGGATCACGCAAGACTAAGACTGAGGAGCTGCCACAGATTGGAGAGCACAAAGGAGACATGCGGACTGAGCAATGTGGGACCCCAGACAGGACCCTGGAAGGGAAGAGGGACGTTCGTGGGAAAACGGTGCAGTCGGAATCAGGTGTGCAGTCGAGTTAACAGTATTGCACATTGGTGACATCCCCGGTTTGCTGATTATACTTGGGTTATGTAAGCTGTGCACTGGAGCGGGGGCTGGGGGAGGGATATAGGGAGAATCTGTACTATTTCTACGGCTTTTCTGAAAGCCTGAAATTAGTTCAAAAACAAAACAACACAAACCCCGTGTCTTGGCCAAGCCTGCCTGGGTTTCAGTCCCCACCCTGCTCCCGCCCACCGTGCGTCCAGGTCCTAGTCCTCCCCTTTGCACGGGTGGGGAAGCTCCCAGAACAGCGCCCAGGGCTGGTGGCTGCATTCTGGGGGCACTGGGAAATCAACTGCGAGGCTGCACAGAGAGTTTTAACATTTCTCTTTTTGAAGTACAGCAAGAACTGCAGACAAATCTGTAGCTGTGCATAAGGGTCCAAGTGTTGCTTTGTTTTTCAAATGAAATACTGAGAGACTGGTAGACCACACAAAGGAAAGAGGACAGGGTTTTGCAGGCAATTTAAAAAACGCAGCCAATAGCAACACAGGCTGGTGCTCCATCTCCGGGGGAAGGGGAGGAACATGTGCTGAGCCTTCTCTGTGTGGGGGTTTGCAGGTGCTGGCCCCTGCACCCAACCAGGCTCAGGGGCAGGCGGGGGCTCCAGCGCCCCATCCCCGCCTCCCTCTGGGCCTGAATGTCCTGGAATGCCCTCCCGCTACGTCTGCCTGGCCTCCTTTCTTTCCAACTCTGGTGATCCTCTCTTTTGCTGCCTGAGCCCTTCCCTGTGCAGGCCCCACTAGCTCCATAACCTTGACCCTGCATAGGTGCTGGTTAATAGTTTCCTTCCGAGGCCGCCCTTGGCAACTGGCAGAGATGGGAGGAAGAAATAATGGGACAAATTTCCAAGTGCTGTCGTATGTATTGGGCATTTACCATGTGCCAAGCACCTGTCGGAGCCACTGCCATGGTCTCCGCTTGACAGATGAGTAAGCTGAGGCCCAACGGGTTTAGTGTGTGTGCGCGTACATGTGCAAACGTGTGCGTGCATGGGCATGTGAGCGCATGGGTGTGTGAACGTGTGTGTGAATGTGTGCATGTGAGCGTGAGAGCACACGTATGAATGTGTGTGAGGATGTGTGCATGCATGCATGTGTGCACGTGTGAGTGTGTGACGGGGACCCAGCTGGCCGGCTACAGAGCCAGGTCTTCACCACGTGCACCACCGGCTCCCTCAACAACACTGCAACCCATGACTTCCATAGAAAGAACTGGGCCCAGAGAGGCTTGTGACTCGCCAAGCGCACCCACAGCTCACAAAGAGACGGGGCAGGGCTTCCCGCCTGTGCTCCACCCAAGCAGCGGATCAGCCCTGGTGGTTTAGGAGCGGCCCTTCCGAAAGGACCAAGAAGCGCCTTGCCGTGGGCCTGGGTCCTTTTTCTGTGCGGGGTGTGGCTCGGATGGTGCTTCCTCCAAATGCGTCGTCCCTTCCCCTGCCTTCGTGGCCTTAGCAGCTCTTGAATGTTTGTTTTTATGTCTGCTTCCAGCACTAAACTGCGGCTGCCTGTAGGTCAGATACTTGCCCCACTCAGCTTAGAGACGTTCCTATTTCTAAACCCTGAGTCATACCCAGCGCTCTGCCCGGAGGGTGTTCATTTCTCCACCCAGGGTGACCAGGGCCTTGCACTGCCTCGCTGAATCCTCATGGCTTGGACACTTCTTACTTCTCCATCAAATTGCAAGGATCCTTCCACCCCATGCCCTTTAAGGATAAGGCTGAATTCCTATGCCCAGGAAGAATGTAGATTTTATTACCCCCATTTTCCACAGGAGGAAAACTGAAGCCCAGAGAGGTCCAACTCATTCCCTCACATTCGCGCAGGCCTTTGCAAGGTTCAGAAGGCCTTGTGATGCATCGATGACTCCAGCGCATCCCAGGAGAGCCCTGAGGCGTGGACCGGACCTGGAAGGTTGGCCCATTATAAGGATGAGTGGTCACTTGGTCACTTGCTTCGGGACTCTAGTCCCATTCTCTTTCCACCACACTCTCCCCAGCGTGAAGAATTCCGCTTTCAGAATTCCTTCCAGGGCGGTGTGCTTGCTGTGTCTACTGAAGATGAAACTGCTCACCTCTCTTTCCTGTTACTAAAAACAAACTATTTTTCACCACCCACACGCTGCATCTAGCTATATGAAAATACTCCCTTCCTTGTCTATATCCTATTATGTTGTATTACTTTTCCACCATCTATTTATCTTGCAAAAAGACATCGTAATTCTAAAGACAGCTTACGCTCTATTACAGAAAAGAGGCACAATGTTTATTAGTCAGAGTGAGTCCGCTGGACTGAAATTTATGGTGTGCCCAGAAAGCTCGGGGGCCGGTGCAGGAACCTCAAAGAACAGGAGGAAGGAGCGATTCAGAAAAGAAACAGATCCGTACCGCGCATTCACACTGCGCGCAAGCGGGACCTTTCTCAGCTTTCCATCCGCACCTTTCTCAGCTTTCCATCCGCAGCTCGGCACGTGGGTGCCAGCGTGAGTCCACTTCACACTCTCACAGCTGGGGCGGCTCCCAGGCCTCAGAGCAGTCCGGTCGATCTTCAGCCTGGCCCTGAGATATGCAGGGCATGCAGATTGCAGATCAAAAAACTGAGGCTCAGGCAGAAGAAGCAGGGCTGGAATTGGGTCTCCTGCTTCCTTGATTTCCCGGTTCTGGAGCTTTTGGACCGAGGCAGGCCCCGTGTCAGGGAGGAGGGGGCTGCAGTCCCAGGTCCACGTGGAGCTTCCATTCCAGAAGGACAATCTGACAACAAACTGGTAAACGCCTAGGATGATTCCAGACGACTGTAAGTGCCAAAAAGAAAGCAAGTTGGTAGGGAGCAGTGGCCAGAGAGGGACAGCCCTTTGCATGGTTGGTCCAGGAAGCTGAGCTGTGAATGGCAAGGGGTGGGGGGACGTCAAGGCACAGAAAGGCTCCCTTGGCTGGAGCTGGGGGAGCAGGCAGGTGGGCTGGGATGACGAGTTAGCTTTAAGGAGAGGGAGAGTCAGGGTTGGCGCCTGGGTCCCTGGGGAGCCGCTGCGCGGGTGGCAGTGCAGCTGGTCACCCAGAGCAGGAGCACTCAGAGCGCAAGGAGGGAGTCCAGAGCTCCACTCTGATAGCTCTGGGTGCTGAGCAGAGGGTCCTTTGTGGATGGAAAGGAGTGTCTGCAGGTGGAGCCGGAGACACAGATGTGAGAGCCGAAGGGTCCTAGGGCTGGTGGCTCCTGGGATGCCCAGGCAGGCACGCTCGTCCTGGCTCTGGTGGGCACCCAGGTCAGCCTTCCTGCAGAGGCCTCCAGCCTAGGCTGGCTTGCAGGGAAGGGGCTTGGGAGCTTCCGGAAGGTGCACTGGGGACCCTCAGTCACCCAGAGAGTCTCATCTGCAGTGGTGCAGCCTCCAGGTGGGCCCCCACACTGGGTTGTTTCTGTATCCCGCGTGCACGCAGCAGCACTGGAAGGGGTCAAGGCTGGGTCTGGTCTGTCCCTCCGCCAAGCCCATGACCGACACGTGTCAGGACCGCAGCAGTGCACAGAGGCGCAGAAGGTGTGTTTGGGATGCCCCTGGTGCAGGGGTGAATGGAGAAGAGGGTTCAGGATTCTGGGGTCTGACACTTAGTGCCAATCATGAGAGAGGCATCTGGCAGACAGGTGGGAGGAACCAGGAGGGTGGGGCCCGGGGGCGAGAGGAGAGAGGGCGTCTAGAAAAGCAGGCAGCCGCAGGGGACACTGATGACTGTTCCCCTGCAGAAGTGACCACCAAGCTGGCCTGCTGCAGTTGCCTGGGAGGGCGGGGTGTGGGCACAGCTTGGGGGGACGAGGGGATAATTGAGAGGTGAGGAATGGTGGCTCTGCTGTGGAGAGAGCCAGCATCCCGGGGAGGGGCTCTGGGTGTGCAAGGGTGGCCTCGAAGTTAAAGGAAAATCCCTTCGTGCAAGAACAGCTTGTCTGGGCTGCTGTCTGCGGCTCAGGTGCTGGCATGGAGAGTGCAGTTCAGCTCGCTTGGCCAAACCCCAGCTACTGGTTGGTGATTGAAGAAAAAGGGGGAAGGGGCATGGGGAATCTGAGGGCTCCTGGCTGGGCGAGTGGCAGGTGAGGGCCCCAGAGGTGTGATGAGAACTGACCCAGAAACAGGGTCTCTGTCTGGGGGAGTGGTCAGGGAGGGGCAGGCTGGAGTTGCTGTTTGGTGGGGTGGTGACAAGATCAGGGTGTAGCCATGCCCAGGGGACCAGAGCACAGGAAGTGAGGGGGTGGTGTTGCCATTGCCGAGAAGCTGCTGTGCTGGGTGGACTTACCCAGAGGTGGCTGCAGGGAGCTGCTGAGTGGCAGGAGTGCTGCGATCCAAGCAAAGTATTCTTTCAAATGGGGCCTTAGGGCTCAGATTTACCAAGGACATCACTGTTGGCCTGGCCGGGTGAAACCAGTAGGGAACAGTCCCTGGTGAGGAGTCCCCGTGGAATGAAGACCCTCCTCTTACTGGGAGGCCGAAAGCTGCAAACAGAGCTGGTGATTGCAGCTCCATTGAACATACT
Source organism: Homo sapiens (assembly GCF_000001405.40). Classification (NCBI taxonomy): domain Eukaryota; kingdom Metazoa; phylum Chordata; class Mammalia; order Primates; family Hominidae; genus Homo; species Homo sapiens. The sequence continues at coordinate 99,380,359 of NC_000014.9, read as the reverse complement.
CAGTAATTTCTGGTAATGACCAAGAAGAATTGAAGAACAAGCTCTCCTGAAAGGTCATTTATCCAAGAGAAGAAAATTACTTCTTTTCCTGGGGGCTGTCATCTTTTGCTTTAATTAATATCAAACGTGTGCACTCTTGGCGTTGACTTCAAATGTTCAAGTGGACTTCCCGTGACATTTTTAATAAAAAAGAGTAAATCCTTCTGGGCTGACGCCAGGACCTGGGTGATCATCAGAGCCTTCCCTGTTGCAGGGGCGCCTTGGTGGCCGACTGATGCTGGCCCTCACTGCGGCCAAGGAGGACGGGGTCTGGGACACACTGCAGCAAGGGCCTCTTGGCTTATGTGGTCATTCATTCATTCATTCATTTGCAACATGAAGAACAGGATTGCCTGCGTTCAAATCCCAGCTGCCTGGGCAAGGGAGCTTAACCTTCCTGTGCCTCAACTTTGTCATCTATAAAATGGGACAGCAGGCCAGGCTCAGTGTCTTTGTTTGTAGAAAAGGCAGAGGAGGCCGGGCACAGTGGCTTATGCCTGTAATCCCAGCACTTTGGGAGACTGAGGAGGGCAGATCACCTGAGGTCAGGAGTTTGAGACCAGCCTGGCCAACATGGTGAAACCCCGTCTCTACTAAAAATACAAAAATTAGCCTGGCATGGTGGCATGCATCTGTAATCTCAGCTACTTGGGAGGCTGAGGCAGGAGAATTGCCTGAACCCAGGAGGCAGAGGTTGCAGTGATCAAGATTGTACCACTGTACTCCAGCCTGGGTGACAGAGTGAAACTTCGTTTCAAAAAAAAAAAAGAAAGAAAGAAAGAAAAAGAAAAACAAAGGGCCAGGTGCTGTGGCTTTTGCCTGTAATCCCAGCATTTTGGGAGGCCGAGGCAGGCAGATCACCTGAGATCAGGAGTTCAAGACCAGCCTGGACAACATGGTGAAACCCCGTCTCTACTAAAAATACAAAATTAGCTGGGCATGGTGGCCAGCACCTGTAATCCCAGCTACTCAGGAGGCTGAGGCAGGAGAATCATTTGAACCCAGTGAGTCGAGATCACGTCATTGCACTCCAGCCTGGGTGACAGAGTAAGACTGTCCAAAAAAAAAAAAAAAAAAAAAAGAAAAGAAAAAAGAAAAAAAAATGGGAGAGCAATAGTACCTATTTCACACGGCTGTTTTATGACTCACATCAAATACTTTTGTGGAGTGCTCAGCACAGAGAAGAGACGCACCTGCCCAGCTGGAGTACTTGTTGCTTTTTTGTGTCTGCCCAGCACTGTGCCAGTACCAGGGATGCATGAACAAACTAGCCAGATGAACCTTGCCTCAAAGCCGAGTCTACTGGCTTTGCTGTTTGAACCCAGGGCAGCTGCCGGTCTTTCTTTCCTCTCCCGAGGTCCCCCAGGCGTGTGTCCCATGTGGCCTGGTTGTTTACGGGTCTGCTCCCCCAAGCCAGACTGAAGGCGGGGCCATGTCTGACTCACCAGCAGCGGCTGGCTTGAGGGCTGGCCTACCCCAGGGCCTGGGAAGTAGGAGCTTCAGAGATCACAGAGTGGAAAGGGGATGGTCTAGGGTTCCAAGGTTGGGGTGCAAGGCCCTGGGACAGAGACTGGGACTTCACTTCCTCCCCATGTAGCTGCAACAGACTGTCCAGTCCAATCCAACAATTCCTATTGTTTAAGTTTTTCAAACAAGAAAGTTGATGTGAGGGTTGGTGCAGGGTTTTTTTTGTTTTGTTTTGTTTTGTTTTTTTCCCAAGACAGAGTCTTGCTCTGTTGCCCAGGCTGGAGTGTAGTGGGGCAATATCGGCTCACTGCAACCTCCGCCTCCTGGGTTCAAGCAATTCTCCTGCCTCAGCCTCCCGAGTAGCTGGGATTACAGGCATCCGCCGCCAGGCCTGGCTAATTTTTGTATTTTTAGTAGAGACGGGGTTTCACCATGTTGGCCAGGCTGGTCTTGAACTCCTGACCTCAAGTGATACACCTGCCTCAGCCTCCCAAAGTGCTGGGATTACAGATGTGAGCCACCATGCCTGGCCCAGGGTTTTGTTTAAAGTCACCATGCTGACCTGTCTCTCAAGGAATCAAGAGATGAACATGTTCTTGGGCACAGCTCTTCCTGAATACGCAGGTTAGCGTGGTGAGCTCCAAACTCCCTTTTGGAAGACGATTCCTTAAGTGCCCACCCTGTGCCAGCACCTCGATGGGGAGACAGACCCAGCGGTTCCTTCTGGGTGGCTGCTGTCTCCTCAGCTAGAGCCATGAGCCAGGTAAGACTAGCCCGGAGAACTTGAACTCCGTATTTGAAGGGGCTGACACGATGGTCCATCGTCCTCTCTCCTCTTTAAAAAAAAAAAAAGCCTTACCTCTGCCTTTTCTCCTCTCTCTCTCTCTCTCTCTCTTTCTTTCTTTCTTTTGATGGAGTTTTGCTCTTGTTTCCCAGGCTGGAGTGCAGTGGCACGTTCTCGGCTCACTGCAACCTTTGCCTCCTGGGTTCAAGCGATTCTCCTGCCTCAGCCTCCCAAGTAGCTGGGATTACAGGCATGCGCCACCATACCTGGCTCATTTTGTATTTTTAGTAGAGACAGGGTTTCACCATGTTGGTCAGGCTGGTCTTGAACTCCTGACCTCAGGTGATCTGCCTGCCTTTGCCTCCCAAAGTGCTGGGATTACAGGTGTGAGCCACCGCGCCCGGCCTCCTCTGCCTTTTCTACAAACAAGGACACTCTCTTGCTTAATCGCACTATGGCCATCTAAGTGAGAAAGCTAACACTGATTCACGAGTCCCATCCAGTCCTCAGATCCCATCTGAGCTTCACTAACGGCCCCAGGAAGAATCAAGCCTAGCATTTAGCCATCAGGCCTCTTTAGTCTTCTTCAACCTGGAACGGCTGTGCGGTCATTCCTTGATGACTTTGACACTTCCATGTACTACCTGGCCTGCTATTTACAGGATGCCCCCCACTCCATGGGGGCTTGTCTCTTGCGTCCTCATGATTAGATTCAGGCTCTGCATCTTTTCAGGGATACGACAGAAGTGACATCGTGTTCTGCTCCCTGCATCCTATCAGTGGTCCCAGAGTGTGATGTGATCATTTGATTGGCTTCTGCCAGACTTGCCAGCTGTGGAGTTACTCTTTTCTCCTTTGTAATTAATAAGTGTCTCTGTGTGTGTGTGTGTGTGTGTGTGTGTGTGTAGGTGGTGGTGGTTACATTTTGTGTGTGTGTGTGTTTGAGCATAGATCATGTGTAATACGTAGATATCCCCTGCCTGGTCTATTAATACCAGGTTAGGGTTAGGATTAGGTTAGGGTTTCAGTGCCCCCCTTGCTTCTGACTTGGCGTGGGCTGCCTTCCAGGCTGGCCCTTGGCTGTCCCTCATTCTCTGAGCACTTTCATACCTCCTCTTACAACAAGATGCCCTGCTTTATTTTGTACTCTCTACACCCCGGCCTCAGTCCACCAGCTCCCTGGGGAGTGCCATCTCCTTTAGTGGAGCACAGTATTAGGAACCAAGAGCTGGAGGCTGGGTGTGCTCATTCCTCCTGCGCCCCGGTCTTCCAGGCCCCCTCATTCACACACACTGCACACCTCTAAAGCTTCCCTCCCTCCCTCCCTCCTTTCCTCCCTTCCATTCCTCCCTCCCTCCCTCCTCCCCTCCCTTCCCTCCCTCCCTCCCTCCCTTCCCTCCCTTTCCCTCCCCTCCCCTCCCCTCTCCTCCCCTCCCTTCCCTCCTTCCCTCCCTTCCCTCCCTCCCCTCCCCTCCCTTCCCCTCCCCTCCCCTCCCTTTCCCTCCCCTCCCCTTCCTTCCCTCCCTCCCTCCTTATCTGCCTCTCTCCCTTCCCTCCCCGCTCCCCTCCCTTCCCCTTCCCTCCCTCCCTCCCTCCCTCCCTCCCTCCCTCCCTTCCTTCCTTCCTTCCTTCCTTCCTTCCTTCCTTCTTTTCTGCCTTCCTTTCTTGTTTCTTTCAGGGTCTTGTTCTGTCACCCAGGCTGGAGTGCAGTGGCTTGATCAGGACTCACTACATCCTTGACCTTCAAGGCTCCTCCTGCTTCAGCCCCCCGCCCCCAGTAGCTGGGACTACTGCAACCTCTGCCTCCCAGGTTCAAGCAATTCTCCTCAGCCTCCCAAGAAGCTGGGATTACAGGCATGTGCCACCACACCCGGCTAATTTTTGTATTTTAGTAGAGATGGGGTTTCACCATGTTGGCCAGGCTGGTCTCGAACTCCTGACCTCAGGTGATCCGCCCACCTTGGCGTCCCAAAGTGCTGGGATTACAGGTGTGAGCCACCGTGCCTGGCCTATCTTTCCTACTTTTTATTGAAGGAATTCTTTATATGTTTTGGATAATAATCCTTAGTTTGTTAAATATGATGTAAATATTTTCTTTTCTGCCAGTGCTCTTTTAACTTTTAGCTTTCTTCATAAAGGCTTTTACATTCTGTAGTTAAATTTATGAATTTTGCTTTTTAGTAAATCTTATTTAAAACTCTTCCCTGTCATAAACATATTTTCCTAGATTTTCTTCTATCACTCTTGCCACTTCAAAAAAAGAAAAAACATGTTTACCTTTATTTCATTCATTTTTGTTAGTGGTGTGAAGGCAAATTTTAATTTTATTTTTTCCAGGTAGTAAATTGTTCCAACACTTACCAAATAATCTTCGTCCCCCTGACTGATTTGAAATGCCATCTTTATTCATATACTGAAGTCCAGTATTTACATGGATCTGCTTTTCTGAACTTCTGTTTTTTTTCCAAGGATGTATTTATCCATTCATGTGCTAATATCACATTATATTTATTAAAATTACTTTATAATATTCTTTGACATCTTGTCAGGCAAAATTCCCCTTTGTTTTTTCTTTTTTCAAGCTGTCTTGGCTATTCTTGAGCATTTACTCTCCAATCTGAATATTACAATCAGCTTGTCAAGTCCCATTAAAATCTTGATCATGTTTTGATTGGGGTTGTATAGAATTTATAGATTTATTGGGGGATTAAAATGGAGCAAAATATTAGCTCTTAGGATTGGGATCTGGCACAGGGCAAGCGTGCATAACTTTTTGCGGAGTCATGACCCACTGTCTGTGGAAGGTGGGAAGGTGGGCGTCCCGCGCTCTCTGGACAGCAGAGGCCCTCTCTGGCCCTGGGTCAGGATGCTCAGTGTGGGGCAGTGGAAGGTGCTGTCATTTTCTCCCGAGGCATGCAGACACCAGGGATTCCTCCAGAGGCTCTGTCGGGGCCTCCATGAGATACAAAGTGCTGGACGGGAAGGGTTGGTTCCAACACCATTCACTCGCTCACACTCATCAAATGCTCACTGAGCGCCTGCCCCATGCAGGTGCTGGGTGCTGGGTGCTCCAGGGGCAGGCAAGAAACTCCCGTGTCTCTGAAAGACCTTCCTCCAGATTCCCAAAGGCGGGTGTGGAGCAGGGTGGGGTGACCCTGAGGAAGAGCCCCTCACTGCAGCCTGGAGGGGACAGTCTCTGGGGTGGGCTTCACAGGATAGGTCAGTTTTCCAGGCACCACCAAGAATGGGGCTTTGTAGGGAGAGGACGTGGCATGTCTGGAGACACAGTGGTGTGGGGTGGGGGCTGGGAGGGGGTGGCCCGAGTCGGGGAAGGGCAGTTGGAGATGAAGCCTGCTTGAATCTTGCTTGAGGCTTGTCTAGGTGGGGTCTGTGTGCCATCTGGGGGTGGGGGATAGGGTGCCAAGGGTAGGTGTCAGGTAGAGGCCCAGGACTGGATGCAGAAAACCCCAGGCAAGTCGTGTGTCCTCACGGTGGAGACAGGGAGGAGACCAGTGAATCAGCCCCATGTAGCTGCACCTGTGTGTTTCCACGTGGGCTTCAGTGTTTATTAAAGGATAAGTAATAAAATATACTGACTTGAAGTTTACATTGATTATTATTATTATTAAAACCCAACATTTACTGCAGAAATTGTTTAGAACTCAGACCAACAGGTTTTATGTCAGAGTGGGTTATGTATCACTGGCATTGTGTAGACTTGTTCGCACATGGTAATAATAAAAAGCAGACTGATTTGTAGCTGGTTTTATTATGTTTGAAATTTTCTTTTCTTTTTTTAAAAATTAATTTTAATTTTAAGTTCCGGGGTACATGTGCAGGATGTGCAGGTTTGTTACATGGGTAAACGTGTGTCATGGTGGTTTGCTGCACCTACCAACCCATCACCTAGGTATTAAGCCCAGCATGCATTAGCTATTTTTCCCAATGCTCTCCCTCCCCTCACTGTTTGAAATTTTCTACAAGCAATGCACCTGGGTGGATGGCTACTACCACCCACGCTTGGTGCACCGCCACCCTCACCCCATGTATTTTCCAACCATTGCCTTTTTTTGACCCATTTTCATAGAAAATCCTTGTCTTCACTTCCTCACTGCCCATTCTTTATAAAATGTTTGCTTAGTTAAATAGTGAGACTCTGCAAAATAGTATTCATGAAAACGCAGAAGATATACAGAGTAACAATGCACAAATCCTTATCTGCCCACCATTCCGTTTGTGACACAGGACAATACATCAACTTTGAAGCCCTCTGTGAACCCCTGCCCCAAGTCCCCTCCCCTTCTCGCCCTCCTTTGGAGGCAATCATTTTTGTTGATTGATCATTCTCTTGCTGTTCTTTATTGCTTGATCACAGGCTTGTGGCCTTTCCTGAACATTATTACATCATTTAGGTTTGCATGTTTTTAAATCTCATATGATTAATTTTGTGTATATTCTTCTGCCCCTTGCTTTTTTTTGCTCAACATGATATTCCTGAGATTATCCATATTGTGTGAATGAATAGCAAGCAGCTCATTCTTTTTCGCCACTGTATAGGATTCTGTTCTATGAATGGACCACAATATATGGATTCATTCTTCTGCTGATGAACTTTGAATGATTTCTAGTTCTTTGAGTTCTTTGTTTGTTTGTTTGTTTGCTATCATAACAGTGTTGCTTATACAAGGCCAGTCTTCTGGTGCTCATGAGCCTGAATCCTCTATGGTAGACACCCTGGGTTGGAACGGCAAGGTCCTGGGGTGGGTCATTTCTTTAACTTTACTACATAATAGAAAATGTGACTTTGATAATTTAGACTCCACCAGTATGAAGTTGCCATTGTTCTGCATTGTCTTCAAGACTTGATATTGTTGCTGCCTAGAAATTTTTAAATTTTTAATCATTGGCACTCTTAGATGAAGGATATGACTGGGTACAGGATTCTGAGGTCACTGCCTTTTTCCCCTCAGTAGAATCTCAAACACTTTCAGATGAAAAGAACACAACCAGTCCTACCTCAGTGGTATATCTACTCCCAATACCTTTGTTAAAAAAAAAAAAAAAAGAAAGAAAGAAAGCACACCAAGTTCTAGGCAGGATTAGCTTGAAGAAGTTTCTAAATTCCAGGGAAAACTTTTAAAAAGACTTCAAAAACCAGATAGAGGTAAAAAGTTCACTTACTAAGAGACTATTGACTAAAATCAGACTTCTCATTTGCCAGTCTAAAAGTCAGAAGACAGAGAAACAATGCTATAAGGTTTGTACTATTATTATCCCCACTTTACAGATGAGAAAACAGAAAGGTTAGAATAAGTTCCTTAAGATTACAAATCTAATAAGTAATTTGTGATTTAGACTTGTACTATCTGACTCCAGAATACACACTTTTATCTACCAAATTCTCCTAAGTAAGATTGGAATATCAGAAAATTACTTAAACACGTAAAGGCCTTTTATCCAAATTGAACAGCAAACAGTAATTCTAAAGCCACTGTCATTAAAATTAGGATGAAAAAAGGGATGCCTATTATCAACACTATTATTTAGTTCTAGCTAAAGTAATTGGAAAAGAAAATAAAAACAATCCAAATATGTGAAAAAAGTGATAAAGTTGTCTTTATTTGCAGATGATATAATTATATATCTAGAAAATTTAAGCAATTAAACAACAAAAAGCTAAGGTGGCTGGATACTAGATAAATAAGCAACAACACAGTAGCTTTTCTTTATATTAGAAATAACTAGGAATGGAAATGGAAGTCATCACATTTGCAATGGGAACAAAATTATTATTTTTGAAAGACACAATACAAAACCTGAATAGATGGAAAGAGACACAGTATTCCTGGATGGAAAGAAAAGTATCAGTCAGATGTGGTGGCTTACACCTGCAATCCCACCACTTTGGAGGCCAAGGTGGGTGGATCACTTGAGGCCAGGAGTTCAAGAACAGCCTGGCCAACATGGCAAAATGTTGTCTCTACTAAAAGTACAAGAAAATTAGCTGGGCGTGGTGGCATGCACCTGTAATCCCAGCTACTCAGGAGTCTGAAGCATGAGAATCACTTGAACCTGGGAGGTGGAGGTTGCAGTGAGCTGAGATTGCATCACTGTACTCCAGCCTGAGTGACAGAGTGAGACTCTGTCTCAAAAAAAAAAGTTTAATAGTTCTGAAATTAATATATACATTTAATGCATTTCCAATGGGAATTCCTACAGATTTTTTTGGAGAGCAAATTAGATAAAATAATTTCAAAGTTTATATGGACAAGTAAGTGTAAAGATTTGGCAAGAAAAAATGTGAAGGATAGTGGAAAGAGAGATGCCCTACCAGATATTAAAACTTCTTGTAAATCTTTTCTAATCAAATAAATAGGGAACTGGCACAACAATCAGTGAATATTGATCTGAGGGGGGAAAAGAGGTTTCAGAAACAGATGCAAATATACCTCGGTGCCTAGTATTGACGAAAGTGTTGTTTCAATCAGGGGGAAAAGAAGAGATAATTTAAAAGGATTTTACAAAAAAATCCTTTAATTTAAAAGGATTTTACAAAAAATCAATTTCATATGAAGTAATCACAAATGTTAAAGCTAAAGCAATTAGATATTAGAATAGAGGAGACTATTTGTAAAGTCTAAAAGGGATTGGCTTTATTAAGCCAATCAGAAAACAGAACTCCAAAGAAGATAACTGAGAGATCTCTCTACATAAAAGTGAAAAATAGCTCAATAGCAAAAGACCCCATGGTCACATGACAAATGACAGACTGAGAAAAAATATTTCTAAAACATTTGCCAAAGGGTTAAGAGCCCTAAAATAGAAAAATCTCCAAGTATTGATAAGAAAAAGACAAAAAATAGGAAAGAAGGCAAAGTATATGAGTGGATAATTTACGGAAAAGACATATAACCATTAAATATATAAGGTGCTCAGCCACACTAGTAATCAGATTATCAAATATTAAAATCAGTAATATTCAGTGGTGCTGGTTGCGGTGGCTAACGCCTATAATCCCAGCACTTTGGGAGGCTGAGACTGGAGGATAACTTGAGGTCAGGAGTTCAAGACCAGCCTGGCCAACATGATAAAACCCCATCTCTACTAAAATACAAAAATTAGCTGGGTGTGGTGGTGCACACTTGTAATCCCAGCTACTTGGGAGGCTGAAGCAGGAGAATGGCTGCTCACTGGCAGAATGAGTGAGGCAGAGGTTGCAGTGAGCTGACATCACATTACTGCATTCCAGCCTGGGTGACAGAGTGAGACTCTGTCTCAAAAAAAAAAAAAAAATTCAGTGGTGACATCATGTACAGATAATGGTCACTGTCAATACGCTGTGGGTGCCAGGAGTAATTTCTGTGCACTTTTGGGAAATTATTAGGGTACTACCTATTAAAAGTTAAAACATACATACACAGAAATTCTACTTCTGGACCTCTATCCTGTGGAAATCAAAGCACCAGTATGCAAGGATATTGTGTATACAAAGCTAATGTCCTTGGTGCTGTCAGCACCCCAACAATATCCCCAGGCATTTGCCAATCCAGTATATGCCCATAATGTCATCCTGCACATGCCTATAACCTTCTGCCTGATAGCTTTCTCTTAAGAAGTCCACGGTTGGACAGGGAAGAATTGCTGGAGAGTTAGTGCCCTGGGAACAGTCTTTGGGGAAAGACAGTTAAGAGTTTGAGGATAAATAACCCAACTTCTTCGCCCCTTGAGTGGAATAATTCTCCAGTGTGTTCTTTTTTTTGTTTTTATTTTTTTTTGAGATGTAGTCTTGCTCTTGTCCCACAGGCTGGAGTGCAAGGGCACAATCTCGGCTCACTGCAACCTCCACCTCTTGGGTTCAAGCTATTCTCCTGCTTCAGCCTCCTGAGTAGCTGGGATTACAGGTGCCTGCCATGGTGCCCAGCTAATTTTTATATTTTTAGTAGAGAAGGGGTTTCACCATGTTGGCCAGGCTGGTCTTGAACCCCTGACCTCAGGTGATCCACCTGACTCGGCCTCCCAAAGTGCTGGGATTACAGGCATGAGCCACTGCACCCAGCCATTTCTGAGGTGTGTTCTATACTGTCTTCCAGACTTTCCAAGAAGACTGAACCTTAGTTGCTCACAGTGTGATCTGCTTGATTACTCACCCTTTGTTGGCTTTTTCCCCTCCTTGAATCACTTATCCTTTTTCTTCCTACTATATCCTGGGATCAGCTCCTTATACAGTCAGCCCTCCGTATTCATGGGTTCCACATCCATGGATTCAACCAACTGCAGATAAAAAATATTTGAAAAAAGAATTGCGTCTGCACTAACAATGTACAGATTTTTTTCTTGTCATTATTCCCTAAACAGTACAGTATAGCAACTATTTATATAGCATTTACATTGTCTTAGGTATAATAATAATATTAGTTATAATAAAATATAATACGATTATATGTTATAATTATATAATAATAATAGTTATTATTATTATTATTAGAGACCAGGTCTCGCTCTGTCGCCTAGGCAGCAGTTAGGTGGTGCGATCATGGCTCATGGCAGCCTTGACTTTTCAGGCTCAGTTGACCCTCCCACCTCAGCCTTCCGAATACCTGGGACTACAGGCTAATTTTTGTATTTTTTGTAGAGATGGGGTTTCACCATGTTGCTCAGGCTGGTCTTGAACTCCTAGGCTCAAGCAGTTTGCTTGCCTCAGCCGCCAAATGTTCTGGGATTACAAGCGTGAGCCACTGTGCCAGCCTTTATAATTATTCTAGAGATGATTTAAAGTATACAGGAGGATATGCATAGGTTATATGAAAATACTATGCCATGTTATATCAGGGACTGGAGCATCTGTGGATTTTGGTATCTGTGGGAGGTCCTGGAATTGCAAGGGATCTAGAATTGCCAAAACAATCTTGAAGAAAACAAATAAAATTGGAGGACTCACACTTTCGGGATTTCAAAACTTACTACAAATCAGCAGTAATGAAGACTGTGTGGTACTGGCAAAACAATCGACCTATAAATCAATGGAATAGAATTGAGTCAAAAAATAAACCCATGTTTCTGTGGTGAACTGATGTTCAACAAAGGTGCCAACACCAGTCAATGGGGAAAGAACAGTCTTTTCAACAAATGGTGCTGGGACAACTGGATAGTCACATGCAAAAGAATGAAGCTGTACCCTTACCTCATACCATATACAAAAAGTAACTCAAAATGAATCAAAGGCTAAAATTAAACTACACTGAAACTCTAAAACTCTTATAAGAAAATGGGTGAATCTTCGTGACGTCAGTTTTGACAATGTGCTCTTGGATATGGCATAAAAAGCATGAGCAAAAAGAGCAGGAATAGATAAATATTAGACTTCAAAATTAAAAACTTTTGGCTGGGTGTGGTGGCTTACACCTGTAATCCCAGCACTTTGGGAGGCCGAGGCAGGAGAATTGCTTGAGGTCAGGAGTTCAAGACCAGCCTGGTCAACATGGTGAAACTCTGTCTCTATTAAAATTACAAAAATTACCCAGGTGTGGTGGTGCATGCCTGTAATCCCAGCTACTTGGGAGGCTGAGGCACGAGAGTCGCTTGAACCTGGGAGGCGGAGGTTACAGTGAGCTAAGATTGTACCACTGCACTCCAGCCTGGGCAACAGAGCAAGACTCCATCTCAAAAAATAAAAATAAAAATAAAAACTTTTGTTCTTCAAAGACACTATCAATAAAGCAAAAGACAAGCCATAGAACAGAGGGGATATATTTGCAAATCATATATCTGATAAGGGACTTGTATCTAGAATATATAGAAATAACTCATATAGTTCCATCCGACAAATAATTTAAAATGGGCAGAGGACTTGAAGAGACACTTCTCCAAAGAAGATATACAAATTGCCGATAAGCACATGAAAAGATGGTCCACATCATTAGTCATGAGGGAAAGGCAACTCAAAACCGCAAGGAGGTACCACTTCACACCTACTAGGATGACTAGATTAAAAAGTCAGATAGTAACAAGTGATGAGGAGGATATAGAGAAGTTGGAACGCTTACACATTGCTGGTGGGAATGTAAACTGGCACAGCCACTTATAAAAACAGCCTGGTAGGGCCGGATGCCGTGGTTCACGCCTGTAATTCCAGCACTTTGGGAGACTGAGGCGGGTGAATCACGAGGTCAGGAGATCGAGACCATCCTGGCCAAAATGGTGAAACCCCATCTCTACTAAAATACTACAACAACAACAACAACAACAGCAACAACAACAAAATTAGCCGGGTGTGGTGGTATACGCCTGTAGTCCCAGCTACTCGGGAGGCTGAGTCATGGGAATCGCTTGAACCCGGGAGGCAGAGGTTGCAGTGAGCTGATATATCGCTATTGCACTACAGCCTGGCGACAGAGTGAGACTCCATCTCAAAAACAGAAAGAAAAAAAAAAAACAAAACAAACCAAAAAACCAGCCAGGTAGTTTCTCAAATGATTAAACATACAGTTACCTACTGTATGTCCCAGCAACTTCACTCCTAGGTATCTATCCAGGAGAAACAAAAACATATGGATACAAAAAAACCTTATGCACAGATGTTTATAGCAGCACTATTCATAATAGCTGAAGGGTGGGAACAACTCGAATGTCCATCAACCGGTGAATGGATAAGCCTAATGTGGTATATTCATACAATAGGGATCACTGTATTATATTATGCCATAAAAAGAAATGAAGTACTGGTACATGCTACAATATGGATGAATCTTGAAAACATGATGCCAAGTGAAAGAAGCCAGTCAGAAAAGACCACACAGCATATGATTCCATTGATGTAAAATACCCAGAATAGGCCAATCTATCCAGACCACAGAAAAAAACTTTGTTTAGGGCTGTGGAGAATGGGGTAGTAGAGAGGTTAATGGTCAGAGGGTGAACCACACCCTCTGGTATGGTAAATGGTATGGGGCTTGTTTTAGAGATGATAAAAGTGTTCTAAAATCGACTGTGATGATGATTGCACAGATTGTGAATATATTAAAAAATCATTGATTTGTATGCTTTAAATTGGTCAGTGTATGCTATGTGAATTGTATCTCAGTAAAGCTGGTTTGTTCTTTTTTAAAAGAAGAGTTAGAACAATATGTTGACCTGGAGCGATTTGAATGATAAATGCTTCCTGAAAAAAGAAAGTTACAGTGTGTTAGGACTGAACTGCATCTCCCCTTCCCCTGATTTGCCCCAAATTCCTATGTTGAAGTCCTAAACCCTAGCACCTCAGAGTGTGATGGTATTTGGTAACACGGTCGTTGCAGATGTAATTAGTTAAGGTCATACTGGAGTAGGGTGTGCCCCAATCCAAGATGACTGGTGTCCTTATAAAAAGGGGACATGGCTGGATGCGATGGCTCACACCTGTAATCCCAGCACTTTGGGAGGCTGAGGCGGGCAAATTACTTGAGGTCAGGAGTTTGAGCCCAGCCTGGCCAACATGGTGAAACCCCGTCTCCACTAAAAACACAAAAATCAGTTGGGCGAGGTGGCGGGCGCCTGTAATCCCAGGTACTCGGCAGTCTGAGGCAGGAGAATTGCCTGAAGCTGGGGGGTGGAAGTTGCAGTGAGCCGAAATGGCGCCACTGCACTCCAGCCTGGGCGACAGAGTGAAACTCTGTCTCAAAAAAAAGGGACATTTGGGCCAGGTATGGTGGCCACCTTTAATACCAGCACGTTGGGAGGCCGAGGCGGGAGGATCATTTGTGGTCGGGGGTTTGAGACCAACCTGGCCAACATGATGAAATTCTGTCTCAACTAAAAATACAAAAAGATTAGCCTGGGGTGGGGGCACACACCTGTAGTCCCAGCTACTCAGGAGGCTGAGGCAGGAGAATGGCTTGAACCCAGGAGGCAGAGGTTGCAGTGAGCCGAGATCACGCCACTGTACTCCAGCCTGAATGACAGAGCAAGACCCTGTCTCAAAAAAAAAAAAAAAAAAAAAAGGCGGAGGGGGGACATTTGGACACAGTCACACACACAGGAAAATACCAGGTGAAGATCGGAGTTCTGCTGCCACAGCCAAGGAACTATTAAGGTTAAAGAATGACAAAAACCGCAACTACTTTTGCATCAACCTAATACCAGAAGCTTGGAGGAAGGCCTGGGACAGTTCCTCCCCAGCGCCCTCAGAGGGACCATGGCCCTGCTGACCCCTTGATCTTGGACTTCCAGTGCCACTCAGTGTGTGGTACTTTGCAGCCCTAGTAAACTAATACACAGAGTAACAATGGAAGCAGAACTTAACTTATATTTCTAAATTTTATTTTATTTTTGACTTATGTATTTATTTATTTATTGAGATGGAGTCTTGCTCTTGTTGCCCAGGCTGGAGTGCAATGGCATGATCTTGGTTCACTGCAACCTCCGTCTCCCAGGTTCAAGCAATTCTCCTGCCTCAGGCTCCCACATAGCTGGGATTACAGGTGCACTCCACCACGCCCAGCTAATTTTGTATTTTTAGTAGAAACATGGTTTCACCATGTTGGTCAGGCTGGTCTTGAACTCCTGACCTCATGTCATGTGATCCACCCGCCTCGGCCTCCTAAAGTGCTGGGATTACAGGTGTGAGCCACCGTGAGCCACTGCATCTGGCCAACTTATATATTTATGTATTTCTATACAGAACAAAGACCAAAGACTCCCTTTCACATTAACATTGGTTATCTTATGGGACAGGACTCGGTTGGGAGAGGCTGTTAGGTTTGTAAATTTGTTTTTATTGTTTGAATTGTTATAATGAACATACACTTACTTTTGCATTTAAAAAACAAAGGATTGGCAAAGTGTGGCGGTTCACGCCTGTAATTTCAGCACTTTGGGAGGTGAGGCAGGAGGATCACTTGAGCCCAGGAGTTGGAGACCTGCCTGGGCAACATGGCAAGACCCCATTTCTACAAAAAGTACAAAAATTAGCCAGGCACGGTGGCATGTCCCTATAGTCCCAGCTGCTCAGGAGGTTAAGGCTGCAGTGAGTGTGATTGCACTCCAGCCTGGGTGACAGAGTGAAACCTTGTCTCAAAAAAACAAAAACAAAAACAAAAACAAAAAAAACAAAACAAACCTCAAAACAAAGGATTTTTAAAATAGAGCTGGGACACAGGGTTTAGGGGCTCTCTTCATTTTTTATTTTATCTTTTACAGTTAGATATTTCAACTGCCTTCTGGAAAAGTCTTGCTTCCCAGACTCCAAATTTCTTGGCCAAATATACTCTCTGAAGCAGTCTGGAAAATTTCTTAGAACACTGGGTATGCCGCAAGCAAGGCAGGAATATGGCTCTTGGCTCTTCTGGCCTAGGAAGTGAAGACGGAGGGTGAGGATGATGATGGTGGTGGTGGCCATAATGGCAACGATGGAGAACGAGGTGGAGGAGCAGGAAGAAGAGGATTAAAGCATGTTGAAATTTCCAGTTTCCAAGTTCCCCTTCCTTATCCAGCCTTATTTAGTGCTCCCAGGCAATATCTTCAATTTACAGATTTGGAAACTGACGCTCAGCAAGGTTAAGTGACTTATGCAGGGGCCCACAGCTAGCAAATTGTGGGGGCAGGTATAAACCTGAATTAACTTAGCTCCAACCCCCTTTTCCTTCAACTTGCAGAGGTTGGGAGAGGTACTGGGCCCTACTTCCTTTGCCCCAGGTATCAGCCCCACTTCCTGGCTTAGCAGGAACCTTCTCTCATTCAAAGCAGTCTTGAGATGGGGAAAAAATCAGCAGCCCACTACTTTTTCTCTCTGCAGTTTTCCAGCAGCCCCAATTGGTTTGCTGTGATGTGATGTGGGGGCCTGCATTATTCAAGCCCATGGAATATTCAGGCTGCGGGCAGAGGAACTGAGCCTGTCAGGGCTGGCTGAGCTGCTTCCTCACAAAAGGCCCCTGCGGGCTGGGGAAGCTGCAGGGCTCTGGGAGGCAGCCTGTGCCTCGTGTTAGGACAGATGTGTCGTCCTGGCCTGACCCAGGAGGGGGCGAGGGCTGCCTCCGCCACCTGATGGATGTCCTCATTTGGGGGGAATGCATTATTGAGCACAAGGGCTCTTTCCAGTCAGACTCCTGGACAAAACCGCTCAGCTGTGTCCCCACTGGTGGGAGTCTGAGCCCCAAGCACGGAAGAACCCACTCCTAGGTGGAGCGGACCCAGCGCACCAGGCCCGGGAGGACCATTTGGGATGGTGAATGCTCTTCCCTGAATTCCTGTGGGGAGCGGACCTCCGGAAGAAAAACTGGAATTTGGGACATGTTGGTCCTGGCACTATTGTCAGTCATGTGACTGCAAACACACAAGACCCATCCGCTTGCAAACGCTGGTCCCCTGTGAAGGCTCAGCTCCCATGAGGTCAGTGTGAACCGGGTCCCTAGCAAGATGTGGACTTCCAGAGCCCATGCTTTCAGAATCAGGGAACTGGTTGTCCTTGAACTTTTGTCCTCTTGAACCCTTGAGTTGTAGAGTGTCAGCATGCCAGGGAGTAGACTTGTGGAATCCCAGAGTCATTGGCTCCAGAATCCTCATGGGTAGCTCTGGAACCTCAGAGTCAGCGGTTCTAGAACCGTGGGCGGTTCAGTCTGGAAACCTGAAGGCCTCACATTTGGGTGGCGCTCATTTGTCCCTCCTGGGGCAGAGCTTCTCTAGGAACACACGGTCATGGAGCGGGCGCCCGGCAGCATTGAAGGCAGGTGCCTCTGCTTTGCCGTTAATACTACAATTAAAGAAGAAATAGCGGGAAGTTCTTTCAACTGTGACTCAGCTGGTCAGAGAGCAATTAGGGTTGCCACTGCTGCTGCCTTCCTGAGCTGATTGCATGGGACAGAGGCACTCTGCCTTTTACCTACCTGCCGCCTCGGGACCTCAGGTGAGCGCACCTTCCTGGGGAGGCAGCCGCTGTGCCGTCTTCTCCAGCTGCTCTCTGGGCTCTGGGGGTTTGGGGACTTGGAAGGCTGTGTTTGGGATGGAAGCCCACCCATGTGGGATCCTTGGTCTTCCTCCCATTTTACAGACTGGGAATCTGCGCCTTGGAATGCCCTCTTTGGTCTAGACCAGGGCTTCTCAGCCTCAGCCTTATGCACACTTGGGGCTGGGTAATCCTTGGTGGTGGCTGTCCTGTGCTCTGCAGATATTTATCTGCTTCCCCGTCCTGTGCCCAGTGGCCGCCAGTAGCATTCCTCCTGTGTGACAACCAAAAATGTCTCCAGACACTGCTAAAGATCCTGGGGGCATGGGGCAGAATCTCCTCCAGTTGTGACCCGCTGGTCTCTGGAATGAATTCCTGAGCCTCGGTGTTGACTCCCCAGGGCCCCCTGCGCACCCTGCCAGCTGCTTGGCTGGCCCTTATTTCCAACCTGAAAGTCCCTCCCTAGGGTTCCTAGAGTAACCCAGTTACCCCTATGTTATAGAGAGGAAGGAAAGGTTCAGAGTTTCAAAAGGGGTTTCCATTGTTCAAGGTCCCAGCAGGTCCGTGGAAGAATTGGGATTCAACCTCACAGCTCTTTCAACTTTCCCACATGCTCTCCCTCATTCCCGCTGAGATCTTGAGCCCTCTGTCATTCCATACATATTTTTTGGGCACATACCATGGACCAGGCCCTATTCTAGGTAGTGAGGAAATCGCAGTCAACAAAACAGAAAAGGATCCTTGCCCTCATGGAGCAGGTGTTCACCTGGGGAAGGGTGTGTGTGTGTGTGTGTGAGAGAGAGAGAGAGAGAAGGGGGGAGACACACACACACACACACACACACACACACACACACACACACAGAGACAGAGAGAGAGAGAGAAAGACAGAGGATCCCATGGCTGCTCAAATGCCCCTCCTGAGCATGGCTGCTGACTCAAGGCTGTAAAACCTCCCACCAGCAATCAAATCAGGTGATCTCCATTCACCCTGATGTCCCAGGTAACTGGAGCCCAGGGAGGTGTTAGCTCTAGGCCCATCCTTCACCCGTGGATGCTCAACTTCCCAAAGAACAGGGCAGAGGAGTCAGGCCAGGGCAGCAGCTTCGGGCAAACCGCCCTTGGGATGCCTTTCCGCTCTCTCACATCCGTCCAAGTGTGAGCGAGCAGGCGTCTAGCCTGGCTGCGCAGACCCAGACCCCCATAAATTATGCACATCGCTCCCATTTCTAGATGGAGGCACTGGAGAAATTACAACTCCCATTAACTCAGGCGGCACAGGCGGCCCAGCTGTTTCTTCAGTTCTGGCCTCTCCCTGGCTGGAAGGGAAGGGTTTGGCCGTGGGAGGGCCGTGAAACTCCGCTTCTCTGGGCCTTAATGCACAGCGCGTGTAACTGCTTGGCAGAGAGAAGCCGTCTGTCCACAGCAGGTATGGTGCGGGTGCCTACTAGCTGGTCCGATGCCTGAAAAGCTAGAGGCAAACAGGCATGGAGAGGCCAAGGGACAGGTCAGCGGTGCTGCTGTTTGTTTCCCCGCTTTGTGGACATGGGCCTGGGGGCTTCGGGTTGCCTCCCCGGCCGTCCCCTTCTTCTCCACTCTGCTCTCGCCAGCACTCGTGTCCTTTCAGTCCCATGTATGCGGTGGCTGAGTTGCCCTTTCCCTCATGTGCCAAGAACAAGTGCCTGAGCACATGTGTAAGGCGACCCGAAGTGGGGCTAGCAGCAACTGTCCCGTCCACTAACCCAGTTTTGCCGATGAGAGAGGAAGTGACTCGCCCAAGATCACTGAGAAGTTAGCAGGGGAAGCAGCCAAGGGACTGAGTTCTCCTGCTATGGGCTCTTGCTAATAACGCTGGGTGGAGCCAGGCCTCGGAGCAGGCACCACGTGCCCTGGCCGAGGACAAAGTGGCACCAAGCTCCTCGCCCACAGCCACACCCCTGTGGCCCACTTGCTGATTGGCCCAGGGCTTAGGGTGGAGCCAAAGAGCACCATAGGTGGGCTTGGCTCTGTCCAATAGGAATGCTCGTTACTGGAGCCAAACAATCTGAGCCAATCAGAGCCTCTCATGGTGGGGCAGGGCTATAAATACCCAGGGAAGTCTGCGCTAGAGCTTCCAGGGCGTCTCCTCTGGAACAGTGGCTGTCTCGGGTCCCCACCATGTAGGTGCAGCTCCCTGCCTTCCACAGCAGCTTCTGGTGCCTGGCTAGAGTTCTGGGACTGAATTCACAGATCGTGCCACTGGCCCAAGGTGAGAACTCGGAAGGTCCCTGACCAGGGCCAAGATCAGGCCTCTGGAGGTGACTAGAGGCAGCTGGGTGATAGCTGGCCGGGTACAGTCTCTCAGTACCACCCCTGGTGAATTTCTCGCATCTACAGACTGTTGAATTTATATATTGCAAGGCCTAGTGATATTGATCAGCATCAATATTTATAAAAGAGGCAGCTGAGGCTGGGCGAGGTGGCTCATGCCTGTAATCCCAGTACTTTGGGAGGCCAAGGTGGGCGGATCATGAGGTCGGGAATTCGATACCAGCCTGACCAACATGGTGAAACCCCGTCTGTACTGAAAATACAAAAATTAGCCGGGCACGTGCCTGTAATCCCAGCTACTCAGGAGGCTGAGGCAGGAGAATCGCTTAAACCCGGGAGGCAGAGGTTGCAGTGAGATGAGATCGTGCCACTGCACTCCAGCCTGGGTGACAGAGCGAGACTCCGTCTCAAAAAAAAAAAAAAAAAAGGCAGCTGTTTCTGTATTGAGAGTGCCTGTCTTCCAGCTCCTATGGGTATTAATTCATAGATAGGCCCAGGGATATCAGAGCTGAAAGCCCTGGAAACCCAAACTTCACATGCCAGAAAGTGAGCCCAGGCAGGAGCAGAGCCCAGTACCACCTAGTCTTGTGCTCACGCTTTTCATTTCACTGGAATGAACTCTAGAACCTGTGTCCTTTCACCTAACCACATTTCTGTGGGTGGAATAATTAGAGGGCTGGCCACCCGTTTGCTGAGTGTGTCCTGCGTGCCTGGCTTATGCTGGGCGCTTTATATGAACAATTTCTAAAGAATGGAACGCCCTCAGTGGCATGCTTCCTTGTCTTCTTTATGAAGGTAAGGGAACTGAGGCCCAGAGTGATTAGGTAATTTACCTAAGACCATATCTCTAGAAAATAGTGGAAATGGAACCTGCAATTTAGCTGCTGATTCCAAAGCCCTCATCCCAACTCTGGGCTGCCTGCCTGGCCTTTGAGTTGGGTGTTGAGGGATGAGGCTAGAAAACATTCATCTGCCCATTCAACAAACTTCTCTCACAATTTTAATCCTTTCCTTCTTAGTCTTCATGAGTTTCTTGTTTATCTACTTGCTTTCTTTTTTTTTTTCCCCCAAGATGGAGTCTTGCTCTGTCACCCAGGCTGGAGTGCAGTGGCACAATCTCGGCTCACTGCAAGCTCCGCCTCCCAGGTTCACGCCATTCTCCTGCCTCAGCCTCCCGAGTAGCTGGGACCACAGGTGCCCACCACTACGCCCAGCTAATTTTTTTGTATTTTTTTTTAGTAGAGACAGGGTTTCACTGTGTTAGCCAGGATGGTCTCAATCTCCTGACCTCATGATCTGCCCGCCTCGGCCTCCCAAAGTGCTGGGATTACAGGTGTAAGCCACTGCGCCCGGCCTCTACTTGCTTTCTTATTTGTCTGTGTCTTCGCCTGGAATGTGAACTCCATGAAGGTGGGGACTGTGTGTGTTTTATTCCCTGCGGTATCCCCAGTGCCCAGCAGAGTGTTAGCCCTCAAGAAACGGTGTATGATCAGTAAACCAACATAGCAACAGAACACCAAACACTGCATGTTCTCACTTATTAGTGGGAGCTGAACAATGAGAACGCATGGATACGGGGAGGGGAACAACATGCAGTGGGGCCTGTAGGGGGTGGGGAGGAGGAGAGCATCAGGATAAATAGCTAATGCATGCGGCGCTTAATTCCTAGGTGATGGGTTGATGGGTGCAGCAAACCTCCATGGGACATGTTTACCTATGTAACAAACCTGCATGTTCTGCACAAGTATCCTAGAACTTAAAACAGAAATGGTGGCTGAATGATGGAGAATCAGGAATTCAACTCATTTTTAGTTGTTGAATAATGTGTAAGTGGCCAAGGCTGAATGAATACACGAGTGAGTGGATGAACTTGTCTGAGACTCAGCCTTCTTCTCTGTAAAGTGAGGAAGGTAGTATTAAGAGCTACTATCTTCCTCCTCTGGGGAAGATTAGCTAATGTGTGTGGACCTCATTAGAGCTGGTCACAAATTTTCCACACCCCTTCTCAGTGCACATTAGGAATACTGTTCCCTGTCCCTTTGAAGTTAAGTATGGCCAAGTGACTTCTTTCGCTAATGAAATGTGAGTGTACGTGATGAATGGCCCTTCTGGGTGAAAGCTTTTTTTTTTTTTTTTTCCCTGAGACAGAGTCTCACTCTGTCACCTATACTGGAGTGCAGTGGCTTGACCTCGGCTCACTGCAACCTCCACCATCCGGGTTTAAGCAATTCTCCTGCCTCAGCCTCTGGAGTAGCTGTGATTACTGGCGCTCGCCACCATGCCTGGCTAATTTTTGGATTTTTAGTAGAGACAGGGTTTCACCATGTTGGCCAGGCTGGTCTCAAACTCTTGACCTTGTGATCTGCCCGCCTTGGCCTCCCAAAGTGCTGGGATTACAGGTGTGAGCCACCACACCTGGCCGGTGAAAGCTTTAACAGCTAGTAAGAGAGATTCACCATGGTCCTCTTCTCCCGTGATGACAATCACGGAAGGAGGGATCCACGTGGACCCTCCAGTTATTCTAGGTCCCTGAAGGACCATGATGAGCTGAGCTTCCCTGCCAAGCTATGTGGAATGCATCGTGTGAATGAGAATCAGTGTCGTTGTGTTAAGCCACTGGGAGAGTGGAGGTCTTACTGCAGCATGACCCAGCCCATCCTGACTAAGGAAGTATGTGGGCACCGTGCTCTTGGGGGCCAAGAGCAGAGGAAGTGTTTCACAAATGGCAGTAAGTGGGCCTTCTTTTTCCTGGACGCCAGGAGCGCCGTCTAGGGACAATGGAGACATTTTTCTCCAGCTTTTTCCCAGTTGGCTCTGGTGCAGGAAAGCAAAGAAACCCAGACATGAAGTCACCGCTTGTTTGCAGCGAGAGAACAAGAAACAAGCCGCAGCAGTATTGTGTTTGCCTTATTAAGGCTCATTTTCTCATTACAATTTTCCCTCCTAATTGCTAATTTTTCCAGCTTCTCCAAGAGCCATTTTACTTCCGCCTTGTCCCCCACCCCCCCCACCCCCGACTCCACTCCAAGAGCTGGTGCTTCGAGAAACTGCCACAGATGGGCCAAAGAGAAACACACATGCTTGTTTTTAATTTACGTGCAATCCTCTTCTTTTGCTGCTACTGGGATGGGCAGCTGCCAGGTTCTTCTGGCCACGTGGCCAGGGACTCAGCCCTAAGGACTGGCCCTATAGAGGGAGGGGTGTGGTCCATGGTTCCATGCCCTTCCCGAGGCCTCTTTGGCAGTAGGGTGTGGCCTTCTCCTGGCCAGGACTTCTCAGCCTCATGAGCACTTGGGCACAGCAAGTATGAGGACCTGGGGTCCTGAGTCCTCAGATAGCTGACGTGCTCCCTGAGCAATGCTGTGCACCCAGGGCTGTGCCTGGGAGCTCTCTGCTGCGCCAGCTGTGCCTCCACTGTCTCCTAAGTGGGAAGGAGCAGTTGTTGCCGTCATTTTCAGGTGGAGAATCAGACCCAGAGAACCGAGGTGCCGTGGCCCAGCTGCTTCCCTGGATGGCAGTGGCAGAGTGGGACTTTCCCCTCCAACAGTCTATCTTCCCCAGAAGCTTCTTCCACACCATGGGCCTGCCCAGATCAGGGAGGGGACTGCCACGAGGGACAGAAACCTTCCCCTGCTCTTCGCTGAGTGGGTTTCAGTCCGATCCACCACTACTCACTGGCCGCAGAACCTAAGAAGATTCTTTCCCTCCTTGAGGGGTTTGGTCCCACTTTTGACTGTGGGGATAGAATCAGATGATAGCTGCAGGTCCTATTTTTGGGATTCCAGGCACGACATTCTCTTAGGAGCCTTTAGTGCACTCTCAGGGGCCTCCAAACACGCACGAGGCGGGAAGACAGGGACTTCTGATACCATGTTACAGGTAGAATCAGACGGACAACCCCAGACTTGTGAGTTTGGATAGAAGAGTGGTTTACAGTTGTCCTGCTAGCTCTGCCACCAGGGGACCGGATCAAATTCATCACCTATAGAGGGAAGGCAGTCATCTTTCCCGCATTGGTGAAGACTAAAACCTACGTGCAAAGCTGTCAGCTTGGTGTCTGGCAATGAGTAAACATTCCTGAAATGGTAGTTGCTACTTCTGTTTATCATCATCATCCGCATCCCCATCATCCTCGTTGTTGTAGTTCTTATGTAGATTTTTTCCGGAGTTGGAGAAAGCCACAGTTGTTATAGGCCAAAAGGTCACGCGGTCTCACCTCTGATTTCTTGAAGATTGGGAAGCCAAGGTCAAGAGAGGGGAAATACTGCACTTGGGTCCTACAGAGCGTCGGCAGAGCTGAGACTGGCACCGGGATCCCAGCTTTTCCCTGCTTTATCTCGCCTCCTCCTCTCCCTGATGCTCTTTATGGAAAAAGACAATCACTTGCTTCCAAAAACAGCTGGACTGACGTCAGCTCTCTATGGGAAAGGCTTCATCCGGCGCAATTCCTGCTGAATACTAGGTTGTCCTCATAACCGGAGGAGCCGCATTCTCTATCAAGGTCACTAAAGGTTGAGGCAGCAGCAGAGGCCCCCAGAGGTAGGTCCCAGTGGCTCTACTGCTGTGTGTTCTGGGATGGGCCTAATATCATGGGGCGAGAAGGGGCCCTGTCCAAGAGGCCTTCCTGGGACCACCCGCCCTGCTCAGAAGCAGCTGTTCTTCGATGAACATAAACCCACACCATTGTCATTTATTTTTGTTTCATTGCACTTACCACAGTCCTGACAGTTATTGGGGTGATTGTGTCTTCAGAATCTGTGTCACCGGCCACACCGCAAGCTCCACGAGGGAGGGGCTTGAATTCCCTGCTGCTGTACCTTGAGTCTATCCAGTGTCCAGGGACTTGGTAGGATGAAAGAAATGAACAAAAGTTTGCTGAATGGGGTCCTTAGCATTTTTCCACCAGTTTTTAGCTTTAGTTCCTTTATGTCCCATTATTATGATTGTTATTTCATTCCGTGAAGCCCCTGAGAGGGAGAGATTCATAGTCCCATTTTATAGATTAGAAAATAGCGGCTCAGAATTTGAGGCTGTGTTGCCAGTATCATAGCTATGAGTCACATGTTGCTATTTAAATTAAAACTAATTAATATTAAATTAAATTAAAAAATTTTCAGTTCCTTACCTGTATTAGCTACATTAGTGCTTCATAGGCACATGGGGCTGATGGCTACTGTACTGGACAGCACAGCATAGAAAATATTTTCAGGCTGGGCTTGGTGGCTCACGCCTGTAATCCCAGCACTTTGGGAGACCAAGGTGGGTGGATCACTTGAGGTCAGGAGTTCGAGACAAGCCTAGCCAACATGATGAAACCCCATCTCTACTAAAAATACAAAAATTAGCCAGGCGTGGTTGGTCATGGGCACCTGTAGTCTCAGCTACTTGGGAGGCTAAGGCAGGAGAATCGCTTGAACCCAGGAGGCGGAGGTTGCAGTGAGCTGAGATCGTGCCACTGAACTCCAGCCTTGGTGACAGAGTGAGACTCCGTCTCTAAAATAAAAAAAAAAGAAAAAGAAAATGTTTTCAGTGTTGCAGAAAGTTCCATCAGATCACACTGGGTGAAGTAACTGCTGAAGGCTGCCTAGTCATACGGTGGCAGAGTGGGGACAGGAGCTGTGGTTTTGTTTCTAGTCCAGGGTGCTTGCTGGTTCCCCTGAAAATGGAGCTTGAAGTGTGGGAGTGGAGGACATGGGGGGACTCTCAGAAGCCCTCTAGCCTCGGGGTTCCCACTGGGCACTTTGGATATGGGGGCCCACCTTGCTGGAGGCACGTGGGCAGGGGTGGGTGCAGGAATAGCCTTCCATCTTTCTTCAACAAGAGTGGTTTACCATGTCCTGTTTTGTATCAAACCCGTAAGAACCTCTCTGAAAACTCTAATGCAAACATTCGAGTCCCGTCGCTGTCCTGATGAAACATCACAAGCACCTCAATCAACAGATGTCCAGGGCCCCCTTCTTGGGCCGGATCCTTTCTCCCCAGAACTGACCAGGCCTGGAGCCCATGCACTCTGAAAGAGGTGCTGGGTCCTTGTCATCTCTTCCCCTGCCGAGCTGGACAGGATCTGTCTCTGAGCAGTGTGCTCCCTCCTGGGGTGGTCCCAGCCCTCCCTACCGTCCTGTCTGTCTGATGGAGGAGCTGGGGTCACTGGTGCTCATGCCCGGGATGGGCCCAGGAGCATCAAGGGAGGAGGCCTGTGCCACTTCCCCTGGTCAAACTTGACTGAGAGTGAACCTCCTCTGGCCCCTGGGCCACAGGATTTGGGTGTCAGCACTTCAATCCCGTGGCTGGCATCATCCCAGTGACCCGGGGCCCTGGTGCTTGAATCTCACTGGGCTGTGCTCTTTGTGAGCCACTTCCCTCTCTCAGGACCCCTCTCTCAAGTGGCTTTCCCCCACTTTTCTACCCTTGAAACTCTGGAATCCTGATGACCCCTCTTTGCCCACCCTAGGGGTGCCCTAGGTGGAGTAGGAGGGGTCAGGCACACCTGTGCCCTCAGGACAGGGAGCTCCCAGTGAAGACAGAAGTGACTCTCATTTCCTCCCCCTGGGGCAGAGATGGCGTGCACCTTTTAGGGGGACCCTTTGCATATACTTAGGGGATGTTGTGGAATTTGACTGAGGGTTTAGCTGCTTAACAAATACCCTTGAAAGCCACTAGCCTTGCCCGTCCACCTTGTTTTATGGAGGTTGCTCCAGACTGCATGTGTGTGCCCCCCAAATTCAGATGTTGAAATCCTAACCCCCAAGGAGATGGCATCAGGAGGTGGGGCCTTTGGGAGGGGACTGAGTCATGAGGGTGGGGTTACCTCATGGAGGGGGTTACTGCTCTTGTAAAAGGGACCCCAGCAAGCCCCTCACCCTTTTGCTGTTTGAGGGCTCAGCAAGATGGATGTCTGTGAACCAGGAAGCTGCCTTCAGCAGATGCTGCATCCACCAGGGCTCTGACCTTGGACTTGCCAGCCTCCAGAACTGTGAGAAACAAATTTCTGTTTATAAGTCACCTAGTCTAAGGTATTTTATTATAGCACCAGAATAGACAAAGACAGACACCAGTTGGAGGCTTAATGAGGGCAGGGGCTTGTCCAAATTCAGGCGAGTGTCCCTGTCATATCTTTAGAGTCTTAGAAAGGTGTTTTCTGGGGGCAGGTGAACTCTTCTTTTTGGGAAATTCACCTTCTTTCCTAACCTTAAGCCCTCTGTGTATAAATCCACCCATCCATTGGGCTACCCTGGGGTCCTTTGGCTTCGAAGGAGCTCTAGAAATCTTCCCTGGGAAATGTGGGGCCTTGAGACCCAGCCCTGGGGTTTAGCTTGGAAATGCGGCACCTCGAGGGGTCACAGGTTAACTGCAAAGCTGTTATTGGCCCAAACTAAATCCTGCCTCCAGGCCCCAGTTCTTCCTCCTCCTCAGCCAGGAGCCAAGCCCTGAAGCCTCCTCCTGTCTCCCCTCTCCCCATCTTTGCCTCTCCACTTGGGCCATGGCTTTCTGGTTTAGTGCAGTTGCCTCCTCCTTGACACCTCCCTGGCTGCCTCCCAGAAGTCAGCAGTGCCCCTGCTATCACCCACACAAGACCATGTCGTGCCCTGGGCTGGGGAGGGGGAGTGAGTGTGTGTAGTGAGCTTTCCTATCCCGGGTGACAGGGCTGGCAAATAGATTGTGCCCCCTGTGCCGACTCTAACCAGTTGGCGGTAGCTACTTGCAGCGTGGCACCTGGAGCTGTAATCCTGAAGTGGGGCTCTGAAGCCGCGCCCCACCTGAGTGGGAAATAATACTTGGGCCAGTTGGAAGCGCCTGCCTGGGCCGGGTGGGAGGAGCAGTGTGTGCGGGTGCTCTTGCCATCCTGGGCAGAAGCTAAACATTTGTTCCTTCTGTGGTGTTGGGCCTCTCCTGGTCTGGCCTGTCCACCTCCCAGGCCTCCTCCCCACTGTTCCCGCGCACCCGCGAGCACCCCGAGCATGTGCACGGCTTCCTGAGCTCCCCACCTTCCTGCGCTGCTCACGCTGCTCCTTCTGCATGGACGCCCCCTCCTCCTCTCCTCTGTCTCAGTGCTGGTACCACCTTCTCCAGGCAGTGTGGACTCTCCCCGTTAGGACTGGCCTCTCCCGGCCGGGCGCGGTGGCTCACGCCTGTAATTCCAGCACTTTGGGAGGCGGAGGTGGGGGGATCACCTGAGGTCGGGAGTTCAAGATCAGCCTGACCAACATGGAGAAACCCCGTCTCTACTAAAAACACAAAATTAGCTGGGCTTGGTGGCGCATGCCTGTAATCCCAGCTACTTTGGAGGCTGAGGCAGGAGAATCACTTGAACACGGGAGGCAGCGGTTGTGGTGAGCCGAGATCGCGCCATTGCACTCCAGCCTGGGCAACAAGAGCGAAACTCTGTCTCAAAAAAAAAAAAAAAAAAAAAAAAAAAAAAAAAAAGAACTGGCCTCTCCCTTTTTGGAGAGTCCTCCATTCTTAATCTGCAGCCCTGCCCTGCTGTCCCCCTCCACTGGCTAGCGAGGGACAAGTAGAGCAATTTGGTCACAGTGACGACAGCCTGACTGGAGCCACGGAGGCAGAAAGAGAGGCCCATGGCTGAGCAGAGCCCCTGAGTTGCGGGAAGGGCGAGGACTCAGGAAGGATGCAGGAAGGAGTGAAACCGGGGCCCGTCCCTCCTCTCTCATCTCTGTCCTTCTCTTGGCCAGCCTCACTCTCTCTCCAGACCACCTTCTTCCACATGGCAGGAAATATGCCACGGGCAGCTCCGAAGGTTTGTAGCTTGCCACTCCATGCAAGGTGGCTCTCTCTCTTTCTCAGTTCTCATTAGCAACATCTCAGGGACAGGGTGATTGGCTACCTAGGTTAGATGCTCACCTATGGACCAGTAAGCTGTGGCCAGAAGGCAGGTTGTCCAAGAACAGGCTGCACCTGGCTTAACCATGGGGAAGGGGAAGGGAGTTTCTGGGCACATGGGAGGGAGGGCTGGGCAGAGAATAGATGTCTGCTCCGGGCTCCCAGACCACCAAGCCTCCTATTTCTTCTCTGTGTGCAAATGGCTGTGCCTAGCGCCGGCCAGGGGCCCAGGGTGTGAAGAGGGAAGGGAGGTGGGTGGAGAGGGTGGGTGAGACCAGCTATGGGGGCACTGAGATTCCAGAGCCTGCTGTGAGACAGGCGGGCTGGAGACTTCTCTCAGAATCCTTTCACTGAGTAAAGATTCTCTATTTACTCAAGGTCATGCAGCCAATAATAATAAGCCAAGAACTGCAGCTGAGTGCTTAGGTGCCAGGCACGATGACTGTCCTCAGGGAGGCGCTGTTATTATCCCCTTTTTACGGGCGAGGAAAATGAGGTGCAGAGGAAGAAAATGACTTGCCCAAGGTCGCAGGGTGAGTGGGTGTCCAAACCTGGCTGCAAACCCAGGACTGTTTTGACATCCTGGCCCTTAGCTTGAAAGACAAAGAAGTCAAGATTGGAACCTGGCAGCTCCGTGGCCTTCCGGAGCTCTGAGGGCTGTGGGCTATGGGAGGGTTGGATGGGGTTGTCTCCAAATCCTGGGGTCGCACTGGAGCTTCTCCTTGCAATTCTTGTTTCTGCTGCCCTGGAGTTTTCTCTGCCTCCGTATGTTAAAAAGAAAGAAAACAATTTAACGACAACAACACAGAAAAACTTAGATCATTTTTAAAAAAAAATACAAAAAAAAGTCTGACTTCTGTGAAATTTAATTTAATTTATTTTTATACCAGCAGCTGTCAGTTCAAAGAACAACAACAAAGTAGCCATCTGTGCTTAATTTCATCAATCCACTGTCGATGGTCACGTGAGTGTGGCTTTTGGACTGAGGCAGAGCACGTGGCCAGATCTCAGCACCCCCACGGGCCCTCTGTCCAGACAGGGGAGGGAGGCGCTGGTGGCCAGCTTGAAGGTAGAGGGGGACTCCGTGCTGGGAGTGGAGGGGCACCGCACCTGGACGCTCAGGGGCCACATTTGTCAAGAGCAAGGAAAAGCCGGTCAGCCCTTTTGGAGACACGGTGAGCCCCTGATTTTTCGCCATGGCCTAGCCCCTCATTATTTCATTAATTCCTCATGCCAGCGGTGAGTGGGCTTGCCAGCTGAACAGATGGGGAAACTGAGTCTCAAAGATGTCTCCATCCCAAGCCGAGAAACAGACTCAAACCCTGGTTTGTTGTGCTCCCAAACCCTTGTTTTTGCTACAGGCTGTGGCCTCCTGAGCTTGAAGCTATGGCCAGAAAACCCTGGGGCTAGACGATCCCTGGGAACAGACTGTTCTTGGACAATCTGCCTTCTGACCACAGCTGACTGGTCCAGGGGTGAGGATCTAGCCCAGGTAGTCAGTCAGCCCTTCCCTGAGACTTTTCTCCAAATCCTGGGGTCACAGGAGAGGCCAGGCCAAAGTCAGGCCAGTGCCTAGGGAGGTGAGGGGATGTTCCTGGTGACAGGGCTGTGCCCCCTCCTCTGGCTGAGTTGTGCACACGGCCACCACTTCTTGGCCAGATGTCCTTCTGCTGGGCTCTGCTCACCGAGAAGAGCGGGTGGTCATAGCCTGCAGCCGATGTCTCAGGGTGCCTCCTTTTCCCTGTCAGTGGGCCAAGCACCTGTGCGGATGGATGTGTTCATTCCCCAGGGCTTTGCCAGGTAGGTGGGCACCATCGCCCTTCCCAATTTACAGACTTGAACCCAGGGACTTGCCCAAGGCCATATAAGACACATGAGGTGGAGGCAGGGTCCACTCTTAAACATTGCCTAGTTCCCAAAGGAGGCAGGTGCCCATCCAAACACTAGAAAACCTGCCCAGAAGAACTCTCCTACACTCAGCATCAAACCTCAGGACCCTGGGATCAGCCAGGCCCGTTCCCTTCTCCAGCCAGAGAACTGGAGGCTGGAGAAGGGGAGAGGCCTTCCCCAGGTCGTGCAGGCTCAGGTGCAGCCTGGGACCCTGGTCTCCCCACCTTCCCTGACGGTGTGGCCTCGGCTTCACACTGCAAGGCCAGCTTGTCGCCTGTAGATTGTCCTCTCTGAAGTGAGCTGGGTTGTGGGACTTTCCTGGGTCCCATTTCGTTGTGATTCAAAGAACAAACCCTGGGATGGAACGGGCTCCTTCTGATGGCAGAGTGAGGAAGGTGTAACCCTGGCAAAGCCTTCCTGTCCCCTAAAAAAAGACCCAAACCCCCAACATAAAATCAAAAGAATCCCCTGTTGGGATTCCTGGGCAAATCACAGGCTTATTTGCTGCTGAATTAAAAGAAGTAAGAGTGAGCAAGTCAGAATCATTAAAAGATAGATCACTAAAGTCACATTTTTCGATGTGCCATATTAAAGAGAGCGGGGGAGCACGCCAATTGGCTTGCCATCTTCTCATTAAGTAACAGATGGCAGCTGAGTCATCGCTCCCAGCAGTCAGGACGCTGCTGGTCTGCCGCTCACTTGCTGGGGCCCAGCCACTCAGGATGAGGGGTCCGTGGGGGGCAGAGGAGGAGGGGGCCTCGCCTCCTTCCGCCTCTTCCTCTTTCATTGAGTCCCATTCCACCCACACGTCTTCCAAAGTTCTGCACAGCCGCTCCATTCCTTCTCTTGTTCACTCAACATGAACCCCCCATGTGACCAGCCCTATGTGGGGCTGGGGGACACAGCCCTTGTGTCCATGGAAGCCCCAGCCTTGTGAGGGAGTCAGAAAATGGGCCAGAACGTGGTATGGAGTCAGGTTGTGGGAGAGGGTGCCCAGGGGCTGTGGGGACCAGGAGAGGCACCCATGTTAGCGTGAGATGAGCAGGATCAGGGCCCACCCAGAACTTGGGCTTCGGGCTGTCCTCTCAAAGATCCACCAAGGCAGATCACACCGGGGACCTCTACTGCTCCAGAGGGCTGGGTATCCCTCCTTGGAATCTGCTCCTTCCTACCAAAGCCTTGCCACTGGGGGCCCTTCTTGCTTCCCCCTGTCCTGGTCACAGTCTTCAACCCACCCGCCTGCATCCCCTCCACGGAGGCTTGTGGGCACCTGCTGCCTGCCAGGCACGGGGTGGGCAGAGGCTCTTCCCTCTAGGGGGTTCCATTTAGCAGCAGAAAGGCCATGTCTGCCTTGTAGACGGTCACTCACTCGCCCTCTCCCTGACCCTGTAGACGGTCACTCACTCGCCCTCTCCCTGACCGTGTGGACGGTCACTCACTCGCCCTCTCCCTGACCGTGTGGACGGTCACTCACTCGCCCTCTCCCTGACCGTGTGGACGGTCACTCACTCGCCCTCTCCCTGACCCTGTAGACGGTCACTCACTCGCCCTCTCCCTGACCGTGTAGACGGTCACTCACGCTCCCTCTCCCTGACCGTGTAGACGGTCACTCACTCGCCCTCTCCCTGACCGAGTAGACGGTCACTCACTCGCCCTCTCCCTGACCGTGTAGACGGTCACTCACTCGCCCTCTCCCTGACCCTGTGGACAGTCACTCACACTCCTTCTCCCTGACCGTGTAGACGGTCACTCACTCGCCCTCTCCCTGACCGAGTAGACGGTCACTCACTCGCCCTCTCCCTGACCGTGTAGACGGTCACTCACTCGCCCTCTCCCTGACCGAGTAGACGGTCACTCGCCCTCTCCCTGACCGTGTAGACGGTCACTCACTCGCCCTCTCCCTGACCGTGTGGACGGTCACTCACTCGCCCTCTCCCTGACCGTGTGGACGGTCACTCACACGCCCTCTCCCTGATCCTGTCGACGGTCACTCACACGCCCTCTCCCTGATCATGTAGACGGTCACTCACTCTCCCTCTCCCTGACCCTGTAGACGGTCACTCATTCGCCCTCCCCCTAACCATGTAGACGGTCACTCACTTGCCCTCTCCCTGACCATGTAGATGGTCACTAACTCGCCCTCTCCCTGACCATGTAGACGGTCACTCACTCGCCCTCTCCCTGATCCTGCAGATGGTCACTCACTCGCCCTCCCCCTGACCATGTAGACGGTCACTCACTTGCCCTCTCCCTGACCTGCTGGCTTTGTGTTATTGCTTTCGGGGACTTGTGTGCTGACCCCACCTCTGTCGCTGTCTCCTATAGGGAGTGTGTCTCAGACCCCATCTCCATGGAACACCTGGGCAGCCGACACCCTCTCCAGAGTAGTGGCCGTGGCTGCCTGGGGATGGGGAGGGGCCGTGTTATGCAGATGACTTTTAATGAAGTCCCTTTTGAGGAGCAGTTTGACCAGCTGGGATTCCCAGTGCACAGCCCTTGGTCTCTCCTTATGGGTGTCACAGGAAAATTTAAACCCAGGCCCAACAAGCTGGACAAAGTCTCCACAGGACAGGAGACTGTGTGACTCTGATGGCAAATGTCATAACTCTGGTGTTATTGAATTTGGAAGGAAATAACGTGCCATGCTCTTGTGTGAACAGCCAGGCCCCTCTTACATTCCCATCGTGGGGACCAGTCCAGCTTCATAGGGAAAACTTGGGCTTTGGGATCCCACCTAGATTTTCACTGATCAGACCTTCATTCCTTAAGCAAGTTAAAATGATCACTTGTTTAGTTCCCGGTTGTAACTGTAAAGCTTATGCTGAGATGAGTTCTACTGTATCCCAGCATGGGAGCTGGGCACATTCCTACTTCTCTGCACCTCGAACCTTGGCCTCCTCCCCAGGCCCATGATGGGAGCAGGCCCTACGCCTGGGTGTGGGGAGGAAGGCGGGAGATGGGAAGGGGCCCCCAGGAGACCTGGCCCTGGCAGGGGTGGGACAGCAGCACTTGTACTTGCCTGTCTTGAACTGTGGGTTTCAGGTCCTAAGCACAGCAGAGAGGGGTTATTCAGAATGTCTGGGTCACCAGGATCCCTCCAGAAGCTCATCTTTGGGACATTCGCATCCAGATGTTGCCGCTTTTCCATGGCAGTTTTCTGCCCTCAGAGCAGGCGTTGTGGAGGTGTGTGTCTGACACTGCCTGTCATCAATTGGTAACGGGCGGCCCCATTTGACTCCCCACAACTGCCTGAGAGTTCCTGTCTGACCTGAGACTCCAGGCTGCCTGCCCCGGCCTTCACAGGCTCTTCTTGTCTGCAGGATAAATTATGAAATTCCTTGCATATTTTGGTGCAGCAACATCTGGTCTCCTTGATCTGCAGCCCCTGATGAATGGGTGTCAAGGTCTCTTTCCTGTCTACCTCGCTGGCTCGTATTTTCCACCTGTTTGAAATCAATATTCTCCCATGTAAATTGTGACATGCCCTCTGCACCATGCTGCGGCCCGGTTTTCCTCCAGACAGCTCCACAGAGCAAAGGTTGGCCAGTGGGTGCACGACCTGCTGGCCTGGTCTGCAGAATGGCTCCTGGGGTCTCAGCTGGGGCAGTACTGTGCCAGTGGGCATGTGGTTTCTCAGCTTTCTCCCATCACCTGGATGTCCGATTGACACCTTCCATTTGGCACGTCCAAAAAACTCATCCTCCTCAGACACCTACAATTCAGCATGTCCAAAAAACATTCCCACTCCCCACATCTGCTCCTCTCAGCTTTCTGATCTCTGTGAAAGTCCCCACCACCCAACCAAGAAAACTATGTGCCTGCAACCCCTGTTAGCTTTATGGACTTGCTTCCTGAAACCATTTAGAATGCTCTCTCTGGTTTCCACCCCCCACCCCCCGTTAGCGCTTGGGAAGACTGTTGGAAGAACTCTCATTCCCCTGCCGCCAATCTTGTTCCTCCCTAAGCTCTCCCCGAGATGGCCACAGGAAGCATTTTTCTATGATATGGATCTTGTAATTTTTCTCCCTGTGGCTTTCCTTTGTCTTAAAGATGGAGCCTGGGCTTCTGCCTATTTCCTTGCCCCTCAGCACGGCAGCTCTCCCTCCTCCTGGCTCTAGGTTGGGCATGCCATCTCTGCTCTCTGCTGCCTGAGACTTCAGTGCCTCCCGCTTTCCAAACCACAGCCCTTTCCCAACTTCATCAGGATTTCTCCTGTGCCTTGTAGATGCTTCCAGTAAATGACCTACCCATTGTCTGCGTCAGAGAGAGCTGAGTGTGCACCAGAGCTCATGCCCTCCTCCTTCTGCATGGGGTTGTGGCTGAGAAGAGATTTTCCCAGCTCTCTCTGCGTCCCAGAGGAGCCTGGTGACCACCTGTCCACCTTGGTTCTGCAGGGAGCAGTGGCATCGCTTCTGGGCAAGGGCTGATGGGCCGGGCTTTCCAGCCTGTCCCTTGCCCTTTCACGGGCTTGACACTGCCACACATAGTGGCCGCAGCAACCTTCCTGGAGAAGATGCTGGAGCCAAGGGCCAGCAGGACTCTGGGGTCTCAATCAAAACTTTGAGGAGTGCTGCCTGCTGCCCAGAAATGCCCATCTGGGGCTTTTCACAAGCGAGAGGTAAACTTCCAGCTGTACATTTTCAGCTGCATTTTTGGCAGCAGCTAACGTTACCCTAAACCAAGGAAGGGTCAGTGAACCACAACCCATAAGCCAAATCTGGCCTCCAACCTATTTTCGCAAATCAAGTTTTATTGAGGCTGAGTGCAGTGGCTCATGCCTGCAATCCCAGCGCTTTGGGAGGCCAAGGTGAGAGGATTGCTTGAGCCCGGGAGTTGGAGGCTGCAGTAAGCCATGATTATGCCACTGCACTCCAGCCTGGGTGACAGAGAGAGATCCTATATCTAAAAAAATAAGGCTCGGCGTGGTGACTCATGCCTGTAATCCCAGCACTTTGGGAGGCTGAGGCGGGCGGATCATTTGAAGTCAGACCAGCCTGACCAGCATGGTGAAACCTCGTCTCTACTAAAGATACAAAAAATTAGCCAGGTGTGGTGGCACGTGCCTGTAATCCCAGCAACTCGGGAGGCTGAGGCAGGAGAATCGCTTGATCCTGGGAGGTGGAGGTTACAGTGAGTTGAGATCACACCATCACATTCTAGCTTGGGTGACAGAGACTTCGTCTCAAAAAAATAAAATACATAAATAAAAATAAAAAAATTAAATACCAAATCAAGTTTTATTGGAACACACATCTATTGATTTGCCTGTTGTCAATAGCCACTGTCACATTCCCATGGCAGAGCTGAGTAGCTGTGATAGACTGTGTGGCCCGCAAAGCCAAAAGTATTAACTGTCTGTTTGCGGGAAAAGCTTACCAACTGCTGCTTTACATGAACGCCCTTTTCTGAATTACTGATGGCTGCATTTTATTCCTCTGCTGACTGAACCCTAGTAATTATGGTTCTCATTCACTAACTCATCTGCACAAAGCACCGAGCATGGTGTCGGTCACAAAAGAATGGTTCGCGGGCACTGCTCAGGGGATTGTGTTTGACCGGCACGTTGTTGATGAGTGACTGAGTAGAAATGTAAACCTCATTCATTCAGACTTAGCTAGCGCAGAAAGTCCGACCATCTGGATGAGGGCTGACTCTTCAAGCACCCTGTTGCTTGGTGGAAGAGGTAACGGTAAAGTGGATCAGTCCCTTCTCCCTTCTCCTCGCCATCATCCAGAGCTTTCTGAGAAGCCCTGAGGACGTTGCAGCTCCCGGCCCTCAGAGCCAGCAGACATGCTGCCCAGGGAATGCAGCCGTGACCTGCGGAAGTGGTGGCAGCAGCCGGGCACACTGAGGTGCCTCTCGGGGAGAGGGAGGTGATGCCAGGCACATGGGCTGTGTATGGTGGAAGGGCCCAAAGCGGGAAGGGGAAAGGGGGGACACCCATGGCTGCCCAAAGCTGTTGTTTCTGTGCATAAGTCTATGTAAGACCCTTCTAGGGAAGTCCAAAAGGTCTGTGGGCTGGAGGGCGTGTGTGGTGTGTGTATGCCTGTGTGCAGCAAGGTGACTTTATTGGGGGCTGTGTGTCCACGTTAGGAGTTAGGAGCAAGAAACTGCAACCTGGGGCCCACATTCGCTCATTAAATGAATGTATCTGTGGTGCTTGCAACAGCCTTCGAGGTCTTGTGTGGGTCATCTTGGCGCCCAGTGAGGAAGCAGGGGCTGCCCCTGTTCTCCAGGTCTCAGAGTCTGGTAGGGGTTTAGGATAAGGGCCATTGGTTCCCTTTTGGCTTAATCCATCTCCACCACCACCACCACCACCACCACCACCACCACCACCACCACCACCACCACCGCCACCACCATCACCAGGAAACTCATGTTTTTGGTGGGGGGGAAAGAAAGTCTACTGAACACAATAAAATGTAAGGAGAATATTTGATTTGCTGTCTGGGATTTTTAAGCAAAGATACATATAATTAGTGGGTGCTGCTGTAGATGATGTGGCCAGGCCGATGAAAGTTGGAAGCATGTATTTGCAAGGCTGGAACATGGTTGAAATGGAATCCATTCAGTCCTTTGGAATATGGAGTGACGTCCTGGCCCCACTCTCACCTTCTTGAGGGTCTTGGTGCTGCCACCTGACCGTGAGGCCTCTGTGCAGAACCGGCCTTGTAGGGTGGGAAGAGGTGGGAGGAGGGGTGACTGACTGGCTTGTGACTTGTGGTGGGGGTTGCAGGTTGAAACAATAAGAATGAGGAGCGGCATGAGGACATGGATGTGGCAGGAATGTAATCATCATCTTTTTCCTTTATGTAGTGAGCTGTCCAGATCCAAGTGCTCATTCTGTTAGTCTCCAGGGAGGTCTTCGATTGTCTTTGGGGACAAGTGCTTCCTGGCTCTTCTGCCTTTGCCTCTGCCCCGGCCTGGCAGAGCCCCTTCCTTCACTGTCTTCTAGAATGCTCTGGTCCCTCCGTCTCCACTTTGACCCGACTCTACTGTCTGTACCTACAGCTCAACTGAGCTTCTCCTGTGTGTCGGGTCTGGGCCTGGCCAACTCTGAGCCCCACCCTGGCTGCCCCCTGCATCCACCTTATTCACAAGCCTGGCTCTTCTTGGCTTCCCCATCCCAGATCTCGTGGGAGTGCTCCCCCAACTTGTGAAATGCTCGGTGATCCCTCACCAGCCTTCCTGGAACCCCATCAGTGTCACCCAGGACATTGCGTAGAGCCCCATCACATTCCGTAGGACAATAGCCAAGGTTAAGAAACCCTGACAAAATTCCACAGTATTCTATGAAGTCTTGTTTTGTATCATCCCCCTAGAGGATAGTCTTCATGGGTTAAAAGAATACAATGGTTAGGGGAAAGGGAGGGATGGGGGAGATTTGTTAAAGGATACAAAATCACAGCTAGTTAGGAGGAATAAGTTCTAGCATCCTAGAGCACTGTGGGATGACTATAGTTAACCATAATACTTTGGCCAGGTGTGGTAGCTCATGCCTGCAATCCCAGCACTTTGGGAGGCTGAGGTGGGCAGATCTCTTCAGCTCAGGAGTTTGAGACCAGCCCGGGCAACATGTTGAAACCCCATCTCTACAAAAATACAAAAATTAGACAGGCATGGTGGCACGTGCCTGTAGCCCTGAGGTGGGAGGATCTCTCGAGCCCAGGAGGTTGAGGCTGCTGTGAGCCATGATCACGCCACTGTGCTCCAGCCTGTGTGATAGAGTGAGACCTTGTCTCAAACAAAACAAAACAAAACCACAAAAACCCAGTAATACATTGCGTAGTTTCAAGTAGCTAGAAGGAGGATACTGAATGTTACCAACACAAGGAAATGATAAACGTTTGAGGTGATGGCTGTGTTAAGTATCCTGATCTGATCACTCCACATCATATGTATTGAAACATCCCTATGTACCCCATGAGTGTGTACAATTGTTATTTGTCAAT
Source organism: Homo sapiens (assembly GCF_000001405.40). NCBI lineage: Eukaryota > Metazoa > Chordata > Mammalia > Primates > Hominidae > Homo > Homo sapiens. Next base: position 99,342,165 of record NC_000014.9, on the reverse strand, counting down.
TAAATAAATTAAATTTAATTTAAACATAAAAATTAAAAATACAATGATTAAAGAGAGTGCTGGAGTTAAAATGGACAGATGGCTTAGGATCCACTTCTTTCCACCTACCTAAAATGATTTACAATTCAAGTGGGCCAAGATGGACACATACGTGAGCTACAGCCAGAATGAGTAAGACAGATGCCTCCTCTGGGAATATTTATTCATCACATGGCACTTAGAGTCAAATAAAACACAAATGCAATAGCTTAGTGGGCAATCCTAAATACTACGACACAGCAAACACTCTCCTATCTTCCCCCACTACCACTGTGGAGTCTGAGAAAGGGAGCTAGAAGCATCAGTGCCTCAACATGGCCAGTCCAGGCTCTGCGATCAGAGCACTCAGGACTCCAGCACCAGCCCTACCAGCCTTCCAGAGCATTTTAGGCTCAGGTGAGAGACTATCTGGTTGATGGAAATGACAACACACGAGCTTCAAGGAGTTTTCAGGATCATCGGTGGTCCAGCCTCCCGTGGAACAAGGAGACACTGAGGCCAGAGAAAAGTGGCTCCTCCATGATCACAAGACTGGAGTCTGTATCTCTTGATTCTCTATCCAATTAACTAAAAGCGCAATTTTAAGAAAAGCCCACCTGTGCATGTGCCTAGCGTCTGACAGTTGGTAAAGCATTATGCTTGGATCCTAATGAAATTCTGCGAGGTAATCAGGGTGGAGACTTTCCTTTTCATTTTGCTGATGAGGAAGCAGAGGCATGGAGAGAAGACCCGGCTCCTTGGAGATGGAGCCTGAGGTGCAGAGGCACAGCTGTCCCCGGATGCCTTCTTCCTCGTCCTTCCCCAGCCGGTGCTTCTTTCCCCATTTGGCTCATGCCCATCCCTGCTGACCTCTCTGCAGAGAAGATGACACTCAGAGCTGGATGGCACTTTGAGATCAGATAGTCCAGAGGCTTCATGTCACAGATGGGGGCACAGACTTGAAGGGACAGTCATTGACCTGGCCAAGATTCCTCAGGTTTCTAGGGTCCAGTCCTTGGGTGCCAGTCACTGTTCCTTCCATCAGTCCACATGTCCAGCTCCATCTCTGTTCCCTCAGAACAGACATGGAGGACTTTGGGACACTTGGTTTGGCACTTTTTTCCCAGGACAAATTGATTTCCCCATCAATCCTGGGACCACCTGGTCCCACCTCCTCATGCCTTCTGCTCTGGTGGCTGCATTTGCTTTTCTGCCATTTTCCTCATTTGTTGAATTAGGAGGTGGGCTCCAGGGGTTGGAGCAAGCCTCTTGGAGTGACAGTCATCAGGATATCCTTGATGGGCCCTGCTTCCTTGGGGACTGGCTTATCTGTCTTTGGGAAGAATGATTTCCCACCATCTTCCTGGTCGAATGGCTGCAGGAGTTCATTTCCCACTTTTGTAGCTCTGAGACGCTCTCATTATTATCTCCCTCTCGGAATCCTAATGATGAGTTCCATTGCTGTGCCACCTTGGCCAAGTCCTTCCCTCTCTGGCCTCATTCTTCATCTATGTGTGTGTGTGTGCATGTGCACACGTGTGACCTTTAAGTGCCCATCCAGGTTTTGTAGTTTAGGGTATGGGACGTTTTCACATCTAGGATGAGTGTCGTGCTAGAGTGAAGGATTCACATATGCAAATGGATCCCAGTTTGCCCCATCACACCCTTTGGTGAGGATTCCCCAGAAAATAAGGAACTCAGATCCTAGGAACATTTATACCAAGTTCAGTACTTCCTTAGACAGCTGATGCTTTCTCTTCCAGCAGCTCAGGATACAAAATGAACACACATTTCTTTTAGTAGTTAAACTAATCAGATTCAGGGCCCCTCATCTCTGGGCACAATCCAAGAACTCTGGGTGCGGATGGAGCCTAGGCACTGGCCCCCATGTTCCCACTAAATGTCACTCAGACACTCCTCCTTGAAGCTGAAGGTCTTCAAAACTGCTACTAGAGAAGGACGGTCCCACAGCAGGATGGACTGGAAACCCTCGTCACAGCTTTTTAGATTATCCTTTTTTTTTGTGCCAGGGTGGCTGAATCAGACTATTCCAGAAACAAGCCCAGCCTCAAGAAACCTATCAAGATTAAACTGGCAAGATCTCTTGCTCTACGATACTTTTCCCTCTAGGAAGTCCCTGGAATCTTCTCCTGCCAGCTGATCTTAGATGGCCATCTCAGCACCTTGATTTTTAGCTCTCATTTTAACTATCAAAAGAAGAAATATATCTCCTAGTTTTCCTTGCAGCTAAGTAAATAACTTCTGTCCAAGGAAGTATAAGCAGAAGTGTCCTGTGTGACTTCCAGGAAGTCATCTCTGAAAAGGAGGAGCTTGCCCTTCTTCAATCCTTCCTCTCTCCTGCTACCTGGAATGTGGATGTGATGGCTGGAACTCTAGCAGCCATCTTAGATCATGAGGGTCACTCCTTGCTGATGGTTCAGCAGCAAGCTAGAAAGAGCCCACGTTCCTGAAGGCCATGTGTCTCTTGCATCAGTCCTGCATTTCGTACTTCTGGATCTCTTCAAAGTGAAAAAGAAATAAGTTTCTCTTGTATTTGAGTCACTGTTATTTTGGGTTTTCAGTCACATGTGGTTGAACATGATCCCAACTGATACACCAGGCAAGCTTGATTTCTAAACAGAGATGAAGTCTGAGGGTATTTGCAGACCTCATATGTTCCCGTCCCTGTGGCAGCCATGAAGCCTGTCTTCTGTAAGGGGACACACAGATCCTTGTGTACCTTGCTTAAGAACAAGAGACAATAGTTACAATCTGTTAATCCCATCTGTTTTCCATAAGAAGGAAAAACAGTTATATGGTGGTGACAGAAATGCTAGGCTAGATAGAGGGGTTTTCCAAGTCCCCCATGACAGGGACACTGGGGACGGAGGGTACACAAAGAGGAGACACTCGTGGAACCTACTTAAAAGGGATTTATTATCTGGTGCTGATAGAGTTTATAATTTTCAAAGTCCATCCTCATTCATTATAACCACATTAACTCCTGCCTCTCTTTCTCTTACCAAGTACTTCCGATGACAGCATTGTTATTCTAATTTTACAGATGGTAAATTTGAGGTTCGGAGGTGGTACGGCTTGCCCAGATAGTAAATGGTTTGGCAGGTCTGCCGGCTGTATTTTATTTTGCTTTATCTTAGTGGAGGAAGAATCGTCTAGCAACCAAATATCTAAGACTTTTCAGAAAAATTCCAAGCTCATCAAGTTGGTTTTTCCCCTCCCAAACCACACTTGCTATGGACACACCCCACGCACTAAGTTTTAATTTGGAAAATATATTGGTCATAGAAAAAAAATACCTTTAAAACTCATTATCCTACAAAGTAGCTGGTGTTTCAGAGAAGGATGGAGAAAGTTCTGGGTTCAGAGGAAGGAGCAAGTCAGAGGGCTTCTTGGAGGAGGTGATCTTTGATCAAGTATCGAAATAACACTGAACTGAGATGGAGTAATGCTCTCTGGAGATAGAGAGTAGGTGATGAGAGGAGGTGATGCTGAGATCATCATGGAAGGTAGGAACATTTTGGGAAGAGGAAACAGCATATGAAGTACAAAGACAAGGGGCTCAGGTATATATATCTAAAAACCACATGCACACATATGCATGCACACGCATGCACGCACACACTTGCACACACACATGCATGCATGCATGCACACACATGCACACACACACATGCATGCATGCATGCACGCACCCTGCCCTCACACAAGGCAAATATATGTCAGACTAATTCCAATTTAAATGAAAAACCCCAAGATTTTCAGTGTTACTAACAGATTAAGTAGATCCCAACCACGAGGCTAAAAAGGTCTGGTGAGTGAAATAAAAGTCTAATCTACCATGTGGGTATAATACTTAAACTTTGTAAGGCAAAACTATTTGAAATATTTGGAGTAAGTGATAGAAATTCATTGTAGGGAGAGCTTGGACACATAATTTTTTTTTTTTTTGAGATGGAGTTTCACTCTTGTTGCCCAGACTGGAGTGCAATGGCGCGATCTCGGCTCACTGCAACCTCCGCCTCCCGGGTTCAAGAGATTTTCCTGCCTCAGCCTCCTGAGTAGTGGGGACTACAGGCATGCACCACCATGCTCAGCTAATTTTGTAATTTTTTTAGTAGAGACAGGGTTTCTCCATGTTGGTCAGGCTGGTCTTAAACTCCTGACTTCAGGTGATCCACCTGCCTCAGCCTCCCAAAGTGCTGGGATTACAAGCATGAGCCACCGAGCTCAGCCAACACATCATTTTTAAGGAATGAGAAATCAACAGATAAAAAAATAAGGTAATGGAGATTTTAACGGTATAATCAATAACGTGTCTTCTTTTGCGCACACAAGTAAAGAATGCACCTCATTTTCACCTTATTTTCAAGCATCCATGGGACACTGACCAGAACCGAGGATACACTGGTCATGAACATCCTATTGTGTCCCAAAAAACATACGTTGCACAGATCACATTTTCTGATCAAAACAAAATTAAACGATAAGTAACTGTAATTTTTTTAAAAAAATCTTCTTAACTGCTGAAACACAGAGGAACAAAATACAATCTACAGAATATTTGGAAAGTAATGAAAATAAAAACACTATTTCTTATAAGAATAAAGCCATTCCTCAAGACAGTCATAGTATTAAATGCATTGTTTACCAAAAAGAAAGCTAAAACGTGTATGATTTAAACATTCAACTCAATAAATTAGAAAAGGAGGGAAAAGCAATCCTAATAAAATTAAAGAAGATGAAGCCAAACTCAATATAGAAGAAAACAGAGTTGATAGATAAATGTGAGCTAATTTGAAAAATGAAGGAATTTCAATAAACTGGTAACTCTAGTTAAATAAAAAGTTGCAAAATATACATAACACAACAAAGGGAATATACTTGCAGAGTTGATTTACAAAAAGAATAACATATATGTAATAATTATGCTAATGCTTTGAAAATATCAATGAAAATAGGCAATTATCTGGAACACTATAAATTATCAAAAATCTTGAGAATGGCAGGGCGTGGTGGCTCATGCCTGTCATCCCAGCACTTTGGGAGGCTGAGGCGGGTGGATCACCAGAAGTCAGGAGTTCAAGACCAGCCTGCCAACACGGCAAAACTCCGTCTCTACTAAAAATACAAAAATTAGCCGGGTGTGGTGGTGGGTGCCTGTAGTCCTAGCTACTCAGGAGGTTGAGGCAGGAGAATTGCTTGAACCCAAGAGGCGAAGGTTGCAGTGAGCCAAGATCGTGCCACTGCACTCCAGCCTGGGCGACAGAGCGAGATGCTGTCTCAACAACAACAACAACAACAACAAAAACTTGAGAAGATACACAAAACTTTAATAATTATATAACTCACTAAAATTTTCATGAAAATATTTTCAAAAGAAGGTTTCAGGCCAGATAGTTTGTTTTTTTTTCGTCTCCTCTGACTCAGGTAGTTTTAAATATAGGTTATTTAGAATATTCAAGGAACAGAGTGTGTATATATATATATATATATATATATATATATATATGTATGTGTGTGTATATATGTATATATAAATATAAATATAAATAACTCTTCCACAGTGTAGAAAAGATCAACGACCCAGGGCTGGGTGCGGTGGCTCATGCCTGTAATCCTAGCACTTTGGGAAGTCAAGGGGGGCAGATCATGAGGTCAGGAGATCGAGATCATCCTGGCTAACACAGTGAAACCCCGTCTCTACTGAAAATATGAAAAAACTAGCTAGGTGTGGTGGCGGGTGCCTGTAGTCCCAGCTACTTGGGAGGCTGAGGCAGGATAATTGCTTGAACCTGGGAGGTGGAGCTTGCAGTGAGCTGAGATCGCGCCACTGCACTCTAGCCTGGGCAACAGAGAAAAGACTCTGTCTCAAAAAAAAAAAAAAAAGAAAAAGAAGGAAAGATCAATGACCCAAATAATCTTGCAAAGTTAAAATAAGCTCATCACCAAAAATCTACCAAAGTTGACCCTTGAATATAATGATGGACCCATCTCACCTGTGAACATAGATGTAAAATTTCTAAATAAAATACTTACCAGTCAAATTCAATAGCATGTTAATTATTCATCAAAGTCCAGTAGACTTTGTCTCAGGAATGTAAGAATGGTTTAATGTTAAAGAAAACCTATTAGTATAAGAAATCACATCCACAAATTACATAAGAAAAAACATACATGATTATCTGAAAGATACCTAAAGGCATTTAATCAAAATGAACATATATTCCCAATCTCAAATGATATCATTTAACATCAGATACTTTTTCCTAAGTGCTGGCTGCTGTGCTAAGTACTTGACGCGGTTTATATTATTAAATATTCACAGCAATTACTTGAGTGGGGTCCACTCTCCTACAAGGGATCAATTCCTCTATCTGCGTACTAAGTCCTGTCTCCCGCTCTTCCTAGGGACCTTATATTCAATCAAGGCCTCCCCTCCTACATGTTTGTCTTCTTCTCCCCCCAACATCTGGCTCCTTCCCACTCATATTTTTATTTATTTATTTACTTAGACAAGGTCTCACTCTGTTGCCCAGGCTGGAGTGCAGTGGCACAATCACAGCTCACTGCAGCCTCGACCTCCTGGGTTCAGGAGATCCTCCCACCTCAGCCTCCCGTGGAACACAGGGATGCACCACCAGGCCCGGCTAATTTTTAAATTTTAATTCTTTGTAGAGACAGGGTTTCACTATGTTGCCCAGGCTGGTCTCAAACTCCAGGCCTCAAGCAATCCTCCCGTCTCTGCCTCTCAAAGTGCTGGGATTACAGGTGTGAGCTACCGTGCCCAGCTTCTCATTAATATTGTAATAAACATAAGAACTTTCTGAAAAGTCTCCCTTGAACCCATATGATCTTCCCATGAACCCCCCTGCTTTTCCTTCCCATGCAGCTCAACTTGAAAGTCTTTACACTCCTCCCAAATCTTCTTCTAGAAGTCACTGGCGACTTGCCATTATCGTTGGCATCATGCACATAATGGCACTCTCAGGGGCTGCAGCCCTGCCCTGGGAAGGTGAATAACAAAGGAACATGTGTGAGTACTGGGGAGGCTGAGTTTTGTTTACAAAGATGCTCCCTAAATGTAGTGGCTTAATGAAGACGCAGAGTGGCATTTTCTGCGTTGGTCCTGAGTGAGCCGTCAAGCTTAGTGGGCAGTTTTGCTCCTGCTGGTGACTCAGGGATTCAGGATCTTCCTTTCATCATGTCTGTTACTAATGACAGCAATAATCCCTCTTGTACAGATGGTGTTTTTTTATTTTGAAAAGCTTGGACATTTTACAAAGGCCAGGGACCCCCATGAGCTATTTATTATTATCCCACTTATGTAGAGAACAAGATTGGAGCCCAGACATGGTCAGCAAGCAGACCAGCCTCACACAGCCAGAAAGAGGGAGAGCTGGGAGCTGAGACTGGAACACAGGTCCTCTGGCTCCGGGTCCTGCCGCTTTCCCCTAAATCACACAGCTTCTGACGGCAGGTCGCCTTTCATAGGTTTACAAGCCTGCCTTCCTGTAACCCCTGGTTGGTGGAACCCGCCAGCAGGTGCTTTCCTTAGATTGGAGGTTCAGAAAGTCTCTTTGGTTTCTGGAACTCTCTTCCCTCTCCCTGGAGCTTTTCCAGTGGGCTCGGCAGCCCCCTCTGATAGGTATTCAGGATCTTGCCAAGAACCTTTCAAATGTTCCATGGGAAAAGGCCAGACCCGTTCACTGGGCTCCACGCTGGCCAGATACCGCCCTCTTACATGCTGCATAGAAATAAAACACGGAGGTGACAAGCAGCTTGGAGAAGTTGAAATGTCAGCGCGACACTCTGAAGTCTCCTCCGAGCATGTAACTCGGAGATGGGAAAGGTTGCCCAGAAAGCAAACTGTTAGATAGGAACTGAGGGAGGTTCCTCGTCTGGGTTCTCAGAGCCAGGAGCGCCAGGAGCTCCAGGAGAGGCGGCTTTGATGCCAGGAGCCCACCCCGACTCTCAGGCAAGCGTCAGTGAGTGCCGAGTGGCTGGCTCCCCCGCCCCCCGTGCTCTGGCCTTGCCAAGCCACTTGTGGCTCCTGGAAGCTCTCACCCCTCACCTCCAGCATCCCCCTTCCTGAATGGCCTCCTGTCCTGCTGTCCGCTCAGCACTGCCAGGGCAGTCTCCCCCAGACCTGGGGCTCCCCAGGGACAGAGACTGCACCTTGCAACCCGAAGGACCTAGATGGGGCTCTGGCACAGAGGAGCTCAATCAATATTTGTCCAATGAACAAATGCCACTCCCTGGAGCTCGTTGTTCTGGGTGAACCAGAGGCCAAGCCTTCATGTCCTTCCCATCGCCAGCTGGTAGCCCGAAGAAAAGGCCACCTGTGTCCAGGTCGCAGGGGTAAGGACAGCAGGCTACTGCTTCACTGGGCCTGGATTTCCTCATCTGCAGAATGGTGGGGATGGGTGACCCCAAGGGTATCTCTCAGGACCAACTCTGTGTGCCCAAATGTGAAGCCACCTGAACTGTCCTTTCTCCTCGCAGGTGTTGTCATGGAAAGCCTCACCCTGGCCCTCTGGTCTCCTCTTAGATTTGACTTTTCCTAATTTTCCAGCCTTGACTTTGGCTGTTCCTCTATGTCCATGACCCTCTGCTCCTTCCAGATGTCAGAAGGGGCCTTGCAAGTGAGGAGCCCCCGAGCTCAAGTTCTTCTGGCCTCGCAGAAAACTCACTGGTGAGCAGCGTCCATGCATGTGTCTCTGTGTGCTGGCATGTGCAGGCATGTGTGTATGCTTGTGTGTGTCTGTGTGCTGGCATGTGCAGGCATGTGTGTGCGCTTGTGTGTGTGTGCTGGCATGTGTGGGCATGTGTGTGTGTCTGTGTGCTGGCACGTGTGGGCATGTATGTGTGCTTGTGTGTGTGTGCTGGCATGTGCAGGCATGTGTGTGTGCTTGTGTGTGTCTGTGTGCTGGCATGTGCGGGCATGTGTGTGTGCTTGTGTGTGTGTGTGTGCTGGCATGTGCGGGCATGTGTGTGTGCTTTGTGTGTGTGTGCTGGCATGTGCGGGCATGTGTGTGTGCTTGTGTGTGTCTGTGTGCTGGCATGTGCGGGCATGTGTGTGTGCTTGTGTGTGTGTGTGCTGGCATGTGCGGGCATGTGTGTGTGCTTGTGTGTGTGTGTGTGCTGGCATGTGCGGGCATGTGTGTGTGCTTGTGTGTGTGTGTGCTGGCATGTGCGGGCATGTGTGTGTGCTTGTGTGTGTGTGCTGGCATGTGCGGGCATGTGTGTGTGCTTGTGTGTGTGTGTGCTGGCATGTGCGGGCATGTGTGTGTGCTTGTGTGTGTCTGTGTGCTGGCATGTGCGGGCATGTGTGTGTGCTTGTGTGTGTCTGTGTGCTGGCATGTGCGGGCATGTGTGTGTGCTTGTGTGTGTGTGTGCTGGCATGTGCAGGCATGTGTGTGTCTGTGTGCTGGCATGTGCGGGCATGTGTGTGTGCTTGTGTGTGTCTGTGTGCTGGCACGTGTGGGCATGTGTGTGTGCTTGTGTGTGTCTGTGTGCTGGCATGTGCGGGCATGTGTGTGTGCTTGTGTGTGTGTGTGTGCTGGCATGTGCGGGCATGTGTGTGTGCTTGTGTGTGTGTGTGCTGGCATGTGCAGGCATGTGTGTGCTTGTGTGTGTGTGTGCTGGCACGTGCGGGCGTGTGTGTGCTTTGTGTGTGTGTGCTGGCACGTGCGGGCATGTGTGTGTGCTTGTGTGTGTGTGTGTGTGCTGGCACGTGTGGGCATGTGTGTGTGCTTGTGTGTGTGTGCTGGGATGTGCGGGCATGTGTGTGTGCTTGTGTGTGTGTGTGTGCTGGCACGTGCAGGCATGTGTGTGTGCTTGTGTGTGTGTGTGTGCTGGCACGTGTGGGCATGTGTGTGTGCTTGTGTGTGTGTGTGCTGGCATGTGCGGGCATGTGTGTGCTTGTGTGTGCATGTGCAGGTCCCACTCTGGGCTCGTTCAGAAGCAAGAGGAGATATCCCGGCAGGCAGGTGAAGGCCTTGGTAACCAGACATCCTGCTGTCATCGCTATTCACCTTTCCTTTTAATCCATTTTTAAAGTATTGATCGTCATGTCTGAAAATGCTGGAACGGCAGCCCCGGATCTCTGAGCCAAAGAGCTGTGTGAACTGTGAAAACTGTCTACCCCGTGTGGGAGGCGGAGATGGTTTCCTATTTTAATCCTCTCTAAGACTCCAAAGGTTAGTGGTTTATGTAGATCAAACTGCAGGGTCGCACATGAGCCCTTTGCAGATGTTCTTGGGGGGCTGACTCTGGGAGACTCCTTTTCCAACTGGCCTAGCGACCCCTTGAACAGATGTTCCCAACTTGGCGTCTCCTCCCTCGTGAGAACCTCAGAGCTGCAAGGAAACTTAAAAAGTTCCAATTCACAACATGGTGAAACCCCGTCTCTACAAAAAATCCAAAAACTTAGCTGGGCATGGTGGTGTGTGCCTATAGCCCCAGCACTCAGGAGGCCGAGGTGGGAGGATTGCTTGAACCTGGGAAGTCAAGGCTGCAGTGAGCTGTGATTGTGCCACTGCACTCCAGCCTGGATGACAGAGTGAGACCCTTTCTCAAAACAAAAAAACAAAAAACAAAAACCTCACTCAGTTCAGTGAGAGTGGGTGACATGTCCAAGGTCACATGGGAACAGAAATGTAAACCCAGGTGTGTCTAGCCCCAAAGAGGGAGGAGAACAAGTGGAGGGTGTGAGAGGGGACGGCTGGCAGGCACAGAGGTACAGGAGGGGGAGGCCAGGTGAGGAGATGGGGTTTCCTGCACACATAGGAGCCACGGCTGGTTTTCACGCAGGACAGATGCAAGCTCTTTGGCGTATTTTAGGGAATTCATCTGACTTCCACGTCCAGAGTAGAGAGCTCTGGAGCAGGAAGGCAAGACAGAGGCCAGGCCCTGGGGCCCTGGGGGAGCCACAACAGCGGGGTGTGTTGAAGAATGCTTGAACCAAGAGCTGGGCTTCTGTGGGTGGGGAAGGGTGGGAAGAGCATTTCTGGCAGAAAAAACTGTGCACAAAGGCCTGGGGGGAGACTAGCCGCACATGGGGGTTGTGCATGGCCTGATGGGAAGGTCCCCGTCAGCAATGGAGGAGGTGGAAGCTGGGAGGCCAGGCAGGCCCAGAGTGGAGAGCCTCGAATGCTGTGGGGCTCCTGGTCTCGGTCCTGAGGGCCTCTGACCTTTCCAGGCCGGGGTATGTGCCATAACTGATGTGCACGGGAAGGATACCCCACGGCAGTGGAGGGGGTGGATTGCCCAGGGCAGGGAGAAGCACAGCCGGGGCAATAGTGGGGAACAGGGGAGCCCGCTCTCTCCAGGTGGCCCCTGTTCAGTGGGGACCAAGGCCATGACGACATGGTGGGAGAGGAGCTGGTGAAACGCCCAGTGTGTGTGGGGAGCTGGGTAACTGTGCAGATAGGCAGCCTAAGGGTGGGCCTTTATGCAAGCTTGTTCTCCATCACTGCTCCCACCCTCCCGCACTGTCTTTGGCCACGTGAGTGGGACCAGGGATGACCAGCTGGAGAGGCTCTCACTCTTCCTTGCAAAGTCCATGGCGGGGTGGGGACCTGCAGCACCCAGCATGCCAAGGTCCAGGGCACAAGCCCAAGCACTGGCTTCTCCTGAGCATGGCAATGGGTGAAAGACCCTTTCCCTTGGGCTCGCTTGGACACCCGCTGGATTTCAGACTCAGGATGTGGTGACAGTGTCCTCATCCCAGCTCTCTCCCCTGCCAGGGGTGACAGTGTGATGGTACCTGTGCAGGTGGCATGCATACCCCTCTACCCCCTCTCTGTCTGACTCAGATGGCCCTCAGCACGGTCGACCTTGTCTGAGAACCATCAGTACACATGTTCTTGTCCTATTTGTCCCCCAAGGAAGTCACCTCTGCAGGCTCAGTCCTGGGCATGCCCCCAACCTGGCTCCTTTCCTCACCTCTTCTTCGAGGAAGACTCCATTTTGTAGATGGGAAAACCGAGTATCACAGAGGTGTGTTTAAACAGCACAGCCAGTGAAAGTCAGAGCTGGGGCCAACACACACCTGCTGGCGGAATAGGAGAACTTGTCATTTAGGAATTTGGGCTCTGGAGTCAGGCCACCTGGGCTCACGTCCCACAGCCAACCCCAGCAAGCCACCCACCCACATCCCTTCTTCTTGTGTCTAAGTAGAGGGTGGTGCTAGTGACTGCCTAGCAGGGCCAGGTGAGCAGACACGGAAGCGTGAGAGGTTGTCTGTCTGCTACGTAAAAAATGCTCAGCATGCATGGTCATCAGCCGCACCTGACTCTGAAGCCTCCTACCTCAAAGGCAAGATGTTGGCTTATCTCATTGTACACATTCAACTAGCACTGGTTCTCACCAAATTTCCACCCAGATCTCTATTCACTTGCTAAGGCTGCTGTATTAGTCCATTGTCACGCTGCTATGAAGAAATACCTGAGACTGTGTAATTTATAAAGGAAAGAGTTTTTTTTTCTTTCTTTCCTTTTTTTTTTTTTTTGAGATGGAGTCTTGCTCTGTTGCTCTGTTGCCCAGGCTGGAGTGCAGTGGCTCGATTGATCTCAGCTCACTGCAACCTCTACCTCCTGGGTTCAAGTGATTCTCTTGCCTCAGCTTCCCGAGTAGCTGGGATTACAGGCGTGCGCCACCATGCCCAGCTAATTTTTGTATTTTTAGTGGAGATGGGGTTTCACCATGTTGGCCAGGCTGGTCTTGAACTCCTGACCTCAGGTGATCTGCCCACCTTGGCCTCGCAAAATGCTAGGATTAGAGGCATGAGCCACCGCGCCCGGCCAAGGAAAGAGGTTTAATTGACTCACAGTTCTGTCTGGCTGGGAAGCCCCAGGAAACTTACAATCATGGCGGAAGGGGAAGGGAAAGCAAGGCACCTTCTTCACATGGCAGTGGGAAAAGTGCCAAAGAAAGGGAGAAAAGCCCCTTGTAAAACCATCAGATCTTGTGAGAATTCACTCACTATCTCGAGAATAGCATGGGAAAACCCCTACTTGATTCAGTTACCTCCCACTGGGTCCCTCCTATGACACGTGGGGATTATGGGAACTACAATTCAAGGTGAGATTTGGGTGGGGACACAGCCAAACCATATCAGCTGCCGTCACAAAGCAATGCACACTGGGCAGTGTAACAATAGATGGTTATTGTCCTGTAGTTCTGGAGGCTGGGGCTCTGAGATTGAGGGTTCGGCAGGGCTGGCTGTCTCCTGCTCTGTCCTAGGCCAGTCTCCTGGCTTCTGGTGATCTGTGACATTGCTCGGCTTGTAGAGGCATCACTCTGGTTTCTGCCTTTATCATCGTGTGGTGCTCTCCTAGGAGGCTGTCTGTGTCCAGACTCCCCCTTTCATAAGGACACAGCAGTGTCCGATCAGGACCCACCTCATAACCTCATTTTTTTTTTCCAAGACAGAGTCTTGCTCTGTTGCCCAGGCTGGAGTGGGCACTAACCACTAACCTTTGGAGTTAATGGTGTGATCTTGGCTCACTGCAACCTCCGCCTCCTGGGTTCAAGCAATTCTCCTGCCTCAGCCTCCCGAGTAGCTGGGATTACAGGCACCCTCCACCACACCCGGCTAATTTTTGTATTTTTAGTAGAGACAGGGTTCCACCATGTTGGCCAGGCTGGTCTTGAACTCCTGACCTCTTGATCCACCCGCCTCGGCCTCCCAAAGTGCTGGGATTACAGGTGTGAACCACCGTGCCCGGTGACCTCATCTTAACCTGATCATCTCCAAGGACCCTATTATGTCTCTGCCCATGAACATTCATGGTCTGGGGGGAGAATGAGACATGACAGAGGCAGGTGCAAGATGGGGCAGCGTGTGCCCTGAGAAGGGGGGTGCTGGGGCCCCAGCACAGGAGGGTTCTGGGCTGCAGTGGCCTGGCACACAGTAGGTGCTCCCTGCCTTTTAGTTGGTAGATGAGTGAGTGAGAAGAGATCGGAAGATCTAGGGCTGTCCTGCTTGGTGCTGAGAAGCATGGAAGCTGCTTAAAGACACAGGAAAGAATTTCTCGCCCCCAGGCTCCAGTGCCTTGGGTGTTGAAAGATCAAATTCCTGGAATTCATCTCCTCTGTCTACTCAGGCTGTCCCTTCATCAAGCACAAGGACCCGGGGAGAGGCTGGCAACATGTTAGAGCTTGGCGGAGGGGGTGAGCTGGCCCCAAGTGCAGCCTGGATTCCAGACGCTGCCAAAACCGGCTTGATATATGTTTGGTCTCAGCATAGAATCTTTCCATCATCCAACTGTCCTTGTCTCGAAACTGGAGGGGGAGTCCCTTTGAAACTGATGTCTGGTTTTCCACAGCCATACAATTAATAGTTACTGGTGTGCAGAGTCACCATCCTGCAGAGGTAAAGCCTTCCCTGTGGCCCAAAGCGGGGAACATGCAGCCTTGCCGGCTGTGCAGACTCTGCTGCTGCTTTTTCCCTCCTCCCTGCACTGGCCGCTCCATTTCGCACTCTGTTGAAGCTGAAGCTGGCGTCTTGGTGGTTTTATGGGGCCGGGGTCCCGTGATGGGGCCACATGGAGTTCTTCAGTGGGTTCAGTGGCTAGAGCAGGGCTCTGTCTCCCCATCAATCCTGGCAAGTCATGTTCCCTTCCTCTCTGAGCCTCAGTTTCCCCATGTACTGAGTTTCAGGCTTAGGTGATGTATTAGATTTGAAGCCTGGGGCTTGAATGAATTTTATTGCTATTGTGAAGGGTGTGAAGACCTTATAAACTGCTCTTATGGATCACTTGGTCACAACCTGTCATTTGGGGGAAAGCTTGGCACTGAGATGACGTTGAACCTCACAGCAGGGGGAGCAGTGGAGCATGTGCCCATTCTCTCACATCCAGCAAGGTTCACCCTGTCCTGTACCGTACAGTCAGGGAACAGCGACTGGTTAGGCAGTCCCATCCCCACTTCTCTCTTGCTCTGGCCCTCATTCTCTGATGGCCCCTCGAAGCACAGCACAAATAAAATGGCAACACTCGAACTCCAGCCAAAGTCAAGTTCCACTGGCTCCTTTTGGCATTAGCCAGAGAGGGCTGCTCAATGTCTAATCTTGGAAGACCAAATCACTCTTCCAACATTATCCCCGCTCAAGTGGCATCCCTGAAAGTCAGCCTTTGTGAGCATCTCAAGTGTGTGGATGATTTTGTTCTAGGCTCCATCAATGAGCAAATCTTTGCTTTTTGTTGAGCAAATGGATGAATATTTATTCCGGGGAAGACTGGCTATTAGCTGAGCCTCTCCATTCTGCTAATCTTGACACCGGCCAGATCATCTACTTTATCCATAAGCAGAATCACTGGGTTTTGGGTGGAGGACCAAACTTTAGATCGACAAGCAGGGCCCTGGCGATGAGGAAACCAGCCTGAAAATGATTATTTGCAGCCTGATTATTTATGGGATATACTATGGGATAGTGAAGCAGATCGCTCAGGTCACACAATAACCTGATGTAGCAGACGAGGTCCTGCCTCTCAGTCCAGGACACCTGCCCCTTATGACCGTCTATCACAGGCCATCAAGCAGGTCTGCTGGGGTTCAAGGTTTGTAGTCCCCCTAAACAGAAGCCTCTTGCCCACTTGGTGGCCACAAAACCAGCGCATCCCCTGAAGGCTCTTCAGGCCCATGGCCCAAGATGTCTGCTCTTCAGGAACCTTGGAGGCCACACAGATGCCATGGAAGGGGTAACCCATAGTGGCTCAGGTCACCTGATGGAAAACCAGGGCCACAAGCATCATGCGATGGGCATGGATAGATCATGCTCCAGCAACATGGGCTCATTCAAAAGCTGAGCACCAAGGGAACAAGGCACTTTGGTCCAGGCAGAGGAGAGAGGAGAGGGGACAGAGAGGAGAAAGAGGGCTCTGCCAAAGGTGGGAGGCTGCCCAGGGGCCCGGCACACACAGTAGGACCACTGGAGGGAGACTCATGCAGACAGTAAGGCAGGGCAGACAGGCTGGCCCCATTCCTAGTCTCTGTCCATCCCTCTGAATCTGAAGGAAGCAAGGGAATCGGAAGGAAACAGAATGGTAGGAAAACAGGATGAAGTGGTGAGTGGGGTAGACGCACGGAATGCATGCAACGATGGCATGGGATATCCACTCGAGCCTTGCTCATCATTTACCTGAATTCAAATGTAACTGGGAGTTCTTTTATTTTTATTTGCTAAATCTGGCAACTCACAGAGGAGGTGGGGTGATGGCATTGCCAGCATCCTCAGTCTAGCAACGACACCAGGAACCTTCCCAGCAGCGTCTTATGCTGCCCTTGACGTGGGCTGGGCCATGACGCCAAAGTGCAGGCCAGCAAAAGCCAGTCTCCTGTGCCAGGTAAGCAGGCGCGTGGATGCTGGGCTCTCACTTGGGCCCCTGGTGGCTGTGCTGGTTGATTTTACTGTGTTAACTTGACTGGGCCATGGGGCACCCAGATATGTGGTCAGACATTACCCTGGCTGTGTGGGCAAGGGTATTTCCGGACGAGATTAATGCTTGAGTTGGTGGATTGAGTAAAACAGTTGGTCCTGCCCAATGCAGGTGGGCCTCCTCCAATCCGTTGAGGGTCTAAATAGAACAAAATGCTATTGGAGACCCTCCCCCAGGTAAGAGAGAATTCTCCCTGCCTGGTGGCCATTGAGCTGGGACATTGGCTTTCTGCTGCCTTCAGATTTGAATGGAAGCATCAGCTCTTCCTGGGTTTCCAGCCTGCGGACTCATCCATCTCCAAAACTGTGACAGCTATTTCCTTTATATATTAATATATGTGCTATATATCTCCATATCCTACTGGTCCTGTTTCTCTGAAGAACCCTAACACGGTAGCTATGGTGAGAGGTGCTCCGACACCTCCTGCAGCTGCAGCAGTTCCCTGTGGCCGGCACCACAAGCCCAGTGTGTTGGGCACAGGTGGCCTCACTCCAGGCAGTGGTGTCACAGGGTGGACCTGACATGGGCCCATCCACGAAGTTTGTCGCATGCCTGCGTGGTGACGGATGGGCTCCTGGAACCCTGATTTCTCAGGAGGGAAACACGCCTTTTGTTTCTTTTAAAATTTGTTGGGATAGCCCAAATCTGCTTTTCCAAAGTGAGGAAATGCCATATTCCAGGACGGGAGACAGGGAGGAGGCATGACATGCCTCCTATGAGCCACGCTCCCTGTCCACACCATTCCATTTTGGTTTTTAATTCTTAGGAGGACCTCAGGAACCCAGGATCTGATCACTCCAGCTCCTGGTTTATGCCGCTCGCTCACAACTGGTCCAGTGTGTTAATTTTATGTGCGTGTGTGTATAATAAATCATGTGAGCCCGCCACCAACACGAGAATCAGAGCATCGTCCATAACTTGCTTCTACTGAGGGCCTGTGCTCTCCCTCCCCCAGGTGACCACACTCCTGAATCCTGCATTTAAACTAAAAAGACAACTATATAGTTTTTCATATGTACGTATTTGAAAAGGTATGATGTTTAGTTTTACTGTTTTTTAAATTTCATTTTTCAAAAGGTTTCTCTTTCCATCGTTCCTGGAACCATGCTGAGTCAGGCTTGCTGTGACTCCAGCAAGATGGGTGAGCAGAGGCCCTGCACAGTGAGTGGCGAGCTGGGGTCTGAACCGGAGCCTGCACAGCTCTGAGGCTGCGCTCCCTTAGCCCTGGGTGGCTGCTCCCCGACCAGCTCCAGTGGGCAGGCTGGGTCTGCCTCGTCCAACACAGAATCACCAGGGGCTGGTGCATGGAAGGTGCCTATTTGTTGAGTGAAATAGTTTCACGATGTCTACACATATCAGAATATCACATTTGTACTCCATAAATAGATGGGATTATTGTCGATTAAAAATCAAAATAAAAAATATATTTGTTGAGTAAACAGGCATCCTCCCTTGCAAGCCTATACTGGAAAAAAAGGCATTATAGTGCCACAGACAGCTGAAAGGTGGCTAGAGTGTCTTCACAAAAGACATCATCGAATTTCCCAATTAACCTTTTTTTCGATAAGGGAAACCCAAACATGTTTCTCATTTCACAAAATCAGGGGGTACAAACAGCATGATGACTCTGGCCACAAGGCAGTATTTCTGTGTTTCAGTGTCGCCTCCTGTGGCAGAAAGCGAAGACTCCCCCAAGCGGGGTCCAAGAGATTTCGGATGCCGCCAGTCTCCGCTTTGGCCCTGGCCCCCACCAGAGGCCCCTTGGACCCTGCCTGCCTCCCATGGTTGCCAGAGCCGGGGTTCCCAACGTCTCTGGACCCCAGAGGTCCACTGTTGCCCCCAGTCTCCCACAGAGGTGTGGGGAAGGCTTGGCCGCGCTTGATCCCTTGGCCCGGCTTGGTCCCTCTTGGGTGCAGCCATGAGTCCCTGGAGTAAGGGTGAGAGGCACCCACTGTCCTGTGCCCAGACTCACGTGTCCAGGGCCTGCCTCCCTGGGCAAAGGACTCTGTGCCTTGGTGTTTCCTTAGAGTAAGTTCCTTCCCAGGAGGCTTCCCTGTCCCTCAGACAAATAGAGCCTGGGCAGCCTGGCCCCCCAGTCTTCCAGACAGATAACTTATAATCATAATACCAACAATAGTAATCAGCTAACATTTAGTCTCTGTGCCAAGCATTTTATGCACATTATTTCATTTAATCCCCATTATTATCCCCATTTTACAGATGATAGCACTGAGGCCCAGAGAGGTTAAGTAACTTGTCTTGGGTCACACAGCAAATTCATAGGGAGCTGTACTCAAATTAAGGTCTGGCCAAGCCTGTGTCCTTAGTCACAATATCTGGAAATGTGTTAGTCCTGGGATGGGTGTGGGGTACAGTGGAGGTGAACAAATTGGGACCCCCATTCATAGCCAGTGTCTCCCCAGGCAGGGCCGCTGGGTCATTGGGAGGGAGGGGCTGGGCACATATGTCCTTTGGGCTTCTGCACCTGCCCTGGGTTGGGTAATGTCCCCATTCCGCAGATGAGGACACAGAATCCCATGTTCCGCGGTGACGTCACAGGGAGGCCAAGCTCAAACCTCACTGTCCCGATCTGTGGTCTCTGCTCTTCACTCCTACAGGGCTGGAGACCAGCCTTTGCCAAGACGATTTTCCAGATGACGCATCGTCAGCTTGGTAGGGAGGAACGTGTCCAGACGTTCTTTTTTGGGCTAGGGCAGCCAGGCAGAGCACTGGGTATGTCCGGCCTGGGGTCAGGAGGGGCTGGATCAGGCTAGGACACGACTCACAGAGGCCGGCATCCAGCACCGTCCACAGGGACAGGGCCTGGGTCGGAGATGCAGCAGGCAGGAGCTTGGAGGGGCACCAGCACTGCATAAGACCCCGGAAGAAGAGGTCAGGAGCCAAGGGCCAGGTGCACGTCAGGGGGCGGGGAGGGCTGGGGACACCGGCTGGACAGAGCCAGGGGCTGGCCTTGTCTCAGGCCACCCAGCCTCTTCCCAGACCTTCTTCCAAACCCTCTCTTCTCCCCCAGGGAACTGGAGGCAGGGAACAGGGCTGACTGGGAGGGAGAACTGCGGTGGGGAGGGGGAGTCCCCTTCACAGAGTCCCCAGGAATCTCCCCTGCAGGATCCAAACTTCTTGGAGTAAGAAGATGCTTCCTGGAGCCTTGGAAGGAAGAGAGAACCATGGAGTCCTGGGGTCACTGCCGAGCCCAAAGTTTGATCTTCAGGCAAATGCCAGGGCGGGAGGAGAGAGCGAAACACGTGGAAGATCAGCGTCCTCCATGTTGCCGGGAGATGCAGCTTGGGAGACAGAGGCTCCCCCACGCAGCCTGGCCGTCCCCCCTCTCCTTCTGGTTTCCTCCGGTGCCTTCTATGGTCAGTGATGGGGGCTTTGCAGCCTGGCTCTGGGTGGCTTTGGTGAGGGGCATTGGGGTCTCGTCAGCCTCTGCCTTCAGGGGGTCGTGGCAAGCAGGCAGAGACAGAAACAGGAGGTGATAGGGGATGATGTGGCCAGAGAGGGAGGCATTGACTCTGCCTGGGAGATCAAGGAGAGCTTCCAGGAGGAGGTGGCAGTTGAAATAAAGTGCAATTAGGTCAGAGTAGAAGAGGCGACAGAGGTGTGTTTTCCTCTATGTATTTGGAATGAAATTGAAGCTCAGAAATGTTAGATGGGTTTTGCCCAAGATCTTACAGTTAGTAACAGACAGGTGAGGACAGGATGTGAGCCCAGGCCATCAGCCTGCAGTCAGGTTCTCTGTCCAGGAGCACAGAGCCACTTTGATTCCTGAAGAGGCTTCAGTAACCAGGCCAGGGTGACCAAAGTGTTTGCTGGGGAAGGAGTGTGATTTGCTCATCCTGGGGCCTGAACTGGGGAGGGTGTCTTGGCACAGAGAGGAAGGGAATGTCCTTGCTCTCAAGGGCTGGACCAGAGAGTGGGGAAGACAGAGAATGGGGCTGCAGACACATCCTGCAACAGGGCCTGAAACCTCTCAGACTCTTCTCCCCCAGGGCTCTTGGTGTGCCTGTGGGTGAGGGGTGTGTGTGTGCATGAGTGTGAGTACGTGTGTGTATGACAGTACATGTGTGAGCGTGCGTGTGTTAGTGTGAGTACATGTGCATGGGTGTGTGGGAGTGTTAGTACATGTATAAGTATGCTTGAATTGTGAGTATGGGTGTGTGTGAGCGCATGTGTATAGGTGTGTGTGGGTGTGTGTGTGCATGGGTGCGTGGGTGTCTGGGTGTGAGTGCATGTGTGTGGGTGCGAGTGTGAGTGCATGTGCGTGGGTGTGAATGCATGTGCGTGAGTGTGAATGCATGTGCGTGGGTGCATGGCTGTGAGTGTGCATGCACGTGTGCATGTGTGTCCACCCTTAATAAACCTTGGGTGAGCGAACAATGCGTGAAGGCCGGTCCTGCCGAGCACGGTCGGTAGTGCCTGGGTTGTGTTTGGGCGAGGACCCGAGCCTGCGGGTGCTGCACAGGAGCCAGCCGTGTGCCCAGGAACCTGCTGATCACTGAGGGTGGGTGAGGACGGCATGGGCACATGTGTGATTTGGTGGCAGTGCCACGTGGTTGTGACATCCACACCCACGCTGGCTGAGAAGAGCAATGGAGCGCCTGAGGAGGTGGCCCGGGACCTTGGCATCACCGCAGAGCGTCCTGGGAAACAGGGGAGGCCTCCTCTGGGCTGGCTGGGGGCTCGGAGCCCTGCACTTTGAACATGAGCGGGACCATGACCTCCTGTTGAACCCCAGCTGGGCGGAGCAGGTGCAGCAGCCCTGTGGGGAAGGTGTGCCTGGGTGGGGTGCCCGGGTCCTTGGAAGGAGCTGCCCATTGGCCATCTGGCGTGTCTGGTCAGCGCAAGCTCACCCTCCCCACTGAACCCCCTCCTGGGGCTCTGATAGCGTGAGGGGTCAGGGCCCTGACTGTTGAAGGCTGTCAGGGGAGGAAGTAGATGCAGAGGCCACACGGGTGGGTGGAGGTGCGAACTCGGCCTACGCTTAGCGCCGGGGCGTTTTCTCACCTGTGGTCGGTCAGTCAGGCAGCTGCCCAAGCGCTGACTCCCACGGGCCACCTCTCCTCGGCCTCCCAGCCCCAAGGCCTGCGGAGGGGGTGCGCCTTCTCCCCACCCCCGCCCCGCCCCGCCCCCAATCACTCCCTGTGTGCAGGGCTCCGCAGGCAACGCCGCGCAGCTGCCCCTGGCTCTCCGACACTGGCATCCCTGTGTCCCAAGAAGCCTCCTGACTTCCTTGGGAGTGATACTTCCTAACCCATCTGCCACCTCAGTCCATTCAACTCAGCCGATGGGGCGAGTCCACCCTGTGCCCCTCCCAGAAGTCTCCACTCCCACCCTGGTGCCCGGGCGCTGCCCGCCACTCGGCGCACAGCGACCCTGGTGCAACGTGGAGCGGGGCAGGAGGACCAGGGTTCAGCAGCTAGCGTGGCGCCCCCTGGTGGCGAGAGCAGGAAGAGTTTGCAGTGCCCTCGGCCACACCCACATTGAGCTAGGTGCTTTCTGCATGGGTTTTAAAATGGGCAGGGAGGGGAATTTCCCTGAATACCAGTGCTGTGGGTTCACTGAGACTCCACGTTGTCACGCCATGCTGCAGGGAACCCTTAAAATTTGGGTTTCCACAAGATGCAATTCATCTGTATGTTTTGACCTTTTATTTAAAAATCACAAGTCAAACATTATTAAGTAAAGTAGAATAACTGTATTCATTTGCTAAGAAAACACTTCCCAGGACTTCCCTCCTATGCCAGGCTTTGTCTAGACGCTAGCAGGGAAAATACGGCAGCGTCTGTGCCCTCGGAGGCCCACAGCCCGCGTGGGGAGACGGATATTCCCAGCCATTCGATCCTCAGTGTAAGACAGGGGTAAGGGGTATTATGATTCCCATAGGACCTTATTTTTTTAGGTGGGGTCTCACTCTGTCACCCAGGCTGGAGTGCAGTGGTGAGATCTCAGCTCACTGCAACCTCTGCCTCCTGGGTTCAAGCGATTCTCCTGCCTCAGCCTCCTGAGTAGCTGGGATTACAGGCACCCGCCACCACGCCTGGCTAATTTTTGTATTTTTAGTAGAGACGGGGTTTCACCATGTTGGTCAGGCTGGTCTCAAACTCCTGAACTAGTGATCCGCCCACTTCGGCCTCCCAAAGTGATGGGATTACAAGCGTGACCCACCATGCCCGGTCTATGATTTTATAGATGAGGAAACTGAGGTTTGGAGACATGCAGAGCCACCTCATCATGGTGGTTCTACCAGTTCGGATCCTGCCTTGAACAAAATCCCACACAAGAAGGGAGTATAACACAGGGACTTTTTGCAGAGGTGGGAGCGGGTTTAAAGCTGGCCTCACCCAGGGGCCAGCTGCAGTGGGAAGCTGTGAGACCCTCAGCCTGAAGGCACGGAGAGTCCAGGGAGACCCGGAGGGGGCCCGACACAGGCTGGAGTCACAGGACAAGGCCATTGTGAGGATCTTGGTGCTGAGCCAAGGAGGGAGCAGGGGAGAAATACCCAGACCTCTCTCTCTGCCCATCTCCAGTCTGGGCTTCCCATCTCTGGGCCTGACAGGAGCCAGAGGGCTGAGTCCCCCAGGTGGTATAGGCCGTGAGTGAGGTCTGCCCCTGGGCCTTAGGCAGGACAGAGAAGGGCAGAGAATGAACCATGGGACGAGGAGGTCGTGGCACACAGAGAATCCCCTCAGGTGGCTTTGGGCCCTGGCTGCCAGTTCCAGGGTGCCAAGAGAAGCCTCACTCCGTATCTGCGACATTCTCACATATTTCAGGAAGACCCTGGGGAGAGGCAGCCAGGCCTGCGGGGCTCCAGGGTGAGCACAAAGACGGGGTGTGCTTGGCCCTTGGCTGGGAGTGGCCTGTGGGAAGCCAGGTCTTGGCCTTGTCAAGAATGCGGTGATGGATTTCAGAGCACAGCAGGGGCAGGAAGCCATAGGTCGAATGAGCCCCTGGAGGTCAGGGGCCCACCAGATGCATTCTCACCGTGCCCCCAAGAGACACATCCTACAGGCCCACTGCAAGGAGCGCAATGAATGATCACAGTAGCCACCATTTAGCGCACACCTACTGTGTGCCATGGCTGTTTGGGCTGCAGTTGAGTTATTCACAGAGGTGCACAGAGCACTGTCCCATGGCATGTGAAACCTTGTGGTGCAGTGACATTTTAAGCTACAAGGAATAACCCCTGACAGCCTGCATTGCCTTGGACTGTCACCTGCCCGGGAGGTGACAGCTTCTCTCCCGCACCTGGACAGAGGCTGCCTTGGCCTAGAAGAGAACACACTTTGCAGGAAACATCCAGGGTCCTGTCACTCAGCAGCTGCCAGCTCAGGACCTCCTGGCCAGGAACCCAGCTTCCCTGCCTCTCCATCCCTGGCTCAGTTCCCATTGTGTGGCCAGCACAGCTGTCGTTTCAGGGGCCACTGGTGGACTCTGGATGATCATTTACAGATTGGGAGGGCGTGATAAGGCTCTCATGCCCTGTATGGGTTATTAAGAAATGGCACCACAGGGGCCAGGTTTCCATGCCAGCTCCCCCTCACTGTCTCTTTCTGCCTATCTTTTATTGTCCACTCTTATCTTTCCCCCTCCCCATGCCCCACCCTTGTGCAGGTCCCTAAGACCATAACCTTCTTCAAACTGCTGCTGGCTTTTCCTGACCCTCTGCCCCAGGCCCGGAAGGTAACTTTATCAGCAGGGCTAGTGAGGGCTTGGCTGGGGCCCCAACCCTGTATGGCCAGAGAGGGGGAAATTCTGCCAGCAGAGACCCATGGCTGCCCAGTGATGTGGAGGAAAGGGATTGGAAGGCTAATCGGATCCAGACTCATCCCATCCTTGTCGACCTCAAACGCATTTCCCCCTGTCCACAAGCCAGTGCCTCGGGAGGTGGGCATGGGGTTGGATTGGCTCCATTCCTCCTGATCTGTTCTTCTTCTGTACGGTGACAACTGCTGTGATCAGAGAGTGAGGCAGTTGATGGGCACAGGCACCTCTGAGTCACCTGGGACCATTTAGGGACTCCTGGGTCTCTGTCTTTGCACCTTAAAATGGGTTCAGGTCCTGGTTCTGTTTAAACCTTCCCATGCTGGTGACAAGAATAGTTGCCTATGAATGTGGACAGCCCTCCTCAGTTTAAGAGCAAGCAGGATGCACTGGAAACTTCACAGGTCTTGTGATCAAATGAATCAGGTTTCAACCAGAACCCACTCTTCCCTCGCATGGGGGTGGAGCCTCAGTGTCCTCAACTGCCAAATGGAGCCACGATCCTCACGGCCACCATGAGTGGGATCAGCACCTGTTTGCTGAAAGGGCTCTCCACATGCAGCCAGGTGGAGAGAGGAAAGCTTTGGAATCATGGAGATTTGGGTTCAGATCTCTGTGTCTCCATTGGGCCAGTCCACTCCTCTCTGGTTTGCTGTTTAAATGAGGACAGTGACACCCACTTCTCAGGTGTTGGGGGAATTGAAGAAAGGTACGTTCTTGCTAGTGGCAAGTGATCAGCAAGTGGCAGCGGCTGGCAATGACACTGAAAGGAGTCATCAGCATCCCCATTTCACAGGTGAGGAAACTGAGGCCCCAGGAGGGCAATCAGATGAATGGTGCAGTGGGATCAGTCTTGGCCCTGGGCCTGTCTGATGCCCCAGACCATGCACTCCACTACCCCTCTGGGCCCCTTTTCCTTCTTGGCTGACCCACGCAGAAGTGGTTTCTCCTGGAGCAGGCCTGGCCTTGGCCACAGACCAGGGGTGAGTATGGCTGGAGTGTATCCGCCCTCTTTCCCCGAACCCAGGGGTCCTACCCCCTCCACCACCAAGGGAGTTGTGCTAATGGCATCGTGGTGGGTGGGCCTTGGGCATGTGTTGCCTACCTTCTGACCAGCATTGTGGGCTTAGAGGTGTCGGAAGGCTTGGCAGGGATGAAGGGGTGAACTAGCTCCCTCCAGCCTTGGTTCACTTGAGTCACTCTTCTCTGGTGCCCAACCCATGTTTGTTTTGTCTTTCTGGGTTTCAGCCCTTTGGCCAGCAGAGGTTAAAGATTACTGAGGCGGCTGACAATAAAAGTGCCCGGCGCGCTGGCCTTTGACCACCCATTAGAAGGCAGTGGGATCACACTCCCCACAACCGCCACAACGGCGAGAGTGGTGAGGGTGTGGACGAGGGCACGCCCTCCCTGCATTAATATTAAGGGGACAGTCGCTCTTGCCTGGGCAGTTGGGCCAAGTTTCTCTTTTATCTGAAGCCAGGGCCACAATGTGGCATTGTTCTCCGTCTCAAAGGCCATCATGCGGCCTCAGAGTGGACCCTGGGAGGGACCCCACCTGGCAGAGTAAACAGCCACCCAGAGGTGGCTGGCAGCAATGGGGAGGAGCTTTCTCTTTCTTCTGGAAGACATATATTTCTTCCGAGGGAGTCTGGGAATCAGAGTCCTCCAGGGGCCATTAACCTCCTTCCTGAACCTCAGTTTCCTCATCTGGATCAGGGTGCTTCGCTTACATCTGCACTCCAGGACAGGGTTATGAATCCTTCCTGTCCTGTGGACCTGAGGACGTTGAAGGACCCTCTTTTCAGAATGTTTTTTTAATGCATTAAATAAAACCAGAAGATCACAAAGGAAACTAATTATATTGAAATACAGCGATCAAAATATTTAAAAACAAATTTGAGATAATACATGTGTTCCTTTGCGAGTGAATTAAATAACAAGTTCTAGCCACAAGTCTACCGACTACTGCAATTTCAAAGGAGTGATATGTGAAAATTGCAAGTTATCTACAGCAACAAAGCCACAGACACTCCTTGTATTTCTGGGTTTTTTTTATGGCCTGTATTTTATTTAAAAAAAATGTATTTAAGATAGGCCAGGCATGGTGGCTCACGCCTGTAATCCCAGCACTTTGGGAGGCCTAGGCGGGTGGATCACTTGAGGTCAGGAGTTCAAGACCAGCCTGGCCAACATAGTGAAACCCCGTCTCTACCAAAAATATAAAAAAGTAACTAGGTGTGGTGACACGTGCCTGTAGTCCCAGCTACTCGGGAAGCTGAGGCAGGAGAATCACTTGAACCCAGGAGGCAGAGGTTGCAGTGAGCTGAGATCACGCCATTGCACTCCAGCCTAGGCAACAGAGCGAGGCTCTGTCTTAAAATAATAATAAAAAAAAATTTAAGATGATTATTGATTCACAGGAAGTTGCAAAAATAGGAGAGAGGTCCCATTTACTCATCCCCAGCTTCCCCCCGCGGTGACATCTTGCATAATTGTGTACATTACCAAAACCAGGATACTGACTGGTACAATACAATGAACTAGACTTGTAGTCTAGTCAGACCTTAACTCGGATTTCACACTTTTTGCGTGCACTTCTTTTCTGGTATGACTTTGTGTATAATTTGATGACATTTTATCACACATATAGATTTATGTAACGCCCCACCACAATCAAGATGCCGAACTCTTTCCTATGGCACAGGGGCTGCCCCTTCATACCATGCCCTTCTGCTTTCCTCCACCTCCCCCAGCCCACTAATCTGTTCTCCATTCTGTACAAATAATAATAGTTAATGTCACCAGGCACTGACCAACGCTGTGGTCTAAAGAGGTAAAAACAGAGGCTCAGACAGGTTGAATAATTCCCTGAGACCACCCAGCAGGAAACAGCAGAGCTCACACTGCCTGCAACCAGGTCATCTCTGTTCATCCTCACTCACGAACCTTACAGTCGATAGATGACCCCAAATGTGCTTGGGAAACCTGGGCGGTTTCTAGCTCCACCGCCTGGGAGCTGTGTGAATACGGGCACATCCTAAGCCTCTCTGAGCCTTGGCGTCTTCAGGTTTCAGTGAGGGGGAGTGATAAGCCCACCGTCATGAAGATGCATGCTAGGTGGGCTTGGAGAGGTTGGCCTCACACCTTTAGTGGAGCTCCAGGCATCTCCAGGGGGCAAGATGCCACCGCCTAGTGGAGAGAGAGAGAGAGGGAGACACAGAGAGAGTGTGTGTTTGTGTGTGTGTGGCGGGGTGCATTCAGAGCCTGGAAAAGCTCAGCACTGCTTGGTGGCACAATTATCCTATCTCATCATCTCACAGTCACTTGGAGGCCAGAGTGCCTGGCCAGAGGTCCCAATAGTTGGAAGGAAGGCAGGTGGAAGGAGGGTGGTAGAGATGATGTCTGGAAAAATTCTGTGCTACTAGTTGCCTGGGGAAATTTGTGCAAAACTGTCCACATTTAGTCTGCAACTGGTTGAATAAATACATGAATAAGTGAATAAATATCCTCAAAGTAACACATCATGCAGAATTTCCTGAATTAGCTAAAATCCTTTTGATCACAAATGACAGACTCTCAACTTAAATTGGCTTAAGGAGAAAAAGAGTATCATTTATTGGTTCAAGTGATAAAACACCCTCTGAGTCAGGGGTAAAGTTGACTTCGGGTACACCTGGGCATGGGACACTGGGCAACATTGAATCTTCTCTCTTTCTCTCTCTCTCTCTCCCCATGTTCTTAATCTCTGTTCCTCTCTGCATGCTGCCTTTTTGTGCGGAATGGGTTGGGGGGTTGGTGGCGGGGGAGGGTTGGAGTTTACAGCCCCAGGCAGCTCCAGAATCATCCCCTTCCAGCTTCATGACTTGAGTAGAAAGTTGACTCTTCTCCACCAGCTCCACCTAGAAAACATTCTGGAGAAGGATCCAACTGGCTCCTTGCATCCTGTGGCCACATCTGGACCAATCACCACGATCAGAAGCCTCAGTCTGGGTCTTGAGCTCATCTCTATGGTTAAGGGTGGGCTGTGCTCCTCAAAGACAATTGACTTGGGGAAGCTGTGTTGGGCTGAAAAAGGCAGCATGAAAGTGAGACTTGTTAGGAAAGTAACAAGATATCTAGGGAATCGCACAGAATGTCTGGAGAAGCTCTTCAAGGACAAGAAGGAAACTGCGGGATTGCCAGGGACTAGTCAACAACAGCATGAGTGGTGCAGGGAACCACTGGATGTGTGCTTGGTAATTTTTATTAAAATTATTTAATGTCCTGTCCAAATATGTCCAGACTAAACTAACAGAGATGTATTATCTGGATTCCTCAATTTAAAGAGGCCAGGCCCATAGGCTTCCTTCATTTATTTATTCACCAGGTGTTCATTGAGTGCCTGCAATGTGCTGGGCATTGGACATAAATGAATGAGTGAAGCAGACAGTGTCTGCCTCAGTTTGCCTGATTGTGTTACTCCTCTGCTCACAAACCTGCAGGGGCTCCCCAGTGCCAGAGGACACAGTGGGAACTGCAGAGTCTGGCTAACAAGTCATCAGTCATCCAACGACAACCTAACTCTCTTTTTTTTGAGATAGAGTCTTGCTCTGTCACCCAGGCTGGAGTGCAGTGGTGCCATCTTAGCTCACTGCAACCTCCACCTCCCAGGTTCAAGCAATTCTCCTGCCTCAGCCTCCTGAGTAGCTGGGATTACTGGCACATGCCACCATGCATGCCTGGCTAATTTTGTATTTTTAGTAGAGATGGGGTTTCACCATGTTGGCCAGGTTGGTCTTGAACTCCTGACCTCAAGTGGTCCGCCTGTCTCGGCCTCCCAAAGTGCTGGGATTACAGGTGTGAGCCACCGCGCCTGGCCCAACCTAACTTTCTAGGTGTGCCTGTCACTGCCGCACCACACCAGGGAGCACACCACACCAGGGCGGCACATCTTGCAGGCCTCTTTCATTCCTGCCTTCCCCTCTGCCTGGGACACTGTCCCCTACTCTCTCCCTAACCCCATCTGAATCCCCCTTCAAGGCGCGGCTCACATCTGCCTTGCTCTGAAGCCTGTGCTCCAAAGCTCATTGCTTGCAGGGGATGGGGTGTCCTGCACTAAGATGCCAGAGGTGAGTGGACAATGAAAAGGCTCCGTGTGGTGCCAACAAGTGACTGCCTTTTCTTGGAGTTGGAGCCATGGAAGCCCTGGATTGTGGACCTCTGTGTGTATTTCCACTGCTTCCTGAAGGCATTTGACCCGTTTCTCACAACAAAACCATCACAAAACTCTCCTCTTTGTCTCCTGGGGAGGCAAGGGCTAGAGGGTGTCTGGCTATGCACTTTCCCTCTTACAGCACCAAGTCCAAGTGTGATTTTCAAAACTGTTAGCTCATTTGGTCCCCTTAATACCCCTGGGGGGGCAGAAGCCCATTTTGAGGTTGGGAAAATTGAGGCCCCGGCACTTCCGTTGCTGGCAACACTGTGGACCAGGTAGATAACCATCCTACTGGAAACAACTAAAAATCTTAGACTGAAAAACTCTTAAAAGTATCCATAGCTGACAAGACAGTAAGGCATACTCAGTACAGGGAGCAGGCGAAGACAGACACTCAGAAAGGTCGGCAGCGGACTGAAGCCAGCTTTTGATTTGGAGGTACTTGGTGAACTAGGGCAACCTGAGCATTGATTTCACATGTCCTGAGGATAGGGAGTAAGACGGCACAACAGGACCTGCCCAAGTGGAAAATCCAACATGGAGCCAGGGGTAGACCTCCGTGAGCCAGGGGTAGACCTCCATACAAGAGTGAACTAGAAGCTGATGCCCTCTTCTTGGGACTGCAAAGAAAACTGCCTGTCTTGAAGCTTGATGCTGGGGGAAAGGGAAAATAAAACCACCTCCAAGAATTTGTGCCTAAGGCCAATTTGTAGCCTGAATTCACACAACCTGGGAGCCCTAAGAACTTCAAGCCAAGACTTTAGCTTAAAGTTACCACATGTGGGTAAACATCCCAGGTGCTCAACAGAAAAGAACACAAATTCTCTCTGGAGGAAGCCACCTTTATCCCAGGCTTTAAAAACTTTCTACAGTTAAAGTTCCATAGAAAATAAGCAATTCCTATGTAAAACCACTAGTCAAAGAAGGAAATGGGGGAGAAAGAGAGAGAAAGAGAGAAAGTAGAATGAGACACTATGTAGTCAGACTTACAAGAACTTCAGATATTAGGATTATTATACAAAGAATGAAAAAATTATAATATGTTTAATATAATTAAAACAGGAGGCTTAAGATGAGTAAGAAGTAAGTAGATTAGCAAATGAACTAGAAATGAAAAGAATAACTGGAGCTAAAAATTCAATGGACAGATTTAATAGTAGTTTGGACAAAGCTTAAGAGAGAATTAGTGAATTTGAAGACAGAAATAAGAAAATTATTTAAAATCAGCCCAAAGAGACAAAGATATGGCAAATATGGACAAGAGGTTAAGATATCTAAAAGACTGAGTGAGAAGTTTAACTGTAGTCTAATCACAGCTGCAAAAGGAGAGGTTAGAAGAAAAGAAAAGAGTGGGAGGAAAGAAGGGAGATGGAGGTATGTGGTAGGGCAAAGCCAATAACGTGAGCAGATAACAGCTGAGAACTTTTCAGAATTGAAGAAAGAACAATCCTCAGAGGCCCGATACGTTCCAAGTTAAGTTAAAAGAAAAAACATAGTCTAGGCGCAGTGGCTCACACCTGTAATCCCAGCACTTAGGGAGGCCAAGGCGGGCAGGTCACAAGGTCAGGACTTCCAGAGCAGCCTGGCCAATATGGTGAAACTCGGTCGCTACTAAAAATACAAAAAAAATTAGCCAGGCATGGTGGTGCATGCCTGTAAGCCTGTAATCCCAGCTACTCAGGAGGGTGAGGCAGGAGAATTGCTTGAACCCGGGAGGCAGAGGTTGCAATGAGCCGAGATTGCACCACTGCACTCCAGCCTGGGCAACAGAGCGAGACTCCATCTCAAAAAAAGAAAAAACATAAGTGAAACTGCAGGGAACCAAAAATAAAGGAAAGATGTCCTAAGTACGAGAGAAAAGATAGATTATACATTGAAGAGGGACAGGCTGACAGTTGACTTTTGTGCAAAACCAAAAGGAGTCAGCCAGAAGACCATGGAATGATATTTTCAATGCGCTGAGAAAAAAATCACTGGCAACCTGCAATTCTGTACTCAGCAAAAATATATTGCAAAATGAAGATTAAATTCAGTCATTTTCACATAGACAAAAACAGAAAATTTACCACCAATGGACTCTCAGTAAAGGAATTTTAAAGAATATGCTTTAAATAGATGGAAAATCATCCCAGATGGAAGGCATGAAGTGCAGGAAGGAATGAAGGACTAAGAAAAGTGGTAACTATATGTGCAAAAATTGCTTTATATCAACTCTGTAGAACAAAGTCATATATAGTCATATGCATAATACCTGGTGCATGTATATAGAATGGGTGCTCGTAAGTGATAGTGATGGATGAGGATGATGATGATGATGATGATGGTGCATACAACTTGCAGAATGATGATATAGAAAGACTGAGGATTCATATCAGAAAAACTTAGGTTTAGATTATAAAACTTCCATTTATCAGCTGAATGAGTTTGAGAAAGTTACTTCGACTCTCTGAGGGTAGTTTTATAATATGTCAGGTAGGGATAAAAATAGTGCTTATCAGGTTTTTGTGAGAAATAAATTAGATAATGCATATCAAACACAAACTATAGGGCTTAGCATGTAGTTGATACTTTGTATTAGGTTGTTCTTGCATTGCTATAAAGAAATGCCTGAGACTGAGTAATTTATAAAGAAAAGAGTTTTAATTGGCTCATGGTTCTGCAATGCTTTACAGCAGGGGTCCCCAAACCCCTGTGCTGGTCCATGGCCTGTTAGGAACTGGGCCACACAGCAGGAGGTGAGCTGAACTCCCAGTCCTGTCAGATCAGCAGCAGCATTAGACTCTCACAGGAATGAGAACCCTATTGTGAACTGTGCTTGCAAGAGATCTAGGTTGTGCACTCCTTATGAGAATCTAATGCCTGATGATCTGTTGCTATCTCCCATCACTCCCAGATGGGACCATCTAGTTGCAGGAAAACAAGCTCAGGACTCCCTCTGATTCTACATTATGGTGATTATGTAATGATAATAGAAATAAAATGCACAATTAACGTCATGCGCTTGAAACCATCTGCCCCACACCTTATCCATGGAAATATTGTCTTCTACAAAACTGGTCCCTGGTGCTAAAAAGGTTGGGGACCACTGCTTTACAGGAAGCATGGTGGCATCTGCTTCTGGGGAGGCCTCAGAAAGCTTCCACTCATGACAAGAGGCAAAGGGGGAGCAGGCATTTCACATGGCAGAGCAGGAGCGAGCGAGAGACAGAGAGAGTTGGAGGGGCAGGGTGCCACACACTTTTAAATGACCAGATCTTGTGAGAACTCACTATCATGAAGACAGCATCTCAAGCCATGAGGGATCCACCCCCATGATCTAAACATCTCCCACCAGGCCCCACCTCCAGCAGTGGGAATTACAATTCAGCAGGAGATTTGGGCTGGGACAAATATCCAAACTATATCAGACTTTGACTCTCAACTTGCCCAACAAAATCTGGAAATAGAGGGACAAGTGGTTGAGGAAGGTGGGTAGGGGACCAACTGCTTATGAATGTTAATAACAAAGGCTACCATGCATTGAGCATCGACTATACACTAGATGCTATGCAATGAAATTTATATGCATTATCTCATTTAATCTTTACAGCATCTTTGTGAAGTAGGCAGTAGAGACCTGAAGCAGATCATTTTAAACACTTCCCCTCCTCAATATGACAAAATTATTTTCAGTATCAGTAATTATTATTTTCTTCATTTTTTAGCTCTAAAACAATTTAAAAAATAAATTTAATGTTAAATATATTTAAATTTAGTAAATTTTTAAATTTATGAATGAAAATTTGCACTTATCAAACAAAATACTACACCTCTCAGCTTGCAAACTTGAATGATTTCCAGCCACTATAAAATTGCCATCTAAATAAACACTGTAATTGAGCTAATGTATTTTGGATGCAAATCACTTAACTAGAAGTTCTTTATATTAACTTCCATGTAAGATACAATATTTAATAAAGGATAAGTAATAAAAATGTGCTAATTTGAAACTTGCATACATATTAGTAAAATTCAACTGTAATAACAGTAATTATGTAGTACTTAAATAAACAAAAATTTTTTTTCCTAGAGAAATATCTTATCACTGGCATTATTTAGAATTGCCAATGCATGATATTAATAAAAAGCAGATCCACTTTTAGTTAGTTTTATTATTGTTTTAAAATTATCTATAGACAACTTCCTGCACACAGGGTACACTACTCTCACAAGCCCACTCTCAATATGCCACTGATTAAAATACTTCCTTTGAAAATTTTCATCTTGGTCAGCACTCTCACTTTAGAATTTCGTTTATTATGTGTTGGCAATTCATTCAAAACTATCAACTTAGTATCTATCTATCCATCTAAAATGTATGTATACACTTTTGCTCTCTCTCTCTGCTGTGGTTTGAATATTTGTCCCCTCCGAAACTAATATTGAAACTTAATCCCCAATGTGACAATATTGAGAGGTGGGGCCTTTAAAAGATGATTGGGTCATGAGGGGCTCTGCTCTCATGAACTGATTTGTCCATCCATGAATTAATGAATGGGTTAGCATGGGAATGGGACTGGTGGCTTCATAAAAGAGGAGGAGAGGCTGGGTACGGTGGCTCATATCTATAATCTCAGCACTTTTGGAGGCTGAGGCGGGCATATCACTTGGGGCCAGGAGTTCAAAACCAGCCTGGCCAACATAGTGAAACCACATCTCTACTAAAAATACAAAAACTAGCTGGGCGTGGTGGTATGCACCTGTAGTCCCAGCTATGTGGGAGGCTGAAGCATGAGAATCGCTTGAACCCAAGAGGTGGAGGTTGTGGTAAGCTGAAATGGCACTGCTGCACTCCAGCCTGGGTTACAGAGCAAGACCCTGTCTCAAAAAAAAAAAGAAAGAAAAAAAAAAAAAAAGGAGGGGAAGAGAGACCTGAGCTCGCATGCTCAGCCCCTCTCCATGCGATGTTTGTGCCACCTTGGAACTCTGCAGAAAGTCTGCACCAGCAAGAAGGCCCTCACCAGATACAGCCCGTTGTTCTTGGACTTCCCAGCCTCCATAATTATTAAGAAATAAATTCATTTTCTTTATAAATTATCCAGTTTTAGATGTTCTGTTATAAGCAACAGAAAATGGACTAAGACACACTCTCTTAAATGTATAATAAATAGACTATTTAATATCATGTTATAAAAAATTATATATTTTTATAATTTATATCTTATATATAAAAAATTTCCCTTAAAGTGATTTGAAGAGATTTTAATAATTAGTATATACACAGAGAGTTATCTTATTAAAGAATGCTATGTGGCATTTTATATTGTGGATGCACCATAATTTTTAAAGTAATTTAAAAAATTGAAGTGTAACGAACATAGAAGAACATACACAATCCATACCATACAACTTAATGAGTTTCTTGAAAGCCAGTCCACTTGTGTAACCACCACATATATTAATAAATAGAAAATTATTGGCATCCCAGAAGCTCCCTCATAGCCCCATCTAGTCATTGCTGTCCCTCAGATGTTACCTCTTTCCTGATTTCTATCACCATGACCTATTTTGCTTGTTTTTTTTTTTTTTTTTTTGAGACAGAGTCTTGCTCTGTCACCCAGGATGAAATGCAGTACAATCATGGCTCACTGCAGCCTTGATTTCCCAGGCTCAAGTGATCCTCCCACCTCAGTTGGGACTACAGGCATGCACCACCATGCCGGCTAATTTTTTTATATTTCGTCTTGCCATGTTGCTCAGGCTGGTCTCAAACTCCTGGGCTCAAGTGATCCTCTTGCTTTGGCCTCCCAAAGTGCTGGGATTACAGGTGTGAGCCCCTGCACCCAGCCTAGTTTTCTTGTTTTTGAGCTTTGTGTAAATGAGCAGATAGTATGTAGGTATTTGTATCTGGCTTCATGAACTTTATCCGTGTTGTTGCATGTAGCAGTGGTCACGTTTTCTCACTGATCTATAGCATTCCATTGTATGACCATGCCATGATTTATGTACCCATTCTATTATTCATAGACATTTGAGTTGTTTCTAGTTTGGGGCTATAATAAATAACACAGTTATGAACAATCTTCAACATATCTTCTGGTACCAGTATGTTCACATTTCTGCTGAGGAGCAAATTATAGGGGATGCATATATTCAGTTGTAGTCAACATTCTTGCCTTGATCCGAACCTTAGAAGAAAAGCACACAGTCTTTTGACATTAAGTATGACGCTAGCTATGGTTTTCTCTAGATACCCTCTATCAGGATGGGGAAGTTCCCTTCTATTCATAGTTTGCTGAGTTTTTAATCATGAATAAGTGTTGAATATTTCAATACTTTTTCTGCATTTACTGAGATGATCATATAGTTTGACTCCTTTATTCTGTGAAGATAGTGAACTATATTGATTGATTTTTAAATCTGAAACCAACTTTTCATTTCTGGGACAAACCCTATTTGGTTATGATGTATTATCATTTGTATGTATTGCTAGATTCAGTTTGCTAATGTGTATTTACTTATTTATTTCTGAGATGGGATCTTGCTCAGTTGCCTAACCTGAAGTGCAGTGGTGCTATCTCAGCTGACCGCAACCTCTGCCTCCTGGGCTCAAGTGATCCTCCCACCTCAGCCTCTTGAGTAGCTGGGACAACAGGCGTGTGTCACCACGCTCAGCTAATTTGTGTGTGTGTGTGTGTGTGTGTGTGTTTGTGTGTATATATATATATATATTTTTTTTTTTTTTTGGTAGAGATGGGATTTCACCATTTTGCTCAGGCTGACCTCAAACTCCTAGGCTCAAGTGATCGGCCCACTTTGGCCTCCCAAAGTGGCTAATATTTATCTAGGATTTTGTGTAGTTTTCTAAGGCATTTGGTTTATAGTTTCTTTTTCCTGTAATGTCTTTGATTTTGGTATTAAGGCCTCACAAAATGAGTTAGAAAGTATTTCTTCCTTCTGTACTTCCTGAAAAAATTTGTGTAGGACTGGTACTATCTACTTCTTAAATGTTTAATAGAAATCACCAGTGAAGTTGTATTTACCTGGGCATCGTTTTTTTGGGGAAGAGTTTTTAAATCACAAATTCAATTCCTTTAATAGTTATTAGGGCCAGGCATGGTGGCTGATGCCTACAATCCCAGCACTTTGAGCAGCTGAGGCAGGAGGATCGCCTGAGCTCAGGAGTTTGAGACCAGGCTGGGCAACATGGTTAGACCCCGTCTCTACAAAGAACAAACAAACAAACAAACAAAAATTAGCCAGGTGTGGCGGCATGCTCCTGTAGTCCCAGCTACTTGGGAGGCTGAGATGGGAGGATTGATTGAGTCCAGAAGGTCAAGGCTGAGGTGAGCTGTGATCATGTCACTTTGAGTTAGTTTGGTAATTATGTTATTATGGAATGAATGTTTATGTCTCCCTGTATTAGTCTGTTTCCACACGGCTATAAAGAATACCTGAGACTGGGTAATTTATAAAGAAAGGAGGTTTAATTGGCTCACAGTTCTGCATGGGGAGGCTTCAGGAAACTTACTTTCATGGCAGAAAGTGGGGGAGAAGCAAGCACATTCTTATATGGCTGCAGGAGAGAGAGAGAGAAAAAAAAAGGGGTGGGGGGAACTGCCAAGCATTTTTAAACCATAAGATCTGGTGAAAACTCATTGTCACGAGAACAGCATGGGGGAAACTGCCCCCATGATCCAATCAACTCCCAGCAGGTCCCTCCCTTGACATGTGGGTATTACAAATCAAGATGAGATTTGGGTGGGGACACAGAGCCAAACCATATCACCCCCTAAATTCATATGTTGAAGCCTTAACCCCAGTGGAGCTTTGGGAGGCAATTAGGTTTAAATAAGGTATGAAGGTGGGGTCCTCAGGATGGGATTAGTGTCCTGATATGAAGAGGAAGAGAGACCAGAGTGTGCATGCTCTCTCTCTCTCTCTCCAACATATCAGGACACATGGAGAAGTTAGCTGTCTGCAAGCAAGGAAGAGATCTCTTACCAGGAATTGCATCTACTGGCATCTTGATCTTGGAATTCCCATCTTCCAGAGCTGTGAGAAATAATGTCTGTTGTTTAAGCCACCCTGTCTATGGTATTTGGATATAGGAGCCTGAGCTAACATGTCTTTCAAAAAGTTTGTGTATTTCACCTAACTTGTTGAATTTATTGGCATAAAGTTATTTATAGTATTTTGGTAGGCATTTTATGTCTATTTTTGTGAGGGATATTGATGCATGGAGTCAGATTATAAAGGCTCATGGGAGTTGATGTGAATATCCCTTTCTAACTCTGCACTCAGTGACGTCACATTGATAGTTTGAAAGCAGCCATGATGGGAGCATTTACAACAGGGAAATTGGCAAACACTACAAATCAAATCTTTTTCTCCTGCCACAAAGAGCTGGCTTACCAGCACAACACTGCTTGTTTTTTTGTTTTGTTTTTTAACATCTGTAGGATCTGTATTTGTGTCCCCACTTTCCTTCTTGAAATAGGTCATTTTTTCTTTACTACTTTAGCTAGAGGTTTAGTAATTTTATCGATTCTTTTCAAAGAAAAAGCTTTTAGTTTTACTTCTTTTCTCTATTGTTCATCTGATTTTTAAATTCCATTGATTTCTGTTCTTTATTACTTAAATTTTCTTCTGCTGACTTTTAATTTCTTCTTTTAAAAAAAGTTTCTTAACGTAGAAGCTTACAGCATAGATTGTAGGCCTTTCTTCTTTTATACTATATGCTTTTAAAACTATAAGTTTTTCTCTCAGCACCATTGTATCTGTGTCTCACACCTGTATCTCACACCTTTTCTTATGCTGTGTTTGGGCTATTAATCAGTTAAAAATATTTTCTATTTTGATTGTAATTTCTTTTTTTACCCATAGGTTGTTTGATTTCCAAATTCTTGGGGCTTTTCTAGGCATCTCGTTGTGTTACTGAAAACTAATTTAATTTCATAATTTCAACTTAGTCAGAAAATATGCTCTGTGAGATATCAGTCTTTTGAAAATTATCGAGATTTATTTTAAGGTCCAGTGTAGGATCTATCTTGGAGAGCATTTCATATACACTTAAACAGAACATGTACTCTGTAGATATTGGGTATACTATGTTATAAATATCAATTAGTTAATGCACTTGTGAGTATTATTACAGCTTCTTACTCCTTATCAATTTTTTTCCTGGTCCATTCTATCAATGATTTTAGAAACATGTCTTAAAATTTCTAACTGTGATTTTTGATCTGACTCTTCTTCCCTTTAGTTCTATCAGTTTTTTCTTCCTGTATTTTGAAGTTTTTTAAAAAATTTTTAACTTCTATATTTCAACTTTTATTTTAGGCTTAGGAGTACATGTGCAGGTTTGTTATGTAGATATTTTGATGCTGAGGTTTGGGGTATGAATGATCCCATTACCCAGGTAGTGAGCATAGTACTGATAGGTAGTTTTGAAGCTCTTTTCTTAAGTACACATATATTTATTATTTTTACATCTTCCTGCCCTATTATTTTATCATAATAGGATGTCCTTTTTCTGCTTAGTAGTACTTCTTATTTGAAGTTTATTTTGTCCAACATTAATACAGCTGCCCTGCCTTTCTTATGCTCACTGTTTACATAATACATCTTTTGACACCATTGTACTTTCAAACTATTCATGTCATTGTATTTAAAGTGTAACTCTTGTAAACAATATTTAGCTGGGTTTTGTATTTTTATCTAGTTTTACAGTCTTTGCCTTTTGATTTTAATGTGTGATATATTTATAGTTAGCCTAATTATCAGTTTGTTAAGATTTATGTCTATCATTTTGGTATCTGTTTTCTATACATTTTCTCTTTTTAAATTATTCTTCTGTTTGTCTTCTTCTGTGTTAATTATATTTTTGGTGTTTTATTTATTCTTTATTGGCTTTATAGCTATGTAGTAACATTTTTAATGATTGTTCCAAAGATTACAATAAGTATGTTTAACTTATCACAGTCTTCAAGTTTGTATTGAAATACTTCAGATAAAATGTAGGAACTTTCCAACAATGGTTTTATTTAAAGCTATCATAGCATATATTACATCTATATTCATTATAAACCCACAATACAATATTTTTTATTATAAACCCACAATACAATATCTATACTCATTATAAACCCACAATACAATATTTTTAATGTTGCTTCAAACAATCATATGCCTTTCAAAGACATTAAGAGAAGAAAAAATATATATCCATAGTATTTATCCACATATTTTGTGTTTTGGTATACTTTATTCTTTCCTATAAATTCAAATTACCATCTGGTATTGTTTCCCTTCAGCCAGCCTTTTAGCATTTCTTGTATGTAGGACTAATTATCTCACGTTTTTTCTCTTGTGGGGCTTGCATTTTAAAAGGATTATTTTGCTGGATATGGAATTTTTTGTTGGCAGTTTTATTTTTCTTTGAGTACTTTAAATATGTAATTTAAATACATCCTGTTCTTCACTGTTTCTGATGAGAAGTCAGTGGTTAATTTTATTCTGTTTTCTCTCATTTTTCTTGGCTACTTTCAAGAATTTATCTCTATCTTGTTTTCAGTCTTTTGACTATGGGGTGTCAAAGTAGCATTTCCTTTGTATTAATCCTGCTTAGGATTTGTTTAGCTTTTTGGTCTATAACTTAATATTTTTCATCAAATGTGGGAACTTTTTGTCATTATTTATTCAAGCATTTTTTTTTTTTTTTTTTTTTTTTTTTTTTGAGACGGAGTCTCGCTCTGTCGCCCAGGCTGGAGTGCAGTGGCGGGATCTCGGCTCACTGCAAGCTCCGCCTCCCGGGTTCACGCCATTCTCCTGCCTCAGCCTCCCAAGTAGCTGGGACTACAGGCGCCCGCCACTACTCCCGGCTAATTTTTTGTATTTTTAGTAGAGACGGGGTTTCACCGTTTTAGCCGGGATGGTCTTGATCTCCTGACCTCGTGATCCGCCCGCCTCGGCCTCCCAAAGTGCTGGGATTACAGGCGTGAGCCACCGCACCCGGCCTATTCAAGCATTTTTTAGTCCCATTCTCTCTCTGCTTTATTCCTGAACTCCAATTACATCTATGTTGGACTTCTTGATATTTTCTCAAAGTCCTCTGATGTTCATTTTCCTTCAATCAGTTTTCTCTCTGCCTTAGATTGAATGATTTTTATTAATTTATCTTCAAGTTCACTGATATTTTCCTTCTTCCATCTCCAATCTGTTTTTAAGCATATCTAGTAAGTGCTTCATTTTCCATTTCAAATGGAAAATGAAAAATTATGTACTAGATTTTCTAAAGTTTCATTTTCTCTGTTAAAATTTTCTATTTGTTCACTCATTAAGACAATGTTTTCATTTAATCTATTAAAGCACCAAATTTATCTTTATTTTTTCTTCTTCTTTTTCCTCTTCCACCTCCTCTTTTTCTTTTCTTTTTCTTCTTCTTGTTTTTTTAAGAGACAGAGTTTCACTCTGTTGCCCAGGCTGGAGTGCAGTGGTGTGATCATAACTTACTATAACCTTGAACTCCTGGACTCAAGTGATCATTTTGCCTCAGCCTTCTGAGTAGCGAAGACTACAGGTATATGCCACCATGCCCGGCTAATTTTCAAATTTTTTGTACAGACAGGGTCTCACTATGTTGCCCAGGCTGATCTTGAACTTCTGGCCTCAAGTGATCCTCCTACCTTGGCCTCCCAAAGTGCTGAGATTACAGGTGTGAGCCATCATGCCTGGCCCTATTTTTCTGAAATATTTTTAATAGCTGCTTTGAAGTCTTTGTTTACTAATCCAACATCTGTGCCATTTGGAGTCAGTTTCTGTTGACTGCTGTTTCCCTTGAGTGTGTGTCACATTTTCTTATTTATTTGCATTTCTGGTATTTTGATGCTGTTGCAAACTAGATACTGAGTACAGTATATTGTAGTGACTCTAGATTCTGTTATGTTCTTCTAAGGATTGTTGATTTTTTCTTCCAGAAGGTTGTTAGTTCGCTGAGACTCAATCTTTAAACATCATCTTTTCTGTCCTGGTTTTTCAGGTTCCAGCTGCTGTATTTTTGGCTTGACTTGCTGGGGTCTCCTTGCAACAGCATAGTTTGGTGGTCAGCCAAGAGTTTGGATAGAGTTTATATCCACATCTTGACATCTACCCTTGTTGTGACTTCCTTGCTCCTGTGGTTCCTCTCTGAAATTCCTGCTGGTCCACCAGTCTTGAGCTCTGACCTCTAATACCTCAAGTCAGTAAGGATTCAATCTTCTGCTACTTGAGCTCTTCATGCTGGGGAATGCCCTTAGTAAAAAAAAAAAATGCAGCAAACTTAACAAATCTCTCTCAGTGATTTCTGCTTCTTTTTCCCTGGACTCCCTGTGTTCTCCTTTATGCATGTGCAAATGAGCAGAGTTTATATGCAGATTTTTGAGTCTTGTTCCTTTTATTGCTCTTGTTCTTCCAGGAATGCCCCCCTAAACTTCCAGCTACTCTGCTAGCCCTGAACTATCTCCTCTACATCTTCAAGCCTGTAAAAATGAGGTTTTCAGCCACAAGATTTGTGAAGATGGAGATCACTCTCAGTCACCTCAAGGAAAAAAAAACACAAATTCAAAATTCTTTTCCAATGGCCACCTTGTGATAAATTCTTTTTGGTTTCTGCCTTCTTTTGATTGTGTCTTCAAATACTTTTTATTTTCATAAATTTTGTCCAGATTTTACAGTTTTTATGTTTGAGAGTATTTGTCTGACCAATTATTCCATTATCATAAGCCCGAAGTCTAAATGGTATCATTTTCAAAATTTTTCTAAATATTTGCCGCTGTTATATACAAATGAGAATGAAATTTTAATACTGATCTAATGTCTAGCAATCTAGTTAGTGTTGCTAACTTCACTTATTAATTCTAACAGTTTGTGGATTGTTTTGGATAATTTTACATATACTATTATGTTGTTTGAGAAAATGGCAGTTTCATTTACTCTTTCCCCATTCTTATACATTTTATTTATTTTTATTGCACTGTCTAGGACCTTCAGAACAATATTTATATAAATGATGGTATTGGGAATCCTTGTCTTCTTTTCTTAATCAAGGAGAAAGCATAAGGTGGTAATGACTGTAGGTTTTTTAAAACATAATTTTTTTTTTTTTTCCAGACAGGGTCTCACTCTTTTTGCCCAGGCTGGAGTGCAGTGGTGTA
Source organism: Homo sapiens (assembly GCF_000001405.40). Lineage (NCBI taxonomy): Eukaryota > Metazoa > Chordata > Mammalia > Primates > Hominidae > Homo > Homo sapiens. The sequence continues at coordinate 99,299,536 of NC_000014.9, read as the reverse complement.
TTAATGGCTCGCTGCAACCTCCACCTCCCAGCCTCAAGCAATCCTCCCACCTTAGCCTCCCAAGTAGCAGGGACTGTGCACCACCTCACTCAGCTAATTTTTAAAATTTTTTGTACAGTCAGGATATCACTATATTGGCCAGGCTAGTCTTGAGCTCCTGGACTCAAGCAATCTTCCTACCTCAGCCTCCCAAAGTGCTGGGATTACAGGTGTGAGCCACTGTGCCTGGCCTAAAATAAATATTATTTATGGGAGTGTGGAAGTTCATTTCTATTCAGTATTTGCTTAGAGATTTTTTTTTTTTTTTTTTTTTTCTGGAGACGGAGTCTTGCTCTGTCACCCAGGCTGGAGTGCAGTGGCATGATCACAGCTCACTGCAATCACCACCTCCCAGGTTTAAATGATTATCCTGCCTCAGCCTCCCGAGTAGCTGGGATTACAGGCACCTGCCACCACACCTGGCTACTTTTTGTATTTTTAGTAGAGATGGGGTTTCACCATGTTGGCCAGGCTGGTCTCAAACTCCTGACCTCAGGTGATCTTCCCTGATGCCTCCCAAAGTGCTGGGATTACAGGCGTGAGCCACTATGCCCAGCTAGGATGTTGAATTATATCAAATGTTTCTTCTGTATCTGTTGAGGCGATAATATGATTTTTCTGCATCTTCTGAGAACGTAGGGAGTTAAATTGATTTTTTGAAACATGAAAAAAATCAGGCTTTCATTCCTGAAATTAATCAAATGTGGCCAAAATGTATATATTATCCTTTTTAAAAAGATCACTGGATTCAATTTGCTTATATTTTGCTTAGAATTTTAGCACCTATGTTTGAGAGAGAGTGATCTGTAATTTGTCATTCTTGCAACGTGTTTATCAGGATTTTGACATCAAGGTTGTACTGGTATCATAAAATTAGTAAGAAAGCATTTCTTTTTTTATTCTCTAGAAGGTTGTATAACATTGGCATTACTTCTTCCATAGATGTTTGAGTGTATTCACCAGGGAAACTGACTGTGCTTTGGACATTTCTTTTTGGGAAGATTTTAAATTACAAAATAATTTAAAAATATTCGTATGTTAGATTTTGTATGTCTTCGTGCATTGGTTTTGAAAAGTTGTGTTTTCTAGGACTTTGTATATATTGTCAAAATGTTTGAATGTTTTGGAAAGTAGTTGTTCATAATGTGCCTGTAGGGACTGTAGTGATGTCCACATTTCATTTCTAATATTGGCATTTTTTTTCTCTCTTTTTATCTTGGTTGGTTTTTCTGGATATTTATCAATTTAATCATCTTTTCTCAAGGAGTGATTTCTGCCTTTTCTAATTTTCTCTATTCTGTGTTTGTTTTCTGTTCTCTTCATTTATTTCTGCTGTCTTCATTACATTTCAGTCTTTCTTCTTTTGTAATATCTGCCTTTTTTTTTTTGAGACAGAGTCTTGCTCTGTCACCCAGGCTGGAGTGTAGTGGTGTGATCTTGGCTCACTGCAACCCCCACCTCCCGGGTTCAAGCGATTCTAGTGCCTCAGCCTCCCTAGTAGCTGGGATTACAAGCGTGTGCCACCACGCCCGGCTAATTTTTGTATTTTTTGTAGAGATGGGATTTCAACATGTTGGCCAGGCTGGTCTTGAACTCCTGACCTCAAGTGATCTGCCCATCTTGGCCTCCCAAAGTGCTGGGATTATGGGTGTGAGCCACCGTGCCCAGCCAACATCTGCTTTTAAGGTTATGTGTTTTCCACTAATCACAGCTTTAGCTCTAGATTATATTTTAATATGTTGTATTTTGGTTTCCTTTCATTCAAAGTATTTTGTAATTTCTATTTTGATTTATTCTTTGACCAATTGGTTATTTAGAAGTGTTTTAGTTCATTTCCAAACATTTGGAAACTAGTTTTTGATTTTCTTTTTGTTATTGATTTCTGGCTTTAATACCACTATGATCTCACAACAAACTCTGAATGATTTCAATCTTTTGAAATTTGTTGAGAATCACTATATGGTCCAGCCTATGATCCCAATTCTTTCAAAAAAAGATTTTTAAAATTTACTTTTTCTGGATTTTTCAGTTGTTCTTAACAGCTATTTTGGTCTTCTATAAGCTACTCTGTCATAGCTGACAGTACAAGTTCCACTGCATTAGAATTTAATTAATCACTCCTCCATTGGGAAGCATGAAGTTCATTTTTGGTTTTGTGATATTGAAAAGTGCTACAGTGGACATCTTTGCAGCTTCTTCCTGTGTATGCTTGTAGCCCTGCCAGAGAATTAGAAGAGCAGAGCTGAGTGGTTGAGGGCATGAACTCTGAGCAAGATCCCTGGGTTCAAATCTGATCTTTCATCTTGTGAAAAATACAGATTCCTGGGCTTCACTCCAGATCAACTGAATCTGTTTCCCAGGTGAGCTTCCTGATTCTACGAGTCAGAGAATCATGCTGTAGAATAAGAGATAGGAATGATAACGATACACTGACCCTAGATGCCAAAGAATTACAGATGGTTCCACGTTTTCCGGGAGGGAGTGGAGAGAGGAAGAGGAGGGATCAGGCATTTCTCTCTGCTGCCTTCGTTCCCTGGAGTCACTTTGCCTCTTCCCAAGTTATTCCTAAACTTGTGTTAAAAACCAGGCATTTTTGGATCTTCCTTTGCCCTCCAGTCTTGCCTAGCAAAAGAAGTACTGAGTATATGCAGCGATAATACTTGGGGAGCTTTGACTCATAACCCTGGCATTGTGACGCGCTTCGAGTGGGTCCTACTGGCTGCTGAAGAATCGTCTCCTCTCGGCCCTGAGGGCTAAGGAGAACTGCATCTCAGGCATATTTCTCTTGGGGCCATGCCAACAACAGCGCCACTCCTGTTGGGGGTGGGAATAGACTCATGAAAACCAGGTTGGGTTCACAGCACAACAAAATAAGTTCCGGGGTTAGGCTGTGAGGATGCTCTCTTGTGGTACTTCCGTTAAGGCTGACCTTCAAATATTCATCTTGAGGCCATCAGAACTGCGCCTCATCTAAGAGATGTCTTTGGCAAGAGAGGACCCCATCTTTCAGGTTCAACTTGAGATTGTTTCCCCATGAATTCACTCATTCATTCAACAGATATACTTCAGGCACAACTCTGTGCAAATCATTTATTTAACAAATATTGTTAAAATTCTGTGGCAATTATTGTTCTAGTGGCTGGGTACAGCAATGAACAATGTAGATACAACTTTCTGCCTTTTTGGAGTTTATATTCTGGTGGGTGACGACAGGCTACAAAAGTTAGCTGGGCATTGTGGCGGGCGCCTGTAATCCCAGCTACTGGAGAGGCTAAGGCAGGAGAATTGCATGAACCCGGGAGGCGGAGGTTGCAGTGAGCTGAGATCTTGCCACTGCACTCCAGCCTTGGCGAAAGAGTGAGATTCCATCTCAAAAAACAAACAAACAAACAAACAAAAAACAAACCAAAAAACCTTAAAATAAAATGCATGATGTTGATATGGCAATAACTGCTACAGAGAAAATCAAAACACAAGCAGGAGGTAGGAAGTGGCAGGAGTGGGATTTCAATTTTACTCTATTGCTTGATTCCTTTTTAGGTATAATTTCAGACTTACTGAAAAGTTGCAAGAATAGCCCAAATAATTCTTGATTGTCCTTTATCCACACTCCCAGTCTCATACCTGAAACTGGGTAATATATAAAGGAAAGAGGTTTAATTGATTCATAGTTCCACATGGCTGGGGAGGCCTCACAATCGTGGTGGAAGGCAAAAGGCTTACACGGCGGCAGGCAAGAGGGCATGTGTAGTGGAACTCCTTTTTATAAAAACCATCAGATCGACCTGGCGCAGTGGCTCACGCCTGTAATCCCAGCGCTTTGGGAGGCTGAGACAGGCGGATCACGAGGTTAGGAGATCGAGACCATCTTGGCTAACATGATGAAACCCTGTCTCTACTAAAAATACAAAAAATTAGCTGGGCGTGGTGGCGGGAGCCTGTAGTCCCAGCTACTTGGGAGGCTGAGGTAGGAGAACGGCGTGAACCTGGGAGACGGAGCTTGCAGTGAGCTGAGATGGCGCCACCGCACTCCAGCCTGGGCGACAGAGCGAGACTCTGTCTCAAAACAAAAACAAAAACCAAAAAAACCCTGAAAAACATCAGATCTTGTGAGACTTATTCACTATCACGGGAACAGCACAGGAAGAACCTGACCCCATGATTCAATTACCTCCCACCGGGTCCCTCCCATAACATGTGGCGATTACTACAATTCAAGGTAAGATTTGGGTGGGGACATAGAACCAAACCATATCACTCCCCAAATGCGAATACTTTACTGCATACGCTTTCTCTCTCTCTCTCTCTCTCTCTCTCTCTCTCTCTCTCTCTCTCTCTCTCCCCCCCCCCTCTCCTGAACTATCTAAGAGTAAGATGCCTCTATTTCAGCGTGTGTATTTCCTAAAAGCAAGGATTTATCTTGCATAACCACAGTGCAATGATCAAAATCAGGAAATTAACATTGGTACAAAACTGTAGCCTAAACTATTCCTTATTTAGGTTTCACCAGCTGTCCCAATAATATCCTTTATACTGCAAGAAAGCCCAAGGTCATCTGTTGCTCTCATTTGTCATGCCTCTTTAGTTTCATATTTTACGACACAGACACTTTTGAAGAGCATGGTCCAGTTATTTTGTAGAATGGGTGTCTTTTCTTTTTTTTTTTTTTTGAGATGGAGTCTTACTCTGTTGCCCAGGCTGGAGTGGCACAGTCTCAGCTCACTGCAACCTCTACCTCCTGGGTTCAAGTGATTCTCGTGCCTCAGCCTCATGCGTAGTTGGGATTACAGGTGTGTGCTACCAGAGTCGGGTAATTTTCATATTTTCAGTAGAGACAGGGTTTCACTATGTTGGCCAGGCTGATCTTGACCTCCTGACCTCAAGTGATCCACCAGCCTTGGCCTCCCTAAGTGCTGGGATTACAGGTGTGAGCACCGTGCCTGGCCTGGAATCCAAGGATGGGTTTCCTGATGGTTTCTCATAGGTAGATTCAGTTAAGGCCCTTTGGCCGGAGCACCATGCGGTGATGCTGTGTTCTCAGTGCATCCTATCAGGAAGCACGTGTGGCCCATTAGTCCCATGGCTGGTGACATAACTTCAATCACTTGGTTAAGACGGCATCTGTCAGGCCTCTCTAGTGTAGACACTATTTTATCCTTTGTAATTGAAAAGTATGATGTGAGGCTATACTTTGAGACTATGTAAATATCTTGTTGTTACTCAAAGTCTTATCTCCTAGTTTTAGCATCTATTAATGACTCTTGCTTGAATCAATTATTATAATTATTATTATGGTTGCCAAATGGTGATTTTCTAATTTTATCATTTGTTCTATTTTTATTAGTTGGCTTTCTACTATAATAAATAATTTTTCTTCCTATTTATTCATCTATTTATATCAGTATGATTCATAGATTCTTACTTTATACTATAGGTTATAATCATTTACTGCCATTGTTTATTTTGACACTCAAAGTGTCCCAGATTTGGCCAGTGGAAGCCTCTTTAGTTTGGCTCTTGTGCCTTTTTGACATACCTCTATCTTTTTTTTTTTTTTGGAGCACTTCCTTACATTTTGCTACAAGATGTTCTAAGCTCATCTTGTACATTCCTTGCTCCAGCCCTGGAATCAGTCATCAGTTCCTTTGTGTGGAAAATGACATTTATAAACCAAGATCTTGTCTATACATATGCTCATTGCTACGAGGCCCTCTTAGCAGACAGAACTGGGAAATTTTACACACACACATACATCACATATCCACACATATCTGTATGTGTGTATCTATCAATCATTTACCTATGTATGTATGTATGTATCTATCAATCTATCATCTATCTATATATCTATGTATCTATCATCGGTCTATCAGCATATATTTATCACCTATTTATCTATCAGCTATATATCTGTTATCTATCTATCTATCTATATATCGAAACCTATAAGTTCACACCAATATCTCCAATTCCAAACAACACCTCATGGTACCTCTTATCTTTCTCCTTTTGCATATTTGTAACTCCCTTCTCAATAGTGAAAAGACTGGCTTCCATGATCAACAACATAGTCACATATTTGTTCAGTGATAGAATGTACAGAGTATCCGAATTGCTAACCCATTCCTTTGCAAAAAGGAAGCCTACTAAAGACAGTTCAAGATTTGTTTGGGGTCTTTTTGTCTAGTGTCTGAGGGCATATAATCCAAGTACCATGTTCAAAAGTGACTCAGTTCTCCCCCGCAGCAGTTATGCTATTTATTTGAAATTTAGCTCTGTAGTCTGTTGGTATTCTAATTCAGGTCCTCTCCTCTCTCCTGGTTGATTTCATTTTCTTTTCTTTGAGCACGTGACACATTAACATGGTCAGGATTATATAAAATATAATCAGAGAGTGTTCTGTGTTATGACCCCATCATTTTGAACATTTCACCCCCTTCTCACCCAAGCCTTTTATGTGACTGCTATGGCCTGAATTATGTCCCACTCAAATTCATATGTTGAATCCTTAACCCCCAATACCTGGTCATGATGTATTATCCTTTCAGTGCATTGCAGTATTCAACTTCCTAATATTTTGTTTAAGATTGCTGCATCTATGCTTACGAGAGATTAAGGTCTGCAATTTTCTTTTCTTTTTCTTTTTTTTTTTTTGAGACGGAATCTTGCTCTGTCACCCAGGCTGGAGGGCAGTGGGACGATTTCGGCTCACTGCAGCTTCCACCTCCTGGGTTCAAGCAATTCTCCCACCTCAGCCTCCCAAGTAGCTGGGATTACAGGCACCCACCACCATGCCTGGCTAATTTTCATAGAGATGGGGTTTCACCATATTGGCCAGGCTGTTCTCGAACTCCTGGCCTCAAGTGATCCACCTGCCTCTTGTAACGTCCATGTCAGGTTTCAGTTTTGGGGTTCTGTATCCTCATAAAATGAGTTGGGAGGTGTTTTTTCTTCCTCTGTTTTCTGGAAGAGTTGGTGTAAAACTGGTATTTCTTCCTTAAATATTTGGAAAATTTACCAATGAAGTCATCTGGACCTATTTTTTTTTTTTTTGGTGGGGGCTGGGGAGAGCAGAGAAAGAGGAAGGAGGGGAAGAAGGTTTTAAATTACAGATTCAATCTTAAACAGACGTGACTCTGAAAATTTTCTGTTTCTTCTGATGGTAGTTTTTTGTTTGTTTGTGTATTTTGAGCGTCTCACTCTGTCACCTGGGTTGGAGTGCAGTGGTGCGGTCGAGCCTCCTGGGCTCAAGTGATCCTCCAGCCTCAGCCTCCCAAGTAGCTGAGACTACAGGTCCACACCACCACGCTTGGCTAATTTTGTAGAGATGGGGTCTTGATATGTTGCCCAGGCTGGTCTTGAACTCCTGGCTTCAAGGGATCCTCCCAACTCAGCCTCTTAAAGTGCTGGGATTATAGCTGTGAGCTACTGTGCCTTATGTCAGTTTTGATAATTGGTATTTTTCAAGGAATTGGTTCATTTTATCCAAGTTGTCAGTGTTTCAGTGATAAATCAACTGGTCCAGGAAGGCCTCCTTGAGAAGGCAATATGTGAACAGAGACCTGAAGGAGGAGAGGAAGCAGGCCATGACCTGGGGAGCATATTGCAGGGAGAGGAAATAGAAGATGCAAAGATCCTGACGCATGTACCTGCCTGTGAGTTGCAGAATAATCCACAGGCCAGCGGAGTGGTGTTCCGGAGGGAGAGAGTGGTGGGGTTAAGGTCAGAGAGGCAAAGGAGGCTGGGACCTAGGACCCTCTGGGCCATCATAGGGTCTTTGGTTTTTACTCTGAGTAACAGAAAGTTTTCGTCAGAGCAGTGTTGTGATCTGGCTATGCTTCAAAATATCAGACTGACTGTTGAGAGTAGCCTCAAGGAAGAAGCAAAAAGACCAGACAGGAGGCTCTTGGCCTGGGGAGGTGGCAGTAGGGTTAGTGAGACCTGGCCATGTTCTGGAAAGACTTTAAAGGCAGAAGCCATACAGTGTGATGAGGGGTTGGATGTTGGGTGTGGGAGAAAGAGAAAGGTCAGGGCTGACTCTCAGGGTTTTAGCCTGAGCAGTGACCATATTCTGAATTAGAGAATACTGTGGGCAGAGCAGATTTGGGGAGTGGAGCTCTGAAGTCAGTCTTGGAGAGGTTAACAGTGAGAGGCCTGTTAGGCACTCACTGTTAGTGAGTTAGTCCACTGTTAGTGAGGAAGTCCATCAGGTAGCTGGATACATGGAAGCATTGTTCGGGGCTGGGGACACATTGGCATGTAGATGGCATTTGAAGCCACATGAGACGTTGGTATTGCCAAGGGAGTGAGTGTAAGTTGAGAAGAGGTCTGAGGGATGAGCTCTGGGGCAGAACTATGCCCAGAGGTTGAGAGATGAGGGAGAACCAGAAAAGAGATTTCTGGCCGGTGAGATGGGGGAAAAAACCAGGGGCACGTGGCCACCTCAAAGCCCAGCAAAGAGGAGGAACGCCCTGCCATGGCACAGGCAACCGACGGGCCTGGGGTGATGAGGACTGCGTGGTGACATTGCACTTAGCAACAGAGAGGCCAGTGGTGACTTTGGCAAGGGCCCTTGGGTGGCTCCTGAGAGCCAAGGCGGATGGGGTGGCTTCCACAGGGACTGGGAAGACAGAGACCCAACAGAGTTAGCATAGACAGCCCTGTCACAAATGTGCTCTTCTTGGAGAAATAGGCTGGTACCTGGGGGAGCTATGGAGGAATTACAGCGTGTCTTGATTACAGCTGGTAAAATGAGAGCTGTTTACATGCCAAGTCCTGGGGCACTGTGGGGTCCCAGAGGTAAAGAAGACACCATTCCTGCACCCACTGAGTTCAGTAGCAGCTTGGGGCCTGCAGGGTTACAGCCCAGGGACTGATGTGCTGTGATGGATGAGGCCCAGTGCCTGGTTGGAGCCTGCAGAGGGAAGCCTTCCTGGAGGAAGTGATGTCTGGCCGAGCCTTGAAAGGGAGGTGAAGAGGCCTCCTCCCCCAGGAAGCCTTCCTTGGTGTATTTGCACAACACCCCTCATCTTTGTCTCCATAGAACTCGCTGCGTTCTACTTGGTACTGGCTATCTATGGGGATTGCATTCACACAGGTGAAGCGCCTTCCACGCCCAGATGCTGAGCTTAGTACTTTCACCTGAGCTTTCTCAGTTCCTCCTTGGAACTGCGTTGTGAGGGAGGTCCCGCTAGGATTCCATCTCACAGAGGAGGAAACTGAGGCCCTGGGGGGTTGAAGGGCCTTGCCTGAGTTCACACTGCCAGGAAGCAGCTGAGCTCGATTTGAATTCTTTCTGATCCCTATCCAGCGGCCTTAGCACATAGCAGGGGCTCAGGAAATGTTTTTTGACTCGACACTACCAGGGAGGTTTGATCTTGCAGAGGCCAGAGGAGGAGAAGATCTCCTGGCTGACTCCACAGACACAGCTCAGAGGGGAACCCCCTTCGCCCATCCTCGGGACCTGCTTCAAGGGAGCTATGTGGCTTACACCTGGTCCCTGGGCTTCGGAGTGAGCTCGGGAACCCTGGCTTTGCTTCAGAATAAAGGAGGCTGGACGTAGACGGGAAGGCCCCATTGAAGCCCTTCTGCCTCCTGGGCCTGGGAGTCAGGGCATCGGGGCCCACCCCATGGCTCAGGCACTACCCCGGTCCTGTGCCTCCCCCGCCTCTCCCTGGCCTCAGACTCCCTCCTAAGGTAGGTGGACTGCATTATCTCTTGGTTCCTTCCAGCTTAAAAAGTCTATGTTCTAAATCCATCCATCAAACCCTATTTTGAGGGCTTTGAAGTGAAGCCTGGGTGTTTTTACCTTATCCCACACACCTACCTCACACCTTCCAAAGTTCCAACATCTCCTTTGATTGGCATGTCAAGTGGACACATTTCTGGACTGGAGGGGCCCCCACTGTGAGCCTCTGTTTCCAAGGAGCTAGCTGCTCACTTCCAAATGCTGCGGGTTGGTTTGCTCCTGAGGGCACATTGCACAACCAGGAATAAAGTCTCCTAGATTCTTGCCTCTGTATTACCTTGAAAGCCCCATGCTTCTTCAGTGTGATGGGAGCAAGCACAGTGAGTGATGGATAAAGGAATGGTGCCAGCAGTGAACTTCAGAGGACGGAGGGAAAAACCTCAGTCAGCTCAGAATAAGATCCTGCGTATGTTATGTAACAAATCCAGGTGTGTGGGCACTTCCGTTGACCCATGGTCCTGATTCCCAAATTGACTGGTGAAGAAATTTCTAGTGAAGGCCCCTTCAGTCAACAAGGAGTAACTGTGCACACCCTCTTCCTGGACATGGTGCCAATGGGCACTGCCAACCACACTCGGGGGCTGTTCTGCATTTCCCAGCTTCTCTGGAGGTCGGGTTGGGTCATGTGACTGGCTCTGGCCAATGGGCTGTGAATAGAGGTGATGAGTGTCACTTCTGGGTTGAGGCAGTTAAGAGCCAGTGGGACTCCTCCGTCTCCCTCTTCCCCTGCCATGGAGGTCCTGGAGGCCATGAGGGGTGGCTAGAGGGATAGAAGGACCACCAACAGCCTATGGCAAAAGAGGACATGTGAACCTTTCTTGTGTAAACTTCTTGTTTTTTCGAATTTATTTTTATTATTATTATACTTTAAGTTCTTGGGTACATGTGCACAATGTGCAGGTTTGTTACATATGTATACATGTGCCATGTTGGTGTGCTGCACCCACTAACTTGTCATTTACATTAGGTATATCTCCTAATGCTATCCCTCCCCCCTCCCCCCACCCCATGACAGGTCCCGGTGTGTGATGTTCCCCTTCCTGTGCCCAAGTGTTCTCATTGTTCAATTCCCACCTATGAGTGAGAACATGTGGTGTTTGGTTTTTTGTCCTTGCGATAGTTTGCTGAGAATGATCGTTTCCAGCTTCATCCATGTCCCTACCAAGGACCTGAACTCATCCTTTCTCATGGCTGCATAATATTCCATGGTGTATATGTGCCACATTTTCTTAATCCAGTCTATCATTGATGGACATTTGGGTTGGTTCCAAGTCTTTGCTATTGTGAATAGTTCCACAATAAACATACGTGTGCATGTGTCTTTATAGCAGCATGATTTATAATCCTTTGGGTATATACTCAGTAATGGGATGGCTGGGTCAAATGGTATTTCTAGTTCTAGATCCCTGAGGAATCGCCACACTGTCTTCCACAATGGTTGAACTAGTTTACAGTCCCACCAACAGTGTAAAACTGTTCCTATTTCTTCACATCCTCTCCAGCACCTGTTGTTTCCCGACTTTTTAATGATTGCCATTCTAACTGGTGTGAGGTGGTATCTCATTGTGGTTTTGATTTGCATTTCTCTGATGGCCAATGATGATGAGCATTTCTTCATGTGTCTGTTGGCTGCATAAATGTCTTCTTTTGAGAAGCGTCTGTTCATATCCTTCGTCCACTTTTTGATGGAGTTGTTTTTTTCTCGTAAATTTGTTTGAGTTATTTGTAGATTCTGGATATTAGCCCTTTGTCAGATGAGTAGATTGCAAAAATTTTCTCCCATTCTGTAGGTTGCCTGTTCACTCAGATGGTAGTTTCTTTTGCTGTGCAGACGCTCTTTAGTTTAAATAGATCCCATTTGTCAATTTTGGCTTTTGTTGCCCTTGCTTTTGGTGTTTTAGACATGAAGTCCTCTTAGATAAAGAGATTAAGTTGTGTAGCAGCACAGCCTGGGTTACCCTAACATGAGGAGGTAGACACAACAGGACGCGTGTCATTGGAAAAACCGACTTTGAACCCTGCGTCTGCTGCTACTGCCTGTGCAGTCTTGAGCTAATCGCATAGCTTGGCTTCCCTCCTATAAAATGAGATGGATGTGTAACCCGGGGGGCGGTGTGGTGTGTAGGAAGAGTGGATGTCAAATGTCCAGCTGCTGCCTGGTGCATAAGAGAGGCACAGCCTGGGTCTGAGTCAGCTCTCTGTGAGCCCTGCCCTGTGACTTCACTCCCGCTGAAGGCTCAGTCAACTGGGGGAGACCGTTCCATGAAGAGTGAGGGCGCATCTACCCCACCATACATGCCTTTGGTCAAAGTTGCAGAAGCCTGTGGTTGGGCGTGAACCCAGCACTTTGCAGAAGTGTGAATTCTTAATTTACCTCCCCCACAGCCACACACACAGGAGTGAAGGCAGCAGAGCCAAGCAGGAACCCGTCCTGCCCCAGGCCTGAGCTTTCTTAAGAGGCTCATGGGGCAGAAAGGTAAAGTGGTTTCTTCCTCATCTTCCATGTGCAGGAGCAGGGGTAGAGCTATGTGCCTAGATAATTTCATTTTGTGGGGCGCTGGGGGGAGGAGGGAAAATGGGGCTTCTTCACTCTATTATGTCCAGGAGGGTTTTCAGTAAGCACCAGAAAAATGTGTCTTTTATGTAATTCCATTTTCCTGTGCAGTAATTTACTACTAGTAGTTAGTTAATAGTTTCTCTTGTTTTTAATTCTTTATTTGTTAAACACAAAAATGAAAATGAAACCCAGCTACACACCGAGCTAACACTTCAGTGGCTGAAGAGTTTCACCGGGGTGCAGTCTTATTTTAGGGTCAACTTTGTGTGTGGTTACTTGGAGGGTGTGATTTGAGGCCACTACAAATATTCAGCCCTTAAATATTTCCTCCACTGAAGCATTATTTTCCCCTAAACCCTGACTTTATAACTGGAGCTTAAACTATGTGCAAAGTCCCAAGCTAGGACAAGAGGGTGGCAGGGGACATCTGAGTGGGAGTTCAGGGCAAACCTGCCATGGTTTTGGCCTCAAGATACTCACAGTCCAGGCATTATTGCTCTTTTCTGAGGTTGACAAGGAGGGCCACCAGTTCTTGTCAACATTCTCTTTGCAAATATGAAATGCAGGGAAATCTTTATTTATGTAATTTTAAAGGCAGAGTCTGTCACCCAGGCTGGAGTGCAATAGTACAATTATAGCTCACTGCAGCCTAGAACTCCTGGACTCAAGTAATCCTCCTGCCTCAGCCTCCCAAATCGCTGAGACTACAGGCCTGTGCCACTATGCTTGGCCAATTTTCTTTTCAAATTTTTGTAGAGATGAGGTCTCACAATGTTGCTTAGGCTGGCCTTGAACTCCTGGCCTCATAAGGTCCTCCTGCCTCAGTCACCTACAGTGCTGGGATTACGGGTGTGAGGCACTGCGCCCCGGCCTTGGGGATACTTTCCACAGTGTTTTACGACTTCGTAGAAAAGACCTGTGACCCCTGAGCCCCCGAGGGCAGGGTCTGTGTCCAGGTACCTTGGCTCTGCTGGCCTGGCCCCGGCTCATTATCCAGCACAGGGCAGGCACACACATTCATTTCTGGGGGTTGGCATAACAAAGTATTGCTAGCTGGGTGGCTTAAAACAAGAGGTGCTGATTGACAACTAGGGAGGCTAGAAGTCTGAAATCACGGTGTCTCTGGGCCACGTTCCCCCTCCAGGGGAAGATCCTTCCTTGCCTCTTCCTAGCTTCTGGTGGTTGCCAGCATTCTTTGGTGTTTCTGGCAGCTGTCTGGGTCCAGTGTCTGCCTCCGTTGTCACCAGACGTCCTCCCTGTGTGTCTCTGTGTTCACATGGCTGTGTTTTTAGGAGGACACCAGTCATTGCATGGAAGGTCCACCCTAACCCAGGATGACCTCATCTTAACTAATTACATTTGCAAAGACCCTAAGGCACATTCACAGGTACAGGGCTTAGGACTCCAACATATTATGGGGGGGTAGGGGGCATGATTTGACCCACAACAGAGCACAATGCTTGGTAACAATGTAGTTACCAAGTGAACCATGAGGTGCTTTGGGAGCAGGGAGGGCATTGGAAAACGAGGGCGAACAGGCCACAGAAAGGAGGGCTTTGCATGTAAAATGTGTCTAAGTATTCAAACACTGCGTGGCGCTGTGTTGGGTGAGAAAGGGAGTCTCTTAGTTTACCACTTTGCCGAAACCCAGGGTTTTTCTCTTCCTAGGGTCATTGTGCATTTTTGTTGACTATTGATTCTCCCCTTCATTCAACAACTGTACTGAGGCCAGATCCCAAACTGAGCTCTGACGAGATGGAGAAGCAAAGGACACGGTTCCTGCCCCCAAGGAGCTCCCAGACAAGCAGGAGAGAAGGTGGCTCCCAGACAAGCAGGAGAGAAGGCAGCTCCCAGACAAGCAGGAGAGAAGGCCGTGGAAATGATCCTTCTGATACCACAGCCTGCCGATGTCATCTAGAACTCTGGGGGATTGGGGGAAAACGAACAGAACCAGATTAAAAAAAAAACCCTGTCCTTAGCTAGGTGTGGTGGTGGGCACCTGTTATCCCAGCTACTTGGGCGGCTGAGGCAGGAGAATCGCTTGAACCCAGGAGGTGGAGACTGCAGTGAGCCAAGACTGTGCCACTGCACTCCAGCCTGGGTGACAGAGCGAGACTCTGTCTCAAAACAAAAAATGAAAAACAAAAATGAAAAAGAAAAACAAAAACCAAACCCTGCCTTGTAATTTTGACTTTTACTTTATCCAAGTCAGGACTCCTGGTCTGAAGAATATTTGACCTCATAACTATTGGGGGACACTGGGGCTCCCTGCCCAGGGACAGGATGTTCTCTGCAGATATCAGGACGTGGGTGCCGATGACAAGGGCGCTTTGCCGCCATGGCCCGGGGCTGGAAGCGCAGCTCTCAAAGGTTGGTTGTGAAGCTTCCAGGGGAGATGGTCCTCTGCAGGAAGAATAAGAGCCATCCTGTAGCCTTCGCTGTTCCAGAAGGCTCCGTGGTGAATACATAATTAGGTCCTCTGTAATTACCAGTTTGAATCTGCCTAGGACACTAAGGCTCCCACCCCCTAATTTACCTTATAAATTTATTCTGCTAAAAAAGTCGAAAATGTCAGTCTTCTGTGAACGCTGCATAAATGAATTATCTCCCCATGACAGAAGGTGGGGAGCGGGGAGGCTTCCAGAGGACATTCCTCACTGTGAGTGTCGGAAAGTGCTCCATGCTTCGCAAGCACCCAGCAGAGAGCCTAACCAAGCTGCTTCCTGCGCCCACCCCACGGAAGGCCAGGTTCCAGCAGGTTCTGTGTAGCTGGTTAGCCGGTTAGCCAGCCCCAGCAGGGCGAGCAGAGGTGGCTTTAAAATCAGCCTGTTTGGCAGCTGTGAGAGAGCTTTGCCTTAGCGTGCAGTCCCAGGTAATGGAGGGCTGCAGACAGAAGGAAAGGAAGGAAAAAGCATGGCAGCTTCTTAAAGAAGGTCTCATCCAACCACGTCCCACAGACCTCCCTGCACCCAGGATGGTCTCACACCATAGCATGGCAACCATCTCCTTGATTCTTTCACAAAGAATAGTTTTACAAAACTATTTATTACAATGTACGAGGCTGGGCGCGGTGGCTCACGCCTGTAATCTCAGCACTTTGGGAGGCAGAGGCAGGCGGATCACTTGAGGCCAGGAGTTCGAGAGCAGCTTTGCCTATATGGGGAAACCCTGTCTCTACTAAAAATACAAAAATACAAAAATTAGCCAGTCATGGTGGCGGGCACCTGTAGCTCCAGCTACTTGGGACGCTGAGGCAGAATTGCTTGAACCTGGGAGGCAGAGGTTGCAGTGAGCCGAGATATTGTGCCACTGTACTCCAGCCTGGGTGATAAAGCCAGACGCCATTTCAAAAAAGAAAAAAAAATGTACAGCAAGTCTTTAGTGACATTCTAGGGGGTTTGGGAAACAAAGTTCCTTTTTTTCTTTTTGAGACAGAGCCTCACTCTGTCACCTGGGCTGGAGTACAGTGGCGTGATCTTGGCTCACTGCAACCTCCGCCTCTCGGGTTCAAGCGATTCTCCTGCCTCAGCCTCCAGAGTAGCTGGGATTAGCCCGCCACTACAGCAAGCTAATTTTTTTTATTTTTAGTAGAGATGGGGTTTCACTATGTTGGCCAGGCTGATCTTGAACTCATGACCTTGTGATTCGCCTGTCTCGGGCTCCCAAAGTGCTGAGATTACAGGTATGAGCCACCGCGCCCGGTGGGAGACAAAGTTCTTTTAAAATCCCCCCTAATCTCATAATTCTCACACAATAGCTGCTGTTATTTCTGAATCTCCTTCCGGTCTTTTTCTCATATGTAGTCTATTATTTTCCTCCTGAATAATTAGTCAAAAGGTTCAGCCGCTACAACCTTTAATTTTTAATTTTTGGCGGCTGATAATAAAAACCATAAATGCAGATTATAGAAAATGTGGAGACCGAGAGAAGAAAATGAACAATGATTCCCCACCCTCAAACTCCCATATGCTCATCTCTGAACCCTGAGAGCTTTCTTTGCAGTTTTTGTCCCATGGCCATGGTTTTTCTTTTTCTTTCTTTCTTTTTTTTTTTTTTTCCGAGATGGAGTTTTGCTCTTGTCCCCCAGGCTGGAGTTCAGTGGCCAGATCTCGGCTCGCTGCAAACTCCGCTTCCTGGGTTCAAGCGATTCTCCGCCTCAGCCTCCTGAGTAGCTGGGATTACAGGTGCCTGCTGCCACGCCCAGCTAATTTTTGTATTTTTAGTAGAGACAGCGTTTCACCATGTTGGCCAGGCTGGTCGCGAACTTCTGGCCTCTGACCTCAGGTGACCCACCCGTTTTGGCCTCCCAAAGTGCTGGGATTACAGGTGAGAGCCACCGCGCCCGGCTGGCCTTGGATTTTCTAGTTTGCCTGTGTATTAGGTCTTGTAGTGAGGTCCAGCTGGCTCAGTCACTGATACCCTCCTATGTGCCCGTCACAGGCACAGGAGACAAGGTAGGATCTGGACTGTCTGCTTTGAGAAGCTCAGAGCCCAGTGACCTGCTACTAGCAGATAACAACTATAATGTTTTCCTCTGGGTATTGGCAAAGGTTAGCCTGGTCCTTGGCACAAAGTAGGTGTGCTATGATTTGAATGTGTCCCCTCCAAAATTCACGCTGAAACTCAGTCCCCATTGTGGTGGTATTCAGAGGTAGGGCCTCTGGGGAGATGACTGAGTCATGGAGGCTCTGCCCCATGAGTGGATTAGGAGAGAAAGGGCTGGAGGGAACTAGCTTAGGCCTGTTTGCTCCTCTGCCATGTGAAGCTGTCGTGTTTGTCCACCCTGGAGGATGTGGCAACAAGGCACCATCTTGGCAGCAAAGGCTGGGGCCCTCACCAGACACTGAACCTTCTGACGCCTTCATCTTGGACTTGCCAACCTCCAGAAATGTGAGAAATCAACGTCTATTCTTTTTTTTTTTTTTTTTTTTTTTTTGAGATGGAGTCTCACTCTGTCACCCAGGCTGGAGTAAAATGGCGTGATCTCGGCTCACTGTAACCTCCGCCTCCCAAGCTCAAGCGATTCTCCTGTTTCAGCATCCTGAGTAGCTGGGATTACAGGCACCTACCATCATGCCTGGCTAATTTTTGTATTTTTGTAGAGATGGGGTTTCACCATGTTGGCCAGGCTGGTCTTGAACTCCTGACCTCAGGTGATCTGCCCGCCTTGGCCTCCCAAAGTGCTGGGATTACAGGCATGAGCCACTGCGCCCGGCAATATCTATTCTGTATACATTACGCGGTCTCAGGTATTTTGTTACAGCAGCGCTGAGACAAGATGCTTCATCAATATTAGTCGATTATGTACCAGTGAAATCTGGGGGAAATTTCCCATTTCATTCCTGAAATATTGACGTGTGTACCTTAGACTGAGTTGAATGTGAATCTCTTGTTTCATGAGTAAAACGCCTCCATAATAATATCTATCATTTATTCAATGCCTCCTCTGTGCCAGGCCTGTGCTGGGGGCTTTCTGAGAGGTCATCTGATGAGATGCTCACAGAGGCGTTGATAGAGGAGGACCTGGGATGTCGAGAAGAGAAACCGCATGAAGGCTTTTGCAGCTAGCAGCGGGCGCAGCGGAGACTTGACCCTGGCGATCTCGGAGGCGTATATCAAGCTGTGTGTGCCCTGTCCTGCTTTTCTCACAGGCTGCTGGGAGGACAAACTCAAGTCAGGGAAGCAAAAGGGCTTTGTACACTAAAACTCTGTCCCAACATGAGTTGTTTGTCTGTTTCAAATTTTACCAGCAGAAACGTCTGTCTTACCCCACTCTCTCCACCCCATTTCTCTCTGCCTCAATTATCTGGTTTCATAACCGTGGTGTGTCTTGTTGGATTTTGCTGTCTCAAACAAACAAACAAACAAACAAAATCTCTTCTACTAACTGAGTATACTGTGTCCTTAATGCAAACTTTGTTTCTCTGTAATTCTCTTCCTTCCTCCATGTCTCGATCCAGCACTGACTTTGTCTTTGCTGTTCTGGTTCCACATCTGGTGATGTTTTCAGCTGCCTGTTATTGGCTTGCAGGATGGCTGGAAATCCAACCTGGGTATAGGACGGCATAGTGGTTATACACAGAGACAGACCTGGGGTGATTTGGGCTCTACCTCGTGGTGGCTGACTTCGGGTTTCCTGTCTAAGGGGGATGAAAGTCTTTCTCTTCTGAGGATTAGATAAGATAAATGCCTCACAATGTAATTAGACAGAGTGTCTCTTTGAATGAGTAGGTCTTGAGGGTCTTGGAAGAATTCTGCAATCTGTGCTCAGGACCCCTGAGCCCTGCTGCTTTGCTCCCATGGCACTTGGGACACATGGCCATGAGTCCATGTGATGGGCTGTACTCTCACTACTATAATTGCTGAACTATGTCATCAACTTTTGTTTTCCCTTGCTCTGTTCTTTGGAGCTGGGGTGGTGTGTCAGATTCAGGCTTGCCTGAACTTGGAACCTCAGTACCACCACCTCACAATATTGCCATCTTTGGGCCCTGTCCCCCATGGTGTGCTTGGCATACAGCAGGCGTCCCATCCGCGTGTGTTGTTGAAGGAACAAATCACAGCCATGCTTATGATGCGACTGCTGCATGGCGAGAGACCGGGCCAGGCGCTTTGCTAAGACCCACTCATCACCGCTTATACAGAGCGGTGAAGCCCATCTGACAGGGAGACCACAGAGCCTGAGAAATGAATGCCCTTTCCCCAGCCGACTCAGCCAAAGCCTGAGCTTCCAGATGGGCACCCTGGCAGCATGTAGCAGGCCAGGGTTTGCAGGGCAGGGGAGCCATTCTACTTCAAGGCAGCAGGCAGCCCTCATGGCTGGTGGGGAGGCTACTGACAGTCACTAGCTGTGACTACTAGCAGGCAGGTTTTAGGGAATGACGCCTCGATTTTTCACTTTGAGGAAACCCTTGATGTGCACCGTGGCAGTGGCAGAGGCTAATCGCGTGGATCTGGGAGCTAATGCAGCTGCTGTAATTCCTGTCACCTTCTCACAGCTCAGTGGGAGCTTCCGATGAATAAATCGTGGCATTCAGGGGCTGCATACATCAGTGGCAGGTGTCACCGTCATAGGTCGGGCAGGGCACTGGTGCTCCACCTTGCCTTGTCTTTAATTAAAGGAGGAAATATGTCAGAACTGACAGGACCACTGACCAGCCTACCAGGTCCTTTCCAGTCGCAGTGAAATCAACCGTTAAAGATGCTCATCTCAAGAGGAGAACGAGTCTCTTATGCTTCTGGGGAGAAATCACCATCTGGCGAGGGTTTCCTGGCCTTTGGGGGTCCCCCTGCTACCTCCTCTGAGCCATCTGGGGCTCCCCTGCATTTGCCCCTTACTTGGGAACTGTAACCCTTAGGGATCAGAGGGAGCATGGGAACAAAACAATTCAATAAAGTCACAATAAAGCATCCAAAGCCCTTCATACTTTTTCACTTTCTTTAACTCAATTTATTTTTCATTTTGTGGACAGAGATTTAGTCTGGGTATTAGTTTATGATTTTTACTGAAGGAATTACTCAACACACACACATATAAAAAGGAAATATTATTTTTATCATTTATTTTGTGCCATGTATACCATAGGAGAAAAAAACGGAGCGAAATCACTTCAGTACCGCTGTGTTTTTCATTACAAAGTTATTACATATAGAAATTACTCCAAATTATCTGAAATGAATGGAAATTATGAGGTTTAAATTCCCCAGGTTACTGCAGGCACAGCTCTGGAAATTTATTTTGTCATCTTGCTGAACATAATTGCTACAACAAAATTTCTTCCATTTTACAACTGCAGCATAACTTATTTATACCGGTGTAGCTGTAATTTTACATCAATAAGTTGCATGGGAAGGAATACACAGGTGGTAATTGAAAACAATAATTTGTACTGAGGTCCAGGTGGAACGGTTGGCTCAGAAAAAGGCTCCAGTTATTATCGGCAACAGCTTTGTGTCACTGCGGCCTCTTCTCATCCCCTTAGCCAACACTGGTCAAACCATCCAAACACCTTCAATCACATCCCTGTGGCTGCTGCAGTGAGAGCTGCAAGTTGTCTGACTTTCCACCATGGCCCATGTATTCCGGTCTGGAAAGTGAGGCCACAGGGTGCTGAAGGTACCCAGGGAGGCCCATGACACCTCTGTGCCAGCTCCTGCCCTTTCCTTCTGCTGCTTTCCAACTTGCCTCTTGGTTGGGTGCATTTAGGTACCCGGAGCTAATTAAGGTGTTTGATAGATTTCAATTGGAGTATGAGTTCTTGCCAGAAACATCAACAATTCGATTCCCCAAGCACAATGCAGAGCGTTAAATCCACTAATGCTTTATACATTACTGTGTTCCTTCCCAGCCGGAATGTGTGGTCTGGGTACAATACCAAACCGGTCCCCAAACAGGCGTCCTCACTCTTCAGTCTCTAATTGTTCCTGTTAAGCAGATACAAATAATGAAACTGCAGATGCCTGTGCTGAATCCCAACAGCTGATGAATCTACCCATTTGAATCCAGAGGTCCAAATACAGATTTAAAATAATTGACCATAAATCTGCCTTATTTAGAATCCAGATCATCAGAGTGGTCAGAGATGATCTTTTTTGCTCCTGTCTAGTGTTAATTTCATGATACGTGTGTGTGTGTGTGTGTGTGATGGGGCCGGCGGGGTGGGTAGAAGCGGGGGAGAAAGAGAGAGAGAGAGAGAGGCAGGCAGAGGGGCTTTGTCACAAGTTCAAATGGGAAATGTTATTGCCACATCCATATTATAGAAGCTATTCTTGTTTCAGTGATTCCAAAGGCTTGAAATCACAGTGAAATCATTTTTATAAAAGGATCCAGATTAAACTAATACCAGAATGCACAGCAATCCAGTGTCTCGGTTTTCCCTGGGCAGCATTAATTATCTTTTGTTGTAGCAAATTGTCTGCCTTGTAAATTAAGCTGAAAGTGCATCTTCAAGCAGAGGCAATGTTTTAATATGTACATAATGGAACAACTTTCATAACTTCCACATACTATAGAAATATGATTTCATTTTCAATAATGTGCCTGCAGTTAAAACTTTGTGGTGTAGAGCCTCGTTTGTCAGCTTGCAACCTTAACCCTTCTCTATTAAATAGAGAGAAACCACTTACGTGTTTTCCAGGATACAAACTACCTTTGTTGAATTCACTCGAAAGCATCCGTGGCTGTTTCTAAAACTACAAAACAACAGATGAGCTCCCCCAGAGCTCTCTTTCCTAGCTCTGGAAGGCATATCTGAAACAAGGTGTTGGCTGGTTTTTATTTTTATTTTTTGGTAAGCGCCCCCATTGCAGCATCCTCATTAGCCGAGCCTGTTGGAGGGATGCTAGCCTGACTCATGTCTCTCTCTCCTTCTCTGTTCTTCCATAAGTGAGTGCTTGCTTCCCCCTCACTTCCTTTGTAGTGCATCACAGCACAGATAGGAGTTTTCAAAGCCTGGGATTGGGGGTGGGGGAGACCTCTCTACTGAGTCAGATGTCTACAACTCCAGCTTAGCATTTACTGAAACTTCATCTTTCTCAAACTGCTTAAGGATACAAACTAATTAATCCTCACAGCCTCATAAAACCCTTGTTAGGAAGGTGATCATTACTGCCTCCATCCCTAGTCCTCCCCATTTCCTATCACCAGACACCTCATTGTTGCTCGGTCTCAATGACAGCAGCTGACAGCCAGAGTCGGAACTGAAAATTCCTTTCTGAGTCCCTCATTTGAACCACTTTAACTCTCTTTATTTTCCTTGTCTGTTCTCTACAAAGGGCAGATGGATGGTCAATAGACCACTGAATTCAAACTCACGGATATGTGTGTGTCTTCAAAACAGAGCTCTCAGCATCTTCAGGAAAACGGTCTTCCTTGCAGTTTCAGTTACACAATTTGGAGACTCAGTGACAAAAGAGAAAGCAGCAGAGAGACCCTTTTGCATAACACACACACACACACACACACACACACACAAACACACACGTGCACTCACACCACAGCCGCTCGGATCTCTGTATATGTGAGGGGTGGGGGTGGAATTTGGTGCAGTCTGATCATCTTCATGAACGATATTTCTCCCAAGTCGACCAACTGGGTGATGCCAGTCCCTACCAAATTTGAATTGATGACTCAACTAAAGAATTAAAATTAGCAAGACAAGAAAATTCCAAATGAGGTGAGAAAGCTGTAGAAATAGTTCCAGATCCCCTAGTACTGAGCCATTCAATATCATTTCTGATGACAGGGACAGAGCTAGGAACATTCAATGTGGGTGTGAGTCCTTTTCATATACGGGGAGCTGGGTAAGTATTTTTTAAGGAAAATAATACATGAATCAGGAACAGTGAATTTTATTTAACCCCTTGCAGGCTGCAGATACAAAGGCAGCCGGCAATGATGCCTCAGTTTTCCTACAGCTTACCTATGCCTTATACAGTTAAGCAATGGTCAGAAATGTACTACTGTATCAAGGCCAGGTATTACTTGCAGAAAAAAATAAGGTGCCAATGATGTCATGTTTTAACAAAAGCAATGTTGTTAAATTCAGTACACCAAAAGAATCAACCAAACAACTGTTGAAAGGCAAGTTTTGTGGTCCTGACTCTGCTATCAGGTGACAACGTGAAAAACTCCTCTAAATCCAGCAAAGCTTTAATTGAGTGCTTATGGCTCCCAGAAATTTGCTGTAATTTTCAGAAATGACATAAAATAATTCTAGAAGATACAGCAGGAAGCCCAAAAGGCCTCTTTTGTCTTTTTATGCCTCTGGATTTGATAGCTGCTAAAGATTCTAGAACTGTAAGGAAAGAGATAAGGACCACCTTGGGAGCCTTATTAATATGTACATAAATATGATTTGCTTGGTGCCTCCACTGTGGTTTCCTCACAAGTTAGAATAAGTCCATCCACTGATCAGATCGGAACATCGTATTCATGTTCATCTTCTCAGTCAATAACACTTATAGATCCGGAGGAATAGAAATGAACAGACAGGGGTTGCTTCTGAGTCTGCCCTATACCTGTGAATATGAAACGATTTGCCCTCTCTTTGCATGGTTTTCTTCTTCTTCTTCTTCTTCTTCTTTGTTTTAAAGCACCAAAAATGAAGCCCAAAGTAATTTGGTAAGATGTGCTGTTGAATTGCTACAAAGTTGACTGCGTTTCAGAGGGTGGATCTGTGTTAAAAAGAAAACAACAAAAACAAATGAAATGTCAGTTTTCTTTCTGCAGAAACATTAGGACTTCCCATTTCTACTGACACGTCTTATCTTGATTCTTTCCAAATTTTTGTAAAGACATAAGAGATAAAATATAACAGCTCAGAAGGCAAAGATAACATTGTAGGATCTCGAATAGAGTCCAACCTCAGCTGAGTTAAGTATTGAGAATCGTTCAAAGAATTTTAAACAAAAAGCCTGGCTTGGGGGTCACGTGTCTGTTTAATCTGCCCCCACTGCATGGTGTGTTACACGCAGCACACACAGGGAATTAAAGCCCCACATAAGGTTAATAAAAATGCACTCTGATTTGATGAAATGATTTCTGATTTCTGAACTATTCCTCTATAAAGAAATTTAAAGTGACTGAGAATATGGAGGATTATCTGCTGGAATGCACTGTGAAGCTAGAAAAAGAATAGCAGGGAAATATTTGTGAGTTCAAAAAGCTTTTTGACATCTGCTCTGTGTGTGTGTGTGTGTGTGTGTGTGTGTGTGTGTAAAGATAGTGCAGAAAAGGTGGCATTTATTTCCATGTGATTCCAGCATGCACAAAGCCCCAGCTTTGGGCCCAGCACACAGTAGGTCTGCAGCAGGTGCTAGAGAAATGAACCTGGTTTTAAGATATTAGTTCAGGACCACATTTGGACCCACACTTTTTCCTTTTACATTTTCATATGTGAGCCACCTGCACCCTCTTTTTTGGGGGTGGGGAGGGGGCAGGAGTGACTTGTATTTTAAACAAAGGTTTGGTGAAGAAGAGGTGGGGTGGGGTGCGGTGGGGCGGTGCAGTGACCTTCTCAGGAGAGTCCTGAAGCCCCCTCTCGCCTGCCTGGGGTGCTGAGGCAGGGGTGGGTACATGGCTGTGGGCCGAGGTCGACCACCCCCCTCCCGCCCCGCCTGCTGTCTGGGCATCTAGAGAGTGGGGAAACATTAGTACGGGGCCAGCTGCGGAAGCCTGGCAGGGTCGAGGGAGAGGTCAAGGTCGGCCGAGAGGCGGCTATTGATCCGGCTTGGAACGTGAGACATGGAGCGCAGCAAGACTAAAGGGGGAGCTGTGAGACCAGACATTAACAGCTTTGCGCGCTGATGAGGCCCGTGCCAGACGGGCAGAGGGAAAAAGAGGAGACTGGAGTGGCAGCTGGGATCGCTCCCTGCCTGCGCCCGGCCGCCTCTCGGGAGAAGAGGAGGAGGAGGAGGAGGGGAAGGAGGGGGAGAAGGAGGAGGAGGGGGAGGAAGATGCGGAGGAAAAGGGGGAGGAGGAGGGCGAAGGGGCCGGCTCAAGGCTGGGCAGGGGCAGAGCAGCCTCTCCCCGGCTGCCGCGAGGTGGAGCGCGCCGGCGGGCGGCGGCGTGTCCGGCCCTGCGTCCGCCCGCCCGCGCGTCCCTCTTCCCGCCGTCGGGGCAGCGCGGGGCCAATGAGGAAGTGCTCCTCGGGTCCGTGGGGCACGCGCCGGCCCACGCCAGCTACTTCCTGCTGGGAGTGGGGAGGGGGTGCCCCCTCCCCAGGCACGGCCCCTTACCGCACGCGGGGTGGCGGCTGCAGCTGGGACTCCGAGAGCCCTTGCGCCGCTCGCGGAGGGGCTCCCTTTTCCTGAGGGGTCCTCCCCGTCCCGCCTTGCCACTGGCGGGGTCTGCCTTCCTTGTAATCAACCCCAGGAAGGTGAGGGTCGTGGGTCGGGATTTCGAGTCCCGGACCGCCGGCGGCGCTGGGCTGCAGGCACGCCGCGGTGTTTTGGGTCCAGACCTGTCCCTGACGCGCTGTGTGTCCTAGGGCAAAGTGCTCACCCTCTCTGGGCTTCACATCGCTAGTTCTCAGAAAGAGAGCGCGAGTTGATCTTTCAAATTTAGAGTCCGGGCGAGTAGGGATGGCCAGTTTATGAATGTCTTAAAGAAGTTTATTAAAGGTGCGTGTGGGCATATTTTTTTTAAGCCACTTTCCTGGAAAGATTTTCCCGGTGAGAGGGATGGCAGAAGAGGGAGGCCCTACTAGACTTTGGACCACGTGGAGGTGGGGTGTTGGGGGTGGGCAGCCGGGTGCAGCCTGCCCGGCCAGGGCGAGGAGGTGCAAGTCCGCGCCCCGCCCCCGGTCTCCATCCGCTCGGCCTCGCGTCCGCCCACCGTGGAGCCCACAGTTTACAGAACTGCAAGCCAGGGCACATTTTATTGTTATTATTTTTTAGGGTATGGGACTGGAAGGGATCTCTTTCTGTTCTCGCTCACGGACTCTGGGCGCTGTTAAATTGTTGGTGCCATCGCCCCACCCAAGACCTTCGGGACGAAAACAAAAACCCCCGTGTGCCCCCCGAGGAAAAGGCCCCGAGGGAGGCGGCGCTGAGGCGTCACGGCCTCGCCATGCGCCCGGGTGAAGCCGCCGGAGCCAGGCCTGGGGGCGGAGTGGGGTGGGTGCAGCTGGACTCGCCCGCGAAGCCTAGCCGGAGCCAGGCCCCGACCCGCCCTGGCCGCCTCCAGAGAAACCCTGAGAAGGGAGAGGAGGCCAGCCGCGTGGCGCGCCCAGCCCTGGAGGCCAGGTCATCAAATTGACAAAGTTGGCCACAGCCTGGGGAATGGGGGGTGTCCACGGGGGCCGTGGTCTGGCCTTGTCCCCGGGCCACGGAGAGGCCCCACAACTCCTCTTGTCCTCGCCGGTTGGAGATCAAACGGCTGACAAGGCAGCTGCGTCCTTCCCAGTCTGACAGGCATTTCCAAGTCCTACCCTGGGCCGAGGAGCGCGGGGGGCGGGGTGTGACTTCCAGGTTGCTGTGATTGTCAGGGGCGCCTCCTGGAGTCACCCACCCGAGTATCTGCGGAGATTTGGCCACACCTACTCCTGGGCTGGCAAGTCCAAGTCCCTCTCCCACGTGGAGCGCCCCGGTCCCTTTACCCTCTCGCTTGCCATAGACCCAGTTTAGGAGGTGGGGTCGTGTTTGACCCCAGGAGTTAATCGGGGTAAGGTGAGGGGAGGGGACAAAGATTTGAGTGAAAATCCTTTTCCAAGTGGGACTCAAACAAGGTCTCAAACACTTCTCACCCCCTCACGTGCTCTTGATTCTGTTGTCTTAGTGTCGTTTATTTTGTCATCCTCACCCTCCCAGAGTCTGTAATACCAGGATTTATATGGAGACACTTTTTGGAAGTTGAACTCCAACATCTACTCCCCTCCCCTCGCCGCCCGCGACCATAAAACAAAAGTAAAAACTACCAAGCGACTTTTCCAGGGAAACGAAGCGATTCTTACTGTCCCCCCAACTCCCATGTCGACCCCAACCCTTTTCCACAGTCCACGCCCCCACCCCCAAAGTCCAAGTCCGAAAGAGCTTTTGGGTGGGTGGAGACTTGCATTGATTCAATTTAGTTCACTCACACAGCACCCCGCCCCCCTTCTCAGGGGGTCCTGCTCCCAGGATGGAGGAGATATAAGGACGATTTTTCTTTTATTTTAAAATAAGCTGCCCAGTGGCCCCCCCCAACCCCCTCCCGCTGTTGCGCAGCCGGGGCTCGGGGGAGATGAGCGCACAAAAACGCGGTTTGCACGTGTGTCCGGCTTGGGCTGCGGGTGTGCGCAACTGGCGACTGTGTGTGTGTGTGTGTGAGTGTGCGCGCGCGCGCGAGTGTGTCTCTGTGTGTGCTTTCTTGTTCTCTTACAGGGTACAATGTTAAAAAGCCACCGCTAGTCGCCCCCAGTGCTCCGACTCTCTGGGTCTTTTTGTCTCTAGTGCAGATTAAACGTCACGTCCGCACTTGAACTTGAATTTTATCCCATTGTACAGAGGCAGCCCCAGCCATAGAGAGACCGAGAGCTCCCAGAGAACCCGGACTCCGCCATCTTCACGTTGCAATCTATAGCTCCCAGTCTGCGCCCGCACCGACCCAGGCGCACTGGGCGAGCCGCCCCTCCGCCCCGCTCCCCCCGGGCCCGCGGCGCCAGGGGAGCGCTGGGGAGCGCTCGCGGGGACTCGGCAGCCCCTCCGGCCGGCGCCAGCCTGCCAGGTGAACTGGGAAGGAGCCTCTCCTGGTGTCCCCCCAGAGCCTCGGAAGGGTCAGTCTCCGAGAAAAAACAAAAACAAAAACAAAAACAGGCAGCCCGCAGAAAACCCAGAAACAACCGAACCGGGGCAGTTTTACATTGCTTTGGGTTTTTTGAGGGGGCGGGGTGAGGGGGTACGAGACAAGTCCCCAAGTTTTCTTTGCTTTTTTTTTTCCTTTGCTTTTTCTTCTTTTATTTTTTTATTTGTTTGCATTTTTTTTCCCCTCCTGGTAGAAGTGCGCTTTCCACCTACCAGACCCTGAAAGAAAGTGTCAGGAGCCGGTGCAAAACCCAGTTTAAGTTCAAGAAGACATTTGCAAGTGCAAGAGGCCAAGCAGTTTGAAGAAGTGTAAGAGATTTTTTTTCCTTCGAAAGAATATATTTTTAAAGAAACCAGCCAGTCCGCGGAAAGCAACAGCAGTTTTTTTTTTTTTTGCCTCTTTTTCTTATTTTAGATCGAGAGGTTTTTCTTGCTTTTCTTCCCTTTTTTTTCTTTTTGCAAACAAAACAAAAAACAGCATAGAAGAAAGAGCAAAATAAAGAAGAAGAAGAGGAGGAAGAGAGGGAAAGAGAGGAAGGGAAAAAAAACACCAACCCGGGCAGAGGAGGAGGTGCGGCGGCGGCGGCGGCGGCGGCAGCGGCGGCAGCGGCGCGGCGGCGGCTCGGACCCCCTCCCCCGGCTCCCCCCATCAGTGCAGCTCTCCGGGCGATGCCAGAATAGATGCCGGGGCAATGTCCCGCCGCAAACAGGGCAACCCGCAGCACTTGTCCCAGAGGGAGCTCATCACCCGTAAGTGTCTGCGGAGTGCGCGCGAGGGGCCGGAGATGGGGCTCCGGGCGTCTGGGGCTGGGGACACCGAGCCCGGAACAGCCGAGCCTGGCCAGGCGCCGGGGCCGCCCGCTGGCTGGCAGAGTCTACGGCGTCGGCCTGGAGCATGGCGGGGGGCGGGGGCCATAGGAAAGTTTCTTTGCAGCCCGGGGAGTTGGGGCGCCGAGCAGCCGGACGCGCCTCGGGCTCGGGGGCCTGCGGAGCCGGCTCCGGGCCGGGGAGGGGGCATGCAGGCTGGAGGAGTGTGTGTGTGTGCGCGCCGAGCCCGGCTGGACGCTCGCCCCTCCGAGCGGCGTGTGTGGCGGCGGCGGCGCTGGTGGCGGGGTTTGGAGAGGAGGGGGAGGGGGCTGGGGGAGCGGAGGGGGAGGGGGAGCCGGGAAGTGGGGAAAAGTTGGCGAGCGCGTGGGTCCGCGCTGACGGCGCGGGCGGAGGAGAGCGGGGTGCGTTCCGGCTGGGGGAGCCGTAGGGCCAGGGGCGGCCGCCGGCTCCGGGTCCCCGGTCCCTGCGCCCGGCCCAGCAGGGTGCCGGCCGCGCCAGTCCTAGGATTCCGCAGCCGCCTTTCTCTCCCCTCCTCCTGCTATTTGCAAAATAATCCAGCTGCGCGGCTGTTTGCCGGGCTCAAGCCCCCCTCCCCACCCCCCACTTCCCCACCTCCGTCTGTCTCCTGGGATGATCTTGTCTTCTTTCCCCCACTTCAAAAAAGGTGGGGGGATTGGGGTTGGTGAAAAATCCCCGCCACGAGGAAAAAAAAAAAGGTTGTCAGTTAGGAGTGGGAAGAGAGTGATGCGCTTGTAAAATAGTAAAAGAAAAAAAAGAAAAAAAGGAGACCCATCAATCTCGTATCCATCTTTCTATCTCAGTATCTTTCATCTTTCCTATCTAAATAAACAAGGCAGGTCGCAGTGGAAATCCACCGGCTGAAATCGTGTCGATTTCAAGCATGTGGCTGGGCGGGCAAAGTCAGGCAGCGGGGCAAGACAAGCAGCAGCTTCCACCGTCCCTGTTGGGTTTATTTAGCAGAGGGGAAAAGCGAGCGCGAGCGGGCCAGGTACGGTGTTTGCAGGGGAACCCGCCCCGAGTCCCCGCACACTTGCACCGGGAAGGTGGCTTTGCGGCGCTCCCCGCCCGCCGCAGCCCGCGGGGCGGCTTCTTCGCTGCGCGCGAACATTTCCCCGCCGTTCTTTCTCTCGCGGTGCCTGGGTCGCCGTTCCTTTTTTTTTTTTTTTTTTTTTTTTTTTTTTTTTTTAACTGCAATAGAAATAAAACATCCTCTGGGTGCCATCGAGACCGCGGGCAGGTTATATGCTTGCAATCCGCCGCGCACCTCGCCGGGCTGGGGCCGGGCTGCCCGCGCGGAGCTCGAGAGGGCTGCGCGCCCAGTCACCGCAGAGGACTGGCTGCCGGGCGGCCGAGAGCCGAATATTTATGTTATATTTTAAAAAATTTAAATAAATAAATAAATATATAAAGTGGTTCTCCCCTCCCCTGAAAACCCAGCATAGGAGCCATCTGCTCGGAGCAATTGCTGTTGCCATCTCTCCTTTGTTACAGCAGATACATTAGTAAGAATTTGTGGATTTATTATGATTTTTTTTGGGGGGGGGGGAATAGAAATTAAAGTGGGATTCGCCTTGGGAGAGGGATGCCTCTTTGGAGGAAGGGAAGAGGACTTCTCTTTTATTTTTCGCCGTTGTAACACCAAAGAAGACTCGCCGGCTGCGTTTAAAACAAAATGTTTTGCAGCTAGATTTGAGCTTGGTTTGATCAAGGTCTTTTT
Source organism: Homo sapiens (assembly GCF_000001405.40). NCBI lineage: Eukaryota > Metazoa > Chordata > Mammalia > Primates > Hominidae > Homo > Homo sapiens. Next base: position 99,269,344 of record NC_000014.9, on the reverse strand, counting down.
TGCCAGTTGACATTTCGATCCTTTACCAAGCCACAGCAATCGCTTATTCTACACCCTTCCCCCTTTAGATGGGGTGGTTGTTAAAACGTCTATACTTGCAGAGGCTTAATTTCTCCAGGAGGCAATTTGCCCCACGTAGCCTCTGTATAATTGCAAGGGTTGTTTTTGAGGAGGGGGAATTGGGGGGGTCGGGGAAGGGGGAGTGGATGGGGGTGCACTGCCAAGCTGGCAGCAGCGGCGAGCCAGGAGTGGTTGCAGTTGTGTGTAAGGGGAAGAAGCAGGTAGGTTCGCTTTGCTTTGGCTCTCCTTCTCCTGGCATTCCTGGGACATCAGGCGAGAGCCCTGGCCAGAGGACTGGTGGCAGCTGGGCATGGGGGTGAGGGGTGCCTGGTGCAGCACTTTCCCATCCTTCATTTGTTCCCTGTCTCGCTCAGCCCTGCTCAGAGCCACGCTGGGGAAAGCCAGCTGACACTGGAGCAGTGGCAGGGAGGGAAAAAGAGAGAGGCAAAGGAGAAGAGAGGTGGAGAGAAAAAGGGGAAGGAGACCAGAGGGCAAAGGAAAGCCGGCCTGCCTTTGAGGGGCACACGGAGCCCAGGCTATGTGTACAGGTTTAAGCTAGGAGAGTGGTCCAACCAGTTTTCAGACAAGGCTATTTATTATCCAAAAGCAGCTGGCTTTTCGTCTGTCCTGTGTCACCTGGGAGGGAGGTGGGAGAGCAAGCAGGGGAAAGGCAGGAATGGGGTGCACTTTAGCCTCTCTGGCCTCTGGAAGTGCCTCTCCACAAATGATGCAGGAGCCGTGGACTCAGGGTGCTTTGGAGCCCTGGCTGGCAAAGCGGGTGCTGTCGCATCCTCTACTTGGAGTTCACATTTTAGATTTTAAATTCCAAAGATACCCCTTAAAACATGGTACATCTTTATCAGTTGGGTGGCAGCTCCTGGGCCTGTGGGGCAGCAACCTCAGGTCCTTCAGGGATGATGCAACTGCAAATAACTGATGGCCTGGGAAACAAGAGGGCACACAAATAGCACGCATGGTCTTTGTGGGTGGGTGGCGGTGGGGAGGGGAGAGGGGGGAGGGAGCGTCTGAGAAGGGCTCCATAATGAGCTAGTTAAATTTACAGACAGGGCCAGGGACAAGAGGAGTGAGGTAAAAAAGAGTGAGAGACAGCTGGTGATGGAAACCTGGGCTTCTGGTTTGCTTCAAAATGTTTGACCCAGATGGATATGGCTTTTAAAAGCAGAGGACAGACACAGCTATTAATAAAAAAACAAACACAAAACAACACAGTGGCAATCGTGCCGAGGGGAGGTTAAGGGGGATCGGCTGACCACGCAGAGGAAAGGGCCAGAGCCCGCTGTGCCAGACAGGGCCAGGGTGAAGGGAAGAGTACTTAAATCCAAGAAGGAGCTTGATGCTTTCTGAAGAGACCAAGGAAAATAAGATGTCCACGGTAAACTGCGTAACCCCAGTCAAGGTGATTTTCTCAACAACCCACCAACAGGTTTCCTAGGAAGATTAGTAATTTTCCGTATGAATTCACGATTTTGTAAAACAACTAGAGACCCAAGCAAGATTCAATGCAAAAGTTAGGCTAACTGTGTTAATTCCATGGTTACCTTTTGAATTAGGTTTTGCTGTAGCTGTGTGTTTTGAAGGCAGCGGTGCTCACAATTATCTTAACTCCCCAGGGTAGAGTATATCTCCAGTGGTCCACATGTCTTTCAGAATTGGGCCTCCGATAAATTTCATAAGACATAGCCCTCTTTTTTTTTTTTTGGTTAGTTGGTGGGGGGGGGGTGAAGTTCCTCTCCCTTCTGCACAGAAGGGAACCCCATATCATTAGAAGTGTGATATAAGTCAGCTGCTCTGATTCAATGGGAGAATAAAAACGTGTTCACCAAAGGTGTTATGCCAGGCTGATTTTATTCATTTGTAATTCACACCTGAGAGAAAACAGCCGTGAGCATATTTTAACAGCCCCTAATATTTTTAAAGGGTCTTTTTTCCCTACCTGAATGATATGATGTACATATGCATATTTCTTTTCTTTTCTTTTCTTTTCTTTTTTTTTGATGGGGAGGTTGCTATCTGCCTGTGCTTGGCCTTGGCGATTTTTTGTCTGGCCTTTGAAATATTTCATAACAGAAAACTAGGCATTTCTGAAGTGCTGGGGTGAATGCAGTTGCTTTTGTGAAGCCGGCCTTAGAGACATCGAGGCTGGGTTAGCTGGTTGGGTGTGTTGTGTCAGTGACCAGTGTGGAGGGCTAAGTGGGTCCTACTCAACCCAAGGGAAGCCCAACTTTGGGTGCATTTGAGAATAATTAGAATTGTGTCTCAGGTGAGACGGAAGCACAGAAAACAGTCGTTTACAGATACCAGTTTCTAGCGCCTTCTCAGAATGGAGTTCTTGGCACTGTCTTATAGCTTAGAACACGGCTTGCACCAGCCTTCACTTATCCCCTTTTCATCTCCTATCTCGATTGCTTTGCATTCTCTGTTGCTTGTTGTGATAAAATACTTTCCAAAATAAACTTTCAGTTGAATTGGCTTTTGGTTGATGGCAAGCTGAAACGCCGAGCCGCGCCTAGCGCCACTTGGCAGCTAGGGGGAGCTCGGTGCCCGTGTCATGGCTTGGCGCCTCCGCTACAATGGGCTAGGAACGGGCTTCCATCAGCAGCGGCGGCAGTTTACGTTGCTGCAAAATACCTTAAGTGTGAAGTTGTAATATTGATTTTCCAGCAGAGATTCGTGCAGGACAAAATGAGAATATAAGTTTGAGAAATCTATTTTCAAGCTATCGCCATTGATTTACAAGCCCTCACTTGGCAGATGGGGGCATTTTCTTTTTCTTTGATTTTCTTTCTTTCTTTTTTAACAATTAAAATTGTGAGTTTTGAATGGGTGTGTTTTCCCTGATTCGTCCGTGGTCTTGACGTTCTGAAAATTCTGCTGCGTTATTAAGGCGCTGGTGATCGGGCTGGGGAGGTCTGGGGAAGGCGTACTGCTCATTTCTGTCTTGCATGTCACAGACCCAGGGAACAGTCGAGAGTTGCTGCTTTTGGGAGTCGTGTACCTAAAACAGCTTGATGAATGGAAATCCTTTTAGCTCAAATTTTATGACACTTGGATTCTCAATTCCATTTATTAGGTAATGTTCCCACTGAACTAAGGGAAATAGCACCGTTCCCCAAAGATTTAAAATGCCGACTCAAATAACATGTAAAACTTTGTTTGGAAAGAGTATGTGATTGCTAGAGCCAGTCTTGATCACATCTTTCACCCCAAACAGTTGTCCTTTATGGATGGCTTTTAATGAGAGGATTTCTCCCCTAAACATGTAATCTAGTGATGGGGAATATATGTGCTTTTGATCATAGGATTTCTAGATTTATAATGTCTTCTTTCCCAAGTTGAAGAAATCTGCAGACTGCACCCTGAGTCTTATGCTAGAGTTCAATATATGAGCAGAAGAGGTTACCCTGCGACAGGAAAGAGTGCTTTATTCTAACCTGAAAGAGAAATAAATTAGGTCAGACAAAAGCCTAGCGCTGTCGTCAGCTGGAGAAAGAGCCTTCACTCTCCAGTACACAGGGCCAGCAATTTATCTGATGATTTCTCTACTTCATTTAATGTTTGAATCGAGCCAGTTGTAAGCATGTAGTGGCAGCGAGCTCACTGGACCACTCAGAGATGAAGAGGCACGGTGACCTCGAAGTCTTGGGCCGGACGGTGGTCTCTGAGCTGCAGAAAACCGTTAAAAATCAGTTTAGCAATCTCCAATCCTTTGCCTTAGAACTCAGGGGAGTTTCACAAGCTGTAACTAAACACAGATCATAGATAAGACAATGCAGGAAAAAATATATGGGGGAGGGAATGGGAGGGGGTCAGGTTCTTGTCCGTTGGAGACTCTCCTTCATCTCCCATGGCTTAAGGATGGACCTTCTGGCTGCCTGGTTAGGCCTCACCTTTAGCTGAAACTCTCCAAAGACTTTGGCCTCGAGGTTAATGTTGGCTTCACATCTGGGGAGGACAAGGAGAAAGTAAATGGTCTTTGGGGACTGTACCCTGCACCACATGGTTGAGTTATTGATACCGGCTGAGCATCTTTCTCTGAAGACGGTGTTAGCTGTAGATACACTTTTGTATTTATTAATGGGGAAGGGTACAGAAGACACTAGGAATGAATGTCTGTGTCATCCAGCTGCCGTGAGTATGCTTTGTCACTTTGCGGCACTCTTTTGACTCAGGCCATTTGGCCTGAGGTCCTGTGCGGCACTCTTTTGACTCAGGCCATTTGGCCTGAGGTCCTGTGTGCTCTGTCCTGTCCCTACTCCCTGATCCCACTCAGCTTCCTTCCGGTCCCAGGGAGCCAAATGTCAGGGAGATGTGCTCAGGCTCGGTCCCCCTCTTGCTCCATCCCTCCCCAAGAAACGCCGTGTGCTGACTGCCTCCCTTGAGCAAGTATGTTTCCCAGGGCGTGGGTAAAAAGTGCCGAGAGCAGGCTATTTGGAGACGCGTGGAAAGAGAAGGACACATTTCTTGCGTCTTCTGCACAAGCCAGTGAGGAGGGTGAGCAGAGCAGCCTTGTTTTTTGCTGGCAAAAGTGACACTAGATGGAGGCTTGATGAATGGTGCCACATTCACGGGATGTTGGTCCAGCATTTTGACATATGCTAGTCTTTTGTGCAGTTGCTGAAAATCAAGAAATTCATTCTTTTTTCTTTTTCTTGTGGCAGCTGATAATTTGCTTGGGTGTTGAATAGCCAGCCTGAGCTATTTTACTGTAATGAAATCCCAGACCACACAAAATTAAGTCACTTCAAAGTAAAAAAAGAAAAAAAAAATCCTCTCTTTTACATAACTTCTTTTTTATGGCCCCCTTCCACTTATTTTATTGAAATACAAATAAATACATTTGTGAAATGTTCTAATGAGTTTTCTACTAAAACAACACGCAGAAATGACTCAAGAAAAGTTGAGTGCCAATATTATTGTGATTAACATGTGCCTCAGAAATGGATGCACTGCTAAGAATTAAAAAAAAGGGGGGGGGCGGTGTCATGTTTAAATTCCTACCTTGGAAAAGAGATGTCGAAAGCACTCCTGCCCTTGCTATTTGCTGTTGGCCTCAGATAATCCAAACTCCTCCAGCTAAAGCCTTGAGGTCCAGTGTCCTGTGTGGAAGCCCTTCTTTTCTTCCGCACCTTTGAAAAAAGCATAATGTTAAATAAAAACAAATCTCTTCATTTGCCCACAAAGAGTGCTTTTTTATCACATCGTTAGGAGCCCGTTGTGGCTCTGAAGATTGAAGGCATTTGCAGTTTTATAGAACCTGCTAAATGTGTTGAGAAGGATTGCTATTGTGGTAAATCTTTTCCTTTTCTTTTTCTTTAAAGCGCCTATTTTATTTGTCAAGACTTTTATTTGTAACCTTTTAGTAATGGCTGAGACCTGTGAATATACCTGAGTATGTTTTCCTTATTCACTTGTTCTTTTTTCTGCTCTTGTGCTGGGGAGACCCAGGCTCCTGGGCTCAGTTTTTGGGGTTCTGGAGAGGTGTGTGCATTATTCTTTTTTCTGCTCTTGTGCTGGGGAGACCCAGACTCCTGGGCTCAGTTTTTGGGGTTCTGGAGAGGTGTGTGCAGTGGGGGAGAGAAGGCGGTTGGACTCCATAGAGCAACTGAGGATATTTTTCAGGGAGCTGCTTAAGCATCCTAAAATTAGGCTGGAGTCCTGCAAACAATCTGTACACAGGGAGACCCTCCCCAAACATTCGACTTTCCCGCCTGGAGTCTGTAGACCAGAAGGTATGGGAGTGAGCCTCTTCCTGCATCTAAAACCTCTTCACGGATCTGGAGTTTCCACCTCCTGGCCTGCAGGCCAGGCCCAAAGTTTCCGCTGCTGGCGGAGTCAGCGGGACCCTGGTCATTTTCCTGGGAAGCCCACACTGGGAAGCATGTTTTGCACCGGCCGCCTTCCCTTGCTCTCCCTCTCACATGTCAGAAACGGCGATCGAGGTGTGTGCCTCAGCTGAGGAGGGGCAGACAGGACCTCATGGGGTGGTGGCTGTGGTATGTATCTGTCCCTCCAGGGAGGCAGCCTTTGGAGGGTGTCAGGAGGGTGCAGAGCTGACCTGGAGCAGGCTGGACTCCTCTGACTGTCTGCTGAGAGGGTCGAGGGTCAGGACAGAGAGGTGTGATCTGGGTCTTGCTTCCTGCTTCAGACTCCGCCTGGCTGTGCCTTCCCAGGGTCCCCACCCCCAACTTGTGTCCTAATAACCCTTCGAGACCCCCTGTGGACATCCTCCTGACACCAGCCTCCCTCTTATCTCCATTTCCTTCTCTGCCAGGCACTTCATTATTCCCTCCGTTAGGGGAACTTCATAAAATCTCTTGTCGTGCCTTTAAGCGTCATCTAGTCATAGATTATTTTCTCCACCAAGAATTGATTCCTGCTCTCTCCCCCTCCACCCTTCTCCTCCCCCCTCCCTACGGTTGTTATTTTCTCTTGGATCCAATAAATTAAAAATGGATGGCAGCTCAGAAAGTGTTGTGCTCCGTCGAGTGTGCGTGTGGTGGCGTTTCCGTGTCGCCTGGAGTCCCAGCCCCTCCCCAAGTGTTCACGGAGAGGAGATGAAAAGATCTCTTCGTAGATTATGGGTAAGCATGGGCTCGCTGGCAAGAGCTCCCTCTTCGTAGGAAGCAGGTGTAAAGTCTCCAGTCGGATGCAGAGCTCGGGCGGATGGATGCTGAACATTTCTTGTAAACATGCGTACACATCATGATGGCGGTTGTGACGTTGGTGGCACACGATTTTAAGAGCCTGGGACCCATCCCCCCACATCCTTCCCTTTCCCACCCCCGTCATCACTGAAACAATAATTCTGTGTATGTTTCTCCTGGACTGTAGCTTAGCCATTAAAGATAAGAGAGTTGGATTTGAATTAATGCAGGGTAAGGAGGAGCAGCAGCCCACGTACTGTGTATGTAGCAATGCACATGTGTGTGTGCAGGCAGCCACGCACATGCCTGTGCTCTGGGGACAGCAGGCAGCAGACCTCTCGGCTGGAGTTCCCCTAAGGGCAGGTGCATGGGCAGTTGTTAGAGATGGGCCAGGGAGGGCGGGGTCCTTGGCACCCTGTGTGTGGGGGAGTCACTGGCCAGGTAAGGCCCTGCTGAAAGCTTGCAGCTGCTGGGGGCTTGTTGGCTGCTTGGCTGGGCCTGTGTTAACGATGTCTTTCCATTTCTTTCTTCTGACTCAAATTCCTTCCCAGCAAAGCCGAGGCATGGGGAAGTTTGTCTTGGGATCAAGTGCTTCCCCTTTCACTTAACAACGATGTCCATTATTATTTGTGATTGCTTCTAAATGCATTTACCAGCTGGGAGGAGGCCTGGCCTTGTAAATAAAATGTGGTTTTGTTGTAAAAGAAAATCTAACTCGTGTGTTTGTGTGTGTGTGTGTGTAAATACAGATTTGTCCCTGCACTTTAGGATTTAGCATTTCAGAATCCGCCTCAGCCCTCTGATATCTGCCTTTCGAACAAGTTGTCTGCTGCATCCATTCATTTTTCCTCTTAATGAGTCAAACATTTCAGCAATTGCTCTACTTTATTCGGCTCATAATATATTGAGAGCAGCAATATTCTGCAGGGCTGCCCGACACTTGGGGAGCTTTTCATGAAAGCAGAGATCATCTCAGAGGAAAACCTCATCTTGGCTTTATTTTTTTAAGGCCCGAGTTTGCTGGACAAGGCTGCATGAGGGGCTGGCCTGTAGGGTCTGGGAATTTGAAAGACTGTTTTCATTGGTCTTTTTCCTGGTGCTTTTTCGTCTCTGGGTGGCAGGTTGGACCACTCTGCCTGTTAGAACAGAGGCCTGGCTCTCTGAGGCTGTGCAGAGCCGGGAGACTCAGGTGTCCATAGGGCAGAGAAAGAGGGGTGTCACTTTGCCCTTCCCAGGGCTTGGCTTTCTCCTTTTATTTCTTCCATTATCGATACAGTTCTAAGGAGGGACACATGCACACATATGCAGGCACCCTACACGCCTAGCTTGGTATCTGCCTGCCAGCGGAAGTGAAACCACAGTCTTTGGGGGTGTCTACAAAGGCCTTGAACGTGAGCTTTCAGGCCCACTTGGTCCACTTACTCTGACCCAGAAATTTGGGGCTGGGGGTGACTCTGCTGCCTGATGTTGAGGGTGACCTTGCTACCTTCCTGGGAAGTGTCGCACACAGCAGGCCAAGGCACAGCGCCACAGCCTGGGTGGTGGGGAGAGGAAACCCCGTTCTTTGGAATCGGGTGAACACCCTGTCATCTCAGGGGTTTAACTTTCAACGCTGAAAGTGGGAGGGGAAGGAGATATTTTTTGTTTGTTTCTTTTCCTCCCAGACTCCCTTAGAGGCAGTGAGTTGGATCTCTGGTCTGGGACGTGGAGATCCCAGCTCAGAACTGAGCCCTGGAGGCCTGGATAATCCCGGGGCTGTCTCGGGGACGCCAACAGGGCCTGGCTCCCAGGTTGGTTGGCTGTTAGGACTTGACGCAGAAATCAGAGCTGCAGCACAGCAAACGGCTTTGGACACCTTCAAACTCAATTACGGGGGCTCGCAGGGCTGCTGCATGAGGAAAGTGAAAAGGCAGAGACTGCCAAAAAAAGGAAAGAATACCAGATGTTACCAAAAATAAAAAAATAAAAAAAAGAGGAGAGAAAGGAAAAAGTGCTGGTACATAGTCTTGGCAAAAGACGAAGCTGAGGAGGAGGGGTGCTTGCGAACAGGCACGTGTGACCTCTGCTAATTTTTAAATTCATCTGTGTTTCTTTTGAATTAGAAAATGAGTTTGAAATTATGTAGTTGAAAACCTCCTAGCAGAGAGGAGATATTTAGGCTTGCTAGAACTCCTACTCAGGAGGGCGGACGAGGCTGAAAAAGTTAATAAAAAAGCAAACAAAAAAGTAAACCGAAGATTAAATTAAAAAAACCAAGAAGACCTCTTCGCCCTCAGAAAGGACGGTCCAGCTGGCCATGTGGATTTGTCGTTGTACGTTTTTATCAAATCTTCCACTGATGCAGGAGTTTGCCAGGCCTGGACAGGGTGGTATTTAAAATAGTACCAGGTACCGCACCTCGCCCCTGTTTCCTTTGAATTCTCAATTTCATTATGTCCTTTTTTGCTTTTCAGCTCATTTCTTTTGTGCCTCTCTCTCTATTTTTTAACAAAACAATATTTTGACATCCTCCTCCCATTTATTAGAGCACCTTCTGTAAAAATGGCGCACAATACATCCTTATATTTCTAAAGAACTGTTTTTACAGTGCTCTCCTTTGGCTCTGAAATTATGTATATGTAATTGGTAATTAAAGGTGCGAGCTTTTCAATATAAACAGTATTGCTCAATGTTAGATCATTAAAGGGAAAAAGAGGCACCAAATAATTACCTTTTACATTCTGACAAACCGTTCACAGGAATCCAGTCTTCCCTAGAACCTCTGTTCGGTGGGAAGGTTGTGATTACATTTTAACCATAGCAAAGCATCTTTTCATAAAATAAATTGGTAAATTAATTACGTGGCATTGTCTTCAAACCCATTTTTAAGTAAACTCCTATTTCTTTCTAAAGTGTAATTAATGGTTTCTGGGACCGGCTTTGTGAGGACTGTTTCTTTACCTTGTAGGTTCTTTTTCTTAGAGAGATGCAGACAACAGATTTAGGATTTCCTCGTCTGCGGGGCGTTTCTGTACTGCCACATTTCTGATGCATTCTGCATTTAATTCATCGAGGGCTCTGTCTGCTTTTCTGTAACCACAGGTGGGATCTCAAATTGTAGTTTCTCTTCTCAGCGATACCTACGTCGCTACCTATTCACACATAGTTCATACGTGCGCGTTGTACGTCTTACATCGTCGTATATTCTGTATTCAGTTTCACACATGGACTCTCCTAGGCCCTGCATAGGCTCGTGTTCAGAAAATAGAGAACAGTGATTTATGTGTAGGATGGGAGATGCCACAGAATTTTTTCCTTAAATTATCTGTTCTTTGGCTCTGGCACTTCAATAACTTCACTGCCACGGAATGTATTTTCCTCCCTCCCATTCCTTCTCGCCGTTCCTCTGTGGTTTTCATTATCCTTCCCTAAATACCATACAACTTAAAATTTACCTGCCTCCTCGGGTTTCAGACCTTTGGCTGCCCTCTGGCTTCCCTGAAGACCCCGCCACTCGTGTCTTCTCTACGACTACTGACATTTGCTCTCGAAAAATTCCAGCCCGAATTTGCTCAGACCCCGAGGGGAATATGAAACCTCCACACTGTCCACTTCTCTTTATTTATGACACTTTTGGCTGCCGAGTCTTCCAATTTTCCCTTGAGGAGGTTGCTGCTTTTTGAGGCATTTATTAGCTTCCAAATATTTGGGTCCTAGGCTCCCTACTCTCTCCCCCACAAAAAAAACCCAAGAGAAATCTATCGGCTGCTAAAGAAATATAAAAACATACAGTCCATTGAAAGTGTGGTTTGATATCTTCCAAGAAATGCTTTTGGAGTCTGGAGAATTTTCTTTCTTTCATTTTTCTGGGAGTGAAAATAAAATCAACAAACAGAAAAGGACAGTGGGGAGTTGATGAGTGTGGGGGAAATCTACAGAGAAATGGAAGTCTGACCGGGCCTCGGGTGCTTGGCAGGAGAGCCTGCTTCCCGACTCTGCAAGCCGGTTCCAGCCTCCCTTCTGCTGCAGTGCTTTCTCCTAAGATATTTTTTTGGAACCTGACACTCACTTGTTGCTTTCTGAGCATGTGGGCTTCCTTCTCTCCTAAGGACGGGCCCTTAGACGCCCATCTGGGTTTCTGTTTTCTAGTTTGGTGTGTGGCCAGGTCCCAGGTAGAGGAATGTGAGTGGGATTCGCATGAATGGGGAGGGCATGAATGAAGGTGTAAGGGATGGGAGGGGTGGGGCTCCAGCCCAGCAGGGGGAAAGGGCTCCAGCTCACTGGTTCTCGGCCCTGGCTGCCCATTGGAATCACCTGGGGAGTCTGAAAGACTATTCCGATGTTTGTTCCCAGTGTAACTGGTCAGGGGTGCTGCCTGCGCCTTGGGATTTTTCAAACCCTCCAGGTGATTCTCAGATACTGGAAACTTTGAGAGACACATCACGACCTCATGCTGTCAGCAGCCAGGGTGTGTGTGTATGCACGTGTGTCCGTGTGTGTTCTTATACTACGTTGGGGAGAAACTGGCAGAAAATAAACTAGAATGCAGTAAGATCGGCACTACTTACGTGGCAATGCCCAGGGGGCACGACGTTGCTCCTAGAGCCTCAGTGTGCCCATCTGTCCTGTGGGGGATGCTCACCAGCCCCCAACCCCGGGGAGGACCTGGTGAGCTCTGGCAGCCAGCAGCAGAGGGGGCTGCTTCTTGGCGGGGAAGGGGTGGACCGGAAGTTGGGTGCTGTGACCGCCTAAGCCCATCTCTATCTTCTCTGCCCCTTCCCTTTCTTCTTTCTGTCTCCAGCAGAGGCTGACCATGTGGAGGCCGCCATCCTCGAAGAAGACGAGGGTCTGGAGATAGAGGAGCCAAGTGGCCTGGGGCTGATGGTGGGTGGCCCCGACCCTGACCTGCTCACCTGTGGCCAGTGTCAAATGAACTTCCCCTTGGGGGACATCCTGGTTTTTATAGAGCACAAAAGGAAGCAGTGTGGCGGCAGCTTGGGTGCCTGCTATGACAAGGCCCTGGACAAGGACAGCCCGCCACCCTCCTCACGCTCCGAGCTCAGGAAAGTGTCCGAGCCGGTGGAGATCGGGATCCAAGTCACCCCCGACGAAGATGACCACCTGCTCTCACCCACGAAAGGCATCTGTCCCAAGCAGGAGAACATTGCAGGTATGGGATGCTGCGCTTGCCTGGTTGCTGTGGAAGCCACCTCCTGGGTCCCATGCCCTCTGCCTGAGTGTGCTGGTGCAGGGGAAGGCCCAGGGGCTTCCAGGATGGCCTCTGGGCCACCAGCCGGGGCTCCCCCTTTCTGAGGGTCCACCATCCAGGTGACCTTCAGGAGGAGACAGGCCTGGGGCTCGGGGAGGCCCAAATGGCTGATGGCTGCTTGCTTTTGGTGAGGGGACTCTGTCTCGGGGGCTAATCCAGAGGTGGTCAGAAGCACAGAATGAAAATTTGGAAGTCTGGTTGGCCCTCTCTTTGCTACTGATCTTGGCTTAGTCCCTGATTTTGAAGCCAGACAGTTTTGGGTTAGAGTTTGTCTTCACAACTTGGACATGTTAGTTTGCCCATCTGTGAAATGGAGCTAAGGAAACCCACCTCATTAGGGTTGCTGTGAGGACGAATGAGCTGTTGCATGCGGCATGACCTGGTAGGCACTTAGGAATGGGAGTGCTCATTCTCTCCCCTCTCCTTTCTCTCTGGACTCAGTTTCCCATGTGTGAAATGAGGAGTTAGGCCCCCTGATCTCAGAGGTTGCTTCTGACATTGCCCGACCCCAGGGGCCGGTCCCAGGCAGGGGTGTGGGAACTTGTTGGAGCACTGTGCCCGTTGGGGGAGGTTGGATATGCCCTTTGACATGCTCACTCATTTGACCACTGGGACAGCTGGTTTTACCACCTTGAGAACAGGTCTAGGGCCCCTCTGTCCCCAGGCGTGGGTCTGCTCACCACAGTGAGTTAGCATGAAGTCCCTCCCTCTTGGCCAGCACCATGGCATGCTGGAGCCTCTTCCAGGGAGCCGCTGCTCTCTGTGCAAACCAGAGTGTTTGTTTCTGGTTTATACTTCTGAGCCCAGGAGGCCTGGGGGAGAAAGGAGGGCCTGGCCAGCCTGGGTTCCCTAAAAAGCAGCAGCCTGTGCTGGAGCAAGATGGGCATCAGAGTTTATGCAGACGAGTGTTCAAATCCTGATGGTTGACTTTGGATTAGCCACTTCATGGGTCCGAGCCTCAGTTTCCCCATCTGTCAACAGAAAGTGATAATAGCAGCAGGCCTGGTGTGAGGATTAGATGAGCAGGGGCTCTTAATCAGTCTTTTGCCCGTGGCACTTCTCTCTCAGAGGTTTCGTCTGGCTCTGCGGTGTGCAAGTAGGTGGCTGGCTGGGGAAACGAGTGCATTGATCGTTACCATGCTTCCATCATGGAAGGTAGCATGGGCTCTGGAGGGACTCAGGCTTTCGATGCTTCTAGGAGGGTGAGATGGATGGGCATGGGCACTGATCAAGACCCATCACCCAGGACGCAGTCAGGGTAATGCTGCAAGCCTGTCTCCCCCACGTCTCCAAAGCTTTGTGATGCTGAGCCTCACTTTGCTCACCTGCACAAGGGGCTTAGTGAGCCCTCTCTTTTGTGGGGAGACTGTGGTGGTATGCAGAGTCCTGCAGCCTCATGCCAGGCACTGGGGAGACATCAGTGAACCAGATTGGCCTCTGGGCCTTGCCTTCTGATGGGTGCCCTAGCATGAAGTGTCTCATACACTTTCCAAGATGCAAGGGGCTTTGAGACATGTCCAGGCCACCGGCATGTAAACACTGGCTTCTCAGAGTGCTATGTGCACCTGAGCAGCGTCTCTTCACCGGGCTGAGCCATCAGGCGAGAGAGGTGCTGGGTCCCTTTTGTCTTTGTTGGTCCACATTCCAGGGACAGTTTTACCTGTAGTATCGACGCCTGGCCTCAGTGCACATCGATCTTTCAGGGGTGGCCTTGCTAGGGAGACTCGGGCCGCCTATTTATGTTTCCATGGAAAGATTTGCTGCTTTTGCCAAAAACATCCAAATCCTCATTTCACATTGAAGGCATTTCCCAATGAGAGGCTGCAGATCACTGTGGCAGGTTTGTTTAAGAAAGTGACTAAATGTGATTTCATAAAAGGCAAAGCTAATCTCCAAGGCAGCTTTGTCCTCATCCTTCCACCCCCTGGCCCCCCTGTTTTTTTTTTTTTTTTTTTTTTTTTTTTTTCCAGGTTGTGATACTGCAGCAGCCTACAGTATCTTTATTTTATGTGTGACGAAAGATATTCTTGGCCTTTCTGTTCAGCAACAGGACGAATGGATTTCTTCATTCTAGAAGAAATATGTAAAATAATCCCTTAGAAGTCTAAAGAGATATGTTTGTTCAAAGCATTTAAAATGTTATTTTAATCAAAGGCACAAAACAGTCTACATGCTGTGTCAGCTGAAGACGACCATCCCATTTTAACAGCACACATGCGCCTGCCTTCTAGTTCCCATTCCTCCTATTTCCCTGCCTACTTGGGCAGCAACTTTTCTTTTTTTATTTAATAAAAAGGAAAGATTAAAGAAGAAAACTTCAGTGGCTCAAATGTATAAAGTAATTTAATATGGTGGGAGCATTAATTATTTTAGCTTAATTGAATTCCGAGGACTGCAGTAGTTGCATTTTTGTAGACAAGCCCTGTTTATTATTTCTCTGTGTAGATTAACAGTAAAGGAAACACAGATAACTTTCAGTTATTTATTGTAAAATAAATGTGTCAATTCATGTGTAAAGCAAGCTGCTCAGAGATAATTGAGTCTTTATATTTTAAGAGGGGGACTAGGAATCACGGGCACTTCTCCGCCCAGGCTTCCGGAAACCCGTCCAGCTGCTGCCCACGCTCCTGGCCCCCGGGCCGGCTGTCCCTCCAGGCTTCTGCCTCCTGGCCGGGGCTCCAAGGAGTCCTCCAATCCCTCCATGACCTGCTATTGTCCCCAGGGCCTCGCTGGCCCCGGCCAGTAGCTGGTGAGCGGGTGGCTGTTAATTCTTGGACTCTGCCTCTGGCTTTGGCTGTCCAGGCTCAGAGGAGTCCAGGGTGAGGTGACCTCGAGGGTCCTGGTGGCTGTGAGGGTCCTGCCTTTTCCAGGGCCAGCAACCTTCCTGATACCCAGGCAGGTCCCCGCTCTTCCTTGCTACCAGGTGCTTCTAGAAGTGGGGACTCCAGAGGCAGACCCGAAGGGGGTTCCTCCCACCCTTAAGGGAGATCCCAGGGTGAGAACTGCAGGGGGATTCTGTCAGTCATCACACTAGGTCGGGGACCCCATATCAGCTGTTTCCTCGGGATAGTCATTCTGGAGAGTAATTACTGTTATTTTTTATTTTTGGTAAATGATAGAGAAGTAGGAAGGTAGAGGGAGGAAGTTTCTGAAGCTTTGTTTTCTGGAGGGCATTCATTCATTCATTCAGCAACTGAGCACCTGGGGCCCATCCTCCGCCCTGGGTGTCCCCACCTGGATCCCCAGGTAAACAGCCCCCAGAGGAGGGAGCGGGCGTCCAACATGGGGATAATGGGCAGAGTGTGAGCTGGCAGCAGCCCTGCTCTTGACGTGTGCATTCTGGATCCAGGGCTCCACTCCCTGCTGAGCATTCGCTGTGGACGGAGGAGGTCCTTGGAAATTTGTTTCAGGCCTCTCTGGGGATGGGGCGAAGCTGGTCAGAGGCAGGGTCTTTAGCTGGTGGTCTGACTCAGGGCAGCTATGGTGCCTCTGATACATCGCTGCCTATAGGTTTACATTCTTTATGTTTCTTAAGGTTCCTGCCTGTGGCATTCTCCCTGCCTCTGTGGGAGTTCAGGGGAGCACAGGACCCATCCTTTGGGGGAGCTGAGAGGTGTTCCAGGTTTTGCAAAGAGCACGTGGCGCTGCCAAGCCGTTATCTGGGAGGGGTGTTTTGAGGAGGGGTGAGGAGAAAGGGGCTTTCAGGGTGTTTGGGGTTTGAAGGCTGTCTGTTGCTGTGTGGGAAAGAACACAGCCCGAGTCAGAGCCCCACCCTGCTCCCTGCCAGCCTCCGGCAGCCACTTGACCTTCTGAGCCGCGGTTTCCTCATCTGTCATTGTGACATTTATGATGAGTGCCTGGCACACGGTGGGGGTAGGTGTGCTGCAAATAGGAGCTTTTCCTGGCGCTCGGCTTTCCCTCCTCCGCCGCATTTTCAGGCGTTAGAGCAGCTTGCACCGGTCTTCTTGGCAATGGGCTCCTGTCAGGGTTGGGACAAACCGCCACTGGGTTGTGGGACTAAATCCACCATCACAGGCAGTGTCAGCATGGAGTAGACTCTCTCCCGTCCATTCTGCCTTTTGTTAGGTGACTGTCCCTTGAGGATCTCTTTGCTGGCGGTGCACTCTGAGGAGCCGGCGGGGGGTTTCAGGTGAGGGAGCACAGGCTTTGGCATCTCCCGGGTGGAATCCCAGCCCCATCACTCACTGCTGGCCACCTGTGTGAGTCACTTCACTTTTCTTGGCCTCCGTTTCCTCGTCTGCACCTCCTTTTTGGGTTATGCTGAGGATGAAATGAGGAAGCACCCACCTGGCACCGGTTGGGCCTGAGGCAGATGATCAAGAAGTGGATGCTTCTAGAAAGCCAAACACAGGAAAGTGTGGACCCTGCTTGGCAGCATGCCGAGTACGTGTTTTTCTTGGTCAAAACCATGATCACTTACCTGGGATCTCTCTCACGGTGATTTCCTACAGGTTCCTCCATATAATTCTCACTTGATAGTCACTGAAGGGGAGGCGCTTGATCACCAGGAATTTGGTTTTGCCTGTTTTCAGCCCTTCCATAACCAAATGAAGCTACAGAGGGAGGAATTAACTATCAGCTGTCACTCATAGGCCTGCCTCCGTAACCCTCCAAGTCCTGAATGTCAGTTTTCTGGAGAAGTGCGGAGACAGGCAGCAGGTGACAGGAGGTGGCAGATCCCTCTGGGCTTGGAGGTGGCAGGCAGCCCTGGCTGCGATGTCCCTGCCCACTTGATATGTCTTCATCCACAACCTAGGGAGGACGCGGGATCTACCTGGGAGATTCTCTTAGCAGGTGGGGCACAGATAAGGGTTTGGTTTGGGGCCCCAGTGACCCATTGCTAAGCAAAATGTGTGAGAGAAAAGGACTTCTGACGAGCCCAGGGATTTACGTGCTGCTTTGGGAATGTTCTCTCCAGACTTTTAAAAATAAATAAAATAAACGTGAAAAAAAATATTAGCTTGGCTAGTGAGAGAAACTAAATAACTTGCTTGTGCTGGAAACTGGAGATAAACCCCACTCGCAGGTTGCCTTAAAAAACTTGCACTTGATCTATTTAGAGTTGTTATTTTCCCTTCAAATTAAGATGCGTTAAATCCATGTGTGTTGTGGCATGGATTATCTTTTTTTATTATTAAATCATGACAGCTAATTATTAGTTCTGTCTGCACCGAGGAATAGTGCAGTGTTCTGTCTGAGGGACATGGCCCTGGGCTCAGGCTGGGGTTTGGGTGTTGGGATGGCTGAACAGGGCAGAGTTTGGGCTGGGCTGGTGGGTGGTGGGGAAGAGGGGCGCTACCTGGTATTCCTCATTGTGCTAGATGCTTTTCTTGGGTTATCTCACTTAATTCTTCAACCTTGAAATATATATTTCTAACCCTACTTTGAACTGGGGCTCAGAGAGGTTAAGGGAGTTGCTGAAGGTCACACAGCAAAGCAGAGTCAGACTCAGTCAGGCCTAGTTTCCTTGGATAGCAAGGGGTGTGGAGGATTTTGGGGATGGGTATTCTAACTCTGTCTGTCTGGCTGGTGGGGCCTTGATGGCGGGCACCACCTCTGACCCCATCCAAAATGGTCTTTGAAGCCCATCCCAGATATGACCCTGTGGATACAGCCAGAAGTCCTCAGACCCCCAGGGACCATGGCCTTCAGTCTGTGGCTTTTGTATATACTGTCCTGTACTTCCTAATGAGGGCATTGGAGAGATGGGTGGTGACAAAGAATGAAGTACACTGTAAATTCAGGTGCACCTGGGCCAGAATTTTAGATTTTTTCCCATACATATGATTATTTCTTTTATTTTATATTCACTGTTGCATAGACTTTTCCCCCATAAATACAAATTATTTGTTTTATTTTGTGGAATTGTGGTTTTGCCAGGGTCTTGCTATGTGACTGTCAGCCAACTGTTTGCCTCCCCAGGTCTCGGTACCTATAACTGGAGATAATGTTCCTTGTGTTTTGGGCTTGTTATAAGGTTTGATTCAGACAAGGTATACATAGAACAGGTTCCTGTGGGTTTTAGCTGTTGTTGATAATGGAGATCCTGCCGGTGGGATCCAGAGGAAGGGTCTGGCTTCCTAGCCTCCTGGAAGGACCTTGCTGCCAACTCTTCCCTTCTCACCTGCTCAGTGACTTGTCTGAACTTACATAACTAGTTACTGGCAGAGCTGAGTCCAGACCCCAATTATCTCGAGTCAGGACAGGTGACTTTTTGCCATCCCAGGGTGCCCACCCCTGTAGCTTGAGGCCATCTCCCCTGGTGGAGTCCCAGTTTCCTCAGCTGAGAAAGGGGGTGAGCCCTTCCTGTCCCACTGGCCTTCCAGGGAGGCGGTGGACCCACCTGCCATGTGAACTGTGCAAACCAGAGTCAAGAGTGTGTGCCGCTAACATGGTGACATCAGCACCGATTGTAGTTGAAAGTTTTATTGGATTAAAAAAAAGACAGACAATACTGGTCACATAAATGGGTGTTTTTTTTTTCTCTTAAGGTTTGAGGCCTTATTTATTGTTTTATGTACGTAGTTCCATACTTCCAGCAGTAATTCAGGAAACAGGAGAGAGAGATAAGGTAAGAAAAAGAGAGAAAGGCAGCTGGGCTCCCAAGGGGTGAACTTAACCAACATTCAGCCTGAGTTAATATTATTATTCTTAGTTTGTCTATTTGACAGTAAATAGTTAGTATTGACTAAAGTTTTTTTAATCAGGCATTTGACAGCTTTTTTGAGTGGTTGTTGCTCATTTGCATGCTTGGCTAATGAATTAACCACCAGGTCTAGAATCTGTTAGGAGTGGGCTCTGCTGATAATCTATAGAAATAAGGCTGACTGGCTGTCACCCTGTGCCTTTGGGGTCATCTTTTCACTGAGGAAACAAAGAGATGGAGTTTTTCCTAATTTCATGTAAAATTTATTTATTTATTTTTGAGACAGAGTCTCGCTGTCGCCCAGGCTGGAGTGCAAGGGCGCGATCTCAGCTCACCAAAACCTCTGCCTCCTAGGTTCAAGAGATTCTCCTGCTGGGCACGGGGGCTCACGCCTGTAATCTCAGGACTTTGGGAGGCCGAGGCGGGGGGATCATGAGGTCAGGTGATCGAGACCATCCTGGCTAACACGGTGAAACTCCGTCTCGACTAAAAATACAAAAAATTAGCTGGGCATGGTGGCGGGTGCCTGTAGTCCCAGCTACTCAGGAGGCTGAGGCAGGAGAATGGTGTGAACCCAGGAGGTGGAGCTTGCAGTGAGCCGAGATCATGCCACTGTACTCCAGCCTGGGCGACAGAAGGAGATTCCATCTCAAAAAAAAAAAAAAAAAAAAGATTCTCCTGTCTCAGCCTCCTGAGTAGTTGGGATTACAGGCGCCTGCCTGGCTAATTTTTGTAGTTTTAGTGAGATGGGGTTTTGCCATGTTGGCCAGGCTGGTCTCAAACTCCTGTATTCAGGTGATCCACCCGCCTCGGCCTCCCAAACTGTTGGGATTACAGGCACGAGCCACCGCACCCAGCCTGATGTTAAATTTAACTCATACTTACTAGATCTTACTGTGTGCCAGACACTATTCTAAAGACTCTGCAGATACTAACTGGTGTAATCCTCCCTATGACCTTATGATATGCTAATATCAGCCCCACTTTATAGAAGAGGAAACTGAAGCCCAGAGATGTTAAGTTATTTACCCAAGGTCACACAGCGGTGAGTAGGGTCCCAGGGTGTCAACTCCGGCAGTTATGTTCTTCACTGTGGTCATAACTGTGCCTACATTCCATCCACCTCTCTGCCCCACGAGGGTGGTAAATCAGGTATTCCTTTCATTTTGCAGATGAGGCAACTGAGTCATAGAGAGGTACCTTGCACAGTTGTCCGGTGAGTCACCAGCTCAGTTGCGCCTAGAGACCAGGCTCCTGGGAGGGAGAGCATTAGGAAAAATAGCTAATGCATGCTGGGCTTAATACCTAGGCGATGGGTTGGTAGGTGCAGCAAACCACCATGGCACACGTTTACCCATGTAACAAACCTGCACACCCTGCACATGTACCCCAGAACTTAAAATTAAAATTAAAATAAAAAAAGAGGACAGGCTCCTGACTTCCCAGGGAGGCCCTGGGTCTTCACTGTGTCATGTCCCAGGAGCCCAGGCCTCGTGGGATCCTGTGTTCTTGAACTGTGGCTGGTGCAGGCCCTTTCTGCTCCTGGCTGGGCAATGAGTGATTTCCACTCTGAGGTCGAATCTTGGTGATGGGACTTGGGTTCCAGAGTGGGGTGAAAGAACCAAGACAGTAGGCACCCACCTGTCCTGCACACATCTGTGGTTTCATGTTGACTGCATTTTGGGAGGAGCTGGCCCCCACCTCGTCATGAGTTACAGGCAAGTGGCCCTGTTGAGTCCAGAGTGGGGAGAGGCAGGCACAGTGGACTCTGGCTCGAGACCTAGGATGGCATCCTACTGTGGCTGGCATGCTGTGTGACCTTGAGCAGACAGATCTTCCCCGTCTCTGGGGCTGAGCCTGCTGGGCTGAAATGTGAGATGGAGCCACCAGTGGTTTCTAACAGCTGCAAGAGCCAGGCAGAAGGTCGTGCATTTCCCACCTCAATTCCTTTCCCACCCAGTAGTTCCCCCAACTTTCCTCATTTTTCACATTAATGAGGCTTAGGAGTCAGTTTTCTCTGAAGAAACTGGTGGTGAAAATGAAAACTGTTAGATTGAAAGCTTAGGTCTTTCTGCCCCAGGCTGTGAAGATCCTTATGGGAGAATTTGGTCCACTCACCGTGAGGTAAACAGTTGAAGCTCAGAGCCCCTTGTGTGACCAGGCCCTGTCCCTAATGTCCCTGTGTGGTTTGGCATTCTTTTCTTTGTGATGAGTGTACCCTGAATTGTATAAACCTCGGGCCCTGCAAGATCTGGACCCACCCTGGCCCAGAGCCTGCTGGGGGCGGCCAGTGACCTCTGGGCACACAGGGAGTGGGAGCCTCCTCAGGGGAGGGTGTGATCAGGACTTGCAAGCCTCGAGTTGGACCCAGGGAAGAAGAGGCCTTGCTGGAGAAGGCAAGGCACCCGAGGCTTCATTTTATTTTGTTTTTGAGTTTTCTTGACGCCTTCTTGCTGGTCCGCTGGTTTTGGTCTGGAGGGCCCTGGGGTGTCTCAGAAAGGAGGAGTCTGTGCTGAGGGTTGGGAGAGGAGAGCAGGGAGGGAGGGAGGAGGGAGCCCTTGATCAGCCACAGGTCTGGGAAAGCATCTGCCCCTCGCTGCTCAGACAGCTGGGAAACTGGGACCACAGCCTCCTCTGGGCGGAAAAATAGTAACAAAATAGCCTTTTTGTTGGAGGTGAAAAGTCAGACTCCCCCACTCCTGGTGTGGAGAAAAGGCAGCAGCCAAGGGCAGGGTGAGCCCCCCAGCCCAGGACCGCCTGCTCTGTCTCTAAGCCAAGGCAATGTTTGATCAGGGCTGTTTTCCCCCCATCCCCTGCCCTGGGGGCTGAGTGCCTGGGCAGCTTCCATGGCCTTCAGGTTGCGGGTGTGGACACAACCTCAAAGGTGCAGGCAAACAGGTGCGTGGGTCAGCGTCTGCTGAAGATGAATCCAGAGGCACAGAGCCCTAGGAGCTGGTAGCCCCAGTGCCTAGGCTGTGCCTCTAGTGATATGGCACAGATGAAGCCATCCGTCCAATCCACAAGAGTGTCCAGAAAACACGCGTCTACCTCCTGATGACTGCAGGTGCCAAAGGCATCCTGGAAAGGAGTGGAGAAGGTGGCTTTATTTCAAAGCCTTTTTCAGGGTAGAGCACACCTCCTGGAGAGTGTAGCCAGCCAACCAGGGATTCCAGGCTCCTCCCTTGGGGTTTGAGGGCAGAGACTGGCTGTCCTGGGCTCAGAGAGACAACAACTGTCTGAATTCTTCTCTGTTCGGGAGAAAATGGGACAAACCTTCAGTGACTCCCTGCCACCTTCAGCAGCTGGCTAAAAACTGTTGGAGTTGGTAAACCCAGCAAAACTAAGTTTTCCTGGGGCTGGAGCGGGTTCTTTTCTCCTCCCACCTCAAGTTCAAAGCCAGCCAATTAAGAAAGCTAAACAGTGTGGTCTTCTCTCTGCATCATTGGCTTGTAAAACTTTCCCTGCAAACTAGGCGACTTTATTTGTTGGGAAAACGAAGTATATAATTTTCCTGACCTGGCCTTTGCTTTGGGGAGAAGGGGAAAGAGAGAAAGAAGTCATTTCCAGAAACAGACGGGCCCCGAGGAGCAAAACAAGGTCCACACTCCAGCGTCAGGGCAGCGTAGACTGCAGCGCTGTGGTCTGGAACGCTGAAAACAGCGTGTTGCGGGGAGGCGGGACGCGAGGCTCCAGGCTGCGGAGCCCTCTGGGGCCTGGGTCACTGTCTGCGAGGTGGACATCGAAGTCCTCCCAATTCTGCTTTCGAACCTCTGGGCGCCACCTGCCTCCCCGCTACTGCAATTTTCCGGTTTCCCCGACGTTTGCAACTTGCAAGTCTCCTCTCACTTCCTTCCATCTCCAGCAGCCCCTCCTCAAGCTTGGCCTCCTCCCCTCCCCGCGACGGTGCCTATCCCGAGCAAATCATACCCATCCTCTCCGCCGCCCGCAAGACAGCCTCCCCCGCCCTGCCCGAGGGGTCTTCAGGCCCCTCCCTCCAAGGGCTCAATGGTTGGGGTCCATAGCCCCCTTCATTGCCACACAGGAGAACACAATGGCCTTCCCCGAGGCCAGGGGCGCAGAGCTCCGCGGGGGCGGCTGCATCTCCCGGACCCCGCACCCGGCACGGCGCGGACACTTTGGCAACTTCAAAACTGCGCGGGGGCCTCCCCTGCGAGCGGTGCCCCTTTCCCGGCTGGCCCTGGCCGGGTCGGGAGGCTCCTCGGCACTGTTCCCAGGCCTGCGGGCGCGCCTGGCCCCCGCCTGGCCGCCGGCCTCTGATTCGCCCACGGCCTTGCGCCCATCGTCCACCTCCTTCCCTCTCTCTTTGACCCGCGCCCGCTGCGCACGTTGATTGTGCCTTGGTGGGGCGGGAGGGCCGAGAGGGCTCAAGGTCCATGCATAATTCGGGGGCTTAATGGAGCAGCTGCCTGAGCCGGGCGGCGAGGGGCGGGCGGAGGCGCAGCTGACCCAGCCCGCGTCTGGCCTCGCTGGGAAGGCGCGCTCCTTTCTTCCTCCCCTGACACTCCCCTCCCCCACTCGGCCTGGGTCCGAGGAAGGCGGGGGGTGGGCGAGTCGAAGGGCTAGCTTTGGGAAGGGGTTTCCCTCGTGCATCCGTGCAACTTTTGCTTTGGGGGGCGGGGGGCATGCAGTGAATCGGAGCCGCCTCGGGACCGGCTCCTGAAGGTGGTGGAATGCAGGCTTCCTCGGAGCACTCTGCAGCCCTGGAGTCTTTTTTCCCGGCTCCTTTCCCCCCCGCCCCCGTCGGTCCCCAGCCCAGCAGCAGCCCAGCGAGCACGCCTCTGGCCCCGGGCCAGCCCCCTTCCCTGGCAGCCGGCGGAGATGGATGGAGGCGGAGACCCAAGGTCAAGGGCGGGGAGCCTGCCGGCCCCGGGCCCCTTTGTGCGCACGGGGCCGCCCCTCCTCCACCAGTCGCCTCCTCTCTGGCCCTTGGGCGCTCTCCCGGGTGGGTGACCTTCTCGGGCATGGGGAATGTGGAAGTGGTCCCCTCCCCGAAACCGTGCGCGCCGGTCGGGTCGCTTCGCCGGGGTGGCATTCGTCCCGGGTGCTGGGGGCGCACGGGGATCCCTCTTCCGCCCGCCGCCATTGCCCTGATGAGTGGCGCCGTCTTCCTCAGCCCACCTTGGCGGGACAGAGCGGGCGGTTCCCGGGATCCAGGTGAGGCCGGGACGGAAGGAGCCTCCGGGAGTTCCCTTGTACAAAAATGTGATCATCCAGGGGCAACAGCCCCATCTCAAAGTGGGGATTTCGTGGGGACCTTAGTTTCTTTCCGAGTGGGAGAAGAGTAAGCCCGCTTTTCTCAAGGACAAAAGTGTTTTCCCAATTGTGTGGGAATGGAACCCTCCACTGGAGTGGGACACCGAAGCTCCTGGAATTACAGGGATTTAATGTCAGTCCTCCTTTCAGCCTGACTTCTCTTAGGATAACCTCTTCCAACAAGAATTTGTATGCAAATCGTCACCTTGCTAGGAGTCTCTAGTTTTGTGTGTTAAAAATTGGCCTCCAATTGTTTAAAGCACTTCAACAGGCCCTTAAAGGCCCAGAAAAGCAGTGGTTGGACGCCCAGCCTGTCCACCACAAAGCTCTTAAGAAAATGTTCAAACATTTTCCCAAAGCTGTTACTCTGGAAATAAAACTGTATACTGTTCGCCTGTAGCCGATTAAAAGTTTACCTTCACTGTGACAGCTTTTCCAGGCTAGGATTGGACCCACATCTCTATTTTCCATTTTTCAGAAATAAATCTAAACCAGGCAGAATTGATTTGCTATAACAAGAGTCAAGGTAGTATTAAAAATATGCGTATACCTATATACTTATAATATGAAATAGTATGTTACACTTGCTGGGCTCTCAAGGCGAGTATTGTGTAAACGGCACCGTCATGGCGTTTTGAGTAAGAGTTGATTTTAAAATCTCAGATTTAGCTAACCCGAACTTTGAGCAGCCAGCTTTTCTGGTAGAGGAATCTGAAGGCATTTGTCAATTTATTTTTTGCAAGCCCTCCGGAAAAGGTAACAAATTCAACACTTGGGAGCTCAAAGCTACTGCCAGTCCTGGACAGGAAGGTTTTCATATCTGTCTGAACTTGCTCGCTGATTTCTCAGACGTCCATTTATAACAGTGGGTCTAACAAGATAGAATCCGCCTTTGAATATCTGTAAATACGGGTAAAGATCACAGTCCAGCACTCATAATGGTCCAAAACGAACTGGCAGATTCTCGTGTTTGATTAATATTTATGTTACCGGATTCCTTTACAGAAAGAAAGATGAAACGCTAATTATGTGTGTGTGTGTTTGACGGGCCCCATCCTAGGTCTCTGCAGTTCATTTAAAGGGATGTACATTTTAGGATTTTTGGAGACTAGGGGTGTGTGTGTGTGTGAGGGGGGGGTAATTGTTCATGTTTTGCTTGAAAGACAGGTAACCTGTGGTTGGCTGAAGTATTGGCTGGTACACTGAGGGAGAGGCTGACTTTTCATTTTCCTTTTCTTTATTTTGACGGCTCAACAGTGATCAGAATTACGCGTGATTTCTCCCTGTATGTTTGGGCTAAGGCTTGGACAGTGTGGTGGAAGGCTCTTGTTCAGGATCTTCCTCGAGGAGAACTGGTAGCCCCCAGGGTGCTCTGGCGTCTTTGCAGGGCACACTTTCTGCGCCTGAGTGGCAGGGTAGGCTGCCCTGCAGTGTGTGCTTCCGAGCCCTGCCATGTGTCTGTAGGGCACTTTCCTTGCTTTTTTTTTTTTTTTTTTTTTTTTTTTTTTTTTTAGGAGCAATGTGTGGGAGATTTGCCTGGAAATGGGGGGTTCTGTCAGCTGGATCATGTTGAAATACCAGTGCAATTGGTAGCCAAAGGGATCCTGGAGAAGCCTCCTTCGGAGGTGCTGTGTTAAGCATCTTCAATTTTATTGCTTTGAGAAGCCTAGATTTTTGTATAGGATTTCCTACAAGGGTGCTTCCAGAGTGGCACCTGAGTCCTGCTTAGAGGTTCAATAATATTTGTTGTTGCTGGAGCGTCAGGGGCCGTGTCGTTGTTAAAGCCGCAGAATCTAGAGGTTGGCATGTGGTGTCGGATAGTCTCGAATGCATTGACTTCCTAAACAGCCCAGGGCAAACCAGTTCATCTGTTAGTTGCTTCATCTATAAAATGGGGCTAGCCAATTGTTTACTTCCCTGTCCCTGTCCAGATATGAAAACAAACCCATAGGTAGGAGTGAAGCAATTGCTGATTTCAAAGACATCATAAAAATGGAGAACTGTTATTGTTCAGTCCGTGGGGGCAGGGTGACTAATTTGCAAAAGGGAAAGGAATCAAATAGCCTCTTCTAGAGGGTGTAATTTTTTACTGCAAGGAAGAAGAATTAGGGGCTTTGGGAGGAGGTTTATGTGGGGAGGGGGGCACTTGGTTTTTCAATTTAGTAACCTGATACCAATAGGAAACTCCCCCACTTCCCCATTCATTTTAGAGGAGTGTTCCCCCACCCCAGCTCCTTGTTATTGTTGGGACTGTCACATGATTCAGAATCTTGATACTGAATAGTGTCACTGCTGCTCTTGACCTGAATACCCTAGAAAAGGTATTTTTTCCTGATATTTGGTCTCAGGCCCCAGAAGGAGAGGAGCTGGACAGGGGACATGTAGACTTGGATTAGGGAGGAATGCATACAGCAAGCAGTCTTTAAATGCACAGGCTTGCTAGGTGCCGGTGAGGAAGGAACTCAAAGCGGACCAGTGAGGAAATTCTCACCGCCTCTCAGAGCTAACAAAAATTGGCACTTATCCCCATGGAGCACACAGCTGTCTGCTATGAAATGGTACCTTCACTAGGGAAGCCAGAGGGCCTAAGTGTCCTATTGGGGCTCCATTTTACTTTTTGGTTGTTGCTTTTCTTTGGAAGTGTCTTGATTTCTTTTTTCCAGCAAAAGCTGGATTACTTGAATTAGATTTTTCATAAAATAACCTCTGGCAGGGTCCAAAACCTCTGGATTAGTCTTGTTAGTTAGGAAATACAGAAGCTTTCTTTATGTATTTGGTTTGTTCACCCTGGCTGGGCCAAGACTTTGGGCTGGAGTTGTGGGGTAGGGGTGGGAGAGTGTGGTCCTCTCCTTTCCCCATGGGGGCCTTGACCCAGCCCCTGTTCACTGGCACTGGGGCTGGAGTGGGGAACGGCAGATACCTGGAGTCTGCGATGGTGCAGGCTTGGAGCCAGGAGCTGTCTGGTGCTTCTTAATTGAATACAGATCTAAGTAAATTCCACGTGGGCATGCAAGGCTGGGCAAGGAAGGCCGTGATATTCCCCTCTCCACGGCTGGACTCGTAACCCTCCCAACCTGACGGGCCTCTCCGCCTGTCGCTGTACCCAGCCCACATGGTTTGCGAGAAAAGGTAGGGAAGCAGGGGGACAAGATCATGCAACGCCCATGTAAATATTGTCTGTATGAACTGGGTCTTCCATCTTTTGTTAGTGGCAGCTCGTTAATTAACCAGCAGATTAGTGCTGCCTTCTTTTGACACATGCATGTATTTTGGGGTAGAGGATTCTTGTTCTCCTAAAACTCTGAACCGAACCGCTCAGAAAGTCTTCCTTCAGCGCCGCCTGCCCCTGCTCCCTCTCCCTGATGTCCTCCCCACTCCCCTTTTCCTGTCCCCTTCTACCCACCCTTTCCTTAAACCCAAGTGGGCTTGTAGTCGAGTGGAGGACAGACACGTTAAACACAGCTAAATAAATCATGTTTACGCTTGGCGTCTTCGGTAGTGAAAAATCTGTTGGCTGTTTTTACTTCCTTATTTCTCAGCATTTGCTTCCTACCTGCTTTTGACCACATGCCCAGAAATAGTAGTTTTGTCAAATGAGGGGATAATGCCAGCCAGCCTTTCTCGCTGCCAAGGAAGCTGCTGGATTTTGCAAAACAGAGTGACGTTTTTTTTAGTGACACTGATGTTTTTTTCAAAGAAATTAGGATGTAGAATAAGGGTATTAAAATGCACTTAGGGAAGGGGGAAAAAAGCGACATCGTCCCCCCTACAGCACAGGGACACGTAGCAAGCAGGTTTAGAGAAGAAAGGTCTCATTTTTGTTTGCACTTGGCCGCTCCAAGGGCAGGAGGCAGCTGTCAGAGGCGGAGGAGCTGAGTCAGGTTCCCTTCGTCTCAGCCCCAAGACTTAATTTTTCTGCCATTTTGGTGATGTGGTGCGAAGATTTTTTTTTTTCTTTTTCTTTTGGGTTTTGTGTCTGTTTAGTCTCTGAGGCCTCCTGAGCGATGCTTGCTGCTTTCTTCCTCTGAGATTACAGCTAGATTCTCGCCCCGATCTGGAATTGGAGCTCGTTGGGATCCTGGCTACACTATGATTGTTTATGTGTAAGAGTGGCCCCGGAGGCCTCCCCGCCTCTGGGCTCTTATCTACAATGTTGTTTTGGGGTATATTTCATGATGGGGTGCTGGGCAGAGAACTTCCTGGGTAATTACAGCCAAACAGAGGCTGTAGATTTAAAAAAAATAATAAAAAAACAGTTTCAAAACCAAGTAAGTGGCATATAAATACTGGGCACTCCTGTAGGGAGAAGAGGCTTGTCTTATCGCGGGATCTTTGCAGGGTTTCTGCAGTCAATTCTGTCTGAGGTCCAGCACATCAGCTCTGTTTCAAAGACAGCTGAGGAAAAAAAAAAATTACAACAAAATCAAAGTCAGCGTGCTATGATTTCCCCCAATTTCTAATGGGAATAGTCTGCAATAGAAATGATATTTCCATTGAGGACTGCGCTGCCGGTTTCTTTAATTACATTAAATAGCGGTATAAACCTCAGCCGAATGTAAACCTCTGTTACAGCGGCGTCTCGCGCGTGGCTAGATGAATCGTAAGGAGCAATATTCCTAGCGTTAATGTGCTAACAATCTTTATTAAATTAGTCCCGCGAAGTGTTAATTTTTACACATTTTGTTGTGCACGCACTGCACGTCACCGCTAGTGTGTTAGGAGATGAAAACGGATTTCACGTCAAAAAATAAGTAAGAAGGTGGCTGTCAGACAGCTCCCTTAGAAGAAAATTTGTGATTTTTGCCATCAAATGTTACCTGTGCTGAAAAGAAGGCTTACGATATGTATATTAAATGCCATCTACATACAGAAAACTCAGTTAAAGGAACTACTTTGTTGAAAGTAATTACAGGCCTGTTCAATTTTTTAGTCAGTGACATTTCAGACTTGGCTTAGGAACATAAAGAGGCCATAGAAAAGATTTTGTTCTTATGTAATGCAAAGCACTGAACCTCGGTCTTCTATAAGTCCATTAGGAAAAGGAAAAAAAATGAAAGGGAGAAAAGAGATTTAGTCATAAACAAAATCCAGGGGAGAGCTGTATTTTTTTTATTACAATAGTAGAAATCAATTGCCTATAATTCTATCAAATGCAACCCAAAACAAAATGTGCATTTAAACTATAGCAGGGTCCTCCTTTTTACAATTTGATTTCTTTTCTCTCTCTTCCTTTCTTTCTTTCCTTTTTTCTTTCTTTTTAACCTTCTACTAACCAAATTTATTTCTGTTCCATCTGAAACAAGAAACCCTGCTGGCCCTGTGGTTGTCTGTTCCCTTATGGCTCAGGTAGAGTTTTATGGTCTGATCTTAAAAAGGTTGATGATGCTTACATTCCTCATATCCATGACTCCATCTGCACCTGAAATTTCTGTTCCCTTTTCTGGCTGCTTCGGGCTTGAGTCATCCCAATAACCTCCTTGCTGGGCACTCCGTTTTCTTTATGTTCTTTTTATTGGCTGTGCTGTTTATTTTCATTCTTAATTCTCCGGGATTCTCGCAGCTCAGCCTTCCTCCTTCTGTTTATTCCATTGCACTGTCTGTACATGGCCGTTGAGCAAAAGCCAGCATTGGAGTTCATGGGACCTTGGAACCACAACTTCCTGAACTCCCCAGTTTGTAAACATGTTTTAGGGAGGGCCAGATTCTTAACACGTGTCAGGATTCAGTGTTTTCCGGGTCATTCCTCAAAGGTCAGGCACAGTGGATGCTGAGGGGATAGAAAAAGGTGTCCTTAGTTTAAAACTCACTGTAGGCACCCAATCTGAAGATGAGTTTCCTGGTTTTTGCCTTGTGTGACATGTGAGTTCTATCTTAACTGTGTATTTCCACTCCCACCCCCAGCTCTAAATTAATGAAGAAATAGGAACATATCTGAGGGATGCCTGGCCAAGCTTGTCATTGGAGTCTGGCCCCTAAGTTCCATCTGGGAAAGGGCTACAGGGTCCCAACCCGAAGTCCCACATTCTTTATGCTTGGTATCCAGATGATTTATCTAACACTTTACTTCGGTTTGCAGCCTGCCTTCACTCTTCGTTGAGTTATTCTTCATGCAGATGACATGTAGTATACTGTTTGTGGCTCTGGACGCAACTGGAGAGAAAATTACTGAAGGATCTTGAATTAAATTGTCTTAGAAAACAGAGACTGCTGAAGGTTGAAGCAGCTACCACACCTCTGATCAGAAAACCTAAATTGAGAGGAAAAGGGGCAATTCCTCCATTAGGTATTGACTGGCTGATTTTGCTGGTGAGATTTGGAGAATCTCTCAGTTGCAATTTGTCCTTGCCCTCTGTGGACTCTGGTTGGATGCGCGCAAGACATCTTAACATGTCCACGTTGCTGATAGATGAGTGTTTGTGTGTGTATGTGCACATGCATATGTATATGTATATAGAACCTCTCTTATAGATAATAGAAGTGCATGCACACATTTTTCTAACCAGTGCGACACATGGCTTCACCTTCTGTTGTCCTCAGGCCTGCCCATTCCAGGATGGTGGGCCCCAATTTGGTGGACCCTGCCTGCCTGAGGTCACCCAGAGGAGTTATATTCATTTTTGTATCTGTGTCCTGAAGCCGTGATGCCTAGGAGCAAAGGAATGATCAGCGTCCCGGCTGGAGGACAAGTGTTTGTGGTTTATTTGCATTTCAGTAGTTCGGAACACTGCAGGATTTTCCCCGAGAGACAAGCAAAAGAAGAGTCCAAGCTGCGTGTCCCTCACTGCGCCCCCCTACCCCCTGCAAATGCCCACTTAGGGGCTGGAACGGCCAGCCCCCTCCACCTCCGTGGTTCACAGAAGATGGCTGAGGGATGCCCTTCCTCCCCATCAACATTGAAGTGTCCTCTGCTCCCTCACAGGGGCCTTGGTGTTGGAATTTGTGATGTAACTTCACCAGTCCTTGGGTCAGGGTGCAGAAAGGGGATCAGCAGCCCTGGAGTATTTCAGCTGCCTGCATCTTGAGGAAATTGGAGTTGGCAGTCAATGAAACAGGTGCTTTTGGACCTGGGGAAGGGGTGTGCCCAAGCGTGCCTGCCTCTAAATTGCAAGAGGCAGCTGCTGGGGAGGATGTTCCCTTTCCAATCTCTGGTGGAAGGAGGAGAAAGGTTTTGGTAGTGTCGGTGGGGGACGCGATCATTCCTTGGCTCTGCCTCTCCATTTTCTGGGATGAGATTTCGGAAGTGCTCCAAGAGGAGGAGCTTAGAGTAGGGCAGCCTGGCTCAGGGTGCTCCCTGAGGTGTGCTTCTAGTCTCCCTCACGGCCAAGCCTTCTCACGGTGGGTGCAGGTGGATACCCTGGTGGCCACACAGGGTCGTGGGTGGCCTGTGGGGAATCTCTGGATGGCCGTTTGTGGAAGTGATGGTAGAAGTGGTCTCAACCCAAAGATGAGCAGTTGCCCATGTTCCTGGAGGCCCCTGGTGAACCCACCTCACTTCCTGCAGCCTGGCACTCCTCAGTGACCCTCTCTGGATCCATTAGGGCCTAGATGGTTGATGAAGGATGCTGGACAGGCTCTTTCACCTGCATGTGAATTCTTACCCTCCTCAGCCACCTGCAAGGACTGCTGTCTTTCAGCTAGCCGCCCACATAGAGGCCAAACGTAGATTCGAACTGTTTTTATGTCTCCCGTGTAATGACCCCGAAGGAACTCTTTAAACACAGCTGTGCAAACCCTTGTGAGACCTGACTTTCCCTTTTCGTTGCTCTTCTTTCCAAGGACACCTACATGTTCACCCCCAAGCCAAAACCCGTGGCAACAAGGGACTAGAGACCCGTAATGGCCATCGGGTGCCCAGACAAAACAGTGGTGTCTGATGGAGAATGAGAATCCAGGAGTGGGAGGTGGGGCCTGGGGAGCTCCATCGCCCTGCCTGGCATTTCTAGGTCCCCCAGATGCTCTGGGGCAGTGAGCTGAGCCACGTGGCACACCCACTCCCTCTCTGGTCCTGCCTTGGGGACCCACCCTAGACTTGCAGCTTTTCATGGTAACCTGCGTGTTCACTTAAATGCTTTGCTTTCCCTTTCTGCTTTATGATGATGATTGTTGGTATATATTTTACAATGAAATGGAAAACAAGTTCCAGTCATTGCTGGTTCCTAGACCTTGGTAATTAAAAGCTAAAAAAAAAAAAAAAGAAAAAAAAAGAAATGAAATAATACCTGTGGAGTGAAGGAATTTATTTTTTGAGTCACCCTCAACCCCAAAGACCTGTGTAGCTCTGAAATTGAGCAAACGAAGAAGTCTCCCTAGAATTGTTCTTCTCTATTCCTGCTGTCTCAGCCACTCCCCCTCTACACCCCCCACAGCCCCCCAAAAAAAGGGATTGAGAGAAAGACAAATGATGAGAGAAGGCCAGTCTTGTCAGGTGAACACCCAGTTCCTGTCTCATTTAAGGTTGCACTCCACTTCTTTCAAATAGGAAATTGCCAAAATGGATGTCATGGGCTGCTAATTAGATGTATTTTAACTGCAGGATCATTTTACCAGCTAATACTGTTATTATGTGCTTCAATGTGAACCCATGGTGGAGCTGTTAAAATATGAGCGTGCAGTCTTAGCAGACAGCTCTTGGAGCCGTTGGGATGGGTGGAGGGCGCTTTTCCTCACGGCCCTGAAGATCCCCGGGCCAGGCCCTGTGCTGAAGATCAGAGCCCTTTCAGCTTCTCAAGAGGTGCCCCCTGCTCTCCTAAAGACCATCTTCTCCTTGTGTTTAGACCAGGGCCTGAGCCTCCAGGAGGCCTGAGCTCTCCAGCGTCACATCCCCTGCCCTCTAGACATCAGGGTTCCCTCTGGACCAGCCTAGAAGTGCCAGATGACCACAGTTCATGCCTGTGCCTACCCAGAACAGGCAGGCCTGAATCTCACACACTGGAGTTTCAAGTCTGTGCTGGCTTCTCCTCCATCTTCCCTCTGTAGCAAACCGGAAAAAGAATCCTAATTTCCCGTTGGGGTGGGAGGAGATGAGCTAGGATCAGGATAATGATTTTTAAATGTGAGCCAGGCATTTGACTTCACGTTATTTCTTTTCCCCCTCACGCTCTTAATACTTAGCATTTTTTTTCTATCATCCTTAAGACAAAGTAGCTGGCAAAATATTTAAGTGATCAGAAAAAAATATTTTTATTTGCCCGCGTGCGAATTGGGTTATCTGCCTATCTTGTTTATGAAATTTGGCGCTGCCTTTCCTGCACAGTACGTTCGCCTCTCAAATCTTTCCCGGCTCCCATTTCCATATTTCTGCGTGCTTGTTCTTTGTTAATCACTTGGCAAGCGCTTATTTGAATATTAAAAATTTCTTTAATCATCAAAGGCAGGAGCACAGTCTCATGAATATTCATATTTTTCCCCCTCCTCAGACTGGATTCTAGTTCATTACCCTGCAGTAAAAGCCAAACAGCCATCAATCGCCCTCATTACAGGCTCTGGCGTTTTGATTGGCTGCCTGCTGCCCAGAGCTTTTTTTTAATTTTTTTAATTTTTTCCCCCTTCTCCTATGAGCTGTCTTGTACCTGCCAACAACCAAAAAAAAGAAAAAAAAATCAACAATGCAAGAATAAATTTCTCTGGTTGGAAAACAACTTTGCAAACTTGTCAAACAGTCCTTGTGGCTTGCTGCTGCCACCGCTGTAGCGTCCACCAGCGCCACCTCCTTCCCCCCGCTGTCCTTCCCCCACCAAAAAAAGAAAAAAGAAAAAAAAAAGAAGCCCAAGATAAAAGAGAGGGGGGAGAGAAAAATAAATAAATAAATAAATAAAAAGGGAGAAACTTGAGCCTCAGAGATGAATATTTGTCAAGAGAGTTGACGTAAGTTTCATTTGCATAATGACTTTGTACTTCTGCATTAATAAAATTTGCATATGAAGCCATGTTAATTACTCCTGATCATGCTTTTTGCATTCATGCATAGTAATTTTCTCCGACTTGTGAGAATTAATGTCTTGGCATGGGGGGAGGGGGCGCGGGGACTGTCAGGTTCCCTTGCCAGTGTCCCTCACTCACACGCGCTGCCTCCCTGGCTGTCTCCTTCCTTGATCTATGACTCATTTCTGCACTATCAGTAGGAGTTCTCAGCTTAAAAAAATGTATCAATTGAAAGGCACCAGTAGGGAGAAAAATACTCGTCTCCTGCACAGTGTATTCCAGACCACCTCTCTCCAGCTCTGAACATGGAATCTGTAATCCTCCCATTTGGGAGGGGACGCCCCAGAGGCTTCAGGGGTGGGGAAGGCTCGAATTCCCCCTGAAACCCGGATGGGGCTTTTCCAGGCGTTTTTGTGTCTCCACGCTCCTCGGCGGTGGGCGTGTTCGCTGGGTGAGTGCGCATGTGTGAGGAACGGAGCAGGAGCCTCTGCAAAGTCCCTCTAGAAGAGAGACGGGTGACAGACCCCTGTGGAATGCTTAAACCCATGAAGGCATCAAGAATGAGCTTATCTAGCATTGCCCTGTTTTGGAGCCTAAGAAGAGGCATTTTAGGGGCCTTATTTTTAGACTTTTTTTTTTTTTTTTTTTTTTTTTGTGCATAGACCTCCAAAGCCAGCGTTTTTTTGGGAGTGTCTTGCAGGTCTTTGCAGGGCGCTTTGCTATGCTCAGAGAACATCCTCTTGCTTTCTTCGCTGGGCAGCGATGATGCCTTGGAAAGGACCATAGGGAGTGGGGAAAGTTTCAGAATGGAAAGCAAGAGAATGATAGTGACCGTTTGGTGAGTTTCCTGGATCTCCGGCTCTGGCTCAGGGCTGACCTGACCCTTCCTTTAAAGTTGAGGGAGCTGAGGCTCTGAGAAAGTGACTCACCTTCAGTCACGAGGCCAGGAGACAGCCGAGGAGGAATTTGAATCCAGTCCTCTCGGTCCTCAAGGCTGTGCGGCCTGGGAGCTCTGGTGGCTTCCTCTGTGCGTGTGTGGGTGCATACCCTGTCCCACATCTCAAGCGCTCCTTAAGTGCTTTCTGGATTTCCCAGCTTCACTTTTAAAGGCAAATACCCCTCCTCTGAGGAAGGATGGGGGCTGGGAGGTAGCCTGGGACAGGTACTGAGGCTGTTTTTTCAAGTTGAGGTAAGAGTCACATGATGTACAATTGACCATTTTAAAGTGTACAATCAGTGGTTTTGGATCTATTCACAATGTCGTGCAGCCGTCACTCCTGTCTAAGTCCCGAGCATTTTCATCACCCCCCGAAGAAACTCTGTGCCCATTAGCCACCCCTCACACCCCTACTGGCTCCCCCCAGCCCCTGGCAACTGCTACTTTCTGTGTCCGTGGATTTGCCTCTTATGAACATTTCGTATCCATGGAGTCATGCCGTAGGTGGCTCCTTTCATCACTTTGGGCTTTTGCAGTAGCTTCAGATTTCTTGAGTTCCACCCTTGGGAAGGGCTCTGGGTTTGAGCTGCCCCGTGTGGAAACCTCTCCCAGTGTAGAAGGTGCTCTGGGAGCCCCAGAGAGGCCCTGTAGAGCTTGGGATTTGAAGCCCCTCTCCCGGCTGCCCCCCTCCCCTGCCTCAGTTGAGCCGGTCCCTGGAGCAGGTGGACTTCAGCAAGGTCACAATTGCTAATGAGACTCTGGGGAAACCTGTCCAGGGCGGCCTACCCCCTGACCCCTATGCAGGGAACAACGTGTGGTGTGTGACATCGCCTTTACAGACCCTGGTCTGAGCCCCACCTTGGACGTTTCCAGGAGAAGGGTGTGGCCAGATGCCTGTTTTCTACCTGCTCTGCAACGGTTCCTCCCACCACGGAGACAGAGTCAGCTTCTTAGCACCTGGGACAACCCTTACCAGGCCTCGAGCTGCTTCTGCTGGTTTCTCAGTAGTGATAAATGGTGCTGGCTGTGTCGTGGCCTCACCCAGAACCCAGGAACCAGAGCCTGGGTTTGGCCTTTGCAGCTTCCAATGGCTGGATTGAGCCCAGGGATCTCAGACTTCCGCCCACTATGTGGCCGTTGCTCTAGAGATCCCAGGACCCCTGGTCACTTACCCAGCTGCAGCCCTAGAGGGAAGCAGAGCATTGCGGGCTTCGGGGACACAACTGGGTTCCAGTCTCAGATCTCCCTAAGCCTCAGTTTTCCCCCAGTGGAATGTGGATCTTTTCTGAGCGAGGTGGCTGTCATGATGATGGATGACCCAGAGCCCTCGGTGGTCTGCAGGGAAGGCCTACATAGGGATTTGAGACCACCAGTGGACAGGATCAAATGCAGTGTCCAGTGCTGGAAGGTTCAGGCTAGGGCAGGCTTCCAGGAGGAGGCAGGTCCTGACCTTCCTTGAGGGATGGCACTAAATCTAGCATGGCCTTCCCCTCAGCATCTGAGGCTGAAACTGTTTACTGGTTCCTCAGCCACATCCTTCCAGGGCTATCCCCAGCTCAGAAATACCCTGGGCCCGAGGCCTCACCTAGTATGAGGTCTTTGTTGGTTCAGGGGGTTCCGAGCAGTGTTGGTGTTAGCTTTGACCTCTTGACAGGACACTGACAGCTTGCAATCCCTAAGCAGGGGGTCTTCTTAAATGCCCTGATGCCTTGATCCTGGATAACCCATGTTTTAGAGAAACCAGGGCTACAGAGAAAGAGCCCTGGTTCTGGGGCCAGACAGCTGGGGTTTGGATGGGGCTGCTGATGTCTGCAGTTTTCTGCAGTCACGCCATCAGTTTCCTGGTCTGTGCAATGGGTATTCTAAGCCCCAGTTCCCGTCAGTGTGTTAGGAAGTTCAGTCCAATGAAGACTGACAGGCTCCTGGCTCCTGGTGGCTTGCAGGGTCCTGTGGCTCTCCTTGCGATGGGGGAATCCACGTGGGGGCCCTGGAGTGGGCAGACTCCCACCCGTGCAGACCTGTGCTGGGCCTCCCTGGCAAAGCCGGCTGGGCCCAGCTGCCCATCCTCTTGTTGACGTTTCCTTTTTGTCTCTCTGATGCTTCCCTGCTCAATTATTTACCCAGGGAATTTGGGCTTCTTCACTTGTGGTTTTGGCAAGGGCTTCACACAAATGTTTTGCCCTGGTGGTCTCTTAGCCATTTAAGATAAACGGCTAAATCAAATGCAGGCCTTGCTGTGGAGCTGAGCGAGCTGTGGGGCTGGGCAGAGGCGGGGCCGGCCCTGGCCCTGTGTCCTTGCTGTCACATGGCGGGAGGCCTCCCAAGCCAGGCCGAGACGTTAGGAGGGGGTGAGCAGCGCCAGGGTTTTCTTGGGGTGTGGTAGGGGGGTGTGAAAGCCTTCTGAAGGGCATTGCGTTTTGGGTGCAGCACGCTCAGTGCTTGGGGCTGGAGAGAGCCCCCAGCTGGTGGTCTGCCAGACAGGAGGCTAACAGAGCCCAGACACCTGGAGGCGGACCCAAGGCTGGAGGCGGACCCAAGGTGTCCCGGGCCTGTAGGAACAGCCCATCCTGATACAGCAAACAGGGGAGGCTGTGAGCTTCCCAGCTCTTCCAGGGAGGGGTAGCCCGAAGTTTTGGAAACAAATCCCCAAATGGAACCTATTTGATTGCTCCAGAGGCCCCCACGTGGGGGGTCCTTCCTGAGAGTGGGTCCTCACAGCCCCCGTTCACCCAGCCCCCTGCACCAGGCCCCCAGAGGCGGGGTCCTGCCTCCCCGACAGCCCAGCCTGGCAGCTGTGGAAACCGGGCCCTCCCCAGTGCCCCCTGCCCACCTCCCCGAGCCCATTCCCTCGCCTGTGTCCCGATTGCCTTCCCTGCAGGGCCTGGCACCCCGGGGGCCTCCCACCCCCGAAGGGTGGCCTGAGCAGAGCCCCACGCCCCGAGCCCCGTCCCACCCCGTGCCCCTCACACAGTCCAGGGCCCGACTGACCAGTCTTTTCTATTGTTTTTTCTCCAGGGCCGTGCAGGCCTGCCCAGCTGCCAGCGGTGGCCCCCATAGCTGCCTCCTCCCACCCTCACTCATCCGTGATCACTTCACCTCTGCGTGCCCTGGGCGCTCTCCCGCCCTGCCTCCCCCTGCCGTGCTGCAGCGCGCGCCCGGTCTCGGGTGACGGGACTCAGGGTGAGGGTCAGACGGAGGCTCCCTTTGGATGCCAGTGTCAGTTGTCAGGTAACAGACGACGCCGCGGTGGGGGGCGGGCCCCCGGGATGGCGGGGTGTGCCATGGGCAGCGCTGGAGCAAGGTGGGGACCCAGGGAGGAAGGGCAGCTCCCACCCAGAAGGCTTTTTGGGGTGCCAGGGGAAGTGGTAAAGAATGTTCGCTGAACTATGAGCCAGGGCCCGGTGCCCCTCGGTCAGGAGTCCCCCACGGTGCCCCCACCCGTTCTGAGAGTCTTGCTCCCAGAATGCATTCCCCAGCCTCCCAATCCCGCTTCTTTGGGTTGTTTAGCGACAGCTTAATTGGATAACACTTAACATCTGAGGTTTTCTTCGGCCCTTGCCACTGCCACCCCCTCCCCCACCCCAGACAATCCCCTGCCCCGCCAAGACCAGGCTAGGGGAAGATTCCTTGGTTGACTGTGTACATTGCTGGAGCCGTCCAAAATGCTGAGTTTCTCTTTGGGAGAATGTGTTGCCCATTAGCTTTGAAAAAGAAAAAAAGTGGCTCAAAAGGAGCCTCTTAAAAAGCTGTGGCCACGAGAGGGAGTGAAACACTGTGAGGTGTGTGAGGGGTGGGGGCGGGGGCTGAGTACCTGCTGTGCGTCCGGCTCTGGGCCAGACCCAGACACAGCTGTTTGTGCCGACTCATCCTGCTCTCCCGGGCGGGCGGTGTGGCTGCCCATTCTACAGATGGGCAGATGGGCCGGTGTGGTGACACAAACTGGCCTCTACCTGCCCTGCTTCTCCCCAAGTGGAACCCAAGATCTTATTCTGCCTAGGGTCTCTGGGAATCCTTGGGGTCCTTGGGAATTCAAGGGCAAAGGGCCCTCTCACAAGTCTGTCCCCCCGGCATCTCGGCAGGGCCTGGCGTGAAAGCACTGTGGCCACGCAAACCAGGATGCTGACACAGACACATGTGGTGAGCAGCCGTGGCCTGGTTTCTGTGGCAGGGGCAGGAAAGGAGAAGGGGGGTGCAGAGCTGGGGCAGATTTGATTGGTCCCTGCTTTGTCACCAGGCATGTTGCAGGCTTTCTCTCGACTTGAATTGTGAAAGGAAAACTATTTTTATTGGGCAGGTTGTGTTTTTAATTGAAGCTGTCCCCACAGGCGGTCCCTGATGGAGCCACAGCTCTGCAAAAGCCATGGCCACAGCTCTGTAAAAGGCCACAGGCAGCCCCTGCTCCAGGGTCCAGAGCTTCCTGGGCTCCAGAGCTCCCTAGTAGGGTGGCCTGGAGCTTTAGTGTACCCTCCCTGCTGTGACAGGTGGTGACATCATAGGATCTGGCTTCCAAAAGGGAGTTCTGGTTTCTTACTGGACTTGTGCCTTAAAGGCACAAAGCAAAACCCAAAATCTCCTGGGAAGGAGTCGGAACCACTTGCAAAGACGCCGGCTCCCTTTTCTGGGCTGTGCTGGTCCCCAGGTGCTCAGGCCTCCTGTCCTGGTTCAGTAGATCTGTTCTGTGAGTCTGTGGAAGGCCCTGCTTGCTGAGCAGGGGGTGCCTGCTCTGTCTGGGTGGTTGCCTTGCTCTCGTGGCTTCCTGTCATTAGCGCTGCAGCCTCGGCAACCACTGGGGGGGCCATGCTATCGAAGATCAGCCTGAGTGTTTATTACTGGACGCGGTCAAGTTCCGTGGCACAGAAATCTGATCTCACCAGAGGCTCACCCAGGGCTTTGCTTAACCCTCTGTTGGCCCTACTTAGAAGTTGCTGAAGTAGATGAGACTCAGCTAGAGGACTGAGCCGCTCCCTCATGTGGCCAGGCCTGCTTAGCATCTTTGTATGGTGCTGACCAGGAGCTGTTACCATCCCCATTTTGCAGATGGAGAAGCAAGGGCTTGGGGAGGGAGAGTGGCTAGCCAGGGTGGCAGAACTGGGATTTGTCCTTGGTTGCCTCCTGAAAGGCCACCCCTCTTCCTGTGGAGCCACGCTGCCTCTGCCGACATCCACGGGAGGTCGAATGAGCTTTCCACTGCCTTGGCTCTGGGGGGCTCTGCCATCAGCAAGTCCTCATACATGCCACTAGGATCCTTATGAGGACTGTGTATGGAGGGCCTGCTATGTGCTGCATTGTGCTGGGCATGTGTGCCTTCTTGAATTTAACCCTCACAGCAACCCTAATACTTTATTCTCCTCACTTTGCAGATGAGAAAATGATGTTCAGAGATGTTGAGTTCTCACAGCTCACGTCTATCCGTCCGTCCATCCATCCATCCATCCATCCATCCATCCATCCATTCATCCCTGTATCCATCCATCCATCCATCTATCCATCCATCCATCCATCCATCCATCCATCCATCCATCCATCCATGCATCCATCCATCCATCCATCCATCCATCCATCCATCCATTCATCCATGTAGCCATCCATCCATCCATGCATCCATCCATGCATCCATCCATCCACCCATCCGTTCATCCATCCATCCATCCATCCATTTATTCATTCTTTAGCTTGAAGCCATTTGGAAGGCACCTAGCTTGTAGCACTGTGCACACACAGGAAGAGTCGGCAGGCAGGTCCCTGCCCTCGTGCAGCTTGCAGTCTGGTGGTGGGGAGGACAGGGAGTGGGGACCTGCAGAAGGGGAAGGAGGAGCAGGGAGGGAGGGAGTGGTGGAGGTGGGATTTGATCCCAGGCTCTCCATCCAGCACCTGCCACATCTTTGGCTTTGGCTCTTCTTCTGGCATTAAAGGCCTTTTTAGATTTTAGGCCTTGAGAGCTGCCAGGACTCAGAGCCTGTGAGCAACCAGTGCTTGATTGCAGTGCTCTGGGAGGGACGTGAGGAAGGGCAGTGTCCTGTTCCTGGGGCTGGGACTGCAGGAGGCTGAGCCCCTAGGACTGCTCCAGGAGACCCTTCTAAGGGGCCTGCTCTTACCTCCTGCCCTCTGCCACCATGTCTGGTACAGTTCTCTTTTTTCATTCGGTCCCAGTTCATTGGCCCTCACCAGCTTGCACCACCATGTTTCCCGATCAATTTGAATACCTGAAACTATCCTATTCTGGTGTTTTTTGTCCCTTTGTGATTTGTGTCCCTGGCACTGGGCTGTTTGCTTAAGTGTTTTTAGTGCCTGTTTAATTAGTAGTTGGAATGGAGTCATTAAGTTCCCAGTAACCCGTTAGGAAGAAGCAGGCCTTTGTAAAGATGGAATGGGCCTGCTGTCCTTACCTGGTTTTGTCCCTTTTCGGATCAGGATGCATTGAACCCATCTCTTCAAGTTAACATGGAGAACCCCAGTGTAAACGTGTTTCACACAGGTTAATTGCGTGCCTGTTACCGCATCTGCAGTTATTTATAGAAGGATGTGATTTTACGGGGGGAGAAAACCACACAGGTATGTGTGTTTGTGCACACCCTGGGCTGGCAGCATCCCAGGGGGCCCTGCCTCCCGGGACCCCAACCCTAGACCTCTTTCCAATGGTCGCAGTGGGGAGAAGGGACTCGGGGGTCCTGACTCTTTTTGACTCTGCTGAAGGAAGGTGGGGCTTTGAGTCTAGGCGTTCCTGGGAACTGAAATTTCTTCCCTGAGAAATTTCACATAGAGGATTTGGCACAGTGGCTGTGGGGTCAAGAGCCTCAGACTGTGTTCCTGGTCTGTGCTTCAGCTGGCCAGGGGCCCTAAAGAAGTCATTGCCTCAGTTTCCCCTTCTGTAAAAATACACGTATGTATGTATATGTGTATGTATGCAACATTTGAAAACGAGGCTCGTGTTATTTTCTGAGACAGGTCAGTGTGGAGCTGCTGTGGGTGGAGTGAGCATGGGGCTAGCTAGGTTTCCAGGGCAGGGCGTGGGACATTCAGAGAATGGTTTGGACACTCCTGGGCTTTGTGCCCCGCATGCCAGAATCCTTCCCTGTTCTGAGGCTTCCATGATTGGAAAGCGGTGGTCAAGTGTATGAGACTGCTTGGGGGTGAAGGCTGTTCTGCCCCATGTAGTCATTTCCCCTCTCCATCCCTCAGTTTCCCCATCTATAAAATGGAGCTAAGGATAGGACAGGCTCTGAAGGGTCGTTCTGGGGATCGTGTGAGATCATACGGGCCAGGTGCTGAGAACAACACCATGTGCTGAGTGAGCCCTGTCGAAGTTAGAGTCCATGCACGAGCGGAATGGGATTCACGACATTGAGACTCTGTCAGGTCTCACTTCAAGCTGGATCTTCGCTTTCCATTCTTAAAAGTATTTAGCCTTTTGGCTGGCTCAGATCATGTACCAGCTTTGGGAGGTGGAATAGGAACTGAGACACTTCATTGCATATTTAAAAGCTGCAAATGGTCATCAGCCACAGTGATTAATATGTGTACTTGGTGAAGTTCAAGGTCTCACACAAGAACACACAGGATCCCAGCTCAGGGAAGTGGAAGTGTTTGGCTTTAATAGAGGGAGTCAGTTGCAGTCATTAGTATATGCTGAAATCACAGGGCAATCTTGTAAAGTTAAATTCAATTTACTTTTCTACTGAAATTGTGCTTGCTGTGTTATTTAACTAGTCTGGGGTTTCTTGGCATGGGTTAAAGGGACAATAAAGATAAAAGAATACCTGTAAGTAAATAGTAGGGTTTAACCATAGAATCTATCCTTTTCTCCTCCTTCAATTATATCCCAGTGTTCATTTTGTGTTGGTTTTATAACCAGAGCCGTCCAATGGGGCGCCGTGGATTAGACCACGCTAGCTGTGGAAGCCTGATGCAATTAATGCAGTCTGCCTGGAAAGTGGCCTTATTTCTGGAAGTTTTGTGTTAATGATATGGTCTGTGCTTTGCACATTTCATACCAAACAAGAAGCAAGCTGTAGTTTCATTCTGGACTGGGTTCGATTAACACCGGAGGATCCATGGGAAGCCAAACGGTGATACGGACAGAGATGGTAGCCTCACCAGGCCCCTGCTGATGCGTCGCCTTGATTCTGGTGCAGGGGGTGCCAGAGACACTCCAGGAGGGTGTTAGATCGGCCACTGAGACTGGAGGGAGGGGTGAGTATGGGGGTGAAGACAAAAAAAGAACCGTGTGAGTGAGCGTGTGTGGACAGCAGAGCTCCGTCGTGGGAAGGTTGGAAAACATGCTCATGGGATTCCCTTTGC
Organism: Homo sapiens; assembly: GCF_000001405.40. Lineage (NCBI taxonomy): Eukaryota > Metazoa > Chordata > Mammalia > Primates > Hominidae > Homo > Homo sapiens. The sequence goes on along the minus strand of NC_000014.9, from coordinate 99,226,274 downwards.
AAAGTAACGTTTGTTGTTAGGATCCTTCTGGGCTAACCAGACAGGTCCTAGTGTTGATGGGGGCTGGCTCCATGTAGGAAAAGGGCTTTCAGGGGAGTTATTAAAAATTTAGAGAGTCATCTGTATGCCTTGCAATGTCTACATCGCCCAAGGGCCGGTGGTCCCAGCATCTGCAACCCAGCCTTCACAGTGCTGTTGCTCTTCCTGGCGTGCAAGCGCTGTTGATTCCACCCTAGCACCTGCCTGCTTCTTGAGGTCACGCTGCTGCAGAGGCTGTCCATGCCCGACTGCCTTGAGAACCCAGACGCCTCTTTCTGTGACCGGAGGAAGTGCCAGGAGAAGCCATGGAGAGCTGCAAGCCCCCCAGTTGGGGGAAGCCCCCCAGTTGGGGCACCTACCAGCATGACTGTCCTTAGATAAAAGAGGCCCCAGCAAATCCCTGAGTGGAGATCGCTGCAGCCTCGCCAGATTCCATTTCACTCTCTGAGTTGGCCCTTCAGACGTTCTGAAGGCAGAGCTAAATCAAAGAATTCTGTTCAAATCCATACAAGATGTTGCTGTTTTTCTGCTCTGACAGGAGAGGCATTTGGAAGTGCAGTTTCTTTCTTTCTTTCTTTTTTTCCCTTTTTTTTTAATAGCTGTCTTAAAAAGGAGTTTGGCTGTTTAGCACAGCTGGTGCTCATTACATTATGCACTGGCAATAAGATAGCATGTGTAATTAATTTTTAATGCAGTGCTGGATGCAGCGCTTTCAAGCAGTTAGTGGATGTGAAGAAGCAGCACTGGCCAAGGACATCAGAGACCTCAGAGCAAGGCAGCCCCGTTCTCCTTTAAAGGGACTCGGAAAGTGGCAGAGGAGGCTTGCATTGCCCTCTGTGTGGAGCGGACTGGCCCAGAAATGGGTTCTTCTCGGGTGACCTGAGGTCAAGTCAGTCTATAACAATCTAAGACCAGGGATCCCAAGAGATCATCTCCTCCAACCTCTTCATTATATAAATGGGGAAACCAAGGCAGAGAGTGGGGATGAAGCCATGACACATGGGTGGCAGAGCTGACTCATACCTGGGTCTGCCCACTAGGCCATACTACCTCTCTTGAGTTTTTATTGAAAACCAGAAAAGGAAGTTCGTCGCCCAGTGGAAGCCACTTAAAGATTGATTTCTGCCTGACCATGAGGCTTGGTGTGAACCCTGCAATGAGATTGGTAGCAGGTAGAGCTCTGATGTTGAGGAGCCCCACGTTGGGTGCCTTGGACTTCAGCTCTGCTATCTGCAGTGGGAGCCCACCAGACACATCCTGGGTTTGAGACTCTGGGGTTGTGCTTTGACAGCTGGCTGCCCTGTCCCTGTGGGGCTCTGTGGCATGGATGTGTGTTTGAAGTTAAATGTCATTGTGGACCCGTGTTAGACTGCAGGCATTGTGGGAAGCTCTCGAGATGGGGCCATCCTCGGTCCTTCCCTTGCAGTGAATGGGAGTGAGTATGTGATCCCAGGCTAGCCACTTACTTCCTCTCTCCAATCTTCAGTGTCCCCACCTGTAAAATGGGGACACTGAAGTACTTGCTTACCATCCCTCTACTGGCAGGTCCCATGAACAGCTACCATCTGGGCGTGGCCACAGCCCATGACCAGCACCTGGGGGAATCAGAGGGAAAAGGCCGGTGGGAAGGGAAGGAGGGAGAAAGCTGAGATGCCGGAAAGCCTTGTGAGACTCTGGCCTTGGGTAATCGGCACCCCAGTGACGACTTAGCTCTTGGAAAGCCACTTGCCTGGGAGAGTTTCTTAGTGTGAATGAAGGCAGAGGAAGGGCCAACATCATCAGTGTTCCTGGGGCTTGCCACTGTTTGCTAAAGGGCCGGCTCAGTCCTAGGCATGACATCTCATCGTTGTAACGCTCCCAAGAAGAGGCACTCCCCCACCCTTTTGCTTATGAGGATATTGGGGCTCAGAGAGGCCACACAACCCACCAGGGGTCACACAGCACACAAATAGCAGAACTTGGACAGAGAGTCTCAAAACAGAGATTCAGACTCAGGTCTGGCCAGCCTCCCAGCTGTACTTGGAGCTCTCCCGTCTGGCTTCCCACTGGGCTGTAGTGGACAACAGAGAAGGAGCTGCTGGTAGAAAACCAAATCAAACTCTGATATGGTACCTGGGAGGGTCCTGAAGGTCTTCCTTCATGCACTGGTCATCCTTGTGCCAGACCCTGGGCTGGACTGAGGGATCCGGAAATGGGCATGACGGGGTCCTTGCCCTAGAGGAACTCACCGTGGTGGGGGTGCCCATGGAGGGCCTTCTCACTCAGTGGATGTGAAATGCATGTCCCCATGGCGCCTTTCTCTGTTTGAAAAAAATGAATCAATTGGCTGCTGCTCGGGTGCTCCCTCACTTATTGCCATGGTGCAGCTCAAGAGCAGATCTCAGGATGGAGAGGTGTCCCACCTGAGGACAGCTTGTCCTTGTGGTCGCATTGCTGAGAGGTGGGGGGTACCTTCTGTGAGGATTTTTACCTGAATGAAGCACAAGTGGTGCCTGACTGCATTGGAATCCACGTGATTATTGGCGTGTTTTTGACTCTCATTTTATCCAGTGGTGCATTGGGCCCATGGCTGGTCCATAACCGCATGTTATGTGGAAGAAGCGAGAGAGTAATGGGTTTTCCATGAAAGGTGGTGCTGTTTCTGGAAATGGGGCATACATATGCTCATCCTCATGGAGCAGCGCCGTATTAAACAGAATTGTGTGAATTGAAGGTCACCTGGACCACTCTTGGAAAATGCTCCCGACCCCCATGGGGTTCCTTCCAGAGAATTTGTGTTCTCTGTACCTGAGATCAAATGTGTGTCTAAGCAATTCTGGCCCCTGGCTCCCACCACCCTACCCTCTCCACAAAATAATAGACATTAGGGGAGGTAAGGGAACAGAAGAGGTCTCTTTGCAGATATTATATTTTTAAAAAATGGTTCTATGTAATAAGCAGCAGCTAAGGAGACAGAAAGACAGTAGATGAAGAGAGTGCCAATATCTTCCATGGGGAAAAATGAATGAACTGAAAGAGAATATTATTTTTCTAGAATACAGAAAGCTGTCCTCTCACAGATCAGCTGGAATTCCAAGGTGGATTATGGACTTCTTCTAACTCCCATTGATAGTGCTTCTTACCAGGTGAAGGGAAGGGCTACTTTTTCCTAAAGGAGAAAAAAGCTTTCAGACAAAGCTCGTACCAACCCCTGAACTGCAAATTTGCTCAAGTGACCGTGCATACTTATATTCCTAATTTAAATGATTATTTATGTCAAACGCTCATTGTGAAACTTGAAAATGTTGTATTACATTACATCAAATAAAGTTTACTTGTAGCAGACAGAAAGAGAGAAAGAGAAAGAAAGAAAGGAAAGAAAGGAAGGAAAGAAGGAAAGAAAGAAAGAAAGAAAGAAAGGGAAATAAAGAAATTAAAGGGCTGGGCTTACAGGAGCCTGGAGGGTTGGGAGATCTACAGGGGTTTTACCACCGGGGAACTTGAGGCTGAGGGTCCAGTCACTGTGGGCAGTGACAGGTGTGGATGTGGTGTCTTCTGGGAAGGGGCCTGCTGACAACAAGCTTCCTCCAGCCCTGGCTGGACATAGAGGGAAACAAAGTCACCGATCCTCAGTCCACCAGAAGGCAGTTTTGACCTTGAAGAAGAGGGCTAGAGCATGAGCGAGATTTTCTCATCGGATCACCTCAAATTGGGTTTTGGGGTTCTGACTGGGAGTCAGGGACTTGGCATGTGGTCCCACGCCAGCCTTAACCAAGTCGATTTCCTCGACCAGGCTCATCTCTGTCTCTCCAGTGGCTGGGGCGGGGATGAGTCCCAGCAGGTGCCCAGGAGATGCTGGGGGATGATGAAGACTCAGAAAAGGCAGTGTCTACACCTGTGAGAGAAAGAGGAAACACAGAAAACGCTGCTAGCCACATTCTTGTATGAGCATCCTCCTTGTTTTTGTACACAGGACAGTGGAATCCATTTTTTTTCCCCCACTGGGGAGCGAAAGAAATAATAGCCCTTAAAAAAGCTTGAGGTGTTCTTTGTTGTTTTTATGGTGCGGGGAGAGGGGAACAAAATGTACTTGACTTTTCGAACCTGAGGGCAGGGTCGGGGTGGAGGGGCTGTGTTCTGTGTATATTTTACAATTAAACCCAAATAGTCTAAACCATGAGATACAGTTTATTCAAACATAATCAAGGCTGGCCACTTTTACCCAAAAAGCAGTGGGACGGAACCCTCGGTGGGCAGGGGTCCCTCTGTGGGGCCCAGCATTATGCCAGGGAAACCAGATCAAACTCAGATATGGTTCCCGGGAGGATCCCCCAGGTCTTCCTTCATACGCTGGTCATACATGTGCCAGACCCTGGGCTAGACCCTAGGGTCCAGAAATGGGCGTGACAGGGTCCTTGCCCTAGAGGAACTCACTGCGATGGGGTGCCCAGGTGGGGCCTTCTCTCCCAGCTCTGAATTTGGGCTTTCCAGGCAGCTTCTCTTGTAGTTCACAGGTGAGAGGTGACAGGACCGCTCCTGGTTTTCGCAGATGCGAAATTGCTTTCCTTGCGCGTCTGGTGGACGGCACAGGTGGGATTTGAATCCAAGCCTCCTCGAGCCTGGGGCCCACGTGGGCATCCTGCTCCTGTCCTTGCGTCTGGTCCTGGCCTGCCCCTCCCGCCTGGCCTTGTACCTGGCAGGTGTGAGTAGGAACAGCCAAGGGAGAGGAGTGAGCTTGTGAATCACAGAGCTGCCACTGGGCCAGCCTGAGCCCCGGGTAATTAGAACGCCAGTATTGTATGATTCTCAAGGAAGGGATCGTGGCGCTCAGGACTTCTCCAGGGAGGTGAATGCAAAAATGGAGTCAGTACCTGCAGAAACGGGGGCCGCTGGAATCTTTTCATAAAACTGGACATTTTAAATGATTGCCTTTGTTAAGAAGTGAGGAATAGCTAGTGGGGCAAGGCCCACTGGGTGCGTGAGTCTGCTCTTGGTGTTGTATTTAACCAGTTCTGACTCAAGTTCTTTTGCATGAATTTCCTTGGGTTTTATTAGCCAACTCAGTTATTAACATTTTAATCTTAAAAAATACCTTTGATCAGGCCAGTCGCGGTGGCTCACGCCTGTAATCCCAGCACTTTGGGAGGCTGAGGCAGGCAGGCGGATCACAAGGTCAAGAGATCAAGACCATCCTGGCCAACATGTTGAAACCCCATCTCTATTAAAAATATAAAAAAATGTAGCTGGGCGTGGTGGCGGGCGCCTATAGTCCCAGCTACTTGGGAGGCTGAGGCAGGAGAATCGCTTGAACCCGGGAGGTGGAGGTTGCAGTGAGCCGAGATCACAGCATTGCACTCCAGCCTGGGCAACAGAGCGAGATGCTGTCTAAAAATAAAAAAAATAAATAAAATAAAAAATACCATTGATCAAGGGTCCACTGTGTGCTGTGGGCTTTCTGTGTATCTCCAGTGATTCTCACAATGCTTCGATTGTGAGTTTTTTTAATTGTGGTAAGATAAACATTAGATTTACCATTTTAACAATTTTTAAGTGCACAGTTCGGTGGCAATAAGTACATTGCAATTGTTATGCAGCCATCACCACCGTCCATCTCCAGAGCTTTTCCATCATCCCAAACAGAGCTCTGGCACCATTAAACACTAACTTCCCATTTCCCCTCTCCCCAGCCCCCCATTCTCCGTTCTGTCTCTCTGAATGTGACTACTCTAGGTTCCTTAGGTAAGTGGAATCATACAGTGCTTGTCCTTTTGTACCTAGCTCATTTCACTTAGTATAGTGTCTTCGAGGTCCATCCATGTTGTAGCACGTGTTACAATCTCCTTCCTTCTTGAGGCTGAATAATATTCTATCATATGGATAGACCACATTTTGCTTATCCACCCATCCATTGATGGACAGTTGGGCTGCTTTTGGCTATTGTGAATGGCACAGCTAAGAACGTGGGTGGACAATAATCTGTTTGAATCCTTGCTTTCAGTTCTTTTGGAGTTTCTGCGGAAGTGGAGTTTCTGCGTCAAAGGGTAATCCTATATTTAATTTTTTGAGGAATTGCCAAACCGTTTTCTATAGTGGCTACGCTGTTTTACATTCTCACCAACAGTGCACAGAGGTTCTCATTTCTCCGCATCCTTATCTGACTGTTGGGTAATTTTAGTGTTTTTTGGACTGTTGGAGTTGATAGCCAAGGAACCTGCCTCTCAGGGATGTGGCAACAACTGGTCCAAGTTAGGTGGGTAATAAACCTGAGGGCGGTTTGAATCCAGCCTCAGCCAGCCTAGGTGTGGCCCTATAGTCACCACTGGACTGCTGGGGGCTACCACCTTCAGTATATTTTAGTTGAGGGTCTTGAATCCCCTTTGTCTTGGAAATGGTTGCCCATGGCAGTTCTCAGTTCTGTCTCCCAGGACAGCTTTTTTTTTTTTAATTTTTATTTTTTATCTTTATTTTTTATAACAAAGCTAAACATTTAGCTACCTTGATAGCTTGGGGAAGAAAATTCTACAAATGGACAATTTTCATTGTTCTTTCTGTTGTGTCTTCAGGGTGTTGATTTGAGTGTGACTTAGCAGAAGGAGCCCCGTATTTGGAATCAGAATCCCTAGGAGCGAGATAGAGCTCACTCGGTGTCCTGTGCACGCTTTGGCCCTCTCTGAGCCTTGTGGGGTCTCCCTGCCTGATGGGAATCATCACACTGGTTTTGCTTCCTTGGCTGGGCGGGGAGGGACTGGGGACAGGGAATCTCAAGGGAGTGGCCTTGGGTCCTTTGTATATCGGGATGGTAATTGCGATGATTCTTATTAGTGGTTGTGCTTTCTCTCTATTGTCCTGTATTGGTGTCCCAGGGCTGCCGTAGCAAATGGGCACAGACTGGGTAGCCTAAGACAATAAGAAATTGATTCTGTGGTCGGGTGCGGTGGCTCACGCCTGTAATCCCAGCACTTTGGGAGGCTGAGGTGGGTGGATCTCTTGAGCCCAGCAGTTCAAGACCAGCCTGGGCAACATGGCGAAACCCATTCTCTAAAAAAATTAGCCAAGAATGGTGGCATACACCTGTAATCCCAGCTACTGGGGAGGTGGAGGCAGGAGGAGCCCTTGAGCCCAGGGAGGTTGAGGCTGCCATGAGCCGAGATCGTGCCACTGCACTCCAGCCTTGGGCAACACAGTGAGACCCTGTCTCAAAAAAAAAAAAAGAAGAAATAAAAAAAAGAAAAGAAATGTATTTTCTCACAGTTTGGGAGGCCACAGGTCCAAGATGGAGGGGTCGGCAGGGCCGTGCTCCCTGATTCCCTGCCTCTGTGGGCACACAGCTTTCTCCTCTGGGTTTGACTTCTCTTCTGAACAATTAAAATAAAAAAGACAATTGTCTTTGGATTCAGGACCCACCTAGACCATCCAGAATGATCTCATCAACAGCCTTCACTTAGTCACACCTGCAGTGACCTTGCCCCTAAATAAGCTCACATTTACAGGTCCTGGGATCTAGCTGTGGACAGCTTATTTCAGGTGGCTCCATCCAATCTTCTCTGCATGCCTCTTGCTGGATTCTAGGCCCTTCCAGGGCAGGAAACCCAGCTGGTCTCGGTGAACTGAGGTCTGGGACAGGTTCAGGCACTTACAGGGGATTCCCCAAATGTCTCCTGCATTGAAGCTGGAGCTGGCTTTTGACAAGATGGACACATGTTCCTTTTTTTCTCAGGAATGTGGTGATTCTGAAATGCCTGGCCCTTCGGCTAGCACTCAGACTTCTGTGTTTATGGAAGGCAGTGTGGTCACATGTGGCCCCCAGCTCTGCCCCCATGCTGAGTCAGAACACAACTATTAACGATAGGGCGGGGAGATGGCTTAAAAAAATCTGTGGCCGGGCGCAGTGGCTCATGCCTGTAATCCCAGCACTTTGGGAGGCCGAGGCGGGCGGATCACGAGGTCAGGGGATCGAGACCATCCTGGCTAACATGGTGAAACCCTGTCTCTAGTAAAAATACAAAAAAAAAAAAAAAAAAAAATTAGCCAGGCATGGTGGCGGGTGCCTGTAGTCCCAGCTACTTGGGAGGCTGAGGCAGGAGAATGGCGTGAACCTGGGAGGCGGAGCTTGAAGTGAGCTGAGATCGCGCCACTGCACTCTAGCCTGGGCAACAGAGTGAGACTCTGTCTCAAAAAAAAAAAAAAAAAAAAAACCTGCAATGATTATTATGAGAATTAACAGAGTTGAATAGGAGCTAAAAATAACTGGACACACACTTGCCTATAATCCAGATTTTAAAAGAAAATATAATTATTTTTGTAAACTGGCTCTGAGAAGCCAGAAATATTTTTAGTTTGCATCTTTTAAGACATGGTGCATGTTTTCAGGGAGTGGAGTTCGGAGCCCACTGGCATGTGATGATGTCACCAAGTCAGAGCACACCTGAAGCCTGTGGGGACGGGGTGGTGGCAGGCGGCGGGGTCAGAGGTTAAGGAGCCCAGTTCTGAGCACCATTTGTCTGAGCATGCATTTGAGGAGAGGTGTTCCACCAGCCTACCGTGGCTTCTGTAGGTGCTGGAGCCTGGGGTGTCCTGGCTACCCCCAGTCTGGAAGCCAGTAGCATTGAGAGAACAGCAGCTGGCTCAGCTCAGAGGCCAGGGGGTGGGGGTTCCCCCTGGATAAGGTGGACCTGACAGGGTCTGAGCGGACCTGCAAGAAATAACCAAGACTTGAGGGAAAACATTCCACGGCTTTTTCATTTGGAGCCAAACATTGCCTCATGTAATTTTCTCCCTGGTTTTTCCCATTGCCTCTGCCAGGGTCCTTGGGCCTGGCACAGACCCGTAATAAAAGGCCGTGTGTGTGTGTGTGTGTGTGTGTGTGTGTGTCTGTATGTGTGTGTATATTTGTACTCGTGAGAGTGTATATGTGCATATATGTGCATGCGTGTACACGTGTATATGTAAGTGTATGTATTTGTGAGTGTGTTTGTATGTGAGTATTTGCATATGTCAGCATATGTGTATGTGTGGATGTGCATATGTGTACATGTCTGAGTGTATATGTGAGCATGCATGTGTATACATGTGAGGGTATATATACATATTTGTATATATGTGTGCATATACATACGTATTTGTGTGTGCACATATGTGTATGTGTATTTGCATGTCAGTGTGTGAATGTGGGGGTGTGCATGTGTGTACATGACTAAGTGTATATATGTGCATGCATGTGTATATGTGTAGATGTGAGAGCATATGTGCATATGTATTTGTACATACACGCGTATTTGTGTGTATGCACACACGTGTGTGCAGATGTGTGTACACATGTGGATATTTGTGCATGTGAGTACATATGTATATGTCTGAGTGTATATGGTATCTGTGCACATATGTGTATGTATGCGTGTGTGTGTGTATGAGTGTTTTTGTGTGTGAGCATGTATGTGCATATGTGCATGTTGAGTGTATATGTGTATGTGTCTGTGTGCAGTCCAGGGAGAACTATCAGCACAGAACAGGCCCCTCCCAGCCTCCCAAGCTCTGTGTTTATGGTGAGGGCACTTGTGATTATTTTTCTTCCCTGAACTTTCTGATTCTTCCTGGATTTGTGGTGTGTGTCCATCCTGAGGCCTGCTGAGGCCTTTGAGGGCGAGTCTCTCTCTAGAGCTGAATTCACCTTCTTAGTACCTCCTGGGGGAGACTGAGCCCCCGCCCCCAATCTCAGAGGGAGCCCACAGTCCACAGTGCTGGGAAATGTGGCCAGTCTGGTGTGTGACCCACCAGGAGTGGCTGCAGAGAGAATAAGGGCTGTGGAAGTGGACGGCTGGGTTCAAATCCCGACTCGGATGTCTCTGAGCTTTGGCCTTGGGCAGGTAGCCCAGCCTGTGTGTGCATCTGGTTCCCCACCTGTGGCATGAGAATAGCACCATCTCACGACTGAGAGTGGGCGGCTAGCAGTGATAATGGGGCGCTGTGCTAAGAAGCGTTCATTGTGGGCTTCATCTTCAACATCCCTCACCCCAATTCTGCGAGGAAGGCACTTTTCACATCCCCATTTTACGGATGAGGAAATGGAGGCAGTCCGATTTCAGACACTTTACTGCTTTATTCTACCTTAGAGTCTTTCTCTGTTACATTGTGCGGCCTTAAGCAGCAGCTGGCCTGTGAAAGGTGCTGAATAGCGGCAGGCATTACTGCTATCTTTTTATCGTTGTTATAACTATGATTATTATTATTGCAATCACTGTCATTGCCGCTTCCCTGGGCGGAGGCTTTCCGGGATCCACGGGGCTTTTTCCTCTGTTCCCGGCACTGCCCTCTGTTCCTGGGGGCCGCATTCATCCTCGCGTCTCGCCCCTACTTCCCTGCTTTTCTCCTTCGTTTTGGGTTTGTGTGTATTTGAGGTCTCTTTCTCCTCTAATTGAGATAATGAACACAGTGTTTCCAGAATCACTGCACTAAAAGTCAAGTGCAAAGTGATGGTTTTCATTTGTTTTTCTCCCTCTTTCTCTCTCTCTTAATATACATGTCTTTAAGAAGGGATTGGCTGAAAGCAAACAGCTAATAACCTATGGATTTATGGAGGCAGTGCGAGCCGGCTTAATAAGCTTTTATACCTGGAATCAGTGTTCTGTCCCTTTAAGTGGAAACTCCAACGTGCCTTGGTATTTTACAGTGCCTGGTTTCATTTATGCTGGAGCCAGCCTTACTATGTGAGAGCCGTCCGCATGCTGGAATTAGTCTTAAGCTTGCTTCTGTGGCGTTGCCAAATTCCATGTTTGTGTTTTATTTAGAATTCTTTTCACGGCCAGCCGATTCTCTGCCGGCACACATAGGCACTGTTGCGCCCCATGGAGAAAATAAGCAAGCTTGCGTTTTCTTTGGCAGGGGCCGCGGCCACAATAGACTGCGGTCTCCGAAACATTTTTTAAAAGCTATTTTAACCCATAACAGATGCATAAAGTCGGCTCAGGCATGCCAGTTTTCTTAGTTTTAATTAAAAAATAATTACAGTCTAATGGGATGTTAGTGACACATTTGGATGAATGGTGGGTGACATTATCTGCAACTTATAAATTAGTGCATCTCCCTTGGCCGGAGCAGGGGTGGGGAAGAGCTGGGGAGGGAGAACGTGGATATCTGTTCTTCATTGCAGGGTGGGGGGCTGGGGGAGATGGGGTTCCTTCTGGGCATGGAGGCAGCCCGTGGAGCCCTTGGTGAGAGGTCAGCAGCACTCAGAAGGGACATTCCGCTGTAGCTGTCCAGGTGACAGTGCCGTCAGGAGGAATGGTGGTGTGGGCGCATCCCCCACCCCTGCATGCTTGATGAACTCACCTGTGGAGTTCTTCAGCCGGGAGATGGCTGTACCTGGGTGCTGTAGCCTCAAGCCAGCACTGACTTCCTGGCCCCTGTGACCCCTCCCCTGCTTCAGGAGCCACCCATCAGCTAGAAGCACATCCACCTGCTGGGGCCATGGGAATAAGATGCTGCTGGGAAGGTAAAGAGGCAGAACAGCACCGTCCTGCCGGGTCCCCATGCTCCCAAGAAGGCTGCATCCAGATGCTCATCCTGTTTATTTATTTATTTATTTATTTTTTTAATATTTAAATGTATTTTAGGTTCCGGGATACATGTGTAGAATGTGCAGGTTTGTTACATAGGTAAACGTGTGCCATGGTGGTTTGCTGCATGTTTTTTTTTTTTTCTTTGAGATAGGGTCTTGCTCTGTCACCCAGGCTGGAGTGCAGTGGCGTGATCATAGCTCACAGCAGCCTCAACCTTCTGGGCTCAAGTGATCCTCCTGTCTCAGCCTCCTAAGTAGCTGGGATTATGGGCATGCACCACCATGCCCAGCTAATTTTTTAAAATTTTTTGTAGAGACAGGGTCTTGCTATGTTTCCCAGGCTGTTGTTCTCAAACTCCTGGCCTCAAATGATCCTCTCTCTTCGGCCTCCCAAAACACTGGGATTACAGACATGAGCCACCACACCTGGCCACACCTGGATTCAGATTTTATGTAGAAGTTGCCACTCATTGGAATCTGGAGTGGAGGGCAGTAGGCTGGAGTGTCCCTGGGAGGCAGGGTCTTTGTGGGAATTGAAGCTAGGAACAGGCAGGGCCGTGGATGGGGGGACACTCACTGTGCCAGAAGGGAAGGGGAACTTCTGTGCTGTTTCACCAAGGGGGTCAGTAATATCCTCTCCACTAATTAGGCAGCTGACAAATGGTGACCTGTTGTTCTGACACTTGAGCCCAGGTTCTGCCTGCCCTCTGTGGGGTCTGAGGACTGGGTCTAGGGAGAGGGAGGAGTCAGTGTCCTGGGGCCAAGCCTCTCGGAGGAGCACCGGAGGGCTGGGATGTGTCACCTTGAGTGTTCCAGCATCAGAAGCAAGATGCTGGCCCCAGCAGTACCCTTGTGCCTGGGCGCACGGGGCAGCCCCTCGGGGGGCCCTTGCCAGGGGCCCCTGTGCCTTGTTGCCAGATGCTCTCCAAGCAGTGCCCCAGAGAGGGGACAGGATGTGCCCCAAGTCCCTGCGCTGAGCTAGGACACGTGTGGCTGACGCTGGACTCTATGCCTTCCCCTTAGACCTTTGTGCTCTGCCCAAGCTCATGGACTCTGCAGCCTGTGGCGTCCGGGAGTGTGGGAGACAGGCACCGGCTGGGGTTCTGCATTTGTACTTTTGGGGTAGTAGGACTTACCATTGCCCGTGGAGTAAAATGAGTGTTTCTTAGACAATATTTCCCTGAGCCCAGATTCCTCAGAAGTGAAAATTAAGTTCTTCTATTAAAAACATGAGTCATACCAGTCCAGATGAGAGTCATTTTGGTGTTCCTCGAATTTTTGGAGGGGAAACGTCGCATTCATGTTAATCCATTCAATTATACCTCATTGCTGAATAACGTGCCGGGCATTCTGGGTGGCAGCCTCTGCTGTCTGATTAGTCGGGGCTGTGTCTGCTGCACTTGAGAGGGAGCAGCTCGGGGCCTTCATCCTCTTTTGTGCTGGCACACCCAGGTCGGCCGAGCCTCCGGGGCTCCCTTCTTCATTCCAGGGGCTCATCGAGAGCCTGGGCATGGTCTCAGCATCTGATTCTTGCAAATGATTCCTGCCCAGCTGAAAAGCCTCCCTGTCTGTCTGCTCATGTGAGTTTTAAGCAGATGGCAGTAGGTCCCCCACTCTGCACTGGCACAGGGTCTAGGGTCCCCTCTCCCCTGGTGGGCATCCTGCTCAGGTGAAGGTGGAGACAGGCTTGGTTTTGTTCCCTCAGTGATGTTATTTTATCCTCCCAGAAGCCACCAATGACCAAGACTGGAACCAAAGCAGGAAATCAAAGCAAAGTATCACTGGGTTTGGGGACAGACCCAGAGACTTCTTGTCTAAAGACAGCACATCCTGCTTTGGGCAAGGGAGCCAAGCAGGTGGGGGAGGTTGGAGAGCATCATGGCCCTGGGATCAGCCCTCTGCAGTGCAGTCTTTCTGCCTCTCACATGGGCCCTGTCAGGGCCTGGGTCACAGGCAAGTGGACACTTGCCTCCAGCTTCAGCTCCTGGGGGTGGGGCGTGGAGGGGTTGTTCTCTGGGAAGTCTCTGCTGAGGTCGGGGCTGAGGTCCGTGTCACCTGTGCCCTCCCCGATGGGCCCCTGTACTTACCCATGGAGACACCTATCACGGGGTGGGTCTCCTTTCCTGTCTCCCTGGCTGTCCTGGGAGACCAGGCTGTGAGCTAGCCTGGACCCTGTTTGTCCCCATAGGCCCAGGCGGAGGTCTGGCCCCCATGAGGCTGTCCGTGAGCGCTTGTGAATGAAGTGAAATCAAGTGAAATGAAGCTGACTAAGCAGACACCCAATGTGGCCAGAGATCCAGGGCAGGTGCATTCGGAGCCTCAGTTTCCTGCAGTGTTGGCTGCCCGCCCAGGCCCAGGGGAGGCTGCAGGTTTGCACATTTGGACAACATGGGGCTTGAGCTGCACATGCTGCAGCTGTCTGACCAACCTGGAAGGCCACCTCTCTGGCTTTGGGTGCACCGTTTGATTTTTGGAAATTTTGGGGAGATCCATTTTGCTTTTGCTTCTTTATTCAGCAAGTTGCTCTAGCCCCCCCAGTGCTCAGGTGAATCCCTGGGTAGGAGGAGCAGTTGCTTGGGTTGATGGCACCTCCTGGAAAAGAAGACAAAGTGTAGGGATGATGAGAATGAGTGGAAGTCGGTGGGCAGGATGGGAGAAGCTTTGGGCTTGGAATCTGATCCAAAGTGTGGTTTCTGAGTTTGGAACCAACTCTTCTGCTGGGATGTGTGGAGGGGGGAGTGGGGATGGGCAGGGGTTCAAGTTCATTTACTTGTATCAAGTTGAAGTTTCTTCTTCTTATAAGTAAGAAGCAAAAGCCCACATAGATGATGAGAAAGACAGGCTGGAAAAGCAGACTTTGCTTACTCATTAAATTTTCTGTAAAATAAACACAAGTTTAGAACCGAGGAACCAGTGGTGGGGGGTACTCCAGAGGGCAGGGCGGAGTTTGGTGTGAACCTCTGGGTGGGAAATGCACCAGCAGGTCAGAGTCACACATTCACGTGAAAGAGGTCAGGTGCAGCCCTGAGAAGTAAGGACGATGGACTCGAGGAACCAGGTGGAGGGGGGTGTGTGTGCACGTGTGTTTGTGCATGAGTGCATTGTGTACATGTGAATGCATGTGCATGTGTACATGCATGTGTGCACATATGTCTGTGTGCACACGAGTGCATGTGTGAGTGTGCATGTGTGTGCCCATGGATGCATGAGTGGCATTGGCAATTCTACGCTATACCCTGAGACCAGGCTCTGTGGCCGGCTGCCATGAGGAGGAGGACAGAACAGCAAAAGGCACAGGCCAGGATGGAGTGAGGGGCCCAGACAACACCCAAGTACATGACTCTGCCCTGGGCCCAGAGGCTGTCCAGCTGCAGGCTCTCATGGGGACCCCTTTACTCCCCTGGTTGCCCATGGGCTTGGGCTGGGGACTGGAGCCTCTGCTGCTCCCATGGTGCTTTCTGAGGCAGAGAGTCCTACGGGGTGCCAGACAGGCCTGGGGCAGACCTGGCTTTGCCTTCTTAACTGGATGACTTTGGCCCCCACTTCCATCTTCCAGCCTCAGTTTCCTCACTTGCTAAAAGGAGATCATGGTATTACCTGGGTACGCATGTGTGGATGGCTCAGGACGGGGCCCGCATCTGCAGGCCTCAGCTAGGGGAGCTGTTATTGATCTTATTATTATGATCATTGTCGTCATTGGTAGAGGGGAAGGTGTCTATTGATCTTATTAGGATCATTGTCATCGTTGGTAGAGGGGAAGGTGTCTATTGATCTTATTAGGATCATTGTCATCGTTGGTAGAGGGGAAGGTGTCTTCTCCATGGTGATGCAGGGCTCTGCGGCCCCAAGTGCAGCTAAGTCAGGAGGAGGTGATGGTGAAGACTGGGTTCCCACCTCAGGCTCCTCCGCACGTCAGTGTCAAAGTCACCCCTGCTAGACCAACTCTGGGGCTGCAGTGCTTTCCTGGATCTGGCTTTGGGGACATCCTTATTCCCCAGTGGGAAGCCCTACCTTCAATCTCTCTCTTCCCTAGAGTGACTATCCACACCTGAGCAGGAAAAGCCTTGGCGTGGACCCAAAGCTGGGGAAGTCAGTTTCTTGGTCCTCGGGCATGAGCTGCTTGGGCTCCTGTGGGAGCCTGTTGCAGATCCAGAACGAAAGGGCTGGAGCAGGGAGGTGGCCGGCTGAGGAGAGAGAGCTCTTCTCGGTGATTTCTCCCTGGAGAAAACCTTTTCAGTAAACACACTTCCGCAGTCAAGACGGGCTGGAAAATCTGTGCCTCCTGTTTACTGTGGGCTGAGAAAGCCCAGGGATGTAGGGCAGCTGCAGGCAACTCTTCTTCCTCCCCTTCTCCGGTTTTGGCCATTGTTTTGGACCTGCTCTCCCAACCTTTCTATTTTCTGCAGTGCTTATTCTATCTCTTTTGTTTGTTTCTTCTGCAAGGAATAGGATGCAGTTGTCCAGAGACGCATTAGAGTTGGGCATGTCCGTAGCATGTGTGCCTCCATTGCTCCCTCCTATACCATAGCAGACATCACTTGTCAATCACAGCACCTCCTTCCCCTGGGCTCTGGCCTGGATGCTTCAAGCTGAGAGGTAGGGCAGCCTCTGCTAATCAATCGTGCTGCCCAGGAATTGAAACTTAATTTCTGTCCTGGCATGACTTTCCTCAGAGGAAATGGTAAGAGGGTGCACCACCTCACACCATTTCCTCAGCCCTTGATGAGAGTCTCGGGGGGCTCAGAGGTCTTCCTGGTTATGGGACCATTCAGGGGACTTAGCTGGAGGCATTGGCCTAAGTGTTGCAGCTGTGGAGATAGTGGCTGCCCTGTTGAGGGCTAGTGGGTGCCAGGCCATCCTGAGCACTGCATTTTTGCAGTGGTTTTGCAGTCAAGGTGCACAGAAGGCAAGGCTTTGAGACTGAGGTCATAGATTTAGAGGCAGAGAGGACAACTGGCCTGGCCGGTCCACTCCAGGGCACTCACCTCTCACCCACCCTCGGGCTTCTTCCCCCACCCTCAGCCTCCTAGCTCTCCTGTCTTCCTGCAGCCATGGCCCTGGCTCAGCCTGAGGCTGAGGTTCTCCCCTGCCGGGGGCCAGGCTCCCCAGGGGCTGGATCCTGCATCCCTGTGGCACCTTGCTGAGGTCGTGCTGGGCGCATGCTTCTCTCCCCTGGTTGTCCCAGTGTCCCTGGCAGCTGTTGTTACTCACAGCTCTGGGCTGGGCTGGCCCTGGCACTGACCTCATTCCAGCCCACGACCAGGCTTGTTCCTTCACATGGCCTCGGTGGTCTCCATGGATTACACCCCAGGGCTCTGCCCTGCTCTCTGGTCGCGCAGGAGTCCCCTGCGGATGTCAGTGGAGGCCGAGTGTTTTCATAAACAAGAAGCGGAGTTTTGGGGTCCAGTAGGATTATGAGCCGAGTGAGAGATGGAACCCCCTCCCCAGCCCATGGCCTATCGCCCTTTCCCTTCAGAGTCCTCATTGTGACTCTGTGGCAGGATGGCAGCTCCCGTCTTGCAAATGAGGAAACTGGGGCTCATAGGAGTCCAGGGCCTCTTGTAAGACCTCATGGCTCTAGAGTGGCAGAGAGGGGGTTGTAACCAGGTCTCAGACTGTAGCCCTTCTCTATCCTAGACACATTTTAGTAAAGCTCTTCCCCACTGTGAGCCCATCTCAGCCTCTTCTGCTGTCACTGTGCTCTGCTTCCCGGGAGGTGTCCTGGCTCTCGCATGGAGCCTCTCTCTCCCACTTCTTGGGGGCTCGAGGTTTCCATGTCCACGTTGGCCTTGGCCTGGCTGCAGTGTATGTGGCTGTTGGAGCTGAGGGCAGGGACGAGCTTCATGACCTCTGTATCCTGGTATCAGTGTCGTGTCCAGCCCTGAGGGGCCTCACGTCTGCTGGGTGGGTGAATGGAACTAGAGCGGTTCTTCCAGCGAGCACTCCTTTGCGCAGACTCGGCTGCTGTCTTGGGCCAGAAATGCCTCAAACAACGGGCCCAGTGGATTCTGGGAAGGGGCCCTGCCCCGAGCCTGCCCGGACAGGAGGGAGGCAGTGTTATTAGCTAGAATTGAGTCTGAAGCCAAAGGGAACCTGAAGGCCCCCTTTCCTCTTGTTAAGTGCAGCCCCGTGCTCGGTCTTGCTTGGGTTAGCTTCCCTGTCTGCAGCTAGAAGGAATGGCCCTTTTATTACTTTAGCGCTTCAGGAGACCTCGGGAAAGCTAGGTGTAAATATTAGAGGCTGCCAACAGCCAGTGGCAGCAACTGCTTAATAAACTCCAAATAAATAATGTGGTGATTAGCAGGGATTGCAGCTCCAAGATGCTGGCCTCTGTGGAGGAACGGTCCTTGTCCATTCCTGGGATCTGGGGCTCAGGGAAGTCCGAGGCCCTGTGGCTGTGGCCCAGGTGACCACACCAGGCTTTTCCAGTGGGGGAAGGGATGCCAGGCCTGAGCAGGCCCATCTTTGTTCAAATTGTGCCACTCCAAAGGACAAGGGACAGGATCCTTCGCCTCTTGCTTTAAAACATCCGGGCTTTCAGACACCCCTGTGGGAAAGTAGACTCCTCATTGCAACATGCATGGCCCCTGGGACTTACTGGACTCATCTCCCTATGCTGCCCTGTGTCCGCTACCACCCAGCCAGGCCTCCTGGGGTAGACTTCATTTACAAAGCACCCGCTCTGTGCTGGGCGTGGTGCATCTGCTCTCTCCATTCCTCCCAATAATGCTGCTCCGCTGGTGTGGGGAGATGGAGACTCAGGGGCCTGTTACTTGCCCAGGGCCACCCAGCTGGTGGGAGCTCAGTTCCAGGTGGATCTGGGGACAGGATCTGCCAGAGCCCTGTCCCTCAGGGCTGCTGTTGTTGGCAGCTGAGCTCTGCTCCACTGGGCTCCTTGCTCCACTGGGCTCCTGGGTGCCTCTGCCCTTTGGCCTGGCCAGACTCTGCCCAGCAAGCCCTGGGCATCCCCAGGCAGCCGAGGGAGCTCCTGTTTACTCTCCGGGAAAAGCTCCCCCAGGCAGCACTTGCACCTGCCTCTGGGCCGGCTGATAAGTCATGTCACATCCTCTTTGTGTGGAATGTGAAGGCCTCCAGGGCACAGATTGTGCCTGATGCCTCTAGCTCCGGCTCCCAGCACCCAGGGTGCACAGGAGGTCAATGAGGGGCTGAGTGAATAGGGGATGCTTTTGGAGCCCTCTTGCCCACCAGAAACAGGAAGGGCACTGGAAGTGACTGAGGTGAGTGCCCAAAGCTCCCTCAGCTTCATGGGGGATTTTCTGGTCCCAAGGTCTCAGCTAGAGGGACTTTAGATTGGAAAGGAAGGGATGAGGTGCCCTTGGCCAGGTGATTTCTGAGAGTTAGGTCTGCAAAGGCTCATCAAGGTGCAGGGGGCCCCCTGAGCTGGAGCAGCTATTGGGTCCTCATGTATTTTTTCGCTTTGTCATTTATGTCATAATAAGAGGAATTTGAAGTCTCTTGCTTTAAGTAAACCAGTAATAGAAGCATTAAAATGATGGTGAAAGAATGAGAATCATACAATCAAGGGACAGAAAAGGTAGTCCTAGTAATCTGCATTGCATAAAAACCTAGAATTTACCTCTGAGCTTCCTGGCAGCCTTGGCAAAAATGGAAACATTGTGATTTCTGATTCACTTATGAAAGAAAGTAATAGTTCAGCATAGAGAGTTTTGGATCAACTGCAAGCTTGGAGGGCTTCATCCCATGGTTTTTTAGATAAGACCGGGCCTTTATCTATGATAAATACCAGATAGTGAAGTACTTTAGGGTTCGTGGGCCAAGTGGTCTCTCTTGCAACTATAGTAGTCTCCTCCTAATCCTTGGGGGGATATGTTCCAAGACACCCAGTGGATGCCAGAAACCTCGGGTAGTAGTGAACCCTGTTGTACTGTGTTCTTTTTCCTATACACACATACCTATGATAAAGTTTAATTTATAAATTCAGCACAGTAAGAGATTAACAACAATAATTAATAATGAAATAGAACAGTTGGAACAATATGCCAGCATCATTGCCCTTGCACTTTGGGGCCATTATTAGGTAAAATAAGAGTGGCTTCGACACAAGCACTGCGATACTACCACAGTTGCTCCGATGCCCAAGGAGGCTACTAGTGACTAAGGGGCAGGTGGTGTCTTACAGCATGGATATGCTGGACAGAGGGAAGATTCAGGTCTTGGGCAGGACAGAGCAGGGTGGTGCAAGATCTCATCACACTACTTGGAGTGGCTCAAAATTTAAAACTGATGAATTGTTTATTTCTGGAATTTTCCATTTAATATTTTTGGACCATGGTTAACCTCGGGTAGCTGAAACCCCAGAAAGTGAAACCACGGGTAACAGGGAACTACTGTATTCAACTGTGCCACTGTAGTGCAAGAGTACCCGTGGACTATTAATGAACAGGTGTGGCTGTTGTTTCAATAAAACTTTATTTACAGAAACAGGCAGACATCCATGGCCCGTAGTTTGTGGCCCCCAGGGATAAGAGATAGTATTACCCTGATGGATGACTGTGACATCTTCCCATCTTGACCCTGTTGGAGGCTGAGATCTTCTTGTTCTGTGTCCTTGGATCACCCTCTGCCTCTGCTCCTGGAGAGAGAATCTGGTCCAGGAGGCCTCTGGCCCTGGCCTCCATTGGATGAACCTTGCTGGCTCAGGTGTTCCTTCCCCAAAGCCTCGGTCCTCTGTTGAGGGTATCGGGGGTACTTCAGGCTCCCTTCCCACAAGACTCCCCTCCCAACCCCTGGCTACGAAGGGCTGCCTCTTTGGAGCTAACCTTCCTTCAACAACTTGATTCTGCAATGAGAGATCTTTGCTGGAAGACCTTGGTGGGAGTGGCTTTATGGCTGTCTGGACTTGGTCCACCGTGGTCAAGAACCATACTGCTCCCGGGAACTGGTATGTGTGCTGTTATTTTCTTTTAATTTTGGAGGTAAAATGTGGGAACAGAACTTTCTGGGAATTCTGCTCCTTACCACGTACTCTGTTTGTTTATTTACATATTCCTGACCTCATTCCACAAAGCTGGGGGGTAGGGGGGCGGATGCTTCAAATGTCCTGTCAAATTTTGGGCTCCTTTTTCCTCCTCTGGAAAAGGGAGCTCATCTCAGGCATCACAAAGTTCACAGAGCGCCCAGGACAGGGTGACACAGGAGGTCCTCACGTCGCTCCTCCCCTTTCCTGGCATGCTGGTGTAGCGAGCGCCTGGTCCTTGGGCGCATTTAACCAGTCATTGTAGAAGTGGGAGATGCAGGCTTTGGGAGAGTCCGCGAATTTTCCCAAACCGTCAAACTTGTGGAGCACCAGAGTGAATGCGAATCCTCCACTGGCCCTGCTGGCCTGGGCCGTCTCAGTTAGGGACTGTCCCCGGATGCTCATTTTCAGGGTCTGAGACCCTGTGGCCACACCTCCATGAAGAAATGGCCGGGTAGGATGGAGCCGTCATCACTACCAGCTGTAGAATTCTCTCTTGACAGCCCAGGAGGGCCCTCGGTTCGTTCAAGGGCCTGTTTTTTTTTTAATTCCCTCTTCCTACTGTTGTGAAAGAGCTGCTTCCATTAAGGAAGGATCATATTATGCTCCCTTTCAAAGTAATGTAACTGGAGGGGCATCCCCTGAACACCTGCCCACAGGTGATCTGGGACCTGGTCCGCCTGTCCTGTCCCAGGTACCCCTCCATCCAAGGACAGGGGGCACAGACTGTAATGGTGTTGTCACATGAAGTGGGCTGAATTTAGGCCCCAAGTTACATGTCTGTGTTTTGCTTTGCCCATGTGGCCTTATTGTGTGTACATTTATGAGTTTCTTTAGGTTTTGAACATTTTTGAATGAGAAATGCAGGCAGCCCTTCGTGACAGCCTTCAGAGACCCAAGGACGGAAGGAAGATGCTGCTGTTCGATTTTGTCTAGAACATTCTTTTTACCACTTGGGCTCGAGCTCTCGCTCTGTCTGGATGTGGGGGAAAAGGGACATTATTGGTAAGGGAGAAGGTTCTAGACACTCTTGTTAGGCTCCCAGATGCCCAGCACTGGCCTGGCCCCTGGGAGGTGTCCAGGGACTGCCCCTGGGATGAATAGCTGCCGGGCATTGGCAGGAAGCTGGTGGAGCAATGTGGGGTGGAGTGGGTGTTGGCGAGTCCCCCACCCACCTCCCTGAGCACTGTGGAGTGAATGATAGGGCTGGGGGAGCAAAGTTCTGAGTTCTCCTGCCTGCCTCCCTCCCCCCTACCCCAAGGCTGTTGGGTGGTGAAAATGCCTTTGGCCACTGCAGATGGAAGAGCTCGGGTGCTCAGGACAGGCCAGTGGGGTGCGGGATCGGGGGCAGTTGCTAGGTTGTTACAGGTGCCTTAGCCTCTCTGCACTAACCCCAGGGAGAGAGAGGCCTTCATTCCAGACCCCCTGGAAAGACGAGTCCACAGACTTCCCCAGAGGCCCACCAGGCAGCTTGTGCATGGATCCTGTCTGCAGCAACCTGCCCAGAGATGGGTTCACAGGTGGCTCATTAGTGAACCCCTTTTGTGGGCCCACCTCCAGTCATCACCCACAAGGCAGCCTTTTCCCCTCTGAGGCCGAGCTCTGACTGAGCAGGGAGAATGCCCATGCTTCAGGCACTGGGTAGAGCCTGGAAGGCTAGGGTGGGGGCAGTGGCTGGAAGACCATGAGGAGGAAGTCCTTCCATCTGCAAGGGCCTGGGGGACCTGGGGGCTGATGGCATCCTGGGCACTGCTGACCTTCTTGTGGCACTCCTTGGCTCAGAGCGGGGGGTTCAGGGGCGCTTGGGGCGTTGCGATAAGATTGACTAGGCCACGAGAGGGAGGTGGCTGCTTCCTTCTGTGCGCTCCCCCGGCCCCCAGCCCTCTATCCCTATCTGAGCTGAAGGTCCCACTGTGCTGGCCTGTAATGATGCCTTCAGTGTTGGGGGTAGGGGGGCTCCCTTCATAACCACGTCCTCTCTTGTCCAGCACAGAGCTTGGCCCAGGAGATGCAGTTTTCAGACCCATTTGTGCAATTACAGAGTAAAGAATGACTCACTGAATGAATGAGTGAATGAATGAACTCCTTGTGAGTAGGGACCTTCCCAGGACCCCCATGGTGCCTAGCACATAGTAGATGCTTAGGAAATGCTGCTCAGCCAGTGGACCCATTCCGAACCCACTTCTCCTTTCTTCATCCTCACTGACACTGATGGAACGTGGTGCACCTTTCCTTTCGTTAACCTCTTTGAACTCGCCTTTAAGAAATTAAAGTTCTGGATTCAGTGTCAGTGTTCTGTTGGCCCCAGGCATGCATGTCAGCATCCTGCCACTAGAAGGTCTCAGGGGTCAAGTGAGATCTTTTCATCTCAGAAGTCTCTCTCTGTCCTGGGGCTTCACGGGTTATTTCCCTCTTTGATGATGGGATTTACAGGAGCAGAGCTGAGCCCTGTGGAGACCTTCTGTTTGGTGCCAGGCCATGTGGCTGACTAGGCCTGTTCTGCTCCCTGCGGCCATGGGGAACGAGAACGGGAACACATGGGGCAGTGGAGCAGCCCTTGCCTTCCAGATCTGTGGTTGGGGAAAGCCACAGCCTCAGTTTGTCTTCTAGGAAGTGGGAGTTGAGATAGGGTGTGGAAGGGCCCAGCTTCGTGCCACAGTGGGGTGCGGACATTGAACAGCTGAGAGCCGGGATGAGGGGACCCTGTGTATTTCTTAGTGGAAACAGCTTTTCACCGGCTGTCCGACCCCAGAGCACTTGGGCTGTGAGGCCCTGGATTCTTGGCGGGGGTTTGAATTAGATTTGCCTGGTTTGACTCCCTTCCTGACCAGAGACCAGAACCCAGAGAGGAGAAGGGACACTTCTGGGTCACTCAGCAGGGGCAGCGCTGCATGAGACCCCAGGCTTGTTCTACCGGCTCCAGGTGGCCTCGGCCTCGCTATTCCCTGCCTGAGCTAGGCTGAATGAGGCTGAGGCTGGGGAGGTTGGACTGCCCTGTAGCCAGGAGGACTGTTAGACTTGAGCTCTAGTGGCCGACGACAGGTGGCCTCTGCTCTCTCCCCAGGGCTCTGTGGGCCCTGCCTCCCTCTCTCTCCCTCCCATCCCCATGAGTCCTCAGGGCACTCCTTGCGTTGCCTTGCGCATGGCTTCAGGAGGAAGCTGTCTTGTTTGTCATTTCTGGCCCAGGGCTGGGCTGTCCTCTTCTACTTCAAGGCACATTTTGGCTGATCATGAAATTGCTACCCAGCACCTTCTCTGATGGAAGGGCAGTGAGCTGACAAGCTGGGAGGCTCAAGTGTCCTCCTCCTGGGATAGGCCTATTAAAAGAAAAAGCAGGAGAAAAGAACTCTTAGAGGCTCCTACAGCATGCAGAGCTTTCACCAGAAACAAGTGATCCTGGCGCTTATAAAGAGGCCAGTGGCTGGCCATGCTCACACCTGTAATCTCAGCACTTTGGGAGGCTGAGGTGGTAGGATGGCTTGAGTCCAGGAGTTTGAGACCAGCCTGGGCGATATAGTGAGATCCTGTTTCTACACAGAAATAAAAAATAAAAAAATCAGCCGAGTGTGGTGGTGTATGCCTATAATCCCAGCTAATCGGGAGGCTGAGGTGGGGAGAATTGCTTGAGCCCAAGAGGTTGAGGCTGCAGTGAGTGGTAATCGAGCCACTGTACTCCAGCCTGGGCAACAGAGTGAACTGTCTCTACCGAAAAAAAAGAGGCGAGTGTTTCTGGCTGATGCCCCGACTCCTTCCTGCCTGTTGTGGGCTCAAGGACCCCCTTTGGAGCCTGGCATTGTTCTGGTCACCAGAAATAGAGAGGAAGAGTGCAGCTCCTTGGGGGCACCCTGGCATAGAGCCCGGGAGCAGTGTGAGGCACCGAGGGATGGTCAAAGGGAGGCCAGGAGCTCTGCAAGGGAGTGTGAGCCCAGAAGTGAAGGAGGCAAAGACATTCCCAGGTGGGCACAGTGGAGGGGCAGCCACACAAGGCAGAGGGGATGCCAGTGCTGGGTGTGAGCAAGGAGACACTTCTGGGATGTGCCAGGGGCGGTGCAGCACCAGGGACCTGGGACAGGGTGCAGAGAGACGGCCTGGGTGGCTGCTGGGGGCAGAACAGGGTGAACACAGGGCCAGGACAGGGACTGGGGGCAGGTCTGTTTCCCTAGGGAGCAGCCTTGTCATGGGAGGTGGGGGCTTCTGGCTGTGTGACCTTGGACAAGTTACTCCACCTCTCTGAGCCTTGAGTTTCTCATCTCTAAGCAGGAAGGAAGCCCCCTGTGGGATGGTGATGATCATGACAGCGATTCATGTTGCCGCAGGCCTTCATCAGGCTCTAGATGAGAGGGGAGCATTGTCCCGTCACCATTTGTGTCCTGCCCTCCCTTAAAACAGTATTTGGACTGTTAATTGTGTGTGACAACTTTTTAACTACCGACCACTCTTCAGCTGGTGAGGGTCAATTTGCTTTTCAGGCATTCTTTACAATGAGCCTTGGTTTTGCTTCCAGGGTGAGAAATCCCTGGCGAGGGTTGCGTTTTCCTCTGTAGAAATGATTTGCACGGGCTACTGCCCACTTCCCTCGGAGAACTGGGATCCTCTGCAGCTTTGATCCTGCTCTTAGGAAAATGCTGGAGGCCTGGTGGGGGGTGCTGTGTGTCCACTGTCCGACCTGCCTTGGTGCCCTGGCTTCTCCTCCCATGCTGCGTCTGGCTGTGCCACTTCCCCAAGCCAGCAAAGTCTGGTCTGAGAGCATAAAGGATACGGAGGCTGGACTTCCCCTGGCCAGCCTGTGGACCACTGGGGGGCTGCTTCCCATGCAGTTTGAGTCAGCAAATATTGACCAGGGGCTGCTCTGTGCCAGGCCTCGGGGGAGGGCTCCAGGCCCCGAGGTGAGCCACACGCAGGGCAGTCTCTGCCCTCTGGAAGCTTCTTGTCCAGGACTTGCCGGCTCTCATTCCATCCTGGGTTAGCTCCAGTAGTGGCTGTGCCAGCCTCCTGCGCCATGCCAGGGACATGTGGCCATGGGGGTCTGTGACCCAGCCCTGGAGCTGGCATTTGCAGGGTGTCCAGATGGGT
Organism: Homo sapiens; assembly: GCF_000001405.40. Lineage (NCBI taxonomy): Eukaryota > Metazoa > Chordata > Mammalia > Primates > Hominidae > Homo > Homo sapiens. The sequence goes on along the minus strand of NC_000014.9, from coordinate 99,200,631 downwards.
GGGCCATGTGGTATGAAGAGAGATGCCCCGCCTCGCTGCCTCATGGGCAAAGTGGCATCCCTGGGCCCAGGCAGAGATTTTCTCACCTCTCTGAGGGACAGATGCCCAGGCCCCCAGAGGAGGCCTGTCGTGGTTGGAGGGCTTCCAGATGTCAGCAGATGCCTTGCCCTACAGGGCCAACTGTGCCTGTGCCTGTGATCTGGGGCACTGCTCATGTCCCCTGGCTCCAGCCATAGATATTGGCTTCTTGGCACTTGGCCTGGCACGGCCCTGGGCTTTGTGAGTGGGAATGACACAGCTCCGAATGGGGCTTCAGCCCAGTCCCCTTCCCCTGCCCATTCTGGGTGGAATCTGAGCTCCCCAAGACTGACCAGCGCCTGTGCTCCTGCACCAGGACAGCAGGCTCTTCTCTCGGCTGCGGACCCCTGCAGCATCCTGGATTCCCAAATACTCACAGTGGGCCTCATGGGGTTTCACTGCGCACCCGTGATGTGTGTCAATAAGACTGTTTAAAAAAAAAAAAGACGAGAGTCCCTGTCTGTGGTGGAATTTGGTGCCTTTTGAAGCCGAGGGATGGAGAAGTCAGGGGGAGCTCTTTCACAAGAAATAGACTCTCATATCTTGGGATTTGGGGAAACAGAACTGGTGAGGTTTTTTTTTTCCTTCCCAGGCACGCTGTATTATTAAGACACTCTGTCTTATAAGGGATGTTGGATAATTAATCCTGTGGCGAGGCAATACCAACAAGCGTTCGAATATATTTAAATAATGAGGAAGTTCTTTAATGTGGACCCATAAAATAATTGTGGGCCAGTGGCATGAAAAACAAGAAGATCTGTATTTATTGAAATGTACTTTTCCCCTTTAGAAGACAGGGATTTTTCTTTTGTGTACACACACACATATGCATGCACACACGCACACACGTGCACGTGCGCGCGCGCGCGCACACACACACACACACACACACACACACACACACACACACACAGCATTTAGCCAGAACCCTGCTAAGTCTTCTCCCTTTTCAGTCAAAAAGAATCAATTATGCCTTGTGGTCGCTTTCCAAAAACCACTTTTGATTGTGTGATTTTGTTTCAGTCGAGAGCGCTCCAATCAGTCCCTCAGAAACAAGAAGGGGGAAAGAACCCTCTCACCAAATATCTGGGCGTCTGTGCAGATTCTCAGCCATTGAGAATATTGACAGCAATCAGAATTCCTCGGCTGTTGAAACTTCGCCTCTAATTGAACTGGGAAAGGTAAACCCAGATTCAGGGCTCTGCACGCTGTAATTGCAATAATTTAATTTAGCTATTTAACCTGTAATTCAGTGGTATTTATTAAGGAGCATGGGAGAAAATGAGGCCATTAGGAGCCAGAGATGAATACATTGAAATGAAAATGAACACTTCTAACTGCCAGTTGACCTTCGGTTTGTAGCAGTTTTTATTAGGCTGGTCACGGTAATTACCAGGACGTGGATCAGGGAGGAAAAGCGAATAATTCGGTAATGAACATTTTTATTCATTATCTCACATTTTCAGGAAGCGGACAAGTATCGCAAAAGTATCAGTGATGCTTCCTTTCTGTTTGTTTTTTTAAAAAATGATTGTTTTGGACAACGGCCCCGCGCAAAGCGTCCCTCGCCGTGAGCAAGTGGTGTCCGGGGAGTCTGAGCTAGGCGCTCTGGTGTGTCACGGGGCTGGGGTGCACCTGGGGATGGCTGACCTAGTCTGCCTGGGAGGAATGCAGAGAGTCGGAAGCCTGCTAGCCCCATTCGCCGAAGAGTTTTCTAAAACCATTGATTAAGTGGAAAGTTTTTTGCTGTGCTGACCGGGGGTGGGGTGGAACAGGTATTCTTGTGTCTTAGGATTAGCCCAGATGGGGCTGTTCTGGTGAGTGCAAAGCAGTGCATTTCGGAAGGTGCGGAAGGTGCGGAAGGTGCACTCTGTTTGGAAGGCTGGGGGTATGGCTGAGAATGTGTCGCGAGACCTTTCATACCATTCAATCCAGGAATTCTACTTCCAGGACCACGGCCTGAAGACTAACCAGGGACACGCATAGGCTCATACGTATACACCTGCAGCGTCCCTATAATCATGGAAAAGAGAGTGGTGAAATAAACATGCCCCAGCCATAGGGTGGAACATCACCCAGCAATTGAAAATAATGATGTCAGGGCACTTCTAGCGATGTGGGAAAATGTCAAGCACAAATCAAAACTGTATACAGCAGGAGCTCAGCTGTTTGAACTGTATACAGCAAGAGCTCAGCCGTTCGATGTCTGTGTGTTCTTGTCTATCTGCATCCACAGGAAAGGGACCGAAAGGAAACATTGACATTTTAAGAGAAGTTATTTTGATGGATTATATTTCCTTCCATATCCTTGTTTGTACCTGTAAAGGTTTCCACAAGAAGAAAAGTTTCCTTGAAAATCAGACAGTGCAATGACACTGATCTCAAAAGTTGTAGCCACTTTTTCTCAGTGGAAAGAAAAGTTTCTAGCTGGGCACCCTGCATCGGCAGCCTCTGCCAACCTTGTGGTTTCATTAGCTCCTCCTCCCACTTCCCAGAAAACCATCCAGCCCTTCGATGGATCAGGGGGATACACACTAAGCCCACGCGTGTCAGCCAGCTGTGATGGATAGCTTCCCGACACAGCCCGCGTCCTGTGCATTTGGGAGGCATCGTCTCTTTATTGCTCTGATTTCCATACCTGGCTTGCGGCTTCAAATTGGAAGTCAGGGGCCTGCACAGCAGAGTCTGCTGTCCTCTTCTGGGGCTGGGGGTGCATGACCCAGAAAGGGGGACACTTGGTGAGGATGTCTCCCTCGCACGCAGCTGTCCAGTTGATGGCCTCCGTCTCTGAGTCTCCGCTCCAGCCGTCTGTCTGCTTCGTTTCTGGCTGTGGTCATTTCCTTTCAGATAGAGACGTTAGAAATAATCATATTCTATTCACGCAGCGAGGAAGAGTGCGTGCGGGGTGTGTATCTTGGCGTTGTCAGAAGAACCTTATTAGATAGGAGGCGAATCCTCCTCCCCACAGCAAGGGCTTCATTTCCTCCCTGGAGCACCCCTCACCACCCTCTGACACCCAAAGGAATGAATGAGAGGCTTGCCTTGTGAAAAAAAAATTCTCTTTCCAATCTTCAATTTTCCAACTTCACTCATTTTCTTTATTAAGGGTACTATGGATATTGGAAAGAAAGAAATAAAATGACAGCTCTGCCCTGAATCCAGAGTGGGAGACCCTGCTTTGCATACTGACTTCAGCTGACTGGCAAGAGAGGGGCCAGGGGTGTCTTTAGGCCCTAGAGCAGTGTCTGGCACACACTGGGTCCCTGTAGGTGTCCCCTTCTGTCCTGGGGTCCTTTTCTTACTCATCTGCTCATTGCTTCTGACCCACTGCCACCAACTGTATCCCTAGACAGTGCCCAAATTCAGACCATGTTAGCAAAGGGATGTTGTGTAGCCTGATAAGGGTGCAGGCTGGGGAGGTGGAAAGGCATGCATTTAGCTTCTGGTCTGGTGTTGGGCCTCAGTTCCTTCACCTGTAACAAAATGAGTATGCTTCCAGGTCTGAGAATAAACTCCCTGGAATTATGCATGTGAAACCTTCGGGCCAGGTTCTGAACATGGAAGGAACCAGAACATGGAAGGTTCTTGGTAAATGTTCCCTTTCCTCCTTCCAGCCCTGAGCCTCAACATCACCATGTGATAATCTCAACTGGTGAGGATCCTGTGCAGCCTTGGTTGAGAAAGCACCTGGTTTATGAGGTGCTCATGTGAAGGTGCTCGGTGTTCGAGTTGTATCACACAGCCTTGGCAAGCATTTGGATTTTTTGAGCGGGTGGGTTTGCACACTCCCTGCACACAGAGCTCCTGTTCCGTTTGCAAGGTCCCCTCTCTTGTGGACACAGGTATCCTCTCTGATGGTGGACAAACATCTATCCAGTGTGCAGCTGACCGGTGGAACTGCTGAGGCTTCAGCTCCTGGGAATCTTGGGGGGCATCTGTCAAGACAGCTGCAGACAGGGAATGGTCAGGGCACATGAGCCGCTGCAAAGTGAAAGCTGCTGTGGCCTAGGACCTTAGGTTTTCAACCCACTGGGAACAGCTTTGACCAGGATAGTTGGGGACACGGAGCTATCTCCCTGAAAGATGGGCTGGCTGGCCTGGCTCAGGAGGGGAAGGGGAGGATGCCAGGACATTGAGGTCCTCATGTTGGAGGAGTGGCCGGTGCACCCCCAGCCCCTGTTTTTTTCAGGTCCACAGAAGGTATCACGGTGCTGCGCCCCAGTCACCACTATGATCAGAACACTGCTGTCCTCACTCGTGTGGAGGAACTTTGGAACCTTTCCTCCCCTGGTTGCCTGGTTACAAGATCATCTGTCATGTGTTCCCTGAGAAGAGGGCTTGGCTGGGGAGACGTGGGCTGGGGGGCAGCATTGGGAGATGGTGTTTGCCTTTGGGAATGCAACAAGCACCTTCGATTCTATCTAATTCCCATTTATATTATGCCGGACAGCCCCACCACCCAGCTGCCCTCTCGAAGCCTCGGACCGCTGGGGTTTTTTTGATGCATGAATGAAGACTGGGAAGCGGGCCAGGACTTGGCTCATGGGCTTCTTCATCATTTATTAGCTTCTAGTTTTAATTGTTTCCCGACTTCTTTCCAGATATTTATCTAGGAAGAAATGTCAGTTCTCACTGTGCCGCGCAGACACAAGGGGCGGGTGCAGACTGCAGAATTTTAAGGGCTCTTCTGGGCAGCAGGCAGGAGGGCTGTGTCAGCTCAGTCTAGCAGGTGTTGGCTGAGCACCTACTATGTGTCAGATGGTGTTGGGTGGTGAAGGGTGACAGGAATGACTGGGACGAGGCTCCCACTCTGTAGGGGCCTGTTATCCTTGGGGGTGGGGTGCTAGCTCGAGGAAACTTACTTATGCTTTATTTTGAGCACTTCCCATGCTGCAGGCCCTGGGATGGATGTAAGCTGTGTATCCTCGGGTGGGTTGCTTTACCTCTCTGAGCTTGGATCCTCCATGTGGAATCCAAGGCATACGAGCCTTGTGGGGGTTCACGAAGATACACTGAGGCACTCAGCAAGTGCTCAGCAAGGGCCAGCCATTGTTTTGGGGGTGCAAAGCCCAGTGCAGTATCCTGGCTTGGGGGACTGTGGTGTGTGGTGGGGTGGGCAAGGATAGAATGCTGGGTGCACCATTCGCCTGCAGCATTCTGGTCTCATCTGCAAAATGGAGGTGCTGGGGGAGCCCCACAGAGGAGGTGTGGGGAATACTGGAGAGCCCTGGGAAGCTTCTCTTCCTTTTCTTCCAGAGGAGCCCTGGGTCAGAGTGGACCACTGTGTTGGTGTCTGTGGTGGATTTGACAGTGGGGCTTGAAAGTACAGGTCAGGAAGCCAGGTAGTTCGCTCCACATATTTTCCTGAGAACGCATCTTGGCTTGCTTTAGGTACTTTTCAGTCCCCTGATCATCTGGGCAGAAGAGGAGTCTGAAGGCTCGAGTTCCTGCGCCAGCCTCATCCTTGGGCTGTGCGACCTCAGGAAGCCCTTTCTGCATGCTGGGCAGCCTTCGTTTTCCCATCTGTGCACCTGGGGGAGATGGCTCTGTGCTAAGGTGACTTATTGGTGGAAGGAGCAAGGGCAGGCTGGCTGGACCTGCCTTGTTGCCTGGATGGCCTTGGGTAGACGCGCTTTGTTCCTGAGCCTTGGCTTCTGCACTTGGGAGCTGAGGTAAGATGGGATCGTGGTAAGGACTGACCAAGGTCCTACTGGTCGGGTGCCCGTGGTTCAGGCCTGTCTGCATCCTCGGGGGTTGCTATTATCGAAGGCCGTCTGCTCCACGGTTGAGACTGCTTTTGAGCCAAGTCATCCAAGCCTGGGTCCCAGCTCCTTCACTTCCTGTAGGACCAGCCACGCAACCTGGTTGAATCTCACCTTTCTCCCCTGAGTGACAGGGAAAATATTAGCTTCCTCTGGGGGCCATTTTGCAGACAAGGCCTTTCACACCGAAGGACAGATTCAGAGAAGTTAAGCACCTTCCCCAGGGTTGCCCAGCTAATAACTGCCGAGTCATAGCTGGTTGGGAATAGAACCCCATAGTGTTCAGTCCTTTGTTCAAGGTGCATGGGCAACACTGGATGGGGTTCTGGGTGCCCCACAGGGCAGAAGCCGAGAAGGACAGAGCTCTGGCCATGCCTACAGGCATCTTCCTGGCCCTGCCACCCCCTAGGGATGTTGTCCAGGAGCACTGGCTCCTTGGCGGGCCCATCTTACCAGAACTGGGTGTGTTCTGTAAGCCAGTGCAGTCCGGGGAAGGCCTTGGCGGTTTGCTGACTGTGACTTCTGCTGCTGGGGGACAGTCCGGGGCCAGCAGCACTTGCTCTGTGCTGGGGCTGTGAGGAGGGAGGACAGGTGTCCAGGTGGTCGCCCTGTCACCTGCCCTGAGCTTCCTGATATTTCGTCTTCTCCATCATGTTTGGGAGAATTCATGTGTGGGGTCATGCACGTTTCTCACGACATTCCCATTCCTTGCAAAATCACTGAATTTGCCATTTGCTTTGGGCCCATATTGTCTGGCAGAAACCATTGAAACCCCCAGTACCCCCATTCATATTGACAAGCATTGGGGCCAATAAAATGGCCGGATCTCATTGGCTGGAGCACTGCTTTGGGATGGCTGCAGAGAAGGGGGAGAAATAAAATCCTTCAGATTGGTCAGCCTGCTTTTCAAACAGGAGTCTACAAACGCATTTTAGATTTGGGGTTTTAAAAAGACAGATCCCTTCTGAAATTTGGCCAGAAATGATTTGAAACAAAATGATCACAGACTTGATGAAAAAGAGGTGCTATCAAACCCTCTTCATGGTCTGGACCAGAACTTCTGTTGGCAGTGGGGTTCGTTAGTGTGTGTGTTTGGCTGTTGGTTTCTCTATTTAGTTGCATGTATTCTTATTATCTTAGATTTGGCTTTAATCATTTATTTCATTTTTTTAGAAGGGAAACTTTTTTTTCTTTCTCCAGAAAAAAGAGGTAAGAGGATTGGGAGGAGGGTCTCTCCTCTGCAGCCGGAATCCGAGTTCTCCGGCATGTTGTACCAAGTTGATGGCTATTATTCCCCCAGAAAATAATGTCCCCTTTTTTTTTTAAACTTCCTTTTAACATTCTGCCCTTGGCATCTGTTCTAGGCATTGTGGACGAACGTAGACTGTGTTCTGACAATGGGTTAAAGCAAGCACTTATTGAAAAGCATTCTCTACTTAATTACATTTCCTTCTTCTGGAAGCTATTTTAATTTTTTTTATAATCACATGTTAATTGTGTATTAGCGGGGCCTTTCTGATTAGTTGAAAACATAATGAAACCTTTGTAAACAACATAGGGAGAAAGAAAGAGGAGTGTGCGAACAGACAGTGGTGATGAGCCAGTTGTAAGAGGCCGAAATCACTACGTTTCTTGATGCCAGGGAGGGGCTGAAATTGTACCTGGAAGGCCCCTTTTGAATGACGACTACTTGGTGGCAGTGGCTGACCACGGTGGCTGATCAGTGACAGAGAGGGGTTTGGGGATTTGTTCATGAGCGGTCCCATCTCATCTTAGCCCCTCTTAGCCCCATCCTGCTGTCTTGCACTCACTTATTCACTCATTCATTCATTCACTTATTCACTTATTCACTAATTTACTCATTCATTCATTCACTCTTTTATCCATTCATTCACTCATTCATTCATTCATTCATTCATTCACTCATTTACATTTTGATCATTAAATAGCATTCTCTATTGAGCACTGACCAGAGGCAGGACTCTTCCATGCACGCTCTGGAATCTTTCCACATCCTCAATACAGGTGTCACTCGCATTTATGGATAAGGAACTTGGAGCTCAGAGTTGAGCTCACTCATTCATGTTCAGCCAAGGCTAGGAAGCAGGAGAATCAGATCTTTCTGGCCCACAGCCCCAGCCCCAGTGTGGTTCCCAAGTTGCCATGTCCCTTCCCATCCAAACTTCAGCCGGTCTGGTACACCTGGTACCTGGCAGGACAGCAGGAGGGTAGAGGAGGCAGCGGGGCTGGGCCTGGGTGTGTGTGGCGAGGACGAGGTGAAAGGTAGCGCGCTGTGGTCTCCAGAACGTGCCGGCATTGTTTTATTTTCTGCCTTCTAACGAGAGCCACGTTTCTTGATTGAAAGCACCAGCCCCAGTTTACAGTCCCTATTGTGGCGAGCGGGGCCCCGAAAGCCCTGCTCTGTTCCCCATTTAAAGGGCTGGGCTTACAGGGGTTTTGCAGTTCCCAGGCTGTTATTAGGGAAGCGTGGCTGGGGCGCTTAAAATGAAAGTGCTACTGTATGCGAGAGCCAGGTTCACCGTGTGCGCTCCAAGGAAACGCTGCCAAGACAGTATTATGAACAGCCGCCAAGCAAAACACACGCATTCCGTCCAGTGGAGCCAGCACTGCTGCAAATAGAGGAAAAATTGACTTTCTGATTTGGAGTGTTTCTACAACTAAGAAGAATCACTCCAGTGATTGTTCTAAAAATATTCCGGAGCTAGCACGTTCTTGAAGGCCTCGGGATTCTGAGCGTCCCTTAATTGTACTTTTTATGTAATCTCTCTGGATCGTGTTTTTTAAAAAAATCACTTAAGCTTGCGTGGTCATCCTCCTCCCCCCGTCACCCCACATAAGTGTTGATGCTGCGTGAAAGAGTGGCATACGCAGCAGAAATTGTATTTTTATCTCTTTGACTTCAGGAAGTATATATTTGTTTTTCATCTCCTGCAGCCGCTGTTGCAGGGCTCACAGCTGAGCCACCAAATCTAGGGCAGCCCCTGACATCCCTGCCTTAGTGGCCAAGCCCAGCTCTGGAGGGAAGTCACTCGGAGCATTTTTTTTTTTTTGGTGGAGGGCTGCGGGCAGGGGGGTGCTGACAAATGCAGTCCCCCTGCCCCCTCTGCCATTTCAGGCTGCCTTCCCCCTTCACGAGGCTCGGAGCTCCCTAGGAGCCCCAGATTCTCAGCTCCAGGCAACTCTGGAATTCAAATGATTTCTACAATGATGAAATTGACTGGGATTCCACAGTTTCTTTATTGCCAGAGAAGTAGATGGTGTGGGCCCCTCCTCTTCTCTCTGTCTTTTCAATTCTCTCCACCTCTTTCTCCCTTTCCCACTCTCTTCCTGACTCCCCACTTTCTCTTTCAGTCTATTTTTTTTTTTTTAGATTTAGGTGCGGTCCCCACAAGGAAGCCAGTGTTTAAGTTGACGGGTGTGGCCCAGGGCTGCCCACTTTTGGGACAGTTGCTATGTGGACTGGCTCATCCTTTGTTGGGGAGATGTCCTGTGCATCGTAGATGTGCAGTGGCATCCCTGGCCTCTCCCCACTAGATGCCAGTAGCACCCCAAAGCCCAAGCCCCTTCAGTCTTGACAATCACAAATATCTCCAAATATTGCCGCAGGTTTCCTGGAGGGGCAAAACAACCCTCAGTTGAGAACCACTGTCCTAGGCTGTTTTTTTCTAACTGACAACAACCTGGAAAAGGCCTGGGGGAATATTAGTATCTATTTTGAGGTTCAAGAATAACCAATAATAAAAGAGTGGAATCAAAGGCCTTCCTTGAAAATTGGGACTGAATTCCCATTGTTAGATTTTACCCCCAAAGCATATTTTAAAAAGAAGTAACAGGATGACCCTAATTTGAGGGTGACCCCCCCCGTGTGGCCGAAGCGGGCGGTGGGAGTGGAGGTGGTGAGCTGTCTGTCACAGTCGCACCTGTAGGAGTTGGAATGGCCAGGTAGGTCAGACATCTGTACCTTCAAACAGTCGAGCAGTTTTTCTCTGAAATATTTGCCATGCCGAGCTTTAGAACAATTCTTCTTTCTAGAATTAGCTTACTGATAGCCTTATTGGTGAATGGATGCTTTTGAGAAATTTGCCAGTGGTTTTGGCAGTGTGTGTTGGAACTTTCTCAGTTTTACTGCCCTTCCTCCCTCCTTTCCTTCCTTCCTCTTCCCTCCTTCCCTTAGAGATTTTTTTCCCCATTGTTAGGAATGGGACTTCACTAAAAAAACAAAACAAAACAAAGGCACAGACAAGTGCCTTTTTAAAAAAATTAGTATTTATTTATTTCTATTTGAGACGAAGTCTCGCTCTGTCGCCCAGGCTGGAGTGCAATGGTGCCATCTCGGCTCACTGCAACCTCCACTTCCCGGGTTCAAGCGATTCTCCTGCCTCAACCCCCAGGTAGCTGGGACTACAGGCGCATGCCACCACGCCTGGCTAGTTTTTTTGTATTTTTAGTAGAGACGGGGTTTCACTGTATTAGCCAAGATGGTCTTGATCTCCTGACCTCGTGATCTGCCCGCTTTGGCCTCCCAAAGTGCTGGGATTACAGGCGTGAGCCACCGCGCCTGGCCCAAGTGCCTTGTTTTAAAGACATATGCTGTAACTGTTTCTGTGAATCATGTTATGTGGCTTTAAGTGTTGGCTCATTATTGGGACACCCAGTAGGGTCGGGTGCCAGGTGTCATTGCATCCATCAGCAAAACCTGTCTTTGGGAAATCTAGAATTGGATTGTCAGCAGGTGCTGTGCTGGGCTTCTTGGAGTGCCTTGAGAGTGATTTCCTGGGCTCGGCCCACACCCCTGCTTCTGCGGGCCAGCCCAGCCAGCCTTGAGGTGCTCCTGCCACTTGGAATTCACAGAACTCCACCTCCCCTGGGCCTGGACCTCTAGGCTTCAATTCCCTAGTGCCCATAGTCCCCGATAAGGGTCATCTTGGGGGCCTTCTTGCTCCAGGTGCTCCCACACAGTGTGGGCAGCAGTTTCCCAGCCCTTCTCATCCCCCGCTCTACCTCGTGCACTCCCCTCTGGCTTTGTCATCAGCCTGGCCTCCTTCTGCCCCTTGGTGTGGATGATGCCTTTATCCTGCCCTCATGGGGTGGGGGGCAGTCCTGGGAGAACCAATGGGCACAGCTGCTGGGGCCGCAGGCTGGAGCCAGCGTTGTGATTGGATCCAGCTGCTGACCCAGTAGCCGCCATGCTGGGGTGTTGGTGTCTGGAGAGGGCCGTGTTAGGAGCGTGGGTGTAACTCCTTGTCGACATTAGTTTCTCTCCTGCACACTGTGTGTGTGGGTGTGCGTGTGTGCCCACGTGGACACACATCCCCCTGCATTTTATTGTGAACTTGCATGTGTGTGTGCATGTAGTGTGCGTGCAGCTTTTCTCTTCCATAACCGCCCATGGTGGCGTTCGGTGCATCTTAGAGTCCTCTGATGTTCTAGCGGCACCAGGCAGCTCGGCTGTGCATCCGGGCACCCGGAAACTTCGGTGGTGTCAGGCTGTGCCTGGCGAGATGACCACGTCCCGGCAGCCAGCAGCGGCTGGAGGAAGCTTGGCACGGTGGCAGAGGCAAAGCGCCGCAGAAGTGCCGCAGGTTTTTCATATGGAAATGTGAAATAATGGGGTGATTAAATAGAGCTGTATATTAAAGTACATCTGACATTAGAATTACCATAATGTGCTGTAGCCTTAGGCTGAGTACTTTATTTGCCATCTGCGTCGGCCCAAAATCCCCCGGGGAAGCGCTAAAATATTCTGAATAAACTCAGCTCGAGTTCTTATTGAGAGTAAAATACCATTTGTGGCACGTCGTATTGATTCGTCTTAATTGTGGTGCAGAAAAGAACATTCACTGGCTGATGACTTTTGTGCTCGGTGACAAGCTGGCTGGAGTTACTCTAGCACTGCAGTTGGTTAACCTGGGCCGACAGCAGACTCGGCCAGGCGGGCACCTGGGCTCCAGCCGCGGGAGCCGCAGCGCCACCCCCCGCCCCAAGCCGGTGGTACAGCTGGGGCTCCCCACCAGCCCCTGGCCCTCCTCCCGGGAGAGGGTTGGGGAGAAGGGAGCCCACTGTGGGGGGCAGAGGAAATTCACACCCTGCCCCTCAGACCTCTCCCTATGGCCAGCCTTGTCCTTCCCCAGAAAGACGAACTGACCTGCTGGGGACAGAGGCCACGGTTTCAGCCTCAGCCCTAGCCCCAGCCCCAGCCCCAGCCCCAGCCCCAGCCCCAGCCCCAGCCCCAGGCCAGCCATTGGTTGGAGAGATGTATTCTGCATATCGAAGGAAACAAAACTAACAAAAGAAAGGAAAAGAAAAAAGAAGGAAAAGAGCCTATCCACCCGGGCAAACCCAAGCTTGGTTAGTTACTGGTTAGTGGTTGTGGGACTGGGTAATGGTCTCTGAACCCCACTGGGGGGAAATTACTTGCAAAATGCATTAAAGATAAAAGAAAACACTTGGTGATCCAAACAGTGTTCCCCCCATTCATAAGGTCCAGTTTTTTACCCTATAATTGCCTATCATTATACACAATTTAAATATTCAAACATTCTCCACAAACCCTGGGCTAGCATGTTTTTATTACAAATTCAGAACAAGGGAATAACCTTTAACTTCAGAGACAAATGAGACAAATTTACAAGTGCATATCTGCTGTTTTCTTGTGCTTTATCAATCCCCGCAGACCGGAACACTTTTGCTCTAACGCCACTCAGAACAATATACATATATTACTACTTGTTTGTAGTGTGTCAGTAATGAGTCCCCTCTGCATTAGCTAACCTATATAACTCGGTATCGAGGCTCTCCATAACGTCAATTATCTCCTTGGAGCTAAACGTACACTCCATTAAAATGAGATTTACTGCTCTGCCATACTTCTTGGGGTGGAATGTCGAGATTTTTTGTGGATTTAAAGAAAGGAAAGATGGAGGCTTGCCTGGTGAAGGAAGTCTTGAATTATGGAGAGGGGAGACTTCCTGTCTCCAGGAGGAGGAGGAGGAAGGCCTGCATGGGGTGCTTCTGGGGAGACTGAGATCCCACGTGTGAGTGAGAAACAGCTACACACTGATCCCCGCTCACACACCTGCAGCCGACTCCTGGCCTTTTTTTTTTTTTTGCCTGTTTATCTCCTAACTCCCTCTTTATTTGTCCATTAAATGATAAGGATGGTTTGCTCTGTGCTTCTCTTTCACATTCTCTGCAAAATTCCTGTCCCCAGAGTTCTAGAATCCTTTCAGAAAACTCTCATGTTGGGCGGCGTGGGGGAACGTCACCATCAAAGTGAGCTCAGCTATCGGCCCACCAAAACCCACTGGAACAGCGTAGGCCCTTTTCAGGGAAGTTCACAGAAAGCAGATTTCAAGGGACTCTGACAACGCATTCTTTATTATTTCCAGTGGATTTCTGTGCCTTATCCGAAGGCGGGACCTCTAAAGACAACCTCTAGGAATGTGCTGTAGCTTTTCACAAATGCTGCAGATGACTTGCCACATGGAAAATTGCTCTGTGCGTCCTGCCCCGGCTCTTCCATCTTACTGACAAACACCACTGTTTTCACCCTGTGCCATGATACCCCTGCGGCTGGCAATGTTGCTTTATTTTGGGGTTGGGTGGCTGTTTCCTGAGCCTGAAACTGCACACCTGGGCTAACCAAAGAATTGAACGGTTGAAACACAGACTGTTTTGGGAAATCTCGGGTGCATGCAGCCATAGTTCAGTTTTAATACTTCCCTGTTCCACCGACAGCCTGGACTGTCTTGTTTCTGAAGGTGGATTCACAGGCCTAGGGTATTCAGATGTGAGGCTTGCTGGAATCGTTTAACTCCTGCCGGAGAGGGTAACCTAGAAGCCACCTTCCTTGCTAGTGATCTTCATAGACTGGATTTTAAGTTTCATTCCTTTATACCTTATGGAAAGCAGCTTGGGAAGGTGGTCCTCTGAAGGGTTCACATGCATCCTTTTGTTATATTGAGATTTTCCTTAATACTGAACAGTTCTTGACTTGAGTAGGCCTTGAGTGTGGGCTTGAAATTTTTCATGGACGAAATAGGAAAGTTTTCACTATGATGGGATTTACAGCAATGGAATTTGCTCTATATCCAGCTAAGTTTCTTGCGTGTTTTCTGAACCTCTCCCTTTTCAATTTTGCCTTCAGTTCTTCCTTTCTTTGAGTCTGGAGTCCCACCTCCGCCTTTAGGCATGCAGTACCTCTGCCAGGCATGCGCTTTCCCTCCCTTCTCTGCATGATGCACTTTTTTTTGAGACGGAGTCTTGTTCCATCACCCAGGCTGGAGTGCAGTGGTGCGACCTCGGCTCACTGCAACCTCCGCCTCCAAGGTTCAAGCAATTCTCCTCCCTCAGCCTCCCAAGTAGCTGGGACTACAGGCACCTGCCACCATGCTGGCTAATTTTTGTATTTTTAGTAGAGACGAGGTTTCACCATGTTGGCCAGGCTGGTCTTGAACTCCTGACCTCAGGTGATGTGCATGCCTTGGCCTCCCAAAGTGCTGGGATTACAGGCGTGAGCCACTGTGCATGATGCACTCTTATTTTCCATTCTGAATGAACACCAGGGTCTCTTCCTTGGAGAATCTTTCCTGGTCCCCCGAGGATGTCAGCCTCTCCCTCCTCTGGGTTCCACACTGCTTGGCACACCCTTCACTAGTGACTGAGTGGCCTGAACCCTGCCTAGATGTTCCTGGAGTCATTGGCCTCTTGCTCTAGACTTTATGCTCCATGAGGACAGACCTTCATTTCTTTGTGTGTCCCTCCTCTTGGCATAGGGCCTGGCACAGAGTAGACACATCGTGCATCTGTGAAGGAAGGGAGGAAGGAACAAGTGAATAAATGTTGTTGAGAAGTTGACGGTGAAGCCGTGCTCTCATTTCTTGCTGTAACGATACCATTTCTGGGTTGCCAGATGCGGTGAGGTCTTGGGTCATCCTGATACTCTTCCAGGGCTTCCCCAGGAAAGCACCTCGGGAGCAGGGTGTCTTCTGCACACCTAACACTTACCCTGGGTCAGGAGGGCGAGTGTGCGGGAGTAAGGACAGCCCTGTGGAATGAGCCAGGCCTGCACTGGATGGAGACCCCTTTTGTGGAATGCTCTTGGGTATATATTTGCCTCTCCGGTTGCATTTCCCATTTCCCCCGACCTGCCTCATTCTATAGCAAACAGAGCTGCTTTCTGCGTCGCGTGGCCCAGCGCCCTGCACCTTGAGTGTGCTCACACAGCTCCCTACCTTGCGGACCTTTCCCTCCTTGGCCTGGGCACCTCCGGTTCTCTGTGTCTGGCTTGAACATTACTGGTCATATAGTTTTTTTTTTTTTTTTCTTTTTTTTTAAGGCAGAGTCTCACTTTGTCACCCAGGCTGGAGTGCAGTGGTGTGATCTCAGCTCACCGCAACCTCCGCCTCCTGGGTTCAAGCAATTCTCCTGCCTCAGCCTCCTGAGTAGCTGGGATTATAGGTGCGTGCCACCATGCCCAGCTAATTTTTGTATTTTTAGTAGAGATGGGGTTTCACCATGTTGGCCAGGCTGGTCTCCAACTCCTGACCTCAGGTGATCCGCCCACCTTGGCCTACTAAAGTGCTGGGATTCCAGGCGTGAGCCACCGCGCCCGTCCTCATCATGTAGTTTTGCTGCCTGCCTCCTCCCCAGGTACTCAAAAGTCACTTGAGGTTTCTGCTTTGTCTGACAATTCTCTGTGTCTACAGTTTAACCCACTCCCACTCCCTGACCCCCACCTATGACCCTGAGGGAGGAAACCAAGACTCACTGGCGTTTTTGTGAAAATCTGGCTGTCAAGGGGAATGCTGGGGCTCTTTGTTTGAGGGGTGTAGGCCCAGCTTCCTAAGGTTTTTCTCAAAGCCTGAATTAAGTCCAGGCAGATGAAGCCGCACAGCTCACCTCTGCTGCAGGGGTCCCATGAGGGTAAGTGGACGGTCACCCAACACTATGGGGTGAGCGAGGTTTTCTCGCTGTGTGCAGCCTCTTTCTTCTGGGCCATTTCCTGCCCTCGAAGGCCTTCAGCTTGGCCTCCCGGGCTGGCTTGCTGGCAATCCCAGGTGCAGGCGGAATGATTAGACAGGGCTGGCTCAGGCTCCTTCCCAGGGATGGTCACCACAGGGTCTGCCATCCCTGTGTGAGGGGCAGCCAGTTGTGAGTCTGGACCCCAGCACACGCTCTGGGGTCAGACGGACCCGGGTGTGCATCTTGACTCTGCCACTTACCAGCCCTGTGACCTGGGGCCCCTCACTCAGCTGTGATGAGACTTAGTTTCTTTTCTCTAGAGAACCTGGGTTAAAACCCACTTTCCAAAGTGGCTGTGAGCATCCACCTGACAGCAAAAGGCCAACATTGGCACGTGCAGGCTGTAGCCATGCTGAACACACCAAGGTCAAAGACAAAAGATGACAGTTCAGTATGGTGATCAGTATGAAGCAGATCTAAATACAATGCTGTGGAATGCTGAGGGGATTAGACTTGGGCTGGATCTGAAAAGATATTTTATGGGGAGAGAATAAACGGCAGGTATTCCAAGAAGCAGGAATGGCACCAGCAAGGGCATGGAGGTGTGAAAATGCGCTGCCCAAAGGGAGGCACCGAGAGGGCGAGTGGGCAGCTCATGGGTGTGTGCAAAAGGCAGGCAGCAAGTGGGACCGGATCCCAAAGGCTGGGGTGCCTGATACATCGTCCTGGGTATCAGGGAGGCCCCACCAGCTCTGTGATTTGGGAAGATCTGTCCCTGGTTCTGGGGTGGGTGGTAGCAGAGGTGGTGGCATACTGTCTTGGTTCTGTGTGTAGTCCCCTGGGATTCTGGCATGCTTTGGTGGTTGGGATGCAGCCGGCTTCGGGGTGGGGGCAGTGCTGGGTGTGTTCTCTGCTGAGGAAGAGAGGCCTTTTGTTGAGAGTGCTGAGTGGAGCCCTGCTCTCTGGAGGGGGCCCGGTGTGGAGGGCGGCATGTGGACTGTGGAGTTGCGGTGTCCTCCCAGGTCTAGTCCTTGTCTTGGTGGGACTTCAGGAACGCTGACCATGAGAAAACGCAGAGAAAGTCCCAAGTTCCAGTCTCTGTCACCTCCCGTGTACCCAGTGCCTACTGTATGTGGGTCCCTATTTGGGGTATTTTACCACGACGAGCCCTCATCCTACAGCGAACGACCCAGGAAGGCAGGTATTGTTTTCCCTGTGTGGATGAGGACCCTGAAGCCCTGTGGTGTCCAGCAACTTGGCCGAAGTGTCTGGGCTTTGAAGTGGGTCTGGAAGGAACATGGCTCGTGCTGGCAGGAGGCTGAGAAGACTCCTGGTCTGTCGGATGTCTCGGCCGCTGGCAGTCCTGAAGTGCAACTTTGCGTGAGTCACCATGTTGCAGGCTGGTGTCCAAGCAGTCCACAAGACCAGCGCAGTCCCTGTCCTCAAGGAGCTTGGAGTCTGGAAGATGAATTTTAAATAAATAAGCTAAGGTCACTAATTTCTTCTTGAGCAACTTATCCAAGTTCTCTGGGCTTCCCTTATTTCTTCGGTCAATGGTCACTGCGTGTAGAGTTAGGTGGGGTCTAAACGAGGTGATGTGGGTGGGTCTGGCATCATGTGGGTTCTGAACCCCCAAGGTGAGTCAAACCCTTGAATTCTTCTCTCTCCCAGCACCCTGAACTCCTCCTAGCGTCACTCATAATTTGCATTAAATAATGGAGTGGTTACTGGGGGTTCCCTGTCTCCCCCCTGGAGTGTGAGCTGCACCCTTAGCTACCAGCATAGTACCTAGCAGATGAAGGGGGCCCAGATCCTGTTTGTTCAGTGAATTAATGAAAGTCAGATGTAGACAAAGTTCTCAGCAGAACACACAGTGCTACCACGCTCATTCAGCCCAATCTATTTTGATCCCACATTTACTGGATTTACATCTACTGAGATCCAGGAATGGCAAAGAGGTGCAGGCATGCTTTATTTGGCAATGACTGCCTGGAGCCTGGGGTTAAAGAGGAGTCCAAGGCCTGGAGGGAGAGTGCGGGGATGAACTGGCAATGTCTACCGCAGGCCTTGGTGTGGGGGCAGTGGCTTTCTTAGCCAGAGGCTGGCTCAGCACATTACCACCAGAGGAGACCATGTCTTATTGGTCATAGTACCACTGCTATTACCATCAGCACTTACACCCCTCAGTGGGCCACTTGCTTTGAAAGGTTTTTCTCTTCTAAATGGCATCTATTATTTTTGCCATGAGATAATCAGCATGATTTCATGGAGTTACTGCAATTCTAGCCAAAAGCAACACATCTTGACATTTTTGTTAGTACGTGGGCTGAAATGAAAGGTAAAATACTGAGGCCCAGGTAGCTAGCCCCATCCCTGCCCGGAGTGTGTCTGCTGCTCTTCTGACCCAGCGTTTATCAGAACAGCATAACAAGAGCACAGGCTTTACCGTGGGCAGCTGTGCAGCCCCAGGCGGATCCCCTATCTCTTCCCGTCCTCAGTTTCTTCATCTGTAAAATGGTCATCATGACGGTGGGTACTGCAGGGGTTGTTGGAGCAGCATGTGAGGTCCTTGGTGTGCTTAGCTCATGCCTGGCAGGTGGTAAGGATTTCATAAAGCTTTCTTGTTACCACTGTGAGTGTTATTTCCCCAGTTCCGCCTTTGTCTTGGAGAGAGCTGAGGTTTCACGGAATACATTTGGAACAGGCAGGGATGGTTATCAATTCTGCAGATGGCTGTGCCCAGAATGATATAGACACGAAACTTAAATAGATCCCTGCGGTGCCCAATGGACATCTCCTTTCTGACGTCATGAAAGAGGATAGTTTTTAAATGAATAAGGAATCTACACATCTGAGGGATAACACTGATAATTACGATCATTTTGGAACTGTGGAGACGGCATCTTTAGCAGACGGATTCTGGAGGCGGACTGAGTGGTTGGCCGGTGAAACCAGCCATCTCCTTGGGTACTGGGTACCCTGAAGTCCAGAGTGGGGAAGGGAGCTGCCACAGGGGGCCCTGGGATCTGGTTTCCCATCCCTGGATTTGGCCACTTCGGTGTCTACCTCACGAGGTCCCCAGTGACGTGTCATACCCCGCAGGCTCGCTTGCTCGCTCTGTGAAACGTCTCCCCTTCTCCTCTCCAGGGTCAAGGCCTGTGGTGGACCTGACCGGGTTCCAACCAAACATCATCAGTGCCTTCCACTGGGAGGACACTCACAGTGTGGTGGGAGAACCTCCTTCGTGGCCATTTGCATTGTGAAACAGGCCCTGACGATAAATGCCTCAGGTGGTGCTGTGTGCCGAGGCGGGGCTGGAGCCCTGCTCAGGGGTTGGGAAGCCTGAGGAGGAGCGTGGCCTGCCCCTTTCTGGCCGTGCCGCTTTGCTTCTCTGAGCGTCAGTTTGCTCACGTGCCAGCTGGGATGCAGTTTTCCCCTGGCCCCCCTTGAGGCCACAGTGAGCAAAGATGGTGTGAGTGAATGCATGGGAAATGCCACGCCTAGTGTAAAATGTTTTGCAACCTGTAGAGGGGCCTGTAAAGCCAGAATCCAGTTCTTACTTTAGCCCCCCAACCTCAGGATATCACCCCGGGCCCTGCTTGAGTCGAGAGGGTGTCTCCTTGCTGCTCCTTCTCGAACAGCAGTGGGCCACTAAATCTCACCCAGGCAGGAATGCCCTTCCCTTTGGTATCACTTGGCCTTAGGAGGACCCCTATCAATTATGGCCTTTTCATTGGATAATAATTTCAATTAAAGGTGTGTTTTTTATTGAACATCTCTGATACCTTTATTGGTATTATTAGAGTAGCCAGCTTAATAAGGAGGAACAATTATTTAAATGCTCATAAAAAAGCCTAATGGCAGAGGGAGAGTCACATTTCATTGCAGGAGTCCAGCTGCACGTCGGTTCCCAAGCATCATAATAAAAAACGATGTTTCCTCAATGTTTGCAAGTTTCTGCTTCCCTAGAACCTCTAATGCATGAGGCAGGCTGCATTAAATGTCCTCCAGGGTTTCATTATTGCTGGAGTTATACTGAAAGTCATCACTGAAACATCCATGACCAGGTACAAGGATGGATAATAAAAAAACAAAACGTGCAAACCCCATCGTAACGCCTGCATAGCCATGTGCGATTTATAGGCTGTGCCCACATACAGGAGCTCATTTGGTCTCCCCAGGCCTCTCTGGAGCCAGGTATATTATTCCCATTCTACTGATGAGGAAGTCAAGCCTCAGAGAGGTTAAATGAATTGACTGAATTCCTCCTTCTGGGAACACCAAGGCAGAGGGGTATGGACGCACTGCTGTTGTCCAGGGTTCTCATGACCCAGGGTATTGCATTTGAGAAAGATGTCCTGGGGCTCTGTCTAGAGCCAGTGGAGCAAAGAAGATCCAGTGTGGGTTTCTGTCAGTGGATACAAAAAATGTCTGAGAAAGGAAGAAGGATGGAAAGAAGCAAGGGAAGACGAGGCCCTGGGTCTGAGTTGCCAAGCGTGACTTAGTGAGCAAAGTGTAGCTGACGTTTCTAGGTCTGTAGGCCAGGTTTGATGTTGCTGGGTAAATCGCTTCTAAATAGTCTAGGCCTTGACCTATCAGTGGGAATCTCAGCAGCCTGTCTGGGCCGCTAGCATAAAGTTGTCACCCCTCTCCACAGTGCAGCCTCCAGCTCACCTGTGGGCAGGTGGCCCTCAGTTCCTGGAGGGGGGTGACAGCCAGGAAACATCTGGTCCCGGGAAGGGGAGTGGGCCAGCCCCCAGTCAGAAGCAGCCTGCTCACCAGGGGTCTTTTGCTGCACTTAAAAATGAGCCGTCTGAGACTGCGTGCCATGTGTTTAAAATATTTAGCGAGTTTTCAAATAGAAAAATGTTCTGAGTGGCTCTTCAAAGACTTTCTGACATTGTTCCATTTCTGAAAGTGAGCAAGCCTCATGCTCAGGGCTACTTCCGGGCAAGAGATAACCATGGAGTGATAATAAGGAAATGAATGTTTTATTAAAAAAAGAAGGGAGTGGGGACTGGAAAGAAAGTTGTCTAGGGCGGGCCTCTGAGGGCTGGGTGATTTTTAGGATATCGGAAGGCTTCAGATCCTGCACTGGAGGCCATCGCCTGAAGTGAAATCTTGCCATTGTGCAGAGGGAAGTATTGGAACCAAAGCGGTTCCCGGACACGGGTCCAGTAAGAGCTTTCCAGGCAGGACGGGTGGCCCTGAAATCCAGCCTGATGAATAAACATCGCTCTTCTCACCTGATGGTGAATTATGGACAGGTAATGCCCTCCCTATGTTGCTCCAAGTTAGTTTTAGAAGCTTTTTTTTTTTTTTTTTTTTTTTTTTAAGATGGATTCTCATTCTGTCGCCCAGGCTGGAGTGCAGTGGTTCGATCTCAGCTCACTGCCACTTCCGTCTCCCGGGTTCAAGCGATTCTCCTGCCTCAGCCTCCTGAGTAGCTGGGATTATAGGCATATGCCACCACACCCGGCTAATTTTTGTATTTTTAGCAGAGATGGGGTTTCATCATGTTGGCCAGGCTGGTCTTGAACTCCTGACCTCAAGTGATCCGCCCGCTTCGGCCTCCCAAAGTGCTGGGATTACAGGCGTGAGCCACCGTGCCCAGCCAGAAGCATTTAAAACAAACAAACAAGAAGTGGAAACACTTGAGCTCTTTAGCACTTGTAGCTACCTGACTTCCAGTAACTGCCCTTTTGAGTTGAAAAACCTGTGACTTGGCCATTTCAGCTGTAGAGCCGCCTTCACTGCTGGCCTGCGTAAGCGCTCTGCATTTTCCTCTGATAGCCATGTTCTTTCCTCACCAGCCACAGAACTTTCTAGAAAATCTGTGGCCACCCAGATCAAGAAACAGGAAGTGCTTTGGAGCACTTCCCAGGGAAACAGAGATGATGAAAAAGAGATTGGGGGAAGGGAGGTGGCCTGACTTGAAAACATGAGAAACTAAAGCGACGGAAAGCTGTGAATTGATTAATTAGAGTGGCTGAAGGGTGGTGCAGGGTACAGGAACGATCTTTAATTTGAAGATCTATAACCCTGCAGGAAGGGGCACTTCATTTGTGTTATTAGCTCCTGTGTCAGAAAAGGATGTTTATCTAGCTTCTTTTTTTATTACTTATTTATTCTGCCTTGTTCCCAAAAAGGGTGTGAGGAGTCGTCTAAATATGGCTTCTGGCCAGCTCTCCTATGAGGCTGTCTGAGCTAAGGCGTGCTGTTCCCCAAGTACAATCACTAATAAGTGTAGGACAGAACCAGGGAAGCTGGGCACTTCCTCTGTTCGCTGAGAGTGCACAGAGCAGGAGGGCTGTGGTGTTGGGGTGGCCTTACAGGGAGAATCGCGGCCACCCAGGGCCTTGGGAAGGCGTCCCTGCCCTATCTTAGGTGGGGAGGTTTCCCCTCAGGGGCTCTTTCATGGGAGAACTGAGTTACCTGGATGACTAAGAGAGGGAAATGACCCAGACACCCTGGAGAAAGAAGATAGCCTCAGAGGTGCTCCTTGAGCTGTTTTTAAGAGGGATGAGGCCGAACTTCAGAATTCCTTTTTCATTTCTGTCCTCCCTACCACCGTCTTCTCATCACCAAACACACAGAATAGGAGAGGAGAGGGAAAGAATCCCTATGTAATGCCAAACTTGTAACAGCCTGGCTCGGTTTCTAGTGTTGGTGTCCTGGGCCAACTGGTTCTGAGGTCGCGGGGGGAGTCTCCACCCTGCCCCTCGGACAGCACGAAGCCTTCTGTGACGCTGCAGGCATGCGATGTCTTGGGGAGGTCCCGGCCCCTCAGAAACTGGCAAGTCCAGTTTCAGGCAGAGGCACAGGCCACACTCAAGACCTTGGATGGAATTCAGGGTATTTGGTCCCCGAGTCACTTGATTTTTAAAAGATGGTTTCCAAATGAAAGTTTATGTGCCTATAAACACTGCTAAGAGTGCAGCCTTCCAGAAACATAATTAGTGGGTGGAAAACAAAAATGCTGTCTGCCTAGGATTTCAGAAGGCCTGTAATCGATTGGTGGAGAGAGTGAGACAGGGGACTGTTTTCTCCACTTCCCATGGCAACTTACCGATATTGGGAAGGGTCATTCATTTGCACGTTTGACTTCACCAGAGCTTGTGGCCCCTGTACTTTAGCATCTGTGTTAAAATCTTCCAGGTAGATGAAAGTTTGAGAAAACAAAAGGGATCTTTCAAGATCTCGCATGCCATGTCTTCTGCTGGATCTGAGCTGGGATTCTTGTTCCTCTTGCATCCCCAGCTAGTGAGTGCAATGCTGCAAGACGGGTCCTGTCTGCACCGTCTCTTTTATGCAGAGCATTAGGAGAGGTACATACTGGAAAAGCGGCGAGCTTCACCCCCAGGTGCAGGAGGGCACTTGCAGGATGGGTTCCGGAGGAAATGTTCAGCCTCCATTTTGTGATTGTCTCAGTGATGGACACAGACGATGACGTTTTGGCTCCATACCACGAGTGTTCGCTACAATTTGCTGCCCGTGTCACCAGAGCCAGTTGCTAACACATCAGCATTTGCCACTGTTCATCCTGACTGCCCTGTCAGATGTGAGGATGTTCTTTCATTGCTTAGTATTCTGGCAGAGGACTTTGAAAGACTCATGTAGGCCAGTGTGCCCCCGCCTTCCCTGGGGTCTGGAGGTGGAATTCCAAGCGGTGTTTGGGCGTGTGTGTGAGGACACGGGGTGGGGGCAGCTGTCACAGTAGTAGCCGGTCTTCACAGCATGTTAAATTTTTTCTGTTCCTAGGAATCCATATTCAGGTGTACAGTGCTTTCTGCACAGACGGTGGTGTAGGAAACACGAGAATTTCCTATAGCTAAAAATCCCAAATGTTGCAGAGGTATTGCAGCTATTTCTCTTAAAAAAAAAAAAGTTTGCAGGATAGTACAGTTTGATTTGTGTTTCTGTACAACTCCCTGGAATCAAATATTATCAGAATTGGTTGTTCTCAAAGGGGTCGGTGATCTTGCCCCCCTCCCTGGGAAGATTCGGCAAGGCCTGGAGACATTTTTGGTCCTCGCAACCGGGGGAGGTGGATGCTCCTGGCATCTATCTAGTGGGTGCAGGCAGAGGATGTTGCTAAACATCCTGCAATGCGCAGGACAGCCCCCACCGCCCAAAGAATTAGGATGTAAATGTCAGTAGTGCCTTGACTGAGAAGCCCTGGCCTAGATGGTTTCGGGTGTGGAGCATCCTCGAGGGCTGGGATTTGCCAGGGCTGTTACACAGTCCAGCCTTGACAGAATTCCTACTACTGGACCGTATTCTCACAAACACGATCTCCCGTGGCCTCGGAGGTAATGGAGATCAGAATCCCTTTTCTTTGGGGGAGCAAGGCGGGTCTTACACAATTGAAGTAAGTCGCTGGCGCCCGGGTGGCCAGGGCGGCCCGCCCACAGACCTGCGTCTTCGGCCCCCCAGCCAGGAGGAGACAAGGCCGGGCCTGCTTGCAAGCGGCCCTGCAGCCCCTGTCAGGCAGGGCACTGGGATCCCGGATCAGCCCGGGCCGCGTCCCCCAGGCCAGTGGCCCTGCGGTGCCCGCGCCCCGCTGCCGCTTCTCACGCTGTCTCTGCCTTTCTGTCCGTGTGTTTCCCCAGGTAAAGATGAGCCTTCCAGCTACATTTGCACAACATGCAAGCAGCCCTTCAACAGCGCGTGGTTCCTGCTGCAGCACGCGCAGAACACGCACGGCTTCCGCATCTACCTGGAGCCCGGGCCGGCCAGCAGCTCGCTCACGCCGCGGCTCACCATCCCGCCGCCGCTCGGGCCGGAGGCCGTGGCGCAGTCCCCGCTCATGAATTTCCTGGGCGACAGCAACCCCTTCAACCTGCTGCGCATGACGGGCCCCATCCTGCGGGACCACCCGGGCTTCGGCGAGGGCCGCCTGCCGGGCACGCCGCCTCTCTTCAGTCCCCCGCCGCGCCACCACCTGGACCCGCACCGCCTCAGTGCCGAGGAGATGGGGCTCGTCGCCCAGCACCCCAGTGCCTTCGACCGAGTCATGCGCCTGAACCCCATGGCCATCGACTCGCCCGCCATGGACTTCTCGCGGCGGCTCCGCGAGCTGGCGGGCAACAGCTCCACGCCGCCGCCCGTGTCCCCGGGCCGCGGCAACCCTATGCACCGGCTCCTGAACCCCTTCCAGCCCAGCCCCAAGTCCCCGTTCCTGAGCACGCCGCCGCTGCCGCCCATGCCCCCTGGCGGCACGCCGCCCCCGCAGCCGCCAGCCAAGAGCAAGTCGTGCGAGTTCTGCGGCAAGACCTTCAAGTTCCAGAGCAATCTCATCGTGCACCGGCGCAGTCACACGGGCGAGAAGCCCTACAAGTGCCAGCTGTGCGACCACGCGTGCTCGCAGGCCAGCAAGCTCAAGCGCCACATGAAGACGCACATGCACAAGGCCGGCTCGCTGGCCGGCCGCTCCGACGACGGGCTCTCGGCCGCCAGCTCCCCCGAGCCCGGCACCAGCGAGCTGGCGGGCGAGGGCCTCAAGGCGGCCGACGGTGACTTCCGCCACCACGAGAGCGACCCGTCGCTGGGCCACGAGCCGGAGGAGGAGGACGAGGAGGAGGAGGAGGAGGAGGAGGAGCTGCTACTGGAGAACGAGAGCCGGCCCGAGTCGAGCTTCAGCATGGACTCGGAGCTGAGCCGCAACCGCGAGAACGGCGGTGGTGGGGTGCCCGGGGTCCCGGGCGCGGGGGGCGGCGCGGCCAAGGCGCTGGCTGACGAGAAGGCGCTGGTGCTGGGCAAGGTCATGGAGAACGTGGGCCTAGGCGCACTGCCGCAGTACGGCGAGCTCCTGGCCGACAAGCAGAAGCGCGGCGCCTTCCTGAAGCGTGCGGCGGGCGGCGGGGACGCGGGCGACGACGACGACGCGGGCGGCTGCGGGGACGCGGGCGCGGGCGGCGCGGTCAACGGGCGCGGGGGCGGCTTCGCGCCAGGCACCGAGCCCTTCCCCGGGCTCTTCCCGCGCAAGCCCGCGCCGCTGCCCAGCCCCGGGCTCAACAGCGCCGCCAAGCGCATCAAGGTGGAGAAGGACCTGGAGCTGCCGCCCGCCGCGCTCATCCCGTCCGAGAACGTGTACTCGCAGTGGCTGGTGGGCTACGCGGCGTCGCGGCACTTCATGAAGGACCCCTTCCTGGGCTTCACGGACGCACGACAGTCGCCCTTCGCCACGTCGTCCGAGCACTCGTCCGAGAACGGCAGCCTGCGCTTCTCCACGCCGCCCGGGGACCTGCTGGACGGCGGCCTCTCGGGCCGCAGCGGCACGGCCAGCGGAGGCAGCACCCCGCACCTGGGCGGCCCGGGCCCCGGGCGGCCCAGCTCCAAGGAGGGCCGCCGCAGCGACACGTGCGAGTACTGCGGCAAGGTGTTCAAGAACTGCAGCAACTTGACGGTGCACCGGCGGAGCCACACCGGCGAGCGGCCTTACAAGTGCGAGCTGTGCAACTACGCGTGCGCGCAGAGCAGCAAGCTCACGCGCCACATGAAGACGCACGGGCAGATCGGCAAGGAGGTGTACCGCTGCGACATCTGCCAGATGCCCTTCAGCGTCTACAGCACCCTGGAGAAACACATGAAAAAGTGGCACGGCGAGCACTTGCTGACTAACGACGTCAAAATCGAGCAGGCCGAGAGGAGCTAAGCGCGCGGGCCCCGGCGCCCCGCACCTGTACAGTGGAACCGTTGCCAACCGAGAGAATGCTGACCTGACTTGCCTCCGTGTCACCGCCACCCCGCACCCCGCGTGTCCCCGGGGCCCAGGGGAGGCGGCACTCCAACCTAACCTGTGTCTGCGAAGTCCTATGGAAACCCGAGGGTTGATTAAGGCAGTACAAATTGTGGAGCCTTTTAACTGTGCAATAATTTCTGTATTTATTGGGTTTTGTAATTTTTTTGGCATGTGCAGGTACTTTTTATTATTATTTTTTCTGTTTGAATTCCTTTAAGAGATTTTGTTGGGTATCCATCCCTTCTTTGTTTTTTTTTTAACCCGGTAGTAGCCTGAGCAATGACTCGCAAGCAATGTTAGAGGGGAAGCATATCTTTTAAATTATAATTTGGGGGGAGGGGTGGTGCTGCTTTTTTGAAATTTAAGCTAAGCATGTGTAATTTCTTGTGAAGAAGCCAACACTCAAATGACTTTTAAAGTTGTTTACTTTTTCATTCCTTCCTTTTTTTTGTCCTGAAATAAAAAGTGGCATGCAGTTTTTTTTTTAATTATTTTTTAATTTTTTTTTTGGTTTTTGTTTTTGGGGTGGGGGGTGTGGATGTACAGCGGATAACAATCTTTCAAGTCGTAGCACTTTGTTTCAGAACTGGAATGGAGATGTAGCACTCATGTCGTCCCGAGTCAAGCGGCCTTTTCTGTGTTGATTTCGGCTTTCATATTACATAAGGGAAACCTTGAGTGGTGGTGCTGGGGGAGGCACCCCACAGACTCAGCGCCGCCAGAGATAGGGTTTTTGGAGGGCTCCTCTGGGAAATGGCCCGACAGCATTCTGAGGTTGTGCATGACCAGCAGATACTATCCTGTTGGTGTGCCCTGGGGTGCCATGGCTGCTATTCGCTGTAGATTAGGCTACATAAAATGGGCTGAGGGTACCTTTTTGGGGAGATGGGGTGGCCTGCAGTGACACAGAAAGGAAGAAACTAGCGGTGTTCTTTTAGGCGTTTTCTGGCTTGACGGCTTCTCTCTTTTTTTAAATCACCCCCACCACATAAATCTCAAATCCTATGTTGCTACAAGGGGTCATCCATCATTTCCCAAGCAGACGAATGCCCTAATTAATTGAAGTTAGTGTTCTCTCATTTAATGCACACTGATGATATTGTAGGGATGGGTGGGGTGGGGATCTTGCAAATTTCTATTCTCTTTTACTGAAAAAGCAGGGGATGAGTTCCATCAGAAGGTGCCCAGCGCTACTTCCCAGGTTTTTATTTTTTTTTTCCTATCTCATTAGGTTGGAAGGTACTAAATATTGAACTGTTAAGATTAGACATTTGAATTCTGTTGACCCGCACTTTAAAGCTTTTGTTTGCATTTAAATTAAATGGCTTCTAAACAAGAAATTGCAGCATATTCTTCTCTTTGGCCCAGAGGTGGGTTAAACTGTAAGGGACAGCTGAGATTGAGTGTCAGTATTGCTAAGCGTGGCATTCACAATACTGGCACTATAAAGAACAAAATAAAATAATAATTTATAGGACAGTTTTTCTACTGCCATTCAATTTGATGTGAGTGCCTTGAAAACTGATCTTCCTATTTGAGTCTCTTGAGACAAATGCAAAACTTTTTTTTTGAAATGAAAAGACTTTTTAAAAAAGTAAAACAAGAAAAGTACATTCTTTAGAAACTAACAAAGCCACATTTACTTTAAGTAAAAAAAAAAAAAATTCTGGTTGAAGATAGAGGATATGAAATGCCATAAGACCCAATCAAATGAAGAAATAAACCCAGCACAACCTTGGACATCCATTAGCTGAATTATCCTCAGCCCCTTTTGTTTTTGGGACAACGCTGCTTAGATATGGAGTGGAGGTGATTTACTGCTGAATTAAAACTCAAGTGACACAAGTTACAAGTTGATATCGTTGAATGAAAAGCAAAACAAAAACAATTCAGGAACAACGGCTAATTTTTTCTAAAGTTAAATTTAGTGCACTCTGTCTTAAAAATACGTTTACAGTATTGGGTACATACAAGGGTAAAAAAAAAATTGTGTGTATGTGTGTTGGAGCGATCTTTTTTTTTCAAAGTTTGCTTAATAGGTTATACAAAAATGCCACAGTGGCCGCGTGTATATTGTTTTCTTTTGGTGACGGGGTTTTAGTATATATTATATATATTAAAATTTCTTGATTACTGTAAAAGTGGACCAGTATTTGTAATAATCGAGAATGCCTGGGCATTTTACAAAACAAGAAAAAAAATACCCTTTTCTTTTCCTTGAAAATGTTGCAGTAAAATTTAAATGGTGGGTCTATAAATTTGTTCTTGTTACAGTAACTGTAAAGTCGGAGTTTTAGTAAATTTTTTTCTGCCTTGGGTGTTGAATTTTTATTTCAAAAAAAATGTATAGAAACTTGTATTTGGGGATTCAAAGGGGATTGCTACACCATGTAGAAAAAGTATGTAGAAAAAAAGTGCTTAATATTGTTATTGCTTTGCAGAAAAAAAAAAAATCACATTTCTGACCTGTACTTATTTTTCTCTTCCCGCCTCCCTCTGGAATGGATATATTGGTTGGTTCATATGATGTAGGCACTTGCTGTATTTTTACTGGAGCTCGTAATTTTTTAACTGTAAGCTTGTCCTTTTAAAGGGATTTAATGTACCTTTTTGTTAGTGAATTTGGAAATAAAAAGAAAAAAAAAACAAAAACAAACAGGCTGCCATAATATATTTTTTTAATTTGGCAGGATAAAATATTGCAAAAAAAACACATTTGTATGTTAAGTCCTATTGTACAGGAGAAAAAGGGTTGTTTGACAACCTTTGAGAAAAAGAAACAAAAGGAAGTAGTTAAATGCTTTGGTTCACAAATCATTTAGTTGTATATATTTTTTGTCGGAATTGGCCTACACAGAGAACCGTTCGTGTTGGGCTTCTCTCTGAACGCCCCGAACCTTGCATCAAGGCTCCTTGGTGTGGCCACAGCAGACCAGATGGGAAATTATTTGTGTTGAGTGGAAAAAAATCAGTTTTTGTAAAGATGTCAGTAACATTCCACATCGTCCTCCCTTTCTCTAAGAGGCCATCTCTAAGATGTCAGATGTAGAGGAGAGAGAGCGAGAGAACATCTTCCTTCTCTACCATCACTCCTGTGGCGGTCACCACCACCACCTCTCCCGCCCTTACCAGCAGAAAGCAATGCAAACTGAGCTGCTTTAGTCCTTGAGAAATTGTGAAACAAACACAAATATCATAAAAGGAGCTGGTGATTCAGCTGGGTCCAGGTGAAGTGACCTGCTGTTGAGACCGGTACAAATTGGATTTCAGGAAGGAGACTCCATCACAGCCAGGACCTTTCGTGCCATGGAGAGTGTTGGCCTCTTGTCTTTCTTCCCTGCTTTGCTGCTTTGCTCTCTGAAACCTACATTCCGTCAGTTTCCGAATGCGAGGGCCTGGGATGAATTTGGTGCCTTTCCATATCTCGTTCTCTCTCCTTCCCCTGCGTTTCCTCTCCATCCTTCATCCTCCATTGGTCCTTTTTTTTTCTTTCATTTTTTATTTAATTTCTTTTCTTCCTGTCTGTTCCTCCCCTAATCCTCTATTTTATTTTTATTTTTTGTAAAGCCAAGTAGCTTTAAGATAAAGTGGTGGTCTTTTGGATGAGGGAATAATGCATTTTTAAATAAAATACCAATATCAGGAAGCCATTTTTTATTTCAGGAAATGTAAGAAACCATTATTTCAGGTTATGAAAGTATAACCAAGCATCCTTTTGGGCAATTCCTTACCAAATGCAGAAGCTTTTCTGTTCGATGCACTCTTTCCTCCTTGCCACTTACCTTTGCAAAGTTAAAAAAAAGGGGGGAGGGAATGGGAGAGAAAGCTGAGATTTCAGTTTCCTACTGCAGTTTCCTACCTGCAGATCCAGGGGCTGCTGTTGCCTTTGGATGCCCCACTGAGGTCCTAGAGTGCCTCCAGGGTGGTCTTCCTGTAGTCATAACAGCTAGCCAGTGCTCACCAGCTTACCAGATTGCCAGGACTAAGCCATCCCAAAGCACAAGCATTGTGTGTCTCTGTGACTGCAGAGAAGAGAGAATTTTGCTTCTGTTTTGTGTTTAAAAAACCAACACGGAAGCAGATGATCCCGAGAGAGAGGCCTCTAGCATGGGTGACCCAGCCGACCTCAGGCCGGTTTCCGCACTGCCACAACTTTGTTCAAAGTTGCCCCCAATTGGAACCTGCCACTTGGCATTAGAGGGTCTTTCATGGGGAGAGAAGGAGACTGAATTACTCTAAGCAAAATGTGAAAAGTAAGGAAATCAGCCTTTCATCCCGGTCCTAAGTAACCGTCAGCCGAAGGTCTCGTGGAACACAGGCAAACCCGTGATTTTGGTGCTCCTTGTAACTCAGCCCTGCAAAGCAAAGTCCCATTGATTTAAGTTGTTTGCATTTGTACTGGCAAGGCAAAATATTTTTATTACCTTTTCTATTACTTATTGTATGAGCTTTTGTTGTTTACTTGGAGGTTTTGTCTTTTACTACAAGTTTGGAACTATTTATTATTGCTTGGTATTTGTGCTCTGTTTAAGAAACAGGCACTTTTTTTTATTATGGATAAAATGTTGAGATGACAGGAGGTCATTTCAATATGGCTTAGTAAAATATTTATTGTTCCTTTATTCTCTGTACAAGATTTTGGGCCTCTTTTTTTCCTTAATGTCACAATGTTGAGTTCAGCATGTGTCTGCCATTTCATTTGTACGCTTGTTCAAAACCAAGTTTGTTCTGGTTTCAAGTTATAAAAATAAATTGGACATTTAACTTGATCTCCAAACCTTGTCCTTTTCTGTGTCTTTTAAAGGTGGGGGATGGACAGCTTATTTCCAAGGGCAAATTGAAAGTCTTTCTCCATTTTCTTCCTGACCCAAATCTTTAAGCCCATCGAGAGGATGACAGGAAATCATGGCACGAGAGCCCTATAGTTCTCTTAGCTCCTGTGCAGCAGTGTGATCTAGAACAGTGGTTCTCAGCCCAGTTGCACATGGGAATCTTCTGGGAGCTTTCAAAAATCTCAGGGCCCGGGAGACATCCCAGACCAATTCTGTCAGAATCTCTGGAGGCAGGTCCCAGTATCAGCATTTTTGAAAATGATCCAGGTGATTCTCCTATCCAACTGAGCTTGTGAACAAGTAGTTGAAAAGAAAATACACTTGGCTAGGAATGATTAGACTCAAGTTGAGCCTAATACAGCTCCCATTTTCTCAATACCCAGGGAGAGCTGTTGTGAGCCATGGGGGGATCAAAATTCAGGGAGAAGGAGACCCTGCCCCAAGAGTCTAAATGATTCTGTGCCCTTGGGCAGGTCCCCTTGGTTTTCCCATTTATAAAATGAGGTTGATGAATTTTGTTAAAACTCATGAATGAGTTTTAACAAAATCACACGGGAGGATATCCTTCCCGTCCCATGTGCTGGATGTTAACAGATTTGAGGAGACTTTCACTGGAGATGATCAAAATCAGGCCTTGCAGAATGAAGTAGCTTTAATTCGGTGTTTCCCAGTGTTGGGCCTGGAGCAGCCAACAAGATGGGGTGGAAGGAGGCAGGGCTGTTGGGTTCCAGTCACACTGAGGCATGAAGGCACCTTTGGTCTTCTCCATTTAAGCAAGAGAGAGGCGGAGTCCACCCCTGAGCATGAAGGAACAAAGCGCCCACTGGGTTTTTGACCATTCTTTTTCTATGTTTTCTGTTCTTAAAGGGACAAAGAACAATCTGCTTATACCACTTCTGCAAACTATCATTGGGCACTGATGTGAACCAGGTACCAAGAATTCAGGCAGCCCAAGAATCTTCATAAAGAGACTTTACAAGAATGAAAATACCAAGCCATGCTTGCTAAGGTGATTTGTGGGCTCTCTGCTCACAGAGATGAGAAGAAAAAGAAGGGCAGCACGTTCTTCTATGTCCTGTCTTCACCCCACACAAGCCATTGTTCTCCCAAGGCCGCTGGACAAGAAGTGGGGTTTGAACTCCAGCACAAGAAATGGAGCTGATGGTTATTTGGGACACTTGCCTTACTTTTTAGGGTCTTAAGGAATAAGAATTCCCAGAGAGAAAATTCTCTTTTCCATAGGTCCTGGGCTCCAAGTCTTTTCCCCAGTGGGCTTTAAAACACAGATATTTGGGCCTTTTTATTTTTTATTTTTTATTTTTATTTTTTTTTTGAGACAGGGTCTTTCTCTGTTGCCCAGGCTGGAGTACAATGGTGCAATTACAGCTCACTGCAGCCTCAACCTCCTGGGCTCAAGTAATCTTCCTGCTTCAAATTCCCAAAGTAGATGGGACTACAGGTGTGTGCCAGTATGCCCACTAATTTTTTTCTATTTTTTTGTTGTTTGTAGAGATGAGGTCTCTCTATGTTGCCCAGGCTAATCTCAAACTCAACCTCCTGGCCTCAAGCAATCCTCCCACCGTGCCTGGCCAAACCTTAATGTGTCTGTCTTTCCCACCCAGAAAACTAGGCAAATAGCAGAACTGAAATGCTCAGTTACTTTCTGGCTGGAATACAGCAGGATATGCTCATCTCGGGGAGATGGGGAACAAACTCCTAGGTTGAGTACCAAGAATTGCTTGGGAGGAGGGAGTTAACACTCATGAATACCTGTCATTCATACTTCTGGCCAAACTTGGTGATTACCCATGGGACAAAGGAAAAGCTCACTTCAGTTCTCACCATTGTCTGGTCTGTAACCAGCTCTGTGACCTTAGGTCAGTCCCTTCCCTTTTCTGGACCTCGGTTTCCCCATCTGTAAAATGGAGAGTTAAGGTAGTTGGGAAGGAACCATTCTGCCTTTGAACAGCTGGACCCTGATGAGAGTGCCACATGTGCACAGAGTCACAAGATTTGATGGGAAAGGTCATGTCAGAAATGTTTGCTGTTCAGGTTACAAAAATCAGGGCGAGGAGGATGGATTCTCAAGAACAGAAAATCCCACGTTACTGTTGGCTCTGACTTGGAGTCTGCAGCCACCGTGCAAGCCACAAGGTCCCCATGTTTTCCAAGCACTCCCAATTGTGGTTTGGGGCAATTAAAACTAGAAAACCTCCCTGTCTGCTTCGTCGATAAAACTAGATGAATAGAAGTTGCTGGGTTTCTTTTTTAATGTTAATGTGATGGAAATATAGAATGAGTCTCACGTAACTTTTGAGCTAGGGAAGATAAAAATTCTGACTTTCTTGTGCGCAAATGAAGCCTTAGTCACTAATTGCCTGCCCTGCATAATCTTCAAAATGGTTTTATGGGATCCTGGTTACAGACCATATAGGATGCCCCAAAGAAGTCAAAAGAGGTTGAGCTTGGAAGTCGCTTTAATCCCTAAAGCAAAGACTGAGCCGGGTGTCAGGACTGGGCACAGGAAGGTCTCTGGCCTGGTCTTTGTCCTCAAGGAGAGAGACATGTTATGAAACAGGACAGGGGAGTGTGGGCAGTGAGAGGGACTGGGAAGACGGCATGACCAATCAACCCAGGAGAGAGAGGATTAGGGAAATTCTGCTTCTGTGTGAAAGATGAGTAAAGATTCACCAGGAAAATGAGGACCAGGGAGAGAGCAGTGGTCTCTCTTGCAGAGAATGCACATGGAGGTTGGAACAGCCCAGTTAAGCCCATAGAGATGCAGGATCCTAGAGCTGGCTGGGACCCTTAAAAGTCATTTATTATAAACCTATCTAAACTGTATTAGTTCGTTTTCACACTGCCGGTAAAACATACCCGAGACTGGGTACTTTATAAAGAAAAAGAGGTTTAATGAACTCACAGTTCCATGTGGCTTGGGAGGCCTCACAATCATGGTGGAAGGCAAAAGGCACGTCTTATATGGTGGCCGGCAAGAGAGAACTTGTGTAGGGGAACTCCCCTTTATAAAACCATCAGATCTCATGAGACTTATTCACTATCATAAGAACAGCATGGGGAAGACCCGCCCCCATGATTCAATTACCTCCTACTTGGTCCGTCCCATGACACATAGGAATTATGGGAGCTACAATTCAAGATGAGATTTGGGTAGGGACACAGCCAAACCATATCAGAAACAGTCTCCCAAACACTAGCGTGTAGTACATCCATCCATTTGTCCATACAGCCACTTATTCATCCAGCCAGCCACAAGCTTGTTTGTGTAATAAACATTTCTGCAGTATCACAGACCCTGCTGGGAAGATAGGGGTCAGTACGACTCCCCCCTGCCTTCCCAGAGTTTGCCCTTCAGTGGGCAGGATGGGACATCCATCTATCTATCTGCTTAGTTGTTTATTCCCTTAACTCTCCTGGAGTTCCTACTGCATGCCTCACCCTCCTAGGCCAGGGGGTGCAGTACCTGCCCTGGAAGAACTCCTGATTAGCTGGGGAGGCAGTGAACAGACAATCAGGGCTCAGTCTGCTGGACAGGAGCATAGGGTCTACCAGGAGGCTGGAGGAAATGTTCATGCCCTTCATTACAGACAAGGAAAACCAGCACTTGCTCCACTGTGCCAGGCCACAGCCCAAACTGTCACCCTTTACTGTGGCTTATTTCTCATAGACCATAACGAAAATGAAATTGTGTTTCTGTGATCTTTTATAATTAAAAATATTTAAAATAAGTAATGCCCAGTTTAGGATGCATCCCAAGATGTAAGCCCAGAGGTGCTGTCTAGAGGATGTGGGTGGTTCCCTACCTATCCAAATCTCAAAACAAGAAAGTGATGCTGATGCATTTGCTCATTGGCCAGGCCCCATAAGGGCTTTTTGTTTTTTTGACTGAAAATGCACTGCAGGCTGCCGTTTGCAAAGGCTAGGCTGGCCTCCCAGCAAAACTAGGAGCTACTGAGGATAGGGAGAGTGCCTCCTTCCTGCCTTCTCTTTTCCTAGTCCGACTTCTTTCCATCAGCAAGATCTTACTAAGCATCTGCTCCTTGTCCTATGGTGCAGCGGGGAAGCAATCGTGTAGAGCTGAGGGGTTGGTAAGCGAAAGAAAAAAATGAGGGGGCAGACCGCAGGTATCACCTCAGACCTCTGACTACCTTTGGCACTTGGCACAACCCAGCCCTCTTGCCTGCGTTTGGAGGTTTAATTGAGGGTTCAGCTTTGTTACCTGTATCATGTTTCAACCACTTTTCCCTCTTCCCTTTGCAAAGCTCTGGGGTGGTGTGTATCAAGGGCCCAGATGTTCTTCTGACTATTTGATCTGGTGACGTCATTTTTGGAAACCATACTAAGAATACTTATTTGCGATTCCTAGAGAGAGGAGGATGGCCATCTCAGCATTTCATTAAATACTCTGTTAATAATTTGCATCCTTCTTCATTCCTCAAGATTGTGAGCAGACCAATAGGAAATGTAATAAAGCATAAACAAGCAGCGAAATATCAGGATCAGAGAGATTAAAAGCTCTAGTAAGATGTCTACACCTATGCAAAAATATTGCCTAGAGAAGACGGCCATACGTTGCTATACTTAAATCATAAATTTGAGTCTAAGATTCTTTTTAGCCAAAGGGAAAAAAGAAACGTAGATACACTGCTTATTTTTCATGCAGACAAAATATGCCAGGGAATGACGTGCATGATAGCGAAATTTTGGAAGCTGCCTCCGTGTTCAACAGTAAAGGAGTGAATGAGTGAAGAAGAGCCTGTTCATTATGGAGTATTTACACACATCGAAAATGAGGGGGATGAAGACTTTGGTAGCAACAGGAAAACTGTGTATGAGATAATGTTAACTTTTAAAAGAAGAGAAAATGTTCGTAGGCTGTGAGTCTAAATGATCTAGCTGAAGGTTGTGTGGACATGGATGTGTATCAGATGCAGATGCTTGGGAGGAAAGGCTCTTCAGGAAGGTATTTCTCCTACCTTTTCCAAATTTTCAGGAAGTTAGTCTTGTTGTCTTCGCAACTGAAAATATTCAAATGAATGTGTGCTGGATGGACTCTCACAGATGTCTCGCCAGGATCTTCCATCCCCTGGAGCCATTTGCTTGGCTAATGGTGATTTTCTGACGCCCATGGAGGTCTGTATGCAATCACCCCTGGATGATGTGGAAAAGCTTTGCTCTCTGCATAACCAACACTAAGCACATCACGAGCCATCTTTTTTTTTTTTTATTAATCTCTAAAATAATTAAGGAAGCTCTAATACAGCCAAAGATTTAGCCCCAAAGATGTTCACTGTATCTATATTTACAATAGCAAAAACTGGAAATAAAGAAAATGCCCAGTAACAGGGGATTAGATAAGCAAGGGATAGGATGTCAATGCAATGGAACATCAGGCATTTATCAAAAATACTGTTGTCAGAATAACATACATGGTATTGGAGAGGTGTTCATGATGGACACATTACGGGGTTAGTTACCTACTTGTGGTCTCATGAAGATGCAATGAATCACACGAAAGTGTGGGAAGGAAATGCAGGGGAGGGATAATGGTGGCTGTTTGTGGGTTGCATTGTAGCAGGCCCCTTCAGGCTGCATGAGGAGGGACTGACTGTCATGGTGGGATGTAAAGTAGGGGTTGTCCACGGTAAGAAGTTGGTGGCTTGTACTTAAATTGAAAAAGGTAAGAAGGAGGTGGTAAGAAGATCTCTGATCCAGTGTCTGTTTGGGGTGCAAATAAGAGCTGATAGGATTTGCTGATGGATTAAGTAGGGGTGTGAAGGACAGAGAGGCATCAGGGGTGATCATGAGTTTTTCGGCTGAGCAACAGGATGAATGGCCATTTATCGACCTGGTGGAAGACTAGAGATGTGTGAGGAGGTGGGATAAGGGGAAATGGAAGCAAGATTTCTCTCTGGCACAGGAAGCTAGAGACAACTAGTTAAGTGGGTACAATGCCTATCTCACCAGGTCGTTGAGAGAATTCAAAAATTAAGACCAGGCCAGGCGTGGTGGCTTACACCTGTAATCCCAGCACTTTGGGAGGCCAAAGCGAGTGGATTTCTTGAGGTCAGGAGTTTGAGACCAGACTGGCCAACATGGTGAAACCCCATCTCTACTAAAAATACTAAAAAAAAAAAAAATTAGCTGGGTGTGTTGGTGCGTGTCTGTAATCCCAGCTACTTGTGAGGCTGAGGCAGGAGAATCACTTGAACCTGGGAGGCAGAGGTTGCAGTGGGCCAAGATCACGCCATTGCCCTCCAGCCTGAGATACAGGGCAAGGCTTTGTCTCAAAAAAAAAAAAAAAAAAAAGACCTACAAAACAACAGTACAGTGTAGTCACTAATAGGCACGCTGGGTGTAGACTGCTTGGGGTTTTTGCTTGGCTCTGTCACTTACAAGCTGTGATATCTTGGCCCAGTCATGTAACCTGGTCGTGCCTCAGTTTCCTTATCAGTAAAAATGGGGAAGTAATAGCACCTTCCTTGTAGGGATACGATGAGGATTCAGTTAATTACTATTTGTAAATGTGGCTGAGTATGCAGTGAACCAAACACCTGGAAAATTCTGAGCACCTATACCTGTTCCCTTTCTTAAGGAGAAGTAGGACTCAGGTTCTCACCAGGGTTTGACCATGTTTATCAGTAAAGACAGCCCATAGGACTCTGCTGCTCTGTCTGAATTTCAAGTTCTAACCCTTATTTCCAAGTAGGACATCACAAGGCTGCACTGGAGCGGCACATTAGCTTTGCTACTCACACATCAACATCCAGAGCAAGGTTGACTGTAGTGTCTATTTTAATCTGCCATTGATGGTTGTCTCAGAAACTAGCTACAAGAAGAATTATTATTACCTAACAATTCTCTCTACTGTGGCTGATGAAAATAAACAGAAAAGTTGTTAAAGATGCTTTCCATTGTGTTTTGTGTGTGTGTGTGTGTGTGTGTGTGTGTGTGGCAGGGTTTCACCCTGTCACCCAGGCTGGAGAGCAGCGGTGGGATCTCAGCACACTGCAACCTCCACCTTTCTGGTTCAAGCAATTCTCTTGCCTCAGCCCCTCGAGTAGCTGGGAGCACCTGTAAAGGTGCATGCCACCATGCCCAGCTAATTTTTGTATTTTTGGTAGAGATGGGGTTTCACCATGTTGGCCAGGCTGGTCTCAAACTCCTGACCTCAAGTGATCTGCCCACCTTGACCTCCCAAAGTGCCAGGATTACAGGTGTGAGCCACCATGCCTGGCCTCCATTGTGTTGGTGATGTACATTGAACATGGTTGTTTTGTTGTCTTGCTTAGCCCATTCCATTCGTCCAAGTTCTCCTGTGTTTTCTCCTCTGAGGACTCTCATGGATCTGATTTTTTAGTGGTTTGTGATTTCAGATTGTGAGCTCATCTTTGTGGGTTTCTCTGGGGTGTGTCTGATGTGTCCTGGTTTAAAAAATATCCTTCGGTGCAGTTTCATTGCTGCTTCTATAGTTGCTGAAGGCCTCTGGTTGTTCTGGAAAGGGAGTGTAAATCTGGATCCCACACATTCTGGCCCCAGTGCCTTTTCCCCATCCTACGGCTCAGGTGGGCAGCCCTCTTGCTTTACCACTTCCTAGTGAGTGTAGCTTTTCTTGTCCTGTTTTTACTGATGGAGAAGCTCTTCAAAATCCAGGCTTTATGCAGGGGGTTCCATTCCAGGTTCCCAGCCACACATGGACTTGTGCCCATATGGACATTGGAGCTCTCATCTCCAGTTCCATTTCTGGGTCTGAAACCCATGAACTATGAAGCCAGTTCTCCTCACTCTGGGTTTGATTTCTCCAGCTTTCAGGGATTCTCTTTCTTTTGTGGTTGGATATCTATACACATATTTATTAATGTACACACACATATACATATTGTTTTATGTGTGTGTGCATGTATGTAGCTACAAATAAAATGGGATAAGTGTTTGTGATATTTTATCCTTCCAGAAGTCTTGTCACTGATTTCTAGGACTTAGCAATGGAAAAGAAATATCTGCCTTGGTAAGTCAGTACATTTCATTTTGGATTGGAGCCACATAACTTGTTGCATTTTCCTTTTTTGCTGAGACTGCTAGGGAGCTCAGTGTTCGATTTAATGGTTAATCATAGCCACAGTATTAGTTTGAGATTTTTTTTTTAAGAAATCCTTTCTCCCATCTATATTATTCTTGTTTACCACTATGATAGCTTTATTGTATATGTAATCTTATTGTAGCTTCCATAGTATGTCTTAGAAGATGCTAAGG
Source organism: Homo sapiens (assembly GCF_000001405.40). NCBI lineage: Eukaryota > Metazoa > Chordata > Mammalia > Primates > Hominidae > Homo > Homo sapiens. The sequence goes on along the minus strand of NC_000014.9, from coordinate 99,160,957 downwards.
TAAAGAATGATTAATAAATAAAGAGATAACTCCCTCTACACTACAAAGCCATTCCAGTATACTGCTTGTGCTATGTCTGAACTTCCCTGACTGTGATCAGTCACAACTGTCTCATGACAGCTCTGGTCTGCGAGATTGCACTGCTTCAAAACATCTTGTGTCCTGTTTTCTCATGAGCTTAGAAAGTTTAGTGCAGTGAAAGGAAACTGGCATTTCTATTTGGACACACCTGAGGCTGAGTAGAAACCTCAGCTCTGCCTCTTACCAGCTAAATGTGTGGAGTCTGTAATCTCTCAGCCTCAGTTTCCTTATCTGTAAAAAGGGGACAAGGATCTTTATGCCACAGAGGTCTTGAGAGGATCAAGCAAGAAAATGCAAACAAGGTACCTGATACATGAAAGCTGTACCTACAAAATTCCATTTGCCTTCCCTTTCCCTTTCTACTTGTGATTGCCATGTTCCTAGAAAGTCCCTGACCCCACCCCAGGCCCCTCCAGCCTCTTTGCCCCTGCTTCCCACCCCCTCCCCAGCCCCCACACTTTGTAGTGAACTGAGAACCTTTGGCCTTGCCCGCTGTTGGTAAAGGCTCACTCCATGCCCTCTATGCCACCATGCGTGTGCCTCAGGGGAGCCTTGCCTGGCATTGTCATGGAGACATGCACTTGGCACAGCCCTGAGAGCCTGGCAGCTGGGCAGGGGTGGCTGGCATGTGAGGAGGTGGGCTGCTACGTGGCCCAGCCTGCCCCTCACTCTCCGGGGCTGCTGGAAGACCTGGCAGATAGGAGCAACTGGTGGGGCCTCGTCCCCGTCTGTTTTCCCGCCTCCCTCTCATGCTCGCTTGCCCCTCTCTGCCCTGCTTTCTCAGCCTGCCTGGCTGCCTCTCCCGGAGTCTCCCTGCCTCTGTCTCCAGCTTGGTCTCTGGTCACTTTCCCGGTCTCTCCTTACACTCTTGCCTGTCATCGCCTTTCCTGCCTCTGTCTGCTCTCTCCTGTGTGGTGCACTCGGGGCGCTCACCCTATGAGACCCTGGTCCTCCCTGCCCAGCACCCCACCCTGGCTCATTCCCAAAGCTCTAGGAAAGGAGGAGACCCTGTCCAGAGGCCTGGCTGCCTCTTGGAGAAAGCCCCACAGGTTCCTGGAAGACGTGGAGCCAGAAAACCTTATTAGTCTGGTCCTGCTCACACTTTCACTAGAAGAATCCTTATTAGCAGTGCTAGTTAAAATGCAGATTCCCAGTTTGCACTGCTCAGAGACTCTGGTCCATAGGTCGAGGGCGGGGCCTTGGAATGTGGATTTTCAACACAACTCCTGAGAGGTCTGATTCAGGGGTTTTCTGGGCCACATGCAGGAAGCTCTGCGGGGGTCCCAGGGCTGCTTCTCTGCCTGCGCCCAGGCAGCTGGGGCCTCCTGGCTCCCTGTCTACCACTCTTCTTGAGGCTTCACTCCCAGGGAGGCTGACAGGCGACAGACTGAGAGGCAGGAAGAGCCCGCAGACTCAGGGCTCCGGCCAGAGGTGGTGGTGGTGCAGTGCATGAGCCTCGGGCTGGGAGTCTTCGGCCCTGTGTCAAATCCCAGCTCTGGCCGCTGTCCCCCAGGTGACAGGTCCCATAACTTCCTGTCTCTTTCTCTGCAAATTATGGTGGACAAGACATCTCCACAGCATCTTTGGGAGGATCGATGAGGTAACGAGCAAGGATGGGCTCTGAAGAGTTTATGTTTCTAGACATGTATCCAAAAATGAAGAATGTGTTAAATAAACAACCAAAAAAAAAAAAAAACCAGTGATGGCAACTCCCAGCCACTTCATCTGCCACAAAGCATCCCTCAGATGAGCCCTGCTGTCCCCCGGAGCACTGGCAGCTTCTTTCCAGATATTTGCCTTTCTTTGTGCTCTCCTCTCCTTCAGGAAATCTTGTCCCTTCCCGTACAAGGCCCAGCAGGACTAGTGGTTCCAGGTCCCCTCTGCCCTTCTCCTGGACTCCTCACATCGCAGACTGTGTGGTGCTTTCTTACCTCTAGGCATATCTGCCCTGGGCCCGTGCCGTGTGGCTTTTAGCATGACAGGTCTGGAGAGCTTAGAAGTGGGAGAAGGAGGTGGTGTCCTGCTGTGCTAGGTGGGGGCACACCCACCTGCGGGGTGTCCAGAACCCTAGAGAATCAGCCATTCTCTCCCTTACTATTAGAGCAGCATGGCAAAAAGGGGTTTCATACCAGGAAACAAGAGCAAACCAGGGATTTTCTCTGTGGGCTGCAAAGCAGGCAGGGCTTTGCTTTTGTCATGGGACCTTCCTTTCCCGGCCCCTTTGGGTTCCTCCCCAGTCTGGCCACTGTCTCCATTCTGGGCTACTACAAGAGCTTCCCTCACAAATCCCTTGGTTTTTAGCCTCAGGGAAGCTCTGGAGCCAGACTGACCTGGTTCGGAACCCCTTTCAGCCTCTTCCTATCTGTGTCTCAGTTTCCATTCTGTGCCTCAGTTTTCTCATCTGTAAAATGTGGATAATAACAGAACCTCCCTCCTGTAGGGAGATGACTAAATAAGATATGGCATGCCAAGGGCTGAGAACAGTGGACCCAGGAGGCACCTGCTATTTCATGCCAGCTGCTGTCACAATCTCCAAATTCCAATGACCTGACATCATAAGGATTTGTTTCTTGCTAGTGTCACAGTCCCGTAAAGTGGTGGACAGCTTTCCACGTGGCGTTTCAGGGATTCTAGCTCCTTCTGTCTTGTTTCCCTGCCATCTTCTAGTTGTGCCATCCAGTAAACTATTTAAATTTAAAGTAATTAAAAATCCTCATTAAAAATTCAATTCCTCAGCTGCACTCTCCACATTTCAGGTGTGCAGTAGCCACATGTGTCTTGTGGCTATCAGATTGGACAGTGCAGACAGAATCTTCCATTCTTGCAGGAAGTTCCATTGGTGAGTGCTATCTAGAGTCTCCTTGGGGGTCTCTGCTGGGTCATCGGCATTGAGCCATTCACAATGGAAGACATGTGAGTCTCATGCAGGGCTCCCCATGGGCCAGGCCTGGAAGTGGTGAGTATCACTTCTGCCCTGCCTCCTTGGCCAGAAAGCCCTGAATTAACCTGACCCCAACAGAATCAGAGGGCTTCAGCATGGCGCTCAAACCCTTCACAACTGGATCCAACGCATCTGTCCATTTCCCATCGCCATTCCATCCTTACAGCCTCATCCCCACAAGCGGGTGAAGGAAAGAGAGAGCGCTGGCCATTGGCATACTGTGAGACCTCTCAGAAGACTCCGGTACTGCGTTTCTAGAATGTTCAGCCAACTTCCCCTCACATCTCATTGGCCTGAAGTGGGCCCCATGGCCATTCCTGAACAATTCCATGGCCAGAAGAATGCCCCGGGCCAGTTGGCTCTGCTGTTGCACGTGGGAGAAGGCTGTGGGAGACTCCGGGGAGCAAGCCACCGGGCCCCGGCAGTGCCCCACCTATGCCTGCTGCTCTGCTGGGCCCTGGAGGTACAAGTCTGACCTTGGGATGGTCTCTGATGCCAGGGAGTTCAGAGCCCTGTAGCAAATCCTACCTGTAAATGAGAAGGTGCCAGCACTGGGTACATGTGAGCGTTGGAGGCAGGGCACTGGGGACTGTGAACTGAATGGTATGGGATCTCCAGGCACCGTCCCTTGGGGCCTCATGAACCTTGATGGTTCATGTTTAGATGCTCTGACGTTTGTGCTTTTGAGATGAGTGGTCATCTCCGATATTCCAAAGGAGTAAGAATGACTCTGCTGGGCCGCTGCTTGTTTCTCTCTCCTTTTTCATTCTTAGCTCCCTCGGTGCTTCGTTTTTTCTTCACCCAGCCTGGCCTCCCTTGCTTCTCCTGTCCTCCCCTGTGCTGGGTTTTAGCATTCCAGAGGCTTTTTCACATTTCTCCCCACTTAACGAATGCAGAGTGCTTTATTTATTTATTTATTTATTTATTTATTTATTTATTTATTTATTTTGTCAGAGGCGCCCAAGCATTTAGCAGTTACCAATGATCAACAGTACATTTTGCAAACAAGTAATAAATTTTAACAGCAATTTGTCTACGAATTGTGACCTTTTGATGATGTATTTGATTTTTCCTGAGAAGTTGAACTTCTTTGTCATCCAAGTTTGATTCATATTTTAATTTTTTTAAAAGCAAATGGTGTGTATAACACATCGCAACATTGAGCTGATTGCGAATGCTATTTTGGTTGCAGTCAATATTTCTAATTTATGCCGTTCGAGATACACAGGGAGCCCCTGGCCCGCTTTGCTAACAGCTGCAAATCCACACATCTCTGCCCCTGACATTTTATACTTTGCAGTTTTCTTAATGTTATATGGATTTTTTTTTTAAAGGAAGAATAATTATGCCAGTGCCTTTTAATGATGCACCTTTAACCAAAGATAAAACATGTCCTTGCTTCTCTCCATTCTACCCTTTTGGCCTGGGTGTTGCAGATCACTTTCCTATGGAAAAGGTTGTCGACTCTTTGAATCCCCCAACTGGCACATTACTTTGTGTTAATTACCTTAGGACGAGAGAGTGGCTCAGAAGCAATCATCTTTGTTTGTTAACACACACTAGCTGCGGCACCACTCTCCATAAATAAAACATAACCGAGATTACAATGTCACGTTCACCGGGACTTCAGACCCCGGTAACTGCCCTAGTAGGATGCACAAAACATCCCCTGGCAGCTGGGTTCCTGGAGATGTGGTGCAGTCAGGATGGCTTCTCATTCCTCAATCACCCCGTGCCCACCAGGCCCTAGCTGCTCTGTAATCCCCTGGTGTTCTTCTGCTGGTAAGGCTGGCAGGAAGCTGACATTGTTTCTCCTCTAACTTAAAAGGGTTAGGCTTGTCAATATGCAATGGTATTTTTAGCCACTTGGAAAAGGTTGGAGTGGACTAACATCACGCAAAACAGTGGTCAGGAATTTAGCATGCATGAATTGTAGAAATATCTAAAGTGATGCTTAGACAGAGATCTCCATTTATTTATTTGTTCATGCTGGCTTCTTGTTACACCCACACCCACACACACACATGCACATAAGGAAAAAAGAGAGATGGTTACTGAGAAATATGTTCAATAAATTAGAACAATATGAGCAATAAGATTAGGGCAAATGCCAATTTGAAGAGAAGAAGTAAAATGAAAACTCTCAAGGCACAGGGTTCTAGAGCTTGATTTTCAAGTTTGGCTCAGAGCTTCCCAGCTGTCAATGGGAAAAGAGATATAATGAGTATCGTCATCAGTGTGGAAAGAACCACAGTAGTTCTTCAGGAGGAGCAAAGTGTTTCCTGGCACTTTAATCTGAAAGCGGTTTCTCTTATGGGTCCTCATATGGAGTTGTGTTTCTCAATGGGTGGCCCACAGCCCACTGGTGGGAGGTGACAGACTTCTGGACAGTCATAAACTGATGAAAATGCACATTCAGAATCCAGTTCTTAGTAGTGAGTGATGCACAATCCTATTTATTTTTGTTATTATGCATGACCGATGTCTACCTCGTAGTAATTCACTGAGTTACTACAGGTTACCCAAATATAGTTCTCATAAATCAGTTAGTGCATTACTAGAGTTTACCAAGAACTCTATTTTTAGCATTCTATCAGGAAGTCTGACTTCCTGGTAATATTGCAAAATCCCTGGCAATATTCTTGGCAAAAAACCTCCTAGCCAAGAACGTAGCCAAAGAGCTCAAATTTCTTTAATTTTGAGGACTTTGTTCTTACTGAATTATCAATGTGGTCTTGAATTCATGTGGTTTTTAATAGTTTCTAGTATTATATTCATAAATATATTGGTAGAAGAGCTTTTAGGTTTTAATTTTGTTCATCTTTTTTTTCTTGGTAATTGCTTTGGAAAATGGACATGGGTAGGGTAATGAATTGCAAGATAATTTGCTCCACCTAAGCAGATCTCAGACAGAGGAGTTGAGAATCATTTATAAAAGGGACCACGGTAGGCCTCAACAGCATACCTATAGCCATGTAGTTCAGGAAGAGAATGTAGTAATCCTACATGTGTGTGTACCTAGAAACAGAACTTTATTTTAAACTACATGCAGCAAAACTGAGAAAATTAAGAAGAAAACTAAATCTACAATTGCAATCAGAGATTTCGATATTTCTCTCTTGATACTTGATGAAACAAATAGAAAATGAATAAAAATGTAGAAGATATCATTTTCAACTAACACTATTAACTCACTGACCTACTTGACATCTAGATAACACTTCAATCAACAAAAGCCAAATGCACATTCTTTTGAAGAATGCAAGAAACATTCACCAAGGCAGATTATATTTTGGGCTACGAAACAAGTCTTAATAAAATTAAGTGTCTAAAAATCATACAAATAGGTTTTCTGACTTTAATAGAATTAAACTAGAAGTCAGTAACAAAACGGTATCTGAAAAATCTCAAAATATTTGGAAATATCATACATCTCAATAATTCATAGGCCACAGAATAAGTCACAAGGAAAATTAAAAAATATTTTGAACTGAATGAAAATGTAAATAAAACATCAACATTTATGAGATACAACTAAATTAATACTTAAGAAGAAATTTATAGCATTAAATGCTTCTATTAGAAAAGAAGGTCTCAAATCAGTGATCAAACCTTCCACTTTAAAAAGCCAGAAAAAAGTAGAGCAAACTAAATAAAAAATAACCAGAAAGAAGAAATAATAATTATAAGAGAAAAAAGCATTGAAATAGAAAACAGAAAATTAATGGAGAAAATTAAACCCCAAATCTAGTTTATTAAAATTTTAATAGAAACTTGATACGTCTATAGCTGGACCAACCAGGAAAAAAAGAAGAGACACATGGTCAATATCAAGAATGAAAGAAAGGACATCACTACATATCCTGTATACACTGAAATAAGAAAAGAATACTATGAACACCTTTCTGCCAATAAATTCCACAATATAGATGAATGGACAAATTTCTTGAAATACACAAATTATGAAAGCTCACCCAAGAAGAAGTAGACAGCCAGAATAGTGCTATATGTATTAAAACAATTGAATTTGTAGTTAAAAACTTACTCACAAAATATCAAACAAACTAAAAACCCTCAAGGCTCAGCTGTCTTCACTGGTGAATTCTATCAGCCATTTAAGAAAGAAATAATATTAATTGTATACCAACTCTTCCTGAAAATAGAAGAGAAGGGAATAATTTAACTCAAACCATTCGAGATGTTACCAGAAAAGAATACTGCAGACTAATATCCCTCTTGGGCATAAGTCCTTAACAAAATTTTAGTGAATTAAATCTAGTAATATATAAAATGAGAATGCATCATGACCAAGTGGGTTTTATCCCAGGAATTTAGAAAAACCAATTAACGTAATTCATCATGTTAGCAGACTGAAAAAGGATAGCCATATGGTCATATCAGTGTGTGCAGAAAATATATTTGACAAAATCAATACTGAGCAATGATTAAAAACTCTTAGCAAACTAGTTATATAAAAAAACTTCCTAAATCTACATAAGCTTACAGCGAGCATCATACTTAATGATGAAAGACTGAATCCTTTTCCTGAGATTAGGAACAAGACAATGATATCTGCATTTACGTTTTATTCATCATTATATGTGAGGTCCTAGATAATGCCATAAGGAAAAAAAAAAGTAATAAAAGGCACACTAATTGGAAAGAAAGAAATAAAATGGTCTTGCTTCACAGATAGCATTATGTTCTACCAAATACCAAAGAATATACAAACAAGCTACTAGAACTGATAAGTGAGTTTAGTAAGGGTAGAGGATACAAGGTCAATATACAAAAGTCAACTGAATTTCTACAAAATATCAATGAACAGTTGTCATTTGAAAAATTTAAAGACAATATCATTTATAATTATATAAAAGATACATTTAAAGAAATAAATTTATGGCCGGGCACAGTGGCTCACTCCTGTAATCCCAGCACTTTGGGAGGCTGAGGGGGGTGGATCACAAGGTCAGGAGTTCGAGATCAGCCTGGCCAAGATGATGAAACCCTGTCTCTACTAAAAACACAAAAATTAGCTGGGAGTGGTGGCACATGCCTGTAATCCCAGCTACTCGGGAGGCTGAGGCAGGAGAATTGCTTAAACCCAGGAGGCGGAGGTTGCAGTGAGCCAGGGTCGTGCCACTGCACTCCAGCCTGGGTGACAGAGTGAAACTCTGTCTCAAAAAAAGAAAAAAAGAAAGAAATTTATCAAAAAATGCCTGTTTGTACACTGAACACTACAAAATATTAGTGAGACAAATCAAAGAAGATACAAATAAATAAAAATATATGCTATGTTCATGGATTACAAGACTCAATATTTAGTCTCCTTACACTTAACTGAGTATATATTCAAAGCAATTATCATTGAAGTTCCAGCATAATTTTAAAAAATGGAAATTGAAAAGTTGATTCTAAAATTTATATAGAAATACTAAGGACCTAGAATTGCCTAAATAATTTTTAAAGATTGGAATACTCACATGACTTGATTTCAAGACTTACTGTAAAGTTATAATAATCAAGACTGTTGGTATTGGCATAAAGGTAGATTTATAGATAATGGACTATGATCTAGAGTCAGAAATAGAGCCACACATATACGTTTACTTGATTTTTGACTAAGGTCCCAAGTCAATTTAATGAACAAATGAATATTCGTATGCAAGAAGAAAAAAAAAGAACCTCAGCCATTACCTCCCCAGCTGGAAAATTAACTAGTCAAAAAAATTAACTCAAAATGAATTGCAGGCTTAAATGTAAGAGCTAAGATGATAAAAGTTCTAAAGAAAGTGTAAGAAAAATTCATGACCTTGTATTTAGCAAAGATTTATAAAATAAAACACAAAATACATGAACTAGAAAATAAAATAGATCAGCAGATTTCAAATGTAAAATATTTGCTTTTCAAACGACCCCACTGAGAAAATGATGAGGCAGGCACAGGTTAGGAGAAAATATTTGCAAAGCACATATCTAATTAAGAACTGGCATCCAGAATATTAAAAAATAAAGTCTTACAACTTAATAATAAAAGACAAACACTAAAATCTAAAAAGCATAAGATTTGAAAAACAACGATGCCAAAGAAAATATATAAATGTCAAACACATGAAACGACGCTTCATATCATTAGTCATTAGAAAAATGTGAATTAAAAACAGAAAGAGAAGCCACTATACACTAAGTATAATTGCTAACATTAAAATAAAGACTGATGGTAGAGTGCAGTGACTCACGCCCGTAATCCCAGCATTTTGGGAGCCTGAGGTGGGCCGATAACTTGAGCCCAGGAGTTCCAGACCAGCCTGGGCAACATGGTGAAACTCTGTTTCTACAGAAAATACAAAAATTATCTGGGCAAGGTGGTGTGTGCCTGTAATCTCAGCTATTCAGGAGGCTGAGGTGGGAGAATTACCTGAGCCCAGGGAAGTCGAGGCTTCAGTGAGCTGTGATCATGCCACTGCACTCCAGCCTGGGGGACAGAGTGAGACCAACTCCAGAAAAAAAGACTGACAATAAAAAGTGCTGTAAAGGATGAGGAGCAACAGGGGCGCTCATATATCACCGTGAGAAGGCAAAATAGTGCACAGATTTGGAAAACACTTTGGCAGTTTCTCATAAAGTTAAACCTAGCAATTGCATTCCTAGACATCTGCCTAAGAAAAATTTAAACATAGGCCCACACAAGGGCTTTTCCCTGACTTTACTCATGATAGCCAAAAATCTGGGAACACCACAAAAGTTAATCAGTGGTTGAATAGATGAACAAAATAGAAGACCAGCCAGCAATAAAAAGTAAGGAACTATTCAAACATTCAAGAACATGGGTGCATCCCAAATGCATTTTGTTAAATGAAAGAAGCTCAAGACTCTATATGTGTTATTTCGTTTATGTAAAATGCTAGGAAAGGCAAAGCTGGAGTGATGGAGAGCAGACTAGTGGATGGAAAGGTGGCTGGAAGGAAGGTACTGCCTTAAAAGGACACAAGGGAGCTCTTGCGGGGTGATGGAAATGTTCTATGTGATGAATATAGTGGTGGTTACAGGACCATATACATTTGTCAAAACTGACCAAATTGTACACTTAAAATTGGTGAACTTTATTGTCTATAAATTATATTCACTGAGGCTGGTTGAAAAAAGAGAAAGAATGCCTACCCTGAATTTCAGATGTTCCCAGGAGAGCAGGAAAGGTGCAGAACTGGGGAGAAGTCTGCCACTTGACAAGCTTCCAGGCAATTTTAATTATCACAAAGAATTAATATAACAAATGTTTTGATTAAGTTGCTGAATGTGAGGACTTTGAACCAGAGCCATGGCAGACTCACTAAGCAGCCATGCCCTTTCCTCAGGAACTTGGTTGTTACCTCAAAATCCTTCTCCGTTGATTCCTGCAGCCACAACAATTTTATTGGATATAGCCTTGAAAAAGAGATCATCTCTAGATCCATTGCCTTACACACAGAATCCTGACACATCTGGACAAATTGGGCCTCGGTCTTCTCCCCCTCCAGGGGGTTGCAAGTCTATTTTGGGAGGAGGACCCTCAACTGGATGCCATGGGGCTCCCTGTGACTCACTGGGAGCTACAGATTCTCTTCATTCCCATCATATGGATCAGAAACACTTTCCCTAGCAAGGCATGTGACTCCACTATAGGATACAAACAAGTTTCTATATCACAACATTATTAATTCACAAATATTTTTATAAAGCTGTATTTGAGGATAAGGACGAACGCTTTCAGCCTACTTACCCATTTCAATGGGAAAGGCAGACTTGGCAGGCTAAGGTGATGTTGGGAGCAGCACTGTTTCCAAGTCCGCAGCCACAAGAGGTACAAGATGCTCTTCACTGACTTACTGCTTCCTAGACACTCAAAAAAGTCTTACTTTTTTACTTTTTAGAATAATTATTATTGTTTTTATAAAATAACAATGTTCATTATTTAAAAATTTTAAGCAACACATGAAAGTACAAAGATAAAAAGCAAAGGAAAAAAAAATTGCAACCACCACAAATCCTGTCATTTCCCCACCCCCAAAAAAGTATCATTAACAAAAGTGACCATCATTCAAGCATCCCTTTAGAGTAAATCAGATGAATGAGGGTCGCTAGACATGTTTCATGGCAAGTCTAGAAAAGATCCTTCCAAGAAAAAAAAAAGATCATTTTTAAACAATCAAGAATTTGGAGCCATTATATTTTTTAGCAATATTCTTTTTATTTTATTTTATTATGTTTGAGACAGGATCTCACTCTGTCACCCAGGCTGGGTGCAGTGGTGCAGTAACAGTTTACTGCAGCCTTGAACTCCTGGGCTCAAACCATCTTCCCATGTCAGCCTCCCGAGTAGCTGGGACTACAGGCGTGTGCCACCACACCCAGCTAATCTTATTTTTTGTAGAGACAGGGTCTGGCTATGTTACCCAGGCTGGTCTTGAACTTCTGGGCTCAAACAATCCTCCCACCTCAGCCTCCTGAAGTGCTGAGATTACAGGCGTGAGCCTCGGCTCCCGGCCCCATCCACTTGCTAACCCACTCTGCGCTGGCTTCCTGTCTGAAGCAGTAAGTCAGTGAAGAGCATCTAGTTCCTGTCTGCTCCTCTCTGAACGGTCTCTCGGCATCTCCAGTGACCCCCTCACTAAGTCCAGTGGCATTTTCCACATGTGTTTGACGTGCTCTCGGCAGCGTTTGACCGAATGGGCCACCTTCCTTCTTGGAGTGCTATCCTCACTTGGCTTCCGGGACCCTACACTCACTGGCTTCCTCCCACTCTTTCTCCCTCTCTTGTCAGGGATAACTCCTTTCACTCAGTGGTTCTGAACCCGGGGACTCATCGGAATAAAGAAACATGGCCCCCGCGCCCAGCCATAGGAGCTCTCCTGGTGTGGCCACCTCTAGCCTGTTTGGAAAACGTCACTGCTGCATCCCGTGCCACACGCTGCTGCACACTGCAGGGTTTGCATCTGCTTCTCTCTCTCTCAGGGACGGGCAGGTCCCTGGGCTTCTGCTTCCCTGTGTTCTCTCCTCCCCAGAGCCAGTCACGGGGTTCTTGTGCCCAGGAAATTCTCAGCAGTGTGTCCTCCATGGGTATAGGAGGAGAGCGTAGTGAAGGAAGCATGGAATTTGGGAGTAGCCAGACCTGGGCTCAAATCCTGACCCTGCCGTCGATCAGCTGTATTATTTCAGGCCAGCCACTTCACCTCTCTGTGCCTCAGTTTCTTCCTCTGTGTCACACCTGTAACACAGCATGGTTACGGGAATGAAGCGAGAGGACATAGTGAGTGCTGGCTACACAGTATGATTCTTTCCTTCCCCATGCCTGAGTAGATGAAGTGAGGTTGTCAGAGTATCGATCTGGGTCCTGGCGGGGAGCAGATGACACTCAGGAGGTGTGACTGCAGAGGGTTTAGGAAGGGGAGGTTTGCGAAGTTATGGGCGAAGCTGAATGAAACCAACAAGGGCTGGTGAAATGCCCCAGGGCCAGCAACGGTGATGAACAAGGGGCGATGTGGCCACTGGGACCTGGAGAGAGCGGCTGGAGAGGCTGACAGGGGCTGCATCATGGGAGCTGTGTGGCCTTTGGCAGGGGGTCCAAAGTGAGGCCCTTGCACACATTCTTTCCCTGTCGCCCGGCCAGCCCTACTCAGCTCTCTCTGCCCCAGGGGCCTCTGTGTCCCTCAGGTGTAGTCCGACAAGGCCTCCCAGGGCATGGAACACACCTCCACTCCCACCTGCTCTGGGGAGCCAATGTCAAAGTCATATATATATATATATATATATACTTTTAGATCACAAAACAAAAGTTTATTGTTTTTTTTTTTTAAATGAAATTTGGCCAGGTGTGGTGGCTTACACCTGTAATCCCAGCGCTTTGGGATCCAAGGTAGGTGGATCACCTGAGGTCAGGTGTTCAAGACCAGCCTGGCCAATATGGTGAAACCCCGTCTCTACCAAAAATACAAAAAATTAGCCAGGCATCGTGTCATGCTCCTGTAGTCCTAGCTACTTGGGAGGCTGAAGCATGAGAATCCCTTGAACCTGGGAAGCGGAGGTTGCAGTGAGCTGAGACACCACTGTATTCCAGCCTGGGCAACAGTGAGACTCTGTCAAAAAAAAAAAAAAAAAAAAAAAAAAAAAGAAAGAAATCTGATATGGAATCCAAGCACCTAATATAAGAAGTATCATAAGTGTGATTTATTAGTGAACATTGGTTTTGTAAGTTTGCACTGATGGTGTTTACCAATCCCAGCGCTGGTGGTGGTTCAACTGTGGCCAGAGGTTGGCAGGAGCTGTGGCAGTACTGGAGGTTGGAACTCACCGTCAGTGTCTTCAGCTGGACAGAGCTGATCTTAGGACCGGGGGAGGCAGGAGGGGGATCTGGCTCACGTTTGCTGAGGGTGGTTCAAGGGAGGCTCTAGGAGAAGCTCATGATGAGATGGGCTCTTGCAGGATGAGTGGGAGTTTGTCAAGAGAAGATGGGATTGGGGGGAGATGAAGCGGAGGGAATGGCATAGATAAAGGCACCTTTGGAGAATGGCCTGGAGCTTGGGTGAGGCTGAAACAATATGAATGTGGAGGAAGATGGAAAATGAAGAGGCTGTCAGATCGTGGAGGACCCTGAATGCTCCTCCTGGAGACAGGGGTAATGCTTTAGAGAGAGAGCCGCCAACAGGGTCTCGGAGGCACACGGGAGAGGGGCTGGTGGCTGGTATTGCCCTGTGATCAGGATTTCCTCTGGAGTTTCGGTGTGTGTTTGTTTGATGGCATCTTCGAGGACCCCTTTTCCATGCAGCTGACCCGCTGGATGGAGGTTAATGAAGATGCACCACCCTTTTTCTGCACGGTGCTGTGATGCTCGGCAAGGTGGGGGGCGTTTTCTAGACAAGGTCCTGAGGCTCTGCATCTGCAACCTACTGCGCTGTTGTTGGAAGGAGGATTGTAAAAGGCAACGCTTGGAGTTACCGAGGGAGGAACGGGACCTCTGAGCTGAGTTAATTACCGCCTTGTAATGTGGCAGGAAATTGGGCCCCGAGGTCTAATTCTACCCTCGGTAACATTTGGACATTTTACGGAAGATGCGGTAGTTTACGACGAGGCACAAAACAGGTAATTGTTGAGCAAAATGTGCATGTCAGAACTCAGTGACCTCCGTGAATCACGCTGCGTTCCCGGTGTCTTCTTATGGTAATGAAGTGCACTTCTGTTCTGTTCTTGTTGAACTCTTCTTGTTCGCCCAAGAATAACTGGCAAAATGGATGGATGCGGAAGTTTTGGCTTTTTGTATGCTGTATGCTGGGAAAATGCTTAATTGTGTTTTCAGAGAAATTCTCAAAGTTTGGGAAAAATTTAAACGAGGACAGTGAGAAGACTGTTGAAAGATCTCCATGGTTGGGCCCGGAAGACCCCAGATCTTAAGCTCCTTGGGGGTGAGGGACGTGTGAGGTGCTGAGGAACGTTATGAAAAGCAAGGGAGTGGGGGTCAGGAGGGGCAGCTCTGATCCCAGTCCTGCTCTGTCTGCTCCGTCAGTATTTAGTTATTTATTTATACTATACCTTGCACCTAAAGGAATGCAATAAACAATACAAAAGGAAATAATTATTAAGTGAGGTGATCAGGGTAGGAAGATAAGGAAAAAGAGAAAGAAAATGAAATCGGAGGTGAGGTTAGTCCATGAGATGCTGCCGTATATCCTTTATGCTTGCTAGAAACTTGGCTCTGAGCTTCCTCGCTGCCAAAGCAAAGAGGGAAAAACAAGCCACACCCTGTTTACAGTGACCTCAAGATTAAAATCAGAAGTCCGAAGAGTTGTTCAGAGGCTCAACACTAAATTGCCATTTCTATAAACACCACAGGGACAGGAACAGCCTGGAGTGGTGGGAAAAGCCTGGGCCCTCTGGATTCCAACCTGAGTTTGGATACCAGCTGTGACATTTTGTCTCTGGGTGGTCTTAAGCAAGTCCCCTCACTTCCCTGAGCCTCTGTGCCCTCATCTCTGTGGTATTGGACTTTGCCCTTTTCTAGCTGTAATGCCCTGTCTTTGTGCAGGCATTGTGCTAGGCAGAGGGGGGACATGCGAGCCGTCTCTGCCTTCCATGGCCTCACACTTTAGTGTGAGCTCCCAGTACTTAGAGGGTTAATGAAGCCTGGCTAATGCTGATGGTGTGTGGAGCAAGGAAGCTTCTCTGAGGAGATGTGGCCTAACCTGGTTACAGAAGGGGGAACAGCAGTTCTCTAGTCAGACACAGAGTCCTCTAAACAAAGAAAGAGAGGGAGAGAGACTGAGATATAGAAAGATCGAGAGAGAGAGAGAGATTGAGAGGTAGAAAATTAAGAGAAAAATAGATTGAGAGAGCAATCGAGAGAGAGATTGAGAGATCAGGAGAGAGAGACTGAGAGAGAGATAGATCAAGAGAGAGATTGAGAGAGACAGAGAGATTGAGAGAGATCGAGAGAGACTGAGAGAGAGATATCGAGAGAGAGACTGAGAGAGACAGATCAAGAGATACAGAGAGATTAAGAGAGAGATAGAGATTAAGAGAGACAGACAGAGACATTGAGAGAGTTAGATCAAGAGATAGATTGAGAGAGATCAAGAGAAAGAGATTGAGAGATAGATCAAGAGAGAGAGATTGAGAGAGAGACAGAGAAGGAGAAATTGAGAAAGAGATTGAAAGAGAGAGAGAGAGAGATTGGTAGTGTCAATGAAAAGATCAAACTGTAAAATATTTAAAGAGGTTTATTCTGAGCCAAATATGAGTGACCACGGCCCAAGGCACAGTCTCAAGAGGTCCTGAGAACATGTGCCCAAGTTGGTTGGTTTTACACATTTTAGGAAGGCATAAGACATCATCCAATACCTGTGAGGTATACATTGGTTCTGTCTGATTGGCAATTGGCTCACGCCTGTAATCCTGGCACTTTGGGAGGCCAAGGCAGGTGGATCACCTGAGGTCAGGGGTTTGAGACCAGGCTGGGTAACCTGGTGAAACCCCGTCTCTTTTAAAAATACAAAAAAACTTAGCTGAGCGTGGTGGGGGGGGTGCCTGTAATCCCCGCTGCTTGGGAGGCTGAGGCAGGAGAATCTCTTGAACCCGGGAGGCGGAGGTTGCAGTGAGCGGGGATTTCGCTATTGCACGCCAGCCTGGGTGACAGAGTGAGACTCTGTCTCAAAAAAAAAAAAAAGTGTTAAGTTATTATCTAAAGAGCTGGAATCAGTAGAAAGGAGTGTCTAGATTAAGATAAGGGGCTATGGAAACCAAGGTTCTTGTTATGTAGAGGAAGTCTAATAGGTGGGTGCCCTTAGATGGCAAATGTTCCCTATTTAGATCTTTAAAAGGTGCTAGATTCTCAGTCAGTCTCTTCAGTATTGGGAGGGTCTGGAAGGGGAAAGATCTAGTTATGTTAATAGAAATTCTTTACAGATGCAAATCTTCCCCCACAAAAAATGGCTTTGCAGGAGCATTTCGAAACATGGCAAAGAGTCATATTTTGGGGCAAAGTGTTTGGATTTCCTTCTTTATCCGTCATGTGATATGATGCCAGAGTCAGGTTGGAAAGTAAGCCACATTGTACAGGGTTAAATAAAACCCATCTGATGAGATTTTATGGTTGGTAGAGTGCAATGCCTCAGGCCCCTTAAATAGGAATTTAGGCAAGAGAGATAAAAGGTCAGGGTTTAGTCTTCAGTAGCCCAGCATTATAGAAACATTGAAAGTGGTTTGTCCTGGCTAAACAAGTTGGTAGGAATGGAGGTGTGGCGATGAGGCCTGGGGGTGGGGAGAGGAGACCCTGGAGAGCCTGGCTGGCTCTGGTGGCAGTATCAGGTGGGAAGTAATCAAGCTCTTCCCTGGGGAAGGTTAATCACGTGACACAGGAAGTGTCGCAGGAAGCTGCTGTGCCACAGGGGACCCAGGTCCTATTTGGATTCCAACCAGGAAGTGACTTCCTTATCTCAAGTGCCTCTATATCTATCCCCACAGTCAGTAGGGCCCCAAGGGCACAAGACTTGGGATGGCAGGAACATTCAGGTTAGTGAGTCTGAATGCCTGATCCCCTGGCCAAGGCCACAGCTTGAAGCTTGTTAGAGATGCAAATTTTTGGCTAGGCACGGTGGCTCATGCCTATAATCCCAGCACTTTGGGAGGCCAAGGTAGGCAGATCACCCGAGGTCAGGAGTTCGAGACTAGCCTGGCCAACCATGGCCAACATGGTGAAGCCCTGTCTCTACTAAAAATACAAAAACTAGCAGGGCATGGTGGCAGGTGCCTGTGGCATGGCAGGTGCCTGTAATCCCAGCTACTCAGGAGGGTAAGGCAGGAGGATCGCTTGAACCCGGGAGGCAGAGGTGGCAGTGAGCTGGGATCCCACCACTGCACTCCAGCCTGGGCGACAGAGGAGACTCCATCTCAAAAAAAAAAAAAAAAAGGTAATGCAAACTGTTGGGCTCTACCCAGACCTACAGAAAGGCTGGGACAAAGCCCAGGAATCTGTATTTCAGCAATCCCTGCAGGTGGTCTGACACATGCAGATGTTGAGAAGCACAGGCACAGGGCATGCTGGGGGAAAAGAAAGGAAGCCACTCCAGAAGCCAGTGGCAGACGGGACTCCTGAACATGTGCCTTGAGCAAACGTCAGTGTCAGACTCCTTAAACAGTGTCAGAGATAACATCCCTGAAAATGGTATTAGCTGGGCCAGCCAGACCCAAGGGCCCAAGGGCAGCATGGGCCTCTGGGAGGAGGGGAAGAGGGGCTGAGAAAAGAGAATTAGGCAGGATCAGAGCAGAGGGAGTCACCTGGCCACACTGGTGGAAGGTGCCCCCCAGTTTCCCAGTGCAGGGACCTGGGCTTGAGATTGGCAACCTCTCCCCTGAGGAGCTGGGAAATGCAGGCTCCGTCCAGCTTCTTGAGAGATAGCAGCGAGCTGGTGAGCAACCCCTTATATCCATCTATGTGCCACCAAGCCTTTCTCAGGATGGATAATTAACATTCTCACGTGTGCTTGAATGACTATTTTTTTTCCTGATGTTTGTACTGTTGATTTAGAAGAAAACACAAATTCATTTTAAAAGTTTACTGCTTTCTGGGCCCGGCGCGGGAGCTCACGTCTGTAATCCCAGCACTTTGGCAGGCCAAGGCGGACAGATCACTTGAAGCCAGGAGTTTGAGATCAGCCTGGCCAACATGGCGAAACCCTGTCTCTACTAAACATACAAAAATTAGCCGGGCATGGTGGCATGCGCCTGTAATCCCAGCTACTCGGGAGGCTGGGGCAAGAGTATCGCCTGAACCCAGGAGGCGGAGGTTGCAGTGAGCCTGGATTGTGCCACTGAAGTGAGACCTTGTCTCAAAAAAACCCCAAACAAACAAAATTTGATTTTATTTCTTTGTGTGTTTTCTCATTCAAGGGATACCAAAGATACAGGTATTTTTTTTTGTGGGGGCTTTGTGAGATGTGTGAAAGGAAAATAAATCTCCCCGAAATTACTAAGCCAAAGGGAAAAGTGAAGCTTGAAACTGCATAGGGTAAACCTGCCTCCCATTCTATTCCAAAATAAGATACCTCCCTTGCAATTTGCCCACAAGGAAATTCTTTGTGGATGAAGGAAAGGCAGAACTCAAAGTCACCCTCCCTCTGCTCCCAGGAGACAAACGCATATCTGATTGCTTCCTTTGCCCTATTGTTTTACTAAGCCAGACTAAGGTATAGGTGACTATTCCTGTAAACTGTGCATTCAGCGAAAGCCTAATCAGAAACTCAACAGAATGCAACCATTTGTCTCTTATTTACATATAACCTGGAAGCCTCCTTTCCACTTCGAGTTGTCCCGCCTTTCCAGACTGAAACAATGTACATTTTACATATATTGATGTCTTGTGTCTCCCTAAAATATACAAAACCAAGCTGTGCCCTGACCACCTTGGCCACATGTCAGGACCTCCTGAGGCTGTGTCAAGGGTACATCCTGAACCTTGGCAAAATAAACTTTCTAAATTGATTAAGACCTGTCTCAGGTATCTTTTGGTTTACAGATGTTTTGACACTATATAGGGGTCCTCATCCCCAGTAGGGCTGGGACGCAGTGACTGTGGAGTTCACTGTATATGCATTGATTCCTAGCCCAGCATTTGGGCACTATGATGCTCACATATCTTTGTGACATTTTCATTAAGACCGGGTTAAAAACCCCTCCATGTCATATTAGCTAGGAGTTCTTTGATGACAGTCACAGAACCCAACTCCAACGGGTTTGAACAAAAAGAGAATTTATTGTTTCTGGTGAGCCTTCAGGTACGGCTGGATCCAGGGCTTTAAGCAATGCTGTCAAGCTCCACCCCCACCCACATCTTGCAGTTCTACTGGCCTCTTTTTGGCTTCATCCCATGTAGGATGGAGCTGGCATCTCTCAGCAATAGTCTCTAAGCTTAGCAACCTTGGCAGAAGC
The DNA here is from genome assembly GCF_000001405.40 of Homo sapiens. Taxonomy (NCBI): domain Eukaryota; kingdom Metazoa; phylum Chordata; class Mammalia; order Primates; family Hominidae; genus Homo; species Homo sapiens. Next base: position 99,141,483 of record NC_000014.9, on the reverse strand, counting down.
CTCTGCTTGGCCTTACCTGGCTCATTTACCTATCCCCGAACAAACTGCTGTGGCCAGGTGTTGGGATGTTCTGATTGGCAGCCTAGCCCTGGGATGAATGGGGAAGACGGGTCAATGACTGTCCTACCAGTAGCAAGTGGAATGGAAGACTCCTCCAAGGAACCCTGAGAGGGGGTGGGGAAAGAGTGCTACGTAGACGGGGTGTTAAGTCATACCGTTTACTCCAAAGCTCCACACGGACTCACTGATGGTCAGAGGCAAGATTCAGAGGTCTGGAGGGGCCACCCAGGTGAGCAAGATGGAGGTAGAATGACTGGTCGGTTGGTGAGACCTCTTTCCGTGAAGTGGCATGATGTGGTTATACACACTAGGAGGCTACCTGGTGGGGTGAGGCGTGGTGATGTGCAGGAGCCCAGGACTGAGGCTAGGAAGGGCCAGGGGCTCAGTTCTCTTGGAGTGGGTCACTGTGCCAGAGCCAGGGCCACAGAAATGCTTGGTCCCAAAGATTTTTTTTTTTTTTTTTTTTTTGAGACAGAGTCTGCCCAGGCTGGAGTGCAGTGGCGCCATCTCGGCTCACTGCAACCTCTGCCTCTCGGATTCAAGTGATTCTCCTGCCTCAGCCTCCCGAGTAGCTGGGATTACAGGCACGCGCCACCACGCCTGGCTAATTTTTGTATTTTTAGTAGAGACGGGGTTTCGCCATGTTGGCCAGGCTGGTCTCGAACTCCTGACCTCAGGTGATCTGCCTGTCTCAGCCTCCCAAAGTGCTGGGATTACAGGCGTGAGCCACCGTGCCCAGCCCCCAATGATCTTGGATGTAAGAGTAGATCTCGCTTAGTGGATCTGACTGGTCTGATGCAGGTCCAGCCTACGTGGACAGATGGTTAAGGAGCCGTGCCCCACAGCTTGAGGCTGGAACATGGGTGGCAGAGCAGGAGGAAGATTTGGCAGGGTTGTAACTGAATGGTGGCCTCAAGAGCCAGAGGCTGGGTCCAATTGCTGGCCCTCTGTCAGGGTTCCCAGTCCCCACCTTCCAGACACTCACAGGCTCCTCCTGGCACGTCCCACCCCTGCAGATGTCCATGCATCCACCCAGCCTTCACACTGCCCTTGAGCGGGTGCTGGGGCTGCAGAGATGGTCACACCCAGCTTCAGCCCTGGAGAAGCTCAGGTGAGAACAGTCCCTACCTCCAGGTGGCCATCCTAGCCAGGCCGCCTCATGGAACCTCTCCCCCACCTTAGGAGGTGACCCCCAAGTGCATTCCACTCTCTGAGGACCACACAGGGAAACCCACACCACAGCCCAGCCCTGGACCCCAGCCCAGTCTGAGAGCCCACAGTCCTCCCAACAGGGCTTATCTTCTGCAGCCATGGAGCAGAGAGGTGGGGCCTGGGTAGGACCCCAAGTCCCTGGGTGGGAAATTATGCCATTTTCTGCCTGCCTAATCAAAAGCAAAACTCTGAAGGGAGGTAAATGCAATTCTGTGATAGGTTTCAATTAAAGATTTGCTACTATTTGATTAAGATGTATTATTGATTTGGGATTGTTCCAAGCAAGCCCAAGCTCACTTCCTGGTGGGATGGGGTTGGGAATTGATGGGCGCCAGGCAGGCTGGGCTCTCTGAAGGCCAGCTGCACCCCAACTTCTTTGTCTTCTTTTTACAAACTTGACTGTGACCACGTTGCTGCTCTAGTCAAAGCTCATCTCTGGGGAAGCCTGAGGGTGCCTCCATTGTCCCCGGACCCAGCCTCCCCATGGTGCTCTGGGCTGGCTCTTTGCACCCTCACCATGTCCATGTCCTGCCCTTGGCCGCATTCTGTTCATTTGGATCCTTCCGTCTGAATCACCTTTCCTGTCTATCTCTACTCAGTTCATCCTGCTTATCTTTCAAACTCTTAGGTAATGTTCATCTCCTGTACCCCTAGGCCTTCAGGATGCTCCCTAGGCCACCTGCGTGTGGTGTCTCCACTCCACAGCCCAGGATGCAACCCACATCTGTGGAGGTCAGGGGGAGACACAGCTCCAGGGTGAGGATGGGCCTGCACCAGCTGGAGGCCCTGCTGGGGAGTGCGGAAGGGCTGGTGTGGGTGAGGGGCCTAGGGGCCCAGCTGTGCTCATCCCTGTGGTCATGGCTCAGGGCAAGGGCTGCCTGTCCCGGGTCCTCCTGTGCTCTCCGCCCGGAACATTAGAGCTGCACAGGGTTTGTGGGACTGGACTGACCCCACTGTCCCCCTGTGCTTGTGCTTTCTCACCTGCAATGGGGAGGTGGTGAGGGTCCCCTCCTCCAGGCTTTTGGGCAGAGTCCAGCGAAGCAAGGCATGAAAATGTCCAGTCCACAGCCTGGCCATGACAGGAGTGCCACAAAGTGTAGCGCCGTGCCCTGGACACCAGCCTCCTCCAGGTCTAAGACGTGCTCAGAGGGGCCGCGTGTGCTATCTGAAGGTTCACTGGTGCACTCACCACTGTCAGTTAACACTTCCGTCCAGGCCCCACACAGCTGGTATTTGGGTGGAGGACATTCTCAACCTTGTGTGGTTTTCCTGGTGCATTTCACATCCAGTCCGACCCTTGGAACAGCTTAGCAGGGACCATTGGTGCCTCCCCAGCCCCAGTCACCCATGGCCCTGTCCCCTGCACATGGACCCCCTCTTCTTTTTTGGGCCAGTATTATTTTGTATAACCTTTGGGCTGTTTCATCATCTGTCTCCTCAACCAAAGCTTGTTCCTTCTGGGCATCTTCATGTTCCCTCCAGGGGCTCCCTGAGGCTCTGTCTGTCCTAAGCCGCTCATTCAGCACTTGAGGTCTTGGGCACCTCACTCCAGACTCAACTAGCTCCCCGACTGAATCTGTGTTCAGGCCCTGCCATCCCAGAAGCTCTCAGTCTTGGGGAGCTGGATGCTTGCAGATTAACAGGAGGGGTAGAGTAGCAGGCTGTGGATGCTCTTGGCTGCCTGGGTGAGAGGGAGGTCGGGAAAAGGTTCCTGGAAGAGGGCACTGCCCTGAGCCTTGAAGGACCACAAAGGGTCTGTGAAGTGAATAAGGCAGCGTGGTTACAGCTCGTGGGGAAGAGGGAGTGGCTGGTGCAAAGGTGGGGAGAGGGCCCAGTGCATGAGACCTTCAAGGTGTTCAGCCTGTGAGAGCACAGAACAAATGTGCGGGCAGGGCTGAGGCCAGGAGGTGACCACACCTGCTCAGAGAGCACCTTATGCATGCTCCAAGGGTGCTGGGCTAACTTCATTATGCACAAGAGGCTCCTCCTCCCTCTGTGCCTGGACGGGGCTGAAATGAGGCTATTCACGGAAGAACTACATTTCCCAGAACCCTCTATGTTCGGTGTAGCCACATGACTAGCTCTTACCAATGGGATGTTAAGGAGAAGGCAGGGACTCTTAAGAACCAAATCTTCATTACTCTTTTCTCTTCCACTATCTGCAAGCAGAGAAGTCTGAGGTCCCAGGGACTGGCAAAGCCACAGGATGAAAGGAACTTGAGGCTCTCCTTCACTACCTGCAGGAAAAGCACCTGTCGCAACAAGGAGCCCTTGCACTGAATGGTTGCATAAGTGAGAAACGAAGTTCTATTGTGTTAAACCTCTGAAATTGTGGTTTTTATTTGTAACAGCAGCTGGCACTGCCCTGGGGTGGCAGGTCGGGTGGGGGAGAAGTGGGTAAATTAGGGGCAGGAAAATCATTTGAGGAGTTGTTGGGGTGGGAGAAATGAGAGAGCCCAAAGAGATAGGTATGATGTAGGAAGTGCTCAGAAAGGGGGGCCCAGATGGCCCACACGGAGGTGGCTTCTGGCTGACTGGAAGGTGGAGCAATTTCCTGAGACAGCAGAAGGGGATAGTTTGGGATGGGTGGGGCTGCGGTGACAAGTTTGATCCTGGCCATGATGAGTTGGAGCATCTGTGGACCACCTAGTGGAGAAGCCTGAGAAGCAGTAGATTGTCTGAAGCTCCAACGAGAGGCAGCAGGAACTGGGGCTGGAACCACAGATTTGAGAGCTGGTGGGTGGCTGCTGAAGTAGCAAGTTCAGCCTTGGGCAAAATGCCTCGGACTTGATCTTGAAGGCGTTAAGGAGGCATTGGTGGGTTTTGAGCCAGGAGTGCTGCGACTGGATTTGCATTTGGGGAAGTTCATTCTGGTAGCCAGGAGGAGGAGGCTGTAGCAGACGGGGTGAGCATAGAGGCAGAGAGGCCTGAGGACCCTGCTGCTGTAGCCCAGGAGGAAAGACGGTGATGTGGCTGTGGGCTGGGAAGAAGGGGTGGAGGTGGAGAAATGAAGGAGGGGAAATTTGCTCCTGAGACCTGGCTTTGTTGGCTGGGGGAGGGCCGGAAAGGGCGGGAAGGAGTCAGGATAGAGAGGGGGCTTTGCTGCACACAGACCGCTGGGTTTAATCCCTGGGAGAAGGCCTTTCTGCACAGAGCCCATTCTAATACCCTATAGGTGTTTATTGAAAATGGGTTCTTAAGGGCACTCTGGCAGAGCACAGCTGTTAGTACATGTCATACTTAAAGCAATTTATTCCTCCCTCCAAATCATAAAAGTTTGCTCGTTTCACGTGGGGAGAGCAGCACATTGGCATTTTGTTGCTCTAATGGGTAATTACTGTCCAGCGACTGATGGGGGCCATATTTTCTGAACTAAAAAAGCGGTGCTTCCGGGCTCTGTCCATTGGAAACAGCAACACGAGCTCAGCTGCGGTTTTTAACTCTCCACCCATTGACTATTAATTTTTCTGACTCCGTATTGATTTTCCATCCTGTGGTTGGGGGCAGGGTTTGGTGTGAGATACAGAACCTGTTCCCTGGGCGATTCGGTCACCCTTCGGCCCCTAAGTGAGGAGGGGTCCTGCCATGTCATTGATGGGGCCACAGTCACCTCCCCACCTTCCGACAGTGTATTTCTTCATCTAGGTAACTACCCACCTTCTATTGCATGCCTGGCACATGCTAACCAAGCTTTACCTCTGAGGAGCTCACAGACCAACATTCCTCTGGAGGAGGGAGCAGGTTTTGATGGTAGGTGATGAGTTTCTTTCATTCAATGCCTGGGGTTTCCCACTGGCCCCCATTATGTTGCCTGGAAGATGGGGGCTCTTGTGAAGCAACAGCAGGATCCTACTGGACATTCTCCAGCTGCCTAATCCCTCCATGTCTCAGTGTTCTCATCTGTCAAATGGAGTCGCTCATCCCGCTCAACCCTCCCCTGACAGGGGTTACTTGCGTGGCCTTCCCATTGGCCTCCTGCTCACTCTTTCCTGACCCCAAACCCTCTGCAGGCCAGGCTCCCAGCCGGCCCCTCTGGACTTGGATTTGGCTGCAGCCTGTTGCTTCTCCATCTTCAGGACCCCAATCCCCTACCTGCACCACAGTGGGCTGCCAGCCACCTCCTGGGCCCATCCAGGGACCACTCGCCTGCAGAGCTGCCATGTACATTGCCTGCATTTCTGTGCCTGAGACCTATACTCCCCACTTCCCAAGAGACTGCAAGCACCATGAGGACATCTTTGTTTGTTTGTTTTGTTTTGTTTTGAGAAGGAGTCTTGCTCTGTTGCCCTGGCTGGAGTGCAGTGGTGCGATCTTGGCTCACTGCAACCTCTGCCTCCTGGATTCAAGTGATTCTCCTGCTTCAGCCTCCTGAGTAGCTGGGACTACAGGCACATGCCACCATGCCTGGCTAAGTTTTGTATTTTTATAGAGATGGGGTTTCACTATGTTGGCCAGGTTGGTCTCAAACTCTGACCTCCTGATCCGCCCACCTTGGCCTCCCAAAGTGCTGGGATTATAGGTGTTAGCCACTGTGCCCGGCTGAAGACAGTCTTTAATCACCACGGTCTGTGCAGCACCCGGCACGGTTCCTGGCCCACAGCAGGTCCTCCGTAAAGAGTGTGAGGTGTGGATCACACACCTCCAGCGTTCTCCTGGTATTGCTTGGGTTTGGAGCCTTTTCTGGGTCACAGAACACTTTAAGACATTGACTAAAGCCACTCCAGGAAAGTGGGTATGGGCACAATCTCACACAGAGACGCTAGTTTCTTCTGAGGCTGCCTGCAGCCCCGATCTAAGAGCTCCAGGCTGCACTCAGCCCCGCTGACATTCTCTCCAACCTTTAAGGCCCAGCTCATGTCCAAATGGGAGGGAGCGCTGCCTTGGCCCTGCAGAATGATGCTGTTGGAGGAAAGGAGGCAGAGCAGAGTGAGGGGCAGGCAGGGAGGAAAGAGAAGATCACAAGAGAGCACAAAAGTGGGGCCATTCCAGTACGGCGGTGAAAGTGACAGAGACGCTTTGCGGGAGGTCGGGGCCGTGCCTTTGCTTGATGATAAAGGACTGAATCCATGCTGACCTGAACTTGCTGAATTCCTAGGCTTTGCTCTGAGCCCAGGTTTTAAACCTGACCCTTCTGAGAACAAAATTCAGAGGGCAGAATCTTGCCATTTTTAACTTCAGATTCAAAGGAACCACTTCAGGAGGAAACAGGCAGAAAAGAGCCTCAGACATCATTCGGCCAGGCTGCTCTTGATCAGCTGAAGACAGTGTGACCCCAAAATGGGAAGGGGACCGCCAAGGTCAGATGGTGAGGCAGAGAAAAGATGTGGCCCATATTCCCCACTCCAGGTGCAGAGGGAGGACGTTCTGCCAGCAGCAGCGTCCAAGGAGAATGGCAGAAGCTGAGGTGCCCTGTGGAGGCTGCTCAGCTGGAACTCTCTAAAGGGGCCTGCCCCTCCACTTTGCCCAATGTGCTGTGAGGCATGACTGGAGTCCAGTGGGATCCACTGGGTCCGGATATCTGTGGATGGTAATATTATCCTGGGGACCAGCTCTCAACCTGGAGATTTAGCAGTCCTGGGGTGGAACATGATGGAACCCGCACCCTAGAACAAGAATGTCTTTCAGGCATGACAGGCTCGAAAGGAGGTTGAGGGGGCTTGAACAAGGGTACTTGTCTGTCCCACTGAGGAGCCGGTGAGGCCTGCAGAAACTCCTCTGGGCCTATGCTGATCAGCTGCCGTGGCTTTGGCCTTGATCTCCCCCAGGTCCCCAGCCTTGCAACCCCAGGCCCTCCATACTGAGTCCTCTCTGCTTCTGCCTTTGCACACAGCAGTATTTCAGAACCCAGGAGGCAGGGCCTGAACTCTGCTGCAGCTCCCTGCCTCTTGGCTCTTTCTACTGTGCTCAGGGCCATGGCGTCTGTGTCCTCCCTTTGACTACAAGGAGCATTTATTTGATTTCCTGCTTGGGAGTTCCCTCTGGAAATACATCCTCCACTGAGTACAAACAGGGCCACCATGCCACTTCCTATGTAACACCTGGAAATGTCACCCCCCGAGAACAGCAGCCCTGGAGTAGCTCAGGGCCTGTGCCTCACTTCATGTCCAACATTGTGCTGGCTGTACTGTGGGCTGTAACCTGCACCCATGTGTGAGTGGTTTGAGCAGTGATGCCTGGCCTTGGAGAGCCTGAGGGCTGGGGTGTGTTTCAGGTGTGCCCTCCTGCCCCGGGGCAAGGGAAGACTACCGGAGGGAGGCGGCGTGGCACCTGCGGGTGACAGGATGTTCTGCAGACATCTGGATGGGTCTGGCTGGGAGGCGGAGTGGCTAACAGCCAGTGTCCTCCCCTGATTGAAATCGTGTGCAGTCTTGTGGGGCTCCTGGGAAATGCCGTCCTATCTGACTGTGGGTCTCCCTCCCCACCCCCACCGGCTTCCTTCCAAGAAGCCTGTTTTGTAACAGTTGGCCCTGGCTCTCCCGTTCTCGCCTGGAGAGGAGACTGTCATCTTTGAAACGGGGCCTCATAAACCTGTAGCTGAGACAGGACATATTTTTCACTGGAGCGCTGAGTGCAGAGGGTGGGTGGGGAGGCCTCACTGGTGACGGGGAGATCCACTTTCCCTAGAGAGAAGTCACTTCGTAGAGACATGGGGGAGAACGTGCCTCGAGGAGGAAATTCTTCAACTCAGCTGCCACTTCTGGTGACGGCAAAGGCCACTGTTGGCATCTCCCTTGTTCTTGGTGTGAACATACTCTTGTGGGAGAAATGTGACAAGTTCTTTTTCCCTCCCAAGACTTCTCATGCAAATGGAGCCGTGATCATAGTCAGATGCTCCCCAAATAAGGAACCGCTTTGCGACGAAACAGAGGGAGAAAGCAAAATACAGAGGGGGTTTCACAGCACTCACAACTCTGCTGCCCTGCCCCCAAGAAACAGGCCTCATTCCACCCCCTGCCCCCACCCGACTGTGACTCCCTGCCTTGGCTCTTTCCTACAAAAATGAGTAAGGACTTTTACTTCTGACTGCAGGCAGGGGAGAGAAGACTCAGACGTTGCGGGAACCCTGTCTCCCTCTGTCTCTCTCAGAAACACCCAGAGTGGAGCGAGAGCTGTGACCAGGAGACTTCTGCGATGGGGCTCAAGAGCTCCCAAATCTGAGAGGTGCTGGGAGCGTGCCCTGTGGCTGGGGAAAGAGGGGTACCTGAGTCATGGCCTTATGATGATGCTTTGATTTTATTTTTCTGAAGAAAAGAAAAAGTGGGTGAGAGCAGAGCACAGCAGATTCTCTACCGCCCGGAGTGACACAGCTCCCTGGGCCTCTGTTTCCCCGTCTTTAACGGGACCAACCCCAGTGCCCCTTTGCCTCTCAGGATGGCCATCAGGATAGAAACAGGTCATGACATGAGGCAGCATCTTGTGTCATGCTTCTTAAATATTGATCTGCCTCTGAGTTCCCTGTGCAGCTTTGAAGATACGGATTCCAAAGCCCAGAGGTTTTGCTCTTACCTAGGCTCATTCTGATGCCACAGGTCTGGGGCAAATTTGGAGGGCTAAGGCCTTCATTTCTCGAACAGAAAACAAGGTCCAGAGAGGGAATGGGACTTGATTGAAGGGACTCTGTAAGGCAGAGATGGGTCTAGGATTTGAACCTTCTTATTCTTGTCCGTTTTTAGGGCCCTAAGTTTTCACAGATTTCACACACCCTCACGAGCTTGCTCAGGAAAAGGGGAAGGAATTCACATCTGCTGCGCACTTGCAGGGTGTTAGGTCTGAGCTGGCACAACCCTAGAAGACAGGGCCTAGGATTATCCCATTTTATAGAGAAAAGTAAGGCTCAAACAGAACAAGTGACTTAGGCCTGTAAGTATAGGGCTGGGATTCAGAGCCAGGTCTTCCTGACTCCAGCTCCCCCGGGGTTAGACCGTAGAGCATGAGGAACCAGCATTTCTTAGCATCTTTCCCCATATGCCCTGGTACCAAGCAGAGTGGCCATATGCTGGTGCCAGTTTCATTTCTGGAGGACCCAATCCCTCCCCCAGCCTGCCGATTCCTTGGAACGAACTCACTCCCGCTGCTGGCCCTGTTGAGGAGTTTGGTGCGGGGATGCCGGTGGTGGTGAGAGAGGGGGACAGTCACAGGTTCCCATCTGAAGCCTTGCTGTCAGCTGTTTCCTCCCACGCAGTGTGGAGGCTGCAGCAGGGCTGAGCATCCCTGCATGGCCAGGCATTCCCAGGCCGCCTGAAACCCCAGACTTAGAACGAGAAGTCAAGGCTGGCTGCTCCTGACACTTCCTCTGGTCCTCTCTGTCCTCCCTGGGCTCAGACCCCCAACCTTGCAAGGGGACAATGCCCCCTCCCCAGCCCATTCCTGCTGAGCAGCCATCAAGACTGAGAACCAAGGGCCGTGGAGTGCCCAGTTCTCCGTACCTCCTCTCCTGGACACGGCTCACCTTCCCAGCAGCTCCCATGGGCAGCCCTCCAGCCTCTGCCTGCACACTTTCCATGACGGGGAACTCACTACTTCCCAAGGTAGTCAGTGACATTTCTAGGCACTTTAGATTGCTACAATGTTCTCATTTGCAATTTTTTTTTTTTTTGAGATGGAATCTGTCTGTCACCCAGTCTGGAGTGTGGTGACATGATCTCATCTCACTGCAACCTCCATCTCCTGGGCTCACGCAATTCTCTTGCCTCAGCCTCCAGAGTAGCTGGGACTATAGGTGCATGCCACCATGCCCAGCTAATTTTGGTATTTTTAGTAGAGACAGGGTTTTACCATGTTGGTCAGGCTGGTCTCAAACTCTTGGCCTCCAGTGATCTGCCTGCCTCAGCCTCTCAAAGTGCTGGGATTACAGGCGTGAGCCACCTGATAAGTCACAATTTTTTACATACCTTAAGTATTGTATATATAAATATATACACGTTACGTGTTACACATATAAAAATCATATGTCTAAATGTATATGTGCATCATATATAAATTATATGGTACATTATATAAAATATTATTATTCATTTGTTGTCCATATCCCACTCATGTATTCAAATGTGCCTGCAGGAGGCTGGGCATGGTGGCTCACACCTGTAATCCCAGCACTTTGGGAGGCTGAGGCGGGCAGATCTCCTGAGGTCAGGAGTTTGAGACCAGCCTAGCCAACATGGTGAAACCCCATCTCTACTAAAAATACAGAAATTAGCCAGGCATGGTGGCGGGTGCCTGTAATCCCAGCTACTCAGGAGGCTGAGGCAGGAGAATCGCTTGAAACCAGGAGATGGAGGTTGTAGTGAGCTGAGATCACACCACTGCACTCTAACCTGAGTGACAGAATGAGACTCTGTCAAAAAAAAAAAAAAAAGTGCCTGCAGGAGGCACACAGAGATGTATACAAACACAATCTCTGCTCCTTCATCCCGTCAGCCACATGGGCACCTTCACATCCCCTGCTCTCTTTCCTAGGCTGGGTGTTAACAATGACTTCTTTAATTTTGCCAATTTTATAGACAAAAAAAGGGGCATCTCCTTCCATGTGGCCAAGGAGTTATTTCTAGAGGTTTCTTTTGCTTATTGTTATGTGGAATGGGCTTCAGGCACTTCTTTCGTCCTTCCTTCCTTCCTTCCTTCCTTCCTTCCTTCCTTCCTTCCTTCCTCCCTCCCTCCCTCCCTCTCTCTCTCTCGCTCTTTCTTTCTCTTTCTTTCTTTCTTTCTTTCTTTCTTTCTTTCTTTCTTTCTTTCTTTCTTTCTTTCTTTCTTTCTTTCTTCTTTCACTATAGGCACCTGTCACCACGCCCAGCTAATCTTTTTTTTTTTGTATTTTTAGTAGAGATAGGGTTTCACTATGTTGGCCAGGCTGGTCTCGAACTACTGACCTTGTGATCCGCCCACCTCGGCCTCCCAAAGTGCTGGGATTACAGACGTGAGCCACTGCACCCGGCTGGGCACTGCTCTTTCTTGGGGAGAGGGACAATGAGCACAGGAGCAAGGGGGCGACAGCTGAGCATCTACTGAGCCCCGTTATAAGGAACAGAGAGACGGCGAGAGGATGGGGAGGAGACTGGAGGAGGAGCAGGGGAAGGAGAGGGCGTGGGGAGGAGAAGGCGCCGTCTTTCCCCTCCAGTTCCCAGGCCCACGCTTCTGCCATGGTTGTCTCCCGCTCTCAACCACCACTGCGTCCTGCTTCTTTACTATTTTCCTGCTATTCCCTCATTGAACCCTTCTAAGATTCCGGTGAGATAGATTTTATTATCTCCATTTTACAGATTAGGAGACCGAGGCTCTGAGAGGTAAAAGGATCAACTAGCTTGCAAGGGGTTGAACCTGGATTTGAACCCGAGGCTGTTGGATTCTCGTCCTATCATGGTAGAGACAAAGAAAGGAGCAGATGGGAGAGATCCTGACAGGGAAGAGAGACCTGGAGAAATAAAGACAAAGTCAAATGGAGAAAAGCCAGAGACAGAAGCAGAGAGATGCCAGCAAGAGGAGAGAGGGAAGATGGAGCAGGAAGAATAGAGACTGTCTCCGAGAGAGAGGGAGGGAGAGTGACACAGATAGATGTGCAAGTCAGCGGAAAAGTGGGGACGAAGTCGAGTGAGGCAAGAGAGCATGGAGGCCAGACTAGAGGCAGGGCCAGGAAGGGAGGCGCCGAGCAGGGGTTGTCCCAGGGCAGGCCCTATGTTTCTCGCTCCAGCTCTGGCTGGCTCCTTCCTCTGCAGCCATCTCTGATCTCTGTGCAGCATCCCAAGCTCCGTGAGTGACAGCCTCCTAGAGAGGATGCTGCTTGGAATAGACGCTGGAGGAGCAGGGAAGGAGGCTGGATGGAGCTCCAGGGAGCCAGGTCCAGTGCTGCACAAGGGGACCCGACTCCCTAGACAGGCCTCATGGTCTCAGGAGGCCTCAGAGGAGGTCACACAGGCAGGGAAGCAAGGCCCAGAGATGGGAGGGGCTTGACTGAAGGAACAGGAAGGAAGGGACAATGACTGCACCTCTCGAGCAGGCTTCGGTGTCTGGGTTGAATGCGAACAGCCAGTCAACAGCAAAATCCACCAACTCTAATACATCCGCTCATCTCCCTTCCCACTCAAGCTCCAAATCTGAACACCCCACTGTGCGGCAAATAGTCAGTAAAGCCAAACCTGAGACAGTAGGAGCTGAGATCAAAGAGCACTAGGTGAGGAGTCAGCAGCCTGGATCCCTGGCTCTCCTTCACCCACCTGAGCCTCCAGGGCAAGGAGGAACTGTGGACACTTGTCTTAAAGGCTGGCACAGGGCTCAGGAGGACAGATGTAAAGGCACATGGCTGTAGGTCCCCAGCCTGTGCTGGATTTGCCTTTTCCTCTTCCCCCAGAAGTCCTCATCTGTGAAATGGATTGGCTTGACCGCATGGGTTTTCAGCTGCTGCTAGCTCTGACCTCTGGTGATTTGATTGACACTAGTGGCTTTGCTAGACCAATTTGACCAGTGGACCCAGGGCACTGTCTTCATTGGCAGGCAGATAACTTAATCTCTGATATTTCTCCTCGTTAAAATTCAGCTTCATTAAGCATAAAACAGCTTGGAGGGGCTCGGGACTTTCCGCCCAAGGGGTTTGGGAATGGATGGAAAGGAGCAAGAGGAGGAGAGGGGGAGTCTCCTCCAGGGTTCACTGTTGAGGGACTCTCGGTTTAGACCTGCTCTCTTGATTCTTAGTAATGATGTTCCTGGTGGCGCTTCCTGGCTCAACACAGACTCCCTCTCCAATCACCCTCACAACACACTCGCGCACCAGACACACTCGCACACACTGATGTACCACACACCAGACATACTTGCACACACTGATGTACACCAAACACATATTTTCACGAATACATTCTTATGTTCGTGCACCCGCGCGCACACACACCAGACACACTCGCACACACTGATGTACCACACACCAGACATACTTGCACACACTGACGTACACCAAACACATACTTTCACGAATACATTCTTATGTTCGTGCACCTGCGCACACACACGCCAGACACACTCGCACACACTGATGTACACTTAAATACACTCACCAGTGTATTCATACATGTGTGTGCATGCACACATACACACACACCGTGTGGAAGAGAAAGCGTGTCTGGTTTCACAGGCTATCAGAGACAAAGTTTCTGTTTATCTTGGAACTGGCTCCAGTGAGCAAATTCTCTCCCCCTTGGAGCAGCCCTGGCATTCCTATCTTGCTTACTGGGAGGAAGGGAGTGAAGGATGAATTTCCTATCCTGTAATGGGGGTGGGTGGGGGGACTGGAAGGCAAGTTGCAACAGCAAGTGTGAGCACAAGTGTGTGTGCGTCCCGCTAGCTGGGTGGCTGGGCTTGGCAGCGACCGGCAGCAAGAGTGACGCATCGCTGGAGGTCTTTGTTGATCCTTTCCACATTAGGAAACAGGGTTCTTAAGGTTGATTTTGTAAGCTCAGGTTTCTCCTCCTTTCACTTGTTGATTGTACTGCCAAGGCAGTGTGCCAGAGAGAGAATCCCTCGTCTACCCAAGGAGAGAGAGCCTGAACTGCTTCCTCAGAAGCAGGCCTAGAATACCAAAGCATGACCGTCCAGCAAAGCTGCCTTGTCAGTGAGTACCCAGCTTAGGAGCAGTAATGACACTGGCTATGCATAGGGTCTCTCTTTCTCTCTGGGTCTGTAGCACCGATGTCAAGAGCACAGAACTCACCACTAAATGACCTGGGTTAATACCCCTGATCTGTCACTCACTAGATGCAAAATCCTGGGCAAGGTACTTAGTTCTTTGCGTCTCAGTTTCCTCATCTGCAAAGCAGGGATGGGAGCATTAGAGCCAACCACAGAAGCATTTGCGAGGACTATCCAAGGTAACGAATGGAAAATACAGAGAGAAGTGTCCAGCCTGTGATGAGCGCCAGTAAGTGTTGGCTATTATTATTCCCCTATGCCTGGTTTTATGCTAAACCATTTCCAGACATTCTCCCTGTAGGATGCTTCGAAAGGCACTCTGCAGTTATTCCCATGAAGATTGTGTGGGTTGAGTGACTTGCTCAAGGCCATTCAATTGGTTGGTGGCAGAGCAGGGACTGGAACTCACTGAAGCCAGTGAGCTCTCCTGTGGGGTGGGGGTGGTCTCCCCTTTCCTGCAGGGTCTTAGCTGGGGATGCTCACCACCTTTACGTTGTGGGCCAGAGGGAGGACAGTAGTCAGTGGACTTCGAAGCTCACTCAGCTCCACATAAGTGGGAGGTGAGACCTGGGAGGCATTCTTCCAGGTGGTGGTAGGGAGCTCCTCGTGGTGGAAGGTAATCAATGAACAGATTCACACTCATTTGAAATGGATGATCTTTCAGTGCTATTCATGCCACGCAGCACAGCAGGATGTTCTGAGGATGCCGGAGTGATGACCTGCTAACTGAATTTGTCGAGTGGTGTGAGGGTAATGAGCTTATGTAAAACCAGTGTACCAAAAATACAGACTAAGAAAACCCCAAGGCCGCACGATTAGTAATAGGGAACAAACATGCTATTTTCCCTCATTTTTTTTTCTTGATGTTGCCATGAAGGGTTTCCTCTCATTCATCAGAAATAAAAGCCCTATGACAGTTAGACTTCCTCAGGGCCTACACTGGCAGCCATGGAGTGGGCTGGAGGGGAGCTGGGGCCCAGAGACTCCTGAGTTCTACGACTGCCTCTGCCTTGCTGGATTTGAACCCAGCTGGGCTGGCTGAATTCACAGCCTGTGCGGTTAACTCCACAGCACTCTGCACCTCCAGCTATGACCCAGAGAGTTCTGGGAGAGTCAGAGCTATTCAAGAATGGTGGGTGTGTATGGGGCCCTGGGGGTGGGCTCGGCTTACTGTGTGAGGGGCCATAGAGAGGCCTGCTTTTCCCTTCTGTTTTTGTCCCAGCCCACCCTCTGCTCCAGCCTGTCAAGGCCACCTGTGTGACTCTTTGGCAGGCTCTGTGTGTAGTGTGGACAGTGCTGTCATCCTGCTTGGCTGCAGGTTTGGCCATCCTCCATGGATTTTCCATGGCCCATTTGCTTTTCTTTTGCTCTGGGGGGCTGATGGTTTGCACACCTGCCAGGCAGTTCTCCCCAAGGGGTCTTGGAGAGCCTGGCCTGCAGAACATGAGTGCCATAGCTCTGAAGGCAGCCCAGCCTACTTGAACCTTGGATCCTGGGATCCAGAGCCATTCATGAGTCATGTTGTTTTTGTAGTGAATCTTTACCCACTTCTCGTGAGGACAGCCTATCCAGGTCCTGTGGGACAGCAGGATTTAATGCCCAGAAGTAGGAAGACTAGGCTGGGCATCAGGGGGCCAAGGCTGGGATCTCTGTGCCCCTTCCTGGCTGCAGCACTGTGGGCAAGTTGCCATCCCTCTCTGAGTCAGGGTTTTCTCACCTGTAACTTAGAAATGATCACTTCCTTCCCTTCCTGGAGCACCTAGATGTTGTAAGAATAAAACGAGATAACATAGAGGTGAGAATACTCAGCAGATATCAATCACAGACCTACTATATACATGGTACTCACTGACCATGTTGTACATGATCACAATTCAAAGAAAACCAACGAATTAATCAACCAATGACCTACCAACTAATCAACTTACCGACCAACTTACTAACAAACTGAGCAACCAACCAACCAACCAACCAACCAACCAACCAACCAACCAACCAATAAATGAATTTATCTCCCAACCGACCAAACAGTGGAGCTTAGCATCTTGTTGGGAAAAGACCTACATTGAAAAATCCCACAGAGAAATACCGACGACCCTTGCTCAGATGGAGAGGACACACCATCATGACAGCCTCCGGTGGAGGGGCAGCAGTGGGAGCCGTGGGACAGGGTCCCAGTTCAGGGATTTTTCAGGCGCTACCACTCCTCTCTTTCCCCACGGCTCCCAGCTGCACCCAGGCTCTGGCTCTTGGATGCATTCCCAGGGCCTCCACCTGGAACCTCGCAGCAGCTCCTCATCGCAGTCTCTCCTTGGACACACTGTGGCCAAAATGTCTCTTTTCGGAAGAGTGATGTGACTATGTCATTTCTCTGTTTAAAACCCCTTACGGGCTGCTCCTGTGTTCTCAGCCTGGAGAAGCAGACCCTGCCACATTTCCAGAAGCACCCACCTTACTCGCTGGGAGGTGATTGAAAGCGTTATTTCTATAATAAAACAAGTGCAGGTAGAGAACGGGGCTGGACACACTTGCAGGGGCATGGCTACTCTGGGCTGCATGTCCAGACTCTGGAGGCTTGCCTTCCTCTGCCATTGAAGGGACTCTGGTGGGGAGCATGGGAAGTGCTGCTCCTCCTGCTGGAAGGAAGGTCCCTTCCCATCTTCTGCTGCAGCGGCTCAGACCATCTCTTTGACAACCTACAGCCTGGCAGTGCCCAGGGCAGCATTTCCCACCTGTGGGCAGCGCTGGCCCACTCGCCTGTCGGGATGGCCTCTCCAGTGTGGCTCCTTAAGGCCAAGACCACAGTTTGTCTTCCTCGGCACCTCCAAGGCCTGGCCCAGGGGCTGGCCCAGCGAGGGCCCTGGGAGGGTAGGTCCATGAAATGAGAGATGCCCACAGTGGGGTCTGGGGCAGGGAAGAGAACAAAGGCAGCAGCATGAGGCTCAGTTGTGTCCTGCCTGCCCTCTGCTGCTCCTTCTCCTCAGTGGGCAGCTCCCCAGGAGGCGTCCCCCATGGGCTTGGTGGGGGCCTGGATGCATCTACAAGGAAATAGGAGTTTCATTTCAGGGTGCTCTTGGCCTGTTGGCCCTATTCTTAGAGGCAGAAGTGGAGAAGGGGAAGGTGCATGGGCTCGGGACCCTACAGCTACAGGTTCAAATCCCAGTTCCTCCACTTAATAGTTGCGTGACCTCTGGAAAGCTATTCCTACTATTTTAGTTTTCTCATGTGTAAAATGAGAATAGTTACGGCCTCCCACCCATAAAGTGACCATGTTCAGGTAAATCATTGTGGTGCCCTAGAGGCTCTCCTGTTGAATGGGAGGAGGGGCTGGAAGTTGGGCTTCCTTGCAGCTCTGCTACCTGCTCATTGGAAGATACAGCTCTAAGGTGGGGATTGGAGGGGCTTTTTGGTTGTTCCACATCTCCAAACGCCATATCTCCAAAGTACCATGTTTTATTTAACTTCAGAAAATTTGCAGCCGTCATCTGTCCCGTTGGTGTCATAAGCTTCTCATTTGCTACTTCTCTTTTTTTTTTTTTTTTCCAAAGAAACACACCCACCAAGAAAAATGCTGTGACAGGTTGTGAGGTTGGAAGTTGAAACAGAAGCATCAAGTTCTAATAGATCCTGCCCTGTTAAGTGAAGTCCCCGGAACAAGATGCCGTTTCAAGGGAAACGGATCTGGGCTTTTAAAACTCTCTACTCACGATGAGAATATAAAAAGATGGGTCCGGGAGAACAAAGGGAGAGATTTTGGGGGATGATTCCTTGGGAAGAAGTGTACCCAGCCCTTTTGCTAGCATGTTGGGGGGGCATGAAGAGATCCCTCCTCCACCTCATCCAAGTTGCTGTAAAAGACATGATTTCATTCTTTTTTATGGCTGAGTAGTATTCCATGGTATCTGTATACCACATTTTCTTTATCCACTCGTCGGTTGATGGGCACTTAGATTGGTTCCACGTCTTTGCAATTGCCCCCACCTCAAATTTAGTGGGAGGTGCTTCCTGCCTGTTCCTTTCAGGGTGGACACAGGGGACCTACTGGCCAGCTCCTGTCTGAGAGGAATAAAAGTTGCCTGACAGCTGAGCTGGCCGCATTGACGTGGCCTCTACTTGCCGAGGTGTATGTCCCATGGACCCTGTGTGAGCTCAGCACAGTGAGGGGGCCAGCCCTGCTCCAAGGCTCCCCTGTCCTGCAGGGAACAGGACCTGCCTGGGGGGCAGTTGGTCAAGGGCAGGGGAAGAGGGAAGGGGAAGGGAAGGGAAGGTGAAGCAGACCCCCTGCCCTGGCTGATCTCATCTCAGGGCCAGTAGGCCCTGCACAGGATGGGAAAAGATTTCACTTTAAATCACATTGGAAGTTTTGATGATGTCAAGGTATAAGATGCTTTTAGTTGCTGAGGTGACAGTGTCACAGTGTCTGGCAGCCTAAGGGGATGACAGAGCTTTTTTTTTTTTTTTTTTTTTTTTTGGCAGAGTCTCGCTCTGTTGCCCAGGCTGGACTGCAATGGCACGGTCTCGGCTCACCGCAAGCTCCGCCTCCTGGGTTCAAGTGATTCTCCTGTCTCAGCCTTCCGAGTAGCTGGGATTACAGGCACCCACCACCATGCCCGCCTAACTTTTTTTGTATTTTTAGTAGAGATCGGGTTTCACCATGTTGCCTGGGCTGGTCCCTGTGCAAGGACGACACACAAATTCATGAAGTGTTCTGTATTTTTTCTGGCTCGGTGCGGTGGCTCAAGCCTGTAATCCCAACACTTTGGGAGGCCGAGGCCGGTAGATCACTTGAGGTCAGGAGTTCGATGACAGAACTTTTATTGCCTGAGTGATCTAAAGAGTCCTGAGCCCTCTGGGACTGTGGGAGAGTCTAGGGCGGGGGGAAGCTCTTCATGGGACACATTTTACAGAAACAGTAGGAGACAAAATAGAGCCGCCTTGTGGTTGAACTTTGTGAATCCAGCTTGGTCGAGACATCAGCTCACAGACGAAACCAGGGAAGGGAAGGAGGCTGATGCCTTGGCCTGAGACAGCTCCCTTCCTTTTTGGAACCTGGTCTTCCCTGACTGTGAGATGAGACCCCTCACCTAGGGGTCTGCATTGCCCCATCTCAGTGCCAGGTATCTGTCCCACCCCATTTCCCTTACCTCCTAAGCTCCTCTGGCTTCAAAGAAACTTAGGTCACGGCTGGGTGCAGTGGCTCACGCCTGTAATCCCAGCACTTTGGGAGGCCGAGGTGGGTGGATCACTTGAGGCGTGGGTCCTGACTGGGTGGGCATGGCAGCGCCTTCCCCGCAATCTGCCGTGGGCGGGGTCTGAGGAAGCAGCGTGCACTCTGTTGTCCCCATTTTCTGGTAGTCTCTATTCTACTCTCAACTTCTCTGAGTTTGAGACCAGCCTGGCCAACATGGTGAAACCCTGTCTCTACTAAAAACACAAAAATTAGCCGGGCATGGTGGTGCCCACCTATAATCCCAGCTGCTCAGGAGGCTGAGGCAGGAGAATCACTTGAACCTGGGAGACGGAGGTTGCAGTGAGCGGAGATAGCGCTATTGCACTTCAGCTTGGGTGAAAGAGCGAGACTGTCTCCAAAAAAAAAAAAAAAAAAAAGAAACTTAGAAACTTAAGTTACCAAGACCCTGCCCTCACGGAGCTTGGATTCTAGTGAGGAAAAAAAGGAACTAGACACAAAAACAAGTGCCGTAGGCTGGCTGGCCCACTGTGGACAAGGTGGAGCTGTTGTCTCGCCCAGGCAGGCAGGGAAAGCTGCCGCAGGGTGACCTGGAGGAAGGGGCTAGGTGAGCCCTGCGGATACCTGGGGGGAGGCCCCAGCAAAGGCTCCGGGCAAAGGCCTGGAGGTGAGTGGGTGTGGAGTGTGCTATGAAAGAGCAAGGGCCAGTGAGGGCAGGCTGGGGGTCTGAGGGCAGAAAGCACCAGGGGCCTGGAAGGCACAGGTTTTTGCTCTGGCGGAGTTGATGGAATAGGTGGTGCGTTCCAGGCACAGGAGAGGGCAGATCTGAGTTTGAGGTGAGTGTGTCTCCAGCTGGGTCCTGACTAGGACGGAGCACACAAGGGCTGAACCTCGCGGGGCCCTGGCACGTGCCTCTGCCTCACTGTCTGAGGGAGAGCATCCTGGTCAGGTGCAGGATTCGTTTCAGACCAAGGGACACCTAGGGCAGCAGCTTCACTGAGGACATTAAGACAATGACCGAAACAGCCTCTGTTTCTTGAGCACTTACTGTGGGTCAGGCAGGTGTACAACTTATGGCAGCGCTGGCAGGTGGGTTCCATTGTGATCCCCATTTTACAGATGGACAAACTGAGGTCTGGAATGGTTTAGTGCCTCACCTAAGGTCCCATGGCCAATAAGAGGCACAGCAGGATTTGAGCCCAAGTGCCTCATGGTAAGACCTGTCCTAACCATTTCTTACCTGGCTGAATTAACCAAAGGATGAACGTGAACAGCGGGGAGGAGAGGTTTTGCTTTTTTTTTTTTTTTTTTTTTGAGGTAGGGTTTCGCTTTTGTTGCCCAGGCTGGAGTGCAATGGCGTGATCTCAGCTCACCGCAACCTCTGCCTCCCGGTTTCAAGTGATTCTCCTGTCTCAGCCTCCTGAGTAGCTGGGATTACAGGCATGTGCCTGACAGGGTTTCTCTATGTTGGTCAGGCTGCTTTCGAACTCCCAACCTCAGGTGATCTGCCCGCCTCGGTCTCCCAAAGTGTTAGGGTTACAGGCGTGAGCCACTACGCCCAGCCTGAGGTTTGCTTTTTGTCCTTGGAGCCTAGACTCCTTTGGGTAGATGGAGGCTCTGTTCATCTTTGAACCATGAGGCTGGGCGCTGGGCATGACGGGCACCCAGAGTGTATTTGCCAGCTCTCTTGAGGCCGATTGTTACCAAAACACTTACTGAACATCTGTTAAGAGCCAGATGCTTTGCCAGGCACTGCGGGTACTTGGGGGTGGGGTGGGAGCATGTTTAAGATTTAATTCCTGTCCTTAAAAGCTTTCGTTTAGCAAGATATTTTTGGTGGGCAAGACATTTGTTCAACGTTTATCAGGAGAACTTTATTGCTGTTTTACAACATTATTGCTAATCTTAGTAAAAGCCAAAAGGTGGATTTTATTTATGGCCATTTCACAGACAGGGTAGCCCACTGCAGGGAGGGCAACCGACCTACTCAAGCCAGTGGCTGAGCTGGATCCACCGGCAGCCGACCGCGTTTTCTGGATTCCCAAGGACCAGCGTTGCCTATGCAAAGTTTGTGTTTTCCTCTCATTTTAATAGTACATAACCTTCTGAAGGGACTTGGTGTTCATTAATACTGGCCAGGTGCCCGAATGCTATATGGGATTCGTTTAAACTCGGGCTCTGGCAAATTTGATTTTTACTGAAAATTACCCATTTTTTAACATTTAAAATGTTATCGAGCCATGTGGCCATTGCCGTCTTGGGCAGAAAACATCTTGGATGAATTTGCATTTTTAATTCTTGGCATTTTTATGTTGCTTTAGTTCCCAAAGAGCTTTTTTTCCTCTTTAAAAAAAAATTTAAAGAAAGAAGGCAGCCCGCAATAGGGCAGAAACGCCAAGAGAACATAATACTAGTAGTAATGTGTGTTCCCTCGCTGCTAATTGCACCAAATTTTACCATGTGCTCCTGAAGCAAAGCCTGCCTGCTGCTCTCCAAACCCAGCTTCTCCTGCAGCCACCTAACAGGGGTGAGATAATCATTCCTTAATGCTGCTGCTTCTGAGGGTGGCTGCCATGGCTGGACCCTGCCTGTCGAGCACTGGGGAGGCAGCACCTAGGGCCTCCGTTATTTAAGAGCACAGTGTGCCTTCCCACCACCTTTGCCTGGTGCTGGGTGCCGAGGCTGGGCCAGGGCTCTCTCAGGGTTGGGTGTCAGAGCCAGACAGGACTTTAAAGAACAGTGGGCATGTTTCAGTTAAGGAAACAGAGGCTGAGAAGCAAGAGGGAATAGGGGCTCACTCTTTATTATTCAGCAGTGGTTTCTTGAGCACCTATTCCATGCCAAATAGCGGGGGGAGGAGTTAGGCATGGCTCTGCCCTAATGTTGGGTAGGGGGCAGCCAAGCACCCAGAACACTTGGGTGCAGGGGGACAGGTGCTAGGAGAGTGGGTATGGGGGATGTGTGAGCCCAAAGGTGAGGCCCCACCCTCCCCCTGCTGGCTGTTTGCCTCTGTCCTCACAAAACCCTAGGCGGTATTTTGATTGCCATTTACAGATGGGGAAACCGAGGCCCTGTTCTGTCTCACGGTGCTGCCCTGGTGTGGAGGCGGGCCTTATGCTCACTGTATGCCTAAGAAAGCTGGGGCGCCCCCACTCCACAGAAGCACAGCCAGTGCCCACCCACCGACACTGGGCCTCTGGACGCTGGAGAGACAGCAGTGAACAAAGCAGACGGGAGCCCTGCCTGCCCAGCACTGGCGTTGGGGTGATGGGAACAGAGACAACAGACAACCTAGTAAGGAAGACGATTTCAGATGCCAACAGTGCACACAGAGAAAAACAGCAGGGCCACGTGAAGCCGAGTGACCGGACCATGTGTAGAAGAGGCCAGATAGGCCTGGATATGAGCTGTGTGTATCCAAGGGACAGAAAAAAGACCCGGAGGTTAGCCAGGGTGGATGTGGACTAAACCCTCAGCTTCTGCTTAGGCTCCACCATTGCTTGCTGTGTGGCCATGGGCAAGTGACTCGGCCTTTCTGTGCTTCTGCTTCCATGTCTATATAATGGAATAGTAATAGTACCTACCACATAAGATTGTTTTGCAGATTAAAGAAAACTAAAGAAATACACACAGACACATACACACACACAGACACATACACACACACACATGCATGCACGCGCGCGCGCGAGCGCGATCTATGTCTCTATCTGTATCTATAGCTACCGCGCTTAGCCAAGTGCCTGACCGAGAATGCGCCCTCAGTGCGCGCAGCGGGGGACAATCTTTCCCTCTCCCAGGGCCAGCGTGCAAATCCCACAACGCGGCAATCCTTCTTTCCCTCCAGCGACTCTGTGGGGCCATTGAGCCTGCTTCGCGAAGTGAGGAAGCCACATTTGAATTTGTTAAAAACAAAAAACAAAAAACAACAAAAGCCCCAAACCAAACAAACACTGCGCGACACGGGACGCTGTTTCCTTCAGCCCGCGCCTTGCACAATATGGTGCGGTGGGCCGGGAACGCTTGGCCACAGATGGCGCGCTTGGTACCAGCCCTGTTTTCTAAATACCCGGCTCCTCAGTGTAAATGATAGCGTCGCACACATGGTGCCGCTTGGCTCCCGGGAGGCTCCGGCGACCACGCTTTTCTTGGCCTGCCGCCCCGGGTCCGGCGTTCTCCCTCCAGATGGCGGGCATCAGAATCTCTCAAGACGCGGGGTGTGGCTGCTGACACTCGGGTTAGAAGCAGGGCCGTCCCTCGTCCCTGCGGGGCCAACCCGGACGACTCTTTCTCCCACTTGTGGCCTCGGAGGGGATGCAGAATTGAGCAGCTGGTGGGACAGGGGAGGGAACCTCCGATGACACCGCAGTAGGGCTGAGACTCGAACCCAGCTCCTTTGGGGCCACGTTCTTGAATTCTCTCTCTTCTGGGACAAGTGTGCATTTTCAGGAGTCTACTGCTCAGCCCCCCTCAAAGGCAGCAAGGGGACGGGGGAGGCAGGGACGTTCATCCCACACGAAAGAAGTCTCTGCTTTTGTGCCGGCCTGCGGCAGGCAGCCTGGCAGAGGCGGAGGAAGGCCAACCTGGCATCCTTACACCCTGCAGGTTGAATTCTGTCTTCACTCTGTACTAGTGATTTCAGATCACTGAATCCAAAGCTCAGCTTCTTTATCTGTTAGATCAAACTAATGTACAAGGGGCAGGGCTGGCGGCAGGGATGGGGGCACTCTGTCCCAGGCACAGGCAAGAAGGGGCACACTGTCTGCAGGGAATTGAAAACCTTAAAACTGACTCAGACTAAACTGGCTTTTTATGATCACTATGCACTGGCAATTCTAAACATCGTCGGTGATAGAATGTTCTTCCCTGAAATATTCTTTTGTTGGTCCAAGTTTGTAAACAATCACTGCATTTTAATAGTGAGTCTAAATATTACCTCCTTCAGCTTCAAGTTCACAGGGTTTGATGACATCTAGAATATGTATCATATTCTAGATGAAAGTTATACAGTCGGCCCCTAACATGCCCAGACTCAACTACATGGGTTCATTTGGAGAGTAAGTTCCTAACAGCTTGGAACCTTTCCCACGTACTTTGGGCACCCGGTGGCACTATATATTTCTGCATTGAAACAGTTAATTTGAAATATAGCAATAACAGCATAGTGATTGATGAAAGACAGAGATGGAGTGACTTGGATTAAATGAGATAGTGCATGGACGTACTTGTCCAAGGGCAACCCCTGGCACCTGGCTGTTGCTTAGTTAATGTGAACTGCCTTTAAGGTGGAAACACGGGCCCCTCAGTTGTAAAAATGGGTCTAATACCATCTTACGGAGTTGTGGTTCAAAGAGCAGCTCACGTAACTCCATGCAGTGTAGTTCGCTTTTCTGGAAAATGGAGATCAGAATATTTATTCCAGTGAAATCCAATGAGGCCACCTCCATCAAGTGCCTGGTTGGGCTATCAGATCCTGTTCTCGGAGTCTGATCCAGTTCCACCCCGTATCTGACCCAGGGCTCCATTCCCCATTCTTGCCTCTCCTTCTGGACCCTAAACTTGGCTTCATAAGATTGGCTCTGCCAGAGGGCAAGGAGTCTGCTTCCCCATAGTAAATTGAAGTCATGCTTGCAAGAAATAAAAACTGATGTTGTTAACATAAGCAAATGGAGATTTAGTGGAAGGATATCATGGGGTGTCTGTGTGTTGGGGAATGGGGGAGCTCCTGAAATGAGGAGGAGCCCTGAGACCAGACTTGGGAGTGGGCAGAAACCAAGAGAACCTAAGAAGAGGAGGATGAGGCAGCAGGAAGTACAGATATAGTCTTGCACATGGAGTGGCCTGGCTGGTCACCAGCCCCACATTTTAGCTGCTGCAGCTGCCATGAAACCCCTCCTTCTGTCCTCACATGTGATAATTCAAGATTCAAAGCCTGGAAGGCAGGCATGGATTGGCTAAGTTTAGGTCATATTGTCCACCCCCTGCTTTACTAGGGGTGGGGAGATCTAGAATGTGGTCCTCTAGGCTTCAAAGTGGGAAGCTTGTTCTGGGTAACTATCAGAGACCCCACTCTGAGGGAGAGCTAATTCCCCCAAAGAAACCTGAGATGCGCTCAGGCAGGGGAATGGATGGAAAGTGCACAAAACACACCCTTAGCTCTTTCTTCTCTCCAGGTCCCTTAGTCCCTCCAAGGGAGGTTCTCACAATACCTGACAGATTTGAAAGACTTGACTTCTAGACCTGTTTCTGAGATGGGTAATGTTTCTGTCTGAATAACAGAGAGCCTGGGATTTTGCTGCTTATGGTCTGAGAGCTGGGTGAGGATGAGGAAAGAAAACTTCTAGTGCATGCAGAGTTTGTACTGTGCACTTCACATTCATTTATCTCTTTTAAATTACAACCAAAGCCCTTGGACATATATATTATTATTCCTATTTTGCAGGTGGAAAACAGGTTCGGAGGACTCAAGTGAAATTACTTACAGTTTCATTTAGGATTCTTGGGTGTAACTATCAGAAATGGGCTCTAGTTAAATTAAGTCAAAGGTTAAATTGGAAGGAAATGGGGCTGATAGAATTGAAGAGAAGCAAATGAATCATATTTGGAAAAGACAGGAACCTGTACTTCCCTGGGGATCCAAGTAGCAAAAACCAATGGTGACTTCTAGGGAAAATTAGTTCTAGGATTTTCCTAAACCTATGCCTTTGGGAGAGACAGTGACTTTTCCAGGCATATCACCTGGGCAGTCTCATACAACCCTTACCCTTAGAAGGTTCTTACTCTGGGTTTAATGCTCTGCTGTTGCCATATTGAAATTCCTAATAATTTTGTACAAGGGACCCCGCGTTCTCATTTTGCTCTGGGCCCTGCAAGTTATGTAGCTAGTCTTGCTTTGGTTAGGTGAACACAAGGCACATTGATTGACAGTCCTATCAAGATTGCATACAACGATGATGAGGTATTTTCCTAAATCAATACTGGGAATGTTAGCACATGAAGTAGGGGTTTGCAGCAGGAGGGTGTGGATGCTAGTCAGGCATGCAGACCACAGATATTCACTACAGTTCACACCTGGTCAGCCCAGTATCCCCACACATCCTTTCCCCCATACACACAGTGTTACCTTGTATCACTTCCACCCAAATTTCATTGACCAGTAGTCACAGGACTTTGACATGACTGCAAAGGAGGCTGGAAAATGAAGTGCTTAGGATGAGGAAATGAGATGGAAGAGCATCTAATCAGTCCCTGCCACAGCCTATTTACCCATAACCATAAGCCACCCCAAATTACATACTACGTGTTGTATATTATATATATTGTGAAATCATTGTCAAGGGATGAGACAAGATTGACAGTTGAGATCAGGAATGAAGGAAAAAGAATAAAATGAGTGCCTTATATAAACATATGATTGCAAATGCTTTCAAATGAATATTATTGTTGACACAGCTCTTTGCATCTAGGTATAGGTAAAAAATAAATTCAAAATACTTATTGGAATTAAAAACAAAATCTCTCAGTAGATGCATAAGTTATCAGCCAGATACAGCTGAGAAAAGAACAAATGAAGTAGGAGACAGAACTGATTAAGACTCTAGTACATAGACTTAGAGATATCAACTATTAAAAGTATGGAAAATATAAAAGAGAATCTAAGAAAATTTGAAGACAGAATGAGCTATTTTAGCATATGACTAATAGGATGGAAAATATGGAATAGATATCAAATATGAAAGAAATAGCAATTATAAGAGAAAGAGACATAAAATAGAGAATGAGAAGCTTCAACCTAAATCTAACAGGATGCAAATTATTGAAATAGAAAATATGAAAGAGAACTTAAGAGATATAGAAGACAGAAAATGAAGTTCCAACATATGTCAAGAAGGAGAGTCCAGAGTAAAAGACAGTGAGCCAGTATTTAAAGAAATAAGAAGCCTGGGCAACATGGTAAAACCCTATCTCTACAAAAAATTAAAAAAAAAAATAGCTGGGCGTGATGGTGTGCCCTTGTAGTCTCATTACTTGGGAAGCTGAGGTGGGAGGATTGCTTAAGCCTGGGAGGTAGACACTGCAGTGAGCCATGGTTGGGCCACTGCACTCCAGCCCCAGCTGATAATTTTTCTAAGTGCAAAAATACTCATTAAATTTCATGTTTAGATGTTTTTCAGTGGAACTGTAGACTATCAAGGATAGAGAGAAAATCCTAAAGGCCAGCGAATAAGACATGGGTTATCTTCAGCACAACAGCAATCAGATTGTTAGCCAACTTCTCAAGAACAACACCATATGCAAGAAAAAATGATATAGTATCTTTGAAGCTGAGAGAAAATAATTGTGAATCTACAATTCTATACCTAATCAAACTATAATTTAAGAGCAAGGATAACATAAGACATTTTTGGATAAAGCAGAACATAGAATAGATGCTAAATGTATCATGTATGAATGCTTCCAAATATAATTATTAAATGAAGAATCTAAACCAAAAAAAATCCAGAGTGGGATGCAATGCAAAATAAACAACAATAAAATTTAAGGCTAAACACTAGAATCATAGAATGCATAATGTCTGAACCAGTAGTAGAAAATAAAAGAAATGTAGAAAAATTGATCAATCCAACAAAATAAGTAAAAGGAGAAAAACGAAAGAGGTAAAAAAAAAAGCATGAAGGTAAAAATAAATCCACATATGTTACTAACCATAACAAATGTAAATAGGTTAAACTCACAATTAAAATACAGGCTTCAGATTACATTAAAAATTTGTAAGTATATGATGATTATAATATACACACCTAAAACATTCAGGAGACATTTAAAAATTAAGGCATAGACAGTAGATATACTAGGCATTTGCTGATCCAAAGGAAGTTAGTGTAGGGTTTGTAATAACAGACAAAATAGAATTTAATGTGAATAGCATTAAAAAGTAATATTTAAAGACACCTATTTCATATTGCTAAAAAGAATAATCCAGCAAGATGACATAACAACCATTACTTTGTATGTATCTAACTATACAGCCTCAAAATATAAAGAGCAACAGCTGTCAAAACGACAGGGTGTAATTGATAAAAGTTGTAACAAGATAGGTTCTAATATCCATTTCCCAGGAATGGATTGATCAGACAAACAAGTAATAAGTGAGAATATAGAAAAACAAGCGTGACCTGGTAGAAAATAAATAAAAACATGCACATCAGAGACCATAACGTTATTTTCTAACAGGCATTGTTTACAGAAAATAATAATGTCTTGGACCATTAAGGAAGTTATAGCACATTCCAAATAATGGCCAACATACAACCCACATCCTCTGACCAAAGTGAAATAAAATAAAATGTTAACAATAAAAACTTAGTTATTTCCCATGTATTTGGAAAAATTAAATATAAATCATACTTCTAAATAATCTGTGAATTACAGAGAAAATTCATGAGAGAAAATGATAAAATATGTGGAACTAAATTACAATGAAATCATTACATATAAAAACCTGAGCGATACAGGTAAATCTGTACTCAGAGGAAAATTAATAGTATCATGTACATTTATTAGGAGACAAAAAAGTCTGAAAATAAATGAGGTGTACAATTTAAGAAGCTGCAAAAAGAAGAAACCACCCCTCCTCCAAATAGTCTTCTGTAAGGAGACTAGAAGTGGAAACAGTAAATGTAATTGGATTTATCACCTGATTAAAGTCATCTAAACCTTCTGTGTTCTCCACATTCATCAGTTTTGCATTGATGGAGCCTGTAGAATTGAACATGGTTGTGATAAGGATTATCATCTCTGTATCTTTCAAATATTTGATGATTGCAATTTTCCCACAAATGTGGTATTTATTTTTATCTTTTTATTTGGAAATAAGTTCAAACTTGCAGAGAAGTTGCAAGATAGTACAAAGAACTACTTCTGAATCATTTGACAGGACACTGGTGACGTTATGTCCCAACATTACTGAATGCTCCAGTATGTATTTTCTTAAAAAAATTACAAAAAGAAAGGTAGAAAAAAAGTTATGCTCTTATATAGTCACAATACAAGTATCTGAAACAGAAAATTATCATTCATACATTACTAGAATCTATTCATAGACTCCATTCAGTCTTACCGGTTATCTCAACAATGTTCTATATAGCAAAAAGACCCAGAGTCATGTGCTGTATTTAGTTTTCATGTCTCTTTAGTTTTCTTTAGACTGGAACTGTTTCTCAGTGTTTCCTTGACTTTCATATCCTTGACATTTTAGAAGATTTCAGACCAACCATTTTGCAAAATGCCTAATCAACTTGGCCCTGTCTACTGTTTCTTCATGATCAGATTCAGGAATATGCATCTTTGTCAGGAATGCCACAGTAGTGATGTTGTGTTTGTCTCTTTTCATGCTGTATTAGCTTGCTCAAGCTGCCATAACAAAAAGTCATAGATCAAGTGGCTTAAATAACAAAAATTTATTTTTTCACGGTTCTAGAGGTTAGAAGTCCGTGGTCAAAGTACCAGCCAGCTCCTTTTCTGGCAAGGACTGTCTTATTGACTTGTAGATGGTTACCATCTCACTGTGTCTGCACATGGCCCATTCTCCGTGCAAGATTGGAGAGAGGGAAAGAGAGCTCTGGTGGCTCTTCCTCTCCTTATAAGGACAGCAGCCCTGTTGAATTAGGGCCTACCTAATGACCTCATTTAACCTTTATCATCTCCTCACAGGCCCTATCTCCAAATATAGTCACATTGAGGGTTAGGGTTACAAAATCTGAATTTTGACAAAACACAGTCAGTCCATAACACATATCACCAGGTGGTATATAATTTGGTTTGTTTCACTACTGGCCTTTATTGCAGGTGGTGTCTGTCAAGTTTCTCCAATGTAAAGTTCCTCATTTTCCTTTTGTAATTAGTAACTGTTTTGTTGGGGGACACTTGGAAACTATGTAAATATTCCACTCCTCAAAAAATATTTATTACACATTTTATCATCTATTGATGTTTCTTGACTGAATCAATTATTATTATGATGGCTACTAAATGGCGATTTTCTGATTCTACCATTCCTTGTACATTAAGGCTTGCTATTTTGAGGAAAAACTTTCCTTTCTTCTTATTTATTTATTTATTTTTATTTACAGCAGAATAGGCTCCTGAATTTTATTTTATTCAATGGTTATAATCTGTTATCACTATATTGGTTCTCAAATTGTCCCTTATTTGGCCTTTCCATGAAGGAATAATTGGTACTGGATTAATTATTTCACCATAAACAACTAGAACACTAGACAAAACCTATAAAATGTTTTCAGACATTTGACAACAGGCAGAGCAGGACAGTGATCTCTAGAAAACATGAACAAATAACACAAGCCCTATTATTACCCTCAGCTCTCTTTCTGGAGGAATTTTATAACCCTGATGCAGGGAAAGGGAATTCAAGCAGAGCACAGCAGATTTGTTGAGCTAAAGCAACAAAAATTAGAGTTCAAGGAGGACTGGGGAGACCACGTGTCTTTGATTGACTATTGATCTATACGTGCATAGGGTGAGACTCTATGAGGCTGGGCAAAGAAAACCGTGGGAGACAAAGCAATTACTGTTGAGTGGTAAGCCAAACAACTACCACAACCCACAGAGTTGTGAATTATTGGAGTTCCAGCCAACCAGAGTGAAGGGCCCTTGTTCAACACTGAGAGCATTGAGTAGAAACTCTAGAAAGGCCATGACTTAAGAGCAGGGCCAAATGAACCACAGGGTAAATCAAGTCTACACTTAACTCTAACAAGGTTTTCTGACAAGCCTCAAAAGGGTAATGGTAAACTGCAAGTAAGTTAACTGCTTGCTAGAACAAAGTCAATGCTCTGAAGAAAGCAAGCAAAATCCAGCCACTCTACAATGGAACACTCACAATGTCCAGCAGCCAGCAAATAATTACTAGATATGTGAAAAAGCAGAGAATAATACTGCCCATAGCCAGGAGAAAAGGGCCAGTCAATAGAGACAGATTCCATTCCATTCCATATATTTATATTTATATATATTCACATATATTCACATATATACATTCATATATATACTAAAATATTTGTATATTTTAGTATATGAATGGAACTACCAAGCAAGGACTACAAATATATGAATATTTTAGTATTTTAGTATATATATGAATATTTTAGCATTCATATATGAGTTTATCAACATATATATGAATGAATACTAAAATATTCTACATATTTTAGTATTCATATATTCATACATATATTCATACATATGAATACACTCAAACATATATTCATATATATGTTTATCAACATATATAAGAATGAATACTAAAATATTCTACATAACATATATGTTGATAAACTCTTATAAATATGCTAAAGAATTAAAAACAAGACAATGACAAGAGAAATGGAAACTATAATAAAAGGCAATGGCAGTTCTAGAGCTAAAAAGTACAATGTACGAATTAAAAATACTCACTGGATCTACTTAACAGTATATTAGAAACTGCAGAAGAAAAGATAAAGACCTGAAGACACAGTAATAAAAACTATTCAAATAACAGAAAGAAAAAGGCTGAAGAAATGAACAGAGACACATTGACCCATGGCACAATACTATACAGTCCAAAATATCTTACAGTATCTCCAAATCTGAAGACTCAGAGAGAGAGGAAGGAGACAATGAGGCAGAAAACAAATTTGAGGAAATAGCCAAAATTTCTCCAAATTTGGTGGAAAATATGAAGCCACACATTTAAGAGTCTCAATGAACCCCAAGCAAGATGAATAAAAGGAATCTCTCAAAACCAATGAAACAGAGAAAAATTCTGAAAGCTTTCAGAGGAAAAAGACATATTACATACAGGACAACAGAGACCAAAAGGTCTTCTGGCTTCTCTCCGTAGCAGTACAAGCCAGATACTATAAAGACATATTTAAAGTGTTGAAAAAACAAAAAAGCAACCAAACCTTGCCACCTGAAATTTTATATCCAGCAAAAATTCCTTCAAAATGAGAAGGTGAAATAAAGACATTTTTAGACAGACAAAAGCTAAGAAAATGTGTCACCAGCAGGCCTGTACTAATCCAATATATGTCAAACCAAGTCTTTCAGGCTGAAGGAAAATCATTCTATGTGGAAACTCAAATCTGTAGAAAAGAAGAGGGCCAGAAATTGCAAATAAGTAGACATTAGAAGGACATTTGTTCCCATTTAAATTTTTTAGAAAAGATAACTGACTGTTTAAACAAAAATGACAATACACTGTGGGATTTACAATACACATGAAAATGAAATATATGGCAACAGTAGTGCAAAGGATGTGGGAAGGAAAATGAAAATATACTGTTTTAAGTTTCTTATATCACATTTAAACGTATATGGTACCATTAGAAGATAGTCTGTGATAGCTTAAAAAGCATATTGTAAACTCCAGAGAAATCAATAAAAATAAATTGAAGAGACGGAGCTACCAAGCCTATTGAGGTGATGAAACTGAATACTAAAATATTCAATTAAGCCAAAAGAAGGCATGAAAGAGAGGAAAAGGAACAAAGAATATACTGAATAAATATGAAAGAAATGGCAATAGAGTAGATTCAAATCCAACTACATCATCAATTATGTTAATTGTAAAAGTACTAAACAGTCCAATTAATAGGATATCTTCTAGTCTACAACTCTATGCTGTGTACAGAAAATAAGACTTCAAGTATAAAGAAACATTTAAAAAGTCAAGTGATGTAAATAGAGTCACAGTGCAAAGACTAATAAGAAAGTTGAAGTGGCTGGATTTATATGAGATAAAGTAGACTTCAACTTAAGGGATATTACCAAAGATAAGGGTGGGCATTTGCAAATTTTAAATGGCAAATTCATTAGGAAGATATCCTAAAGAATATAGTTGTAGATGCATATGAACCTAATAATAGAATGTCCAACTACTTGAAAAAAATTGGACTGAATTACAATGAAAAGTAGACAAATGTACAACTAGAGTTGAAGATTTTCAACACGATTCTCTCAGTAATTGATAGAACAGAAAATAAATTAGTAAGAATATAGCAGACTCGAGGCCGGGGGCGGTGGCTCACACCTGTAATTCCAGGACTTTGAGAGGCAGAGGTGGGTGGATCACGAGGTCAAGAGATCAAGATCATCCTGGCCAACACGGTGAAACCCCGTCTCTACTAAAAATACAAAAATTAGCTGGGCACGGTGGCACACGCCTGTAGTCCCAGCTACTCAGGAGGCTGAGGCAGGAGAATCACTTGAACTCGGGAGGCAGAGGTTATAGTGAGCCAAGATCACGCCACTGCATTCCAGCCTGGCGATAGAGAAAGACTCCGTCTCAAAAAAAAAAAAAAAAAAAAAAAAAAAGGAGAATATAGCTGACTCAAACAATCAACATCATCAACCTGCTTGATATATTTAAGTTATTGACTACTACACACAACATGAAGCAAGAAAATACATTTTTTTCAAGTGCATCATTTATTAAGATAGGTTATATGCTGAATCATAAAATAAGTCTCAATAAGTCTAAAAGGGTTGAAATTAACAAAGTATATTCTCTCTCTTTTTTTCTGAGACGGAGTCTCGCTCTGTCGCCCTGGCTGGAGTGCAGTGGCACGATCTCGGCTCACTGCAAGCTCCACCTCCCGGGTTCACGCCATTCTCCTGCTTTAGTCTCCCAAGTAGCTGGGACTACAGGCGCGCGCCACCACGCCCTGCTAATTGTTTGTGTTTTTAGTAGAGATGGGGTTTCACTGTGTTGGCCGGGATGGTCTCAATCTCCTGACCTCATGATCTGCCCGTCTCGGCCTCTCAAAGTGCTGGGATTACAGGCTTGAGCCACCGTGTGCCCGGCCAACAAAGTGTATTCTCTTACCACAATGAAACTAAATGAGAAAACAATTTTTAAAATAAATCTGAAAAATATCCAACTATTTGGAAATTAAACAACATACTTTTTTTTACACTTTAAAATAATCCATTGATCAGAGAAGAATCATAAAGGAAGTTAGCATTTTGAATGGAAACAAAATAAAAACAAAAGATAAAATTGTGAGGTTTACGTTTTTTAGAGGGAAAAAATTCTATTTTTAAATACTTATATTAGAAAAGAGGAAAAATGTAAAATAACCTAAGATTTTATGTTAAGAAACTAGAATAAGAAAAGCAATGAAAACCCAAACTAGATAGAAAGAAGGGAATAAAAAATATAAGAGCAGCAGTCAGTGAAATAGCAAATGTAAAAACAATGGAGAAATCCATGACAACCAAAGTTTGTTCTTCAAAAAGTTAGATGAATCGATAAATTTCTGAATTGACTGATCAAAAAAGGGCATCTATGACTCTTTACCAACATCAGGAATAAAATAGAGTCTATCACTAGAGTCTGCAGACATTAAAAGGATACTAAGAAACTATTATGAAAATCTTTATATCAATAATTTCAACAACTTACCTAGAATTAATAAATTCCATGAACTATACAATTTATCAGAAGAGACACAAGAAAAGACAAATATCAATAATTCTGTATATATTAATATTAAATTAAATAGAATTAAAGACCTTCCCACAGTGGAACATCATGCCCAGATGGTTTAATTGGAAAATTCTGTTAAATATCTAAGGAAGAAAAGATAATACCAATGTTATGTAAACTTTTTCAGGAAGCAGAGGAAAAAGGAATGCTTCTCAACTGCCGTGATAGCATGATAGGAAGTTAATACAAAGAAAATATTTAAAAAAGTACTGACCGATTTCCTTCATGAATAATGAGGGAACTTCCTTAACCACATTTGTCAAATTACACTTAGAAATATTAACAGGAGGCCAGGTGCAGTGGCTCACGCCTGTAATCCCAGCACTTTGGGAGGCTGAGGCAGGTGGATCACAAGGTCAGGAGATCGAGGTCATCTGGCTAACATGGTGAAACCTTGTCTCTACTAAAAATACAAAAATTAGCTGGGCATGGTGGCGGGCGCCTGTAGTCCTAGCTGCTTGGGAGGCTGAGGCAGGAGAATCGCTTGAACCCGGGAGGTGGAGGTTGCAGTGAGCCCAGATCACGCCACTGCACTCCAGCCTGGGCAACAGAGATGCCATCTCAAAAAAGAAAAAAAAAAAAAAAGAAATATTAACAGGATACTGTTAATATGGAAGGTTGTTTTGATAGTCAAAAAACAAGCAATGTAATTCACAATATTACCAGAGAGAAATGATTATCTCAATAGATGCATAAAAATCACTTGATAATATGTGACATTCATAGATTATAAAAACTATCAGAAAAGTTGGAAGAAGAAAGCTTTCTGAACACATTAAAGGACGTCTATGTAAAACATGGCCAACACCATTCTGAAAAGACCAGTTGTTTCTCCCTGAGATCAAGGACAGGTAAGGATGATCATTTTCACCATTTATTTTCACTGGCTTGAGGTCCTAGCCAGTGCAATAAAACAAGAAAAGAGAATAAAAGGCATAGCAATTGGAAAGAAAGAAAGAAAACCATTTTTATTTGCAGACAACATGATTATGTTCATAGAAAATTCTAAGAAATCTGAAAATGCTACAAAGTGAGTAATGAAGATTTCTTGTTACAAATATACAAAAACTACTGTATTTTTATATACAAGCAAGAATAATTGGAAACAAAATAGGAATAAATTGAACAAAAGTAATGCTGAACACTACATAATACTTTTGAAGGAAATTAAAGAAGATAGAAATATACTGGCAGGTATACATGGTAAGAATCAAAGCTGTTAAGATATCTGAGAGGTTTTTTTTCCCTCCCCTGACAATACTCTAACATCAAACTTGTGTGGGTTTTCTGTACCAATTTTCCAATTCTCCAACACACACTGGATATCTGACAATTCAATGCAGTTCTGACACAAACCCCTGGAATTAGTGCAGACTTCATAGAGGAACAGTGCAGCCCCCCCCCCCCCACCCAAAGACTGACCTACTTTAGATGCCAGATGCAAAAGGGTTACCCAGGCTACTCACATTTCTGCCCAACAGAGTACAAATTTGGGTGTTCCCACAAATCTCTTCATGTTCAATGATTTGGTAGAATGGCTCACATGACTCAAAACAATACTCTACTGGTTAATGATAAAGGATAATACTCAGGAACAGCCAAAGGGAAGAGATGCAATGAATGGGGCAGAGCCGCAGTGATTCCCCTCTTCTCTCCGGGGACTCTGCCCTCCCAGAACCTTGATGTGTTTTCCAACCCATACACTCCTGCAGTTTCCTTGTTCAAACGTTTTCCTAGGGCTCCTAGGTGGTCGGTGAGTGGGGCTGGAATTTTCAACACTCTAGTCACTTGGTCTTTCTGGTGACCCATCGCATCGGAGAGGCCTTACCCTAAATCACCTCATTAGCATAAACTCAGGTGTAATTGACAAGGAGTTGTTAAGAATAACAAAAGAACGGCCTGCTGGGTGCAGTGGCTCATGCCTGTAATCCCAGCACTTTGGGAGGCTGAGGTGGGTGGATCACTTGAGTTCAGGAGTTCGAGACCAGCCTGGCCAACATGGTGAAACCCTGTCTCTACTAAAAATACAAAAATTAACTGGGCTTGGTGGTGGGTGCCTCTAATCCCAGCTACTCAAGAGGCTGAGGCAGGAGAATCACTTGAACCCAGGAGGCGGAGTTCTCAGTGAGCTGAGATTGTGCCACTACACTCCAGCCTGGATGACAAAGCAAGACTCAATCTCAAAAAAAAAAAAAAAAAAAAAAAAGAATAACAAAAGACACTCCCATCAACTCCCATCAACTCCCATCACTCAGGAAATTCCAAGGGTTTTAGGAACCCTATGCCAGTAACTAAGGACAGAGACAAAATAAGCTTATTCTACTACAATTTTATCTCTACCAAATTAATTTATACATTTAATGTAACTCCAATCAATACATCAGTTGGATTTTGAGAGAAATTGATAAACTGTTTATAAAATTCATATGAAAATGGAAAGGACCTAGTTTGGTCAAGACATTTTTTGAAGAGTCAAGCAAATTTGGAGGACCCGTACTATCTAATGTTGTCTACAATTCAACAAAACTACAATACTCAAGACAGTGCAAGAATAGGCATATAGATGACTGAAACACAACCACACATATATGATTAGTGGATTTTAACAAAGAGGAATAGGCAATTTCGTGGAAGAAAAATAATCTTTTCAGCAAATGATTCTGGGACAACTGAATATCCACATGGAAAATATAAAGCTTGACTCTGCCTCATGTCGCTCATCAAAGTGAATAGATCATATGCTTCAGCCAAAGACTTAAAAGGTGAAACTTCTGAAGGAAACACAGGGAAACATATTTCTCACCTTCGAGTAGGCAATGCATGCTTAGGATACAAACAGCACTAACCATAAAAGAAAATTTAATAGTGGCTCATGCCTGTAATCCCAGCACTTTGGGAGGTCGAGGTGGTTGGATCACTTGAGCCTGGGAGTTCAAGACCAGCTGAGGCAACATGGTGAAATCCATCTATACAAAAAATATAAAAATTAGTTGGGTATGGTGGTGCACAGCTCTGGTCCCAGATGCTCAGGAGGCTGAGATGGGAGGATTGCTTGAACCTGGAAGGTTGAGGCTGCAGTGAGCCATGATAGGGCCACTATGCTCCAGCACTTCGGGAGGCTGAGCCAGGTGGATCACTTGAGGCCACGAGTTTGAGATCAGCCTGGCTGACATGGTTAAACCTTGTCTCTACTAAAAATACAAGAAATTAGCCAGGCATAGTGGTGCACGCCTGTAATCCCAGCTACTTGGGAGGCTGAGGCAGAAGAATCGCTTGAACCTGGGAGACAGAAGTTGCAGTGAGCTGAGATTGTGCCACTGTGCTCTAGCCTGGGTGACAGAGTGAGACTTCATCTCAAAAAACAACAACAACAACAAAAAACAAAAAAAAGAAAGGCTTTTCTCAATTATCCTGCCTAAAGTCAGCCTTCTTCAAGTTCCCTCTTCTACAGCACTCTGTTTATTTCCTCAGAAATAATGTTCATGTCACCCTATCTTGTTGATGTACCTCTCTGTAGAGCAGTGCCCCTCCCTCCCTTGTGAGCACATAAACTCTCAAGACCTCTGTCAGTCTCATTCATTTCTGTATTCCCAAGACCCAGAACCATGACTGGCTTATAGTAGATAGCTTAACAGATATTTGTGAACTAGGTGAATGGGTGAGTGCCCCAGCTCACCTCACTTGATAGTGGCAAGATGTGGCTACACAGGTAGGTTTGACCCTAAATTCCACACTTTTTGAACTGCGTGCTGACTCTTGTCTATGGGAAGGACAGACAGGTAAATAAATAAATAAATACCAAATTGTGTTAGTCTGCTCTCTCTCTCTTTTTTTTTTTTTTTTGATACAGGGTCTTGCTCTGTCACCCAGGCTGGATTACAGTGGCGCTATGTTGGCTCACTGCAGCCTCAACCTCCCTGGGCTCAGGTGATTCTCCCACCTCAGCCTCCAGAGTAGCTGGGATTACATGCACCATCACATCCGGCTAATATTTGTATATTCAGTAGAGATGGGGTTTCACCATGTTGGCCAGGCTGGTCTCAAACTCTTGGCCTCAAATGATCTGCCTGCCTTGGCCTCCCAAAGTGCTGGGATTATAGTAGTGAACCATTGTGCCCTAGCTGTTCTCACATTGCTATAAAGAAATACTCCAGACTGGGCAATTTATGAAGAAAAGGGTTTTAATTGGCTCACAGTTCCACAGGCGTTACAGGAAACATGGTACTGGCATCTGCTTGGCTTCTGGGGAGGCCTCAGGAAACTTGCAATCATGGTGGAAAGAGAAGGGGGAGGAGCAGTGTCCATGACCAGAGCAGGAGGAAGAGGGAGGGGGGGAGGTGCCACACTTTTAAACAACCGGATCTCATGAGAACTCACTCAATATCATGAGAACAGCACCAAGGAGATGGCATCAAACCATTCCTGAGAAATCCACCCTCATGATCCAATCACCTCTCACCAGGCCTCACCTCCAGCACTGGGAATTATAATTCAGCATGAAATTTGGTTGGGGACACACATCCAAATCCTATCACAAACAAACAAGCAATAAGAACACAGCAAACCCCATTTTCTCTCTCAAGGAAATAACCATTTATAATGTAAAGTAAGCGGCAAAGCCGACTAACTGAAAGAGTTAAATGAAAAAATAAGGAGGATTAGGAGGTGCAGGGGAAGCCAGTTAAACTTGTTTTTTTTTTTTAAGTGATTTTTTTTTTCCTCTCTCTCTTTTTTTTTTTG
Organism: Homo sapiens; assembly: GCF_000001405.40. Classification (NCBI taxonomy): domain Eukaryota; kingdom Metazoa; phylum Chordata; class Mammalia; order Primates; family Hominidae; genus Homo; species Homo sapiens. The sequence goes on along the minus strand of NC_000014.9, from coordinate 99,102,058 downwards.
CGAGAGGCCTAGGTTTGCAGTCTGCAGAGCTATCTACAGGGCTGGCAGGAGACTCCTGAAAAGAAACCAGAGAAGCTTGCTGACAAAAGACTGGAATTCTGGTATCTCTTTTGTTTTCACCCAAGTCTGTGGCCACTGACATTCCTCTTTTCCACCACGGGTGGATAATAAGCCCCCTTCTCAGGAATCGAAATGCACTTATACATTTTAATGTGACCTTAGACAGCGCTGTTCAGAAATCACAGGCCCATCTGACTACACTTGAGGTTGAATTGAGCTAATGGTATTCACCTCATCTTTAGATGCAAAATTGGAAGATAAAAAGACCTTGATGTGAAAAGAAGGGGGGGATATGAGGGAGGTGGGGGGTGGACGGGTTGCGGGGGGCAGGAGGGGGGAAGCAGATTAGAGATACTGCTTAAAAATCACGTGATTGCGCGTTGATAACGAAATGTCTCCTCTTTCCAAAATCCCCCATGGGCTCGAGAGATGTCCTTATTCTTTTATTTTTAACGATAGAATCTTTTTATTCCTGAGCTGGGGAAATTTGAATGTTGCTGCATATGTGGCCAGGAGATACATTGACCTTTAGCAAATCTTATTTAAAAAAAAACCCAGATTGAACACTTATTGCAATATTCCAGCCCTGTAAGATGAAAAGAGAGAGAGAGGAGAGGAGAGAGAGAGAGCACTTTCTTCCTCTGTAATCAGATGTGGATTAAATTTATTAAAGATGCTGTGTCTCCTTTTAAATGACTGGCAACCCTCTTTCTGAATTATCAGGAGCTGGCTGGAGACACGGCACCCTTCTGATTTCATCTTAAGATGACAGAGAAAAGTCTAAAATGGGAGAAAACTTGGTTCCTCTCTGTTGCTCTTTGGCTAAAACTTGGTTTTCATACATTGAGCCAAATGCATTCAGGGGCCCATGGTGAGGCCCAGAAGGGGGTGAGGGGAAATGGGAGGGTGGGGGCACAGGGTGTGGTCTGATCAGCTTCCCACGAAAGAAGCTGGGAGGGAGCCCCAGCAACTCACATGAAATGCGCAACCCCTAGAGACAGGCTCATTTCCAGCTTTGACGTGCCCGCTGTCTGTCAAGGGCCCAGTGAATGCTTCCCACCCCTAGGGCTCAGCCGCCTCCAGGACCAAGGGGCCCATTGGGCAATCTATCACGGAGCACACCTGGTCTGCCCAAAGGACACAGCAGGTAGGGAGGGGTGGGTGGGGAGGGCGGGCTGGGGAGCGGTTGGCAGGGAGAGTGGGACCCCAGGTTAACTCCAGAGAATGGATCCAAATTGCTCAGACAGGACCTCAGGCCTCTGGGCGTATCCATCCAGAGGGTTGTACATAATTTATCCATGTAGAAAGGGTGACAGATTGGGATGGTCTGGCCTTTGGCTTTCAGCTTGTCTGTATTTATAGAATTGGATGCTTGGGCCTGCAGGCCATTGCACTCTGACTTTAAAATTGGGCATGCTGACTCAGGTACAGGTGGTGCATGGAATTGTTTTTGTTTTCTGTTTTTTTAATTTTTTAAGACATGGAGATCTTGTTTGCTCCCATTTATCACAACCATGAAGCTGCTGTGGGGACATTTCTCCATCTTTCTGAGAGTGAGGGGCCTCCGTATGTCTTCGTGAAGGATGTCCCTGTAAAAGGGAAATTCTGAAGCACATTTCTAGTTCCCATAGAATTTCCTTTGTGGGTCCTTGTTTGGGAAGAGAAAGTGGCAATCCAGGGTCACTGTGTCCCATGGTATAATTGTAGCAGAAGGTTGGCTATGGCAAGCCCACTTAAAACCTGCATTTATGAGAGTTCAAAATTCACCCACCCTACAGAGAAAACACTATAGTTCTAATTTTCCCTTAGCTTAGAATTCATTCATTCATAAGGAAATTCCAGACTAAAAGATGAGTTTGCCTAGAACGTCTGGGTATTTAATATGTGTGTGGAATGAATGGAAAGGTGAATAAATGCCTGAGTGAATAACCGAGTGGAGTCTACGCCCAGTGACAGTGAAAGTCACACTAAGCACAGGCATTTCAGTGAGTGCTGAAAGCGAGAGATGAGTGAATGAGTGAGGGAGTAGATTTCAGACTGAGGGGAAAGTGAGCAGGACACAGTAGGTGCTTCTTAAAATACATTTCGAGTGATTGAGGGGGTGCGGGACAAGCTCCACGGGCATGTGGTAAAGTCTCCAGGACAGGATGGTGAATGAATGGATGGTTTTACTTTCCCCATAAGGAGCTCGTGGGCGGGTGGGTTACCCCTTCCCACTGCTAGAGGAATAGCTCGGGTTGCTCCAGATCTCCTGAAGTCAAGTTCAAAGCAAGCTGTGTCTGGGTCCCAGTTGCAAGACTGCCCCTCTGTTCTGGGATGTTCTGCTGTTCCTCCTTGGAGTCCTCGTCCTCGGGGCTTGGCCCTGGTGGCGGGATGGGTTGGCTTGCTTCCTAAACAGCACACCTGTAGAGCACGCCGCCCGGCTTGGTGCTGGGAATCTCCTAGAAAAAATGAGAGTTCCCACCCCTGCCCTCCAGGGCCTGAAAGCTTTCTTTCCGTTGCGTGCCTAGAGCCCAAGGGAGAGCCAGCAGTGCTCCTCCTCACCTTGTCCTGACCAGTCCTCAAAAATGCAGTCTTGGAGGCGTGGAGGCTAGGGAGGGGCACTTGGTCAATCCCTTGGACCGGGGCCACCTCGCCTGAAGAATCCTTCAGTTTGGATGCTCCTGCCAGGGGTTCTGAGACACTGGCCTGGGTCCACCTGACCCAGCCAGGCCACCTTGGTGGGGCGAGGATGGGGTGGGGTGCAGGGTGGGGCCGTGGTTAGCTGTGGCACTAGCGGGGGCTGACTTCTCCCACCCCAGGAATGTGCTGACAGTTCTGAGTATAGAATCCCCAACCTTTGTCAGCAAATCGCAATCTAAAAATGTTACAAAACTCCTACAAGAATGACAGATCATCTGTGCACATGGCTACTTACAAGCTGGACTTATTAGGATTGTGTTTGTGGAAGAAGAGGGCTGGCAGGGGCATTAGTGAACACGGTTGGGTTTCTGGACCCACAATTCATCTTGAGGTGTGAGACTTTGGGCCATAGACTGTCCCTTCTGAGCATTGGTTTCCCCTTTCTAATGAGAAGGCCTGTGCCGTGGGGGAGTCGGGGGGAGTGCGGGCGTGCTCTGAGGAATGGAGATACTCGTGTGAATGGCTGGGCATAGAGTAAAAATGTGATGGGCAAATGGTGGTGATTTTTGTTTGTAGAATTCTGTGTTTAATAATGAAAAAGAAAGAAGGAGAAGAAAGAGGAGGAGGAGGAAGAGGAGAAAATAATACTATTTCTTGAGTTCTTACTATGCACTAGTTTAAGCACTAAGCCCATTGCAACACTGTAGTGCATTACCCTAAAGTTACTATTAGGGTCCCCACTTGCCAGTTAGAGGAATGGGCTTAGTGAGGTGAGGTGATTTGCTTGAGGTCACACAGCTACTAACTGGCAGTGCTGAATTTCAAGCCCCACTCCGCCCAGGGTCTGTGTTCTCACCCACTGTGCAGTGGCCAAGTCTGGGTGGCTGGTGCCCACCATGGGAGAGGACATCTTGCCTAGGACCCTATCTTAGTGCCGTTGGGCCCAGGGAATAGGGTCAGAGCTGAAACACACGTGGTATGCATCTTAGGTGCTCATGAAGTGCCAACCACTTGTCTGACACAAAGGATTTAACAACTTGTGTCGGTGGGAGTCAGTGCAGAGTGCCCACAGCTGAGGGGCCCAGTGTATTCAAGGAGGGATTGAACTAGCAAATATACGCATGCTGGGAAAGCTGCCCCAAACACCGGCCCCAGTGAAAAGAGGCTTCCTGTATTTTGCCACACATATTTGGAGTGGAAATTATCGTTGAAGATAAAGGGCTGGGGTTGGAAGCAAAGCCTGCCCTGGCTGTGTTGCCTGTGGTGAAGAGTGCTGGTGGGAAGGGGTGAGGAGTGAGAGATGGGGGCCTACAGTGGGATCAATGGACTAAATGGATTTGGGGGCATGTGGTGAAACCCGACCAACCTTGGCCTTCAGTGAATGGGGAAGAAGGCTGGATCTAATAGCCCCATGTGATTTTAATGACTGTCCTGGGAAAAGTTTGCACTTTGGAGGAGGATGGGCTGGACTCCTGCAGTGACCGTCCACTAGCTCTGATCTTGGACAAGTCACTTACCCTCTCAGAACCTTCTTCTTTTCATTTGCAGAATCGGAAACATAATAAGCCTCCCCATATAGATGTCCGGGCTAAGATATTAAGTAATGGATGCCTAAAAAAGTACATTTTTGGCTGGGCACGGTGGCTCACACCTGTAATCCCAGCACTTTGGGAGGCGGAGGCTGGTGGATCACGAAGTCAGGAATTTGAGACCAGCCTGGTCAACATGGTGAAACCCCATCTCTACTAAAAAATACCAAAATTAGCCAGGCTTGGGGGCACGCTCCTGTAATCCCAGCTACTCAGGAGGCCGAGGCAGGAGAATTGCTTGATAGTCTGTCCAGCAGTAAATGTTTGTCAAATGTGTGAATAAATAGGTAAGAGCAACACTCAAAGGGTAAAAAGAGGTGGAGCTTAGTTACTCCCCAGGGAGCTACAGGCAACCTGATGGAAAGATTTTAGTCATGGGAGAGATGAGGACGCTGTGCCCTAGGGAGACAGAGTAGCCTCTGCAAGGTCATACTGTGACGGTGGTGGGATTGGAAGCGAGGCTTTTCTATCTACCAAAGTTGACCTTCCCACCACCCTCCCTCAACCTTCTAGACAGGGGCATAGCTCTCAGAAAGGGCCCAGGAGCTGACGCCCGTCACAGTGGACACAACTATCAGTTTGTTCCTTGAGAGAAAAGACACAGCTCCACTGACCTCCAAGTTAAACATACATCCCCAGAGCGCGGAGGTGTCTGGGGTCTGCTCTGCTTCCCAGCCAAGCCCAGGATGTGTGAAGAGCTGGTCTTTTCCATGCCCTGCTGGGCCGATCAATCAATAACCTTCCAAAAGTGAAGAAGTGTTTCCCTGTCTGCCATCACTGGTGAAATCATTGTTACTGAAGACTTATCTTTCATCCACTTGCAAGACACCACAGGAGCTAATAATGAGTTTTATATTATCATAAAATATCCATAACCTATTATTTGTCATTTGAACCGTTCTTTTCTTTTTTTTTTTTTTTTTTTTTGAGACGGAGTCTTGCTCTGTGGCCCAGGCTGGAGTGCAGTGGCGTGATCTCGGCTCACTGCAACTTCCGCCTCCTGGATTCAAGCAATTCTCCTGCTTCAGCCTCTCGAGTAGCTGGGACTACAGGTGCGCGCCACCATGCTGGGCTAATGTTTGTGTTTTTAGTAGAGATGGGGGTTTCACCATGTTGGCCAGGATGGTCTCGATCTCTTGACCTCGTGATCCGCCCACCTTGGCCTCCCAAAGTGCTGGGATTACAGGCATGAGCCACCGCGCCCGGCCGTTTGGACCATTCTTAAGGATACAATTCAGTTGCATTAAATACATTCACAACATTGTGTAATCATCACCACTATCTATACCCAAAATTTTTTCGTCATCCCCACCAGAAGCTCTGTGTCTATTAAAAACAACTCCCCCTTCCTGCCCCCCCGCCGTGCCCCAAAGGCGAATTCTTATTACAGAAAGGCCCCTCTCCTTGCCCCTGAACCACTATCCCTCTTTGGGAACATTTTTTAAATAAACACCAGAGTGCACATCCAACCCTGCTGAACACGAGGAAGCTGCCTGGATGATTCTGGGCTCTGAAACCTAATTAGGGGAAAGGGGAAACTAAAAACAAAGATTCCAAAAGAAAGAAACCTGGGCTGCTTGAAGTTACCTTCTTCCTGGAGGGTGGGGCCTGCCCCAGGAGATGGAAACCTGGACGGAGGTTTGTTTTTGAAATGTCTGGGCTGGGCTTGGCCTGCTGGCTCTCCTGGACGCGGCTGGAGCTGCCTGTCTCCCTTCGCCATGCAGACCATGAACTATTTATTTTCCTCTCTGTTCCAACTGCCTCTGAGGCCCAACCATCAGCTCCCTCTCCCACTGGGGTCCTGAAGGCAGCTGGGCATGGACATATGCTGGTGAGAGTCAGCAGCAGAGGGCAGGGGAAGGCTGGCTGGTTGGTTTGTTGGGTTTCATCCTAGGCTACTGTTTAGCTGAAAAGAAGAAGAAACGACTCAAAACATCCATCTCTGGTTCCAGATATCAATAAGGGGGGAATCAAAAGCACTTGAAATGTTGGTGTCACACTGGGATTTGAGTCTACAACTTTCTAGCTGTCACTTCTGATAGGAGCTTCAAACCTTTGAGACTCAGTTTCCAACTTGGTGAGAGAAGATAACTTGAGTACCTTGTTGCAAATTTATTTATTCTGCAATAGGAACACAGTGTCATGGGCCCTTGGTGGTCTTTTGAAAATGTGCATTCTTTGTCCACCTGAAAACTCCTATTCATCCTGCAAATCCCAGCTCACATAGCCCCTCTTCAATCCAGAGAACCTCAGAAGCGAATCGTTTCCATCTCTGTTCTATTTCAGTAGCTAATACAGTTTTCTGTTGTCATATTTACAGCTCTGTTCTGGTATTTATATTTTTACTCTTCTGCTGGGCTGATCTCAAGGGCAGAGACTTTGCCTATTTGTTACTCTGGCCAGGACACAAAAAGTGCTTGGAAAATGTGAGATGCTCTTTGCATTCTGGTGACCTGAGGTCTATGTCGTCGATGCTGGGGCCCACGGAATGTAGCGTGTGGGTTACTAGGCAGGGACCACTGGTGCTGAGAGAATCTCTCCTCTCTCCTGTGAGTGAGGTCCACCTCCATTTGCACAGGAAGCCCCAAATAGACACTCAGAGTCTTATCTTTGAGTGATCTTGGAAGGAAGGCCCAGGGTCATGACTAATTTCCGGGACCCGTCCTCTCCCAGGATTTGGAGAAGCTGCCCTGGGCCGCCTGGGCAGGGCCGGGCGCTTGGCCTGGGAGGCCAGCTGCACCCGAGGTCAGTTCCTGGTGCTTTCTGAGGCCTGTTGAGACCTGGCTCGCCCCAGCCTCCCGGATGTATTGGAAAAAAATAATTATTTGCTTAAAACATGTAAAGTGCTCCTGCGATTTTAATCGGTTTAATTTAAATTTTAAACGACGGATCTTCAGCTTCTAATCACTTTGAAACTGAAGTGCTTTTCACCAAATGTGAAGTGCTTTAGGGTTGGAAATGATTATGTGTAGGACAGTGAAAGGGAGGAGAGAGAGAGGGGAGACAGAGAGAGGAGAGAGAGGAAGAAGATACGGAAAGGAAGGGCCAGAGAGAAGAAGAGCAAGAGTGCAACTCAGAATTAAGCTGGAAAAACGTTCTGTTGGGCTGACCCACTGTTCAGGGCAACATTCAGCCCTTTGGAAGATCTTAGCTGAGAAGAGATGATGATGCCTACAGTCCCATATAATTCAAATCCAAAATTTATTTTTCATATTGACACAAAACTTACATGCATCGTGAGATTTACAACAACTTTTTCTAAGGTTTTCTAATTGCAAAATCCTCTTAAGGCTTCTGAGGCTGAACTTTGTGTGTGTGTGTGTGTGTGTCCTCCGGCCCCTAGGCACATGCCTGGGATCCCATGCAGGTCACCCAGCACTGGCCACAGAGCGGCTTGGACAGCTGGACAGAGGGTGGCTCAAGAGTTAGAGATCTGAGTTAGGTGTGCAGGGCTCCAGGGTTAAGATCCTGCTGGAGGGCGTGGCTCCTGCACAAGGTGTGTATGTGTGTGCATGTGTTTGTGTCTGTGCACACATGTGAGTGTGTGTGTTGCTGGAAACACCTGACTGCAGCTGGCAAGGCTGGGTGTTCTGGAAACAGGAGAGCCCCTCCATGGCCGCAGGGCACCGTGGAACCAGGAAGCTGCAGCCCGCGGAGGCCTCAAGCTCAGACAGGGTCAGGCAGCTGGGGTGGATGGGCCGCCCACAGCTGCTGCCCAGGCTCCCCTGCTGTTTTCTTCTTTGTTTCTGTACAGAAATGCTGGAAGAGCAAGAGAAGCGAGACTGAAGTCTCACAGGCCTGGCTTCCAATTTTACTTCTGCTACTTTCTTCCACGTATCATTTTGGGCTGGTTACTTTGACTTTCCGACTTCCCAAGTGTTGTTTTGCTCTTTTGTAACCAGAAAAGAGGCCCTTTCTTTGTGCTCCATTGGCTTTTCCGGCTGGGTTTTCCCAGCCTCGCCCCCGGGCCCTGCAGTGTCCCTGTGCTTGCTTCTAAAATCTCACCCTCCAGAGACTTATAGTTCCCTGGCCTGGCGCTTATGTGAGTCCCTGTCATCCTTGGAGCTCCTCCGTGGCAGGCCTGGGCCAATTGGTCTTTGCATCCCCAGCACCCACCACAGGGCCAAGAGCTGAGTGCAGCTCAGATTGGAGGCTTCCGGAAGGTTGGAATGAGATGCAGGGGAAAGACCATGTGGTTTGGACCAGATAGATCAGGGTTTGATTCTAGGCTCTGCCATTTACAACCCTTAACATGCATTTACCAGTCTGAGCCTTAATTTCCTCTACTGTAAGAATGGACTCAGCCTCATACGATCCCCAACATAACTTCCAGGTAGGTTAAGTATGTAAATGTGAGAAGAGAAACTTCAACACATTTAGAAAACGGAATATCTTCATGACTTTGGGGTAGAGAAGAACTTTCAATTTTCCTCCCCCGCTCCACCCCAAAAACCCCAAAGAAGCATATTGATACGTTTGACCGTATTAAATTTAAAATTTTCTGTTCAATAAAAGGTACTCTAAAAGAAATGAAAAGGGAGGCTACAAACGAGGAGAATACATTTACCATACACATAACAAATAAAAGATTTGTATCCAGAGCATAGGAAGAATTCTACAAAATCAAGGTAAGAATAGAAAAGCAAACGCATGGAAAAATGGACAAAATATCTGAATGGACAGTTCATAGACCAGGAACCACATGAAGTTCCAAACAGTTGAAGAGATTCCCAATCTTTTTAGTAATTAGGAGAATGTACACTGAAACCCTGTAATACTAGATTAGCAAAAATATGTGACAGAGAAAGAAAATGAATGGGAGACAGAAAGTGGCTGAACCTGACTGTTGTGGGGGCTGTCCTCCCTGGTGAATTACCTGCACCCCAAGCAGCCCATGACAGCCTCCCCAGGGCAGTGTCTGTCTGCAGACTCCAAGAGAGGACAGACCCCAGACTCTCCAGCAGCCACTCCTCCTACCACGTTCTTTAGGTTTAATTTGCTATTTCCTTTTCCAGATTCTTGAGATGGAAGTTTGCATCATGGCCTTCCAACTTTACTTCTTTTCTAATGTATACATTTAAGTCTATATCAATTTCCCACTAAACATGGCTTTTGTGCATCCCATGAATTATCAAATCATGTAGTTTCACTATCATTTAGTTAAAATATTTTCTAATTTCCATTGTATTTGTTTGTTTGACCCAGTGTATTTCTTAGCAGTGTATTTCTTAATTCCCCCAAATTCTTAATTTTCAAAAATATTCTTCTTACTTTGTTATTGATACATAGCTGAATTCCATTCTGATCAGAGAACATGCTGTGTCTGATTTTAATCCTTTCAAATATGTTGAAACTTGCTTTATGTCTCAGCATATGGTCAATTTTGGTGAATGTTTAAGTGTACCTGAAAAGAAGGTATACTCTGCAATTATTCGGTGCGGTGTTCTATAAATGTCATTGAGATCAAGTTGGTTAATTATGTTAGTCAAAACTTCCATATCCTTGATAACGCTTTTGGTCTGTTTGTTCTATCAATTAGAAAAATATGTGTTAAAATTTGCCACTGTGGTGATGGTTTTGTCTATTTCTGCTTTTAGTTCTGTTAGTTTTTGCTTTATATATTTTGAGGCTATGTTATTAGGTGCATGTACATTTAGAATTATTTTCTCTTTCTGGAAAATTAGACTTTGTATTTTAGAAAATATCTGTCCTTATATCTAGTCACATTTTATTCCTTGAAGTCTACATTGTCTTATATTAATGTAGTTATACCAGCTTCTCTTGGTTAGTGTTTATATTAAGATAGCTTTTCATCCTTTTACTTCTAATCTTTCTGTATCCTTATATTTGAAATGTGTATCACGTGAGCAGCATACAATTGGTTTGCTTTTCTTAAATCTTATCTGACAGTCTTTGTGCATTTGCACTTAATGTAATGACCAATATAGTCTATTGTGTCCAACCTATGTTTTTTTTTCCTCCTTTCTTGCCTTCTTTTGGATTCACTCTTTTTTAAATTATTCTTTTTTTCTCTTCTCTTAACTTAGTATTTATATGTTCTTTTGTTATTCTTTCAATGATTATCCTAGAACTCTGGTTCTCAAACTATTTGGTCTCTGAACATCTTTATATTCTGAAAAATTGTTAGAAAGATAAAATGATTTTTATTTTTCTGGATTACCTTATCAATATATTATTGTAATAGAAGTTAAAACCAAGAAAAATTTAAAATATTTATTAATTCAATTTAAAGTAATAATAAATACTAGTTATTAGACATTACTTATTTTTGTGAAAAATAACTACCTTTTCTAAAACAAAAAATACTGAGAAGATGACATTATTTTCCATTTTTTTCTGTTTCTTTAATGAATAGCTTAGTAGAAGACAGCTATATCCTCATACCTGCTTCTGCATTAAATTTGTTGTGATACGCTGTTTTGGTTGAAATACACAAATAAAATGTGGCCTCATTCAGATACGTAGATGAAAAAAAGGGGACTATTCAATGGCTTTTTTGGAGTAATGTGGGTATCTTCTTAGGTCCTATACAAAACATTCACAAGTGGTAATTTCTTAAAGGTTAGTAGCAAAGTGGAATCTAAAGCCAGATCCGTGAACTTCTCATAAAAATCTTTTGGTCTCCCTTGCAATTTGAATAGGTTTTCACTCATGTTTAATTTTGTATCACTGTGCACTGGTCATTTGGAAAATATTGCTTCATTGAGTTATTCAGGTCTTCCAAATGTTGACACGTTTGATTATATAATACTTGAAAATTACATTTGTTTATGTTGTCATTGATTTTACCACAGAAGTATTGGGAATCTATCAAGCTCAGAATGGCCAAGACAAGTTTTATAAAATTCTAATTATTATTTGAAAGCTTAAATTATATATCATTGATAACATACACTGTACATTATTTTCCTGAAAGTGACATGTTTACTGTGTTAAATTTTGAGAAGATGTCTGTCAAATATTCAATTTGGAATAACCACAGTTTCCCTGTCAGTTATTCTTGTAAGTAAAAATGGTCTTGGATGAAAAAGTGGCAGTGCACCTTGCAACTTAATTACACAAGTGCTTTCCTTGAGATCACCATTTTATTTCAGGATAAAGCAGCTGTGCTTCATGCCTATGTTCCATTTCATCACATAGCATATTTTAAAACATGTAGTCCAAGTTTGTAATTTAATAAAAATTAATACTTTTTCACTGTTCCAGCAAGAGTAGTAAATTGCCCTTTCTTTTTTTTTTTCTGCAATTACATGGCAGTGAAGACTACAATGACTAGTAGTACAATTTCTTACCACCGTCATGCTTTCTACAAGCTACAAGCAGTTTTATCCACTGTGGTTTTTTTTTTTTTTTTTTTTTTTGAGACGGAGTCTCGCTCTGTTGCCCAGGCTAGAGTGCAGTGGTGCGATCTCGGCTTACTGCAACCTCTGCCTCCTGGGTTCACGCCATTCTCCTGCCTCAGCGTCCCAAGTAGCTGGGACTACAGGCGCCCGCCACCACACCCGGCTAATTTTTTGTATTTTTAGCAGAGATGGGGTTTCACTGTGTTAGCCAGGATGGTCTCGATCTCCTGACCTTGTGATCCACCTGCCTCGGCCTCCCAAAGTGCTGGGATTACAGGCGTGAGCCACCGCACCTGGCCCCACTGTGGTTTTTGCACCATCAGTGCAAATATGAACAAACTTAAAAGAGGTAAATAAGCCTTAGCATTATGAAAATAGTTTTGCCCTTGGGGACTCCCAGGGGTCTATGAGCCACATTCTGAAAACTGCTGCCCCAGAGATGATAACAGGCATCTTTGATTTTTTTTTTAACAGTACTTTCCCCACTTCTTAGACAATGCAAAAGTCTTAGAGTACTTTAACTTCATTTACTTCCTTTTCTGATTATATGTTATAGTTTTTATGCATTTTATTTCCCTGTATTATTCATATCCCACGTCTTTTTTAAATATATTAAGGCTCATTTACATATACCTATACATTTACCTTTCTGTCATTTTTCACGTCTAAATATTGCTTCTGCCTTACTCTCCTGTTTTTCTGGGACTCCAATTTTATGTATCTTATATACTTCTTACATTTTCTCTTCTGTTTTTCCTATCTTCATGTCTCTCCATGAATCATTCTAGACCTTTTCTTCTAGCACATCTTTTAGCTTACTGATTATCTCTTCAGCTATATCTTATTTGTTATTAAACCTATTTACTGAATTTTTAAATTCAGCTCTTCTAGTTTTCAGTCCTAGACTTTATATTTGAATCATCTCTACAGTTTCTGCTTCTCTATGTAATTGTCAATCTTTTATTTCCTTGAACATTTGAAGCTAGCTATTTCTGAAGTCTGGATGTGATACCTCCTTTGTCTGGAAGACTTATGGAAAGTTCCCATATATTTTCTCTTTGTTGTCAGCTATGTTATTTTGCCTTCTTGTGTGTGTGGTTTTGACTGAATATTGGAAAAATTGTAGATTTAAATTTAGAACTAGGATGATCATATTATATCCCTCTCTAGGGAAGTCTAGTGTTTGGTTGTGGCAGGGTGTGCAGGCAATGCTTGATCTCCTTAAGCCAATTAGGGATGGCGATGTTTCAAATAGGACTTTAATCCCTTTGAGGTACAGCGTATTTCTAGTTTGCCTTTACTTCTAGAGTATATACCTTTAGGTTATTTAAAAACCAAAACTCAATCAGTCTCCCTGTGAAAAGCCGAAACAAAGAAAAGGAGAAAAAAGGGTCATAGAAAAAGTGGACACCACTTCTGGTGTTGGTGGTTCAGTAAGTCCACCAACTGATGGTCCCTGAACTTTAATTTTATATTTAAATTTATAACACTTGTAGTGTTGTAATTTTTTTCAAAATCTCAAGCTGGGTTTGTCTCACTGAGTTTTCTTCTTTTCCTGGATTTTGGCCCTGTAATTCTTCACTGTCTTGATAACTCTCCAATGCCTTCAGGCATTTAATTTTTATTTTTAAATTAAAATATTATTCAGATTTTCTAGGTTTTAAAGTGGGGAAGTTGGTCCCAATTACCTAGTCTGGCATTGGAAGAAATGTGGCCATCTGGTGCAGCTACTTTTGATTTGGCCTTATCTGGGAAAATTGAAGATATTTGTGTTCCATAAACTAGAAATTCCACACCCCAAATATTTACCTTAGAGAGAAACTTTTGCAAATGTAAACAAGGAGTTATAAATAAGAACATTTATAGCAGTAGTTTCTAAAATAGCAATGCCAATCAATAGGAGAATGGATAAATCAATTGTGGCATTATTATTTATGTGGCATTATTTTTTATTCTCATAAAAATAATACAGCAGTGAAAATTGGTGAACTAAAGTTACATGTATCAAAATGGACAAATCTTTTGAACGTAATTTTGAGTAAAAATGTGGTGTACAAAAAAAAGCATGTGTGTGTGTGTGTGTGTGTGTAGTAATATTTACATTTGTAGCAATATGGGTCTGCCTAGTTATAATAGACACTGAACTGAATACAGTTTTATTTTCTTCCCCCCAGGTAGAAGGGGATGGGTTTGTGATCAGGAAGCGGCAGATAGATGATTCAATTTTGCTGATAATATTTTACTTCTTAAACCAGATAGTGAATATAACTGTGTGTTTCTTGTAATTTTAAAAATATTCTGGATTATCTTGTCTTGGATTGGTTAATTTAGTTCACTTACATTTATTTACTTATTGATTTATTTCTTATTGTTTCTATTACCTTAGTTTGTTATTTTTCTTTTTCCGCTTTTTAAATATCCTCTTTTATTCTTTATTGCCTGGGTGGAAGTATTGATTAAAGGTTATTTTTAAAAATTATTCATTTGCTTATTTTTATTCCATTTTTATTCTCCCTCTACTGCTTTGAAATTTACCCTTTTGTTTTCCTGATTGTCCTGGACACATTATCATGCATATTTAATTTAATGACATACTAAACAATATTTTAAACCCCTTTGATTATAAAAGGACGTTAGAATATCCCAAATCAAGTTACCATCCTTCCAACCTACAAGTTACTGTTGTGTAATATTTTAATTCTATGATTTTTCTGTGGCTTTATAAATTAGACTTTGTTATTATCTTATACACACATTGTTTTGTTAATGTTCCTGCATGTTTATCAGCTTATTTGCTCACCATTTCTTCTTGCTTCTCACAAGGACCTTTTTGTGATAATTCTCTTTCCTTCCTTAGGGGAGGTGTGGTGGTTTACTCCCAACCACATGTATCTGAATATTTTTGTTTTACTTTTGCTCTTATTGGGTACACAGTTTTGTGAAGTACACAATTCTGGGTTGGCATCTCCACACTTTGAAGGCACCATCACATTTCTTCTGGCTGTCATTATGGAGGTGAAAAGCTTATTTTCAGTCTTCTGATTATTCCATTCAAGATTGTCTCTACTTTTTGTCTGGCTGCTTTAAAAAAAATCTTATTTTTGCCTGTGGTGTTTTAAAGATTCACTATAGGCATCTGAGAGGACCTGAAACATTTACTCTTACTTGGAGTGTATTATGTGATTTCTGAATCTTGGATATATGTCTTCTCTTTGTTCTAGAAATTTTTCAGCTAATATCTCTTGAAATATTACCTCTATTCTTATATATCTGCACTCTCCTTCTAGGACTCTGACTAGAGATATGTTAGAGCTTCTTATTCTATTCTCTGTATCTCTTTCATTACCTTTATATTTTCTATTTCCTTATCTCTTGATACTGTATTTTGGGTAATTTGATCAGACTCTTATCCTGGGGTTCACATATTTTATTATTAGTTGTGTGTAATCAACTTGTCAAGCATCCATTGAATTTTTAAAAAATCAATTAAAAATTTTCAGTTTTAGAAGTTCCATTTGGTTATTTTTCAAACCTATTTGGTCATTCCTGATGGTCTCTTGTTTACTTTTTATCTTTGTGATTCCAATGTTACTTTCTTTATGCATTTCTTACATTCTTATTACATTTCATACATTGATATAATATGTATTGGATTATTTAATATCTGCAACCCTGAGGTGTTTAAATCTATTATTTGTTACATTTGTTGACTGCCATTTACAGATACTTGCCATCTTCTCTTTCTGTGACTTTTCATTGTGAGCTTACTGCTCATTTTTTAATCTTATTTTCAGATTTTTTACTCCTGAGGGCCCAAATGAGGGATGCTTTCCTCCAGAGATTTCTGTCTAGTTCTGCTGTGAATCAGGTGCACCGAAGACTTGAAGACATATCCATCACCTTTGAGCATCTCATATCTGCAAGGACTGCCAAGCTCAACTCCTCCACCTTGCTCTTTGTCCTAGGCTCAGGAGCCTAATTGCAATGGTAATTGGTGCTCATCCTCAAGGCCAGCAAACCTCTTCATTTGATACACTGCCAGCTTATCCCAACTGTATTAGTCTGTTCTCATGCTGCTAATAGAGACATACCTGAGACTGGGTAATTTATAAAGAAAAGAGGTTTAATAAACTCACAGTTCCACATGGTTGGGAAGGCCTCACAATCATGGCAGAAGGTGAAGGAAGAGGAAAGGCACATCTTACATGGCAGTGGCCAAGATAAGTGTCAAGCAAAAGGGGAAAACCCCTTGTTATAAAACCATCAGATCTCATGAGAACTCACTCACTACCACAAGAACAGCAGTATGGGGGTAACTGCCCCCATGATTCAATTATCTCCCACTGGTCCCTCCACTACACTTGGGGATTATGGGAACTACAATTCAAGATGAGATTTGGGTGGGGACACAGCCAAACTATATCACCAACTTTAGATTTAGCTCACATTTTGAGGAAGACTGGCAGGTTTGAAGAATTCCACGTACCTTGAAAGCCCATTGATGTGTCAAAAAGCCCATGTTATTGAGGACAGTCTTGTTTTGATTTATGACAGTGCCTTTGCACACTTGATCTGCTGTTCTCCAGCAGTGGAAGTTATTGTATTATTCTGTATTAACCTTTTTACTTCTTTAGCTCTCATAAATACTGCATGATAAAGGTGACCGTATTTTCTACTTTGAAGAACTATTATAAGCGTTAGGATGCCTAGAAAGCTGCTAGCACTTAGTAGACGCTAAATAAACAGTAGCTAACAACAACACTAAAGATGATTCAATATTTACTAAACCTAATTGAACATATACTGATGGTTATAGGTGGATAAACCTTGGACATATATGATATCACTTAACCTTACAACACTATAAGGTTGGTCATGTTGTCTTTCTTTTACAAATTAGGAAACTGAGGCTCAGTGAGTGTACCGAGCAGCATTACTTTATTAAATGATATGAACTATACAGTAGTGTCTAATGGGACATTTGGCTCATCCATTTATTCATTCATTCTTTCAGAAAGTACTTATTGAGTGCCTTTGACCCTGGGACTGTGGTGATATGTAATAGATGTTTGCCTTATCAAGGTCCTGGAAAAAAGCTTCTTTGACAATTCTCCCACCCCCTACACTGTCCCTGGGCCTCACAGTTTTCTCAGAATGGTGAGATCTGTGCATCTCACTTTCCCCTGGGACTTGGAACCTCCAAGCAAATGGTCCCTAGTAATAACCATTCTTCTATAAATTAATGGGAGCTTGAGGGCCCTGAGTTATAAGCACTGCGATGCAACTTTGTTTTAGGACAGTTGTTTGAATTAAGGTGCAGATGTGATGTGTGACTTGCAATGTGTCATTTATATTTAATGTAGGCATACCTCATTCTTTTGCACTTTGCTTTATTGCCCTTCACAGTTTTCATTGTTTTTCTTCAGACTGAAGGTTTAAGGCAACTCCTATTGAACAAGTCTATTGGCACCATTTTTCCAACAGCATGTGCTTACTTTGTGTTTCTGTGTCACGTTTTAGTAATTCTCACAATATTTCACACTTTTTCATTATTATTATATTTGTAATGGTGATCTGTGATCAGTGATTTTTGATGTTCCTCTGGTAACTGTTTTGGGGCACCATGAAGTGTGTCCAGATGAGATCGTGATCTTAACTGATTAATTGGAGCATACATGAATGTACGCTCTGGCTGCTCCATTGACCAGCCATTCCTCCATCTATCTCTTTCTCTTTCAGGCCTCTATACTCCCTGAGACACAACAACATTGAAATTAGGCCAATTAATACCCCATACAATGGCCTCTACGTGTTCAAGTGAGAGGAAGGATCACATGTCTATCGTTTTAAATCAAAAGCTAGAAATGATTAAGCTTAGTGAGGAAGGGGTGTCTAAAGCTGAGATAGGTTGAAAGCTAGGCCTCTTGCACTAATTAGCCAAGTTGTAAATGTAAAGGAAAAATTCTTGAAAGAAATTAAAAGCGCTGTTCCCATGTACTCATGAATAAGAAGAAAGTGAAACAGCCTTATTCCTGATATGGAGACAGTATTAGTGATTTGAATAGATAAAACCAGCCACAGCGTTCCTCTAAGTCAAAGCATGATCCAGAGCAAAGCCCTAACTTTCTTCAATTCTATGAAGGCTGAGAGAAGTGAGGAGGCCATAGAAGAACAACTGAAGCTAGTGGAGGTTATTTCATGAGGTTTAAAGAAAGAAGCTGCCTCCATAACATAAAAGTGCAAAGTGAAGAAGCAAGTGTTGATGTCAAAGCTGCAGCAAGTTACCCAGAAGATAATTTAGGTGGATACTTGATGAAGGTGGGAACACTAACAACAGATTTTCAATGTAGGTGAAGCAGTTGTGTATTAGATAAGAAGATGCCATCTTGGACTTTCATAGTTAGAGAGGAGAAGTCAATGCCTGGCTTCAAAGCTTTAAAGGACAGGCTGACTCCCTTACTAACTGCTAATGCAGCTGGGTGACTTTAAGTTGAAGCCAATGCTGGTTTACCATTCTGAAAAGCCTAGGGCCTTAAAAATGGTGATAAATCTATGCTGCCTGTGCTCTATAAACGGGACAACAAAGCCTGGATGATAGCATGTCACTTACAGCATGGTTTAACAAATATTTTAAGCCTGCTGTTGAGACCTGCTGTTCAGAAAAAAAGATTCCTTTCAAAAGTGACTGCTCATTGACAATGCACCTGGTCACCCAAGAGCTCTGATGGAGATGTACATGGAGATGAATGTTGCTTTCATGCCTGCTAACACAGCATCCGTCCTGCAGCCCATGGATCAAGGAGTAATTTCAACTTTCAGGTCTTATTATTTAAGAAGTACATTTCATAGGGCTAAAGCTACCATAGGGCTAAAGCTACCATAAAGCTACCACTACCATAGATAGTGATTCCTTTGATGGATCTGGGCAAAGCAATTGAAAACCTTCTGGAAAGGATTCACCATGCAGAACACGCATGACTCATGGGAGGAGGTCATCGACATTAACTGGAATTTGGAACAAAAGTTGACTCCAACCCTTATGGATTACTTTGAGCGTTTCAAGACTTTGGTGGAGGAAATAACTGCAGATGTGGTGAAAGTAGCAGAGAACTAGAATTAGAAGTGGAGCCTGAATTGCTGCAATCTCATGATCAAACTTGAACGGATGAGGAGTTGCTTCTTATGGATGAGCAAAGAAAATTTCTTGAGAAGGAATCTACTCCTGGTGAAGATGTTGTGAACATTGTTGAAATGACAACAAAGGATTTAGAATATTCCATAAGTGTAGTTGATAAAGTGGCAGAGTTGACTCCAATTTTGAAAGAAGTTCTGTGGTAGGTAAAATGCTATCAAACAGCTTGCATGCTGGAGAGAAATCTTTCTGGAAAGGAAGAGTCCATTGATGGGGAAAACCTCATCATTGTCTTATTTTAAGAAATTGCCACAGCCACCCCCAATCTTCAACAACCACTACCTTGATGAGTTAGCTGCCATCAGCACCGAGGAAAGACCCTCCAACAGCAGAAAGATTAGGACTTGTTGAAGGCTCAGATGATTGGTAGCATTTTTTAGCAATAAAGTATTTTTAAATTAAGGTATGTACATTGTTTTTCAGACAGACTACTACTGCACACTTAATAGACTAGAGTTGATATGGTTTGGCTGTGTCCCCACCCAAATCTCATCTTGAATTATAATTCCGATAATTCCCATGTATTGGGGGAGGGACCTGGTGGGAGATAATTGAATCATGGGGGTGATTTCCCCCATACGTTCTCATGGTAGTAAATAAATCTCAGGAGATCTGATAGTTTTATAAGGGGAAACCCCTTTTGCTTGGTTCTCATTCTCTCTTGTCTGCCACCGTGTAAGCCATGACTTTCGCCTTCTGCCATAATTGTGAGGCCTCCCCAGCCACATGGAACTGTGAGTCCATTAAACCTGTTTTTGTTTTAAAAAAATAAATTACCCAGTCTCGGGTATGTCTTTATCAGCAGTGTGAAAATGGACTAAAAATACAGTATGGTGTAAACATAACTTTTATACACACTGGGAAACCAAAAAATATGGTGACTCACTTTATTCTGATATTCACTTTATTGTGGTGGTCTGGAACTATGAGTGCAGTATCTCCAAGGTACGCCTGCAATTAGTAATGCCATTAGAAGGGACTGATGAGCTCATGGGTATTCACAGCCTCTCCTATAAATAGCTGGTGCTCTTGGTGAGAGCAGGGTTAGCACCATTGGGTCCCCTTGTTCTCTCCAGAGTTGTCTGGATGACAGGAAGTGCAGTGCATTCTGGCTCCTACTGGGCACCTACTGGAATTTTCTATTACTTCTCATCACACCCAACTCTTCTAGAGGCCTTCAGTCTGCTGTGACAATACCCCCACCCCCTGCACTGTCCCTGGGTCCCGCAGTTTTCTCAGGATGGTGCAATCTGTGCATCTCACTCTCCCCTGGGGGTCGGACTCTTCCTTCAGCTCCCCCAGGTCTGGGGAATAGGCTTGGTTATGTTCTGCTTACAGATGATAGTAAGTCTGCCACTGGGGTGAGATTCATAAGCTTAGAGGGCAGCAACCTGCCTGGGCTGCACCTTAGGAATGGTGAGCCTGGTCTTTATGCAGGATTAAACCTTTTCTATGCATTTGTAGATGGGGATGTGTGATGGTGAGAGGGAAGAGGATGGGATGAGAATGAGAGCAAGCCTTATATTTTATTTTCTCTCTATCAAGCATTCATTTGTTGAGCATCAGTTTGCACAGCTATTGAGTATCAGGGGATTCAAACCCATGTCTGTCTAGACTCTGCAGCCCCGCTCCTGCTACCCGAAATAATGCCCACCTCCCAGGGTAGCTATAAAGCTTTTGAGACACCGTCTGCAGCGTGGCCCCAAAATGCCTGGAGTGTAAGAACTCAGTGTGCAGTAACTTCTTTCTTTCCCTTTCTCTGAGCAAAAAAGAAATCTTAAAAGAAAGTGAAAATCTGTTGCCTTGGAGAAGTTTGAGAAGGAACCAGAAAGTGTGTGGGAAGGAATTCGCTCAGCCTGGGCTGCCATGCCGGTTCTGGTGGGTTCCACCTCCGAGCGTCCCCTGGCTGATGGGGGCATTTAACCACCTCCTCCAGGTTTTGTTTCCCCCACTTCACCCACATGGAACAGCAGTTCTCACAGGCAGACGGGCTGGTGAGTTAGCATCTTTCCATGATGAACTGTGCTGCACCAAGCCTTATCTTTCATTTATGATGATTATGCTTATAATGAAGGACTGCAAATCTGACAGACTGAAGATCATCTTGGAGGCTGTACTTTTCATAGTTCTTGCAGTTTGGATTGATTTGGGGGAGAGAAAAAGGGAGAGAGGCTCTTTGTAAAGAAAACATGATTTTTATGTGAATAGTCATTACAGACCAGGATTATATTATATTCATCTTCCCATGCAGAAACGACACCAGCAAACATCCTTCCTTTATTTCCCTGGGTAAAAGAAGGCCTCATGGTTTAATAAGCCAAAGGGAACACATGCAATGAATGAAGTGGCAAAGTAATGGCCTCCCCATCCTTCCTCCTGCTCCTGGAGAGCATCCCAATATCAGATATGGTTAGCCTGGATATTTAGCTTTTTGCCTTTCACCTTTGGACAGGTCATTTCATAACCTTGAGCCACAGTTACTTATTTTTAAGGTGAGCCTCTGGTTTTGTATTGCTGTATAGCAAGCCATGTCATACTTGGTAGTATAAACCATCAACACTCATTTATTATTATAATCTCATCTGGTTCTGGGCTCAGCTGGGCGGTTCTTAGGCAGGACCTCTCATGGAGTTGCAGTTAGTTGGTGGCTGGGCTGGAGTCACCCGGAGCTTCCACACTCATGTAACTGGTGCTTGCTGCTGGCTGTTGGCTGGGATTTCAGAAGGGACTGTCAGCAGGGACATCTACTTGCAGCCTCCTCGTGTGCCCTTGGCTTCTTCACAGCATAATCTCTGGGTCATCTATTGTTAAACACACTCACTGAGGCCCATCCAGGTTCAAGGAGAGGAGACACAGGCTGCAGCTCTTGCTGGGGACATGGTAAGGCTCTGGGATGGGGTGCAGCTGTTTCTGGAAAATATAGTCTGCCACCATAAGGATAATAATAATGGGTGTTTGGGTCACTGTAAGAATAAATGAAATAATGTTAACAGGCAGTGAAGTATAGGGGAAAATGTTTGAATTTTGGAGTTAGAGTAGCTTGGATTTCGATTCTGATTCTACTACTTCCCAGCTGTGAGAGAAGCTGACCATGTTCTGGTGGGTTCTGTCCATCAGGACTGATTGAAGAAGGTGTGGGGGTAAAAGTAGGGGGACACTTCAGATATTTCTTCTTTTTCCTTTCCTGGTGTGTCTGGTGGGCTGTTGCTGGTTTGTGTAGTGTTTAACAGTGACTTTCCTGCAGCAAGACTTACCTCTTATTTAAGATGATTATGTTTATAATGAAACGCTGTGGATTTTTTGGATTGAAATCACACAGGAGGTGATCCCTTATCACAGCCCTTTGATTGGGGCCGATTGAGGAGTTTGCTAATTTCTAATACCTCTCTTCCTAGATCATGGCAAAGACGAAATGAATTAACATGTGTGAGCTCGAGAGTGTAGGTGTTGTGGTGGATGGGCTGAGTGTGGATTTTGGGATCAGATAACGAGTTTGGATCCCAGCTTGGCATTTCATTAACTGGGGAATCTTACATAAGTCAGGTCCTGTCTCTGAGCCTCTGCTTTCATTTCTCTAAAATGGGATGATGCCCTGGGTTACCAGGTCACACAATTGTAAGTAAAGCCTCTCATCGCATGGTCTATGTGAACCGTGTCCCCAGAGGTGTGACGGGCCCACTCTGCATGGCCCTGATGGCCTCTGCCATGCACTGCTGTCCTGAGGGTGAGAAAAGGGATGGTGGGGAAGGGCCAGTGTGAGCCTGGACCAAGAATACTCTCAGCAAAGGTTTGCTCCCCTCCTGCCTTCCCTGAACCCTGGGTGGGGAGCAGTGAATTTCCTAGAACCCTTGCAGAGAGTTCTTTTCTTCTGCTCCCATGACAAGTGGGACCAGATGGTTTCACTGAGCTCTTCCTTGGGGACTGCGAAGTACTCTAGGTTTCTCACAGCCTGCGGCCCTGGGAAAGGGGCTCCTGCTGTAGGTGGTGAGGCCAGGAAGTCAGGGGTTCATTCGCCGTGGTTTAGATCTGGATGGGCCTGTTGTACGGCTGTGCAGTGTGTCACACTGGTTTTTTGATTAGTCCAGTATGTTCTCAGCCACTCAGCCCCTTCGTTATGTACTTGCCCTTTGGAGACTTGAGACAAAGTGCTGGGTTTGTGGATGGGATTCAGATGGACCTGAATTTGAATTCCTATTACTTACACCCTTACTTACTGGCTGTGGGATCTTGGCCAGTTGCTCATTTCTTCTGAGCCTCATTTCCTTTATCTATAAAATGGGAACAATAGCCCATTACTATCTCTCCGGCTGGATGTATGAATTAAATGGCATACAGCCCACGTAACGGAGTCATTAATTTGACAGTATTGATTATTTATTGAGTGCCCAGGAAGCTTTCCAGGTGCTGAGATGGGAACTTGTAGGCAGTCTGTGTACTTGGGGGCAGCAGCTGAGCATAGCTGAGTAAACTGGTCAGATGGTGAGGGATGGTGCTTGTCAGATGGTGAGGGATGGTGATCCGTGCAAGGTGAAGATTGCAGGCGCAGGGCTGCTTTTCTGTGGGTCATCTGGGAGGGCCAGGCCAATGAAAGAGGGATTTGAGCAGGGCCTGGAGGGGGTCCGGAGTGAGGACATGGCTCTTCGTGGGAAGACCAACAGGCAGTAGGAAGAGTGTGCAGGTGGTCGAGGGGAGGCCTCATGTGGCGGATGTTTAAGGATCAGATGAAGTGCCAAGAGGTGTGGGCAGGGGTGAGGCCTGCAAGGACGAGTGCAGGGAGGGGAAGGAGCCAGACAGCCCCCACCTGCAGGACACCCCAAGTAGCTCAGCTTGGTCAGGAAATGCCCTGTCGCCTCCTTTCTCTTAGTATTTTACCACTTTTTAATACACCTTTAAAGAAAGTACATTTATATTTGTAAATAACCTTAAAAAAAGAACTTTGCAGTTTTCCCATTCCCATAAAATAACCTACTCTTCAGTGTAAAATAAGTCCCATCCTTGCCACTAAGTGGCTCACTTAGAATCAGTGACTATTTCTAGTTCATGCTTTACACGTCTGCTCAAATGACCCTCACAACAACCCTGTGAGCCAGTGTTACTATGCCCATTTAACAGATAAGGAAACTGAAAGGCAGAGAGGTGAAGGGCAAGGACAAGGTCACACGGCTTGCAAAAGGCAGACAGGACTTAGGCCTGGGTTTTCCTGACTCCAGGTTGTTCCCTCAGCCCTGGCTGATGACGTCAAGTCCTGGAGCCTTTGACCTCCGACAGCCTCTGCCTCCCTTCCTCTGTCTGCCTCCAGCATCCGTTTCTGTTGCTGATGTCGGTGTCTGAGATGCAGGCATCTCCCTAACTTGCCAGGCTTGATGAAGCTCAGTGGATTTCTTTTAGTGATGATGGACATAATTAATTTAGCAGAGGAGATGCCTCATTGCTGCCAGTGTCAAATAAAAACGAGAAGGAAGACAGGTTGCACTCTAGCTCTGAACACGACGATGAGCTCAGTCAGCCGGAGGGTCAAGTATTCTTGGAAGAGGGAGGACCCCAGCTGAGGGCCTGGTTTGTTCTTAGCAATGCCTCACGTGCACCTTGTCCTAAGCAGCAAGCAATGATGACAGCAGGCATGGAGGCTGGGCCATGGAAAGTGAGTGCTTGATCCAGGCAGGTGAAAACATTCCTGAGAATATGTCAGTAAGTGGCATGCCATTCATTGGTTCTCAAACTTCAGTGTCTATATAGATAATCTAGAAGGCATGCTTAAAAAAATCCAGATGCCTTCACCACATTCCCAGAAGTTTAAATTCAGTCTCTTTGGAGAGGGTCTTGGGATCCTGATGTTTATCAGTCGTTCCACATGATTCTGGTGCAGAAGGTTCCAGAAACATCGGCACAAGGGTTATGTGCATGAGCTCTGGAGTTTTTCAGTTGTGGTTTTGAAGCTGGTATGACTCAACACAAGAGATCTAGCCTCCTTAGTCTTTGCTTCCTCCTGCTGTGGAATAAGCTGTAATATACCCACCTCAGAGGGTTATTGAGGAACATATAGGACCACGCACATAACATTGCTTTACTTTTGAATTGACAGTTTGCCAAGAGTAGGAGGCTCAGCCTTCAGGTGGAGGACCAGTCAGCAATACTTGAACAGTTGCTTGGGGCTCCAAGTCCAGCAGATGCCAACTCCATCAGCAGGACCAACCACTCAGTCCTTCAAGGTTCAGCTGGGACATCATTGCCTCCAAGAAGCCTTCCTGTGGCTTTATGCCTTGAGCTCCCACTACCTGCTGCATCCCCTTCTATGGAAACATTTTTCACATTGCACCAAAACAGTCTGCTGCTATATTTCTCTCCCTGAGCTGGACTGTGAGCTCTTCAGTGGAAGGGACAGTCTTGCTCATCCTTGCTTCTCTAGGACCCAGCATATAGTGCATTTTGCATAGCTGTAATCAGAATATCGAAGCAATCTTGTATTGCTTTTGCCTTCCCTTCACACAGTAAGCATTTGTCATGGTCTGCAGTCTTTATCCTTAGCATTTCTAAGGGTGCCTAATGTTCTATAGAAGTGTTGCTCTCTGAATGTTTGAACTGTTCCCTTATTAAAAGTCCTCCTTTATTTGCTATTATAAATAATGTTGAGGAGAACCTTGTGTCCCTCCCTGGTTTGTACAGTGGACTGCTGCAGATTATCAAGAAAACCACTTGATTCTAATAGTAAATAATTTAAATAGATAATTGTAAGAAGGTGGGATGCAATCCCCAACCACATAAAAAAATAGTCAACCTTACTAGGTATAAAATGCAAAATAAAATGATGCCTGATGTTCTATCTACTAAATTAGCAAACTTGAAAATAATGGTAATTTCAAGCACTGATAATGACATTAAGAATTAGGCGCACTTGTTTAAACATTGTCTTTGGGAGTGGAAATTAGCACTATTTGGCAATGGGTTTAAAGATTGGTAATCCCACTGCTTGGCACACCATGGTAAAGAAATGACTTCTTGTACAAATTGGAAGAAATCGCAAGGCTGTTAATGGTTACTCATACTCTTTTGCAACACAGAGTCATCTTCCCTGTAGAGAAGGCAGCTTCCGTAGCATTCTAGCCCTGCATGGTATGAGTTCCAGACTGGAGGTGGAGGGAGAGATAAGAGCAGCCTCCATGAAGATGTGATGCTTGATCTGAGACTTGCAGGGTCGGCAGCTCCTTGGCCAACAGAAGGGAGAGTGGGAAAAGGGAGAGGTGGGTATCCCAGCATTTGTGAACGTGTGTGTGCACATGCCTGTGTTTGTAGAAGGGTGAGTGAGTACTTGGGTGTGTCAAAACAAGAGGCTGGAGGGACTGCAGATCATGAATTCTGGGCCATGCTTGAGTGTCCCCTGAAGGTGGTGGGGTGACACTGAATTAGAGAAGAGACATGGATTTTAGAAAGCTGTCACTGACTGAAGGATGGAGGCAGGGAAGCCAGGTCGGAGGCTGTCACAATAGCTTAGGGGAGAAATGTTGAAGATGAGCCTGTGTGAAGGTGGATTGGTTGGAGGGAAGAAGGTGGATTACAAAATTTTAGGAGCTCACCTCCACTTTTCTGTATGACCCTCCTCCAGGCACCTTCCCTGGGGAAGGTTCTACTTCGCCGTGCGTCTTCCCGATACACGGGGTCTCCTGGAAGCCTGTGGGGCCCATCAGCTCAGGCACATTGCAAACTCCGCTAATGGCATGTTGGCTAATTGCATAATGCAGCTATCTGCCTGTGAATTGAGGCCCAAATGTTGTTCTTTGCAGGGTAATTATGCGGGATAAGTGAATGGCTGGAATATTTACAAGATTTTGTCCCTTGGTCGATTTCCTTTCTCAGAAGACAGCCGCTGTGTGGGGTAAAACATAAGACAGAAAATATCTCTGGGACTTGCGCAACATGGCCACAGGAAGGCTTGTGGTGTTTGAGAGAGGAACATGCAAAATATTAAGTTTGGGTAAAAAAGAGCATACAACTGTTCCATCCTTGAAATGCATATGTTCCACCGGATGACTGGCAGGGCTGGATTCGGCTCTTGCCTGTTTCCAGCCGAGGAGCGTGTCTCATTTCCAGCACTGGCATGTCAGGTTGGACACGGGTCCGCACATGGTTCCTGGGGTGCACGGCTGGGTGTTGGGTTTCTGCTGCATTGGATGTGAATCCTGAAGCATCCGTGGTTGTGACTTTGACGGAGTGATTTCCATAATCTAGGCCTCAGTTTCCTCATCTGTGAAACGGGGAAAGCAATATGTCTTTGGAGAGTTGTCATGGGGGGTCTCAGAGGTGAGGGAGGTAAAGGGTTCCCTATGAAGTATGGGATTGAGATGAGGCTTCTTTCCCTCCGCTTCAGACCAAGGGCAAGCCCCGAGCTGGGCATTGTGGGGCTTCCTGGGGACCGAGGAAACCCTGACTAGTGTTGCCTGTTTCAGCCTCCTCCCCATTAACTCAGCTCAGCCGCGTTAGCTGGGAGCCTGGGTGGAAAAGAACTTCGTTGAAGGCCTTGCCCTCTTTCTGAGAAAAGGTGGTAAAAGTGGATCTGCTTTTCCTAGTGCCAAGCACTGTGGGAGAATTTCTTTTTTTTTTTTTTGTTTTTTTGAGACGGAGTCTTGCTCTGTCCCCCAGGCTAGAGTGCAGTGATGCGATCTCAGCTCACTGCAAGCTCCGCCTCCTGGGTCCACGCCATTCTCCTGCCTCAGCCTCCCAAGTAGCTGCGACTACAGGCGCCTGCCACCACGCCCGGCTAATTTTAGTAGAGATGGGGTTTCACCATGTTAGCCAGGATGGTCTTGATCTCCTGACCTTGTGATCCGCCCACCTCGGCCTCCCAAAGTGCTGGGATTACAGGTGTGAGCCACCGTGCTCAGTCCAGAAAATGTTTTTATTTTATTTTATTTTTATTTTTTTGAGACAGAGTCTCACTCTGTCACCCAGGCTGGAGTGCAGTGGCATGATCTCGGCTCATTGCACCTTCTGCCCCCAGGTTCAAGCGATCCTCCCACCTCAGCCTCCCCAAGTAGCTGGGACTACAGGCGCCCACCACCACGCCAGTCTGATTTTTGTATTTTTTTGGTAGAGACAGGGTTTCACCATGCTGGCCAGGCTGGGCTTGAACTCCTGACCTCAAGTGATCCTCCTGCCTTGGCCTCCCAAAGTGCTGGGATTACAGGCATGAGCCACCATGCCTGGCCTCGAAAGTGTTTTAAGACACACATAACCCTTGGAAAGGATTTTCATCTTCATGCTTTGCAGAGGACATTAGACGCTCAGAGAGGTTACATAACTTTCTTTGGGTCACACAGCTCACAGGTGACAGGAGTTGGGTTTGGACTCATCTCCAATGCCTGCCCTCTCTGGGCTAGGCCAGGGTGCAGGAGGTTCCCTTCGCCTTTTGATGTGTGTGAGTAGGAGGTGTTTGTTTTTCCTTCTCAAACTCCAACTGTGGCCCTTAGCTGTTGGGGAGGTCAGATGAAAGCTGCTTTTGTCCTTGGCCTTCTTCAAACAGGTTCTGGTCTCTGCATCTGAGTGGCTTTTCCGCAAAGTGGATCTGGCTTCTTGACAAGGCACCATCCACCCCCAGCTGCCCGCCCCCAGCCTCCCTGCTGTGGGAACCTCCCATGCCATGTTCTCCTGGCCGGCAGCCACCTTCCCTAGCCTCGTGTGTCCCTGCTCTCCTTTAATGATAGGGATGTGGGCTCCCCAAAGCTCACAACACAGAGAGGAAGTACTGCTGAGAGGGTTGAAGAGCACGCCAGAGTCGCAGGCAGGAGTCTTGGCCTGGTCACCTACTACCTGCATGCCTCCAGGCAAGCTCTCCATCCTCTCGGTGCCTCGGTGTCCTCAACTGTCAAATGGGTGTCATATGGCATGTCCCTCCAAGGGCAGAGGTTGGTGGAGATGAAACACAATAATGAACATCGAGTGCCTGGCTTGTGGGAAGTGGTTATCTCAGGCCTTGCTGTCATTGTCACATCTCATGAGTGATGGAGCCTGGTGCAGTGGCAGAGTCCAGAGGGGTTAGACAGAACTGGGTTCTCCACTCACCTCCCCTGATCAGCTGCCTGGCCTTGGGCAATTGCTCCATATCAGGGGACGTTCATGGGGACGTTCATCGGGGGGTGCTGAGTTGAGAAAGGAAGAGCTCCAGGAGCTCTGGGTGAACTCAGGCACCCACGTTAACTGCTGTGTAGTGACATGGGTTATAACTAGTTTAGTCTGGCCAACATTTGTTGAGTGCCTACCTCGTGCAGGCACTGGGTAAGGACAGGATGCAAGCAGAGTTCTCAAATGCAGTGGTTTACAGTCGAAGCAGACAACGTGCACACCACAGCCTGCAGTACAGCGGGTGTTTGGAAATACACAAATTCAGCTTCTCTGCTCTCCCAAGTTGTGACCTCCTGCCTTCCTATCCAACAAGTCCTGGCCTTCCCGACACTGAGCCTTCCTGATCACTTCCTGACTGATGCTGTCGTGTGAAGTTAGGTCTGATGATTCTGGCAGCCCATCGTGGCTACGCTCATCCCATGCGCTTGGCCCTGATCGTCCCTGTGCCACCCTCACTGCCCGGCACTTAGAGGCTATGTGGAGCCATGGGCAGGGTCCAGGCAGATACGGGACAAGGGCTTGGCTGTACTCACTGCCCTCCGCTCGGTGCCTGGAGCAGGCCCTGGCACATCGGAGGCCCTGGCAGGTTGGTCTTGTGTAGTGATTCTTGCTCTTGGTGGTTTCCTTTGCTCTGTATGCTCAGCCCCCAGTAACGGTGAATGAACTTGAGCTGGTGAGTGAATGTCAACTCCTATTTATCTCCCCAAAACAAACAAAAATATGTTTTTAAGTGCAGTTTGGAAACTCCTGAGGTTGTCAAGTTAAAAAAAGAAAGAATGGAGATGTGCTGTGTGGAATGTCATGAAACATCATTGGCCTTTTAAACGTAACACGACTCAATGTGCCCAGTGAGTTCGAAGCTTGGTTAGGTTAGGTGAGAAACTAGCACAATAAAAGTCAAAAGTTGGCCAGGTGTGGTAGATGATGCCTGTAATCCCAGCACTTTGGGAGGCTCGGGCGGGTGGATCACTTGAGGTCAGGAGTTCTAGAGCAGCCTGACCAACATGGTGAAACCCTGTCTCTACTAAAAATACAAAAAATTAGCTGGGCGTGGTGGCGCACTCCTATAGTCTCAGCTACTCGGGAGGCTGAGGCAGGAGAATCGCTTCAACCCAGGAGGCGGAGGTTGCAGTGAGCCAAGATCATGCCATTGTACTCCAGCCTGGGCAACAAGAGGGAAACTCTGTCTCAAACAAACAAACAAACAAACAAACAAAAACCTCAAACGTTTAAGAAACATGTAGGAGACGAAGCATTTGAAACTAAAAATTCTTTATACGAATGGTGTGTGTGTGTGTGTGTGTGTGTGTGTGTGCATGTGAGCACATGCTGAAAGGCCTTTTATTGTGGTGGAGCGTGTTGGACCCAGGGCAGCCTGTTCCAGGTATGCAACAGGTGCTCAATAATTGCTCTTGGATTAGATCGAGTGAAGCTCCCTGCTTTACATCCCACTTTTCTTTGCCAGGGTGTATTATGTGAAAATTGCTGGCCAGCAGAGGGAAAACACCTCAGTGGTCAGATTGAGTTGGTTTAAAAATCCATTAGCAATTAGTCTGCCCTCAGGACGTGGTATTCCTGGGTTTATTCACCCTTTGGTTTGCTCAGTAGTCTCCCTTCCCAGCTGCAGCCCTGAGCAGGATGTATACAAAGGTGACAGGCAAGTTTGGGTTTCTGGGTGTGTAAGTTCCTTGGGCTGCCATGACCTAGTACCATAAACTGGGGCTTCAACAAGAGATATTTATTTCTCACAGTCTGGAGGCTGGAAGTCCAAGGTGAAAGTGTCAGCAGGGTTGGTTCCTTCTGAAGCTGTGAGGGAGAATCTGTTCCAGGCCTCTCTTCTTGTAGATGGCAGTCCCCATCCTCATGTGGCTTTCTCCCTGTGTGTGTCTGTCCCCAAGTTTCTCCTCCTTATAAGGACACAAGTCATACTGGATTAGGGCCCACCCTAATTCCCTCATTTTAATTACTACCTCTGTAAAGACTCTGTCTCCAAAGAAGGTCACATTCTGAGGCGCTGGGGTAAGACTTTCCATATGAATTTTTTGGGATGCAATTCAACACATGACATAAAGACTCCCAGGCCCAGAGGGAGGCAGGAAGTCCGTGGACCCCTGCAAAGGAGTGGGAGCGAGGTACCTTGGAAGAAGAGAAGTAGTGGCTGAATCTGCTCAGGAAGATCTGAGAAGCCTTTATGGGAAGCCACATGCAGGCAGGAGGGAAGGACTGAGCTGGAGTTTGCTAGAGCGGGGAGGTGGGTGGAGGGAGGACACTGTCTGGCTGACCATGTGCCGAGTTCAGGAAGTATGGTTGACCTAGAAGGCTGCCACAGTGCCCTGACAGGGCCATGGGTGCCATGTGGACACTTGGGGAGAGGAGGCTGCAGGCAGGCTGGGGCCCACAGTGCGGCTTGGGCTCCAGCCTGAAGGCCACTTAAGTCTGAAGGCCATGCAGCCTAGAACGGTTTTGCCCAGGGCAGGAACAAGATCAGATCTGGGCTTAAAAAAATTCATTCACATTCACTCATTTGACAAATATGTATTAGTTGGTTCTTTATTGAGGGATCTTGGGCCCTGGAGTCATTCTTCTGTTGATGAGCTAAGTGACCTCAACTAAGTTATTTAACCTCTTCAGACTGTAGAATTGGGACTTAATAGCAATGCCTGCCTCCTAAAGTTCTGGGATGAGGAGGTGTCATAAGGGACTTGAAAACTTGGCTTAGAACCTGCTGTAGAGTTCAGTGTTCACCAAATATGAGCTACTAGGATGGAGGAGACAAGAGGAGGAGAAGGAAAAAGATGAAAAGAGAAAGGAAGAAAAGGAGGATGGGGAGAGCCGGTCAGATACAAACCCAAGAACCGTGCACTGAGGGAAGGACAGGGAGGAAGACCAGGGGGTCTCTGAGCATAGGCCATCCAACCCAGGGAGGCCTGACCTATCCATGCTGGATGTGAGCATGGAGAGAGAGTCAGGGAGCCTGCAAGGGGAGCTGGTGTGAGGCCAGGAGGAGCTGAGTGTCCTCCAGGGGCTTGAGTGACACATTGGGTGTTGGCATCTTTCTCTGAGCAGGTACTTCCCTACCTGTGGCCAGCAGACAGCCACTGGCTGAAGGGAAGGGCCGTTTCTATATTTCTGGTGTGCACACACAGATGATAGTTCCTGCAGATAAGCTGTCCCTGGAAGCCTGGTCTGTTCCCTTGGCTGCTCTTGGTGGAATGGATTGGGTTTTGGGTGCTCTCAGAGATAGTGTCCTCTGGGTGCTGGCACCAGCCTTGCCTCGCTTGGTTTAGGAGTTGCCATGCTTCATGGGGCAGTCAGTGTATATTTTCTTGGGGCCTTTCAATGGTCCCTGTCATTTTAATTGCCTCCTGTCGCTCTGCAGGAGGACTCAGAAATGTGTTGAGAAGTGGGATCCAGCTCTGCTTGGAGCCTAGTCCTCCTGAACCTGAATTGACTAATCTGTGAAATGGGGCCTCATAGACCCAAGGCTGGTGTGTCTGCTGTATGCTTTCTGACTGGAAGGTGTCCAATTCTTACAGGCATCTCAGGTTGTTGTGGGGGAAAGGAAATGATGACCATGAGCAATGGTGGGCTGGCAAGCATGTAACAACCAGCTATCTGAAAAAAATTCTGGTTTGTAGTGTTTGCCAATTTCTTTGGTGTAAATACTTCCACCATGGCCAATTTCAAGCCACCAAAGGATGTCACTGAACCCTGAGTCAGGAGCTCCTGAGACGTGCCATTGCTGCATCTGGGAGCAGACACAGCACACAGTCAGTGGGGGCCATTAATTATTGGCATTATTTTTTATCTTAGAGGACTGAAAATGTCACGCTGATCTGCTGAATGAAAGAAGTAAGCAAACATATCGGAAGCGGATAGTATGGTTTGCTTCCAAACTAAGCCAAGCTAAGAACACTCACATACACTATCTTGTTTAGTCCTCACATTCTTTTTTTTTTTTTTTTTGAGATGGAGTTTTGCTCTTGTTGCCCAGGCTGGAGTGCAATGGCACGATCTCAGCTCACTGCAATCTCTGCCTCCTGGGTTCAAGTGATTCTCTTGCCTTGGCCTCCTGAGTAGCTGGGATTACAGGCTCCCGCCACCATGCCTGGCTAATTTTTGTATTTTTAGTAGAGATGGGGTTTCACCATGTTGGCCAGGCTGGTCTCAAACTCCTGACCTCAGGTGATCTGTCCGCCTTGGCCTCCCGAAGTGCTGGGATTATAGGCATGAGCCACTGCACCCGGGCAGTTCTCGTATACTTCCATAGCATGGAGCTTTTACTCTCGTTCTGTAGATGAAGAAACTGAGGCTCAGAGAGCTTAACCAACTTGTGTAAGTCCCCAGCCAATAAGTGGCAGATGGGACCTTGAACCATGAGGAGGAGGAAAGTGGTCAGTAGTAATATTAATAGAAAACCTTCACTGAATGTTTGTCATGTGTCAGGGACACTCCCTCATATAATTCTCACAACAGAATTACTTACAAGGTGGGCATGATACTCTGCCCAAAATAAAGATGACACAGCAGAGGCTCAGAGAGGTTAAGGAACTCACCCTAGGTCACACAGCTAGAGAGTGGTAAAGCTGTAACTTGAGCCCAGGTCTTTCTGCTTCTAACACTCAGATTGCCACACCACCCTTGTACTGCAGTGATCACATTATGTCTTCTACAGTCTGCTATTGGTAAAGATCTCTATTCTTAGTCCCCAGACTTATATAAAATATCACTTACATTGTGGATGCCCCTCCAAGTGCACATGGGTATGAAGAAATGCCTGACACAGATGGTGCAGGAGAACAAGGGGCTGCCTTGGGCTGGGCCACTGTCAGTGTCCATGGCCTTGGGCAAGTCTCAGCCTGTCCTTGCATCTGTGGACACAGAGGCTGGGCCTCTAGGAGAGGCTGGTGGTGAGCCTCCAGTTCTATTGTCCCCCATCAGCCTGGGGCAGTCACTGACATCAGCGATACCTGCAGGGAGAGCCACTGAGTGAGCGTCCGTCCCCTGGGAGTCGTTGCTGGTGGCTGGTGAAGAGAGAGGATTCGGCCTTGGAGAGGCTGGATTTGGGAGCCTTTCCTTCACCATCTCAGGAGAAGAGAAAGTATCACAGGGCACCTGGCAGGTGAATGGCCAATGAAAAAAGAGTTTTGTAGAAAGTTTCCCATGCTCTGCAAGACTCTGGCTGAAGGAGGGTAAAACAGTGGGGCTGGGCTGGGGCTGGACTGGGCTGGGCTGGGCTGAACTGAGCTGAGCTGGGCTGGGGTTAGGGCTGGGCTAAGTAGGGTTGGGGCTGGGCTGGGGTGAGCTGGGACTGGACTGGACTGGACTGGGCTGGGCTGGGCTAGGGCTGGGCTATGGCTGGACTGGGCTGGGTTGGGTTGAGGTTGGGCTGGGGCTGGGCTGGGCTGGGGCTGGTCTCATCTGGCCTGGGCTGGGCCAAGCTGGGCTGGGTTGAGCTGGGCTAGGTCTGGTCTGATCTGGCCTGGTCTGGTCTGGGGCTGAGGCTGGGTTGGGGCTGAGGTGATCTGAACCGAGCTGAGCTGAGCTGGGGTTAGGGCTAGGCTGGGCTGGGTTGGGTTGGGTTGGGGCTGGGCTGGGTTGGGTTGGGTTGGGTTGGGGCTGGGCTGGGGTGAGCTCGGGCTGGGCTAGACTGGACTGGGCTGGGCTGGACTGGGCTAAGTCTGGTCTGATCTGGTCTGGTCTGGGGCTGAGGCTGGGTTGGGGCTGAGCTGATCTGGTCTGGTCTGGGCTGAGGCTGAAGCTGGGACTTGGCTGGGCTGGGCTGGGTTGGGTTGGGTCTGGGCTGGGGCTGGGGCTGAGCTGGGCTGGGTCTGAGCTGGTCTGGTCTGGTCTGGGCTGAGCTGGGCTGAGCTGGTCTGGGCTGGACTGGTCTGGTCTGGACTAGGCTGGTCTGGGCTGGCCTGGTCTGGTCTGGACTAGGCTGGTCTGGGCTGGCCTGGTCTGGTCTGGAGTGGGGTGGGCTGGGCTGGGCTGGGGTACTGCTGGGATCCAAACTGTGTCTGCTCTGGCAGAGGTGAGAGGTGGGTGGTTGTTTAGGGAGGTGGGGGCTGGGAGTGGGGCTCCAAGGGTCTTGGGAAGGGGAATGAACACTGGCCTTGAAGGCAGAGACTTGGGGTCTTGGCAACTGTGATCAAGTTACTTTACTGCTCAGAGCCTCAGCCTGCCCGTCGGTAGAGTAGTTGTGATAGCACAGCCCCCAGAGTGGAGGCTGAGGTAAGGAATAGACACAGAACCTGGTATACAGGAAGCACTCAGTGGACAGCTATTGTCTACCTCTCCATTAAGGTCCTTGTCACATCTCTCTTTGCAAATGGTCATGGACTAAGGCTGTTATTTGACATTCCCTGTGCTCCTTTAGCCCCAAGCCTAGGGAGGGCACTGGCAGGTGGCCCTGGGACCGCCTCTCCTCCTGGGAAGCCCCGCGTGTTTCCAGGCTCTGGAGCAAGCCTCCCAGAGCTGGAAGGCGCCGTTGTGTACGTGGGCCGCCGCCCTCCACCGCCCTCCGCCGCCAGGGCTCTGCAGACGCTGGCTCCCAGGAGCCGGGACAAAGCCCTATTATGCAGGGTGCTCACACTCACGTCTGAAGCGTGTGAACCTGCCGACCCGCCCGCCCGGCCCACAGAGGCTAGAGTGGCTCTGCCCAGCCATTGTTCCCACAGGGTAAGGGAGGTCACCCGGGGTGAGGCCGCCCAGGGCGTCTTTTGAGGCTGCGGAGGATGAACCCTCTTTTGCTGGGATGGGAATAGCTGTTCTCTGTCTTCCTCTTGGTGTAGTCTTGGTTGAAGGTGGCAGGCTCTGATCTGGAAGGAAGGATGCCCAGGCTCTGTTTAGCACCGGGAGGTGGGAATGCCGGGTCCCAGGGTGGCTTTTGGAATGGAGTAGGTGTGTAGCTGGAGGATGTGGAACTTGCCGGAGCAGCAGAGGGGTAAACCACATCCACTCATCCCGTCAGTAACTATTTGTTGAGAGCTCACGATGGGCCAGGCACTGTGGATGCAGTAAGAACAGGTACAAATCTCCACTCTCACGGAGCCTGTCTTCCAGGGAGGACTTCTAGAAGACCTCGCCTGGCCTTTTCTGGCTTTCCAGCTCTATGAAATGATTCACTTTTCCACTGGACACTTATTAAGCCTGAGGGATATTCATTCATTCATTCATCCACTCATCCATCCATTCATTCATTCAACAAATGCTTATTGAGCAGCACCTACTATGAGCCGCACCCTTCATTAGCAATCAGGTTGTCTTAGCTTTGGTTGTCCCAGACAAATCCTGAGACAAGGACTCCTGTGTTGGGTGGTTTATTAGGATGCACTTCCAGAAGAAACCAGTAAGGGGTGGAGGTAGGGGGTGAAGAAGAGGTCAGGGGACTCAGCCACAGAGGGTGAGATTTCAGGGACACTTCCAGTCTCAGCCTGATCTCCTGGGGGAGCTCTGGGGGTATAAATTGTAAATTGTGCCTCAGAGCTTGTCCCGAGTTTAGGCAAGGAGCTGGTGGCCCCAGGGCCTCACCAGGGCTCTTAAACTTGGGGGCGCTTGGGCTCTCTGAATGCAGCTAGGGTAGCTCAGGTAGCCCAGGCCTGTCCTCTAAAGGGAGTCACAGGCGTAGGTGGATAGAGGCGAAAGTGATAGAGGCCATAGAGCCAGGAAAGGCTCACCCAGAAATGTGAAATGAAAAGTGCCCCCAAACTGGAACCAGCCTTGCCCAGGATGGAGCCTTGGCAGAACAACCAGGTGGGGGCGGGGACTTGTGAGTCAAGCACTCCCTAGAGGCCCTACCTCCTTTATCCCCCAGCCTAGGGAAAGAGGCATCAGGGAGGTCTTCTTGGAGGAGGTGACCCTATGGGTGCAGTGGGTGCAGAACGATTGCTATACAAATACACACACACATACACACACACACGCAAACGCATGCAGAAACTTGTGGCAGGGTTGGGATTTGAACCTAGGTCTGCTGATTCTAAAACCTGTGTTTATTTCATTTTGCTTTTCTCTACATTAACATTTTTTCACCCAAGGTCATGATTTCATAGAGTGGGTTGAAGGCGTTTTAGTGGTCGTCGCAGCCAGCTCCTTTGGGTTTCAGGCTGGGGAGCTGAGTCTGGGAGAGGGGCGATGGCTTCCTAGTGTCACACAGTGGTTTAGCGCCCGAATCCTGGCCTCAGAGTCCCAGCCCCAGACTTGCCAAGCCTCAGTTCCTGCTGACTCTTGCATCATGGGATTTTGGGCTCTGTGAGTCTGCAGTACAGACAGGACAGGTTATGTCCTTCCGGGAAAGGCCCGGAGGTTATTTGGATGCAAAGATGAAGAAAGGCTAATGGGATAAGCAGACAGCGTTTGTCTGTCTCCTGCAGCAGAGCAGTGGGGATTTACCCTGTGGGAACAGGTAATCCTGGTAGGGGCGGGTTTACAAAGTCCATTTTGTCCATGTTGACTAGTAAATTGGCTTAAGGCTTGCAGTTCGGCCATTCACCATCCTGGACTTGCATGAAAGGTGAAAACAACCTTTCTAAGCCCCTTCATACCCATCCCACCACTTTTAGGGGTGGAGAGTGAAGATCACTTGAAAGAAACTTCAGCTAGAAAATAAGTCTGTGCTCCTCAGCTTCGCCTGGAGTGCATTTCTTATCTGTGAGTAATGACTTTTTCACAATCCACCTTTTATACTCATTTCAATAATGTGCCTTGGGAAGCCAAGGTTCTCTTAAAGGAGAAGGCCTTATTTATTTCCTGCTCTGGTTTGGGAGTGACGCAACTGAGCCAAGAGTCCAGGCAAACCTTGGAAGATTCATCCTCCAACCCACTTTCCCAGCCCTGAAAAATTAAACCAAGAATATGTCCCTTCAATCTTGACCAGAAAACCAAACAGAACAAAAGGCCCAAAGCTCCAAGCCCCAACGATTTCAAAGCAAACACAGCTTCAGGGGCTTTTGAAGGTGGAAGGTGAAAGCCCCAGACAGCAAAATACACTATATGTCGTGGTTGCCTTTGGTCACAGCTGCTGGCTGGCGATTCTGGGACAGGTGGTCACAGGGCCAGCTAGCAGAGCTGGCTGGCAGCAGCCTGGTTCCTGCCACAGTAGGCTGAGATGCTGACCTGTCCCTCGATCTCATGTCCCTGTGGCATTCCCAGTGTCCATCCGCCTCCCTCTTCAGATGGGTGGGATGTTTCCTGATTCTCTGCAGCTTGCTGATGGAGAGGCAGTGCCTCTTAAGCAAGGTGTTAACCTGTATTGACGTACTCCGCAGGGACTTTATATGCATTGTTGCAATTCATTAATAAGAGATGGTTACTTATTTACTTATTTTCTAGGTTGGTAGGAAATGAAGGCTGGGAGAGGCAAAGCCAATTGGCTCAAGGTCATGTCCGTCAACATTTCTCTAAAGTTCTGCTTTCCAGACCACAGCAAGTCAGTAAGATCAAGACCGTCTTAGAATAAGTTCTTGACAAAAAGAATAAACCTCCGTCTCACCCACTCTCTTCCTCTTGTCCTTCCACGGAGAGTTTGGGGTTGGTTTTCACCACAATCATTGATCTTTTACTTTTTTGCTCTTTGAAAATATCTGTAGCTGTGGGTCAGGCATAGTAGCTGAGTGAGGATGTATATATGTGTGTATATATATATATATATATATATAATATATATAATATTTTTTGGTCGGAGGGTGTGTGTCCAAATATTAACTTCTAATCCTCTCCCAGGAAGGAGATAAACAGTCCCACAGGACTCACGCGGAATATTTTTTAGCGTCTTGCACTTTTGGTAAGTGACAGTTTTGCAAATTGCGGGTAAAGAACTTAAATGTCTAATTAAATCCTGAAGATGTACAGGAGTTTGAAACGAGTGATTGATGCTCACGGAGGTGCGGCTTCCTGACAGAGGCTGCCTGACAGGGACTGCAAAGCCCGTTCAGCAACTGATGTCTTGTTGTGATCCATGTTGTCATTTTTTCATTACTGATTAAAATTAAAAATCTGCTTGGCAAATCCATTGTAAAAATTCCCTTCATGAGCATCGACGGGTACAAATTATTTTGTCAATCGTCTGGCAATCAAAATGGGGCTGGAGATGGTTTCTAGCCCACACTTCTTTATTATCTCCCTCTCGCTCACGCCAGTGACTTTTCACAACAAAGTTTTAAAAAGCGTAGGTAGCAGGCTTGGCAGCGCTTAAAAATTAAAGATTTCTCTCTATTTTTTAGTGAAATGTTCTGTTTGTGTGCACCCCCTCCCCCCACTGAGAGCGGAGGGGAAGGTTCGTGGTGGGAGAGTCAGTCTGCGCTCTGTAATTGTCTAATGCTGTGTAATGACAGGTGAATAATAGTAATAAAAGCCTTTATTAGGATAAAAATCTGTTTTGAGAATGGAAGCGTAAATTGTCTAAAACTGCGAGGCAGAAAAAAAATCTTGCTAACCTGCAAACTGAGTGGAAAATATTTACAGCAACTTCATTAGGATGGTTTTTGACTTGGTATCCACGTGTCATGCGGAGGATGAGGGAGGCGTGGGAAGGGAGGACATACAGGTGGCGTGGAGCTGTGCATGGTGTCCTGGGAGACAGAAGACCTGGATTCCAGGCTTAGCTCTGTGCTGGGTGCCCTGGGTAGGTCAGTTCCCCTCCCTGGACCCTAGGTTCCTATCTTGCAAGTAAAGTGATCGGCTCGCTTAGCCAGTTCCTGCATCCTCTCCGACACACGCTCTGCACATGTGTTTATTCATCTGAAGCCTGGAAGTCAGCAGGCATTTAAAGATCCTCAAGATTCATCCTCTCATGCATTCTGTGGTATGGGAAAGAGACCATCCCTGGGTTTGGAGCCTGAAGCGCTGCGCTGGAGCCTGGTCAGCCACGTATGTGTTCTGTGTCTTGAGGAGTTTACTCATGTCTTTGAGCCTTAGTCCCCTGAGTCTATGAGCAAACAGCCGAGGCACACCCAACACCATGCCTACCACATGGTAGGCACTGAATCTATGAAAAAAAAAATTAAAAAAATCACAATCAGGCATATAAAAAAATCTTTGAAGGCCTCTGAGTAAGAAGACTGTATGTGTGTGTTTCCCAGGGCCCCAGACCCCCAAAGCTCCCACAGGTGACTCCAACATGCCACTGGGTGCTTGTATTCTACTCAGTGGAGTTGGAGGCATCTGCTGTTGGCTGTCAGTATCTCCAGGGCAAGAATTGATCACATCTATTTTGGGATCCCCACAGCCCAGCCCATTGCCTTGCACCAACTAGGTGCTTTGCATATGATTTGGAATAAGGAATGAATGCCTGATGGAAGACGCTAGAAGGGAACACAGGAGCATGAACCTCCCCAAAGGAGGCTTGAACCAATTGCCTGGGCTGGGATCTCCACAGCATCCAGTTCTGATCCTCATAAGCATCCCTTCCAACTAACACGAGGGTCTGTATTCCAGGAGGAGACACTAGGCTCTTTCTGTGGTTCTCAGATGCATGAATGAATGGAGCTGCGAAAGGCATGTTTAGTACCTTCTAGAACTGTAACTTAGACTTCATTAAAAATATTTCATTTTGTGTGGATTTGTTTGTTTATAATTTATGCACTTCATTTTTCCCTTTCTTGCTTATAAAAACCTAAAGGTTTCCAATCTTCCAGGAAAGGGAGAAAAAGAATATATTTCAAAGGGATTGAGACTGCAGGGTCATCTTTAATAAAAAACAATATACCTTCTGTCTTTTTATAGACTTGTCTGCTTATTAAATACCTAGAACAAATCACCACATGGAGAAAGATTTTGGAAACAATTTAAATCAAGAGGTTCAGAATTCCAAATCTACATCCTTTTATAACTGAATTGGAATATTTATATCTCTTCACACATAGTTGGCATGGATGCCTCATACAGAGAATAGGCATATTGGAAGACACAAATAAATTCACATTTTCCTCCGTCTATAACACAGCAGGAACAGGGCGATTGGGAATAAAGACCGTGGGTATTTGAATGGTTAAAAAAAAATCCCTTTAATGATTGGGCAATTTTCTTTTGGATAATGGTTTATTCCATTTTATAAAATGATTTCCCCAAACCTATATTTTGTGGATATTTTGCTAATGTGCCAACCCGCAGCTGGAAAGATGGGAACGCTTTTTCTACACCCCTGAAATGTGAGCTTATGCATAAAGTGGCTGGTGAGAGTCCCATATCCAGGAACTCTAAGGGGCCAGGCTCTGTCCTCTTCACTTCTCAGTGAGGCTGATGCAGCGAGGCTGATGCAGACATTTGGGGGGTGTCAGCTGAGATTCTGTTGTCCATTTGCGCGTCCACCCATTCATCTTATGGACCCATCATTGTTGAACCAAGTTTAATTACATTAACCTTCCCCCCATAAACACTCACCGAGGACCTTGTGTTGTATGCTGGCAGTGAGAGTCCAGAAATGAACCAGACTCATCCTTGGCTAAGGAGGAACACCCAACCTAATTGGAGAGACAAAGGTGGAGAAGGAGAGAAGGCTGGGTAAGAGAAATTTAACAATAGGATATGGAGTGGGTCACTTTCGCATTCCATCCTAGTTGCAGAATCCATCAATAAACATTAATTCTAATTGATAGCTATTGCATGACCTAGGGCCGGGGTCAGCTGACAGCCCTCTATCACATACCACTTCTGTATCAGTGGCAGATATTACTAATTGATCATGGCACTCTCTTTTCACTTGAGCCAGGAGCAACCATCACCAGTCCATTGGAGTTGGCATGGGAGAGTCAGTCTTGGTGTTAGTTAGAGTCTGCTCATTGGGAAGGGCCTTAAGTTAGAAGTCAGGAGACAGGCCAACTCTCTGGGTAACACAGGTAAGCCTCTATTAAATGAGAGGATGACAGCTGATCTTTAAAGTCCTTTCCAGCCCTGACATGTTAGCCACAAGCAGCTTGTCAAGGACATCTTTAAGTTGGCATGCATTGGTTGAGGACCTATTGTGTGTGGGGACATGAGAAGTACAAGACACAGCCATTAAGGAGGAGATGGGCATGTCCTTGACCAATCCTAATAGCAGCCAGAGTGTGAAAAAAAATAATAGATGTTGGGTAAAGAAATCTGGGAGGTCAGAGAAGGAAAATACCAGTTACAGGGAAGACTGGGAAGGCTTCACAGAGGAGCTGGTGTGAAATCTAAGCCTCGATGGATGAAAAGGAATCCAATAAGCAGAGATTTGATTTGCCGTTAAAGTGAAGCAGTTCCTGCTCCTCCCTCCCACAGCTTCCATTTCCATTTCTTCATCTGCAAAGTGGCATGAGGTCGACTACCTCTAATCAAGATTGAACAAGACAATAGCTGTAAATGTGCCATGTAAATGATAATGTTTTAAGCAAATGTCTATTAGTATTCTTAGTCCATTCATTCATTCATTTTAGAATTGTTGAGCACCTACTCTATGCCAGGACTTTCTCAGACCCTGGGGATAAGGAGGGGAATAGGACAGGCCTCCTCTTCCCAGAAGTCTGCATTCTGGCTGGCATGCTAAATTTTGCTGGACATCCTAGGGTATGAGTGTACGAGTGTGACACTTCGAATTGTCTTTGGCAGTTGAGGAGATCACACGTGGTGAGTTTAATAAGCACGCGTCATGCAGTGCCTGCCTTAGTTTCTGGGATTTAGAGCAAATAACAATTTCTGGAAAATGGTTTGTCCTTAGAAGGTAGCTCTACTCTCCTGGAGACACCTCAGAATGGGTTTGCTGACGTGTGGGTGAGAATAAGAATCACCATCCTCAAGACAAGAAACAGGAGCTCATGTGGGTGGAGGGCTTAACATTGCCCCTGTCTCAGAGGGGCAATCTGAAGTCCTGGATTCCCTACCAGCTGCAGGGAACCTCACCACCACAGCCCCACCTGACTCTCCCAGGGGAGCCCACAAGTCTACTTTTATTGATGTTGGAACTAAGGGTTACCAAGGTGAATGTCTACCTCAAGGTCTCACAGCACATATGTGGCCCAGAGGCCACAGCTCCATGGAGCCCAGTTGAACAAGCCTGTCCCAGCCGGAATTGATTCCCGCACCAGCACGTTGCCTGTTTCTGAGCCTAGGCCTCATGGCAACAGTCAAGGATGGTCAGGGTTAGGAGTGTGAGTTTGCAGCCAGACTGACATGGGCCAAGTCCTGGC
The DNA here is from genome assembly GCF_000001405.40 of Homo sapiens. Taxonomy (NCBI): domain Eukaryota; kingdom Metazoa; phylum Chordata; class Mammalia; order Primates; family Hominidae; genus Homo; species Homo sapiens. Next base: position 99,058,971 of record NC_000014.9, on the reverse strand, counting down.
TTCACCACTTATTGTGTGAGCCAGGTCATGTCACCTCCCTGAACCTCAGTTTCTTCATCTGTAGACTGGGATTTATATGAGCTGACTTGTGAAGGGCTGTACGAATGATTGGTTAAAAGGAAGATGGAGCAAGCGCTTGAGCAGAGGCTGAGAGTGAGACCCGTGCTCAGAGCAGCTTTTCAGCAGGGGCCTCTCAGCCTCCCAGGAAAGGCTGCTGGGCTATTTTATAATCCACCCCCGAAGCTGACATCTCCAGGCCTGAGCGCACAGTGTCGCAAAATGCTTCCTTTGTCTCTGTTGGTGTTGATACATACTTGTCGTGGGTGATGTTCCCACTATCAGACATTTGGTGGAATCATGAACATCCATTCCCACCCCGCTTGATGCATTTTCATGTTTCTTCCCTAACAGGCCTGGGTGTGTCAGCTTTGGGGTCCCACCATCTTGGAGCCTGCGCTTCTGGTTTGCCTGTGAATGCAAGGTGTTTGGAGGCTGCCCAAACACCTTTGGCAGGCCTGGTGAGAGGCCTGGGTGTTGGGGTGACCCTTGTTGCTGGAAAAAAAAAAAGAAAAATCAAGGTCAAGGGCAAGAGTGAGGTCAGGGGCCTGTCCCCACCATGTGCCCATTGGCTTCTCTCTGCAGCCTCCTGTGCCAGTGAGGCTCCCATACTCTGGAGTTCTGGGTCTTATCCTACTACTTCTAACCCCATGCTCACAGTGAGCCTCTCCGAGCTTCAGTGTTTATGAAACAGGAACAATAAAAATCTCCACCCAGACATTAAACGATAGAATGGCACAATGCATGAAAACAGCTGTGCCCTGCGCTAGGGTCATGGTAGGAACTTGGGGAGAGTTGTAAGGTCTTGATGTCAGGAAATACGTGCCAGCTTCCAATTCTATGGTCTATGTCATCCCACTTAAAAAATCATAATAAGGCTTAGGGAGGGGAGTGCACAGGCGAGTGGAGCCAAAGCAGTTTGCTTTATCTGCCAGAGTCCTCTTTCTGCCTCGCCCACCTGAGCCCAGGTTCAAGGCTGCTGGGACCAGTGGAGGGCAATGCGGCATGCTGAAGATGGGTCTGAGGGTCTGACCAGAGACTTGGACTTTGGCCGGATAATCTGAGGCCTTGTGTCAGCCAATCACAGCCCTGGGTTTTACCAGTGGCTTCCTGTGGACCCTCCCTCTGGAAATGCACATTGGTTCCCAATGGCTGGAAGCATCAAGCATGTAAGGGCCCCGAACCTCAAAGAGGGTTTGGCAGCTGTGGCTTTTCTGGCAACAGAAGCTGTTGATTTATTTTCCAAGCCAAGTGGCTAGTAGAGTATGCCAACTACAACCTGCTATTAGAAGTTCCTTGCTGTGGTCTGTGTGAAGGCCCCAGGGGAAGGGCCCCACATGTGGCCATGTCCCAGGGTCTTTTCTTTCCTCCATCTGAACTCTCCCAGTCCCTTGTCCATCCCCTTGGTCAGCATGGGGCTGGGGCAGGAAATAAGGCAGGGGCTTCCATGAGAGTCTCTCTTACTCGCTGGACTGTGCAGACTCAGGGATATGCATTTCTGTTGATGTCATAGGCTGGGAACAGAGCTGGTGATCTGGGGTCCATGGATGGCTGTTGGCATTTGTGTCAGTCAGGTTAGGCTGGGTTATGCTGCAGTAATAAATAATTCCAATATCTTGATGGCTTAATCCAACATAGACTTACATCTTATGCATATTAAATCAACTGGGGGCTTGGCTGTGTTGCCCTCACTCAGGGACTCAGGTCAACAGAGCAACTGTCACCTGGAATGTCATCTATTGCCATTACAGGGTAAGTTGCACACTGGCTCATAAAGGTTCCGCTGGAGAGTGACACACATTACTATTGCTTACATTTCATTTGCCAAAGCCTGTTACATCGTCCACTTAACTTCAAGGCACCAGAAAAACTCCTATTATGTTCTCAGAGAAGAGCTCGGAATATTGGTATACTGTGTACTCGTGACTACTACACCATTGATGATTTGGCTCTGTGTCCTCATCCAAATCTCATCTTGAATTGTACTCCCATAATTCCCACATGTTGTGGGAGGGACCTGATGGAAGATAATTTGAATGATGGGCGGTTTCCTCCATACTGTTCTCATGTTAGTAAATAAGTCCGTGAGATCTGATGGTTTTATCAGGTGTTTCTGCTTTGCATCTTCCTCATTTTCTCTTGCCACCACCATGTAAGAAGTACCTTTCACCTCCTGCCATGATTCTGAGGCCTTCCCAGCCATTGGAACTGTAAGTCCAATTAAACCTCTTTTTCTTCCCCGTCTCGGATATATCTTTATCAGCAGTGTGAAAACAGACTAATACAACCATCTTGCTGGATCTCAGTTTCTAACTTTAGGGGAGTTGTCTTTTCTCTCTGAGTCTCAAAGCACCGACAGGTAAAGGAGGGAACATAATGTTTATTCAATAGGTTAAGGTGAAGGTTGGGATAATATATTTAAGAAATACTAAACACAATGCTCATTTCCTTGTAGTTCATCTGTAAATTGATGAATGAATGCTTGGCATAGACTGATGAGAAAAAAAATACCCCAGGACTTGGTTCAAGCCTTCCTGGGACTTACATGTAATGGTATGTATGTAATAGTCACATATGTAGAGGGGAAAATGACCTTGACAGGTACTTTAAAGGGGGAATGAGGTACATCGATTGCAGAAACAGCTCTACCTGCCCACCCTTTCCTGTATCCAAGCCCTTTGCAAAGTGACATTGCAGTTCCTCCCATTAAGAGGTGGCTGCTATTTCCCTACCGTTTGAATACAGGATGATCTGTGACTTGCTTTGTCCAATAGAGTGCAGAGAAAGTGATGCCGTGCCAGTTCTGATTCTAGGCCTCCAGAGGCCTTGCAGGCTACTGCCACCCCGTGAGGATGTGGCCAGGCAAGCCTGCTGCAGAAAAGAGACCACAGAGAGTACAGCAGAGCCGCAACAGCTGAAGTGTCATAGACCAGCCAACCCCCAAGCCAACTCAGCAGCGAAATGTTCATGCAAGAGCCAGTCCAGCTGAGATCAGCTAAGCCTGGCCCAAATTGACAGAACTGCTCAGTCATCTTACAGACAAACAGAAACCATGTATGGTTGCTGTGTTAAGTTTCAGGGTGGTTTTGTTACGCAGCCTTATTGTGGCAATACATGGCAGATGCAGAGAGATCCACGCTGTTATGAGAATGTATAATCAGAGAATTTGACTTATCTTGGAGGCCAGGTGGGGAGTCCCTGAAAAAAATCAAGACTGAGCTAAGCCCTGGTGGAAGAGTAGATGAGGTGTTAACTAGGTGAAAGGTAGGCAAGCACCTTCCAGCAGAGAGGATGGTGTGGGTGCAAATGCACAGAGTGGGAGGTGTGCGGCCCTTTCAGATGCTGAAAGGGGCCAGTGTGATGGGCGGCCACAGCAAGAATGTTGGTTCCCCATTCCAGGCCCCCATAAATAAGCCTTTTCATTTCCAGAACGTCCCACTTAGCATGAGCATTATTAATGATGCACGTTCTTTACTGTGGCCAGGGCCCATGTGTACATAAGATGGGCCTTGAGGGCTTCTGCTTTCCTGGGTGCCTGGGGAAATCAGCAGGTGACCCTAGTGTTAGAACTGAAAGGGCTCTTAGAGGCCGTCCAGTATAACCCGTCCTTTAACAACTGGGAAATGGAGCCTGGTGAGAGACTGTGACTGGCCTAACGTGTTCTAGGGAGGGCCAGGTATGTGTGAAACTACTCACTGCTTTTCTTCAAATGTAAGTCCCTGAATGACCAGGGTGAGTCTACAGAGCCCAGATGACTCAATGAGCAGTTTCAAAGGAATGTCCACAGCAGTTGCAGATGAAACCATTATAGAGGGGAGCGACAGTTCTGTTTAAATATCTACCATATGTCAAGTGCTACTTGAGGAGCTTCATAAAGACCCTTTTATTTAATTCTTTTTGCAACTCTATGGGGTAGGTGGCTTTTGTTTTAATTTTATTTTATTCATTTGATACACAGGGGAACTAAAATCCAGAGAGATGAAATAATCTAAGTTTCTACAGCTAACAAGTCACAAGGATTTCCCTGACTTCAAAGTCCATCTTTTCTTCACTCCAACATGCTGCCTTATAAACCTAATTCTTTTCTGATGGAATTGTTTGATGTTTTTGTTGACTGTGGGGGATATTAGATGTAGCAGATATTTATTATTTTTTGGTACGTCAGCACTCAACCTTGATCTCTCCTTGGGAGCAGTTTGCCATTGCAAGCCCTCCTGGGTGGGAGCTATTCCCGCAAATTCTTTTCCCCCATTGGGCTCTGCCTAAGGAATACAGCAACCAGGCAGAAGACAGCAGTTACACAAAACATTCTGAAATTCATTCCAGTTGGTTTCTGTGATCCCATGCCTAGAAAATGTACACAATTCACTGAGCAACATAGCTCGCCCTAGGCCCTTGTACTTGGTGGAAGTCAGCCTTTGTATTTCTCTCGAAGTGGTTTAATTCTTAGTGGATGAACTATCAGTGTATAATTGGGAGTAGGTGCCAGAGTGTTTCTATCTAAAGAAGCCCAAACTGTTGTGAGATCTTCAGTTTCCAGGGTTAGATCAATGCAGCTTGACTCAGCTCAGTGGAGCCTAGCACAATTTAGCACAATTAAATTCAGCTCGGTGGACCTCAGCTCATGTTACCTTAGCTGGCCAGGCTCAGCTCAACTCAGCTCAGAGCTCACATCAGCTCAGCTTAGCCCAACATGCTGTCTTTAACACCGCCCAGTTTGGCTCAATTCAACACCGCCCAACGGTACTCACCTTACTCAGTTCAACCCTACTCAACCTAATGGAGCTCAGTTGGCCACAGCTTTGTTCAGTCAATCACAGAGGCATTTATTGAGCACCAAAGCTGGACACTCTGAAGGCTGTTTCATCCAGGAACTCATAATTTAGTCACTGAAACAGTTTGCATATAAGGAAGAATGTTTATAGTAATCCATAAGCGAAGACTATGAAAGCTGGATGGAAGAGACATCTACTCATCACTGAAGATGTTGAGAAAGCTTCTTGAAAGTCACGTTATTTCAGGTAAAATTTAATTTTGACTAATGATGAAGAGCTGGGGCAAGAAGGCAGTGCAGAAAGAGGAAATATCCTGGTATTAGGTTGGAGCAAAAGTAATTGCGGTGGTTTTTGCCATCACTTTCAATGGCAAAAACTGCCGCAATTACTTTTACATCAATCCAGTTAATGCCTGGAAGTGGTGGAGTAAATGGAATGACTGGGGAGTGGGTGTAGAGTGAGTGTCACAGGAGAAAACACTCAAAGGCGGGAAGGGGTGAGATTCAAGGCAGCTCTGAGTGGCATGCTCAGGAGTTTGGACTTTTTCTGTCAGAATAGTAATCTACTAGGCAATTTCATTTTATTCTTACAAAAATCCTGGGAACCATTTAGGTTAGGGATGCTAATTCCCATTTTACAGATGAAGAAATGGAGGCTTAGAGAAGAAGTTAATGCCTGTCCAGGTAGAGGATAGTCGAGTTGGAAATTAAACCACTTGGAGAGAGCAGTATCCTTTTTATTTTTATATCCTTGGGCCTACAGCTGGTATTCAAGAGCTGGAGTAGGGTGTGATTCAAGCTATATTTTCATACCGTAGATTTCCAGAGAGCAGAGGAGGGATAGGAAGTGGTTGACACAGGAATATAGTTAGAAGAGAATGAGAAGAGAATGAGTATCTGGCAAAAGGTAGGTGCCTCAGGGATTACGGAGGGTAAGTGTTTGCTAAACACATGTCTTCAAGTTCTCACAAAGTGTCTTGCAGTATCTAGACCTCATTTAATTGAGTTCTAAGATCATGGTCTCAGTTTTCCAAGCCTCTTAACCCTTCTAGAACCTCACATTTTTCATCTGGAGAAATGAAGTTTATAATACAACTCCCCTAATGATTGTTAAAGTGTAAATGAGATGCAAGTGATTAAAAAATAAAATGCTTTCAAACCTAAGAAAAATATAGAGTATTGTAACAAATACCCATGTACACACTATGTAGAATAAATAAATATTATTGTTTCACTAAATTGGCTTTGGTTTTTTTGTTTGCTTTGAAAACAAAATCTTTGACAGATTGTTGTGGCATTTGTATCCCTCTCCAAATCTATTCTCCTCATGCTTTGTCTAAGGTACTATGCTCTCAAATTGTATGTGTCCCTTTCAGTAGCTTTACTAAACATGAACATATCTATAAACAACAAATGGTATTGTACGTGTGTTTTAAACCTGTATATACATGACATCATACCATATCATTCTACAACTTGGATATTCTAATAGATGATTTTAATCCATTTACATTTATTGTGATTCTAGGACTTATTTTTTGTTTTCTAAATATATACTTTTGTTTATTACTTTTTACAGTCCCTTTATTTGCCATCTGTTGCAAAGGGTAGCAAACTATGGGCTGTAGGCCAAATCCAGACACGTATCTATTTTTGTAAATAACATTTTATTGAGACATTGCCCTTTACATTCTGTCTTTGGCTGCATTTTCACTACAGTGGTGAAGTTGAGTACTTTTCACAGAGACTGTATGGCTACCAAAGATGAAAATATTTACTATCTGGTCCTCTACAGAAAATGGTTGATAATCCCTGTCTACAGCGTTGATTTTATTTTTTGTAACTACTTGTTTGGAAGTAATACATTCTACATATTTTTTTTTAGCAGTTGCCCTCCCACCCCAAATTTTAAGGTGAATATTAACAAAAATCTACAGCTATCTCTATCCTCTTCCCTAACAATTTATCTCACAGCTCTTTAATTCTGAACTCTCCCTCCATTTAAAAAATATTATTGATGTTTAATATTTTAGCTCTACCTTATTTTAACCCTTACATTAGTCATCCTTTTTTTTTCTGCAGTTAATACTTATTTAGCCTTATAACACATTTACCAATTTATGGTCTCACATTGCTTCTTGTAGTCCCATCTTTCTTTCTGGTTTTTAAACAATTCGTAAAGTACTTAGTCATCAAAGATTGTACAGTATGTACAAAGTTTTTCTCTTTGCTCTTGATGTTTGATAGTTTCACTATATTTTATATTACTTAAGTCAATATGAGGCCTCACAGTTTTTTCTTCAATTCTGAAAAATTGTCAGTTCTTAGCTCTTCAAATATCTCTCCCACATTATTTCTTGTTTTCCTCTCTGCAACTCATATTAGACATAGTAGAGAGAACTGTATGAAATTGATGAGAGCCGACAATTTTTGACCTGTAAAAATAGTTTCACTTAATATATTGAAGCTTCTTCGCATACATGATTTGATACACATATACACATTATGTAATCATTATCATAGTCAAATTAGTTAACATATCCATCAACACCCATGCTACACATTAGATCCCCAGAACTTGTTCATTTTATAACTTAACATTGTACCCTTTGACCAACATCTCCCTATTTCCCTCATTTCCCAGGCCCTGGTAAACACTGTTCTACTCTGTGCTTCTATGAGTTTGACTTTTTTAGATCCTGCACATACATGAGGTCAAACAGTATTTGTCTTTCTGTGTCTGACCTGTTTCATGTAGCATAATGTCCTTCAGTTTTATCCATGTTGTTGCAAATGGCAGGATTTCCTTCTTTTTAATGGCTGAATAATATTCCACTGTATATCACATTTTCTTTACTCGTTTATCTGTTATGATATAGAAACTTAGGTTGTTTCTATATCATTGCTATTGTGAATAATGCCACAATAAACATGGGGGTGTGCAGATATCTCTTCGAGATACTCCTTTGGGTACATACCCAGAAGTAGAATTGCTAGATCTCATGGTAGTTCTATCCTGAGTTTCTTGAAGAACCTCCATCCTATTTTCCATGGTGGCTGTACCCATTTACATTCCCACCAACAGTGTGCAAGTGTTCCTTTTTCTCCATACTCTCACCAACACTTGTCTTTTTGACGATAGCCATTTTAACAGGTGTCAGGGGATGTCTCACTGTGGTTTTGAACTGAATTTCTCTGATGCCTGGTGATGTTGAACACCTCTTTCTGACTTTGGTTCCCTTCTTTTCATAGTACTTTTATTTAGTGCAAATCTGTGGCTGATAAATTGTATGCCTGAAAATGTCTTTTTCAGTTCTCACTCTGGAATAGTGGGCTGCTAGTACCTTCTGTAAGCCTTTCACAGATTGTACCACTGCCTTTATTCTTGAAGGGTGCTGACAAGAGGTCTGCTGTTTTTCAGTCCTTCCTGTCTTTTCTCTCTGGTGACTTTAAAGCTTTTCTCTTTGTTCTTGACATTTGATAGTTTTACTATATTTTATATTACTCAAGTCAATATGAGGCATCATGGTTTGTTTTTTTTTTTACCAATTCTGAAAAATTGTCAGTTCTCAGCTCTTCAATTATCTCTCCCACGTTCTTTCTTGTTTTCTTCTCTGCAACTCATATTAGACATAGTAGGTAGAGCTGTATGACATTGCTGAAAGTCAACCATTTTGACCTATAAAGATAGTTTCACTTAATATATTGGTGCTTCTCTTTTTGTCATGCAGAACTCAAATTATTCTCTCATATTTTCCAGTTATTTATCTCTCTTTTTCCTGTATCCTGTGTGATTTCCCAATGTCTGTGTTAGAGTTCAATATTTTTGCTTCTATGTGTCTAGTCTTCTGTTTAACCTGCCTTTTGAACTTTTCTATTTTAATTATTACATTGTTCATTTCTAGAATCTCCTTTTAGTTCTCTTCAGATATGCCTTTTCTTTCACATACTATTTTGTTCTTGTATGTATTTCTTGGTTTGTATTTCTTCCTGTCTCTCTTCAAAGATTTTAAATATGCTTATTTTAAAGATTTTTTTCCCAAAATTGTCTTTTATTTCTAGTTCTTAAGGTGAACTTCTCTCCTTTGCTACGTCTTTTGATGGTACCATACCTTAGGGTGTTTTTTTGTTTTTTGTTTTTTTTTTTTTGTTTGGATGGATTATAATATTTTATTGTGAGCTCATCTTCAGTGGGGGTAGTAGCTTTCTCTAGAGCTTGGTTTTCTAGTTTTAGAGGTATCACTTCTGAGTAGTTTTACATTTGCCTCTGCTAGGATCTTGTGTGTTTTGTCAGTTCTGGACCAATTTGGAGTAATGTTTTAGCTTATAGTTTCATGGGTGAGCAATGCTTTCTGGTCCCTGGTTTTGTGCAGAGGCTCAGAGACATATCTCTGCCTCAGTTCAGCCTGAAGTCTCATCTCCTCTCTTAGTCTCCAGTTCCTATAATCAAGTCCAATATCCTGTGACGTGTTCATTTTCAGCTTCCATCAATTACTCCAGTTTGAGTTTTATCTTCACTTTGAGCTCTTGGAGATTTTTCTTTCCTTGCTTTTAAGCTTGGCTTTGTATTTGAAGAGTTTTTTGTTGTATTGTATCCAATATTTTTATTTGTTTGGGCTGGGGATGGGCAGAGTGGACAGTCCGTCTGTGCCAGCTCAGTCCACCATATGGACCGGGCATCTGAACATCCACATTATTTTTATGAATATCTTTATTATCATGATAGAAGCCTCATAAGTCACCAGAAATAAGACAATTGCTATAAAACCACTCTGTAAACTGTAAAGTTCTCTATCAATAGATGGTGTGAGGTGCTCAATATCCATTCCTAGAGAAGGTATTTAGGAATACCATCTATTTATTGGACTGAGTGAGAGAGCTGCCTGTATTTGCCATCTCAGCTTTCTCATGTATCTAAGTCATCCAAGTGACCTCCACTGGCCAATCCAATGGTCATCAGTCTTCTCTGTGATCCTGTTTGCTCCTTTTCGAAACTCTTTCTTTTCAATGCTTCCAGGACATCACACTCTCTTATTCTCTCCCACTCCCTTACTGGCCGCTGTATCCATGCTCCTTTATCCAGCTTCTAAAGTTTGCGTGTTCCTGGGTTCTCTTTCCTTCTCTGGCTGCCATCCATCCATGGCCGCACCTCCAAGCTGTATCCTGAAGTTAATATGCTTCTCTCCAGCTCCATTGTTCCCACAGCAGCCCATCATCTTTTGCCTGGACTGAGAAAGTCTCTTAACTGATCTGTGTTTTTCTATTATACTTATTTTGCTATTATCCTTTCCCCATCTAGCAAGCAGAATCAGAGCGCAGGTTAGACCCTGGAATTCCATAGCTGCAAACCCATCAGTATCTTCCTGTTGGGCCTAGAATAAAGCCCAATGCAGCCCCTCATCATGCTTTTTAAGGCCTCACCCGATATGCCCCTGCATCTCTCTGTAGTGTCACCTCTTCCACCTCCTGGTGCTTCCACATGCCCTGTCCTGGCCCTCGCAGTTCCACTCCAGGGCTTTTGCCAGTTCCACTCCAGGGCCTTTGCACTTGCTAATCCTCCTGTCTGGATCACTTTTCGCCCAGCCACTTTTACATGTCTACTTCCTTCATTTCATTCAGCCTCAGTTTGAATGCCAGCTCCTCAGGGAGGCCTCTGCTGGTTCCTGGTGCTGAAGTAGCACAACTCCTCCCTGCAGTCACTACTTTGCTCTTCAAGACATTGTTATCTAACATAATCTCATTTATTTCTTAACTTACTCATGGCCTGCTCCCCCAGCAGGAAGAACGTGGGCTCTACTGGGACAAGGGCTGGGTCTGCCTTGTTCATTGTTGATTTCCAGCATTGAGAACCATGCCTGGTCCTTTGTCAGTTCTTAATTTTTTTTCTCCAAAGTGGTGAATTGATTTTATGCTTTATCTCTTGCAAATCTCTCAACCACCCTACAAAGTAGAAATTCCTGTGCCCATTATAGAGATGAGGAAAGTGAGAATCAGAGAAGCATGATCCCCAAGGTCCTAGAGCCAGGAAGAGGCAGAGCCAGGCCTCAGGTTTTCCTGGCTAGATCCAATGTCCCTGCTCATTCTCTCGTATCAAATTGCCTCTTCTGAACAGATTTGGGGTTTGGGTGCAGAGGTCAAGACACAAACAGTTGTTGAGTCAGGATGTCTCTTTTGTTTGAGAACAAAACCTTTTCTTTAAGCCAACGAGAAGAACATTCAAGTCTCCGACGTCCCGCACCGGATGACATGCTTCCTTGAAAATGCCCACACAATGGTCGGCATTATGCACAGGCATTTTTTTAATCAACTCTGTTTTGGAGTCTTTCGAACCATAAAAAGATCAGTGTGAAACCACAGAACTTCTATGTTTCTTGCACTCTTAAAACTAAAGAAAAATAAGGTTGCGAGGGGGGAGGTGGTGGCTGGATTATTTGAACCATATTTTGCAAACGCTAGCTTCTCTCGCACTCTGAGGCAGCTGGTGCCAAGTTGCAACTCGCCACAAATTTTTATGGTCCGAGTTATTAACCTTTGCAAACAGCTGCCTGCAGTGGAATTACTGACAGGGCCCAGATCCCTGGGCAGGAGTAGGGATCACTGCAGGGCCTACCGAATGCAGAGATTTCCACCCTGGCTCTGGATATGTCATCTGTCCTTTGACTGCACATGCTCACTTGTGCCGCAAATAATTTCCTTGTTCTCTCATTCACTTGAGAATTTTGGGAATTGGCACTAGCAGTACATTGGCCCATAAGTTAGCTCCAAATGAGGGGAGGATGCATCTTGATTGCCTGCATTGCCTGGAAATAGTGTGGAGTCAGGCAAAAGGATTTCTGGTCTGATGGACTAGATCCCTGGCTTCAGTGACCAACTCACAACTCACAAGCATTAGCTGTGGGCCAATGCTTTATCTGGGGCCCATCTTCGGTTCCCTTGTCTGTAGAATGGGCCTTCTAATCTTGCATTCTAGGCTGGGCATGAGGATGAAATGTGATGGAGTGTGGGAGACAGCATGAACTGCAGAGTTGATGAGACCCAAGACTGGATCCCAACACCAGCTCCTACCACCTGTGAGATCCTAGACTAAACTTCTCTTAGTCTGTGTTTTCCCGTCTTCCTCCCTGGGTTATGCAGAAGTTTAAATGAGATAATGCACATAAAAGTTTTGGCACAAAGCCTGGCTCCTTGCTCTCAATAAATAGAGATCATTTTTGTCTTGTTCCTGATAACCAACTCCCCCAATAGTGAATGGTGCTGGGCATGACCTGGAGGAGAATCGGTAGTATTTTGAATGTGTTCTTAGGCCATCTGGCCAACTTTTAAAGTTTTCTGGGTTGGTGATCATGAAGAGGTTTGTGTGTATCTGTGTGTGTTTTACTTAAACTCTGAGAGATTGGGGAAAAAAAAGAAAAAAAACCCCTTTGTTCCATGGAGAATGTGTTTCAAAGAAAAAGTCATCAGCCAAGAATATTCAGACCCTTTTGTTGTGTGTCGAAGAGATGATTATTTTGTAGGCTCTGGGGCACTTAAACTCTGTCCAGAAATTCCTTTGGTAAATAATAATAATAAAAAATATCCTTAGGAAATAATAGAGGGGATTTAGCAAATGCCTTTCTTTCAGCAATCTCAAAGGCGTTCATGCAATTTCAGGGCTTTAGTGATTTTCTTAAAAGGGTTTGACTTTCTTTCCTGCATCAGCCGGAGGCATGTTCACAGGAACTGTAGAACTCTAGAGCTGGAATGGATCCTAGGGGTGATTTTGTCCAGCCTGTCTGCTATAGCAATAGGGGAAACCAAGGCACAGGTAAGTGATGACACAGCTGTGATACCAGGGCTCGAATGCAGGACTCCTAATAACCACCCAGCACTCTTTCTGACTCTGCAGGCTTCCTGACTTCTGTGAGTTCCACATTCTCCAAAAGGCATCTGAAGACTGACAGTAGATTGACATTTGACATGTGTTTGCTCACTGCATCGTTGAGCTTTCACCTGTGTAAGTTTAACAGAAGCAGCCGGTGAACAATGAGAGTGTGGACTTCCTCCTGGGGCTCCTGTGCTGGGGCTGTGAGTGTCCAGCCAAGCAGAGGACCACTTCTGGCTCTGGAGTCAGACTGGCTGCTTATTTGCTAGCTGTGTGGCCTTACGCAATTCACCCAAGCATGACGGATCTCTTTGCCTTACCTTTTTTTTTTTTGAGACAGAGTCTCACTCTGTCACCCACTGGCACAATCTTGGCTCAATGCAACCTGCAACCTCTGCCTCACCGGTTCAAGCGGTTCTCCTGCCTCAGCCTCCCAGGTAGCTGGAATTACAGGCACGTGTCACCATCACACCCGACTCATTTTTGTATTTTTAGCGGAGACGGGATTTCACCATGTTGGCCAGACTGGTCTCAAACCCTTCACCTCAGGTGATCTGCCTGCTTCGACTTCCCAAAGTGCTGGGATTAAAGGCATGAGCCACAGCGCCCTCCCTGCCTTACCTTTAAAAGGTAATAACTAGTTACTTGGATAGGATTTTTGGATAGACTTAAAAACCCACACACCGTGGTCCTCCATCCCTAAAGCATGGGGTGTCATGATCTGCACGTGTCAAGCCCGTCTCTCCAGTTCAGGAAATGCCTGTCAGCAGACCATCTTATTTTTGACTCATTCTCCATTGAGCCTGTTCATTCATTCATTCATTCAGCAAACATCTTCTGAGCCCCACTGTGTGCTAGGCATTGGGTGGACTTGGTAGCCAGGACAAAACACGAATCCCGACATTATAGACCTTACTGAGGAAAAACAGAGCAGCAAATCACGGCTGCCACCACCACAAAAATGTGTAACTGTCTGGTTGACATAGGTTATGCTGCTGTAACAAACATCTCCCACAGTTCATGGCTTAAACACTACATAAGCTTAGTTTCTTCTTTTCTTTTTCTTTTACTTTAAGTTCTGGGACATGTGCAGAATGTGCAGGTTTGTTACATGGGTATATGTGTGCCATGGTGGTTTGCTGCAACTATTGACCTGTCCTCTAAGTTCCCTCCCCTCACCCCCTACCCCTCAACCGGCCCTGGTGTGTGTTGTTCCCCTCTGTGTGTCTGTGTTCTCATTGCTCAACTCCCACTTATAAGCGCGAACATGTGGTGTTTGGTTTTCTGTTCTTGTGTTAGTTTTCTGAGGATGATGGCTTCCAGCTTCATCCACGTCCCTGCAAAGGACATGATCTCACTCCTTTTTATGGCTGCATAGTATTCCATGGTGTTTATGTACCACATTTTCTTTATCCCGTCTATCATTGATGGGCATTTGGGTTGGTTCCATGTCTTTGCTACTGTAAATAGTGCTGCAATAAACATATGTGTGCATGTGTCTTTACAGTAGAATGATTTATAATCCTTTGGGTATATATCCAGTAATGGGATTGTTGGGTCAAATGATATTTCTTGTTCTAGATTTTTGAGGAATCACCATACGGTCTTCCACAATGGTTGAACTAATTTACATTCCCACCAACAGTGTAAAAGCGTTCCTATTTCTCCACAGCCTCGCCAGCATCTATTGTTTCTTGACTTTTTAATAATTGCCATTCTGACTGGAGTGAGATGGTATCTCTCTGTCGTTTTGATTTGCATTTCTCTAATGACCATTGATGATGAGCTGTTTTTCATGTGTTTCTTGGCCGCATAAATGTCTTCTTTTGAGAAGTGTCTGTTCATATTCTTTGCCCACTCTTTGATGTGGTTGTTCGTTTTTTTTATTTTTGCTTTTGCTGCATGTCTGACACTGGTCAGCAGGAGGGCTCTGCCATAGATACTCAGAAACCCTGGCTAGGCAGAATCGCCCCAATTGGGCCTTCACCATCACTGAGGCAGCAAAAAGGGAATATGAGAATTGTACATGAGTACATGGCTTCGAGAGCTTCCACCCAGAAGTGACACACTTTACTTCCACTCAGATTTCCTTGGTCCAGGAAAGCTACACGGTCACAATTAGTTCAAAGGAGGTGGGGACATGCAATCCTACAATATACCTGGAAAGAGAGCTGGCATATCTGTGAGCCTAAATTTCCCCTTCTGAAAAAACAGGGGGTGGGGGGAGGGCCAGCTGGCCTTTCCTTTCTGGCTGTGGCATCCAAGGTCTGAGCTCTGTGCATGCAGAGGCAGTGTCAGGTCCTGTCTCTTTGGGGGTGGGAACAGAGCTCACTCCTGTTCACCTGCAGGGAGTTGGCGGAGAAGTGGGTGCAGCCAGGGTGTAGAACTAATTTGGGTTTCTGATTTCCAGAGAGATGCCTTTATTTTGGGCCTTCTTTCCCTTCTGCTCTGAAATTCTGGCAGAAGTATTTTCAAGGTTATGGTTATTACATCAATTATTTTTCTAATTTCTTTTTTGAGTGAAATCCATTTTTGCAGAGTGAAGAAAGAGTGGTGTGAAAGGGGTTTAACAAGTGATGGGAAGCCATAATTTTGGCAGGAGAAATCGTGACACTTTCAAAATGAGTAATTACGGACGGGGTGTGCTTGAAACCAACTTTCACAGCAAATTCCCCTGCTGTTTCCAATTGGATTTGCTGGTTAGTTTTAATTCTTGCCTTGGCTTTTTCCACTGTTGCTGGAAATCCTTCCCCCGTGGCTGTCGGCCCCTCCAGAAGTGGCCACATTTCTAATGCCAGGGAACTCACGGGGGGCATTTTGATATATGAACTTGGAGACCTGTCTCTTATGCAAATCCCAGGCCACTACCTGGGGGTGTGCCAGGGACCTCCTTGGAGGTTTTATGACTGAACTAAATTCCAAACGACAGAAACTTAACCCCGTCAATTTGGGGTCACCTCCCTCCCTGGAGATGAGCCTGCATGCTAAGGAGCTTGTAGCAGGGCTAGGCATGTCCACCTGTAGCCATCGTCTGTCCACGTTGACACTGCTGACACCTCCTTTTCTCTTATGTGGTTTGACCATGTTCCTTGCCTTCCAAGAGAAATCCTCTCCCAGTCACTTTCGGGCCAGCAGAGAGTCCCGGGAGCACTTGAGAGCTGTTGGTGGCCTCCCCAGGCCCTCCTGCAGCCACAGCCAGGTTGCTGTTGGGCTTGCCACTTCCCTGGGTTCTCCTGGGGAGTGGAGCAGAGCTGCACTCTATTCTTAGATGGGCCAAACTCCTCCTCTGCCACCCTTTTCTCCATAGAAAATGCCCATACCCGCCCTTCTGACTTTCTCTTTGGCTCAGACCATTTGCTCCCTTGGTTGGTCTTCATCCTCCGTGATAGGGCTTATGGGGAGGCGTCAAGGCTGAACAGACCTGGTCTGGGTTTGAACAACCCCTCGGGCCTGTGGCGGGAGCGGCAGATCCTCGGGTGTGCTCCTTTACTGTGGGGGGGGGGGGGCGCTGGCTCCTGATGGAGCCTGGTGGGACTGCTGAACCTCACTTGGGTCTGCACCCTCACCCTGGGCCACCCTCCTCCCCTCCGCCTGGCAGGCTCGTCCAGGCTGGCTCAAGCGTCACCCCTCGGTAGCTTCCCCTTGCTCCCCTGCTCCATGATGTGTCAGCATCCACAACTCAGAGCACTTGTTATGTTTGAGTCCAGGAGGTTAGCCAGCTGGGGGCGTGTCTTCTTGTATCAGTCAGGGTTGGGTCAAAGAAGCAGAACCACTAGAAGGTACATGTGAGTACAGACAGAAAGGGATCTACACCTGGGTTTTGACCGCAACCTCATAGCTGCGGGGCTGCTGGAGCAGTCCCTGTAAATCTGTTGCTTTGGTGTCTGATGCTGGAGCTTCAAGTTTGCAAAGCAGGTAGTTGGGCAGAAGAGTGGGAAGTGGGGGGTCAGGAGTCAGCCAGAAGCACACACAGAGCTGAAACGGAGGAGGACAGACAGGAATCTGTGTTGGCTTGTGCTGCCACCATTCCTGATGATGTTCTTCAGGGTGTCCTGCCCAGAGAAGAAGCAGACGCCTTTCAGCTTGGAGCTCAACACATGCCTGGCCCAGGAATGAAAGAGCTGCAGGAGCACCCTGTGGGAGGTGGAGCAGGTGCAGGCCTTAGTGCTGCCCACCTCAGGGAAGCCGGCCTGCAGATAGGCAGCACATGTGGCCTGCAGAAAGGCCTGTCCCGGACGGCTGAGCGTGGACATAAAAGCAGCTGCCACTTCACCGCCACCCTTCAAATCCATATGAGGATGTATCTTGGGCCTCATCCTGACTGGACACCTCCAGAGAGCAGAATTCTGGGAAATGTAGTCCAGCCTCACCAGGCTGGTGCATCCCCACCTGCCACATTCCTCCATTGGCCTTGAACTGCTCAGCAAGAGGCATCAGGTCTAGTTCAGGACATTTCATTTATTCAACAAACTTTTGTTGAGCCCTTACTATGTGGCAGCCCTGTGTCACGTGCTGGCAACACAGAGATGAATCAGGCCCAAACCCTGCCCTAAGGACCTTCTAGATTGCTGGAAGGGATTGGCTCAGAACCAGGCACCACTCATGCAGATGTTACCACAGAGATGGTGTGGAGCTGTGTCCATGGTGGCTGGAGGTACGGAGCCAGGCTGGGGAGAGGTGGGAGGCCAGCAGAGGCTTTTCAGAGGAGGGCCTGCTTGAAGGATGGAGCAGGAGTCGAACAGGCAGAGGAGGAGGTAAGAAGGTTCCAGGCAGCAGCACGTGCAAAGGCCCTAAGGAATAAGGAGGCACTCACATTGAGAAGCCCAGTCTGGCCAGAGTGCAGAGGGTGAAAGGCCTTGGCTGAATGAGATGTGAGGTGGGAAAGGGCAGTGTGGGCCAGCATCTGCAGGGGCTTGGGCTCCTGGCAAAGGAATTTGCCGGAGTGGGTGGATAAGGGGGTTTGCTGCTGGGTGTCCAGGGGTCAGATGGAGGCTTTGGAAGGTCCTTGGTGCAGCAGACCTGCCCTGAATGGGAGGGGGAACAGTGCAGGGGGGCTGGTTGGGGGTCAGTATGGTTTTCACCGGGAGCCACGGTGGCGGCCTCCACAGATGCATGAAGGACAATAGACTTAATTATGTCACTGTCCTTTGCAGTCTCCGAAGGAAATAACAAAAACCACAGGGGAAGGCCTGCAGTCCTCGGGGAAGACGAACAGTTCTGTCTAAAGGCTGACTTTATTTTCACACTCCAAGCTCCCACTCCTATCACTGAGGTGGTTTGGGGGTGGGGCAATGGCCTAGGCACATGCCGTGCCCACCTGCAGGAGGGGAGTGGGTCCCCAGACACCCTTGTGGTTGCTCCCCGACCGAGCAGGGAGAAGGAGTGCGAAGGAGGCTGGCGGGAGGGCTCGGAAGTTGGCCGAATGGAGGAGTTTCCACATGCAGGCCACGCCGGCCCGAGTGTTCCTCTGCCTCTGGCCACTGATGGCCAGATCCATGGGCTTCCGTCCTGGCGCAAGCATATCAGCCATCAGAGGGCACCCACGAAGGCCTTCGCTCCTGACATCGGCCTTTTATATAACGTGCTGCAGCCATAATAGAATTCTCCTTAAATTTCAAACAGAAATTTTCATCTGAAGTGTTTTGGGAAGGGTATTATTACGGAGCTTCTAATTCCCACTGCCGCTAAGTACGTATTAATAACAAGGAGAGGTATAGAAACTGCAGCTCCAGCCAACAGCACTTGACATTTAGTAGATGAATTAACGTTTATAGTGAAATGGGTTTTTAGCTAGTAATATTAGAGGTCTTTGTTCCCAGCTTTTCTTTCGCGGTGCCTTCGTTCTCGCCGTGTCTCTGTCTCCTCTGCTCCCTTTCCTCCCTCTTGGCGTCGGGCGTCTTTGTGTCATGCATTTGCGTGCTCTCCCTGCCTCTTGTTTTTCCCGGCACGAGCCCAGCTCACATGCTCTCTGGAGCAGTCCCCCAGCATTGGCGCTGAGCTCTGGTAAGAGAGGCAGGGGACAGGGAGGTGAGTGACAGGCTGCACTGATCCCCCGTCCATCCCTGTCTGCAGCCAGGCTCCCGGGAAGGCGCTGGGCATCGGAATTGGGCTGCGGCTCTGCTACAGGTCCTCATGGCTGGCCAGGCTGCTCTGCTCACCTCTCTGAGCTGAAACTTGCCTTCTCTCCAACGGGGAATTACCTACCACTTATAATTGTGAATCTATGAAGTGAAGTGATGCAGCCTGACTTCTACAGGCTCTGGCACTTGGAGATGATTCTTAAATGCAGTTTTCTCCCAGTCTGTCCTCTCCGGGATCAGGACTCAGGAGCTGGCCCAGGGTATGAGCACTGGACGGGGAGCAGGAACCCTGGTTTGGACCCAGCCCGGTGACCCACTCACCTCGGGACCCTAAGAGAGGTGCTTTTCTGCCTTGGCCCTCAGTGGCCCATCTGTGAAATGAACTGGGTTAAGGACACATGTAGCGAGTCCTTTTCAGGTCTTCATTAGAGAGTCGCGACTGGGCAGCCACAGAGGACGGAGGATGGGAAGGAGAGGAAAGACTCAAAGGCCAGCAAGGAGAGAGCAGGCATCCAGCACTGGGGCCAAGATTTTACTTCCATCCTTCTCCAGGTTCTTACCCAGCCTCTGCCCCCACCAAATCTTTCCCAAGGGCAGGTCGTGCCAGCCCTGTAGCCTGTAGGGAGGAGAAAGGCCCCAGGCCACCCAGTTGAAACTGTAGTTGAGGCAGGAGGGTAGAGGGTGAGGGGAAGGCAGGCAGACGCTGCTAGTCCAGCTGTGAGGCCCACCAGGGAAGAGGTAGGACGGACAGACACGCTGTGCCCCCCAGGGGCCTCCTCTTCCCCTGGTTGTTGGGACCATCTCCTCTGTGTGAGCTGTGAGAAGCAACTGTGTCATCTCATGGTACTCTGGCCCCTCATTCCTCAGGGCAGATACAGAGACCCCAGTGGGGCACCCTAAGACCCTGGGGGGTGGGTAGGAGATGGGTCCACTTGATAGAAGGAATGTAGGTTCCTTGCAGCCAGGCCAGCCCCCCACTCACCTCCCCTTCTCTACCACGGACGGAGGTGTGAGTCAGAAGTAAATTCTGGCTGTATTGAGACCCTGAGATTTGAGGTTGTCTGTTATAGCACCTAGAATACCCTAAGGAATACGGGGAGAGGGAACCCCAGGGGGCGAAAGTTGACATGGATTAATTGTGAAAATCCATTTCTTATCAAACAGGATTATTTTGGGTACAAGTGACAGAAACCCCACTTGAAATGGCTTAAGGATAAAATGGAATGCATTAAAGTCCAAGGAGATAAGTCTAGCTTCAGGCATGGCTGGATCCAGATGTTCAGACACAGTGACAATCACCCCCACCTGACTCTCCCTCTCCCTCTCCCTCTCCTTCTCCCTCTCTCTCTCTCCCTCTTTCTCTCTCTCCCTGACATATCCCCACACTTCTGCTTTTCTCTGTGTTGGCTTCATTTGCTACAAGGTGGCAGAGATGGCACAAGCAGCTCCAAACTTAGCAGCTCATTCAGCCTTGAGGAAGGAGGCAGCACATTTCTCAGTCATTCCAGCTAAGGGTCTGGAGTATACTTCCTGTGACTGACTCACTTCGGCTTCATGTCTGTCTCTGAGGCCATCTACGGTCATTTGGTGGTCAGGCTCTCGTTGGCCAGGCCTGGGTCATGTGCCCACCTTGGAGCTGGGGATGGGGCAGCCTTGGCCAACCCACATGGCCCAGGCATAGTTAAGGGGAGGGTGGCTGGTCAGACGAAAACACATCCATCACCCACCATGCCTGGCCCATTATTGTGCTTTCCCATCATGCTCTGCATTTGTGGGGGGCCATTAGGGTGGTTAAGTAAGGGACCTGGTCAAGGAGAATGTGGCCCTCATCCCTGTCCCCTGTCCTGTCCCTGTCCCCTGTCCTGTCCCTGTCCCGTGTGTGTGTGTGTGGCTTGGGGAACAGATAGACAAACTTTCATTGTCAGATCTTACGGAAGGAACTTCCTTTCTTCCAGCTGCATCACATCCGGTGCAGTCTCTGGGAGGGGCGGAGGAGTCTCCTTTATTGAATGTGTTTTTCTGTCCTGCAGAGAGGCCACATCAGTGGTGTCAGGGTTGGATTCCCATCCTTGCCCTGCTTCTTACAGCACATGCATCCCTGGCCCGGCCACTTCGCCTCACTCCCTTTGCAGGCCCTTGAGAAGACCAAGCTGGGTCTGAGCTCTGGCTGCCCCGGGCCCTGGGAGAGGCTCAGGGCCTGTCGGAGACTCTGCCTTCCCCAGCCTCAGATGGTCCCCTGTCGGGGAGATGGGGAACTGCTTTCTTTTTTTTAAACCAATGCTTAAAATGGTGGTGAAATAGACATAGAATTGACCATCTCAGCAGTTTTTCAGTAGCATCAAGTACATTCACATTGTTGTGTCCCATGAATGGTACATCCATCTAGAATACCCTAAGGAATACGGGGAGAGGGAACCCCAGGGGGCGAAAGTTGACATGGATTAATTGTGAAAATCCATTTCTTATCAAACAGGATTATTTTGGGTACAAGTGACAGAAACCCCACTTGAAATGGCTTAAGGATAAAATGGAATGCATTAAAGTCCAAGGAGATAAGTCTAGCTTCAGGCATGGCTGGATCCAGGTGTTCAGACACAGTGACAATCACCCCCACCTGACTCTCCCTCTCCCTCTCTCTCTCTCCCTCTTTCTCTCTCTCCCTGACATATCCCCACACTTCTGCTTTTCTCTGTGTTGGCTTCATTTGCTACAAGGAGTTCTCCTTTCGTCCTCCCAAACAGAAACTCTGTCCCCATTAAATAACACCTCCCCATTCCCCACTCCCCCAGCCCCTGGAAGTCTCCATTCTGGTTTCTGTCTATGATTTTGACCACTTTGGGTATCTTGTATAAATGGAGTCTTACAGTATTTATCCTTTTGTGTCTGGCTTATTTCACCTAGCATAGTGTTTTCAAGGTTCACCCACGTTGTAGAACACACCAGAATCTCCTTCCTTTTTAAGGCGGAACCATATTCCACTGTACATATACACCATGTCTTATTTACTCATTCATCTGTCCAGGGACTCTGGCGCTGCTTCCGCTGTCTTTGGGCCTTTCGGCTATTGTGAAAAGCGCGGCTGTGTGCACGGGTGTGCAAATATCTGTTGGAGATGCTGCCTCTCATTTTCTGGGTGTATACCCAGAAGCGGAAGTGCTGGGACCAATGATCATGCTATTTTTAGTTTTTTGAGGAACTGCCATTCTGTGGGAACAGTTTTTAAAAGCCCTTGGTTCCATCAGCAAGGGTTGATAAATCAGGGCAAAAAAAAAAGATGAAGGAAAAAAGAAGAGGCCCTACTTTTGGGGGCTGAGATGGCAGCGGTGACAGGGAAAAGGATGTATTTTGACTAGCAAGCCAAGCAAGCGTCATCCAGGTGCTGGGCAGGGTGGCGGAGGGAGGGGCCGGGAGGAGCGCAGAGCCTCGCGCCCGGATGCCCGGCCAGCTAGCAGCGCGGGCAGCGGCTTTATGTTGATGGCAAATTGTCACTTTGGCGGAATTCAGGAACGCTACTTATGTCATTAGGCGGCAATCTATAATTAACGCACTCAAGGCTGTGTGAAGGGTAGGATTCTTCCAGGGACAGCTAGAGCGATTCCACCTGCATCTTCTGGGAGCGGGGGTAAGTGGGGGTGTTCACTTCAGCCAGCAGCTGACACCTAATTAGTGGCAATTGTATTGTTCTGATGCCTCCTCCACCAGGAAGCCTCAGGACTCCCAGCTGGAAGGGAGGCTGTCTCAGAGGTGGAGACCAGCCAGAACAAAGAGCTGGAGAAGGAGGTCTGAGCCAGGAGAGCCTGGGAACCATGGGGAGTCCAGCTCATCTACAGAGTCATTTTTATTCCTGGCCATGGAGCCCTTGAATGCCAGGGTCAGGGATGGCTCAGTTCAGCCGGGCCCCAAAAGAGTGGACCAGACTTCTCCAGGGGTTAAGCAACTTTTAAAATGTCGACAGGGAGGGGAAAACATTGTGGAGCTTCCTGACCACGGGGCTGCCTGCAGCCCGGTTTCCCAAGCCATGGGCGGGCTTGGCGTCTGACTGTCCCCTCTGGAATGTCTGGGCTGCAGCCGGGGCTTGCTCTAAATGAGAAACAGGCGGGAGGGGCTTAGCGGGCCTGGCAGGTCGTGGCCAGCTCCTCGTGCGGTCTGGGCAGGGCTGCTTGGCACGGGCCGCCGAGGAGGACGCACTGGCTGTGCAGGCGGCCCTCCCACCAGCATGGAAGGCTTGGGGGGCCCTGGGCCAGCCTGTTCAGGCCAGCGCCTGCACGGAGGGAGGGCAGCCATCTCAGGGACTGCGGCAGAGCACCGCCCTGGAGGGCAGATGGAGCTGGTTCTGCTTCTGGCCCGGCCCCTTCTCCTTCTGCAACCTTGGGAACACGGTTCACAGAGCCTCCGTTTGCTCACATTGGAAATGGAAGCAACAACGCCTCCCAAGGTGGTGAGGTGACCGTGTCTCACGGAACAGAGGTGGTACGAGTGGGTGACACTTCATAGACAGCTGATACCTGCAAAGATCTAGGAGGCTGGCCCAATATCCTGGTTTTATAGCTGTGGGAACTGAGGTTCAGAGAAGTTTGGGACTTTACCCATGGTCACACAGCAAGATATAGGCAAAGAGATTCTTCTCTAATCCACGGATTCCCCAAATCAGCACTTTTTGCTAGAGCCCAGCCCACAAGAGTGTTTTCTGGCTCCCTCCCAGCCTGGCTCTGTCCTCTCTTCCTCTTCCCAGCCCAGGCTTGGTCATGGTAATCTACACTTGCCTAGAGCTTCCTGGTTTCCAGCGTGCTTCCCTGTACATTTTCTAATGCCAGGGGATGGAGAGTCTCAGAAGTCCCCAGGAGCTTCCAGATCAGCGTTGGCCCTGAAATCTGGGGTGGCTCAGATCAAACCCCCCTACCCACCGCTCTCCCACCTCCCAAGTGGTGAAATCTAGTTTCAGACTTTCTGCTAGCGGATGTCCGTTACACATTTTGCAAAAGGCCCAGGAAATGGCATTTCTCCTTCTCAGTAATCCTCCCCGTCAGCCCAGGCTGTGTTCTTAGTTCGCTTTACAGATGAAGAGCCCAAAGGGTTCAGTGACCCACCAAAGGTCCCCCAGGTGAAGTGGGGAAGCTGGGATTCAAGCCAGAGCTGCCTGTGGGTGGCGCTGCTGCCTCCGCACAATCAAGGCTGTGGAAGGTGGAGAAAACGCCTGCGGGCCTCCATGTCCGACCCCTCCCAGGGGAAGAGAGCATGAGGACTTGGGTTTAGGTTGCTTATCCGTGTGCGACCTTGGGGATGCGACTCAATCACTTTGAACCTGTTTCTCCATCAGAGGTTGGGGTAATGATACACAGAATACATAGATGTGAAGACAGGAAGGGGGCCGCGGAGGGCACCCCGTGTAAACCCTGAGACGTCTGGTGTCTGGGGAGGTGTGCATGGCCCTGGGCGGGCGGGGCTTCAGGAGGGGTCTCCCAGGCCAGATTCTAGGGGAGCTCGGAAGCTTAGGACAGAAGAGGATTTTATCCTCTTGGTGGCACGAGACTGAGGGTTTTAAGTGGGAGGTGACGTGATCTCTTGGTGCTTTGGAAAGATCAGCCTGTTAGCCAAGTTGGAGACGGTGGCCTGGAGGGTCAATATGGGCGCAGAAAGAGCAGGGAGGGGGAGGGGCAGAGGGAGGGAGGGAGGAGGAGGCAGCAAGGGGCGCCTTTGTCCTCCGCTTCCCCTCTTCCCTTCTCCCTCTCCCTTCCTTCTCTTCCTCCCTCCTTTTCCTCCCCCTCCCCTTTCTTTCCCCTTTCCTTAAAAGATAGAGTCCAGAGTGTCTAAGTCAGTACCCTATTGGAAGTTTGGGGTTCACTTCCATAAAAGAGATGGCGCTGGTTGTGACTAGGGAGGAGGCATCCTCATGGTTAGGACTGGGGCCGAGCAGCTCCTCACCTTCCTGCCATTTCCTCTTCCTGCTTCCCAGAAGCGCCAGTGCCCCAGCCCCTGAAACGTGTCCACTGGACCCCGGGTTGGGCCAGCAGATGACCTTTCAGAGGTCCCCGAGGTCGGCTTATCACAGGACAGTGGAAACTGTCCTTAGGAGTCCCTCACTGTAATGCACGACACCCATACCTCCAATGACTCACCTGCCTCCCAAGCCCACAGGGCTCCTGGCAGCCAGCTGGGCCCCACCTCTCCGTGTGTGGTCCTGTGGGGTCCCAATCCTCCAAGATGATGAAGGTCCCCAAGAAGGGCTGTAGCAGAGATGTGTCAGCCTGCAGGGGTGACCAATTCCCAACTTTCTTTCCTAAAAGAAGGGAAGTGGGGATGCAGATCCCTGATCGTGACGCTGCTCCAGGGACCAATTCTGCTCTAAGCTATAAAAATATCCCAAAGCCCTCTTTCAAGGCGGCATTTGAAATAACATCTTAGGCCACTGCAAGAGTTGCCTTTGTGCACTTGTGCTTGTGCTTGGTAATGAGCACGCCTAGAGTGTGGGTGATGTCTTGGGAGGCAGGAGGGGACCCTCCAGATCAGAGTTGTCCCTGACATTTGGGTGGCCCAGAACAAACTGCATTACCCACCATTCTCTTACCTTCTCAAGTGGTGGGATCCAAGGAGAATGAAAACAGGACTGGAAAAGACATCTGAGAAAACACCAGTTGGAAGAGAGAGGCACATGTTGGAGCAACACCAAGTGGCCCTTTTGTCTTGGTGTGAAGCGGTGGTTTACAGACTGATTGCTTGTATGTGAGCTTCATGCCTTCGGTTGACCTTAGTGCTAGAATTCCATGTATGTTTAAGATGGTGCTCATAAGTGTGTGCTTGTGTGGGCACCTGCACGCCTATGCATATGTGTGTGTGTGTGTATGTGTGTGGTGTGTACGTGTGTGTAGAAGTTAGGGGTGCTTCCTTATTTCCAAAATGCCCTGAAAACAGCACTTGATGAATGGGTTCAGCCAGACTCAGACTTTGGGCCTGGGACGGCCACTGGCCTAAGTCACGGGTGCTGCACCGGCATCCACAGCATACAGACGATGAGCTTACATCAGGAGCAGGGATAGCAGAAGGGGTTAAGAAGCTTCCCCCAGGGTCATTGCCCCTCTGTGTCCAGTGGAAGATCGATAGGCCTTTAAAGTGATTTATAAAAATGGAAGGGGGAGCAATGCCCTTTCCTCAATCAACTCCGGCGAGTCAAATCAGCATCCTCCACTTGTATTGATCATCCCACTTCGTCTAAACGCACATTAGCAGGGGCAGGTCATAAAAACTAATCCTCCTCTTCCGTCAAATGGAAGGCCATCTTCCCAGCTTCCCTGGAGCCGGGTGATGTCATGAGACTTCTTGTTGGGAGAGAGAGATTTGTATTAAATCTGATGAGGCTGTTTGCATAAAAGCTAATTAGGATGGCCGAGTGGAGAGAGGAGCTTTGGTGTCCCAGACACACCTGTAAAGACCCTCTGGGTTAGGCAACGCCCCACAGGAAGCCTTTTTTCCAAGTCTTGACCTACAGCTGACCTAACTGGCCAATTTCTGAGTTTTTAAAGAACAGTGAGCTAGTGTGATCAAGATGACGATGACAACAACAACAACAACAACAACAACAACAACAACAACAACATCTTTCTTCCTACCTGTTTCCCCAGCTTTCCTCTCCTATCTCTCTGATATCTTCCCTCACATGGTCTGCCTGTCATTGTCCTTCCACAGTCATGGTACATTTGAAGCTGAGGGGGCCCTGGGGCTGGGAGGGCTTGGGTTTGCATCCCAGCTGATATGTTTGGCTCTGTGTCCCCACCCAAATCTCATCTTGAATTGTACTCCCATAATTCTCACGTGTTGTGGGAGGGACCAGTGGGAGATAATTTGAATCATGGGGGTGGTTTCCCCCATACTGTTCTTGTGGTAGAGAATAAGTCTCACGAGATCTGATGGTTTTATCAGGGGTTTCCGCTTTTGCATCTTTCCTCATTTTCTCTTGCCACCACCTTGTAAGAAGTGCCTTTCAGCTTCCGCCATGATTCTGAGGCCTCCCAGCCATGTGGAACTGTAAGTCCAATTAAACCTCTTTTTCTTCCCAGTCTTGGGTATGTCTTTATCAGCAGCGTGAAAATGGACTAACACACCAGCTCTGACGCTTATTTTGTGTGTGATCTTAGACAAGATGCTTTATCTCTCTGAGCCTCAATTTCCTCCTGTGTAAAACACATCCAGTAATACCCACCTGGCAGGGTTAGTGTGAGCATATGTAATACAGTGCAGGCTTTCTCAAGCTGCGTCACACATGACAATTTTTGCCCTATCTGTGCACTTGGTCTTACTTAATAATTTTATTTAAATCAATTCATACTTTCCTACATACATTTGTTTAAGATAGAGACATTATACTATTATTATAAATGGAAAATACAATACCATTTATTATACCATTTATTATAAATACAATACCATTTAGAAATGTTCAAAAATACTTGGGTGTAAATCTAGCAAAACTGGAACAAAATGTTTATACTGAAAGCTACAAAATGTGGATTAAAAAAAATCACAGGAGGTCTAAATAAATGGAGGGACATGCTGTGGTCATATGTTGGGAGACTCAATAAAAATATAAAGATATACATTTTCCCCATATTGATAAAGAGGTTTCATACAACCATTATCAACATTACATCAAGATTTTATATTCTAAAGTTTACATGGAAAAACAAAGGAACTAGAATAACTAAAATAATTTTGAAAAAAAGAATAAAGTAAGAGGAATCATTTTACCTGACTTCAAGACTCCTTTTGGAGCTACTGTAATCAAAAGCAATGTAGATCTATGAGCTCAAAGATGCTTGTGCACAAACCTCTTAACGGCTCACTACAGGTCATTCAACAAACGTTTACTGAGCAAGTGCTATGTCCCTTGCTTGGGCCTTGTACCTGTGCTACTCAAAGGAATACAACACTCTCCCTGCCCTTAGGGGAGAGACAAGCTGAATGCAGAAAGTGTGTGTGTTTGTGTATCGGTATGCCTGCATGTGTGCATGTGTGTGTGTGTGTCTGTGCATGTGCACCTGCGTGTAACCGTGGGAGAAAGGGCAGTATGGGGTCAGAGCATTCCAAAGAGCCTTGTACTATGATGAGGACCCCGATACCTTTCTTCTTTCCCCTCTTTTTCATTCCCCGTCTTTTGTTTTCCTCTTGCTTCCTATGTCCTATCTTTAGGAATATTGCAATTAGGAGGAAGTCCTATGCCACGCAATAGTCTTTGCAACTTTCTAGTCCTGCGGTGGAGACCTTTCAAAAATGCAATTTAAGACATACCCCAATATCTAAAACTGGGAAAAGTGCAGCAGCTCAGTGGAGTCCTGCCTCCCCTCCAGACCCCCGGCAATTGCAAGTCAGCCTCGTTGGAAGCAGATGCTGCAATGGAGTTTGACAGGCAGAGTATTTATTAGTGATCAATACCTATGGGTGGGCAGGGGAGGAAGGAGGATTGGATGGAGGCTGACACTTTAGCCAGCCCTGTGGGGAATGTATGGGACCCAGTAGTGCTGTCTGTATCAGGCCTGAATGGCCAGTCCCATGTGCTCCTGTCTCAGTGGGTGGCCAGGTGGGGGTGCTCTGGGAAGAGTGTGCTCTTGGGTGGCGCAGGTCTTTGCAGCTGAGGCAGTCTCCCATGGGGATGACAGCTGGAGGCTGGCTGTTGGTAGCTGGGCCAACAAATCCTTTGGTTAAGGGAGATCCAGGTGGAGCATCTCTGTTTTCAGCTCAGTGTCCACTCTTGTGCTGCCCCAGGCCACTGTATCTACACCTGGGGAGTGGTTCCTTCAGGATTCTGGTCACTGTGTTCCTGGAGGGAACTTAGAAGAGCAAGTTAACTGTACGAGCTACAGCTCTGGTGTGGTTGCTGCTCTTAGTGCTGCAGCTGGTGCTCATGGCTGAGCTCCTCACCACCTGCTGAAGACCCTCCCCTCTCAGCTGGAACCGCTGCTGGTCTCAGTGGGTTACCTGGTGGCCTGAGTCCCTGGTCAGTGTGACTTTCTTGGGCTGGGGTTGTTGCACTTATCCATTTACCATATGACTGGGAAAGAGAGCCCTGGAGGAGCCGGTGGACCCCATGCACAGCCTCTGTCTCTCCTGCTGCAGATGCACCATGGGGGGTGGCTGGGGCGGGGTGCTCTCTGGGGGGAATTAACACATGCCACAGGGACCATCCCACTTTGTGCCTCTCCCACATGCCCACCTGCGTGCCGTGACCCCAAACCTTCTTGTCCCCAATGTCTCTTTATAAGCCCTGTCCACCACTGTTCCTGAGTCCATACATATTCTAACCTCGAGCCCCTTCTCCTTCCACACACAGTGGTACCACCCGAAGCTCTGCCCGATAGGAGGATTGGTAAGGGAGGCCACACACACACAGCCACTGGTGTGAGCTGAGGACAGAGGTCGGCACAGCTGTGATGCCTGAAAGAGGGGCCAGGCTACCTGCGGTGCAGCTTGCTTGTGGCATCTGATCCTACTCATAATCCATCCTAGAGGCACCAGGTCTGCTTCGTGATGCCTGCTGCAGGCCTGCATGACTCAGGTCATGGTGGGTCCCACAGAAGCCGGCTTGTGATGGGCACTTCTGGATACATGGTCACTTATTAGCGTGTGTGTATTAACATGTCTCTATCAAAGTCCAGTGGCATGGTAGGAGTTATTTTTCAAAAGATGCCCAGTTATCTATTGCGATGGCACATGCCTGCTTTAGAACCCCCGGGGCCTCCCGCACTGTGATTTTTTTCTCTGGGGCTTCCTGCAAGCTCCACACAGCTCCTTTCCCCACCACCAATATTTCTAATAGCATAGCATCTTCTGGGTAATACGGCCCTACTGGCAGGGTTGATTGTACTACAGCCTGGTTCCTGCGGAGGTCGGCAGCAGCTTGTGTCATCTGATATATTCCTGGGTCTGGAATATCTGCCCTTAGAACACAAACAGGCCTGTCAGGCACAGTGCTTCCTTCTTGGTGGTGGGATACCCTATGCAATACTTTGGATTTTACTTTGTTCTCTGATGCCCCTGGCCACTGGGTCCCTAACATTTTTTGGGATATTGGGGTGCATGTGTTTTACCAAGGCCTCCCTTTTGCTGGCTGCTTCTTATTCATCTGACCCAATAAGCAATATATCATCGCTGTAAGAGATAAATACGACATTCTGTGCAATGCCCCAACCACCCAGGTCTCTTCGGGTAGCATTATGACAGAGGCAATAGAGTTACAATAGCTCTGGGGCCAAACTGTGAATGTAGACTGTTGCCCACTCCCCGCTGGCTACTTATGATAATTGTGTCTACCTGGCTTCTGGTGGTGAGGGAGTCACCACCTGGCCTCTGCTTCTGGGAAACCTATTATCCCTCTTGCTGTTGGGGAGTCCAGTTCTGCAGGGACCTTTTCCATCGTCAGCCAGAGGAGGGACACTGCTGCTGTACATTTCAGGATGCAGGTGTGCCTCTCGCCAGCCCATTCCTGAGATCTTAGTAAATGACGTGTCCTCTGGGTCCTTCCCTGGAGTGTAATTATCTGGTGACCTTCTGGTGTGACATAATGTGTCCATTCCAGTGTGCCCAGTTCCCCCAGCCTTCTTTTTGTTTTTTTTTTTTTGAGACAGAATTTTGCTCTGTTGCCCAGGCTGGAGTGCAGTGGCGAGATCTTGATCTCGACTCACTGCAGTCTCCCCCTCCCAGGTTCAAGTGATTATCTTGCCTCAGCCTCCGGAGTAGCTGGGATTACAGGCGCTTGCCACCACACCTGGCTAGTATTTGTATTTTTAGTAGAGATGAGACTTTATCATATTGGCCAGGCTTGTCTCGAACTCCTGACCTCAAGTGATCGGTCCACCTCAAGCCTCCCAAAGTGTTGGGTTTACATGCATGAGCCACTGCACCTGGCTCCTTGAGCCTTTTAGTGCCTTTCTCAGTATCTCCCAGGAGCTGGCAGCTGGGCCAAGTCCTTCCTTGGACAGTGTCATAGTGAACCGCCTGCCGCCACATTCCATCAGGTGCTTGGTTGGAGGTTCTGCAGAGGAAACTTAGCGCTTCCTAGAGTGCAGTTTGGAAATTGCTTGGGGGCAGAGGTTGGGGGAATCTCCCGAGCTCTGGAGTCAGATAGGCTAAGACAGGTTGCATAGGTACAGATGAACACATCTGGAGTCAGATGTCTTCAGATACTGGTTCTGCTATGGTCAGGCTGTGTGGCCTTGAGAAGATAATTAGCCTCTCTGCATTTTATTTCTTTGATGTCTTATGAGAGTTGAATTTGGTGTTTCTAGGATGTTTACTGTAGTTCCTGAGAGTAAGTTCCCAATAGGTGGCTGCTGTCCTTCTTGGTCACACATGCTCCTGCAGGGCTGCAAGACCTTGAGGAAGGCTTGGGTCAAGGTCCTTCCTTTCTCCCTCACCAGTCCTGTGATGTTGAACAACTCACAGTCTCCCTGAGCCCCAGTGTTTCATCCCTAAAGCAGCAAATGCAATAGTAGCACTCATTCTACCTTGAGGCTCCTGGGAGACAGTTGATGAGAGAGGGTTTAGTAAATGCCCAGGTGTGGTCCCTGCAGGAGAGAGTGTTGCTCTTCCTTCACTTCTGTGGCCTGTAGACGTGTTGACCCGAAGCCGAGCAGCCTTCCCAATCCATTACCCTCTCAAATGGACTTGAAATTTGCTCCAAAGTCAACCAGGAGGGAAGACTAATTATGACAATGTAGGAATTTCCAGAACAAGGTGCCAACCATACATTTCTGGCCAGAACAACCTGTGGACTGTATTGGACACTTGGGACAGATCTGGGTCTGGTTGAGACCACATTCTTAAGGAGACAAAGTGTCTTGTATGACCCATCTTAAACACCAGAATCCTGACTCTAAGGGCCAGGTGGTCTTGCTGAAGATCGGAAGGGGGCTCCTTGGCCCAGGGCTTGGAGGAAGATGGTGGAAAGACTTGCTGAGCATAGGTGGACTCACACCCTGGGACAGAGTCTGCAGTCACCATCACACATCTTTTCATATACTTGAAGCACTGGAGGGAGAACAGGGGCCTCTGTTCTTGGTCTCTTATCTCCCTTGTGGAGGACAGGAAGGAGCCTTCTATTGTATGCCTGGGGGAACAGCCCTGGCCTGTCTGGATCTGTTGCCATGTGTCTCCTGCTCTGTCTCCTACACCCTCAGGTATCACCCTCTCACTCCAAGGCTTGTCTTGGGAAGGCTTTGCTTTGTTAACATGTCCTCACAAAGTTGCCTTTTTAAGGGCCCCAGAGGAGACCCTGCTTCCCTTGATGGCTTCTGGGCTGGAGGTGATCGTGTGACCCTGCAGCTCTCTCTCTCTCCCTCTGACCCATGTGTCATCCCCTGGCCTCTGACATAAGGACTGTGCTATGGTTTCTACAGGATCACTGCTGTTCTTAGATAGTAAGTGATGTAAGAGCCATTGAACCCATCTTGTCATGACGATATATTTCCTGCTCAGAGTGCAACCTGGAAACAAATCCCCCATTGTGCAGTGCTGGGACACTTCCTGTGCAACATGAAAACAAATCCCCCAGTGTGTAGTACTAGGGCATTTCCTGTGCGATCTGCTTAGTGGTCCCCCTGGAAGCAGGACCATGTGGACACCACTGCTTAACCACTGATGTCTGGTGTGGTGATCAGCATATGGTAATCATCCATGCATGTCTCCCCCAAACTGTCTTATTCCCTTCAGAGTGTTTAAGACCTCATACTTTCCCATTTAGAACAGTCACATGGCTGTAAGTACCTCTCAGCACAGCACTTCCTCTGTAGATGGCAGATACAGATGATGCCTCTTTGTAGGTGATTAAGGCCAACACCAGACCACAGTGCCCAGAGGGTGAGAGGGGATGAGCTGCTCTTGGAGGTTCCCTCAGGGACCTGGTTTTGTGAATTGAT
The DNA here is from genome assembly GCF_000001405.40 of Homo sapiens. Lineage (NCBI taxonomy): Eukaryota > Metazoa > Chordata > Mammalia > Primates > Hominidae > Homo > Homo sapiens. The sequence continues at coordinate 99,026,298 of NC_000014.9, read as the reverse complement.
CAGCATTTGAGGACACCCAGGGATCCACAGGGGTCCACTCTTTCCTCAGAGAGTTTAAAAGCGTTAGCAACTGGGGCCAATCCGCACTCTCATAACAGCAGAGATGGGAAGGCTATCAGGAACTTTGCGGTTTTAAAAGCTGTTTGGCCTTCTCAAAAGAGAGTTGGATTAAACTATGGTTCTTAACCAGGGCTGCATATTAGAATCATCTGGGGAAAATTGCTAATGCACAGATGTCCAGGCTCTCTCCATGGGGGTCTGATTCAGTAGGCCTGGGTGGGGGCTGCCTATGATTTGCATGTTTTTTCTGGTGTGGGTGAGGGTTGATCCCTTCAGTAAGCCTGTGTGGTAGGCACAGCCTGGAATAGGATCACTATTTTCAAGGTGAGTAGATAGAAGACCAGAGAGGTAAGTGATCAGACTCAGGCCTGAGCTGATTTTTTCTGCCGCTTTGTTCTTCGCTTTGTTCTTGTCTCATCAAACCCACCACTTTGTCTAGAATGAAATGGATACACTGCAAAGTGAAGGGAAAGGAAACTGCCCCAGCAGAGAGAGGGCCCTGTGATGGGTTTTTTCTGGGGGGCCGGACTCTTGTGGGGGCACCTGTCCTCCCGCTGCTAGGCTTGGGCCATGAAGGCACACTTCGGGGGAGCGCCAAGACGCTGATTCTCAAATGGGAAAGGCGAGGCCACGGGGACTCCTCATCCAGTGGGCACAGCCTCGTTAGGGTCCTTGCCTTGGCAAAAGACATCTGCTCGATCCGAAGATTTACTCAATTAATTCCTAAAAAGAGGGGAGAAGTTTCCTCCAGTGCACCCATTGAGTTATCTTCCTAACAATGTGGAAATGTTTTATTCAGGGTGTTTGTTTGTGTAACGACAAAACATCGGCACAGATGTTTTGCTGTCTGTTGGCCATTGTCCTCCCCTGGACAGCTATGGAAGCCCCTGTCCCATCCCTGTCCAGCAGGCGAGCACAGACCTGGAGGGGCCCTGGGGTGCAGGTGGCTTCAGCTCTCTGACACATTATTTAGTGACATTGAGTTAAGAGACCAAATGTGCTGATAAGAAGGGAAGCTTCCCATCCCAGGATGGTGTGTGCCTTCCGTGGGAATGACTGTGTGGGAGGCACTGCTCCTGCCCAATATGGAACATTCGACCACGGAGGTTCCCTTCACTTCACAGATCACTGTGTGGGGGAGACGTTGATGGGAACATGTTAATCCAGCCCCTGTCTGGTTCCTTTCCACCAAAGCTTCAATATGCATCTGATCTCAGAATATTGGATTTTTCTTTGAGGAAAGAAATAAATGACTTATCTGGGGAATCAGTCCAGAGTTCCCTCCATGCATTGCACATTCTCTATATTGGGCTAAAATAAGGTTTGCTGATTCTCATGGAAATCTCTAAAGCCTGGGTGTCATCATATGAGTATTTTATGTGCCAGGTAAGCAGGTTGCATCCCCAGGAAAAAAAGAAAGAAGGCAAGGAAGAAAGATTAGCGATTGTATCCAAGGAGAAGGAGAACAGATTCAAATACTTTAAGTGCCTATAGCTTCTTGATTCAGTGGCCGAGAAATATGATTCACTCTGAAAAGCAGTCGTTTTGGTTTATATTTGGAATTATCTTGAAGTCTGACAGATATGTTCTTTTTGTGGTTGTTGCTGCGGCATTTCTTTTCCACCTTTCCTAAGCCTGACAAAATGATGCTTCATAAAATCCTAGTGGGTTTTGCTTCTTTCCTGTGTAGCTTGTGCAAGACCGATGGAGAACAAGTTACCCTGCCGGCTGCAAATATTTATTGTGTGCCTGTCTGGTTTGGGCCAAATGGGTACCTCAAATCAGAATCTTGTGCATGTTTTGGTGGTTCTGAGGAGTGAAAAGCAAGGAGAACACATAAGGATCTTGTCAATACGACTTTGCCAGGCTGATAGGAGGAAAAAGAGGCAAATTTTCTGACCCTAAAGCCAATGGCAAATGTTCAGGACTTGTCAAAAATACAAAGTGAGAATCAAAATGAGTTAGAGGCATTGATTTTAGCCTATGTCAAATGCACAAAATGTTAGATGGTGGATATGTATTCCCAAACTTTACTCTGAATGCAGTGCTGTAAAGGTGGAAGGTCTTTTGACATATTTAGTCAATTCCCTTGTTCCACTGCTGAGAAAACTGAGACTCTGACAGGTGAAGTGACCTACCCACTGTCATGGAGTTGAGGTGGGATTGAGAAGGTCCTGCCCCATCAACAATTTCGGCCGATTGCATTTTCCAGTGATGGAGGCAGCCATGTCTCCCATTCCATGAACTCCTCTGCAATGTGACCTTGCCACCCTTCCATCAAGAGGTGGATCTATTTCTCCACCTCCTTGAATCTGGGATGATGCTGTGGCTGCTTTGACCAATAGACTATGGCTGAAGTGACACAGTGCCAGGTCCAGGCATGGCTCTTCATGGCCTGGCAGTTTTGCTTCTGACTTCTTGGTTTGCTTTCCCTCCAAATCCAGCCACCATATTGCGAGAAATCCAAGCCACATGGGGAAGCCATGCATAGACAGTCCCGTTAACAGTCAGCATTGACTTTCACCATCTGAGTGCACCATCTTAGAGGCCAGCCTATTGAGCTTTCAGATGACCTCAGCTGATTCAGGAGAGAATCACCCAGCTGTGCTCAATCAATCCTCTCAGCTGTGAGAGTTAATAAAAAAAATTGTTGGTTTATTAAGCCACTAAGTTTTAGGGTTACTTGATATGCAGTAACATTTAACTGGAACATTACTCAATACTAACATGAAAACTCATGCTTGATAATCACTCTGCACTTTTACCAACTAATCTCCCATTTATTCTAAGATTCAGTGTTTTCCTAATAGAAGGTCATGACTCATTAGTAGCTCATAAGACCAATTTTGTTAAGTGCCAAAAGTTAAATCAAAGAGAATTAAATGCATCAGAGTACATTATACATAATAAAGGTAATAATTGTTTTGTGAAATTTTTGGTTCAATTATGTGTGTGTGTACTGGATTTGGTATCTATTTTTTATTGTGGATTATAGAAAAAAATGTTAAGAAAATGCTGATCTCATTTGGCCCTTCCTACAGCTTTGATAAGCAAGCAGGGGTGGTGTCTTAGTCCATTTGGGCTGCTATGAAAGAATTCCACAGACTGGGTGGCTTATAAACAATAGAATTTTATTTCTCATGGTTCTGGGGACTGGGAAATCCAAGATCAAGGTGGCAGCAGATTCAGTGTCTGGAGAGAGTCTGCTTCCTGGTTCATAGAAGTCACCTTCTCATTGTGTCCTCACATGGTGGAAGTGGTGAGAGAGCTCTCTCGGGTGTGTTTTATAAAAGCATTAATCCCATTCATAAGAACTCTGCCCTCATGACCTAATCATCTCTGAAACTCTCCACTTACTAATACTATCACCTTAGGGGAATGGGATTTCAACATATGAATTTTGGGGGGACATAAACATTCAGTCCATTGCAGAAGGTTTCATTACCTCCTTTCCATCAATGAGGAAACTGAAATTAGAAGGCAGATTATGTGGCAGACCTGGGCTTCTCCTCCCCTCCTGTCTCCCCAAGTCCAGCATGTCATGCAGCCTTCTTACCATTCTTAAAACATTTTAGATCTTTCAGGGAAGAGCCACTTTCTTGAGCTGGTGTGTATAGGCAACAGTAACAGCAGGTGACATACATGTGCTTACTCTGTGCTTGGCCCTCACTGTGCTAAGGACTGTACACGATTAACTCATGGGAGGTACCATAATTATGCCCTTTTTACTGGTAAGGAAACTGAGGCTCAGAGAGGCTGTTTAATTTAGCCAATGTTGCACTGCTAGTGGGTGGCAGAGCCAGAATCCAAACCTATGTAATATGGCCCCATGTCTATACTCTTATCCATTCAATTACGGTTTTTCTCCTCTAGTTTGGAAAACTCGAGTGTGAGAAAGCCTCTCAGCAAGCTTGCCTCCATTTGCTCAGTGCACTAGCTGAGGCTTCCGAGACAGGGTCATGACTGCCCTGCTTCCACCAGGGCGGCATGATGGGACCTCCTCTCCCATAGAAGCACCAGGTGACTCTCAAGAATTGCCACCCTGTCCCAGGGTCTGGAGAGAGACCAGGCCTTTTTTAATGCCTGAGAGTGAGAACGTTATTGGGTGAACACTTCCCTTTTATTTACAAGATGAGAATCAACTCCGGTGGTTAAATAGTTGATGTTGGCAAAAGAGTTAAGACAAGAATGTCTCCATGTTCTTAGAGGCCCATTTCCTCTCCTTCTTGCTTTACTTTCACTTCTCTCCCAACCGTTTACTTGTCTCTTCAAGTCCTCTAGGGAGAAAGGAGAAAACGCCTGGCCATCAGAGCATCTCTGTTCCTAAGTTTCCTTGCCTGGAAAAGCCAAAGCTTGGGTTGGACTGATCCAGTGGTTCACAACTGCAAGCATTTTTCCTTCTCAGGGGACACCTGGTAATATCCAGAGACATTTTTGGCTGTCACGCTGGTGTGTGTGAGTGTGTGTGTGCATGGGTGCACTGCTAACATCTAGTGGGTAAAACAGGGGATTTTGCTAAACATTCTACCATGTACAGGACAGTCCCCACAACAAGGGAGCATCCGGCCCCAAACGTCAACAGTGTCAAGGCTGAGGAACCCCAGATTAATTTATTAATATGAGAATCCCCACTCACTGAGTACCTACCACATGCCAGGTAGTGGAAGGAAACCAGAGATAAAAACAGACAAACAAACACGCAAAATAAAAAACCCAAAGCACCCTTAGACCCTGCACTCAAACAGCTTGTGATATAGTGGGAAAACCAAATATATACATTTTTTCAGGAATGAGAAATACCAGCAAGGAGATGGGCATGCGGTGTCATGGGGCTTGCAGAAGGCGACCCCAGAGAGGCCAGCAGAGGCCAGAGCTGCGGCCCCGCCCCCCGACCCAGTACCTTAGCACATGTTGTTCCCTGTGGCTGGAGGCTTATTTCTCAGGTATTTCACTCATCTCTTTGGTCCCTGCCCAAATGCCACTGCTTTGGGCAGCTGGGAAGATTTCCCTGACCCCCTGAGGTCCTCATAGAACCCCTGACTAGTATTTCTGGCATTGATCTGAGTTTGCATTTCACATTTGGTTTTCTGAGGATTTGACTATTGTCTGGGAACCTCTCCTGCACACACCATCCATTTATAAGCCTCCCCTATCCTGAAAACGGGATCTTAGCTCCTCCCACTCAGGGCAGCCCATCAGAGGTACTCTCTTGTGTATTCTGACTTCTCAGAGTCCCTGCTGCCTTTGAAGTAAAGCCCAAATGCTGAGCCCCACACCCTAGGCCCTTTGCCCTTTGCACTTTGCCCTTTGTGAACTGATTTGATTGCCCTCTGGCTCCAGACGGCTCCCACTTGTAGCTCATTCAATCCTTGGTTGCTGTGACCCTGTCCTTCTCTCAAGAGCCCAAAGTGGCTTTCTGCTTTCCTGCAGGTGGCCTTTTGCCCAGAAAGATCTGCACATTTCTCCCTGTGTCTGATTGGATCATAGGCTTCCTTGGATTATAGACTTGTTGCCTCCTCTTTCAGGAAGTCTTCCCTCTTTATATGCCTAAGTTAGGTGCTGGTATGGTTTGGATTTGTGTCCCTGCTCAAATCTCATGTGGAACTGTAATCCCCATTGTTGGAGAAGGGGCCTGGTTGGAGGTGACTGGATCATGGGGGTGGACTTCCCCTTTGCTATTCTTGTGATAGTGTGTGAGTTCTCATGAGATCTGGTTGTTTAAAATTGTGTGGCCCCTCCCTCTTGGCTCTCTTCTTCCTGCTCCAGCCATGTAGGACATGCCTGCTTCCCCTTCACCTTCTGCCATGATCGTAAATTTCCTGAGGCCTCCTAGCCATGCTTCCTGCACAGTCTGAGGAACTGTGAGCCAATTAAACCTCTTTTCTTTATAAATTTCCCAGTTTCAGATAGCTCTTTATAGAAGTATGAGAATGAACTAATACAAGTGCCTTCCTTTGTGTGGTCAGGGCATCCTGGGCTTACTGTGGTTTTCAAATATTTGTTGCACTGAAATTTCCTCGAGGGAGAGGATGGGTGGTGCTGCTGGCAGCATTTCCAGCACCCACCTCAGAGCCTGGCACATTCAAATATTTATTGAATGGGGAAATCAGTGGATACCAGTTCTAGGCCCTTCCTCCCCTCTGATTCCCTAGATCTTGTTGGGAATGGTTGAATTCACCTCCCTGGGGGCTACTCTACACCAGAAAATTCTTCCAGGTCCTGCAAGCCAGTTTTCTTACCTCCCTGGATGTAGATTTATGTTAAAACATTACTTTTTTGTCAAGCAGTGTTAGAACTGATGCCAAGCTCCTGTTTCAGTGATATAATGGCAATAAATAGAGGCAGAATTAAAAAAATAAGGAATAATTATAAAAATGACCAATGCAATTTTTGAGTGATCAAACAATCCCATTACATGTGTGCACTGATTGGCCCACTAAACTGGATGTGTGGCTAAATATGTTGAACTACCCAAATGTATGCTGCTCAGGACCCACAATATAACGGTGGTCTTAAAGATTTATATTTTCTTAGATCGTTAAGGTGTTAGATGGCCTCATTTCTCAGGTGTGCTTCTAGCTCTTTAAATCTCAGCAGCAGTACACATGGGTGGGTTCCATGCTTCCACTTCCATCACTCCCCTGGCATATGGTAAGTCTTCCTAAAGGTTAGCACAGGAAATGCTCCTCTGTGTCCAATGCCTTGTTAGGCACTGCGAGAAATTGCAGTATGAATTAGATCTGCTCTCTGCCTTCCAGGAGCTCCCTGTCTTACAGGAAAATTAGGACATACATATTCATACCATACCACAAATTCTAGAAAGTGAATGAGAAATACAGAAAAACTAGAACAGATTCAGAAATTTTGAAGCAGGAGAGAGAAATTCTACCTGAAATGTTCAGAGACGGTGGAAAAGATCATATTTGACATGGATCTTGAAAAATTAGAGATTTGAAAGAAAAATTATTCATGTAACACCTTGATGCATAAAGTTTAAGGAGAGATTAATCCAGGTAGAGAGAATGGCCGGAGAAAATGCCCAGAGGCAGAAAAATGAGGCCATAGTGACTTTGTTTCCTACATTTTCTCCTAGAAAATTTGTAATTTTAGGTTTTACATGTAAGTCCATGATCCGTTTTGAGTTGATTTGTGTATATGGTGTGAGGTATGGATTCAGGTTAATTTTTTTCCTGTGGTCAGTCCTGCTCGCAGTCTTTCCTGGGATCAGGTCCAGGTGTCCCTTGGAAAGGAAAGCCCTCACTGTCCACAAACATTTCAGAAATCACCAAGACACAGTGGTAAGAAACAGGGGTGTGGCTGTCCTTATGACTGATGTTTGGGAGAAGGCTGAGCGCTCCTTAAAAACACATGTGTCTTTGAGCTTTGGCTTTTTATTGTGGAAGGAGATTTTGTGAATGAGCATTTTAGTTTCTCACTGAAACCCAGGAAATGTGTACTGTTTTCTGTTTAGCCTCATCTGCTCCATAGCAGCATCTTGAGCCCTGGTGACTGCATGTTCCCCGTGTCCTGGGGACAGGGTGCAAACACATCTGGTGACCCCACCCCCATGGCGTACCAATGTTCCCAATGAGGAGACAGACTGCCAATGCACAACCACCAAAATATATGTGCTCCTTTGGCCTCCTGGTCCCCTAGCAATGGCCCTTGCATACAACTGGTGGTTAATAAATGCAGGCTGGAATGGAAGTGTGTTTGCCCAGAGTAAAACACACCTGAGCTAGAAACACACCTGAGAAATGAGGCCATCTAACATCTTAATGATCTAAGAAAATATAAACCTTCAAGGCCACCATTATACTGTGGGTCCTGAGCAGCCTACAGCCTTCTGACCAACTGAACATCTCCAGCCCAGCAGTTCCATTGTGTTTTTGAGAAAACCATCAAGTCGAAGTGAACGAAAGGGGAACAGGCTGACCTCACTCCCCATGGGAGTCTCCTGAACGTGCAAAGGAAAGAGCAGCAGATGCATGGCACCCGCCTGCAGACCACCAGCGGTCTGAGCTTCTATAAGGGCACTCTAAAGAAGAGAGGAAAAGCTAGCCCAGTGAAAGAAGACAGGATTCACGGGGACATCATCATCGCTGAAGCTACGACATGCAGGCACTGTGCCTGGCACTTCACATAGGTCTTGTGGTGAAGTCTTCCCCAAATCCCTGGAGGTGGAGGACAACCACCCCACCTCCCAGATGAGGAAACAGGCTCAGCAAGGCGGAGTTAGTCAGCCAGGGTAACCCAGCTGGTAAGTGGCACGGCTGGGTGGAACTCCGGGGTCCTGGCTCTTCCAACTACTTTTTGCTGCTTCCTGTCATTGGACTGGAAGATTCCCTGTTGCCCTTGCTGGCTAGGAGTCTCCAGATTCCTGCAGTCCCTTGCTCCTGTCCCGGACACTTGCTCCAGATGCTTGAGTAGGACCAGAGCAGACCCTGTGCCCCCGATCCACTGTTTGGGCATCTGTGATCGCAGCTCCCCTTGATGGCACATCGTGGTGTGTAGGGGGCTTATCCACACCACACAGACCCCACTGGACACCCCTGAAGACCTTCTGTGGCAGGCTCTGGGCTTCGTCCTACTGGTCCAGCCACTAGACCCTCAGGAGCACCCCATACAGGGAGAACCTGATTATTACAACACCTGCTTTCAGAGAGGGAACCCAGAGGAAGGGTCCCCATTTACCCTTGGGTGGTGAGAGACTTGGAGACAGAGACCAGGAAGGCTTCCTGGAGGAGGTGATGAGCCTGCTTGGCCTCGAAGGGCAAGTCGGATGTGAAACCCTGGTTCTCAGCTCTGGCTGTGCATGGAATCACCTGGTATTCTGTGCTGGGCCTTGAGGTTCTGATTCAGTTGGTCTTGGGTGGGATCTGGGCGCTGGCATTCTTAAAAAGCTTCATGAGCGATTCTAGTGGGCTCAGATACACCAAATTAGGAGAAGGGGAAAGAAGATGATCTTGAGTAGAGGCTTATTTCAACGCACCGACTTCTAGGACAGCATGGAGTTTGGGCGGAGGGGGAGGTCCGGAGGGCCACTGGGGCCAGGCCACGAAGGCCTTGGACCCTTGTTCAGGGCACTTGGACCTTATCTGAAAGGACCAGGGCAGGCCAGAGCACTGAAGGTCTTGGCAGGGGAAGGGCCTGCTGAACTCTGGACTTTGGGAGGTCCTCTGGTGGCATCAGAATGGAGTGGTGGTGGTGAATGAGCAAGTGAAGGGGTGAGATGGGGTGGTGTGTTGTGGGGAGGGCAGGGGGTGGGCCCAGCGGGAGTGGGTGGGGCCAGCTGATCTTCTGTACCCTCCTCTGAGAGGCCTGGAACATTTGGAGGTGGGGCCCCAGGGAGCCCAGAACAAAAGGAGATGCCCTGCACGGTGGCTCACGCCTGTAATCCCAGCACTTTGGGAGGCCAAGGTGGGTGGATCACGAGATCAGGAGTTCGAGACCAGCCTGGCCAACATGGTGAAACCCTGTCTCTACTAAAAATACAAAAAATTAGCTGGGCGTGGTGGCGGGTGCCTGCAGTCCCAGCTACTGGGGAGGCTGAGGCAGGAGAATTGCTTGAACCCGGGAGGATGAAGTTGCAGTGAGCCAAGATTGTAGCACTGCACTCCAGCCTGGGCAACAAGAGTGAGACTCCATCTCAAAAAAAAAAAAAAAAAAAAAAGAAGAGATGCCCTTGTTTCATAAGACAGTGTGGGCAGAGCCACAAGGAAGTCCTGGGGACAGGAATGGATAGGATGCAGTTCCCACCCCTGAGCTCCGATGCTCATCACATCGGGAGTTTTTCTGGATGGGGGCACAGGTTGCAGTGTGCACCTTGATGCAGACATTGCCTGGAAATGAACTTGGGCCTATTTCTTTCAATCAGAATAATTGAAATTGCACAGCCTGGGCTCTGTCCTATGCCCCTCCACCCCCCAGCTGCACCATCTCTAAACACTGAGGCACCTGAAGCAGCGGCCATTTGATGTATCATTAAATACACCTTCTCACACTTGGCACGTAAGCCCTGATAAAGTTTCACCTTTTAACGAAATAAATGACTCAATTAACAAGATGAAAAACAGCAGTGTGGTGGCAGGCCCACTTGGTGGCTGGAAAAAAAGGGCTGGAGAAGAATTATCCCAGCAGGGAGTTAATGTGGGCAGAGGCCCGGTGCGCGGTGGGCGTCCGCTGACTGCCAGCCTGCCAGCCTGGGGTGGACGCGGGCCTGCTCACCATGGCTGGGCGGGGGTTGCCCACATTCTGGGCTGGGGTCCAACCGGGGTTGTGGGATCCAGGGGCACTCCCCCAGGCAGGACCTGTGTGTGTGTACATGTGTACTCACGTGTGTGTGTGTGTGTGTGTGAACACAAATCCCTGCCTTTGCCTGCCCGAGCGCTTGGGATCATAGTCAGCCATGTCTTAGTGCTGAGGCTCCCCCATGCTAGGCTCTGTGCTAAATGCTTTATGTGTTTTATCTCTGTAGGACAGAGGCTGCCCTGAGGGGGCAGGACCCAGGGTCTGAGTTCAGGCTTCCTACAGCTTTGGAATAACAACTCTCCTCTTGGTTTCCATTTCCTCCTCTGCAGCTAGAGATAGCTGGACTAAGGCGGAGGTCTTACAAGGAGACAAAGGGTCTGTGGACAGGTCTGTGAACCTGGCTGGGGAAATGAAACTGCAGCTTTGTTTTCTCTACCCTCAGTTTGTAGAGTGTGCAGGACTAGGTAGGCATCGTATGCACAGTGTCTGTGATTCGGGTACTAATTGGAATCTCAGATATTTTCCTTTTCCATGGCCGTGGCTGTAGAAAATTCAAAATGCCATTTCCACTCCCCAATACTTTGAAATGATTGATAGTTATTAGACCCTCTGGTGGGCTTGTTATTTAATGCGTTAATAAAGAAGCACATGCATTTCTAGGTCACAAATCTGTTTTTAATATGTGATAACTTTCAAAATAATTGGTTTTCTTTGTCGTCATATATAGTTTATGGTATTTTATTTTATGCAGGCAAAACTTTATTCTGAGAAAAGGTCCCAGGCTTCACTCATTGGTCGGAAGATTCCATGGCAGGAAAATGACCAAGAGTGCCTGGGGGAGGGATTTCCAAGGGTCCTGCGAACTCCGACATCCTGGGAGTCCATGCGGTTGGCACACTCATCGTAATGGTGACCAAGTATGTGAGGTGCTCACTGCGTGTCCGTGCAGATGCTATTTTTAAATTGAGGTCTACTTGTGACATATGTCAGAGCCTCAAGCTCTTAAGGGTCCAGATAGATGAATTTTGACAAATGTATACGTTTCTTCAAACATCACTCTAAGCTATGGAGCATTACTATGCCCATACAGTTCCTTTGTGTCCCTTATTGGTCTATCCCCTCCCTCCCAGCCCCAGCTAAGAGGTGACTACTGTTTTGTGCCACCCAAAATATCTTTTCCCCGTCGAGACTCATGTAGAGGGAGCCATGTTATGTGCTTTCTTTTGCACCACTGTTTGCCCTCAGCATGTGCCTCTGGGATTCATCTCCGCGGCTGGATGAGTCTGTAGTCGCTGTGTCGTATCCCATTACATGAATTATATCCATTGTATGAATTATACTCTTTGTATTCTCATATTGATGAATTCAGATTGCCTTTATATTTTTTTCTTTTTGGTGTTACAAATGTGTGTACAAGTCTCTCAGTCACTTGCATGGCGGTGGAGTGATGAATGGAAGGCCAGCTGTCAGGTGGACCCCATCCCCTCTGAGGTCCCCCAGGCCCGACAAGCTACAAATGTGACTCACTGGTGTGGAGCACCTGCTGTGATGTGGGGCCTTCCCTAGGCCCTGGGAGCATCTGAGTTTAGCCAGCACTCCGCCCATTGCTTTTGCTTTCTATGTGGTTTGGTTTGGCTCTCCAGGCATAGGCACTGACCAAGAGGGGACAGGAGGCACTAATACAACTTCAGTGATGACCATGATCCAGGCCATGTGCCACAGCTTTCAGGAAGTCTCCCATGAAACAGATAGTGTCGCCCCCATTTTATAGATGAGGAAACTGAGGCTTACCCTCAAGCTAGCACGTGAGTAAGAAGTGAAACCAAACACGCACATTCAGGATTAGTGGGTGTCATGGATGGTGAAGGTCATTCTCAGATCTCGAGTGAGGGGATGGGGGGACCTGAGCTGGCCCCTCTAAATAGGACATAGCTCTGACACTAGACCACAGGGAACACAGCTTTTTAAGTGAAGTGACACATTTCATGTTTGTGTCTTGTTTATGAAATGAATCATATAACAAGTTTATTTCCTGCCTTCTCCACTGGACCCTACATCATAAACGTATTTCCAAATCACATGTCTTCTACATTGTTTTCTGAAATGTTCTTTTGTATAAGAATACCATGTATTTCTTATATCTGATTTCCAGTTATTTGACCTTTTGTTTATTTCAGTTTTTTTTTTTTTTTTGAGATGGAGTCTCGCTCTGTCCGCCAGGCTGAAGTGCAGTGGTGCGATCTCAGCTCACTGCAAGCTCCGCCTCCTGGGTTTACGCCATTCTCCTGCCTCAGCCTCCTGAGTAGCTGCGACTACAGGTGCCCACCACCACGCCTGGCTAATTTTTTGTATTTTTAGTAGAGATGGGGTTTCACTGTGTTAGCCAGGATGGTCTCGATCTCCTGACCCTTGTGATCCGCCCGCTTTGGCCTCTGAAAGTGCTGGGATTACAGGCGTGAGCCACCACACCCGGCCAGTATTTTTTTATATTTTTCATTTTTGCTATAATTAGTAATACTGCAGTGAGCATTCATGTAGATAAACCTTTTTCTATTTTGCCAATTACTTCAGATATATTTCTTGAGAGGGGCATGTACCCTCTTGGTCTGTTGACACATATTGCTGAATTGATTCCAGAAAGGGAGGACCAAGTTACGCTTTCATCAACATTTTGGACACCCCCATTTTTTTTTGCTCCTTGGCCAGTGCAATAAATAACGTTTTTAAAAATTTTACCTTTTTAAAATAACTTTGCTAAGTTCACAAGGAAAACAAAGAGAGCAGGATCGCTTTAGTTTGCATTTATTTGATTGATGGGGAAGTTGGAGAGTTTTTTACAAGCTTGGAACTTGTGTATTTTTTCTGTTTGGGGAGTTGCTTATTTGTGGCCTGCGTCTGTTTTTCATCCCCAGATAGCACCCACTGGCTCCGGCAGGTGTCCTCGCCCTGTGCTGCTCCCAGAAGCCTGCAGGCTGCACTTGCCACCCGGCGCTGGCCACCTACTCCAGCTTCCAGCCCGCTCTGCCTGGCCCAGCCATGGCTCTGAGCCCTCACCTCGGCCATGCCCGCTGTCTTGGCAGTGACCATGTGCCCTGTGCTCGGCTCTGCCTCCCAGTCAGGGCCATTGCTGCCTCCCCGGCTCCATTGCTAGTCCCACTCTGGCTGAGCATACCTCTAGGTCAGTCATCATGGAGACCGCCACCGGATCCTTGGGGCTGATCCCAGGCTCCTGGTCTGTGCCCTCCCTGCTCCTGATGGGCTGGCTCCAGCCTCTTGGGCAGGATCTAGAACCTGGACACTGACCATGAACACACAGGAGAAAGAAAATACAATAATTTTGTCCTTAGGGAGGGCACAGCCACCGACATGGACAGACATTTTGATGTCACTAGTTCCAAATTCCTAACCCATGGCTGGGTTCCCACTTACAACAACAGGCTGTTTGTTGACAGGCCTGGTATTGGACCTGCGTCTTCCTCTGTGTTTTTAGGGACTGGAGCTCACTGCCTCCCAGGGTGGCTGTTCCATTTCAGGCCAGTCTGCTTAGCTGACGCTTTGAGGCTGTAACATAGCACCCACTTATGGTCTTTGTTTGGGTTCTCCTGAAAGCAGAGACCAGGGCAAGGACTCAGGTGCAGACAGCTTGTTTGGGAGGGAGTTGGGCAAGTGAGGTAGGGAAGGGGAGAAGCTGATAAAAAGGAGTTGCCCCGCTGGTCACCACTGCAGGCAGCCGGGGCTCCAGGTCTCTGGGGATTCCGATGAAGTGTGCAGGGCAGGCCTTTGGGTGTTCCCTTGAAGGATGGGAGGCAGGGGCTCCCGATCTCTTGGGTGATTACTGTTTTGGGGAATGCCACATCCCATGCTCCGGGTTGCACCTGCTCTTGGGCAACGCAGTCTTCTGTGGCTTCAGAGGAGCAGTGAGACCCCACTGTGGGTACTGGTGGTGGGGTATTGACAAAGCGCATGGAGGCGACCACCAGAGCCGCACTCAAATCACAGGGCTGAAGGAAGGGGGTCTGTGTGTGCTTCACTTGCAGGACCACCCTCGGGGGTGAGAGGGGCATGTGAGGGGCTGAGACTGCAGAGTGAGTACCTGCATCAGGCACAACAATGGGACCTTCCATCCATTCTTTCTCCTGACCACCACCTATGTTGGCTCGAGATCCCCAGAGTAGAGGTGTCCTGGCTACACCTGAGAAGTCTTTGTGGGCTCCCTGCCTAGGCACTGTGCTGTCCAATGTTGGGTCTCAGGCCTCCACATCATTGACCCATGGCATTTCCCAAAGTGGAACATGAATATCTGGAGAGAAAATTCTATGACCAAGTAAGTCTGGGAAACCTTGTATTTTGTATCCCCTCTTGGAGAGTCACAGTGGAAATTCACATAGTAAAGGCTCTGAGAAGTCCTGCAGCCAAGAAATGTGTTTCACTTTGTTGACTCCAGGGTTTACCTCCCTTGACTGACTATGGGGCATCAGCCTAGCAGCATCTGAGGAACACGCTTGCCGAAGCCTCATTCTGTGGCGTACACCCTGGAGCCGACTGTGTATCCTTATATGTAACCACAGTCACGGTCACTGCTTCGAGGTGAAGATCAATTCATGCCTCTCCTTGCCCTCCCAGACGAAGTGCATGTGGCGCCTTGCTGCCAGCTGGACTTCCTGGAGCCCTCTGGGGTAGATGGCCTCTTCTGAAGCCAGGGCTGCCTCACCCATGTGCAGAGGGGCGCTCTCCCTGCTCCTCTGCCTTCTGGCTGGGGCCCAGCCATGCTGTTATTATTCCAACTTGCTGGAGCTCCTGGAGGGGACCCAGTGCTTCCTGCATGAAGACTCACCCTGGCAGCTCTCTCCCCACCAATGCAGAGACCCCTCTCCCCCAGGTCTACTTGGGTGGCCCCCATGTGTCCTCCACTTCCCTCTCATTTTAGTGAATGATGAAAGTTCTCAAGATCAAGATCAAAAGGATTTCTAAGGACAGAACCAACACATTGGCAGCTTCTTAAAGCCGAGCTCAGCAGCAAGGTGCTGGATGCCAGGCAGAGAAAGGGGCTGAAATGGGCCTGCAATGCTAGTGTGGGAGAGTGCCCTGATGACAGGCAGTCTCTGTGATTGCTGCGGTTGTTCAAGCTCAGCTGGCCACAATGCCTCTCTTTTCTGTTTCTATTTTTCTCTTAAGCCTCAACTACTGTTCCAGAGCTGAGCCTTCTCAGGATTCATTGCAGCCAATGGTCCATTTTCTTTGGATCCCATTTGGGGTGATCTTCCCTGCTTTTATCTTACTTCCCAGGCCCCTCTAACCTCGACCCTTCAATTTTTCCTAAGTTCTGGAATACATAAAGGGGCAAAACCTCCATCCTGATGGCAAACACAGCCTTTTCAATGTGGGAAGGTGTGCTTTCTTTGGTGCTGGGGACATTTTTGCCTTGGTACTCAGTGACACTGTAAGCTTGACAGGCCCCTCTTTTCTGCCAAAGGAGAGGACAGGCAAATATATTTTAGCAATGGCAGAAGAAAGTAATTGAAGGGTGTGGAGGTGCCCTAGGCACCTGATATGGTTTGGATCTGTGTCCCTGCCCAAATCTCACGTTCAGTTGTAATCCCCAGTGTTGGAGATGGGGCCTGGTGGGAGGGGACTGGATCACGGGAATGATTTCTCATGAATAGCTTAGCACTGTCCCTTTGGTGCTATTCTTATGATAGAGTTCTCATGAGATGTAGTTGTTTAAAAAAGTGTGTAACACCTCCCCCGCCCTCCTCCTGCTCTGGCCATGTGAAGTGCTTGCTACCCCTTTGCCTTCTGCCATGATTGGGAGCTCCCTGAGGCCTCCCCAGAAGCAGAAGCTGTTATGCTTCCTGTACAGCCTGCAGCAAGGCTTGCCCCTGTCTGGGGAGGGCGAGGAGAGGCATGCATAGATCTCCACTTCAAAGCAGGAACCATGACTGTGGTTACATATAAAAATACACAGTCGGCTCCAGGGTGTATGCCACAGAATGAGGCTTCAGCAAGCGCGTTCCTCAGATGCTACTAGGCTGATGCCCTGTAGTCAGTCAAGGGAGGTAAACCCTGGATTGAACAAAGTGAAACTGCACAAGGACAGACGAACACAGCATCCTTTCACTCCTCATGGCCTTTTGCATAAACCTTCTCCAGCTCAGGCGTCTTTGCTTCTTTGAGCCCCAGTTCTTCATCCATAAAATAGAGCTAAGATCATAGACCTCACTGGGCTGTTGGGAGAATGAAACAGGCTTCTGCTCTCACAATGCCTGCCAGAGCTAGGGTGGAACGAATGCTCTCTTTCTCCCTCAACTGTGATGTGAGTACCTGTACTAGCCTATCCTCACACTGCTATAAAGAAATACCCGAGAATGGATAATTTATAAAGGAAAGAGGTTTAATTGACTCGCAGTTCCACATGGCTGGGGAGGCCTCAGGAAACTTGCAATCATGGTGGAAGGCAAGGGGGAAGCAAAGACCTTTTTCACATGGTGGCGGGAGAGAGAAGAGTGAGGCTGGGAAAATGCTAGATGCTTATAAAACCATCAGATCTCATGAGAACTCCCTCATTATCAGGAGAACAGCATGGGGGAAACTGCTCCCATGATCCAGCCACCTCCCACCTGATCTCTCCCTTGACATGTAGGGATTACAGGGATTATAATCTGAGATGAGATTTGGGTGGGGACACAGAGCCAAACCATATTGGTACCTTACACCACACATTGGTAGGGTATTTGTAAATCAGGTAGAGGGAATGATTAGATGACTTCCAAGATATTCCATGAGAAAGCAAGTTGCCACCTGTAAAGCACCGGACACATCATTGCAATTATCCTCACCTCAATGCCACCAGGTCTCATGACACCCAGTGATGCGGTATTAAATGGATCTGTGGAAAAATAGGTCATTGATTTCTCAGCCCACAAAATTTTACAATTTAGTGGTTCTAAGATATCTCTATGGACCTGATGTGATGTTGGAAAAAAAAAATCCTTTGGAGCCAGACAGACATGAGTTTGAAGCCTGGTGCTACCACTTCACAGCTATGTGACCTCGGGCAAGCCAGGTTATCTCTCCCTGGCATAGTTTGCTTATCTGGAAGGTGGGAAGACCACGTCCTGACTCACAAGGCTGCAGGGCGCTCCAGTGAGGTCCTGAAAAGTGTCCTGGTGATAGGACGGGGCTGTAGAAACAAGCCCAGAGGAAATTGTGATGGGGTGGGAAAGGAACTAAGTTCAGCATAAGATGGTCTTAGTTTAAATCTGAGGTCACTTTCTTATTGGCTGGATGACCTTGGGCAGGTCAGCTGGCTTCAGTTTTTCTTGACCATAAAATGGAATGAGACGGAAGAGCAAAGGCAGGAGAGTGGGCAGCAGTGCTCTGCAGTGAAAAGACCCCATGCTCTTGTCCTCGGCAGCTCAGGGGGGCCTATAGCTCAGTTCCCAGGGTTACGAGCAAACACTGTCGCCCCAACTAGCCCTTTGAGGAAGCTTGGGATGTGTCAGACACGGCAGCCCACCCATGCTCCACCTTAGGGACCTGCTGACCAGCCCACAGAGCCCAAGGGGCAGCCCTTTGGACATATGGCCACGTGGCTGTGGCTGCAGCTGGCGGGACCAGCTTAGGGTGGACACCTCACCTAATGGTAAATTTTGTTTTTCCTCCTTGGAAACTTCTCTTGGAATTAGAACCCAGGGAGGCTGAATTGGGTGGCTCTGTGGGCTTGACCTGTGAGGGGTTGACAGCCATGGCGACTGCCTCTGGTGGCCTGTGCCCCAGCAGGTGAAGCCAATCTGTGGAGAAGAGAGAGGGGAGAGGCAGAGGCAGGAGGGCAGGAGACCCCAGAGAAACGGGTTGTGTGTGTGTGAATGTGTGTGTGTGTATGAATGTGCATGTGTGAATGTGTGTGCGTGTGTGAATGTGTGTGCGTGCATGTGTGAATTTGTGTGGGTGTGAATGTGTGTGTGCATGTGCATGTGTGTGAATGTGTATGCATGTGTGAATGTGTGTGTGCGTGGGTGAATTTGTGTGGGTGTGAATGTGTGTGTGCACGCACATGCAATGGTGTGAATGTGTGTATGTGTGCATAAATGCGTGGATATGAATGTGTGTGTGCATGTGTGCCTGTTGATGTGTGTGTGCGTGTATGTGTGTGTCAGATATGGGGGATAAAGCCAGAGAAAAACACAAACTTCTGTTCTCCACGGTTGGCCCCAAGTGTCAGCCCCATTTTGTTGTCCTCCTGCCCCGAGATTTCAGTTGCCCCTCCCCTGCCTCATCCCCTCACCCTCTGTCCCCTGTTTGAGCAGATTGAGTGGGATTCCTCTCCCGGTGGTCATCATGTCCGGAAAACACCAAGCTGGTGTCCCTAGTTCATGGAAACCGAGGCTCAGTAATAGCCAGGCAGGTGTCTGGGCCGTCACGTCCGACACCTGGGCACCTGTCAGCCTCCCGTACCCTCGAGCTGCCTCTCTGTGGGTGGCTTCCAGAGCAGGACCATCACTGGCTCCTGGCGTGGGCAGTGGAGACAGCGTCAGGATGAGCAGGCGGCCTGCTCTCTAATGCCTCAGAAGGAGGGGCCGAGCTGATGAGCTAAGGCCATTTTCTCTGTTGATCTTGGCTGGCCACACCCTGGAGCCAGGGGCCTGTTTGGGGATCACAAACCAGATATTGGAATTCTGGGTTCCAGGTGGATATTCTCTGGGTTGAGCAAGGAGTCCAGGAACAGAGATTGGGCACGAGTCCCTTGAGGCCAGTGTCCGGCCTGTTTCCAACCCGGCTCCTTCTTGTGTGTTCCTCCCAGTGTGGGCCAAGAGCTGGGCCTCCCTGACAGGCAAGGACTGCAGGACACAGGGCTTGGAGGGGCTGAGGATAAAGGCCCAGGAGTCCCACACTCCCCGGGAACCCTCTGGGCCCCGAGCTCCCTCGGCGTCCTGTCCTGCCCTCTGTCTGCTGCCCCACTCCCATGCATCTCCTCCTTGACTCTGAACTCAGGGAGACAGCTTTGTGCCCGCAGAACATGGCTGGATGTTTTGCAGTGATTAAAGAATGAGTGTTCTTGAGCAAAGGAAGCCTTTGAGAAGAGAGGAGAGCAGGGGGCACTCGGCCTCCTTGTGAGGTCTGCAGCCCATGGCCTGCCGGGAAGCGTCTGGAAGAACCTCACCATGGACCCTCCCTGCAGTCTGGATGGCCCAGGCCTTAGTCACTCAACATACATGATATTGAACTGTGAAAGGTCTCCAACCTGTGTCCGAAAGCCTCCATATATACCAATTACAATACAGCAACCCATGTTGGATTTGCTTCCAATTTGTAATTAGAGTTGATAAACAAGGGAAACCTGCATTTATTAGATGGCTGGTTTGGAAGCCTCACTAACCATTTTCTGTGGTCGGTTTCAATTGTTTCTTTCCTGCATGTGAAAAATGCACTGTGATGTAATTCGAATATGGGTCTACTTTATGGGGTGGAACTGTCAGTCATCCTGACTCAGGAGTTGGGCTGGACTGCTGGCCAAGACTCACTGGGGGCCCACCAGACACTTCGCTGGAGTTTCGACTCATCCGTGGGGCTCCAGCCAAAGGCAATTGTTGATTTGCATTCTATGAAAAATCCCACTTTTTTTGCTTTCTCCAGATAATTTTACTCCCTTTTTAAGAACTCCTCTAGCCAAAAGTGATTACTCTGAGGCTTATGTCCTGGAAAGTCCTGGAGTCAGAAAGAACCGAATTTGAAATGTGTCGTGTATCTTCTGTGTTATGATTGGCAAGTCATTTTCCTTTCCAGGGTTTCATATGCCAAATGGGGCTAAAATAGCTTACACTGGAAACGTATTTTTTTGCATCAGATGAGACAGCAAATAAAAAGGCTTTGCAGGTTTAATAAAAACTCAAACTACACTGTATACATTTTCTCAAGTATTGCTAGTTAAATAGTTAAAAAATGAGCTGGCCATCACAAGGCATGTTGTTTAGTCAAAAAAAGTGACTCCTGCATGTTTCATTTAGTCATTCTGCAATTATTAGGCACCATCTGTTTTCAATGACGTGCGATGTATTCTGTTGAAAATAAAATGGCTTTAGATACCATCTTACTGTCTGGTAAGAGAAAGAGGACGTGGTATTGATAATGGCAAGGTCCCTTCACCCTAGGCTATTTCTTTATTTTTATTTTACTAAATGTATTTACTAAATCAAATTAGAATATATTTGGAATAAGGCTGGGGACAAAATAATTTAGCTCTAGTGTTTGAAATAATCAAACATCTGGAAGAAATATGATTGTTAAGGTCCAGTTTTATGCCGCGAGCCATGGGCATTCTTGGCATTGGAGTGTTGGGCTTCTGGGTGCTCTAGAGAGTTCTAGGTCTCAGGCTGGACAGCCTGACCATTAAAAACGGCTGAGCCAACGGCATAGAGTCCAGGGCTCCCTTCACAGGCATGCGACCTGGGCAATCACACGAGGTCTTGTGCTCAAAAGGGCCCCATGCTTGCTTTAATGCTCTGATCTTTGTGTCTTGAAATTCTTTTTTTAAAAAAATTTTTCTAAAAAAATTAAGTTCTGGTGTACATGTGCAGGATGTGCAGGTTTGTTATATAGATAAACACGTGCCATGGTGGTTTGCTGCACCTACCAACCCATCACCTAGGTATTAAGCCCAGCATGCATTAGCTCTTTTCACTAATGTTCTCCCCCGCCACCCTCCCACAACAGGCCCCATTGTGTGTTGTTCTTCTCCGTGTGTCCATGTGTTGTCATTGTTCAGCTCCCACTTATAAGTGAGAACATGCAGTGTTTGGTTTTCTGTTCCTGTGTTAGTTTGCTGAGGATAATGGCTTCCAGCTTCATCCATGTCCCTGCAAAGGACATGATCTCGCTCCTTTTCCTAGCTATATAGCATTCCATGGTGTATATGTGCTACATTTTCTTTATCCAGTCTATCATTGATGGGCATTTTGGTTGATTAAGTCTTTGCTATTGTGAATAGTGCTGCAGTGAACACACGCGTGCATGTATCTTTATAGTAGAATGATTTATATTCCTTTGGGGATATACCCAGTAATGGGATTGCTGGGTCAAATGGTATTAATTTTATTCCCAAACTTAGGTTTTGTAAGTGAAGTTCAATGGGACAATGGAGCATGTGCCTTGAGTGCAACGTGCATGTCCCTGCTCCCTGCTGTCCCATTCACATGTGGCCTTCTCAATGTCTTCTTGACAGAATGTTAGTGGACCCCCCGGTGTGTAGAAGTTCAGCAAGATTAAAAGCCAATACAAGGTGAGCATGTCCTGGAAAACTTTCAGCTTCCATAGAATGTTGGCAGAATATGCACGTATGAAGAAGTGAAATAAAAAAGTGGAGTTAATTTTCTGCAGCGTTTCCATATTTCTGGTAAGAATGAAATAAACATGCATATACAAGCTGCAAAGTACAAATTGTATAATTTTGTTTATTCTATGCATGAGTTAAATGCTCTTATATTTGTGTTTAAACTGGAATTGCACGATATAAAGATGTATGATACACTTCATGCTAATAATTTAAGTTTAATTTTTCTTTACTTAGAATGACAAATACATAGCAAACAAAGACACCGTGACAAGTAGGGAGAGAGAGGAAGGAACAGTGAGGGTACATTTCAGTACCTTGCAGGGCACGTTTTTCCTGCTTTTGGAGCAAGTGCCTCTGCTTCTACATTTTACACTGTGCCCCACAGATTATGCAGCCACTGCTGACCAAGTCTTTTGTTGGGATTGAGACACAGATGTATTACACCATATTCTAGCAGGATGAGGGTTTGCAGAAGCTCATATAACAAAGTGTCCAGAATTAGAGTTGAACCTACTCTACCAAGGCTTCATAGGAATAACCAGGTGGTGGGAATTGGTGAGAAGGAATCTCTTCCTTTTGGAAGTTGGATTTTCCTTGGAATTGTATATATGTGGTGTGATTATTCTTGTGGTGGACTAAGGCCCAGAGAAGTGCAGTGTTCCACTCAAAGTCACACAGTTCATCAGCTGCAGGGTAGACCTGAACTCAGGCATCTTACATCCTGATGGCCAGAGTCCTCAGCCTATCTTTTCTACTCCACACTTGGAAGCCAGGTGGGCATGTTTCCTCATCTGTGCCTCTTTGATTGTGTAATGTGCACTCATTCTTCAAACATTCAGTGAGTTCTACCTTGTGTTGGGTCACAGGCCTGGTGCTGGGGAGATAGCTGTGCTAGCAAGGAGTGTGGGCTATTGGTTATGAGCTTGGTTTCTGGAGATGGACAGAATTGGGTTCAGAGGGCAGCCCTCCCCCTCATTAGCTAAGTGATGCTGGCCATATCCATAGAGCATTTGAAGAGTTCCTGCCCTGCCTGGGGCCATTAGTATGGCAGTGAGCAGATGGGTGCACTTCCCTCCTGGAGGCTAGAGCTAGGGAGATAGACATCAACAAAGCTACTACAAAAATATTTATTTACTCTGTGGTAAAGGCTATGAAGGAAATGTGCAGGATTCAAAGGGAGATTGTAACAGAGAAAGTTACCAAATTTTTAAAGTCTCATTTTCCCACCTGCAAAATGGGAATAATAAAACCTATCTCAGAGGTTCATGGGGAGAATTAAGAGAGATACTTCAGGCCAGGTGTGGTGGCTCATGCCTGTAATCTCAGCACTTTGGCAGGCTGGGGCAGGCAGATCACTTGAGCTCATGAATTTGAGACCAGACTGGGCCACGTGGCGAAACCCCATCTCTACTAAAAAATACAAAAATCAGCCAGGTGTGGTGGTGAGCGCCTGTGGCCTCAGCTACATGGAGGGCTGAGGTGGGAGGATCACTTGAGCTGGGAGGTGGAGGCTGCAGTGAGTCGAGATCATGCCACTGCACTCCAGCTTGGGCAGCAGAGTGAGAACCTGTCTCAAAAAAAAAAAAAAAAAAAAAAAGAGAGATCGGTACCTTATGTGTGTACTAGCTGCTTTTAAAGGGAACTATTTGGGAAGCACAAATTTGGCCCA
The DNA here is from genome assembly GCF_000001405.40 of Homo sapiens. Lineage (NCBI taxonomy): Eukaryota > Metazoa > Chordata > Mammalia > Primates > Hominidae > Homo > Homo sapiens. Next base: position 99,002,989 of record NC_000014.9, on the reverse strand, counting down.
AATTTGGACCACTGAACTCTTTTGCCTTCCTTTAACATACGATGTCCATACTTTATCTTTGAAAGAAAGTCAACTATTATATTTATTCTCAATAAACGAAGTTGCCTTTCAACTATTAATAATTACTGTTAGCTATATTTATTATAGACAGAGTTGTAGTTTAAAAGAATCTGGAAAAACCCTAACAGTTCACAAAACATTTGGGGTAAAAATTTAAATTTCTCCCAAGCACTATATGATGGTGTTTACTTGGATCATTCATCAATTAAATGTTCCTTCTATTTAATAACATCATCTAGACACCTACAGGAAAGATCCCACTGTGAGTAACCTCACCTACATTTTGTCTTATTCAAGCCTCGAGACAGGGCCCTTGCTTTGTATATAATTTTTTTGGCCGATGCTAATACAATGGTCTATAATAAATATATTCAATTAAATAATATAAAGTACTAACACATAGTTTTCTTATGAATATTTAATCTCTTGTTTATAGTAATATTTTTCTTCTAAGGACTATATGCTTAAATATTTATTCTCACCAGGAACTGTATTTTGTATCATGATAGAAGTTGGGAAAATGACTAGGAAAACTCAGTGATTACCTGGGGAATAAAAACAGCATCATATGAAACTTACGTGAAAATAAAATATACCAAAAAAAACCCATAAAATGTTAAAGTATAACCATTTCTAAATGATCACTTAAAAAGGGTTCCAAAGAAACATTTCTTCTAGTTCCTGTTGTAACATACAAGTTAATATTAAAAATTCTTGAATAAAGACGATGGTTGTAAAATTCCGTGAATACACTGAAAACCAATGAATTAAACGGAGGAATTGTACAGTATATTGGTATGTGAATTATATCTCAATAAAGCGGTTTTTAAAAAGACTGAAAAAACCTCTCCAAAAACCGAATGTCACTCTTCTCCCCTTTTTGTTAAAATGAGCAGAGGGGCTGCTAATAACTATATTCTGTCCTCCAGCCATCTGCGGAAGGGCTTCTCTAAAACCAGTCAGCTAAATAACCAAACAGCCAAACCTAAGCTTGTATTCCACAGCTGCTGTGAACAAGGACACACAAGGCCACTTTCTTTAGGAAGTTTCCCCTACGCTCACGAGGGGGATGAAACGTGCCGTCTTCCCTGATGTTTCATCCTGGCTCTGTTGGGTTGTTTTTGGTGACATTGAACAGAAAATCTGGCCCAGTGAGGCATACATAATGGCCCTCATATGTAAAGAGAAGTCCAGAGGTATGTGAGTTTCAGGTGCTGAATATCAGGGGTTGGGTGGGTGCTTGGTTCTGATTTTTTGTGATTCTCTGGGTCCTGCTTGATGTGTGAGCTTCACCCTTGGGCTGGTAGCAAAATGGTGGCAGCAGCAACTCTTGCTTCCCATGAGCCTCTTCTTATCATCTGGGACGACTTTTCCCAGAAGCACCAGGGAGAGGCCCCTCATGCCACATCTCATTGGCCAGAAGTGAGTCACATGTTCACACCAGAACTCATTGCTGGCTCAAGACATGGAGTTACGCCATCTGGCATAGACCAATCAGGGTCTCCCCCAGAACGGGGCTTGCCAGTTCCTGAATTCCATGGTGAGCTGGCAGTTTCCCCGAGCACCATCAGGGCTTCTGATAGGAAGAGACAGCAGGCGAATGCATGCTGGGAAGCAGCCGTACGTTCTCCCTGGGCTTCATCCTGCTTGCCTATCTATACTTTGTGCCCCTTTTCTGGATGCCTGAAGGCCAAGGCCAGGGTCTTTCTTATCTCTGAGTCTTCCTCACTGCCTGACACCCAGGCTGTAATCCTGGGAGTGAGCTGATTAGATTGCTTTCTTTTTAAAGGGAATTAAAACAAAAACCCAAATGCTATGAGCGCATAACGAATATGTAGACACTGCCATCCGCTGTTGTCTTTGGTGGTACTTAAAAAAAAAAAAAACCTTAGCACTGACAGCATGCTTACAAACCTGCTATATCTGCAGTGAGCAAACAATTTCATTTTGCAACAATAACAGGCAACTCCTGACGCACGTTCATGCTAACCGCTTTCTTTTCGGCAGGCAGCCATCTCCCTTCTGTTGGTGAAATTGGCCTCTCCTCATCTTCCCGGTATCTTCTCCCAGAGTCTACATCCTTTGGGGGGTTTGCTCATAAGCTCAAATCAGGCAAATTCCCTCTTTTTAATACACGGAGGCATATACAAAACATTAATACTAAAACAAAACCTACCTGCACACAGATCCTTTTTTATCTGTGATGTTTGTCTTCAAACTTCCAAAATTTGTTTTCAATCCATCCTTGAAATCCAGAGGAACTTTCTCTGGATCATTAACAATGGAATGTCAACAGAAAGCGAGGCCTGCCACTGTGCATAAGAAATGGGTGTGGAACCAAGGAGAGAAAAAAGAGGAAGAGTAGAAGAATCTTTACTCCCTCCCTTCAAAAAGTCACACTTTACTATTTCTCTCTCATTTTCATCAATCACCAGGGCAATACCCCCTAGATCAATGCATTAACTTGTTTGTTTTTTACAATGAAGAAAAACTTCATAGCCTCATCATTCATTCCAGAGTGTGGGGGAAAAAAACAAAAGCCAGCCACCGAAATTTGCATGGTGCTCAATTATACATTAGTGAACATCACTTGGCAATCTGTTCATATCAATTTAATTGGATTTTAATACTGCCTCTGATCTTGTTTTCTAATTAACAGCAGTGCTTGGAAATAAAGCAGAACCATGCACCCAGCAACACCTTTGATCTCGACCATATGGAGCCCCACCAAGCTCTGGAAAAAAAATCTCCCTTGCCTCCACAGCCGGCCGAGAGAAGCGGGGGCCCCCAGATGGCCAGATACCATGGGCGCCCGCACCCCATGGCTTGTCTTGTCTTCTGATTGGTCCCCAGTGCAAAGGCAGGGGACTCGCTTCTCACGCTGGAGGCAAATCCGTGTCCCCAACGTTGGTGAGGTTGACAGTTTTCACAACTCGGTTTTGGGGGGGAAATATTTGAGTAAACAGCCCTGACCCTGTTGGGTTTGTTTTAGAGTGGAATCTCACCATCAGGACAGAGCAAAAATGTCATGGGCCCCTAGACCAGTGTGGAAAGCTCACTAAACCATTTTTCCAGCTGAGGCTTTTTCCTCTCTTTCTTTTGTTAAATCCTTGGGTCTCTAACTTTGCTGATCATCGTCTTGAGAATTGACCACATGGGAAGACTGATTTACACACTGGGTCAGCCTGAGAAGGAAAAAGCCCATGACCAATGACATCGGGGGGCCCAGAGGGAAGCCGGCTGAGGCAGAGGGAGCAAGTGGGCCGTGGCCAAGGGCCAAGGACCTGCATCCTCATCTTCCTCTCACCAGCATGGGGATTGGCAGGTTTAAGAGGCAGTTAGGAGAGGCAGGTGTGAGTAATGGGAACAGCACTGGCTTTCACCAAGCAACCAGGTTCACGACAGCCGTCATGTGACCTCGGGCACGTGACTCCACCTCTCTGTGAGGCAGTTTGCTCATGGATTCTTCTGCAATTCTGAAACATGAAAGTGCCAAAAGTCAACGCTTTGATAATTTCATAGCAGACTCATGTGGTGGCAAAGCCTGACCTGAGCTGACGTGAGACTATTTGTAATCTTTATTTATGCTGCTTAATGCAGGTACTCATTCATTCTGCTGTGGAAATAGTCCTGTCTGGGACAGTCGAAGGCTGCCCTAGACTCCATTGGGATATTATATGTTTACTTTTGTAAAATCCAAAATATCCTGGATTCTAAACCACACTGGGCCCCAGGAATTTAAGAATAGGGATTTTGGACCAGAGCCTTCCTCTGGGATGTCAGTTAATCAACCTAGAGCAGTGATTCTCTCCAGGGTGATTTTATTCCCCAGGGAACATGTACCAATACCTGGAGACATTTTTTATGATTGTAATGTGTGTGTAGGGTTCCCACTGGCGTCTACTAGGCAGAGTCCAGGGATGCTGCCAAACATCCTACAATACCATAGGACAGACAAAGAATACTCCAGTCCCAAATGCCCATCATGCTGAGGGTGGGAAACCCTAATCCATAGAATAGTACACATTCTAGCTTTATTCTTATTTCACCACTCTGAGCTCCTCTTCCTTCATCTGCCAATTGGAGGGCATGAACAACTGCCTCCAAGAGTTCTGGGGAAACCGTATGAGACAGTAGACGTGACTGTGCCTTCTGAACTTTACCGCTCAATAGAAAAATGAAAGACAGTTTACTCATTCAAAAAATAAAGTGTCGGCTGGAGCTGGTGGCTCATGACTGTAATTCTAGCACTTTGGGAGGCCAAGGCGGGTGGATTGCTTGAGCCCAGGAGTTAGAGCAACATGGCAAAATCTGTCTCTGGAAAAAAATACAAAAAAATTAGCTGGGCGTGGTGGCACACGCCTGTGGTCCCAACTATTTGGGGGTCTGAGGTTGGGGGATCACCTGAGCTCGGGAGGTCGAGGCTGCAGTGAGCCGTGATTGCACCATTACACTCCAGCCTGGGTGACAGAGCAAGATCTTGTCTCAAAAAAACATAAAACCACCACAAAAAAGAATAAAGTGTGTTCTTTGTAACCCTGGTCTTCATGATAAACACCTGCGTATATACCATGGGTGCTAGGCAGTGTGCAAGACACGTGGAGAGGGATTCATGGTCTCCCCTTTCAGGGAACTTGTAGCCTAGTTACTCTCCTGCTAGAGGTAACCATTTATAACTTGATCTATAATTTAGATGTTCTTGAAAGCAATATTTCCTTTGACTTGTTTTAACCTTTAGACTTCCCACTTTCCGAAGAACCCCAGCCCACGCACACACACCCCTTGTTGCTAATTAGAGAACTTTGATATGCAGGAGAAAGCACTAATAAAGAACCGTAAATAGCAGGTCCTGCCTGGCTCCTGCCTCCTCTGAGCTCCTCTCATTCCAGCTGGAACCACTTCACCCCTACTTGCAGGCTTAACCCCAAAGCTAGATTTCAGGAACAGCATTGCCTATGTAGTGGGGGCCCTGGAGCAAGGAGCTCTCTACTCTGTTAGCTCAGCTTCGCGTCTTCATGGATTTAATCCACCTCCACACTTGTGGACTGTTTGTGGCCTGTGGGCTTTGGTCTTGTCCCAGGTCCTGGTCTCCTGAGTCCCAGGTTTGGAAACTGGGCTTCTTTGCTGTGGTACTTCCTGGTGACTCAGGTTGTTCCAATCCCTTTACACTTTGCCCTTCCTTGTGCTGGTATAGGCTCTCCCTGCAGATATTGGATCCTGGCTCTTAGCAACCAGTGAATGGCAGACCATTTAGATGTTGCCTGCCTGTTCCCCGACCCTGTCCTTGGGTACCTGTGACCCTGATCCTCTGTGAGGCAGGGCATTTTATGGAATAGGCCATTCTGGGATGTAGAGGTCAATTCAAACTGTTATTGCTGGAACACAGTGACTTCTGCTTGAAGGACCTTTGATTGGCCACAGTCCTTGCTATAGTGTCCTGCATTCACTCTGGTGTCTGGCCATTTCCATGCCACCTGTGCCCTGCAGAAGTTACACAAGCTCCTTGGATGTCAACCAGCCTTTTGCCTTGGCTCAGATGTTAGATACACGCATGCCAAGCTCACATATACTTCCTTAAATATGACCAGGTGTATCGGTTATTATAAGTAATACTGGTTGCTGAAATAACCAATCCTTAAACCAGCTCTCAGGAGCTACAAAATAAAAGTTGACTTATTGCTCATATCATCATCTGATGACCTTCACAAGCCTCTCCTGGGCAGATTATCTTCAAGTGGGGACTCGGGGATCCTGGTGTTTTCTACTGTGTGGCTACACTGCCTTGGATTCCTTTGCTTCCAGCCATGTGGATTGGAGGGAAAGAGACAATGAAGGTAATATGGGACTTTTTGGGGACCAGGCAGAGAACTGATGTATATGACTCTTACACCCACATTCAGTTGGCCAGAATTTAGTCACATGACCCAACCTGACTACAGTTGGGCTGGGAATTATAATCTCCCCATGCATCCTGGAAGAGGGAATGGGATTGAGGAGCCTCAAGATAATGATGGCCACAGTCCATCTTTCTGGTTGTCAAATCACTGTTTGACTTTTCCTCCTACACATAGAAGACACTCACCCCCTTCCCACGGGGAAAAACCTCAAAAGCCATCCAGTTTCCATTCAGTCTCTACATCCAGCTGAAAGTCCAGGATTTCTGAGTGCTACGTTATTCTCTACATCTGGTCTAAATGTGGCTTCTCATGAGCCAGTGACTTATGCACCACAATGACAAGCTACTTGTCCCCATACACCCAACATGAGGTGGTAGAACAAAGGCTAGGTCATTGCAATAAATACTTCCTTTAGGAAAACAGATGAGTGGAAGACATTAGCAGCCCCTGATTCATAGCAGGTCTGAGATCCTCAGCCTGGGTGTGCATTATGAAGGCTCTCTGCACCTGAGTTCTGGGGACTGTCACTGATGAAGTTCTGGTCTTGGTCTCTGAGAGAAACCCCTGGGTACATGTTTCTCTGCCGCTCCTGCCTCCATCCTTTAGGGGAGTCCCCTTGTTCATCTCTCTCCTTAGCCACCTCTAAAGTTGTTGTTGGGGGCATACTCTTCTTGGGGGCTGAGCAGCCTTTGAAGGCTGCATTCTCCTTGAGGGGAGGTTGGGGGCTTAAATGTTTTTAATCCAAATCAATTATTGATTGCCTATGATAAGCTTTTATTCATATTTTTAAAAATTGAGGTATAATTTAAGTATGGTAAAATTCACCTTTTGTGCATACTTCTGACTTTTGACAAAGACTCATAATCATGTAACCATTGCCACAATTGAGAATTAGGATAGTTCCATCACCTCCCCAAATTTCCACATCTTGTCTGTCATCAACCCCTCCCCCAACTCTAGGCCCTGGCAACCTCTGATCTGTTTTGGAATCATATAGTATGTAGCCTTTGGGTCTAACTTCTTGCACCATGCATAATGCATTTGGAATTCATCCAAGTTGTTTCCCATATCAATGAAACAGTTTATTTTTATTGCCAAGTAATATTCTAAGTATATAGATGTCACCTCTTGAAGGACATTTTTGTTGTTTCTGTTTTTTTTTTTTTTGGCTGGAAATAGAATAAAGCTGCTGTGAATAAATAGAACTTTCACATATAGGTTTTAAGTTTTCTTTTCTTTTGGGTACATGGAGAATGGAATTACTGGGTCATATTGTAAGTGTATGTTTAATTTTATGAGAAACTGCCAGTGTTTTCCAAAGCAGCAGTACCATTTTGCACGCCCACCATCAGTACACGGGAGTACCAGTTGCTTTCTGTCCTGTCAGCACCTGGTGTATGTCTTTTTCATTTTAGCCATTCTAATAAGTGTGTCGTTGTATCTCATTGTAGCTTTAATTTGCATTTCCCTAATAACTGAGCATGTGTTTATTTGACCTTTATCAATCTTATTCCAGGATCGATCTCTTCAAATCTTTTGCCCATTTTGTTATTGAATTATTTTCTTATTTTGAGTTGTGAGAGTTCTTTGTCTACTTTGAACACAAGTCCTTTCTCTGTTATGTGATTTGCAAATACTTCTTCCTAGTCTTTTGGCTTGTGTTTTACTGTTTTTCTTTCTTTCTTTCTTTTTTTTTTTTTGAGACAGAGCCTTGCTTTGTCACCCAAGCTGGAGTGCAGTGGCAAGCGACTCTCCTGCCTCAGCCTCCCAAGTAGCTGGGATTACAGGCGTCCGCCATTACTCCTGACTAATCTTTGTATTTTTAGTAGAGATGGGGTTTCATCATGCTGGCCAGGCTCATCTCGAGCTCCTAACCTCAGGTGATCTGCCTGCCTTGGCCTCCCAAAGTGTGATTACATGCGTGAGCCTCTGCACCTGGTCTGTCTTTTACTGTTTCTTAACAGTGACTTTTAAGAGCAGAGCTTTCATTTTGATGAAGTCTAATTTATCAATTTCTTTCTTAAAGGTTGTGATTTGTGATGCTGTATCTAAGAAATCTTTACCTAAGCCAAGGTCACAAAGTGTTTCTCCTGTTTTCTTCTAGAACGAAATGTGTTTTAAGTCTTGAATAGTGAAAGGCCTTTAGAACTCAGACTTTTGCTTTCCTTAGACGCATAACCCTTAAGAATTTAGTAAGCTTCTGATCCATTTGCCTGGCTCCATTCTGTGTACTGGTAGCCACACCCAAAGTCCCTTTTGAGGTGTGGTTCTCAGATGGGTTTCATTTCTTTGCTTTCTCTCCCCTGCCTTTCTCTCTCTCACTCTCTTTCGATTTACTGGTGTTTCTTTGGAGTTAAAAGGCTTGAATAGAAATGCCACACCCTTAATCTGAATCTTTGCTTCAAGTTCCTTTACCCAACTCAGAAGATTTCCTAGGCCTTTGCCCTTCAAACCTTTTAAAATCCCATTTCTGACTCCTGGGGACTTGAAGCATTTGGCTTTTCTAACCTGGCAAAATCCCAGATTTCTGGATGCTCTAATTCTCCTTCCATTCTGCTTGCAAACTGGTCAAATCTTTCCTCAGCTTATCTTTCTTTAATAGTTTTCCAGATGCACTCAAATGTAGCTGAAACATGCAGATTATGAATGCTGTGTTTTCCAACCGCTTCTCTAGAGCTGTAAGTTCAGTAGCCACAAGTTCTGCCTGCCACATAATCACAGGAAACAGTCTTAGAAAGTGCCTTTCCCTGGATAACTTAAATGTCTAGCCATCTATCCTGCAAAATCTGTTTCCTCACCTCCTGATACTTGACTGATAATCTGATGACATCTATTTTAGAATATAAAGAAATCTGCACCCCTCTTTTGTCTCCTTGTTTTGTTAATCAGGATAAGAAACAGTAGTTGCTATAACAAACAATCCAGCATTTCAGTGCCTTAACATAACAAAAGCTTACTTTTGACTTGTGTTAGAGTCCATTGAGTTTCCTCTGAGTACTGACTGGGCTTCTTCCACAGTGCAGCTCCCCTATGTCCACAGCCTTTTACCTTCAGCCACAAGGACAGAGGAAGCAGAGGGAGCATGAAGTAGCCTATAGAGTGAATTGGAGCTGGACTTGACAGGTGCCTGTGTGTCCACTCCCATTCCATTGGTCAGAACCGAGGCACATGGCCCTAACATCACTGTGAGCAACATTGGAAAGTGTAGTCTTCCTGTGTGTCCAAGAAGACAGGAGTGGTGAGAATCTCGCTGGATCCATCCTAGAACTTTTTCTGTGGCAAAGACATGGGGGTTCTCCCCTGAGTTAGATCTCTCCTGGCTCTTTTAAGGATTCTGTATTGAGTAAAACCTCAGCACCTTCTTAAAATCCATCCATTCAGTGATTTATTGGTGAGCATTTTAACCTGCCAGGCATAGTGTTTGGAAGGGAGAGGTGGGAGGGGAAGGGGGTGGTCCTAACATGTAGTAAGTAGCTTCTATGTTTCTAGCACTTGAAATGATTATTTATTTATTTATTTTTGAGATGGCGTCTTGCTCTGTTGCCCAGGCTGAAGTGTAGTGGCGTGATCTCGGCTCACTGCAACCTCTGCCTCCCGGGTTCAAGTGATTCTCCTGCCTCAGCCTCCTGAGTAGCTGGGACTACAGGTACCTGCCACCACGCCCAGCTAATTTTTGTATTTTTAGTAGAGACAGGGTTTAACTTGTTGGCCAGGCTAGTCTCGAACTCCTGACCTCAGGTGATCTGCCTGCTTCAGCCTCCCAAAATGTTGAAATTACAGGCGTGAGCCATCACACCTGGCCTGAAGTGATTATTTAATCCCCACAGTGATAGAGATACCTGTTTTATCCCCCTTGGACAGATGAGTGAACTGGTTCTGAAAGGTGATTGTGCCCAAGGTCACAGAGCTAATAACCTGATGAACCACAATTACATCTTACATTCATTCTACATGACTAACCTATGTTTGTACCACGAGGAGGTTTATATCCTCTAATTATAGTCTGGTGCGGGACACAGACATCAAAATCCAGTGAGACAAGTGGACATGGTATTGTCAGAGTACTGGCCACTGTAACTGGGGGTGGAGGATTTCATGCGCGTCCCTGTGAAGAGACCACCAAACAGGCTTTCTGTGAGCAATAAAGCTTTTAATCACCTGGGTGCAGGCGGGCTGAGTCCGAAAAGAGAGTCAGCGAAGGGAGATAAGGGTGGGGCTGTTTTATAGGATTTGGGTAGGTAAAGGAAAATTACAGTCAAAGGGGGTTTGTTCTCTGGCGGGTGGGAGTGGGGGTCGCAAAGTGCTCAGTGGGCAGGAGTGGGGGTCGCAAGATGCTCAGTGGGGGTGCTTTTTGAGCCAGGATGAGCCAGGAAAAGGACTTTCACAAGGTAATGTCATCAGTTAAGGCAAGGACTGGCCATTTACACTTCTTTTGTGGTGGAATGTCATCAGTTAAGGTGGGGCAGGGCATATTCACTTGTTTTCTGATTCTTTAGTTACTTCAGGCCATCTGGGCGTATATGTGCAGGTCATAGGGGATGCCATGGCTTGGCTTGGGCTCAGAGGCCTGACATTCCTGCCTTCTTAATAAGAAAAATAAAACAAAATAGTGTTGAAGTGTTGCGGTGGTGAAAATTTTTGGGGGGTGGTATGGAGAGAGAATGGATGATGTTTCTCAGGGCTGCTTCAAGTGGAATTAGGGGCGGCGTGGGAACCTAGAGTGGGAGAGATTAAGCTGAAGGGAGGTCTTGTGGTAAGGGGTGATATTGTGGGGATATTAGAAGAAACATTTGTCGTATAGAATGATTGGTGATGGCCTGGATATGGTTTTGGAAGAATTGAGAAACTAAACGGAAGATACAAGGTCCGAATAAAAGAAGGAGAAAAGTGGGTATTAAAGGACTAAGAATTGGGAGGACCCAGGACATCCAATTAGAGAGTGCCCAAGGGGGTTCAGCATAATTACTTGCTTGGTTGGTAAGTTTTTGGGCTCTATCCTTGAGTTTTTTTATGTTGTCATACACCAGGCCAGATTGATTTAGGTAAGAACAACACTCCTCATTTAAGAATATGCAGAGTCCTCCTTTTTCAGCAGTGAGTAAGTCAAGGCCTCGGCGGTTTTGGAGGACAACTGCAGCTAAAGAGTCAACTTGGGCCTGGAGGACTGATAAAGTTTGTGATATGTCTGTGATGCTAGCAGAGAAGTCATTAGACAGGCTATGGAAGGTCATGACAGACATTGAAATGCCTGCTATTCCAGTACTGAGAGCAATAGTGGAGGCAGAAAGTCCTAAACCGACCATCAAGGGAATTAGTGGAATAACTCTTTTTTGTCATGTCGGTGTCATGAGGGGAACAGGGAGCTCTTCGGTCCCATTTGCAAATTGAATTTTGGGGGTAAGGAAGACTAGTGTACATGTGCCTGTCCAATTGGCAGGTAGACACATGTAGGTAGAGGATCCACAGAGGAAGAAGAGACCTTGTGCGAGGCAAAACTGGAGATGTAAAGTAAAAAGGTGAGAAGGAGTGCTGAAAGGGGTGTCTTGTACCCAGACTCCTAGGGATCCAGCTAGGGCGGCAGCTGTCAGAGGTTGTAATGGGGACTGATGGGGTAATTGTGTAGAGGGGGAGGTTTGATTTTCATGGTGTATGAGAAAATGTCGACTATCTACGAGCAACCTTTCACTGTTATTTTCAGGGCTGGGTATAAGTAAACAAGAAGAGGGCCTGGGAGGAGAATCTGATGAGCAAGGGGAAGGTAGCCAAGGATGGAGGGAAATACGAGGCAAGTGTCTTCCTAAGCAATAATTACTGCTAATGTTTTTAAGTTTGTCAGTATTGATAGAGGGCTTGTCTGTAATATGGAGCTGGAAGGCTCCAATTGTTTCAGTGATGTGTGTAGTTGGACTTCAGAGATGAAGAGTAAAGGAACGTCGAGAAGGTGAAAGATTACCTAGGGGAATTCCAGTGGGTCTTTGTCAAGAGATACATAAAGGAGTGGCCACAGGAATAGTAGTTTGTGTGTGAGAGGTCCAAATATGGGGGGAGTAGAGTTAATATAAGGAGAAAGGTTTTTTAAATAAGTGCGAAGGAGGGCGGCAGCTTGCTGATGTGAAATGTCTGGGGAAGTCTTGCTGGACCTGTCTAGAAAGTAAATGAGTTCTTCAGGAGGGTAAAGGTGAGGGCTGTTAAAGGAAGTTCGGAGGTGTAGGGAGATGGGAGATGTTGCCCAGTCTGTCTGTAAGGCGGGGACAGCTGTGTAGGCACTGGAAGAAAGGGAAATGCAAAGCCAGCAGTTGTTCGCTAAGGAGGGATTAGAAGCAGCTAGGAGAGAATGGGTAAGGTTGATAGTGTGGTGGAGATAGCTGGGGAGAGGTAGAGGGTGACATAAGAATGGGAATGAGAATAAGAGTGAGTATAAAAGTAAAGAATAGAACTTCATCAGGGTGGAAGTATTGGAGGGTGCCTTGCCAGCAAAGATCATCTATCCACTCTAAGAGGGAGTTAAGAGTGGCAGTTTGGGGATAGCACCAAGAGATATCAGCTGTGATGGCTTGGAGAAACAGTGTAAACCGGCGGTGTAAACAAGAGTAGGGCATTTATAAGTAGTTGAGAATGGAGAATAGGAGTATGACCGGACAGAAGATAGTAGGGATGACTAGTTTTTTGGGGCTCGGCCTAAGTGGTGGGGTGACTTCGTAAAGCCCTGTTGCAAAAAGTAGGGTAAGGATGAACAGACCTAATAGAATGAAGGGATGTATTAGGCTCATAAGGGTTATTACTGTTCTTCAGAAATACGAGTGTGTTTAAGGGAAGTTGGGGAGAGTACTTGCGACTTCCAGGAGGAAGAGGAGGGATTAGGCTGGCTGTCCGATGGACACAGCTTTATTCTGGAACGGTGAACCCAGTGGGGAGGATCCTGCAGGCGGACGGCAGTCAGGGTACTATAGATGACTAAGTAGGGTCCGGTCCATCGAGGTTGTAGAGTTTGAGGGGTCAGATTCTTAACAAGAACTGATCGTCCAGCTAGGTTGTCTTCATATGGCTGGGGATCTGGAGTAGGCAAGAGAAGATTAGCAGCCTGGCGAATTTCCTGTCTAGCCTGCTGGAGTACTGGAAGATAGTCGCCTAGAGGGCTGGTGTCTGGGATGAGGTTGGGGCCAAGCAAGAAAGTGCATCCATATAAAAGTTCAAATGGACTGTACCCTGTAGCATCTCGAGGACAGGCTCTGATTCTGAGAAGAGCAAGAGGTAAAAGTACTGTCCAATCCTTTTTAAGTTGGAGGCTGATCTTGGTGAGGTGTACCTTTAAAAGACCATTAGTCCGTTCTACCTTTCCTGAAGATTGAGGACGGTAAGGGGTATGAAGGTTCCACTGAATACCAAGAGCCTGAGGAACTGCTTGGGTGATTTGGCTAGTAAAGGCTCATCTGTTATCAGACTGTATTGAGGTGGGAAGGCTAAACTGAGGAATTATGTCTAACAGAACGGAAGAAATGACTGCGGTGGCCTTCTCAGACCCTGTAGGAAAGGCCTCTACCTATCCAGTGAAAGTATCTACCTAGACTAAGAGGTATTTTAGTTATCTGACTCAGGGCATGTTGAGTAAAGCTAATTTGCCAGTCCTGGGTGGGGCAAATCCTCGAGCTTGATGTGTAGGGAAGGGAGGGGGCCTGAATAATCCCTGAGGAGTAGTAGAATAGCAGATGGAACACTGAGAAGTTATTTCCTTGAGGATAGATTTCCACGATGGAAAGGAAATGAGAGGTTCTAAGAGGAGGGCTAGTGGCTTGTACTATAGCATAACCTGCCTTTGCTGGTGTGTGGCGATTAGGCCTGGTGGAACCGCCATCAATAAATCAAGTGTGATCAGGGTGAGGAACAGGAAAGAAGGAAATTTGGGGAAATGTGAATGTTAGGTGGATCAGAGAGATACAGTCATGGGGGTCAGGTGTGGTATCAGGAATAATGTGGGAGGCCAGATTGAAGTCTGGGCCAGGAACAATGGTAGTTGTGGGAGACTCAACAAGGAGTGAGTACAGCTGAAGGAGCCGGGAAGCAGAAAGTATATGCTTCAGGTATGAGGAAGAAAATAGATTTTGGAAGTTATGAGAACTGTAGAGAGTGAGTTGAGCACAGTTTGTGATTTTTGAGGGCCTCTAAAAGTATTAAAGCAGCGGCAGCTGCTGCACGCAGACATGAGGGCTAGGCTAAAACAGTAAGGTCAAGTTGTTTGGACAGAAAGGCTACAGGGTGTGGTCCTGGCTTTTGTGTAAGAATTCTGACCGCGCTAACCATGCCTAGGAAGGAAAGGAGTTGTTTTGTAGAAGGTGCTTGGGTTTGAGAGATCAGTTGGACACAATTGGCAGGGAGAGCACGTGTGTTTTTATGAGAATTATGCCGAGATAGGTAACAGATGAGGAAGAAATTTGGGCTTGATTGAAGTAATGGGGGCTGTCTGTGAAGCTTTGTGGCAGTACAGCCTAGGTAATTTGCTGAGCTTGATGGGTGTCAGGGTCAGTCCAAGTGAAAGTGAAGAGAGGCTGGGATTAAGGGTGCAAAGGAATAGTAAAGAAAGCATGTTTCAGATCCAGAACAGAATAATGGGTTGTAGAGGCAGGTATTGAGGATACGAGAGTATATGGGTTTGGCACCACGGGGTGGATAGGCAAAACAATTTGGTTGATAAGCCGCAGATCCTGAACTAAATTGTAAGGCTTGTCTGGTTTTAGGACAGGTAAAATGGGGGAATTGTAAGGAGAGTTTATAGGCTTTAAAAGGCCATGCTGTAGCAGGCAAGTGATAACAGGCTTTAATCTTTTTAAAGCATGCTGCGGGATGGGATATTGGCATTGAGTGGGGTAAGAGTGATTAGGTTTTAATGAGATGGTAAGGGGTGCATGATCGGTCGCCAAGGAGGGAGTAGAGGTATCTTATACTTGTGGGTTAAGGTGGGGGGATACAAGAGGAGGAAGCAAATGAGGCTTTGGATTAGGAAGAAGGGTGGCAATGAGATATAGCTGTAGTCTGGGAATAGTCAGGGAAGCAGATAATTTAGTTAAAGTGTCTCAGCCTAATAAGGGAACTGGGCAGGTGGGGATAACTAAAAAGGAGTGCTTAAAAGAGTATTGTCTAAGTTGGCACCAGAGTTGGGGAGTTTTAAGAGGTTTAGAAGCCTGGCCGTCAATACCCACAACAGTTATGGAGGCAAGGGAAACAGGCCCTTGAAAAGAAGGTAATGTGGAGTGAGAAGCCTCCGTATTGATTAAGAAGGGGACGGGCTTACCTTCCACTGTGAGAGTTACCCGAAGCTCGGCATCCGTGATGGTCTAGGGGGCTTCCGAGGCGATCGGGCAGCGTCAGTCTTCAGCCGCTAAGCCGAGAAGATCTGGGAAGGAGTCAGAGAGCCTTGGGCCAGAGTCCCAGGGGCTCTGGGAGTGGCTGCCAGGTGAGTTGAACAGTCCGATTTTCAGTGGGGTCCCACACAGATGGGACGCGGCTTAGGAGGAATCCTGGGCTGCGGGCATTCCTTGGCCCAGTGGCCAGATTTCCGGCACGTGTAGCAAGCTCCTGTGGGAGGAGGTTCTGGAGGAACGCCTGGCCGCTGCGGTTCAGGTGTTTGGAAGTTCTTGTGTGCTGGAGATGTGGCTGGGGTTTGTCTCATAGTGGAGGCAAGGAATTGCAACTTTTTTCTATTATTGTACACCTTGAAGGCGAGGTTAATTAAATCCTGTTGTGGGGTTTGAGGGCTGGAATTTAATTTTTGGAGTTTTAGTTAATGTTGAGAGCAGATTGGGTAATAAAATGTATTTTGAGAATAAGATGGCCTTTTGACCTTTTAGGGTCTAGGGCTGTAAAGCGTCTCAGGGTTGCTGCCAAACGAGCCATGAGCTGGGCTGGATTTTTATATTTGATGAAAAAGAGCCTAAACGCTTCTGATTTGGGGTAAAGAAAAAGGAGCATTAACCTTGACTATGCCTTTGGCTCCAGCCACCTTTTTAAGAGTAAATTGCTGGGCAGGAGGGGGAGGGCTAGTCATGGAACGAAACTGTAAGCCGGACCAGGTGTGAGGAGGGTAGGTGATAAAAAGATTATAGGGTGGAGGAGCAGAGGCTGAGGAAGAATTGGGACCTAGCTCGGCCTGGCGAGGAGCAGCCTGGGGAGGAAGGGAGAGGTCAGATGGGTCTGTAGAAAAGGAAGGTTAGAAAGACTCAGCGACACTTGGGGTTGGTACTGAGGGGACAGGCGGGAGGGAAAGAAGGAAGATTTGGGATGAATTGCACTGGGCACAGAGACTAGGAAGGGACTGATGTGTAAAAGAATGCCTGGACATCAGGCACCTCAGACCGTTTGCCTATTTTAGAAGAATTATTTAGATCTTGCAGTATGGAAAAATTCAAAGTGCCATTTTTTGGCTATTTGGAACTACTGTCGAGTTGTATTGGGGTCAAGCGGCATTGCAGAAGAAAATAAGGCATTTAGGTTTTAGGTCAGGTGTGAGTTGAAGAGGTTTTAAGTTTTTGAGAACACAGGCCAAGGGAGTAGAAGGAGGAATGGAGGGTGGAAGGTTCCCATAGTGAAGGAAGCAAGCCTAGAGAAAAGAGAGAGTAGAGAAATGGAGGGAAGGGGTTCGGGGGTTCTTACCTTCCAGAAAAGTGGGAAAAGGGGTTGGGGCACAGAGATAAGAGGTTGGGGCGTGGAAATAAGGGATGGGGCACAGAAATAAGAGGTCAGGGCACGGAAATAAGGGATTGGGGCACAGAGATAAGAGGTTGGGGCGTGGAAATAAGCGATTGGGTGGTTCTTGCCCCCTAGGAAAGCGGGACTTGCCGCTAAGGGTGAAGGAGAAGGGGTTGAGGGGTACTTGCCCCTGCCCCAGGAAAGCGGGACTTGCCGCTAAGGGTGAAGGACCAAGGCAGGCGTCCCTGCGTGGTCTGACACCCTTGAAACGTGAGTGTATAATCAGAGAGGCATCCCTGCAATGATTAAACACCAAGGGAAGGCTGCCTTCCCAGTCCGTGACCGGCGCCGGAGTTTTGGGTTCATGGATAAAATATGTCTCTTTTGTCTCTACCAGAAAATGAAAGGAATTGAAATTAAGAGAAGGGAGAGATTGAAGTGTGGCGCCAAGATTGAAAGGAGAAAGAGGTTGAGGGATAGTGAGGGAGGTTGGAGAAGAGAGTAAAAAGAGGCCACTTACCGGATTTGAAATTGGTGAGATGTTTCTTGGGCTGGTCGGTCTGAGGACCTGAGGTCATAGGTGGATCTTTCTCATGGAGCAAAGAGCAGGAGGACAGGGGATTGATCTCCCAAGGGAGGTCCCCCGATCCGAGTCACGGCACCAAATTTCATGCACGTCCCTGTGAAGAGACCACCAAACAGGCTTTGTGTGAGCAATAAAGCTTTTAATCACCTGGGTGCAGGCGGGCTGAGTCCGAAAAGAGAGTCAGCGAAGGGAGATAAGGGTGGGGCTGTTTTATAGGACTTGGGTAGGTAAAGGAAAATTACAGTCAAAGGGGGTTTGTTCTCTGGCGGGTAGGAGTGGGGGTCGCAAGGTGCTCAGTGGGCAGGAGTGGGGGTTGCAAGGTGCTCAGTGGGGGTGCTTTTTGAGCCAGGATGAGCCAGGAAAAGGACTTTCACAAGGTAATGTCATCAGTTAAGGCAAGGACCGGCCATTTACACTTCTTTTGTGGTGGAATGTCATCAGTTAAGGTGGGGCAGGGCATATTCACTTGTTTTGTGATTCTTTAGTTACTTCAGGCCATCTGGGCGTATACGTGCAGGTCACAGGCGATGCGATGGCTTGGCTTGGGCTCAGAGGCCTGACAGAGGAGACACTGGGAAATCTAGGGGGAAGGACATTTGAGCTGGGCTTCTGCAGGACAGCCAAGAGCTCACCAGATGGTGGAAGACAAGGTACTTGCTACCTATAGTTTCCCATGGCCTCTGCTCCAGGCTAGGCCCTACAAGGGAGGACCTCCCTAAAGTTTCAGTTTGGGGTTCTTATTTTAATTTGTGGTGCCTGTGATGCGGAGTTCTGAGGAGAAGACCTAAAGGAAATTGCTGTTTTGAGCCTGTTGGGCTGTGTCCCCAGTAGGTGCAGATGTTCTGATAAGGTGTGGTGATCGTGACCTCACAGAGCCGCTCTGCCAGGAGATAAGGGCAGATGAGTTGCAGAAAGAGCTTCCTGTCGTGGGCTGATTGGCTGGCGGGGTGGATCTGAAGCTGCGGCTGGGCCAGCCCTGCAGAGGCCGCTGACTGGGTCAGTGAAGTGCTGAGGCTGCACTTCTTGCTCTACCCTCCATGGCTGCATCTCTGGGTCACCTCGTCCATGGAGGACCCCTTTGAGACACGCGGGGGCAAAAGAGAGAACAGTGTTTTAGGGGATCCTTAGAGCTGGTTTCAGTCTTGCCTATGTTATTAGTTAGCTATGCGGTTGTAGCAAAGCCACCTTGCTACTCTGAGCATCCTTCCCCCATCTATAAAATGGAGTTATCAGTCCCAACTTCAAAGGACTATTGGTGGCGTTCAGCAGTCAGTGAACCCGAAGTTCCTACGAGGGCACCGGGTGTAGAATAGATGCTCAATCAAAGGTGGCTACACTTTGTGTCATCGCCCTATTCATCATGATTGTCCCATCACTCATTATCCTGGTCTGATTTTGGCTTCTGCTCTCTGGAGAATCTTTCTTGAGCTCTGTAGCCTTGCACCAAGCTCTGGGATTTCAGCTATAATCAGTCTTATATACAGTGCCCTGCCTGGAGCTTCCAGGCCAGGAGAAGAGACTGGGCTTAACAGTTGATCAACCCCATATGTCACGAGTAGGGTGAGCTCTGTGGAAGTAAAGTCTGTGGGTGGGGAAGTGGCCTATGGGGTCTCACCCAGACCAGCCAGAGATGTTCCACCAGGAGCCTTCAGCCTGGTAAGCAGCAGGGCAGGGGGTGTGACTCCAATCTGGATCTGCCTGACTCTGAAGACGTTGTGCTCTTTGATAGCTATGCAATGAGGTCACCATGCTCTAGGAACCAACATTTGTCCTATTTGGTGTCACCTCAGTCCTTTGGGTTCAGTCCTCAAAATAGGTAAACGTCAGAAGTCATCCCTTTCCTTTTTGGTTTGTCAAAATGCTGCAGGCTTTTTGCTCTTCCTCCCTCCCTCCCTCCTTCTTTCCTTCATTCCTTCTTTTCTTTCTTCTTTCGTTCCCTTTCTCCTTTCCTCCTTCCCTTTCTTCCCTTCCTCCCTCCCTTCCTATTGATGCGGCTTCACAATGTGAAACTGTGTCCCTGTGAGTACACGATCTGTACGTGTTGCTGGGGCACTGTACTTGAGCTCCGATATCATCCCTCCTCTGTGTGCACCATGAAAACCAGTTTGCTACCTGGAGGAGTCCAGACACCTCAAATGTCAAAGGAAGCTTCTCTTTCTGTTTCTGTCTCTTCCCTCTTCTGTGGGAGGGGCCACAGCTTGAGGAAAGGGCCCATTTTGGGGGCCAAGGAATTATTCAAGGGGGCCAGGGAATCAATTTTTACTCATCTACTAAGGAGCAGCTCCAGGACCGGCCCAGGACCCTGCTAGAAAGAACATTCCAATACAGGCTGACAGGCTGTAGAAATTAACGCGCAATACAATGAGGGGTCGTTATTCACATGGGTTGAGAACAATAACAAAAAATGCGGGAATATTAATTGATGTGCCATGTTCATAAAATGAAGAGGGGGGAGGAGAGCTTGAAATGATGGCGACAAAACAGTAAGAAGATGATTCCTAACGGGAAACATTAAACATACATACAGTGGCAGCGAATTGGATACGTTCGCAACAGATTTCCTGCTAACACAAATTGGCTGTTAGCCTCTTTACAGACAGCTGAGGGAAGCTGGCATCTTGGTTTGTACTAAGTGGAGAATTTTAACCGATTAGGGAATGTGGGGTGCTAAAAACCATCCTCCATCCCCCGATAGCTGATATATTATTTGGTAAAGTCTGAAAAAGCAAGCTAAGAAGACAGGTCTAAGTCCCTGACTTCTGGATTCCAATGTTCCTCTCATCTTCCTCTCTCAGGGCATACATGTGATTTCCCCTTCTGTAGCACTTCCTGTAAAAACTTACGTGTTTATTTATTTGGTGTGATGTCTGTCACTCCAGCTAAGCTGTAGACTACAGTGTTTTTGCCAAGACATTCTAGGAGTTGGGTGTTTCCTCTACCTTGGCACCTTTGAGATCTCCTGTTCTTTCTGAATGCTGCCTTGTAGCACTGTAGCCCGATCCCAGAAGAAACAATTCTGGTATTACATCTGGACCCAAGTCCTCGTTTTGCTCTCTGGCTACTCTCAATGTGACCTTGGGCAAGCCATTCCACCTCTCTGCATTTCAGATTCCTAGTCTGCATAATGGAGGTAAGAACTGGGTGAGATAGAGTGGCACAGGATATAGTAGAATCCAGGTTTCCTGACCCCATGCCAACACTCTGTTCCCCACAATTGAATGTTCTACACTGGTGGCTTCCAAACGGGGTAGATGTACATGCAGGGAGTTAACACTGAAGACAAGGAAAAAACACTAGAACTTTTATTTATGGTTAACTCAGCTCAGTATAAATAAAAACACATGCTTAACAATACATGTGTTTAATTTATAAAGAAGGGTATACGTAGGAAGTCCATGCTCGAACATTCCGTCTCTGCTTTGAAATAGCTCACAAACTATATCTAGATGACAGAAGCTCAGCAATTTAGGCGTCTACCACCTTTTGTTTTAACCACTCTAAGTGGAAATAATTTCCGCTTAGGCAGAGACAGTGGAATATGATGTAGCATTGTCTGTGAAATTCCGAGCTCCGGTTGGGAATATCAGCTTGTACCACTCTAAAATACTGTGTGACTTTTACATGGGGCTACTATTTTTCAGTGACACTAAATGGCCCCAGACTTCAGTTCCTTTTCAGGTTTCCTGTCTGCTTTTTGTAGTCGTTCTATCTCTTTCTCACGCTACTCCATAAAGGTAAGAGCCTAAGAGGAATTTTGGAGGATTTGGGATTCTGGGTTCAGGTTGGCCACTAGCTTACCAGGTAAGCTTGGGAAGATCCCTTCTCTTCCCCGAGTTCTGGGTTCCTGGTTTGTAAATGAGTGGATTGGTCCAGGTCATCACCTCTGGTCCCTTCTAGCCCAGTGATGCCGTCACACTGAAAGATGTTGGCCAGTATATCTTTCAGCATCCCTCCTCCCTCCCCCTCCCTGAAATCTATTGTGGATTGGAAAGAAGAAACATATACAAGAAGTTGCCTTAGGTCTTTATGCATGGAAAAAAAAAAGTAAATAAGCAAGATTATTACAAAAGAGCCAAAGTAAGATTTAAGAGAGAATTGGAGGGCCTTTCCCTGGGACAAGTACATGAAGGTTCATTTATACTTTTTTTTTCTTTTTTTTTTGAAACAGAGCCCCACTCTGTCACCCAGGCTGGAGTGCAGTGGTGAGATCTGGACTCACTGCAGCCTCCACCTCCTGAGTTCAAGAGATTCTCGTGCCTCAGCCTCCTAAGTAGCTGGGATTACAGGCGCCTGCCACCACACCCGTCTAATTTTTGTATTTTTAGTAGAGACGGGGTTTCATCATATTGACCAGGCTGGTCTTGAACTCCTAACCTCAAGTGATCTGCCTGCCTTGGCCTCCCAGAGTGCTGTGATTATAGGCATGAGACGCTGTGCCTGGCCCATGCATGTGTTTTGTTTTTTTCATTGTGTTAACATATACCTAACATATAATTTATCATCTTAACCATTTCTCAGCATGCTGTTAATGGCATTAAATACATCCATAATCCTGTGCAAGCATCTCCACCATCTGCCCCCAGGACTCTTCATTGGAAACTCTGTCCCCAGTAAACACTAACTCCCCATTCCCCTTCCCCCAACCCTGGCAACCTCCATTCTACTTTCTGGTTCTATAAATTTGACTACTGCCGATACCTCACGTAAGTGAAATCATACGGCATTTGTCCTTTTTTTTTTCTTTTTGAGACAGAGTCTTGCTCTGTCCTCCAGGCTTGAGTGCAGTGGCACAATCTCAGCTCACTGCAATCTCTGGCTCCCAGGTTCAAGCAATTCTCGTGCCTCAGCCTCCCAAGTAACTGGGATTATAGGCATACACCACCAAGCCTGGCTAATTTTTGTATTTTTAGTAGAGATGGGGTTTCATCATGTTGGCCAGGCTGGTCTTGAACTCCTGACCTCAGGTGATCTGTCTACCTTGGCCTCCCAAAGTGCTGGGATTACAGATGTAAGCCACCAAGTCTGGACAGCATTTGTCCTTTTGTGACTGGATTATTTCACTCAGCATAATGTCCTCACGGTTCATCCATGTTGTAACATATGTCAGAATTTCTCTCCTCTGTAATGCGAATAATATCACATTGTATGGATAGACCTCATTTTGTTTATCCATTCGTCTATTAGTGGACACTTGTGCTGCTTCCATGCTTTAGCTATCATGAATAATGCTGCTGTACAAAAATACTGAACATAGCTGTACAAATATCTCTTCAAGAAAGTGTTTTTAATTCTTTTGGATCTATACCCTGTCTTAGTTCATTTGGGCTGCTTTGGAGTGGGTAATTTATAAGCCATAGGAATTTATTTTTCACAATTCTGGAGGCTGGGAAGTCCAATATCAAGGTACCAGCAGATTCAGTTTCTGGTGAGGGCCTCTTCCTGATAGATGGCATTTTCTAGCTGTATCTTCACAGGGTGGAAGGGATAAAAAAGCTCCTTTAGTCTCTTTTATGAGGGCACTAATCCCATTCATTAGAGTGGAGCCCTCTTGACCTAATCACCTCCCAAAAGCCCCACCTCTTAGTACCATCACATTGGAGATTAGGTTTCAGCGTATACATTTTGAGGGGACACACACACTCAGACAGTAGTATAGCCAGAAGTGGAACTGCTGAATCACATGGTGTATTGGTCTGTTCTGGCATTATCATAAAGAACTACCTGAGACTGAGTAATTTATAAAGAAAAGAGGTTTAATTGGCTCACAGTTCCACAGGCTGTACAGGAAGCGTGGCTGGGGAGGCCTCAGGAAACTTAACAATCATGGTGGAAGGTGAAGAGGAAGGAGGCAAGGATGGCATATCTTTTTTTTTTTTTTTTAGACAGTCTCACTCTGTCACCCAGGCTGGAGTGTAGTGGTGCCAATCTCGGCTCACTGCAACCTCTGCCTCCTGGGTTCAAGTGATTCTCCTGCCTCAGCCTCCCGAGTAGTTGGGACTACAGGCGTGTGCCACCATGCCCAGCTAAGTTTTTGTATTCTTAGTAGAGATGGGGTTTCACCGTGTTAGCCAGGATGGTCTTGATCTCCTGACTTCGTGATCCACCCTCCTTGGCCTCCCAAAGTGCTGGAATTACAGGCGTGAGCCACCTCACCTGGCTGGAAGGAGGCATATCTTACATGGCCGAAGCAGGAGGAAGAAAGTGAGGGGGGAGGTGCTACACACCTTTAAACAACCGGATAGCATGCGAACTCACTCACTATCATGAGAACAGCAAGGGAGAAGTTTGCCCCTATGATCCAGTCACCTCCCACCAGACCCCTCCTCCAACACTGAGGATTACAATTTGACATGAGATTTGGGCGGGGACACAAATCCAAACCATATCACAGGGTAATTCTAATTTTTTATTTTTTGAAGGAGTGACATACTATTTTTGCAGCGACTACACCATTTTACACTCCCACCAACAGTACATAAGTGTTTCAATTTCTCCACATCCTTAACAACATTTCTTTTTAACTTTGTTTTAAAAATTACTCTTTTGAGATTTCTTTATGTATTCTGGTTATGGTTCTTTATTAGATATGCAATTTGCTAATACATTCTCTCATTTTGTGGTTTGCCTTTTAAGTTTCCAAAGTGTCTTTTGAAGAACAGAAGTTCATAGTTTTGATGAGGTCAATTATAGTTTTTTTCCTTTAAGAATTGTGCTTCTAGTGTTGTAGCTAGGAAATATTTGCTTAACCCTAGGTTACAAAGATTTTCTTCTATGTTTTCTTCTAGAAGTTTTATAGTTTAATTTTTTACATTTAGTTTTATCATTCATTTTGAGTTAATTTTTGTATATAGTGTGAGGTATGGATTGAAGTTCTTTTTTGGCATAAAATTGTTTAGTTGTTCTAGCACTATTTATTGAAAAGACTGTCTTTCCTTCACTAAATTGTCTTAATATTTGTGTTGAAAATCAATTGACCATATCTATGTGAGTTGATTTCTGAACTTTGATCTAGTTGTCTATTTTAGCACCAATACCATACTTTTTTGATTACAGTAGTTTTGTAATAAGTCTTGAAGTCAGTCAGTGTTAGTCACCCTACTATGTCCTTCTTTTTAAAAGTTGTTTTGGCTATTCTGGGTTATTTGCATTTCCATACAAAATTTAACGTTGGCTTTCTACAAAAAGGCTTGCTTGGATTTTGATTGAGATTATGTTGCAGCTATAGATCAATTAGAAGAGATGTGGTATCTTAAAATTGTGAATCTTCTGTTTTATGATTATGAAAACCTTCATTAACTTAGATCTTTCTTAGTTTTTCTCAGCAACATTTTGTAGTTTTCTGTACTCAGGTCTTCCACATCTTTAGTTAGATTTATTCCCCTAAATGTTTCTTATTTTTTAATGCTACATAAACAATTTTTATTTCAATTTCTGGTTGTTTGTTTCCAGTCTATAGAAATATAACTGATTTTTATATTGATCTTATATTCTGCAACCTTGCCATACTCACTTATTTAGTTTTAATCAATTTTTTTTTTGCAGATTACATAGAATTTTCTATATGGGCAATATGTCCATGAATAAAAACAGTTTTATGCTTTCTCTTTCAATAGTTCCTTTTATTTCTTTTTCTTGCCTTATTGCACTGCCTAGAACTTCCAGTTCAATGGTGAATTGAAGTGGTGAGAGTGAGCTTCTCTGACTTGCTTCTGAACTAAGGATGGAAAAATTTAGTATTTTACCATTAAATATGCTATTAGCAAAAGTTTTTGGACAATGATCCTTATTATATTGAGCAAGTTTCCTTGTATTCCTAGTTTGCTGAGTGTCTTTGTTTTTCTTTTTTTCTTTTACATGATCGGCTCTTTTATTTATTCATTCACTACACATCTTCAGAAATGGATGCTTCATTTGGCCAAATGGTTTTTATGTGTCTATTAAGATGATCATATGTTTTTTAAAATTTTTTTGTCTGTTAATATAATGAACTGTAGTGATTTTCAAAAATTAAACCAATCTGTTATTCCAAGGAGAAAATCCTTTATATTTGTTATTAGATTTGATTTGCTAAAAAATTTTAAAGAAATTTTGCATTTATGATTATGTAAGCATTTATGATCATGTTGTTCTATAGTTTTCCTGTCTTGTAGTAATCTAGTTTTATTATCAAGATTGTGCTGGTTTATTGAATATGTGGAGAAACACTCCCACCTCTTCTATTTTCTGGAAAAATTTGGTATTATTTCTTTCTGAAATATTTGGGTAGGATTTACCAGTGAAGCCATCTGGGCCTGGTGTTTTCTACTGGGAAAGTTTTAAACAAAAATTTGAATTTATTCAATAGTCAAAGTGCTATTTGGGTTATTTACTTCTTTTTAAGTAAGCTTTGGTAATTTGTCGAATTTCATCCAAGTTGTTGATTTTGTTGGCATAAAATGTAATAATGTCCACTAGTTATCCCTTTAATATCTATAGAATTTGTAGTGATATCACCTCTCTTATTCCTGACATTAGTAATTTTTTCTTCTCTTTTTTGTTCCTGGTCAGACTGGCTAAAATTTCATCAGCTAATCTTGTCAAAAAAACAGTTTTTGGTTTTATTAGTTTTTTCTACTGATTTCTATTTCTTTAATTTCTGCTATGATTGTTTTTATTTTCACTATTTTCTGCTTAAATTTGGATTCATTTATTCTTCTTTAGCTAGTTTCTAAAGCTGAAAGCTGAAATAATTGACTTGAGACATTTCTTATTCCGTAATGCCATAAATTTCTCCCTAAGTGCTGCTCTAGCAGCATTCTATAAATTTTGATGTGTTTTCATTTTTACTCAGTTTAAAATATTTTCTCATTTTTATTTTGATTGCTCCTTTGCCCCGTGGAGCATTAGAAGAGTGTTTAGTTTCCAAATACAGTTAGCCTGTGTATCTGTGGGTTTACACCCATGGATTCAACCAATTATAGATTGGTTGAATCATAGATTGGCTTGAAAATATTTTTAAAAAAATCGCATCTGTACTGAACATGTATTGACTTAGTTTTTCTTGTCATTATTTCCTAAACAATACAGAATAACAATAATTTACATAGAATTTACACTGTATTTATTAGGTATGACATGTAATCTAGAGATGATTTAAAGTGTACAGGAGAATGTGCATAAGTTATATGAAAATACTATGCCATTTTATATCAGAGACTTAAACATCTGCAGGTTTTGGTATCTGTGGGAGGTCCTGGAATCAATCCCCCACAGATACCAAGGAATGACTGTACTTGACGATTTTCCAGATATCTTTGTGTTATTGATGTTCAACTTAATTCTATTGTGGTCAGTGAAAATGCTGTGTATGACACGGATTAGTAAGACTTGTTTTATGGCCCAGAATATGTTCTATTTTGGTGATTGTTTCAAGTGCACTTGAAAAAGAATATTCTGCTGTTGTTGGGTGAAGTGCTCTATATGGGTCGATTAGGTTGGCTGATAGTGTTCTTCAAGTATTATTAATGATTTCACATCTACTTGTTCTGTCAATTACTGAAAAGGGGACATTAAAATCTACAACTAGAATTGTGAAACTGTCTGTTTCTTTATGCAGTTCTGACAATTTTTCCCTCTATATTTTGAGGTTTTGTTAGTGGATGCGTAAACATTTAGGATCATTATGTTCTCTTGATGAATTAATACCTTTCCATTAAAAATGACCTTTGCTATCTCTTTGTTATTCTTTGCTCTGAAATCTACTTTGTCTGATTTTTAATATAACCACTCCTACTTTGTTTTAATTAGTGTTAGTGTGGTATATTTTTTCTCATCCTTTTACTTTTAACCTTTTAGTGTGTTTATATTTAAAGTGAGTTTCTTATAGGTAGTATAGAGTTGGGTCTATTTGTTTTGTTTTTATCCAATCTGACAGTCAATCTCTGTCTTTTAATTGTGATGTTTGGATGACTAATTTTTGATACCATTATAGATATGGTTAGGTTTAAATCTACCATCTTGCTATTAGTCTTTTATTATTCTCATCTGTTGTTTGTTTTTTTTTTCTTCTTTTCTACCTTTCTTTTGGATTGAATATTCTTTTTTTTTTTGAGACAGAGTCTCGCTCTGTCGCCCAGGCTGGAGTGCAGTGGTGCAATCTCAGCTCACTGCAACCTCTGTCTGCCGGGTTCACGCCATTCTCCTGCTTCAGCCTCCTGAGTAGCTGGGACTACAGGCACCCGCTACTACGCCTGGCTAATTTTTTGTATTGTTAATAGAGATGCGGTTTCACCGCGTTAGCCAGGATGGTCTTGATCTCCTGACCTCGTGATCCACCTGCGTCGGCCTCCCAAAGTCCTGGGATTACAGGCATGAGCCACCGCGCCCAGCCTGGATTGAGTATTTTTTTAATGATCCATGTTGTCTCATTTGCTTTATTAGCTTAGTAGTGAAACTTTTTGTTCAGTTATTTTAATAGTTGCTTTAGGGTTAATATGCACTTTAGTTTATCATGGTCAACCTTCAAGTGTTATTATATCACTTCACATATGGTATAAGTTGCTTATAACACTATATTTCTATTTTTCCTTTCCTGGCCTTTGCACTATTGTGGCCATACATTTTACTTCTACATACATTATAAACGCCATAATACATTGTTGTTATTTTTCTTTAAGCAGTCAATTGTCTTTTAAAGAGTTTCAGATAATAAGAAAAGTGCCTGTATATTTACCCACATGGTTATCACGTCTGGTGCTCTCCATTCCTTTGTGTAGATCCAGGTTTTCATCTGCTATCATTTTCCTTCTGCATGAAGGATTTTCTTTAACATTTCTTGTAGCACAGGTCTGCTGGTGATGAATTCTTTTAGCTTTTATACGTCTGAAAAAAGGCTTTATTTTGCCTCTACTCACTGAAGGACAGTCTCAAAGTCTCAACAAATCTACCAACAATTCCCTTTTTCTTTTTTACTGCCCCTCAAGGCTCTAAGAGGATTGTGCAAAAAAAATGGTAGGATTTAGAATTATTTCTTTTGTGCAGAATATTTTACAAGGGCATAGAGGAATCTGCATGTGTCTGAGCATCCACTGAGGCAGGAGCCAGTGTGGCTGATTCTCCATTCTGACAGCAGGAGTCATAATTAGAAAACAAAAGGACAGTGTGTGGGAGAGGGTAATTTGTCACTAATAAGATTGACATGGCCAGGGGAGGAGAAGAGTATTTTTTTTCTTAACTATCTCCTCACTGAGACAAATTTTTTTGTGGTGATAAATTTTTTGCCACCAGAAAATGAATATCTTTTGTGCCTCAGTGACAAAGTTTTAGGTTTCCATGTAGCATCAAAGTCATGTCTATCTTTCATGCTGTGTAGAAGGAACTAGATTTGCAGAAATTGTGAGAGATTTCTGTCCTCTTGGCTTATGGTACCTGTGGCTGGTTTCACAGATCACCTTTTCCTTGTCCTCCAAGGCAACACCTCCCTGGTTCAGTTGACATTCTGAGTCATTCTGTCTTGTTAATTTGGTTGGCTGTGTGAAACTAGACAAACAACCTTCATGCTTTCAGATCAATATTTTCCCCCTATGGTGCATATTGCTTATTTGAACAATCCTGGTACTGACACTTAAGCCCAACTGATTTCGTAAGGTGATAGAACTTAGAGGGAAGGGCCACAAAAACCAAAAACAATCAAAGCCTGGGTCATGGAAAAATCTTCAGAGTCTGGTTGTCTCAAGGTCAAGGCCTGGCTGGCTCATCTGAACCACTCTCCTTTCTAGGCCTCAGTCTCTCAGCTGTGCAAATGGATTAATGACTTCCTTTCCAACTCTAATTTCAAATCGATGCACCATTCCAGATTCCATGCATTCTCTCCCTTGCATAATCTCACATTGGATATTTTGCATGTGTCGAGCGTGTTGCAAATTCCATTCCTATGCTTTCTCGTAATA
This sequence comes from Homo sapiens, assembly GCF_000001405.40. Lineage (NCBI taxonomy): Eukaryota > Metazoa > Chordata > Mammalia > Primates > Hominidae > Homo > Homo sapiens. Next base: position 98,973,839 of record NC_000014.9, on the reverse strand, counting down.
AAAACAGGTATTTTGTTTAATGTTCAAAATTATTTTTTCTATTACAGAAATAGCCATGTGAATGATAGAAAATTAAGAAAATACAGATTTGCAAAAAGAAGAAAATATCTGTACAAAAATCATACTGTCCAGAAATGACCACTATTTTAAATTTTTGCTTATATATCTGATATGATTTGGATCTTTGTCCCTGTCCAAATCTCATGTTGAATTGTAATCCCCGATGTTGGAGGTGGGGCCTGGTAGGAGGTGATTGGATCATGGGAGCAGAGTTCTCATGATGGGTTATAACCATCCCCTCCATGCTGTCCTTGTGATAGTGAGTGGGTGAGTTATTGTGAGTTCTGGTTGTTTAGAAGTGTGTAGTCATGCCAGCCTTGTATCCCAGGAAGGCTGTGAGGTGGACCGGCTTGGACGGGTCATCCTTAGGGAAGCTCTTCACCTTCCCACGATGCCTGCTGCTGCGCTTCCGAGGCAGGAAGCCGAGGGACCCATGTCTGGGAGCGGAGAACTTTCTGTGAGACATCACGCCATCAAATTCTCTGTGGCACGCGCTGGGCAGAAAGGCTACCATCACCGCACTGAGATCAACAAGAAGATCTATAAGATTGGCCAGGGCTACCTTATCAAGGATGGCAAGCTGATCAAGAACAATGCCTCCACTGACTATGACCTATCTGACAAGAGCATCAACCCTCTGGGTGGCTTTGTCCACTATGGTGAAGTGACCAATGACTTTGTCATGCTGAAAGGCTGTGTGGTGGGAACCAAGAAGCGGGTGCTCACCCTCCGCAAGTCCTTGCTGGTGCAGACGAAGCGGCGGGCTCTGGAGAAGATTGACCTTAAGTTCATTGACACCACCTCCAAGTTTGGCCATGGCCGCTTCCAGACCATGGAGGAGAAGAAAGCATTCATGGGACCACTGAAGAAAGACCGAATTGCAAAGGAAGAAGGAGCTTAATGCCAGGAACAGATTTTGCAGTTGGTGGGGTCTCAATAAAAGTTATTTTCCACTGAAAAAAAAAAAAAAAAAAAAAAAAAAGAAGTGTGTAGCAACTCCCTCCTCTCTCTCTGTTCTTTCTGCTCTGGCCATATGAAGATGCCTCTGCTCTGGTTTTGCCTTGTGCCATGAGTAAAACTCCCTGAGGCCTCCCCAGAAGCAGATGCTGGCACTATGCTTCCTGTATGCCTGTGGAACTGTGAGCCAATTAAACTTCTTTTCTTATAAATTACCCAGTCTCAGGCATTTTTTTATGGCAATGCAAGAAAGGATTAGTACAATATCCTTCCAGTCTTTCTTCTCTATATATCCTTATGCATACATTTCTATTTTTCCTTTATAAAATGGTATTATACAGGATAACTGGCTTTGTAATTTTTTTCATTTAACATTTTCTGTAATCAGCTTTCTACATAATTAAATATTCTTTCACCATGCATTTTCAATGCCTACCACATATTTGCTTCTAGATGTGTCATGACTTATTCAACCAGCTCCTGTTTTTGGACATTTGAGTGGTTTGCAAATTTTCACTGCCTTGAACAATTCTATGCTGAGTCCCTTAAAGTGGAGATTTTGTACACAGCTATAATAATTTCCTTAGGATCAATTTCTAGCAGCAGAATTTCTGGGACAAAGAACATTTACTTTTATTTTAGGTATTGAAACATTCCAAATCAAATTCCAGAAAAGGTTTTATGAATATAAACTTCAATTTATAAAGTAAGAGTACATCTTTTTCTAGCCACCTCTTCAATTCTAGATATTATTTATAAGTTTTCAACCCTTCATATGTAATTCTGATATCCAAAAGGCTCTGAAAACCCAAAATTTTTTCATCAATCATTTAGCATCAAAATCTGACCTCAATTGACATGAAGACATTAACAGCCTTCATCTGTCTCATTTAGTGTGGATATTCATATTTTGCTTTAGAAATATCTTGCTGTTGGATTTTGGGGTGCTGCTCCAGACATTTCAGGGTGAAAGGGCTGTTTATGTCCAGCATATGCACCACAATTCCTTTCTAAAGTCTGAAAATTTCTAAGTTTAGACTCACATTTGGCCTCAAGAATATCAGATAAATAGCTGTGAGCCTACATTAAAAAAATAATTGACACCAGCTAGTAGGCAAACGTGATGCCTCAGTTATTTTAATTTACATTTCTTTGTTTACTAGTAAGGTTAAATATATATTACCTATCTTTAGCATCAATATGATTATTCAGTTTTTGTTTATTTTGGTAGAGATTTTGGTTGTCTAGAGAATTTCTTTTTTATGAGAGACATAGTCTGTAACTTTATTTGGCTGATGATTGCAAGGATGTATACATTTGTCAGAACTCATTGATCTGTACATTTTACTATCTGTAAAATATTCTTCAAAGAATAAAATAAAAAAAAAAGCAACATAAAGGAGTGGTTCCATCCTGGCAGCCCCTCCCTGCGTGTGTTGGTGGGAATGTAACAGTTAGTATAATGAAGGAGCGAAAACAGACTTTAGGATACACTGAACTGAGTGTATATTTTTTCTTTTCCATTCAATAGTGGTGACCATGGGCAAATTCTTTAATCTCTGCAAGCCTTAGTTTTCTTATCTCAAAAATGATGCTGGTGCTAACATTTACTTTATAAAGTTCCAGTGAAGAATGAATGCATATAAATAGATGACGAAGTCAGCACAGTTTCGGGTACACAGTCCTCCAGAACCAAACACTCCCTGAAGGTGGGTGGTTATCTGCCATGAAAAACGGTGCACAGGCTGGGCGCGGTGGGTCACGCCTGTAATCCCAGCACTCCGGGAGGCTGAGGCGGGCGGATCACGAGGTCAGGAGATCGAGATCACGGTGAAACCCCGTCTCTACTAAAAATACAAAAGGTTAGCTGGGCGTGGTGGCGGGTGCCTGTAGTCCCAGCTACTCGGGAGGCTGAGGCAGGAGAATGGAGCGAACCTGGGAGGCGGAGCTTGCAGTGAGCCGAGATCGCACCACTGCACTCCAGCCTGGGCGACAGAGCGAGACTCCATCTCAAAAAACAAAAAACAAACAAACAAACAAAAAAAAAAACGGTGCACAGTGAAGGAAAGAAAGATCTCTCTTTAATTATGAGAACCTTGAGTATTTTCAGGTCTTGAAGATGTGTTTTATTAATCCTTTCTTCAGAAACATGATCCAACATCTGGACACCAATATCAAAAATATACTTTGGAAAAATTTTAAGAAAATTGGGCATGTCTCTGATGGAGCTCTCCCACCTTACAGAGGCATTTTTATATATTTCTGGTTATTAGATGATTTATTTTGAAATGAAATAAGGGATGATTAAAAAATAGATAATTTAGAGCAGGAAGGATTCTTATTTCCTGGTTCAAGTTAGAGAATATCTCTCAGAGTAAATGTTTTCTCCTCAAAGCCATGTGAGAAATATATTTTCAGAGTTCCAGAGTCCTTTCTTTCATTCTTTTTTTCTTCTTCTTCATCTTTGATCCATTTCTTGGCAGGGAAAAATTCTTGGGTCACTAACTCTCCCTCCTAGTCTATGGAGAAGGCCCTGTTGTGTTCCATCATTTGGGAATATGGAGGAAAATTTTGGAGCCAAATCATTTTTCCCCTACCTAGGATGCCAGTACATTTTTTTTTTCTTCATCCTTTGGCATTAGTCTCTTTGATTTTGTCTAAAAAAGAACATGAAAAATCAACACAAGGAGAGATTTTCTTGATCCCAGGGCAACTATTTTCCCCTTAGTCCTTAAATTAGTACTTGCTTTCTGTCTGATCTGGACTCTCTAGAATTTCAGTTGCACAAATATTGTGCCACTAGCATAGTTTTCTTGACACATATCACTTTATTCCTCATGCTGTCTATTGATCCTTTCTTTTGGGTTACAGGAGGATTTTTCAGCCAGTGCTCTACTTGGCTGATTTGGTTTTCTGCTCCATCAGTTCTGCCCTTCTCTCTCTCTGTCCCTCCTGCTTGTGTCCATCATGTGAATATTCCCTTAATCTCAGTCTTTCCTATGCAGGATGGGTGGGTAGGAGTCAGAGTGGACATCCTGGATGGCCTTTTTAGCACCGTAATTCTAAGAATTATCCTTGAAATTGCTATAAAAAGAGGAATAATAAACACCTGCCTCAATTCCTCCCCTCTCTTCAGTTGAAGACATTAAAGGGTCATGATATTTAGTGTTTGGGGCCAGAAAAAAATCCTGTAAGAATACATAAAAGGGCTGGGCACAGTGGTTCATACCTGTAATCCCAGCACTTTGGGAGGCTGAGGTGGGTGGATCACGAGGTCAGGAGATCAAGACTATCCTGGCTAACACAGTAAAACCCCATCTCTACTAAAAATACAAATATATATATATATATATATATATATATATATATATATATACACACACACACATACATATATATATACATACATATATATATACACATACATATATATATACACATACATATATATATACACACACATACATATATATATATACATATATATATGTGTGTATATATATATATACATATATATATATATGTATATATATATATATATAAAAATAAGCTGGGCATGGTGGCATGCACCTTGTAGTCCCAGATACTTGGTAGGCTGAGGCAGGAGAATTGCTTGAACCCGGGAGGTGGAGGTTGCAGTGAGCCGAGATCACGGCCACTATACTCCAGCCTGGGTGACAGAGTGAGACTCTGTCTAAAAAAAGAAAAAAAAAGAATACATAAAGGAATACACACTCCTTTGATCAGAATAGCCTTGCTCTGGGGTGCAGAAATGCACCACCCTGGGGGTTAGGGGCTTGTTATGCCACCAGCCCACTGAGTACCTGGGGTGAATCCTTTCTCCCTGTGTGCCTCAGTTTCCCCATCTGCCATATGTAGGGGCTGGACCATGCATGCCAAATTCTCCTCCCCCTTCTATGGGACCCCATGGATCTGCTGGAGGACAATTCATTTAATGAGTGGAATGTAATCAATTTTTGGTGAATATAGTTGTCTTCTTTTCTTAGGCCCTTCAAAACTGTGATGAATGTGTTTCCCCCCAAGGCATCTGATTTTGGACTAACCCCAAAGATAAACAGCATGAAATTGTTCTGTGCCTGCCTCGTAGCTAAATGTACATGCTTGACTTGACAGAGTTTGCCCATTTCCAGAGTCTCCCAGGGGATCCCCTTTTCATATATGTAAATTTCCAAACAACTACAGCTGCTTGAACATATACGGTTTGTCCTCTTTGGGAGTCAAAATGAGGGGAAACCATTGTTTCCACTCAAAATGGATTCAACATGGCGAATCTCAAGACAAGTTTTGACCCACAGTGACCTGAGTTTTCTGTTTATAGTGAGACTCCAGGCCATGTGAGAAATTGTTGATCTTGAATTTGGTTTCTTAGTCCATTTGTACTGCTATAACAAAATCCCTGAGACTGGTAATTTTTAAAGAATGGAAATTTATTTTCTTATGGCTCTGGAGGTTGGGAAGTCCAAGATCAAGGTGCTGGCAGATTCAGTGTCTGGTGAGGGCTCCTGTCTACTTCCAAGATGGAACCCTGTAGCTGCATCCTCTAAAGGGAAGGAAGGCTGTATCTTCACATGGCAGAAGGAACGAAAAGGCAGGATAGTGCTCCTTTCAACTTCAAGACCTTTCATAAGGGTGCCTCTCAAAGGCCACACCTCTTGATACTGTGGTACTGAGGATTAAGTTGCAACAAGAATTTTGGAAGGGACACTTCTATACAAACCATAGCAGTTTCAAAGAGTTTACATGGCTTTAAGATGCACTGGGCTAGAGCTTCTACCTTGGAGAGAGGGCTGTAGTCTTTGAAATGCCTTAGCATCGATCTGGGGACACAGCATGGTGTCTTACAAAGATCATGGGCAGCAGACAGTTGATGAATTAACCAAGCTCTGCCACTTTCTATGTAACCACAGACAAGTTATTTTATCATGAGGAGCCTCAGTTTTCTCATTTGTAGAATAGGGAATGCTAATGCCTACCTCACATAAGGTAAAGATCAAATGAGATCACATATGAACAGTGCCTGGCAGACCTGTTCTTTTTCATTAATGAAGCGGGGGCCACATACAGATCTAGAACAGGATTTCTCAAATTCAGCATTCCTGCATTTTGGATGGGAGAAATCTTTGCTGTGGGGGGCTGTCCTGTGCATTGCAGCATCATGCTGTCTACCCATTAGATGCCAGCAGCACTGAGATTGGGTCAAATGTGCCCTGGGGCACAAAATCCTCCCTGGCTGAGAACCACTGCTCTGAAGCAAGCAAGGTGCTTTTCTAGAACTTCACTCTGAGCTGTCAGTATGGGGATGAATTTTGTGCAGGTGGAAAAGATTCGGTGGGATGTTATCTACCTCATCTAAAATCCTCATCTTCCTGGTGATGGCTGTAGCACATTTAAATCAATAGGCTATTTCCCGATTGCTGGGTGTGCAGGTGGACTTGCATGTCTGCTGCCATAGGGCCTGCAGCAGTGGCCATCACTGTACAGGTCTCCTTTGCACACCTGCCTTGAACTTCTAAAGGGCTCTGCTTTTAGTATCAATGTGGCCTCCCCCTGGGATCGGCCTATGAAGTAGGGATAACAAGGGTGGTGCGAAGCAGCCCAGGGACTGTGAAGCCAGTCTCACTGGTGCCCAAACATGATTGTGTGGGTGGAGGTTGCCTAGCCTTCACTTCTCTCTACCTACCCCATTCCCTGGAGCCTGCCAACGTCCTCTGGAATTGTGGCCCTAGAACATTTTCCAGGCCAATCCTGAGTACCTCATGTGTCTGGAGAGACCAGTACTCAATCAGCTTTTACTCATAGCAGCGAGGGCCAGGTTTCATTCCTTCCTTTGGGTCGGTGAGTAAATAGAGACTCAGAGAGAATTAACTTTCTAAGGTTACACCAGACACTTTTCTTTTGTGGTAATGAGCTCTCCATTCCTGGAAGTACCCAACACTGGGGACCTTGGCATGGTGCAGGAGAGCATGCTGGGCCATGCCACCAAGTTCTCCCTCTTGGGACAACACTTCTCTTCCTTCCTTGGAGGCTGTCCAACTGGCTTCAGCTCTTTCCACTTTCTTCCTTCTCCCTTGGAATCTGGTCTCCATCCTCCCTCTGAAGTGAACTCGCTCTATGAGTTCTAACAAGAAACATTATGATCTAACTTCTTGTGGCTTCAGGAGATACAGATCTGTGGCAACACTTCAAATTAAGTGTCGTGAGTGAGTAATTACTTTCTGAATCTGAGGCGTTCCATTGAATGGGAATCATTACTGTGTGTTAATTAAAATCCCACTGATTATTAAAATTATATTTTGGTGTTTTAATAACTCTATAAGGGACATGTAGATAAAGCCCAGAGATACACATTGTTGTGGATTCTTGTTCAACCCCAATAAATATTTATATTACTTCAGACACGTACTTATTGGTTCATGAAATGTAAGTGGAATTCACACTGGAGATGGGTCTGGGTGTCACAATGAGGTCTGCCCCTCTTTGGAAGCCAAATACAGGGATCTTTTGATCTTTATAAAGTCTGAGTTTGGAGCAAGCTTCTTCAGAGTGCAGCGTGGTTGGGAATATCAAGGAGGAGGTGTGGGGTGGTTATGACACACTCCTGTCTAATTCCTTCTGGGTGCTTCCAAGGACTAGAGTAGAATTGGAACTTGCAATCTTCACGGAATCTGATTAATATTAGATCATAGGGCTGTAGATACTCAGGATTGGCATTCAGGAATTTTAAGTCATTTACTCACCAAGCCTGGCTGCTGATCAGAATCCCCTTGGGAAGCTTTGCAAACATTCACATTTCCTACTGCTTCTTTAAGGTCCTGACTGGGCAGGTAGGTGGGTCCGGTCCAGCCCCATAGGTGATCTGTCCACTCCAGTGTTTCTGTTTGTCTGGGGATGCATCAGGAATATTTTCACCTCCTCGTTCCTACTCTTCCATGTCCCTCTTGGGGCTCTGTCTTCCAAACTTCCTTCCACTCAAAGAGTCTGCAGAGGTGTTTTCTAGAGGTTGGCATTCACTGGATTGGGAACATTGACACATTCCTGTCCTCTGTAGCAGTATGGGCTCCAACACCCCCACCAGTGCCCAGCCAGCCTTGTCTTCCTGCTTCTAGAAGCTGAGCTCACCCCAGGACTTCTCAGATGTCTAGAAAATTATTCTCCAGGGGAGATAGGTGCCCCAGGAGCTAGGTGGAGAAATGATATTATCTACCGGAATGAAGCAAGATATTTGGAAGCATCCACTTGATATGGCCATTTAATGAGGCTGTTTTGCTACAGGAAGTGTATTGGTCAGGCCCTGGCAGGAAATAGGACACCCTCAAATTGGGTCATTTGAGGAGAATTTAGCAGATGTGCCATCTGCAAAGGGGTGAGGAGGGAGAAGGGTCATGATAAGAGACAGTGCAGTGCCCTGGACTCAGCACCTGCAGTAGAGGCAGGAGGAAGAGCTCCCTGGGATGGGGATGCAGAGAGAGCTGGGGATGGGGAGATGTAGCCCACCTGCCTGTGGTGAGCCTGGGAGAGAGTGCTGGGGAGGAAATACCCGCCCACCTCACTCTCCTTCCCACAGAGCTGAGCAGCAGCAGCAGCAGCAACAGCAGGTCTCCTGTGGCTCAGCAAGTTGCACAGCATAGCAGGTGCTCACAAGTGACCAAGGGGCAGCACGTCTGTAGAGCGCGTGGCCTTTGAGATGGCCTGGGTGGGGTGGCCGTGGAATTTGGGCTGGTGGAGCAGCAGGCTGGGGTCCAAGAGTTGGGGGATGACGCTTGATCTGGGTGGAGGGAGTTTTCAAGTTCAGAGTCGGGGTGGGTAAGGCCAGGAGCTGGGGTCTGGATTGGACAGGGGCCCAGGCTGGACCAGATAGGAGGGTAGGGAGGGCTGATTCCTGTCCCTCACGTGAAGGGTCTTTGATTCCACAGGACATGAGCATCCACTGATGGGGTGAAGAGAGGAGAGCCTTGTTCTGGGAAGAGGACTGCAGTGATATGGATTGGACTGGGGAGACGCTGGAGATGGGGACCTGTTGGGGTTACTGTGTTGTCCAGGTGGGAAGTTAAGAGGGTCTGGGTCCCAGTGGAGAGGAGAATGGAGGCAGAAGTCCTGAGGCTCTTGCAGAGGAAGGACAGGACTGGATAACAGGGATCACGGGGGAGGAGAGGGAGAGACGCCTTGGCCCCGAGCCAGGTGATACCCGCAGAGGGAGGCTCATCCTTCCCATATCCAAGGAAAGTCCTGGTGGATTTTCCTCTTACTGGCATGGAAACTGAGGCACAGGGAGGTGAGTGGCTTGCCCAGACTCATACAGTTTGAGCCCAGGCTGGCATCTGTGCAGAGCCGCAGTCCTGTGGTCTTACAAAGCCAAGACCTGGAGGAGACTGAAGGGGAGGGGTGGGAGCCCGACTTCGGTTTCTTTACTCTCACCTCTAGGGCTACCCACAGCTCGCTGGGAGGCCATCTCCTGCAGCACAGGGTGGGGCAGGGCAGGCTGCACAGGGAGTGGGCGTGTGGGTGCCAGATCCTTCCTGGTGGCCAGGACCTTGGCAGACAGACCCCGGCTGGGCCTGCTCAGGCTCAGCAAGCCCTCCAGAGCAATCTGAGCAAGGGTTGGGGGTGCTGATCAGCCCCTCGGTCCTGGAGGGTTCATTTTGAAAGGATTATAAACGATGAAATGGGCTTGTATCCTTCTCTCTTCAGCTGGAAACACTGCCAAGTAAAATCACGTTTTCATGCCTTGGGGATTTTACTGATTGATTAACTGTGCTTCACCAGGGCAAGGCGTATGGCCTCAGTTTGCCTAACCTGTCAAATGGGAACTAGTGTGGAAGTTTAGTGTCACATTGTCAGATGGGCCTGGCTTCATATCCCAACCCATGCCCTTGGGCAATTGTCTTTGTCTCCTACTTTCTACATCTGCAAAACAGAGACAGTGACACCAGTCTCACTGTGTTGTAGTGGGTATCGAATGGAATGCAATGAGAAGCACACGTAGCTAAGCATAGTGCTAGGCATGGGGCAGGGGGAAGCTACTAATTGCTGCTATTAGCCTAAGTACCTGGCACATCCCACATGCTGTTCATTTGTCAGTGAAGACAAATATTTAGTGTCTGTGTGAATTGCTGTATGCAGGAATGTGGACATATATGGAACTTGGCAAGCAGAAGTTTATGATCTAATGGGCTGGGACAGCAGAGAGATCTGCTGTCTTAATACCTTGTTGTGTCTTGAGCACTGGCCTGGGTCTTCTTTGGGACCCAGAAATGTGAATAAGAGAAAGAAGAAATTTCTTAGCACCCCACGTATGCTAGGGTCACCCCAGGCTGTTTATAGTCAGCCTTACTGAACTATTTGGCAAATTTTTCTTTTCTCTTCTCTTCTCTTCTCTTCTCCTCCTCCTTCCTCTTCCTCTTCCTCTTCCTCCTCCTCCTCCTCCTCCTCCTCCTCTTCTTCTTCTTCTTCTTCTTCTTCTTCTTCTTCTTCTTCTCCTTCTCCTTCTTCTTTCTCCTTCTCCTTCTCCTTCTCCTTCTTCTTTCTTCTTTCTTCTTCATCTTCTTCTTCTTCAGTTCTTCTTCCTCTTCTTCTTCTTCTTCTTCTTCTTCTTCTTCTTCTTCCTCTTCCTCTTCCTCTCTTCTTCTTCTTCTTCTGATGGAGTCTTGCTCTGTCACTCAGGCTGGAGTTCAGTGGCGCAATCTCTGTTCACTGCAACCTCCCCCTCCTGGGTTCAAGCAATTCTCTGCCTCAGCCTCCCTAGTAGCTGGGACTACAGGTGCCCACCGCCACGCCCGGCTAATTTTTGTATTTTCAGTAGTGACGGGGTTTCACCATATTGGCCAGGCTGGTCTTGAACTCTTGACTTTGTGATCCACCCCCCCCTCCGCTTCCCAAAGTGCTGGGATTACAGGCGTGAGCCACTGCGCCCGGTCTTGGCAACTATTTCTGAACTTGATGTGTGCCCTTTCTCCTTCATGATGCCACCAACTCCTATACATCCTTGAAAATCCTACTCATATATTCCTTTCTCTGAGAATCATTTCCTGACCCGCGCGTGCTCCCCTGGGCTGGGTTAGTGCTTCTCTGCCTCCATGGCTGGGGCCTGCACCATCGGATGCCCATCTCACTGTGTGGTAGGAGGTGATTGTCCAACCCCCACTGGATTGTCAGTGGCTGGAGGGCACCAGCCATGACCCTAGTGTCCAGCCCAGGATGTGGCACAGAATAAAGGCCAGCTTTGTTGAGTAAATGAATGGACATAAAGAAAAAGAGATCACAGTCCCTGCCTGAAGGAATAAGCATGGACACAGGGCGATTGGGCCGTCCTGCCAAACGTGACAAGAGCCGGGTAAGTGATGCACTGGGGGAGCCCAGAGAAAGCAGCAGTTTCTCCAGGGGACCCAGAAGGACTTCCAGGAGCAGGTGGCCTTTGAGATGGACTTGAAAGGTAAAGGGATGACTTATTCCCAAGTTCGTTCTTCTCCATCTTACAGGGAGCGAGCCCAGCCGCGACAGGGTGGAGCAAGATGATTCACCTCCAGGCCGCTCCCTTGCATCAAGAATCAGGTGCATATTTTGCCGAGTTTGAGAGTGGGTCCCATTGCTCCGTGGTTCCACTGGCCACAGTTCACCTCCAACACAGTTAGTGGTTTTATTTTCAGAAAGGTGGGACCGGAAGAGCTGAGGCAGGGCCAAAGGAAAATGAAATGAGGCAGGAAGAGCCAGGTCTGCCAGGCTGGGGCTGGCCCCACTGCTGGGACATCCTGGGCAGTGGACAAAGATGTTATGTCAGGGGGTGCATGGGACTATTCTGGCACAGTGGCCGCTATTCCTTTAGTCGTTTGGAATACAAGCTCTGGGGGCACCTCCAATGAGATGGGCCTTGTGCTCTGGGCCAGGGGAGCAGGTGAACAAATCATACCCTGTGCCCCTGGGAGGTCACAGGTGAAAGAGGCAGACAGATATGGAGATGATCAAGTGCATGAAAGCCTCCTAGAATCACTGAGAGCCTACTTTACAGAGACTGTCTGCCCTGTGAAATGACCATTCACACACATGCATGGATTAAACATGTGTATGTGCCCAGTAGCATGGATCAGACAGTTAAAGTCCTGCTCCAAAGAGCTTCCATTTCAGTAAGTGAAAGAGCTAGCCATTCATCAAAGCATCACTAGTAAGTGCTGGAGATGCCATTAGGAGTGAGGTCTTCCCTGGTCAGCAAGGCCAGGAGTCTCCACTCATGTGAAGGTAAGAAGGCCAGGTAGGGCAGGGACATCACTAGAGGGGAGAGTGCAGGTGCAAAGGGCCTGAGGAGGGGCCCTGGAGGGGGCCATTTTGGGTGGCGTGGTAAGAGTGGGAGTTGAGTGGCAGGAGGTAGGCTGGAAGGACATTATCCCACCCACCAGGGATCTCACACCACCTGGTGCTCACTGGAAACCCCCCAGGCATCCTCTCCCACCCTGGCCCTTGGCTGTTGTGACATGGTGAGATCAGACCTGTTAAATGACTGGCTGGGCCCCTGACTCAGGGACATCCTGGGTGGACTCAGGGATGGAGTGAGAAAGAGGGAAAGAATAGAAAGGTAGCAAACGCCAAATGCCTTGATGCCAAAATGATGGGCGTCCGGGCCTGAGTAAAGATTCCATCTCTACCCCAAAAGCACTGGTAGGAGGACCCTATCCTGCTTTAGGTGGGGTGTATATGGTGTGGCCAGATTAGCATTGAAAAGGATCACACTCATGGGAGCAGTAAGAGCAGAAGCTTCTGGAGGCCTGAGTCATGGTATTTTCTATCCAAAGCTGTTTCCAGATGAGTTTTGAGACAATGCCCATTCATCTATTATTACCTGCTCTGTCCTGGAGGAGAAGCAATGGAAGTGTTCTCTGCCTCCCGCTCAGTCCATCAGCATTTGATGCCAACCACGAAAGGACTGTGCCTGGTGCTCTGGGGCCAGCCCTGGGTCCTCAGGAAGCTCACAGCCCAGCCAGCATGACCTGGAGGCCCACATAGCAGTGACAGTGGTGCTGCCTCCACACCCCGGGAGCCCTAAACCAATCACGGGGGCTAGGGAAGGATTTCTGCCTGGGCTGATGCTTGGGCGTTATCTGGGTGCAGAAGGCAAGGAAGGGTGCGCCAAATAGAGGAAACAGCAAACTTGAAAAGGGGGAGACTTTGGAGAGCGTGCTATCTGAGGAAGGTGGTTAGGTGCTGTTAGAAAGAGAAATGCGAGTAGGTGGTGGGGGTGGAGCAATGCCTGGGCCAAGGTGTGGGGTGTTTGAAAAGGCCTGGGACCTGGCAGGCGGGGTGGCGGGCAATGGGGCAGGACGCAGCCTGGGCCTGCTCCAGGTGGTGGGGCGCTTCCCGCAGGTGTCCCTTTGATCTCACAACAAATGGCCTATTCAGCATCTCCAAGACTGGGCCAGCTCCTGGCAGCCAGGCTGGGAAGGTGGGAAAACACAAGGGGATTGTCTGCCCAGTTCCAAAGCCGGGAATTTGCTCAGCAACACTGCACATGCAGGGAGTAGCCAGGTTCTAGCAGTCGTCAGGATGGCTGTTTGCCAAGGACTCCCCTGACGGGCTGCAGGCAGACCCTGGGGGCTGGGATGCCCAGGCTCCTTTGCCTGCCTTTGCAGGTCCTGGGGCAGGAGTGGGGTGTAGGATGGGGCGTTGAGTGCAGTTGTTCATTTGTGCACAGATCCAAGAAAGACAGACCCTTCAGCAGGGCAGAGTGAACCGGCAGCCTTGCCACTGAGCCCCCAGAAGAACTGACAGACGCAAACTTCCTTCTTCTGCTGGAAACTTTTTTTCTGTGGGTGAAGGCCCAATTGTGGAGAGAGGCAAGGTTGGATATTGTGATCCAGCATACTGAAGAAGCTGGGTTCTCCTTCCCACCCTCCACCTGCCATTCCAAATGAAGCCAACACTAAAACTACAAGAGACTCTTTTATTTTATTGAAGTGACACCAAACATGACGAATGCTGAAAACAAAACAGCTTCTTTGTAGACTTTTGGGCTCTTTCTCTTTATTACTTTACTATAGGTGTGTTCTCTGGTGTCCCAAGCCCACATTTGGAAGGTCCACTGGATAAGTGCTGACGCTGGAGAAAGGTCTGTTTGCAGACTGCCAAATTCAAGAGATAAAGCTTGTTTGGGGGCTGAGGGGTGTTCCCGGGCAGTGTGGGCAGGTCAAGTGTGGATGCTCACAGTCCTGGCCTTTGACCTTCCTGGCTTCACCAAGCTGTATGCACTCAGGGAAGTTGCACAGCCACTCTGAACCTCGGTCTTTTCCTCTGGTAATAACTGGCATTAACGCCCATTTGCAGTGTTGCTGTGAACCAGATCAAGTGTGTCGATACGCCCAGGATGGTGTGTGTACTTATAGTAGCTGCTCAGTGAACATTAGTTTCCCATCTCTTAAGAAAGAAAATTTGGCTTAGAAATCAACTTTAAAATATTTTTGTTGTTTGTTAAGAATGGTTCAAAAGTCACAAAATTATTTAGAAATTGTTTTCACTGAGTTCAGAAATCCAGGAGACTATTTAGTCAACAGTCTGTTTTCTTCCCGATAGCCTCATGATGGACTCATCTTTGAAAACCCAAGTAAAGCAATTTAAGTTTTCAAATTCATTTTGCTCATTTACCCACTCATTCATTTATTCTGCAAACAAGTAGTCAACACCTCCTATGTGTGAGGTCCGGGGGCTGCTCCCAATTATACAGAAAAAGTGGAGAGGAGGCTTGGAGCTGTGGGAAAGAGGAAACTCGGGTCCAAGAGGTCCCTGCAATTTACTAACTGTGACCTGGGGCAAGTCATTTCAGCTCTGGAGCCCTCGGTTTTCTCATTTGTATAATCAGGATAATAATATTTCCGTTGCAGGATTGTTTGTGAGAATTAGAGATAATATGTGTAAAATACGGGGTGCATGGAGCCATGGGAGCAGCTGGTCCTGCTAAGACGAGGTCCCTGCCCTTGTGGCTGAGGCCCCTGTGGTGGTGACAGATCGATGGACAGAGGCACCGAGAGTGATTTAAGAGTACATCTCTCCATCTACATCTGTATATAACAGACCTGAGATACAGGCTTGGGCAAAGGTCTGTTTGCAGATTGCCAAATTCAAGAGAGGAAACTTGTTCCGGGGCTGAAGGGTGTTCAGGGGCAGTGTGGGCAGGTCAAGTGTGGACGCACACAGTCCTGGCCTTTGACCGTTCTGACTTACCAAGCTGTATTCACTCAGGTAAGTCACACAGCCACTCTGAACCTCAGTCCCTTCCTTGTCTCCAGGCAAAATGACCCAAGGACCTTTCTTTGGGTGGGCTTTTTATCCCGTCCGTGTGTAAAAGCCCACTCCAAATGAACCAAATCTCCCACAGGCTTTGCAAGGTGTGACTCAAGAGTCAAGGCAGCGCGGGGACCTGCCCGTGGACCCTGGATCTTAAATGAGCCCCTGGAGCTCAGCAGCAGGTTCCTGGGAGTCTGGCTGGCTGAGTGCTTGGCTGGGATGAGTGGGAGCAGCTGCAGGAAAAGGGAGAACTAGTTTCTCCGGAGTGTGTTTATCCTGCTTATCTGACCTCAGAACTCAACCATCCTAATGATTTTTAATGACTCTAATGTGCCTCACGTCTTGACTGGACCCACTGGCCATGTCGCGCTATCGAATGGCCTCTTTCCCATGCGTACTGCCCGGTGGAAGTGGGTCCAGGTGCCAGGTGGGATTACTTGGGTCACACACATGGTGGGACTTAGTTCAAAAGGATTTGACACCAGGCTCTGCCAGAGCTCAGAGCTTGGGGAGATGGCTCCAACCAAGCCCCTTGGTCAAGCCAGGTGGAAACATGCTCAGGGAAATGGGATCAGCTTCAAAGTCAAATCTCAGCTGTGCTGCTGACTAGCTGAGCTCTCAGGATACGAACTTGGCTTCTCTGGTCTCTATTTCCTCATCTGAGAAACGGGTGCCGTAATGAGATCTTCCTCGCCTCGCCAGGATCCCTGGTCCTCCGCCCTCTGTGGGCCTAAGCTTCGCCTGTAGCAAATGTAGGATTTCTCAGGCGCCTCCCAATTTTGTAACCCTATGACTCTCTCGCCGGCCAGCTTCTTCCTGTCCACGCCCATTCCCACCCACCTGAAAAATACCTGCCCTTGGACGATATAGCCTTGACCAAGCCATTTCCCAAGAAGGGCTGCCATGGCCTGGGGTTGCCACCCACCTGAGACCTCGTGGGGCCAGGGCTGAGCTCTCAGGGTGAGCCTTGTGAATAGCATAAACACTCACTAGTTCCCGTCCCGTCCCTGCTGGCTGTCTTTAGGCAAACTGGACAGGGAAGCACCAAAGCCCTTGCCTCCCCTTCACATGCATGACGTAACTGTCACTGGTGAATGTGGAGATTTCTAGAAAGTCAGGGCTTCTCCATTAGTGAGTCAAAAGGCTCAGATCAGCTCTCTGCCTTTTATGCAGGCTCCAACTGTTGCTTCACCCGAACCCACCCTCTTTCGTAAGCAAGAGTATCCTTGCCAGCTGAGTCACTGAGTCCGGGGACTCCAGCCAGAACATGGTAGCGGCTTCATGGCCCAGACCCTGGCCTGAGGAGGGGCCTTGTCTCTTCTTGGCCAGCTGTGTGGGTGGGATCCCCCTCATTCCAAGGGATCATTTGCTCTCTCTCCCCCCACAATCTGCAGATGAACACCCTTGGGGTGGAGGAGAATTTCAGCTACTTGCCTGATGCTTTATGGACCTGGGCAATAGAGCAGCTTTGTCTTGGGGTCTGACCACAAAGCCCTAGCCATTATTATTATTAATATTTCTTAGAAATATTTATTTCTTATTTAATAAGATGTCTTAGAAATCTCATGAGTGTGTCAGATGAGAAAGTTGGGAAAGATGTGAAAGTGTCCTTAATGACAGCACAGTGCTTCTCAGCTGGGGAAGTGTTGCCTCCAGGAGATGTTTGGTAATGTCTGGAGACGTTTCTGGTTGTCATAATTGAGGGGCAGGAGGTGTCACTGGCATCAGGTGAAGAGAGGCAGGGGATGCTGCTATATACATGCCACAAAGCACAGGGCAGCCCTCCACAAAGAGTGACCCAGTTCAAATCATCAATATCGCCCAGGCTGAGAATTCATGATACAGGGAAGCTGTATCATGAAGGCCTTGGAACTAGACCACAAGGCCTCCAGAGGGTCTCAAAAATAGTGTTTATATACATAAAAACAAAAACCCCATTTTAATTGTAAGATAGATTTGAATTTTGAGGTTGAAGGGCTGGTGAGTGCCCAAGTCAGAGTGCAGCCTGGTGGCATCTCCGGGAGGCCCCATCGCTGCCAGCCCCGGGCTGTCCCGACTCCTGCCCCAGGGGCAGTGATGACACCTACTCCCTGCTCCGGGTGCATGTGGCACCCCACTCTGCTTCTGCAGCCCTGATCTCTACCTGGGGCGATTCTCCCACATTTCACTGCTGGTGGGAAGTGACACCTGGGTTTCCCACCATAGCTCAAAATGCAATGTGTCCCGACCTCAGGCCAGCACCTGCCCTGCCAGCCTGCTGCTCCTTGTGGGTCTGGTGTGCCTGAGCCCCCTGTCATTCTCTCACCTCATTGGCCTCCTTCTCACCACTCCACCACCACCATCTTTCTGTCCTTCCCTTCCCTGCCCATGCCTTCTGTCATCCTTTCCCTTCTACCTGGAATCCCGTTCGAGCTGTCTTCTTCCTTGTCTCCTCAGGATTCTCTTGTGTGAAATGTTTTGTCTGAACCGCTGTGAACTTCATCTTTCTGAAGCTGTTTTTCACTTGTACTACTTTTCTGGTCAAAACTCCTCCATGGCTCCCCTTGCTAACAAGGGAAGGTCTTTCTACCTCCCTAACTTGGGAGTCATGGCTCCTTGCGACTGGGCTGTCAACTTCCCACGACAGTGCGAACTTCTCCTTCTCCCAGGCCACTCCCTGCTGCAATATGGGGCACACTTGTGGTGGCCAGAGCTGTCTAGGCACCCCGTAGACCGTGAGATCTGTGAGGCCAGGAGCAAATCTTACCTGTTCAGTGTGGGGAAGCTGTGCTAGTAGGTTCTCAACTCACCTTTGCCAAATGCTCCACTGAATGGTAGATGAACCAGCCCCTCTCCTAGGCGATCCATGATTCCTCCCTCTGTTGTCCTTCCTGCTGTTCTCCACCCTAGAACCTTCCCTCTCCTACATCCACACCTCACTATGGGTCCCATTTGAAGTCAGCTCTCTGCTCAGATGCCGCCCCCCGACTGGAAGAAGGGATGGTTTCAGTTTCCAATCAACCTCCACAACACTTTGTCTACCCCCCTCGAACAGTGCTCACTACTGTCAGCCTTAAATTATAGCTATTTATGATAAAATAAATAATAAGGGTGGTTGTTGAGTGCAGCCAGGCTCTCTTATTTGCAGGCCAGGCACCTTGTTGAAGCCACACGAGGACCTGGTTCATGTAGGTTTCAATGGGTCCTTTTTACAAAGAGGAAAACAGAGGTGCGGAGATGTTTATAGATATGCCTCCAGGGTGCGAGGCTAGTTTATTTCCGAGCCAGAGGCAGTGCACCTTAATTATGAGAGCTCAATGCTTGGATCTGAGAGCACCAAACTCTGGGCCTAGGACTTGCATTCATTCCCTCATTCATTCATTCACTCGCTTATTCATTCATTCATTCACTAATTCATTCATTCACTCATTCATGAGGGAATGCACAAATCAGTGAAACAAAAGAATTCCTTTGTTCACTAAACTAATATTAATTGAGTATTTTTCATGTGTCAGGCACATCCTAGCTGCTCAATGAGAGGTTTTCTGCTGTCTTTTCTTGAGGAGGAGGGAATGAACACATCGATACCTCTGGTCTATTGAATTAGGAAGCCAGTGGCTTAAAATCATCTTTTGAATTTCAGAGCCCTAAGCTGGTAACACTGAAAGGGACACATGTGATTGTTCTTATCCATGGGCTTATGTTACAGATGAGAACAGTGGGCCCGCTCAGGGAAGGGCTTGCTTGGGGCCACCCAATAGCTCCATGATCAAGCCTGGACTTGGCCCCTCTGGCTTTAGACTTACCATTTGTTGTTTTCCTTTCACCGACTAACTGCTCTTCACTGTGTCTAGGGGATGGGTATGAGTAACCCGGGCTTCCAGGACATGTATGACTTGAGTGAGATGTGGATTTGGGGGTGGACAAGAAAACAGAGGAGAGGAGAGATTTCACAATTTCTTATCAGGTCCTTGTCATCTTGTGTGCTGTGAGGGAGCCATCAGGGTTCCATTTCACCGATGGAAACCTGGACCTTAGGAGAAGGGAGCCCCCCAGGAGCATGCAGGGCTGAGTAGCACCAAAGCTCCCATGAGTGGAGAGGGTATGGCGGAGCCACCCGGAGAGAAGTTAGGCGCTTTTGCTGTAGTGATGGGGAACCTGGGTTTGAGCTCTGCCCCGCACTTCTGTGTGGCCGGGGCAGGGTATTTCACCTGTGTGCATCTCAGTTTGCTAGGGTATAAAATGGGGAACTGAAGCTTCTTACCTCATACACTTGTTGTGAGGATCCAATGAGTAATAACCCAGCCAGGACTCAAACCTGTGCCACACAAGTGAATGCTCATGGTTGGCTCGTATTTTTAATGTTATCATCAGAGAAACCTTTGGTTCCAGACCCAGGTCTGCCAATCACTCCCCAGGTGACCTTGGGCAAATCCGTTAAAGTTTCCGCGCCTCGGTTTCCTTATGTGTAAGATGAGGCAGACAGTAACCCCCAGCCATACCCCGAGATCCTGGTGCCACGAGCCTGGCCTCCTGCCCTGCTCCGGGAGCTGCTCAGCCAGCACAGGCGGCTCTTTCTGTTTCCACTTCTCCACCGAGATTGTTAGAGTTAAAAGGAAAGGAAGGGGTTTTGATGCTGAAGAAAGAGCTGGGGAATTAGGGGAGCTGGGAGTTAGCCCCGAGGAATTCTGGCTTTTGGCAGTTTTCCCTGAGCTTCTCTGGAAATGTTGGGTAGACACCGAATGTCCCTCTTGCTTCATCTGGCTGGGCATTGCGACATCGGCACAATGTGAAAAATAGAGCTGTCCTGGGAGAGCCGCCTTAGTCATGGGAACCTGGGGAACCTCTCCCAGGAGTGTCCTGCAGTTGGGGCAGGGCTTGGACTGCGGGATCGGCGGTTAGTCAGGGGCCTGGCCGGGGAAGACCTTGTTGTGCAGTTAGCCACTTGGCAGGAGCATCCCCGGCCTCTGCACAAACTCAGAGGTCTTGGTGTGCCCAAGAGAAAGTGGGGGGCTGCTCCTGCCCCCCATAAGCAGGGGAGGTCATAGCTAGGATTTCTGTGGCCTCCTCAGCAGGCCAGGAGGCATGGATCCAGCTTCTACTCCTAGCTCCTCCATCAACTTGCTGGGTGAACTTAGGCAAGGCTGGACCTCAGGGCTCCAATCTGTAAAAGGAAGTGATCAGACTTGGTCTCTGCCACCCATTTCAATTTTAAATTTCTCCAAGTTGAGTTCTCTGCTCCTCATCTAGGGTACATGGTGGGTTCCCAGTAGCTGTGATGTGAAGAAATGAATGAACAAATGATAGATCAAAACAGGAACCTCTCCACTTCTTTCCAGCCTACGGAATGCTTAGCTCAGAGATGAGCTCAGAGCAGAGCCGTCAGCAAATGCAAGGTGGCTGCAGAGACCAAGTGCAAAGATTCTTTTAGAGAGGCTCAAGTCGGCGGATTAGAACAAACCAATTAAGGGTGTTTGTGTATTTAGCATTTTGCACTCAAAATACTTACAGGGGAAGGGTAATCCTTTGAAATCAAACACATCTTGCCGGTTAATGTTGGTGTAAGTTTTTTTTGGAGGTAGGGCCCAGACATGGCGGCCAGAGCTCATGTGAAAAGGCAAATTATCTATACATGAGGTTATGGCTAATTACCTGAGATACCCTCCTCTGTTGAGTGAAAAACCCAGTTTTCATCAGTCCCGTATTACTTATGGCTGATGAGAGCTGCAATTGGCAAAGGCGTGTTTTTAGCTTATGACTCAGGGCTGAGTCAGGGTTGGGGACTGAGCTTTCTGTGGCCTCGAGCTGGGCTCCCCTTTTTTCCTGGAAAAGCCTAAACTGCTTGCCAATCCCTTTGACAGGGCTCTTGGACTTTCCTGGGAGGCTCAGCATGTTTTTTTTTTTTTTTTTTTTGTTAAGATGTATTTTCTTTTTTTCTTTCTAATTTTTCATTTTAGGTTTGGGAGGTACATGTGCAGCTTTGTTACATGGGTAAATTGCACGTTGTGGGGGTTTGGTGTACAGATTATTTTGTCATTCAGGTGACTGGCATAATATCTGAAAGATAGTTTTTCAATCCTCATTGTCCTCCCACCCTCCACCCTCAAGTAGGTCCCATGATCTATTGTCCATTTCTTTGTGTCTATGTGTACTCAATGTTCGGCTTGCACTTTAAAGTGACAACATAAGGTATTTTGTTTTCTGTTCCTGTACTAATTCACTTAGGATAATGACCTCCAGCTCCATTCATGTCATAGCAAAGGACATGATTTCATTCTTTTTTGTGGCTGCATAGTATTCCATGGTGTATATGTACCATATTTTCTTTATCCAGTCCACTGTTGCTGTGCAGCTAGGTTGATTCTCTATGCTTGCTATTGTGCATAGTGTTGTGATGAACAGACCAGTGCCTGTGTCTTTAGGGTAGAATGATTTCTATTCCTTCGGGTGTATATACCCAGTAATGGGATTGCTGGGTGGAATGGTAGTTCTGTTTAAAGCTATTTGAGAAATCTCCAGACTAGAGTACCTGGATTTAAGCTCCTGGCTTCCAAGCTGGGGGTAGTGGGGGGCGGATGTGGCCAGTTTGCCTTCAGCCCCATGTGGCTTCCTGAGCTGGGTGCGCCTGTTCCCACCCATGCGTCAACCTGTTGACTGTCCTGAGACGCCAGTGTTAACTTCTCCTTCAGAAAGGTGAAGAAACTGAGGCCTTGGCTTTGAAGTGGTGCAGCATGGATTTGAACTCAGCGTTTCCTGACCAGAACCGCTTTTTTTCTCCTCATTGCCTTTGGGGGCCTCACTCAGGTTACCTGCAGGGTGGAAGGTGCTAAGTGGCCTCAAGAAGGTGGGTCTCACTTCTTCAAGCTGCACCACTGTGGCTCAGGGCTGAACAAGTTTGTGATTCCATCTGAAGGGCTTTGAGGACATGCCAAATTATAAAATATGGAAGATTTTCCAGGTGGGGAGAAAGGACTTTGTCATCCATCCTGGCCTTGCTTCTGCACTGATGGATGGATTGACCATTTGGTCGTGTTTGTGAGACTGTTTTCCCATCTTGTTTATCTTCTCACACACGATCACCTCTGCCTTTGAGTTGTCTCCCAGGCCTGACTCTACAATGCTGGCTTGGAGGGTCAATGGGCATCCTGAGCAAATGCTGCCCCGTGTAAATGTATGGCGAGCTCCCTGCATGGGCCCTCAGGAAATGTCCATTTCCCTCCTGGCCTCTCTGGCCCTCTGAGGCTGACAGGTGCGTTCTCCTTCCCTATGTGTTTCCCCCTCACAGTGAGGGGAGGTAGGACTTCATAGACCCAGGCTTGACAGATGACAGATGGGGAAGTGCAGCTTCAAAAAGTGACCTTTTCCCAGCCTAAATGGGGCTAGGTTTTGGCTCCCTAGTCCAGACCTCCTGTGGTCTTTCTGGGAAGCATGAGTTAAGAGTTCCAATGAGTTGTCTCCCATTTAAGCACCAAATATCCCTGGTCAGCATCCTTCCTCTAACACCCCTACCCCCATCACATGGGGATGGCCTCAGGAGGGGATGAACCCGCGTGAACTACCCTCTAGGTTGTGAGACTCACAGTTAACTATTCACATCTATCAGTTCATTTCTTTTCCTCTTAAATACCCTTAGGAACTGAGTTTTATTTTATCTTTTCAGAAGAGTAAACTGAGGCACACAGATAATTAAGGCATCTTGTTCATGATGACTCATCCTGACTGTTCAAGACAGACCAGCTTGGCATGGTCCAGCTTGGCGTAGCCTGGCCAAGACTGCAGCCCAGTCTGGCCAGATCCTACCACAAGCTCCTTCCAACCCCTGTGGCCAGGCTCACCTGTGAGGGGGGCAGGGGCTCTGTGGGGGCACCAGTGGGCC
The DNA here is from genome assembly GCF_000001405.40 of Homo sapiens. Classification (NCBI taxonomy): domain Eukaryota; kingdom Metazoa; phylum Chordata; class Mammalia; order Primates; family Hominidae; genus Homo; species Homo sapiens. The sequence continues at coordinate 98,950,684 of NC_000014.9, read as the reverse complement.
AAGTGATAGGAGTGACAGTGCCGCCCAGGGTCTGTCATGGTGTGTTCACCACCAAGGGTGCACAAGCCATGCAGACACAAACTCTGCGTCCTGTTGGAGGTTGACAAGGCCAGCTGGCATTTGCAGGCCAGGAGAACACCTGTTCCACAACAGGAGGTTGAATTCTGCCCAAATCTTCAGTCTCCCAATTTGTTAGACCACGGGAAGCCTTTTCCCCTCCCCTCCTCTCCCTCCCCTCTCCTCCCCTCCCTCCCCCCTTCCTCCTCTCCCCTCCCCTTTCCTTTTCTGTCTCTTTCCTTTCCTATCTTTTCCCCATCCTTTCGTTTCCTTCCTTTCTCTTCCCCTTCCCTTCCCTTCCCTTCCCTTCTCCTGTCTTTCCTTTATCTCTCTCTTTCTGTCTCTTCCTGTGTATCTCTATCTCACCCCATGTCCCTCGGTCTCTGTCTGTCTGTCTTGCTCACTCTCCCTCTCTCTTTTCCAAATCACCAAAGGCCAAAGACTCTTTGGGAAATAGGGCTCTGAGACTTTGAGAAGGAGAAGACTGAGCTTCAGTCTGCAAACCTGTTTGTTTCCGGGCCCACTTTGGGCCTGGTGTCCCAAAGTTAGACACTCACTGTCACTGGATAGACTCTCACCATCCCTCATCACAACCAAGGCGTGTGACTCTCCCGGGTTCCCCAGTGAGCACACAGAGGCCTGGACAGCCAATGTAGACAGTGAGCTGGGTTCAAGCCTGGGTCTGAGTGCCTGTCCCGGCCCCTCTCTTGTGACCATGGACACTTGGATGTGGAGGGATGAACTTGGGGTTTGGATGGGGTTGCAGCCCCTGCTTCTAGCTGCCACTTGGGCTGTCAGGTTCTGTCTCTTCAGCCTGGGCTCCCTGGATGTTGTGGTCTGTCCTGTTGTGTGAAGCCCCCAGGGGAGGCAGGGAGGAGTCTTGTTCATCTTTAGTTCATCTTCATACAAATGAGCTGGCCAGTTGGCACTCGCCTGCATTTCCACTGCAGCAACAGGAAAGACGAGATCCATGGTAATTGCCTTCCCATCTTTTTATTCTCTGGTCAGAGCCGTTCCCAACTGTCAGAGTGACTTCTCGCTCCCTGACACAATAGCCCTTGCGACACTTCTTTGTTCCCCTAAGAGTTTGAAGGCAGGAAAATTCTCAGCTCCTTGGGGTTACCTAGGGCTGACTCTGATGCTTAGGGACAGTTCTTGTCCCCAGACACAATGTTGCCCCCTCCTTTCCCCCTGAGCTAAGACCTATTGTTTTTACTTAACCTTGCTTCCAGGATCTGAAAACATCTTTTAACCAAATAGCGATGATTCATTTCTGGACAGGCCAGCAGAAAGAAAGGATTAAGATTTGGAGCTCCTCCTAGCCCCACTTCCCTTTTATCTCCTCATTGCCTTCTCTTTCTTCCTTTCTCACCCGGCCCACCTTCCTTTGGCCTCCTCCCCAAGCCCCAATTAGCAGACAGGAGGGGCTGCTTGGTCAAGGGCACATTGTGGGTGGTCCAGACCTTTGAGAGGATTTTCTCTCTGTATCTCTAGCTCTGGGGATTCAGGCAGCTGACATCAGTGGGAAAATCTTCCCAGGAGATTTCAAAGCACTGGAGACTGAACTGTTGATGGTGAATTAAAAAGAAAAAAAAAAGGCAAAATCTCCCAAAGGCAGTATTTGGACATGATCATTTGACCTCACCCCATCGTTGCTCCCCTGCTACCCTGGTGTTCCGATTCCATGATCCCAGGCTTCCGTGGAACCACAGAATTTGCTGTTGATGCAAACTTTCCTGACTGGCCGGAAACATGCACGGGTATGAGGAAAGACAACTGATGTTTGTGGAGAGCTAACTTTGTGCCACGTGCTTTTTTTGTGTGTCCACAGATTTTGTTACTCTTTGGTCCCCTAAGAATGATGATGATAGCAGACACATGGGAGAGGCACTGGGTGCCTGCCGGTGTCTCCATACTTTGCATGTACTAGCTAATTTAATTTTCACAGCAATCTATTTTTCTTATTTTTTGAGACAGAGTCTTGCTCTGTCACCCAGGCTGGAGTGCAGTGGCATGAACTTGGCTCACTGCAACCTCCGCCTCCTGGGTTCAAGCAATTCTCCTGCCTCAGCTTCCCGAGTAGCTGGGACTACAGGTGCGCACCACCATGCCCAGCAAATTTTTGTATTTTTAGTAGAGATGGGGTTTTACCATGTTGGCCAGGCTGGTCTCAAACTTCTGACCTCATATGATCCACTCGCCTCGGCCTCCCAAAGTGCTGGGATTATGGGTGTGAGTCACCACGCCCGGCCTCACAGCAATCTTATGAAGTAGAAACTATTATTATCCTGATTCTACAGTAGAGGATTTTGAAGCACAGAGACATTTAGTAACCTGATGAAGGTCACACAGCTCAGAAGTGGTGGAGCCAGAAGTCCAACTGCAACTGTCTGACTCCAGGATAACTCTGTGCTGTTATCCATTTAGTCAGACTGCAATTTACTCCTTAGGGATAGCCTCCCTCAGAATTGTGTAGCTGCAGGAGGTGAGGTGACGTCAGCTGGGGATGGGTAGGCATGGCAGTGCTGCACAGCCAGACCTCAGCTTGGCCACCAATGGGAACATGCTCCTGCCCATTGTGCCTGCATGGGCCAGAGCATGAATTGGGATCTATCTCTCTCAAACCAGCATGGTTGGGGGTGGATGTGTCTATGTCATAAGTCACCAACTTTCCCCTGCTTTGAGGAAATGTCAGTGTGGGGCACACAGGAAGAGGCCTACAGAACAAATCTCATGGGGATGGGGATACACCATTATTAATTATCATTGCTGTTACTGTTATCATCTCTTAGCAAAGAGGCTCTAGTGGTTGATATCAACCACTAGAAACGTAGTTTTGTTCATGACACATTAAGCTCTAGAAACGATGTGTTCTTTGCTCCACAGGGAGCTTTCAATGTTTATTCACTCACTGTTTGGTTGTGTGAGTTGCAGAATCCCTGCCAATGTTATTCCAGCCAGTGAGCCAGAGTGGATAGGTAGGCATTTGGAATGGAGGTACGATGACTACCAGGGGCAAGATTTTGGTAAAATCTGATGGAATTCTGTCTGGCCAGGTGTTTTCCTGACTAAGTGTGTTTCCTGGCATGCATTTACGTGTACTTTGCTTTGTTTTATTTTACTTCCCTCTTATTGAATATTTCCTTTTTCCTACAGTCTCATGAAATAGATGTTGACTTTCACTCTCCCAAAGACCACATAGAGATGGAGTGGCCCATGCTCCCCACCAGGGCCACGTGTGGTGGGTGGCAGCATCAGGTCCCATGTGTGAAGCCAGGATCTACATTTTCCTGTGGGTCTGCCAGCAGTTCCTGGTACTAACTCCCTTCGTCGCTGGCCCTTTCTCTCCCAGCCCGTAGCCACTCCTCCTCCCCCTTTGCCTGCTGCATCCAGGCAGAACAGGGCAGCAGAACAGGCAGAGGAACGTGGAGCTCCTTGGACTGTAAATACTTTCTCCGCGGTGATTGCAACAGCAGCTTTTGCCAAATTCTGAGTCTGCTTGGCCTCTGAGGGTGCTGAGTTTGGAACTAAATGCAGCAGCCCCTTTGGAGTCAAACTTTGGTTTCCTCTTGGAAAACGAGCACTTCCTGATTGCTAGAGAAATAGAAGAAAGTCTTTAAAAGACTCTGGTGTTCCTGTTGGCCTCCAAACCATCAGTCTATAGCATTTTGATGATTTAAGTGTCGATGGATCAAAAACATGTGGTCCGAGTTTCCCCTGAATTCAGATGCATGTGGAACTTAAAGGAAAGTTTTTTTTTTTTTAAAGGATTTGGAGAAACAGCCTGGGTTTTACTCAATGCCCTGACTTTGAAAACTTGGCGTAAGGTATTTGCCGTGTATAAGTTCCAAAGGGGCTCTCCTGGGCCCTCTGGAAATTGATTGGTGGGGAGGCAGAAGAGACTTGTGCAGGAGTGGGGTGGGGGTGGGGGCTCAGATCCCTTCTGCACTGGACTCAAATCAGCTTTGTGCACCTCCGAACATGGGGAGAGGGCTAAGACTTGAGAAGGGAAAAAATGCTGCAACCTCCTCTCTTCCAGAGACCTCCCCCTTTCATCCTAATTTTGCTCAAAGTCTATCAATGTCCAGCCAGTCAACATCTACTGAACACCTCCTCTGCGCCAGGATTCTGAGTGGATTCATGTGAATGCCTACTGCTTGCTCTTTCTTATCCCGTGCTCTACCCAACCGAGCGCCTCAACGTTCCAGCCGCCCTGCCTTGGCCTGTGTAGATTCCCCTACCTGGCATCCCCTTTTCCGATCTTTATCCAGCCAAATCTCATCCATTCACACCCATAATGTTCACTGTGGTGCTTTCTGCAGACTCTGGGCCGCATCAACTCTTGGGAGTAATGGCGGACTCGCAGGGAGATCTGGCTTCTTGGGTTGGAATCTCTAATTGCTCAGGACACAGAGCTGCTGTACAGAGGGATGTTGGCGTTTGCTCCTGCCGCTCAGCTCCGCCCAGTCATTTTTGGAGGGTTTCCTCTGGCCTCCTCCCTCTCGTGCCTTGTTTACTGCAGGGAGTGATTTTAGCTTAATAGAACCAGGAAGGAATTCCGCTTTCATGTGGTTGAGAAGCAGAGGCCCACTCAGATATCCGTGGGGTTTCATGGCCAGGCAGGGGAGCTGGTGAATTTGTTGGGGAGAGCCCTGATCCCAGCAGCTCACTGGGAACGAGGCCTATAAATAACTCCTGCCAGTCAAAGCATAATGATTTCAATCTTCCCACTGTATAAATAAACAGTATTGTTCAGGAGTTCTTCCTGGCTACAGTTTTGGCCCATTAGCAAAGGCTTGCAGAGGATCCAGCTGGAATTTTTGTCGAAGGCAAAGGATCTGACATTTGGGGAGTAATTACGGCCCCGTGTGAGGCATCTGAATAGACTGTCCCATTAAACTCTCATGCCAGCTCCAAGAGTCAGTATCATCCCCGTTCGACAGATGAGGAAATGGAGGCTCAGGGATGACATGGCACAAACCAGAGCTCTCAGGCCAGGGAAAGGGAAGTAACGTCAGGCTTGTCAGAGTGCAGACCCCTGGCACCTCAGCCCCCTCGATATCTCAGTCATCCTGCAGCAACACTACCGAGATCAGTGTTCATGGAAGGCTTGTGTTTTTCCTTGGTAATATAAATAACACATGCTCTTTTCTTTACAGGAACGTTTGAAAATTTAGAAATGCAGAAAGAAAATTAAAATCACCTGTATCCTTGCCACCCAGAAAAATACACGAGTGTTTTGTTTACATTGTTCCTGTGTTTAGACAGATCGGTAGATAGATAAGAGACGGAGAAATGACCTTACAGACACACACACTGAGGGATAAATGGTTTTTAAAAACACAACTGAGATAACAGAGTAGATTCTGTTTCAGAAGGGGCTTTGGTTCACTTGATGCTGATGACGCAGTTATTATCTCCATTTTCAGTATGAGGCATTGGTGGCTCAGAGGGTGTGATGACGTGTCTATGCTCATGGCTCATGCAGGTGGACAGGACCAGCTTTCCATCCTGCCTCCTCCTCCTCTTCTCTTTCTGTCCCCATATCCAGGTGCAGGTACTACTCTGGTCATGGATCGGTTAGCTCATTGCATTCTTCCATTAGTCTCTAGATTGCTGAAGGTCAGCATTCTAGTCCTGACTGTGTGGCTTACTAGCTGTGGGGCCTTAGACAACTCTCCTTTTGTTTTCCTTCATCCATAAAATGGGTACACTTTGATCTAAAGCTCTAGTGAACCCACAAGTGTTGGTAGAGCATGCTCTACAGATTGTCTCTCCAGGTTGGGAACAGGGTGGAGCAGAGGTTTGGATTTTGAAGCCAAGGTTTGACACTTAGGTACTGGGAAGACTTGGGAAAGTCATTTGACCTGTGCTTCAGTTTTCACATCTGTCACGTGAAGACAATTGTGTCTACCTCATGAAGTTGTGGGATCATTATCACAACAATAGGAGGTGTTGAGTACTTGTGATGGGCTGCGTTGAGATCTTTTCATAGATTCCTTCGCTGGTCCCCATAACAACTGTGAAGATTAGGGATGATGACTCTCCCCATTTTACAGATGAGGAAACTGTGCCACAGTTAAGAAATTGAGGGCTAAGTTTACACAACTAGAAAACTAGATCTGAGCTGGATGAAGACCCTTTGAAACGGGAAACCCTTTTTCTATACAAGACTCAAGCCAGGCTTCTGGCTACACAAAGTGGGTTTGGGGCATTTGTCTCTATTACTGTTAGCCAAAATGTATCTCAGCCAACAAACAATGAAAATGAGAAACAAATTTTTCTCTTTCCTTGACATAAGGAAAAACCACACTCCCAAACCGTGGAAAGTCATGCGTATCTCCTAAATCCTGCAAAATGCAATTGAAGAGGAAGGTACCCAGAGCTAGTACCAACTCTTTGGACTTTGAGCAGGAAACAACTTTCCCTAAGAAAGAGTCACCCAGGGCTAAAAGACAAATTGAATGAACCATGGATTATGACCACATCATCTAAGCATGGGTGGGCAATGTCCTGTGGAGACTCAGATGACATCATGCAATGATGAGAGGGTGGAGGTGCAGGAGAAATGGACTCAGCATGCCAGTGCTAGTACCTACGACCAAGGCCCCTGGTCTCGGGCACTGGTTATATATGAAATGTGGAGGAGGAGAGATAGACGCCGAACACTGGATCAAACACAGAGACATCCCCTGGAAAAGGAAAAGCTCCCCTTCAAGGCCAACAGGATAGAGACATGTTTCAGGGCAAAGGAAATCACATTTAAGAAACAAGGACCCCAGCCTGTGTCCAAGTTCATGATGTCCCAATTCATGATCTTTCTCACCTCACTCTCTCTCAAGTCAATATGTGGCTAGCTCCATTCAACATGAAAGGTTACACAGAGAAACCAGCCCATGACCTACTGTACTGCGAAAATAAAATAATCACAGCCATGGTGGGAAGAAATCCCTTATCAAAAGGCAGATAAAGGGAATTTCTAACATAAATTGCCCAAGGAAAGAGTGAAAAAATTTAGACAAATACTTCTCCATAAATTAAAAAAAATTATAAAGCAAGATATAAAGAGACGATGAAAAGGGATCTGGCAGAACTCAAGAAAAAAAACTGATGTGAAAAAGAAAAATGCTACACAAATTTAAGCTTCACTAGAATCTGAAAGTGGGAATCAACATACTAGAAAAACATCATCAAGGACGTGGTGGTCTGGCCAGCTCTCTAACATCTATTGGCATCTTCAGCACCACATTCATTATAGCACAAGACTCCCACATATTGAAAGATATTTAGGAGCCTTATGTAACCCCCAGCCTCTCCAGTTACTGTGTCAAGCAAAAATACCATTCCCCATTTTCAATGTATGATGATATAAAATGATTGTAAAGATGATATACTACTAATATAATTTTTTTGTGTGTGGTGGGGGACAGGTTCTTGCTCTGTCACCCAGGCTGGAGTTTAGCATCACAATCATTGGTCACTGCAGCCTCGAACTCCTGGGCTAAAGTAATTCTCCTGCCTCAGCCTCCTGAGTAGCTGGGACTCCAGGGGTATACCACCATGCCCAGTTAATTTTTAAATTTTTTGTAGAGATGAGGTCTTGCTATGTTGCCCAGGCTGGTCTTGAACTTCTGGCCTCAAGCAATCCTCCTGCTTCGGTATATTTTTATAATAGATAGGCAGAAAGGAGAAATAAGATAAATGCATAATTTGTGTTCTTTGGGAAGACACCAGAACAAATGACACAGAAAAACATTAAATGATGTAACTGAAGAAAACATTACTGAAATCAGGGCTACAGATCACAATACTTATGAACATTTCAGGTAAAAATAAACATTCCCCAAATGGAAACTCCCAATTTATTTTGTTTTTCAAATCTACACAACACAAAGATGAACTAAAATAAATAATGCAGGAATGATGGTATCATGGCCAGATGGTGAACATAATAGTTATCAAAACTGACTGAACCAAAATTTTGTTCACTGAATGAAATGTAAATATTATAAAGCTAGACAATAATAATACAATTAAAAAGAGCTAAGAGGTAGAGAAGGAGAAATATACGGTGTTAATTTCCACTTCCTTCATTGCAGGAAGCTAATAGTCTAAAATTAAAATGTAATTTAAAGATAACTCAAACCCAATGTGTGGTATAATGTCTTGTCTTCCTTTAGAGGGGCCTTTTAGGAAGGAAGTCATATCCCATATACTGAAGAGAATGGATCTGAGACAAGCCTTCCGATTTTACTTTAGTTTCTTTTTTATTCCATTAACTTCAAGTAAAATATAATCTAGAACTTTTAAATATTAAAAAGAGTGTGCATAATGTTTCTATTTTTGTCCCTTTATCTTTCTTTTATTTCATCATCACTATCATTTTATCTATTTTTACACATAGAAGAATGCTTAGAATAATGTTTACCAAATACTGGTGGCCATTGTTTGAGCGGTGGAATTTTGAATAGTTTTTCTTTTTTTTTTTTAACTGGCTTTTTTGTACTTTTTTTTGTATTATCGGGGTATTTTCACAATGAATATGTTTCATATTTACTAAACAGAGTCAATATTCTTAAAAAAAAAAGCATGCTATCACAATGGAAGAAAAAGAGAAACTAATTTTATTTTATCCCCACTCTATAAAGGGAGGTGTCTCTCTGGGCCGCCCATTCTGGGCATTCAAATTCTAATGGTGGCTGCAAACCTATTTCCAACCATTTTTCTCAAGAATATGTGATGTGCTTTGAAGCTCAGGCTACATCTTAAAAAAAAAATGGAGCCATACAATGGAATAAAGTTCAAGTGCACTTGCATTTAGGTTAATTATAAAGAATGCATTAATTTAACTGCATTGAGGTGATATCATGAACCCCAATGCCTCTTTTCTTGTGGGAGTTGCCTGACACAAAGCAGGTGTGAAGAGGGTAAATGTGTGTGCTGTGGACTCATTCAGAGACTAGTTTGGTGTCATCTGCTGATTCACTTCTCATAGTATCCCATAATAATAATGTGTAGTTTAAGTCTGGTATTATATGAAGCTTTTCATTTGGACTCTGCTAAATACCTTCACATTTATAATCTCAATTTGATAGCAATTGATGAGAAAGCCATATATCACCCATTTTGTTACTTTCTGAAGCTCCAACACACCTGAGGATATGCAATAGCCCCTTCTGCCATCCATGTCATGTGGATGAGGCTTGCCTCCTTCTGTAAATCCCAAGAGTGTGCAGGTGACCTGGGCTCTGGAATTCAGTGCATCCCACCTGCCTGGGCACCATGAATTAGTTCAGGGATGGGCAAGGACTCCAAGGTGGCCCATGGGAACAAACACGGGGCCTTTTTCTAGTGTGCCCAATAGAGACAGTAGTACAGATGCACAAGAGTAGTGCAGATGACACAAATCTGTACCTGCTAAGCACCACCACATAGGTTCCAGGAATAAAGCTGACACGGAGGAAAACAGACAAGAGAGAAAGATAGACTAATTCCCATTGCATTGTTGAAGATCTTGGATCCAGCCATGCCTGCACCCAGTGCACCTTGGATTTTGGCGATACACAAGATACTTTATCCATTTGGCTTTTGGTCACTGGAGGCTTAGTGGTCCTTATGCATTTGGAAACAACACACTAAACAGAGCCAAGGTGGAAGCTAGATCTTCTCACTCTCAGTGTGGACTCCTTCTACCAGACTCCTTCTACCAGACCAGTGTGGACTCCTACCAGACTCTGGAGTACCTCTGTGGCTTTGTTTGTGGAAGAGGAAGTCTTACTCATTTACTGTGCACCCTGTATCTCAGGTATCGCTTTCTCCATGAAAACTGAACTGCAATAGATGAATAAATTACAACTAAAAGGTTGTCACTTGGAAAGTTTTGTTTTAAATGATCTAAATTAAAGGAATGGTCTTTCCCTTTTAATGTGCGTATAAAATCACTGCACTTTTCTGGTTAACAATATAGTTTCCATTCTCATTATCAAAATCATAAAAATGAGTGAGATGACAGTTTCTTTTTAAAATGCAAAGTGTTTTATGCCAGAAGTTCTAAGAAATTAGATGGGGACTCTCGCTATCTGCAGGTGTAAAAGAGTGACTTTCTTTCTTTGTGTATTTTTTCACAATTCTGATCTAATCCCCTTTCTTTAAAAACAAGAATGGTATATATATACATACCATTAACCGAAGAAAACAAGAAAATCCACACATAAATGCCCGTATTTTTATGGAGATAAAGAGAAGGCAGTGAGCTGTTCAAAAGGAAAGTTATAAATGTAATGATAGGAAGATCACGTGATGCGCATTAATTCAAAAGGGCCCCTTCATTGGATTGTGATCTGATTGTGTTTACAAATATATAGCCAGAAGGCTTTTAATTTTGGGGCAATTTCATTGTTCATAGATATATATCTGGCTGCAGATATATGTCTATGAAATTATGTGCTTATGTGTTTTCAATGAGATACAGCCCCTCTCCTTTAATGCAATAATGTTCCCACTTTATGATCTACGGTTGCCCAAAGTTGGGGCAATTTTATAACAATCTTATTTGAAATACCATAATATATGAAAGATGTAAATAATGTGATGTTTAGAGACCCGGTTGAAATTTGAATTCATTGGAATTTAGCATTTGCTGGAGCTAACAAGGACAGACTTTATTAAATCACAAGGATTGGGTTCTCCTTGCATTTCCAGCTACTTCTTGCCTTCTTGCTGTTTATTTTTCTTTTAAGCCCGAGTTCAATAAATAAACCCAACTAACAATTAAAAAGTCCCCAAATGATTCTAGATTGAAAAATGCAAAAATAGCCTGGCTGGCACTGCACTTGCAGTGGAGTTTGATTAAATTCTCTAATTGCATTCGAAAGGGTGGGGAAGATCACAATACGCCGGCGCTTTTCGCACGAGCCTCCGACGAGAAACTTCAATTACCACTAAAAATGGAAAATGTTCATAATAGATAAATGCTCTTCCCATTTGAGAGTTGCCTTTTAAACATTACATAACTGGTTTGGGTGAGGTACTATTCTATTTCCTGTTGTATGCTGTGGCTCGATTTACGCCCCCTGCCCCAAACCTGGGAACCTTCTCTCTCTTCCAGGTGAGGTGCTTTGCCTGTAGCCAGCTTGGCTGAAACAGCTTTTTTCCTAGTCTGAGACTGGATGTCTTGTGTTAGGGCTGGTGGAGTCTTTAAAGTTCCTCGGACAGAAGGAAGAACAAAGACAGAGGAAGATGTTAGTAGGATGGTTTTAGAGCAACTGTGGCGTCTACTGTTGGTTTGGACTCTGCTGTGGAAAGTGGGTGAATAAGGGGCAGGGCAGGGCAGGAAAATGTGTCAGGCACTGCCAATATTCACATGTTGCCCTGAACCAAATATGCCTTGATCTTCTGGGAAGATGGATGGTTACTCACATGGCTTAGTTCAGTCACCTCCTCCAGGAAGCCTTCTCTCACACTGTCTCCTCTGTGCCCTCAAGAACACTGTGCATTCCCTATAGTGGCATGGTCCGCTTTAGTACGATCATTGTTCATACCACCTCCTGCCTCCCAGTGCACCTTTGTGAACTCCCTGGGGTCAGAGCCCGTATTTGGTTTTCTGTGCGTCGCTCAGGGTTTGGCCCCTTGTGGGCTAGAAAAGCACCAGCCCTACTAAGTAGTTTTCCGATGCTATTCATCTCCTCCTGTTTCTCTTCCACTGTCTCCCTCCACACTAGAAAACAGGAGCTGCAGAGTCACAAAGACCGGGGTTTGACTCCTGTCCTGCCCATTTTAAACTGTGCAGAGAGCTCCACACTTTGGACCTCGGCTTTCTCATCTGTAAAACAGAGATAAGATTACCCGTCCCATAAAATTGCTGAGCAGGGTTAATGGAAATCCCAATGGTGAAGGCAGCTAGTAGATGCCAAGTGCATACAGTAGACACTCAATCTGTACTAGTTTTCTTCTTGATTTCTCTCGTTCTAACCACCACCTCTGCCATCGTCATGGTTTAAAGAGCATTTACCCAGTGCTGGGCCCTGTGCTGAGTGCTCTACACAGATCATCTCATCGAGTTCTCCATGTCCTTAGGTTTCCCTTCTTCTTCCCCTCTTTGCTGTGTTCCAGCCTCATTGCCCAGCCTCATGGCTTTTCTTTGGAGGGGCGGGATGGGTAGGACTCAGCCCAGGCATGCTCCAGGCTCCATGGCAATTCTGATTCCAGCTTTGGCCTCACTTTCCAGGGGCTGGACCTATACTTTTTGCAGCCCAGTAAGCCAATGTGCACTGCCTCAGAGAGAGGCTGGGGTACATTCCCATGAGATTGGACAGACCAGACAGACAACGCTGCCTTGAGTGGTGCCTGAGTGTGGTCCAGTGTGGCCCAGTCTCTGCCTTCTGCCCCGGCTCTACTCATCTCCCCATGTTCTAAGCCCGCCTAACACTCAGCCACACCTGTTTCTGCAGAGGCCCCTGCCACCTCGGCTTCCTCCCTTCCTGTCTCAGGCTTACCTGCACCTACCCAAGTGTGGCACATTCCTGTGGTCCCCTCTTCTATTCCTTTCACATTTGCTGCCCTTCCTGTCATCCCTCCTTTCTTCTTCCATTTTCTCTCTTTTCTCAGCCCCTAAATTTTATAGCAGATTCTAGCATTACAGACATTCATAAGACTGAGTCACTTCCTAGAGGAGCTCCAGCCTGATGGGGAAGACAGAGCAATGACCCATGACCACAAAACCTTTTGGGCTCTGGAGCTGCATTCATGCAACCTCCTACACATAGGGTCAAAGAACAGGAGCACAAGGAAGATCAGGGTAGGGTAAATTCAGCTTTGTAGAAATGCATGAATCAAATGCCTTGGGAATCGTACTCAACACAAGTCAACAGATGCTGTGGTGGCTTATATAAAGTGATTGAGATCTGAGGTTGCATTACAACGGGCTCAGGTTTAGGATGGGGAGATGGACGCTCTGCTCATTTCTGCATTGCTCCCTTATGCTGCAGGCATTGTGCTCACTTCAGAGTGGGCAGTGGGCTCTCCCTCCCCAAAAAGCAGCAAATGGCAGGACATTTTATAAGAAGGTGATGAGGAGTGGGGGAGGGGAGACTTCCATCTCATCGGATACTGAGGAGGGGCAGAATTGAGCTGTGGAAGGACAGAGCCTGCTGCCCCTAGAGGAACACATGCCATTGCCCTCAGATTTCAGGGGCTAACTGAGAAAAGGAGTGAAGGCACTCAGTAGGGCCTGAAAGCAAAACAAGAAGACATCAATATGGAAGCCAACTTTGGCACAGGCTAAGGAAGATCTTTGATACCAGCAAAGCCTACTCTGCCAATCCTGTCCAAGGGAGGCCATTCCCTGACACTGGAGGTGATCAAGCAGGAATGCCCATTTTAGGGGGCTGGGCAGAGCAGTTGGCATCCCAGGTGTAGACTTTGTCTCTTTGCCTCCCAACCTTTCCCTTGCTGGCACCTTCATAGGGCTGAGTCACAGAGCATGCAGTTCTGCCCTCCATCCCTTCTTACTTCCCTGCCCCACACTAGGACAGGTGACTGTCCCCAGCACGAGACAGCTGATATCCTGGAGGCCCACACTTCTCCAGCTTGCAGCCTATGGATGAAGTTTTGTGTTGGGAGTTATAATCTTTTCCTTTTGCTTCTGCATCCACGTAGTCTCAAGTACATGGAAAATGTAGAGTATTGAATGAGCCATGCAGGTCTAGCCATGCCAGAAACTTTCAGACTCTCCCAGAGGCGAGCTTGGTTGGCTCCCCTCTAAAGGAACAGCAACAGAGTGCAGACACCAGCCTCTCCTCTAGTTCCTGTCTCTTCTTCTCTTTCCTCTCTGTGAATGTTGCCCCATAGAAATCACGGGGGCTCCCACTCTTTCTCACTGCTCATGACTGGTGGTGCCCCTCAGTCCCGTGGCTTCTATCTCCCAGACCCTCTCTCATGTATGGCTCCCCCTCCTTCTCCACTGTCCGTATCCTTATGTTCACTATTCCTTAATCTCACCCCAGAAGTAGGGGTTTGAATGGGTCCTCTTGGGCTCAAATCAAGGACTCAGCAGGGCCGCCTTCCTCTTGGAGGTTCTAGGGGAGAACTTATTTCCTTGACTCTTCCATCTTCCAGAAGCTGCTTGTAATTTTTGGCTCTTTGTTCCTGCCCCCATCTTCAAAGCCAGCCACCTGGCAACCTGGAATCTCCTAATCCTGCCCCTCCTGCCTCTCTTTTATCAGAACCTTGTGATGACACTGGGCCCACTTGGATAATCCAGGATCATCTGCCCATCTCAAGGTCCTTAATTTAATTATGTTAGCAAAGTCCCTTTGCCATGTAAAGTGACATATTCACAGGTCCCGGGACTAGGATGTGGACATTTTTGGGTGCCGTTATTCTGTCGAGCACAAGACTCCACTACGCTGCCTGCAGTTACCATCTTTAATCCCACACTGCGTCATCCCAAGGCTGCTAGCTCTCGTCTCCTACCTGACGAGGGACAGTCTCCTTAGCCTGGTGAACAGTGCGCCCTGTGATCTGGTCCTGGCCAGCCAGCCTTGTTCTCCATCCTCTACAGAATCCACTTGCTGGGACTTGGTCCTGCATGTTTCTCCTTCTCACTGTCCTGTGCCTATCCCCCGGCAGCCCCTTCCACCCAGATGTGGCCCCATCTTAGCCACAACTCAAGCCTGACCTCAGCATGACCACACCAGGGATTTGCATTGCCAAGGGTTGCTGTCAGCAGGGGATGATCCTCAGGAGACCCCCAGTAAGTGGCCTGTGTGCCATGTCTTTTTGCTGCTGTGCCTCTCCAAGCCTTAAATTCATCCTCAGTAGCTCCTTAAAGACCAAAATCCCTCCCTGTGGCTCTCCAGGCCTGGTTTCCTTTTTTGATTTTGACTGGCTTCATCAAACCAGGCCTGGTTTTGGTTTTCCCTTTTTGGTTTTATTGGGTTTCATCTCAGGCCAGGGTTTTCCTTGCTCTTCCTCCAGCCACCATCGCCTTCTTGCAGTTCTTCAACAGTACCTCAATCCCTCCTGTGTCTTGGCTCTTGCTCACAGCTTTCAGGTCCTCTGCTGGATGGCTTCATCCCCTTTTATGTTCACCCAACTTTGGCCTGCTCATCCCTCAGCTCAAATTCTCTTCCCTGAAGAAGCCTTCCCTAACCCTCCAGACGAAGACAGAGACTCTCACTGGTGCCCAATCCTTTGAGCACCTCACAGGGCTTGTAATCATATACTCATTCGTGTGTCCATGCAATGAATTTTGTCTCATCTCCTGGGGAAGGTGGACATTGTAGTGGATGCTGTGATGCATGGCGTGTGTACTCTGTTAGGGCCCAGGAACTCACTTCCCAGCTGCTGGGGTTGTTGGTCAGGGCTGGTTCAGAGCTGTATCCCTTTCTGGAAATTTCTCTTGGCTGAAGGAAGCTGCTTAGCCCTAAATTTCTCCCTCTCCCTGGGTGTATCCCATCTCTACTAACCGTGCCATATGGGAACATAAAGGCCTGGCCCCCTTGTCTCAATCCAGGACAGCTCTGATGGGTGACGCCAGATTGAGAGTTCCCCATGGGGTTGGCTGAGGCCTTTATTGCAACTGGATCCCAGTCCAGTTTCTCCCTCTGCCCTGTCCTCCCCTTGCTCCATCACAGGCGTGGTTCTTGAGAGCTTGTGTTAGTCCGTTTTCATGCTGCTGATAAAGACATACTCAAGACTGGGTAATTTATAAAGAAAAAGAGGTTTAACGGACTCACAGTTTCATGTGGCTGGGGAGGCCTCACAATCATGGCAGAAGGTCAAAGGCACATCTTACATGATGGGAGACAAGAAAGAATGAAAAACAAGTGAAAGGGGTTTCCCCTTATAAAACCATCAGATCTTGTTTGACTTATTCACTATCATGAGGACAGTATGGGGGAAAACACCCCTGTGATAAAATTATCTTCCAGCAGATCCCTCCCACAACACGTGGGAATTACGAGAGCTAACAATTCAAGATGAGATTTGGGTGGGGACACAGGCAAACCATATCAGAGATCTCGTCAACAAACCTCCAGGATGTAAATTCCATCTCATGGTCTATTACCTAGGAGCCCACTAAACAATCAATGCTCCTGCAGTGGCCCTATGATGCTGACTCCAGAATTTGATTTTGGCACTGGATCACCTGCTGGCTAACTGGCGGTGAAGACTCCATAACCGGAGAAGGTGCTGCATGGACAGACCCCAGCATGCAGTGGCAATGCAATTATTCGACCTTTTTGCTGGTGGTGAAATGAGATGGGATACTGGGGGAAGGGATGCACTGGCAGGTGCAATTTCTCAGGTGAGGAGGGAGGGGATAGTAATTAAAAGTATTATGGAATTGTCGCTGGGGGCAACGAATGCATTACAGAGTCAATGCTAGGCTGAGAGTGATTAATCACCAATTAAGGGCTAAGTGTGAAAGCCAGAGGGCAGCAGATAAAGAGATTCGCCCTCCTGGAGGATGGAGAGTTGAGGATCAGGCCCAGGTCATAATTATAAAAGTGGCAGAGTGTTCCAGAGGAAGTCAGATCCTCAAACCCTGCAGGTCTGCTATGCCAAGGTCGGATCCCTAATTAGGAAGGCATGGGACCCACCGAAGTTCAGTTTCTCCCTTTGTCCAGTCCTGCTGCCCTCATCCTTCAAGTGAGAGTTTTACAGTGGTGAGATGGGGTGGTTCATTCCCTCTGGTGAGCCCCTGTTCCCCGCCATGCAGTAGAGATGCTGACAACAATAAGAAGGGGTGTAAAATGTGCTATAGGAGGGACCACGAGTGTCAGATGCAGCTATGACAACGGTAGTGGTGGCTGCAGTTTGTCCCATTAACCTTTCTCTTGTAAGTCCTCCCAGGGAAAATGACCAACCAGAATCCTAGAGCAGCTATTCCCAGATAGAGTAAACTCAGTATGTGAAATAAATGGGTGTAGGCACCACAAGGGGTAGACAATGGTGGATACTGTGGGGAGCAGCCCTGATCCCAGTTTGCCTCAGGTGCCTGGAGTGTTGGCTGTGTCATTGCTCTCTGGACATTGCGCTTGGCCAAAACATGCCTTCTCTATAGGCAACCTGCATCCAATGTCCAGTTAATGCTGGGGTACAAATGCCCAACCCCTTTGCTTTGATTTGGGGCATCCCTGAAGGTCTCTCCTAACTCCAGAATTTCCTGTGAGATCAGCTGCAGCACCCCTTGCAACTGAACCACAGTACAACTTTCTCCTCTGCCCAATCCTGCTTTCCTCAATGCTCCCTCCACCCCTCCCAACCTGTTGTGCCAGAGAGCACTCATCAATAACCCTTCTCCATGTAGCTCTCAGAGTCTTGCTCTTGGACTCCCAGAGAACCAGACCTTCACACATATTAAGGTCAGGAGCTCTTGTCCCCTCCATCTCTCTCCTGGGTTAATCTCCAAATACAAGGTCCCTGCTCACTGTCCCCAAACTCCCCAAGGACGCTGCTATAATTCTGTGCCTGCCACCCGCTTCTCTGGCCCTATTCCCACTAGCTACCTCTGCTACTTTTCAAGCACCCTGGGCTCTAGCCTCTCCAGCTGGTCCATCCAGCTACAAAATAAGTCCTGGTTTTGCAGAGAAAACAGGAAGGAGAGGAGGCATTAACCTGCTGATGAAGAATGCCCAGGGAAGATACCCAGTAAAAGTGCAAGTGCATGGAGCCTGCTCTCCCTGTCACCTGGGAATCATTTACTCCCCAAAGCCACATTGCTTGGGGAATGACAAGACAGAGGAAGTGAGGTGCAGGGTAGGGAGTGCCCACACACTTTCCTTTCTAAAGACACGTGGCTAGATGAGCTGATCACCCCAGGAGGGCTTATGGTCAGTAGATTCTAGTAGCTTCTCCCATAGGCACCCGGAGTCCACTCTAGTTGCAGTTAGTGGCTCAGATACCAGGCTATAGTTAAAAATCTTTTCAAACTTTTGGGCTTGGCAAAGCCCCAAGTGTGGTTTTTTGTTTTTCATGTTTCTTAAAAAGTGTACTTCTCTGCTAATTTCCAAGCCTCCTGTGCTTTGAGGGATCTTTAAACTGCATGTTTTGGGTTCACGTACATGAAACTCATCAAAGTGCTGTTTTGTGAGATGGGTTTGATGTCCAAGCAGGCATTAAAAGCTGTTTTGTTTTTGCTCCTTGACCCAATGATTTACGCTTTACTAAGACTGAAAGGACTGCCCGGCGTGCTCAGGAAGGAGTTCGGCCTCTTTTCTAAAGGCAGGCTGTCCAGTGTCCTGATGAGATCTCAAAGCTGGCACAGCAGATTGTCTCTTAGGCCTAATAATTTCCATGCTTACCCTTTCATGAGAAGGAAGAGTATTTTGGAAGAAAATGACTTTTTTTTTTTCCTTTTGGTAGCCTTAAAAATCTGCATTACCAAAAGAGAGTGAAGGCAGCAAATTGTCCCCCCGCCCCGCCAACTTGTGGCTTTGCTGCAAAGGCCTCTGGGAAGCCTCTCTCTACATGCCTTGTTCTTTTCGCCAACCACATCCTGCAACTCCACAGGCAGTGCTAGACTTGGGCAGCCAACGCTTCTCACTGGGACACGTTGGCCTGTCTTAGCCACTAGGACAGGTTAGGAGCAGCTGCGACTGTTTTTAGGCTGACCCGAAGCGGGAGGAATTTGCAGAGGACCTTCCTGCTGCAGAGAACTCTCTTACCTGCCCTCTGCTTGATCTTCAGTAAAACACTGTGACATGGGCATCCTTGTGCCATTTATAGGGAGAGAAGGCAAGGATGGCAAAAGCTTGCCTGATGACTCCAGAGCGCCCTTTCTTCTTCCTGGGGATGGACAGATGGTCCAGTGATCACAGCCTGTTGCCTGGGAACGCTGGGGATGTTTTGCATTGAAAGGGTGTGAATGTGACCACAGAAGATTTGGGGACTGGAACCCATCCTCACATGGCTTTTGAACTTGCCAAGCTACTAACATGCAGTGACTTTGTCCAGGGCAAAAAGCCTTGAACTTGGAGCTAGCCCCTGGCCTGGCTGGGTGTGGACTGGGCAGATTCCTCTGAGTTGTAGTTTTTTGCCTGTGACATTAGGTTGTTGTGAGGACCCATGGTAAAAAGCAGGTGGTGTGCTTAGTACAAGGCCAGCCTCACAGCCAGTGTGCTGATTTTTATGATTATGGGATCAGGAGGCCAGTTTCTTTCCTTACCCCTTGGCTGGTGACCACTGGGATCAGATCAGACAACAGCTGTCTTGGAGTGCTTCACCTGAGTGAGGTGCTTTGATTCCAAGCCCACTGAGAGGTGGCCTAGAATAGGGAGATAAGAGTGGCTTGCCTGGTCTTGACTCTACTAGATGGGGAAGGGTGGCTGGCTCTGCACATGCACCTGGGGGAGAGGGGTTGGAGGTGGTGGGATGTACAGAACCTGGAGAAAGGTACTTTCTCTAGGCTGAACTGGTCTGACCTCCCTGATTGAGATACTGAAGTAGAATTCACCAGGGGCCATTCAGTGGAGACAGGCTTAAGGTTCTAGCTGTCACTTGTACAGCCCAGTGGGGTGTGCATGTCCTGTGTGCACAGAAGACAGGTGGAGTTGCATCACATAGAGACACTTGTGTTGCTGGGTTGATAAGACCTTGCTGCTACTTCTCAACACGGATCCTAAGTGGATAATTTCCTCTTCCGTCCATTTTCCTTCTTACATTTAGCAATTGATACTTTTACCATATGAAACATCTAGTTTATTTTTAGTCTGGCTGGAAAATGTCACTTGGTTGGGAAGGGATCTGCCCTCACCTCTGTGTGTGGAGCTCACGGGGCTAAGAACTGGAAGCTAACCTGAGTGATTGTTTAACCCAACTCCTTTGGTCACCAGTGAGGAAACTGAATCACACAGAGAGAAAGGCCATTGCCAAGATCCTCATAACTTGTTAGCAGCAGAGATGGGATCTGAACCCAGAATTATTTTCATAGAATTTTTTTTGGAAATTTGAAAAGGAAGAAAAGGTGCAAATAATTTACAATCACCTTATATTCTCACCACTCATAATTAGCCTTTTACCTTTTCTTATATATGTTTCAGTTATTTTTCTGTGTATATAGTTGAGCTATTCTGCAAGTAATATATGAAGGTACCAGAGTACTTTAAAAACTATTAGAAACTTGTAGATAAATACACAATTCATGCCTACCTCCTATTAAAACTATTTCCACCTGGTCCATTTCCTTGTCTCCAGAAGCAGTGATTATTATGAGTTTCATGTCCTTCTAAGCCACTAAAAAATTGTGTGTGTATTTTATAAGTATTATATGTATTATTTTTGTGTTTAAACATTTACATAAATGATATCGTGTATCATATCGTCCAGAACCATCAGCAACATACTCCCCCCAGTGATGTGTTTCTGGCATCTGTTTATGTTGCTGGCTAGAGATCAGGTGCATTTTTCTCAGTGGCTGAACATATTCTACTGTGCTGCCCTGCTATTTCTTAGTTATCCACACAGGCATGGGTTATCACCAAATGCATGACTTGCTTTTCAGTGATCTGTATTTATTTATGTATTTATTTATTTATTTATTGAGACAGGATCTTGCTCTGTTATTCAGGCTGGAGTGCAGTGGTAAGAACAAAGCCCACTGTAGCCTCAACCTCCTGGGCTCAAGAGATCCTCCCACCTCATCCTCCCAAGTAGCTGGGACTGTAGGCCTCAGAAAGCACAGCCTGTACCTGGCTAATTTTATTTTTTTTAGAGATGAGGTCTCATCATGTTGCCCAGACTGGTCTTGAACTCCTGAGCTCAAGCGATTCACCTGCCTCAGACCCCTAAAGTGCTGGGATTACAGGAGTGAGCCATTGAATCTGGCTCAATGAATTTCTGAAAAAATAACCTGGAAACCAGAAGGACTTCTGTCCATGACCTGAAATTATGGAGGTGGGCCCTGAGCCAGTCACTTCACCATTGTGTGCCTCACCTTGCCTATCTTATCAAGTTGAATACTGCTTGTCAATGAATTATGTGGATAAACGTGAGGTTCCACCATAGCTCCAGCTGCCCCCACACCTAAGGGTCTAAGTATTAAATACAAAACTCCCTTGTCCTCAACATAGGATGTGTTTGTGATGAAATAACCACACCCCTACCCCCCATATTGCTCCCTTTGTGTGTACAGATTTTGTCATGGGAAGGCTGTGCTTTCTATGACACCTCAGGATACGATGTGTCGGCAATGGAGAAGTCGCGCCAAAGAGTAGAGATAGAGAGGGCTCCCTCTTGAAAGGTGAAGTCATTTCTAGTTTCTGTCACCTCGGAAACAGGTGGATCCTGAGACAGAAAAAGCCCTGGGCAGGCGGTAATCATAAAGAAGTCGAGATATTTCTATGGCAGCTCCAAAAAACAGTGAGCCCCTCCTCCAGGGGATGATGGATGCACGTGGGTAGGTGACCTTTCTAAGATTACAAAATGAGCTCAAGAAAAGCCCAGAGTTCAAAATCAGGGCTGGGTCTGCTGTCTGTGGTGTGGGCTCTTCCCATTCTGCCCATTTACAAAGGGGACTGGTTGATGAAACTTTAGCTTATCTCAATGGAACGTATTGTTGATGGAATTTCAGGCAGCGCTGAGTCTAACAGCAGGTGAAATATAATCAACCCTGCTGGGGTAGCTGGGAAAGCCTTCATATGAGAGGTGACGTGGGAGCTGAGTTTTGAAGCATGAATGGGAGTTTTCCAGGTGAGATAGGAAAAGGCCATTCCAAGTAAAAGGAGAAAATAGCCAAAGATATGCAGGTTTAAAAAATCAGGAAGAATTTCCTGGGAAATGGTGCAATGTGTATGAGGATGGGGCTGTGGAAAAGTCAGGAGGCTGCAGAGACAGATACGGTTCTGACCATATCACGGAGGGGATGAAGGGCTGTGGGAAAATCAAGAGCAGGGAAGCAATAAAGTGAGGTTTGCGGCTCAGGAAGATGATCAGGGAAGCCATGGGGCAGAGGATGGATTGGAGGGAATGTGGCTCAGGGCAGAGGCGCGGGTGGATGAGCTCATTGCAGCAGCACTCTTGAGAGATGCCAGCAGTGGGGGGTCAAGAGGAGAGGCTGGAAGACTGTAAGGGAGTGTGGTAGGGGTTAGAGGGAAGGAAAGGGACCTAGCTTGCAAATGTTCACCATGACCCTGTGAAAGAGGCATTATCGCCCGCTTTTACAGATAAGACAGCAGAGACACATACAAAAATTCGGTAACAAAGCCTCACAAGTCCTACCAGTCTACGGGACTCCACAGTCAGCTCTGTTGCCCCTAACTCCTAGGGAAGGGGGAAAAAGCGTCCATTAATCTCAGAAGACCAGAGTTTCACCCTGGGGTCCTGGGCAAATAGCAATATTGACAGACATCACTGCTGCTTCCCAATATCCTGCCTCCTTTTTTGTGGGCAGGTGCGGGCACGTGACTAGTTCTGGCCAATGCGTTGAGAGTGAAGCTGACAGATGACACTTCTGGGCTGGCACATGTGCCAGCTGATGTGAGGCCCTTCAGCTCTCCATTTTGCTTTGTTGCACAAGGAAACACGAGTTGAGATGCAGACTTCATCAGCTTGGGAACTTCAGTGACGGGGCTGAGCAGGAGCCACCTGCCTACCCACGTTGCTGCCGAGTATGAGTGGGAAATAATTCCCGGTTGTTTTAGGCCATGGCCACTTAGTCACCTGTTCTTGCAGCAGAGCCTGCTGCATACTGACTGATATGGTGATGTGGGTCCTTGAGCAAGGGCATAAAGGAGGAGGAGCAGGCTGAGGGCAGGGGTGGAAAAAATGGATTTGGCAAGACTGAGTTGGGGCATAACATTTTAGTACAAGGAAATCAGGCTTTGGAGGTTAGCAAGCCTGGGTCCAATGCCACCTCAGGCACCCACTATCTGAGGGCAAAGGCTCCTGGCTTTTCTGGCCTCAGTTTCCTGAGCAATAGGGAGAGTTGTAATCACTACCCCCTTGGCCTTTAGGGTGAGTAGAGCTGACACATACAGAGCTCCAGCAAGGTACCCAGGCCCTAGGAAGCACTCAGCAAACACAATCATCACCCTGGGAAGATGGCGAGAAGAGAGTGGGCAATTTGTGCACCGAAAGAATAGGCTGCTTTTTTTTTTTTTTTTTTTTTTTTTTGAGACAGTTTCAGTCTGTCGCCCATGCTGGAGTGCAGTGGTGCGATCTCCACCCACTGCAACCTCTGACTCCTGGGTTCAAGTGATTCTCCTGCCTCAGCCTCCAGAGTAGCTGAGATTACAGGCACCTGCCACCATGCCTGGCTAATTTTTTGCATTTTTAGTAGAGATGAGGTTTCATCATATTGGCCAGGCTGCTCTTGAAGTCCTGACCTCAAGTGATCCAACCACCTCGGCCTCCCAAAGTGCTGGGAATACAGGTGTGAGCCACTGCACCCAGTCAGAATGGACATAATTTCTATCATATTCACTTGAATTTGCCTAGTACAGAGAATGGTGCCTGGGCACAATAGGTGTTCATTTTATATTCACTGGATAAATGAGGGAATAAAACATACTACAATTATTTGCAGAATGTACCTATTTTCTCTTACAACCAGGCCGGGAACTCTGATGGGAAGGACCTAGACGTATTACTTCATCTGTTTCCTCAATGCCCAGTGAATATGAGTTCTCTGGAAATTTTCCTTGAAAAAATGAGTCATCCTGGCCTTTAGAAATAGCCAGATCTGACTTGGACACAGGGCGGGAAACATCACACACTGGGGCCTGTTGGGGGCTGGGGGGCTGGGGGAGGGATAACATTAGGAAAAATACCTAATGTAAATGACGAGTTGATGGGGGCAGCAAACCAACATGGCACATGTATACCTATGTATCAAACCTGCACTGCACATTGTGCACATGTACCCTAGAACTTAAAGTATAAAAAAAAAAAAAAGAAATAGCCAGATCTGTGGGGGCATTTCTCCCTGACATATTGATACCAAGCCCAGCCTTGATTTTCCAGGGGATGCCCCACTCCTTATTGCAAAGTCTCTGTTCTGACCTCTGGTATCCCCTCAGGGACCCTTCAGGCCATGAGTTCAAATGCCTGGGAAGCCCACCTCACAGGAGCCTCAAGTCCCATCCGTCTTGTTCCCAAGTCTGGCAGGATCCTGACAGCCCCATGCATGTGCCTGTCCTCAGACCCCTGCAGAGGGCTGGGTGCAGACCTTGGCAGGAGTAGGCTGGCAGGCAGTCTCTTTCCTTCCCAGGCAGACGTGTGTGTAGCAAGTCTGTTTATCAGGCAACGCCTTGTAGCCAGCGGTGGCGGCTTAACAGTGGCAGAAACGCCCGCATTGCCTCACCAGCTGCTGGGTACTAAGATGCGCCCTTGGCCTCAGCTGGCAGATAAGCACCTGCATTGGAGAGGGAACCCTTGATCATGGGCTGATAAGTGCAGGGAAGAAACAACAACAACAACAAGAAAAAGCTGAGCAACCCGCTGTGGAAGGCTTTTTCATGTACGCATGGGCGTGTTTCTTGTCTTCGCCAACACAGAGGTGATGCAAAAGCTCTGATTCTAATTTAATTTGGTGGTCACGCAATCATGGAATGAGAGCATGTCAGAGCTGGAAGGGACTCTGGGGATTGTCTGGTTGAACTCTTTAATCTTCCAGGTGAGGACAGTGAGGGCCACAGAGCTGTACCGACTTGTTCAGGATCATCCAGCAAAGTTTTGGTGGAGCTGGAACTAAACCCGAGGGTCTCGAGACCCTTGGGCCTGCGATCTTTCCATCATATGGGATTGCTTCACAGGCTGCCACCTGATCGCTTAGGTGTAGACCGCAGGTTGCCCTTTGGTGCCTTAACAGTCCTCTTTAATATCACTAATTGGCCCTGTCTGCCTGCAGAGTCAGATAGATGCCCCCTGTCCCTGCTTCTCCCCCACCACATGCCAGCTATTGGGGTTGACCAGTTAGCTCAAGGCCACAGGGTCTGATGCTACTGTTTCAAACACTGTTATTTCATATTTTGAAAAAGCAAGGTTCAGATAAGAGAGGCAACTTGCCTAGGTGATACAGCTAGAGAAAGTGAAAGACCTGGGTCTAAAATTTTCAGGTTCCTCATTTCAGTTCTTTCCATACATAGTGTATGAAACCCAGGTGTGGGTGAAGGTGGGCAGAAGGGCACCCGGCCTCTGCAACTTTCCCCTGTGACCTGGTTTTGGGGAAGAGTTGCACATGTTTCCTCAAGGACAGAAATGGAGTCTGGCAAGACTTTGTATTGAAAATCTTGTTCTCAGTAGGGGCCTCCTAAGCAATGGGTATAGATAAATGAATGAATCCTTTTTTTTTGTTTGTTTTTTTGAGACGGAGTCTTACTCCATTGCCCAGGCTGGGGTGTGATGATCCGATCTCAGCTCACTGCAACCTCCATCTCCTGGGTTCAAGCAATTCTCCTGTCTCAGCTTCCCCAGTAGCTGGGACCACAGGCGTGTGCCACCATGCCTAGCTAAGTTTTATATTTTTTTTAGTAGAGAGGGGTTTTCACCATGTTGGCCGGGCTGGTCTCGAACTCCTGACTTTAGGTGATCTGGCCACCTTGGCCTCCCAAAGTGCTGGGATTACAGGCGTGAGTCACTGTGCCTGTTTTTTTTTTTTTTTTTTTTTTTTTTAGAAGGAGTCTCACTCAGTTGCCCAGGCTGGAGTACAGTGGCACTATTTCAGCTCACTGCAAACTCCATCTCCTGGGTTCAAGCCATTCTCCTGCCTCAGCCTCCCGAGTAGCTGGGATTATAGGCGCCCACCACCAAACCTGGCTAATCTTGTATTTTTAGTAGAGATGGGGTTTCGCCATGTTGGCCAGGCCGGTCTCGAACTCCTGACCTTAGGCGATCTGCCCGTCTCAGCCATCCTAAGTGCTGGGATTACAGGTGTAAGCCACTGCGCCCAGCTGATAAATGAGTGAATGGTAGGGTTTTGGTGGAATATTCATACTGCAAAAAGTGTTTTCAAACTGTAGGCTACTTATTTTTCTCTGTGAAACTTGCTTTCTAGGTTTGATCTGTGAATGGGGTGAAACAGAGAAATCTAGATTTGAGTTTAAAATTGCTTCTACATCAAAGAAAGTCATGAACAACAGCAACAACAAACTAGTATCACCTCAAGAGTCATCAATATAATTGTTACGCTCAATTTCAGTTACTTGCGTGTCCCGCTGGAACTCTATCAACTGCAATAGAGAGGCACCAGGATCAAGAGGCCAAAGAAGAGACCCAGAGCTAGCAAAAGAGGCATAGGGTTTTATTAGCGGGAACTTACCTCCTGAGTGGTCCCATGGTGGCGGGTGAGGTAGAAGAACTGCAACCTCTTGCGAAAGGCATGCAGTTTATATAGCATTTTCTCTCAGCACCCTCCCACTAACAACCTCCACCTGGCGAACTTTAGCCGACCCTCAAAACTGAGGCTTCAATCCCTTTCATGGCCCGCATTCCAAGGGACAGGTGGGGGGTTCAGGTGTTCCTCATAGATAAGGAATGAATTTCCAGATTGTCCACGCCTGGACTCATTAGCTTGGAACTCTGAACACACAAGCAGGTGTGTCCACCATACACCGTGGCTGCAACATGAAGTCAGCCTTAAAAATGCTATCTAAAAATATTGATCAAATACCTGCATGTGATTAAAAAATCGTATCATAGAGATATATTGCTATTAGGTTGGTGCAAAAGTACTCGTGGTTTTTGCCATTAAAAGTTATGGCAGTTACTTTTCCACCAACCTAATAATAAAAAATAATAGTTTCATCACAGCACCCCTTCATGCTAGTCCTTTTCTCCTGAGTAAGCCACTTTTAATTCTGTTAACCAGTTTTGCTTGTTTGTTTTTGTTTATCCTGGTGATTCACTTCATGTGTATATACACATTAATCATTTTCTTTTGAACAATCAGCTTTAGACATCATCTGCTGGCCTCCTCTTGTAACAGATGAAGAATTTGTTCTTTTGAACCATCACCTTCATCTTTGTCTTTTTCCCTACAACTCATTTTATACACACACACCCCTCACAATAGTTTAGTTCCCTTATTATTTGTATTTGTAAATGTAAATTATATATGAATACATATTAATTCAACTGTATACAATAACATTTGACTCACTGTTTACAAAATGGACATAGGAACACTGCAAATCTCTCATCACCTCTTCTTTCCTTGCTACTTCTCATTTCTAACAACTGTACTTTTGCTTTTATATTGCTAAGATTGATAACATGTATTTTTTATTTTATAAACTTAAGTCTACAACACTTTGTCTATATATAGGCATTCTAGAAGTTCAGAAAACAAATTATGTTTACTGTATTCTGTAAATATTTCATTTTCAGCCAAGTAGTATATACTGTGATTACTACTATAATTACCGCTCATTTCAGCCAGGCACGGCGGCTCACACCTGTAATCCCAGCACTTTGAAAGGCTGAGGCTGGTGGATCACCTGAGGTCGGAGTTCAAGACCAGCCTGGCCAACATGGTGAAACCCCATCTCTACTAAAAATACAAAAATTAGCTGGTGTGGTGGTGGGTGCCTGTAATCCCAGCTACTCAGAAGGCTAAGGCAGGAGAATCGCTTGAACCCAGGAGGTAGAGGTTGCAGTGAGCTGAGATGGAGCCACTGCACTTCAGCCTGGGCGACAAGAGTCAAACTCCATCTCCCACCCCCAAAAATACTGTACATTTCTTTTTCTTCTTTTAGTTTCTAATTGTATTCATCACCTACTTGAGGTATCCCCAATTCTCAAAAATAAATTCAAACCCATAGAATTCTACCTCTTTTTCACAGATTCTTCCCAACCCCTGGAATCCTCCATTCTTCTGCTCTAGTCTCGTCCAATTACTCTGGGTGCTGTAGAGCTGTCATTCTATGTCCTGAGTTGAATACTATATCTTATTCATCTTTCTTGCTTATTTACTCACTATATTACACAAGCATAGCCTCTATAAAGTTTCCTATAAATCTTTGTATGTCTGATTATGTCTTTCTTCATCTCTCACACATTATTCTACTCTTGCCCTTCAGTGACAGTTTAGCAGGATATAGAATTCCAAGTTGTTGCTTATTTACCCTTAGAACTTTGGAGGGAATTCCACCATTGTGCCAAACCCAGAGGTGCTAATGACACGTCTGACCTTGGTTTTATTCCCTTTCCTTTGAAGATGATCCCTAGATGATTGAGCATTTATCTCTTTATTGTTGGTGTTCTAAAATTGTATAATGATATGCTTACTTATGGATCTGTTTAAACATTTGTGTACTGGCCACTCAATGGCCCAGTATTTCTGAAGACTTTTGTCTTCTACCTTTGGCACCTTCTTTTGTATTATAATTTTTTTAAGACGGCACTTTTCTCTCCATTTTAACCTGTTTTCTCTTTCTAGATTTATTTGTTGGATGCAGAACCTCTTAAATCATGCTTCTTTGCCTCTTCTCTTTTTTTCTCATATTTCCATCTCATAACATTTTTATTCTGCTCTCTAGATTTTCTTTATGTTAGCTTCCAAGCCTTTCATTGAATTTTCTTCCCTTTTGACAATCATATATTTAATTTCCAGAACATTTTCTTGTTAAATGATTGTTCCTTTTACATAGCATCTTGTTCTTACCTTATAGGTGCAATATCTCTTTACATATCTCAGAGGATACAAGCTTATTTTCTCTGAATTATCTTTGTTTTCTCTAAAATCGGTTTTTCAGTTTGTTTCTTTTGGCTTCTCTTCTATTTTCAGACTTCCCTAAGATGTCTGGAGAGCCTTGACTAACCACCTAACTAAAAAGGTGAGATTCTAGATAACTAACAGGGAGCTCTGTGTATCTGGGCAGAGCTGGCTGATGAGCAGGTTCCCCTCTGGGGTCAGGGAGTTGTATGAAGAAAGATGTGGACCTGGGGCATCCTCATGCACTTGGATCTAGGCACTGGTGCCCACACCAGCAATCCTACTTCTTTCCACTTAATGTCTTTAAAGAAAAATTATCCACTTAAAAAGATAGGGCTAGGCATTTGGTCCCTTTTTTTCTATGTCCATGTGGGTGATATGGTTTGGCTGTGTCCGCATCCAATTCTCATCTTGAATTGTGGTTCCCATAATCCCCATGGGTCGTGGGAGGGACCCGGTGGGAGGTAATTGAATCATGGGGGTGGTTACTCCCATGCTGCTGCTCTCATGACAGTGAGTGAGTTCTCATGAGATCTGATGGTTTATAAGGGGCTTTCCCCCTTTTGCTAGGCACTTCTCCTTGCTGCTGCCATATGAAGAAGGATGTGTTTGCTTCCCCTTCTGCCATGATTGTAAGTTTCCTGAGGCCTCCCCAGCCATGTGGAACTGTGAGTCAATTAAACCTCTTTCCTTTACAAATTACCCAGTCTTGGGTATGTCCTTATAGCAGCATGAGGATGGACTAATATAGTGGGGATGGGCCGATGAAGAACTCCGTTGACAGGGATCCACCATTTTATGACCATGTAGAGTATTTTCACTGCCCTGGAAGTCTTCCGGGCTCTGTCTATTCATCTCTGTCTCTCCCGACCCCTGCCAACCACCGATCTTTTTTTACTGTCTCCAAAGTTTTGCCTTTTCCCGTGTGTCATAGAGTTGGAATTATACAGTATGTAGTCTTTTCAGACTGGCTTCTTTTGCTTAGTGCTATGCATGAAAGGTTCCTCCATGTTTTTTCACGGCTTGATAGTTCATTTCTTTACTCTCTGTCCTTTTAGAACAGCGTTTCCCTGATTGCTGTATTTAAATTCGCAGCCCTTCTAGCATTCCCTACCCTGCTCCTTGTTTTGTTCTCTTTCAAAGCATTTAACATCTTGATATGTGCCCTAAAGTCAGCTAACTTATTTTTATCTGTCTTCTCTATGAGGGTGAGAATTGTTATCTGTTTTATTCACTGCCATTTTCCAGAGCCTAGAACAGTGTCTGGTACACAGTAGGTCTCAACAAATACATCCTGACTTGGATATAGAATGGTGTGTTCCACAGATATAGCTGTATCAGCTGCAGGCCTCTGCTTTAGCTCCAAAAGAACCTGTTATGTGTTGTTTTTTCACAAAAACAAGAGTATTCTCTTTCTCCAATGATAAATTCACATCTTCATGTATATGTTAAAAACAGATCAATTGGAAGCTTTGAAATTAGACACCCTTTCCAATCCTAAATGAGGTTTCAAAAATTTCAGGACTAATTTTTAGTTCTGGCAAAGCATGCAGTACTTCTCCCTGCCTTCCTTTTCAACCCTTTTATTTTATTTTATTTTATATTGATTGATTGATTGAGACGGAGTCTCGCTGTCACCCAGGCTGGAGTGCAGTGGCGTGATCTAGGCTCACTACAACCTCCGCCTCCGGGGTTCAAGCGATTCTCCTGCCTCAGCCTCCCATGTAGTTGTGACTACAGGCATGCGCCACCTTGCCCAGCTAATTTTTGTGTTTTTAGTAAAGATGGGGTTTCGCCATGTTGGCCAGGCTGGTCTCTAACTCCTGACCTCAAGTGATCTGCCCCCCTCGGCCTTCCAAACTGTTGGGATTACAGGTGTGAGCCACTGCACCCGGCCCATCTCCAACCCTTTTACTTCCTCCATTTCAGCACCATCAATCCAGTGACAAGAAGGTGATGGTCTTCTTCTGCTGTATAAACCAAACTCAATTCACTTTATTGAAGATGTGACCATGTGGTCCAGACACCGGGGGCTTAAGGACAGGAAACACAGCTCCAATGGCAAAAGTCAACTTAGAAACTGTTGCCTTGTTCCTTGCTTTTCTCTGAGTTCATCTGAGGGAGGCTGTTTGTAAACGGCAAGCACCTTCTCAGATCCTCATTTCCCCTCTCCCCAGTCCTCTTGTGCCTCTGCTGGGTGTCTTGCCTGCCAGCCTTTTGTCCTCATCTGTAAATGCACAGAGTAAGGGCTGTCCTGCCCCTCCCCACTCCGCAGGGTTGCCATGAGAAGCAAAGAAGCTATTGCATGCAAAAAAGCACCAAGGATTGGGCCAGCCCTTCACACTGGCTGTGGTGTGGTGTGGCCAAGGTGGGGACCTGCTGGGACCTCGTAGGGCACTACCCCTGCTGGTGCACTTTGTGGTCTCTGGCCTGGTCCTGTTGCTCAGGGCCTGGATGAGGTCAAGGTGACACCCAGGGGTTTGGAGCAGCTCATCCTTCCTTCCTTAGCAGGTTCTGTCTTTAGGAAAAAAGGTGGGGCTGCAGAGAATCTGATGTTGGGCATAGCCCTGAAATGGACTAGGACCATCACCAGGCCAGCATCAGCCAGAAGTGGAGTTGGGGCCAGGGGTGGTGTCCCCAGATGATGTCCCCTTTCTACTGGCATCTGTGCCCCGTCCCATCTCTCAGACATGGTTTGGGTCCATGAAAATATAAGAGAAGCTGTTTCTAGAAGACGTGTCTATGATTTTCATTGAATTTGTTGTTATTATTAGGAGAGAAATCCTAACACCTGAGCAGACAAAGCTTGATTTGATTTTTTCCAGGGTTCTGATTTTGAAGAGATATAATCGATATGGGGATTGGCCAATGTGGATGAAGCTGGGGCTGTGGTTGAGGAGGGATGTATTTGTGGAGGGTGTCCAGCAGCAGCTTTAGCCTGAGACTGCAGCCTACGGGAGGCAGGGAAGGAGGGGATGGTAAGAGCTGGGGAGTGTGTGGGAGCAGTTCAGGGGGAGGCCAGAGAGGGAGGGGCGCTGTGTTGTGGGCCCCCAACTGACATTCTAAGGACATTTCTGCTTTGCACTCGGGCTATATTCCGTGTGTGTGTGTGTGTGTGTGTGTGTGTGTGTGTGTCCATTGAGCTTGCCCTTGTGCCCTTTGAGAATCTGGCTTTTTATAAGGAGGATCTTCTCTTGGACACTCTCCCTTCACCTCCCTTCCTATCCTCACTCCACCTGAATGGGCTCTAGGCTTTGTCGTATGTCTCGGTACCCTTGGAGGCTCTGAAAATGCAAGGTCAAGGTCCCTATATGGTTATCAGATGTCCTCAGGGCTTTGCAACTCCGCTTCCTTCTCTAACCCCAGTTAGATTTGGACTTCAGGACTTCTTGCTATCTTGCCAGCTGTTCTACCTGTTTAAGAAGCTGTTTGGTACAGTTTACCCTGAGTTTTTTTTGTGTGTGTGTGTGTGTGATTTCCAGCCAACCTAGGTGGCTTTATTACAGGAAATGGCACTCTTCCCTTGAATGGCTCTATCACTACTGCCAGGTGCTCTATGCCTCAATTTCCCCACTCTGAGAGTGGAAGAAAATAGTACTTGCTCTGCTTAACTTTTTTTTTTTTTTTTGAGACATAGTCTCACTCTGTCACCCAGGCTGGAGTGCAGGGGCTCAATCTCAGCTCACTGCAACCTCTGCCTCCGGGGTTCAAGTGATTCTCCTGCCTCAGCCTCCTGAATAGCTGGGATTATAGGTGCACGCCACGACACTCAGCTAACTTCTTATGAAGCATGAATGAGGTTAATGGCTGTGGTGTTCTTGCAGGGACATGAACTCTTCTTCATATGACGGATTTGGAGGGTCCCAGCTGCTTTGGAACTTGTGATAGGGGGTCTCGTTTCACAGCTGTAAGTCTGAGCCCAGGGAGAAGTCAGCAGCCCAAAATCAGTCCATCAGGGGCAGCATCAGGACTGGAAACTGGGTTTTTTGGATTCCATATCTTGCTTCCTGTTCTCTTCATAGCTCCTCTCCTCTTATCACAAACCATGAACCACAGTGTGAGTGGGGCCGATTAGCTTGATCCCACTCAGGGATATAGCCGGGGTGGGGAGGGCTACACACTAGTTTCACTGCGATTTTGCAAGCTGATGATGGGCTGGGTGTTCAAAGCTCTGTTTTCCATCCTCTTCCTCAGCCTGAGCACAGTTCAGCAGGGTGGCGAGGACGTCACTTTGGATGGCTGTATCTTCTTCTCTCAGTCAAGGGTGAGGCTAAAGCCTGAAGATGAAAGCTTGACTCCTTGTTGGGTATATCTGGCCACAGATGATTAGGGAGGAGGCCCCAGACTGAACTTTTTCTCCAACTCTTCCTTTAGGTAGAAAGGGATGGAATGCAGGATTATGATGACTTAATGGGAAAAGACAGACTCCATGCATGGAGTTGCCTTAATAAACAGAGGATTTAACACTGAAGCCAGAGAAGTCTGGGTCTTAATCAATCTATATGAGACCAATTCTATTACAGACACAAGAGTGAGTCTCCATCCTTTTAAGACTTAATTTGCTCTTCTCACGTCAAAGCAGAAATGGGATGCAACTGTCTAACTGCCAACTCTAAGAAATTATTTATGAAAAGACAAATTCCCCACAAGGCCATCCAGAGAAGGGGGGAAGACAAGGGGAGCAAAAGGAAGAAAGAAAAGAAGGGTGGGGGGAAGGCAACCGGTAGACCTGGCGCTTGACACTAAAGGTTTAACATCAAATGCAGCCAGAAATCCATTTCCACAGTTTTACTGGCCATTCTGGACGCCTCATTTCAAAGGGAAAGATTTGAATTCAGAGACATAACGTTCCCTTTGTTCTCTTGCCCTCCAGCCTTTGGTGCCAGTGTGGACTGTACTACAGGGAGAGGGTGAGATCAAACCCCTCTCCGCTCAGCTACCTGCCCCAGAGCTGGCCCTTGGCATGCTTAATGAAATCAGCTTCTCGATAGATTGACAATGCCCTGTCAATTATAATCATTTATCTTGGCAAGCAGAGCATTGGAACACTTAAAAGAGCAGGGGTTCAGCAGGCCCAGGAAAACCAGAATAAAATTATACTGCATGGTAATCAGAGTGAGAGTATATTGCTCACATAAAATTTTACTTTAACTGTCAGAAGGACTGATATGATCTTACTTCTAATTTTCTGCCCATAGGGTGTTCACAGTTCCATTTGGGTCACTTTCTGCTAACTGTGATGTAATAGGGGATTTGCATACGGTCTATGTAAGAGGAGGAGGGCAATTACCCAGTGCACAGGGAAGTTGGGGTGTTTTCTCATTGCTGTTTTTAGGAAACACCAGGATGGGTGTGCAATGGCAATGACAGAGGTGGGAATACAGGATTGGAGGTGAGTCCTTGTTCTCCACTTCCTGACTGTGTTAGCAAGGGCAAAGCATGCCACTTTGCAGTGTCTCACTGTCTTTCACAACAGAGGAAACAGAGATTGTGTATTATTATAAATGCTGATTTTTGCTGGGCATAGGTCCACCTGGAGGATATGCCTGTCCCCTTCTTGGATCAACTTTGGGTGAAGCAGCAACAGCAAGCCCAGACCCATGAGAGAGGCAGCGGGGGGAAGCTGCATCTTGCTTCTCTGCTCATGATCTAGATGGAAGGGCCAGGTCCCGCCAGGCTGCAGAGCAAAGAGCAGTGAGTTGAAGGGTCTCCTGGCCTCACAGTCCCACAGGCCCTGCATGGCACCTGTCTGCAAAGCCTCCAGGAGAATCTGAGCCCCCTGAGATTGGGGCACTGCTGGGAGAGGGCTGGGGGACTCAGCACAAGGGAGGCCTTGTGAATGGAGAGCACAGAGGAAGGCAGCCGTCATCCTCAGATCCCCGGCTATGAAAACAAGGACAGAGGGGCATGAGGGTCAGCCCTCCAAGGCCAGTGGGCACAAGGGACCACTGTGGTCAGAATAATATGCACTTCCCTCCCTCCGGGCTCAGACCTTCCCTGGAGAGGAGAGGGACAAACCCTGAAGGGACTGAGTGTTTCCCCGTTTGACATCAGAAGGCACCAAGTTATCCTGAGCAGATGATTTTCTACCCTCAGCAGAAAGGAAGCCTGAGAGCTCACTTTGCACCCTGGGACTTGGCCTGGGAACACGTGCAGACCAGCAAGGTCATGCTTCTATTTCCTCTGCTGCAACCTGTTGGGGACATTCTGGTAAATGAAGTACAAATAAAACATATCTGCAGCCAACCAGGAAAAGCACTCCCTTTCTGAATGGCCTTTTCAACAGGCATAGACTGAGCTGCCAGTACCTGGCTTTCAGTAGGGCACAACCTGCTTAGAAGCCCCAGAATTTGGCAATTTGTCTATTGTGAGGGAGAGAGAGGTGTGTATGTTCCTTGCAGTCTGGGGGCTGGGGAGGGGTGGGGGTAGGCTGTATGACAGCAGAAACTGGGAATGGTGGTTGTGCTGGACTTTCGAGGGGGACCTACCAAGAACGCACGTTATATTAACATCTGGGGGGGGGACCTACCAAGAACACACTCCGTGACAGGCCTCGCCTAGGACCCTCCACGATACTGTCTCCTCCTTACCATTGCTGTGCAATGTGGGGGAGGGGGATTCTCTGTACTTTACACCTGGGGAAACTGAGGCTTGAGAGGGCAGAGAGAGACTCTTTTCACTCCTCCAGGAATGCCTTTCTTCCTTCTCCTCCTGCCGACCCTGGCCCCTGTGCCCC
Source organism: Homo sapiens (assembly GCF_000001405.40). Lineage (NCBI taxonomy): Eukaryota > Metazoa > Chordata > Mammalia > Primates > Hominidae > Homo > Homo sapiens. The sequence goes on along the minus strand of NC_000014.9, from coordinate 98,915,237 downwards.
AGCCCTCAGCCCCTCCATTTCCAGGGCAGTGGGCCAATTTATTGCAGAACATAGCTCTGGGCAGCTGTGGGCAGCTGTTTTGGAAAAGGGCTTTATGAGGCCAGAACGTTGGCCTCTGCAGCCTTACTAAATTTCTTCACTTGTGCTTCTGCCCACAGGGGCCCTGACAGCTGAAGCTGGACAGCAGGGGTCGGGGAGTGCAGAGCTGCTCAGCCTGTCCTCCTTTTAGCTGGAGCCCCTGTGAGACGGGGTGGGGTCTGGGGCCAGGTCCCCTAAAGGGTACATCCCATGTTAATTATGGTAACATGGTAACAACCATACCTACTTCACAGGGGTATTGTAATTGTTAGCAGAGACACTATTTGACGAGCGTGGGAAGCCATCCCTTAGAGAGTCATGAGGCTCAGAGAGGTTAAGCCCCTTTTCCAAAGTCACACAGTACTCTGGGGGCCACTTTGTGAGCTAGACCTGGCTCTCTTAGCTTCCAACTCACTCCTCTTTCTTCACACTTACTTTCACAGCCTTTAGACAAGAAACAGCTCACTCCCTGGGACCTTTCTAATAACATTTTCTTTCTCTAATTCATACATCACAAATGTACTCCATAAATTAAAAAAAAATCATACAGCCAGTGGGAATGAATGAAGCTATTGTAAAATGACATGAATAGGAATTAAAATCTCAAGCTACATTTTTCTTTTCGGAGGCTGGGGAGGGGACACTAAATCTCTCAGTGGTGAGCAGGGTGCATTATGTCACGAGGGGTGAAGCAGACGCCTGAGTGGGAACAGTGGTCTTTGAAAGGGTGAAATGGGAGTGTCAAGGTTTGTAATCACATTTCCCCAAGATCACGCAGAGCAGGCTGCAGAACAAGGGGCCTTCTGTGTGGGGTCAGGCAGTGGGAGAAGTGGTTAGCATCGCACTGGCCACAGATGGGGAACTGGGAAGAGGTCTGGACTCTAACTATCCTTCTCCTTACCTCCCTCTTTCCCTCCCTGCTTCCTCAGTCCTTTCCTCCCTCTCTTCTTTCTTTCCTTCTTCCCTCCCTCCCTTCCTCTTTCCCTTCTTTCCTTTTTTCTTCCCTTCCTCCCTCCCTTCTTTGTTTCTTTCCTTCCTTCGTTCTTCTCTCCCCCATCCTTTCTTCCTCTTTTACATCCTCCTTTCTTTCTTTTCTGCTACCACCTGCTATATTCCAGACATGTGTTGGGGGCTCTGTTTGAGTCTGACCATCTGAGAATCTTCCAGGGCTTTGGATCATTGCCTGGGCTTGTCCCTTCCACTGCCTCATTTCTGACTGTCTAAAGTCCTGTCTTCCTTCAGTGTCATCTGAAACCCCTGCTTCCCCAAAGAACTGGCTCAGCTGCTGCTTCCTTGAGTCTTTTGCAGCCGAGAGACTCGGCTTGTCCTTACCGGTGGGTACCTGGCTCGTGCAGTTGTAATACATAGATTCTCTTACGTCGTCTTTCCTATAACCCCTTGTGGCATGCTGGTGCAAGGTTAATAGCACAGTTCTTGAGTTTCATCTGATGCGTGATTATTGCTGAAGGAAATTACTCCATGAGCAGGTGGAAGCTAACCCCATCTTACAAAGAAATAGAGGCTCAGAGGAGCTAGGCAGGGAGTGTAGATCATTAGTGAATAGCAGAACCAGAATTTGAACCCAAAGCAGTCAAATTCCAGTGATCCTGTTCCCACCTCATTGAAGCTTTCATGGTGTCCTATTTGACCCTCTGTGTTAGCCCTTCTGAGAGTCTTCTTTTAGAGCTATTTGTGGACATGTGGCAGTTGTATTGAGTGGAAAGATTATGTGATTTGAAGTCAGTTTTATCTCAGCTGCCTCTGAACTTATATTAATAGAAAGGCCTCATCTAGAACTGGCCAACAGGTATGCTCTGTCCTAAGAGCTTTACACACCAAGGAACCCCACATCATCTATGAGGAGGGTACTTTTCCAGATGGGGAAACCAGGCCGAGAGGGGTCACGTCACCTGCCCAGGCTCACATAGCTGGTCCTAGCAGAGCTGGGCTTTCCTCCCAGGCAGCCCCAGTGCAGCATCCATGCTCCTAACCCTGAAGCTGCCTCTAGCATGAGTATCTGGGATGAGACTTAGAAGTAAGGCCAGGAATTTGTAGGACTCAGTGAGAGGGCTCCCTTGATAACAGGCAGCTTCTATACATTATCCCTGTTCTCTCACTACAGTCTCTCCTGGCCAGGGCAAACCTGTTCTCCTCACTTCCATATAGCCTCTAGCACGAAACAGGGCATGTAGCTGCTGTTCAGGGTGCCCTGTACATTGCACTTGCCCAAGGTCTTCTGTACCACCACAGTATATTTACTTCAGAGGAAGCACATAGCATCCTGGTGATGTCCTACGACTTGTGTGCTCTTGACAGCTGTGGTTTTTTGATGCTTGGTTGCTGAGTCTGCTTTGGGGTTGTTGGAGGAAGTTGTCCCAAGGTATTCTATTTTAATGGTATCTAAACAAAACAAAACAGAAAGCTGTGCAGTAAAGCAAAGAACCCAAAGGTGAAATTTTTTATGAATCTTGTTTGTAGCTTCCCAGTTGAATTCAGGAGTATAGGAATAGTTTCCCTGTGTTGCCTCATACTCATACTTCTCAGTTCTGCAGAATATTCTATTGTATGAGCGTTTCTCTGTGTACTTAAGTGTCCCCCTACTGCTGACATAGCTTATATTTTTACCATTTTTTATGGCACTACAGTGGAAATTGTTGGGCATAAATCTTTGCCATTTGGGCCACTGAAATGCAGAGTCCCTTGATGAAATTACTGGTTCAAAGGAAATTCCGTAAGTTTTAAATATACATTCTCTCTCTTTTTTTTTTCTTCATTAATCTAGCTAGCTGGTGGTCTGTGAATCTTGCTTGTTCTTTTGAAGAACCAACTCTTGGATTCATTGATCTTTTTATAGACTTTTGGATCTCAATTTCCTTCAATTCTTATCTGATTTTATTTATTTATTTTCTTCTACTAGCTTTGGGGTTGGATTGTTCTTTTTTTTTTTTTTTTTTCTCATTCCCCTAGGTACGATGTTAGATCATTAATTTGAGATTGTTCTAACTCTTGATGAAGGCATTTATCATCAAGAGTTAAATAAAGCAGTGTTAAGAGGAGATTAAACTCTCCTCTTGACACTGCTTTAACTGCAACCCAAAGATTTTGTAAGCTGTGTCTCTATTTTCATTAATTTCAAAGGACTTTTGATTTCTGCCTAAATGTCATTGTTCACCCAAGAGTTATTCAGAAACAAGTCATTTAATTTCCATGTTTTTGTGTAGTTTTGAGAGGTTCTGTTGGTATTGATTTCTCTTTTTATTGCATGGTGGTCCAGGAGTGTACTTGGAATTATTTTGCTTTTTCTGAATTTATTAAGACTTGCTTTATGGTCAAACATGTGGTCGATCTTAGACTATGTTCTAAGTGCAGACGAGAAGATGTATATTCTGTGGTTGAGTAACATATTCCGTAAATGCCTATTGGGTTCAATTGGTCAAACATTGAGTATAAGTCCAGAACTACTTTATTAGTTTTCTGTCTCGACGATCTGCCTCACACTGTCAGTGGGGTGTGGAGTGGACATTCATGGAACATTCTAGAGAAAGAAAACCAACATGGATTAAGTGCCCATGAAGTCAATGTTGTATTATATTTAATTCAACTATGAGTCTTGAGAGGTGGGTATTTGTATTGGGAATATATGGATACAGAAACTGAAGCTCAGAGGAGAATTCAGCTTGTCCAGGGTCACATGGCAAGATGAGGTCATACTCCAGATGTGTGAGGCACTAAAACAGGGTCATTTCTGACCCCAGGCCAGGGAGGAACATTTTTGACATGAACATACCTGCTAAACAGTGCATTTTAGGCCCCTATTCAGAGCTCCTCTGTCTCTTGGGCACATGGGAGCCAAGTGTCTAGTCCTTCAGTTGTTCCATGTTTAGGGGAAGCTGTGGGCAAAATAACCAAGTTACGGAGGACACCCACACAAGAGTGCAGAGGACTGGCTCTCTCCCAGATATGGCAACATGTGTCTTATTATCCTGCTGATGCTATGAAAATATTTACTTTGCGATTCCATCCCAAATGAAGAGCATGTTGCCACAGCAACCATCAAACCATGAACACTTCGCTAACGACTCCTGGTATCTTTCACTTTTTAAAATCTAATTTTCTGGGCATGAGATTGGCTAGAGAATGTTCCCAACATTTCCTCTGCACTGTGTCTCCACTTGGCAAAAACGCATCTATCATTCAGGGGCCATTTGCTCCTCCTCCAGGAAGTCACTTTGGCTGACATCCAGCTCGCTTGATTGGTAACGGAGTGTCCTTTCTACCCAGGTTCATTAAAATCCTCTTAGTTAGTTGGGATTTATTTATTTATTTAATCATTCATTCATTCATCATCCATCATTCATCCATCCATCCATCCACCCATCCACCCATCCATCCATCCATTTATTCATTCAACACGCATCTGCTGCTAGCAGTTGTAGTAGGCAACCCCCGCCCACCGAAAAACCCCACAAAACAAAATACAAGCATCTTCTCAGCACCTACTCTGTACCAGACCTTGTGTTGGGGTGCTAACATGAGAACACCAGAAAAACCAAACAAACTCAGTAACTACTCTCAAAAGGCTCAAAGACAAGTTGGGGAGACGTTAATCCAAACATGCATTTACAATCTGGGGTAAGGAAGACTTTAATAGGGCATGACACAGAAAAGGGTGTGGTCGACTCTGTTTTCTGGGTCTTCGGGAAGGTTCCCTAGAGAAAGGGGCAGCTAAACTCTCACTGATGGATGAGTAGGAGCTTCCAGAACAGCCTGCTTGAATAATGACCTCCAGACCTGCCACTGGCCCGATGGAGCTTTTATGCGAATTAGAAAGAAGAGTGACCTTTCTCTGGGTGCCTCTGTGCAGTCAATAACCTGCACAGCCCTACTGATAATCCTGCAGATCACTGTCTCCTCTGTCATCGCTGAGCACATGTTTCAGGCTTCCTTGTGCTCCTGAAACACAGAGGCCCACTTGGACTATATATGTGGCTTAGGAGTTGTTTTTGCTGGTTTAGGCAGTGGCTCTCTGAGGACAGAGAGTACCTTTTCCATCTTTGCACCACTCAGGCCTTCATACAGAGTGGCACTCAAAACATTATTGGAATATTCCTAACGTCAGAGAGCTTCATATAACTTACAGTGGTTCCTAAGTGCCAGGCCAGCAACTCACTGCTTCAGAATCATTTGTGGAGGATTTAAAAAAATCAGCCAGAGAATGCTCCCTCCATTTCTTCTGCACTGTATCTCCACCTGGCAAAACCAAATCCGTCCTTCAGTAGCCATATATACTTGGTTCCTGATCTCCCTGGGAGATCTGATTCAGCCGGGCTGTGGTTGGGACTGAGGGTCCTGTGGTTTCTAAAGATAACTAATTCTTACGAGGCTATTACTAATGTCAGACACTGTTGTATTGTATATATCCTCTCAGTTAAGGCTCATGACAGTTCTATAAGGCAGATACTGCTATGATCCCAGAGTTTTTACAGAGCAGGAGGCAGATGCATGGCAATGTTACATGACCTGATTAGGGTCACCCAGCCAGTAAGTACTCAAGCCACAGTCTGCACCCAGGTGATCAGAACCCAGAGGACATTGGCTTCTGTACTATGTGATAACATTGGTCCCACGGTGGCAAAATCTGGGACATCTGCCAATACTAGATTAAAACGGTCATTGTGAGTCACATCCTTCAGGCTTTCCATGTTAGAGAGGGGAAGACTGAGTCCCAAAAGGGCAAACAGACTTGTCCAAAGTCGCCTATGAGTCAGCCGTGGCACTCCGACTGTGATGTCCTGAAGTCCCATTGTCCACCCCCCCAGAGCGATTCATTCCCACCGACTGTAGTCAAGTTAGTGATTAATAATAATAATGCCATGTGGGATCAGTGTTTGCTGTGACATGCTCCGTGTTCTTTCCCTTTTGGGCATTGTGCATTCTGAATTTCTAGATGTCCTTCAGAGAAATAACATAGACTTTCTTGAAAAAAAGCTGAAGACTGTGAGGCAATGGTTCTCAACTGGGGTAGGAGTGATTTTACCCCCCGCCCCCCACGCGCAGGGGACATCTGGCAATGTTGAGACATTTTGGTTGTCACAACTGTCCCAGGAGAGGGGAGTTTGCTACTCCCAGAGGATGCTGCTAAACATTCTACAATGGACAGGGCAGCCTCTCACTACCCAGTTCCAAATGGCCATGGTGCATGGGGGCAGCCCAGTTCCAAGGCAGCTTGGTTTCCCCTTCATCTGCGTCTCCAAAGGGAGGGAAAGTTAGAGGGCTGCAAAGATACGAGGTCTCATTTTACCAGTGTGCTTAGCCAGGGCTTCCTGGCCCATCATGTGCCCTCCCTGACTTCAGTTCTCTCATGGGTAAGGTGAGCCAGGTGGTACCTACCTCACTGGTCCTTTGAGGATCGGTGCTCCTGTACGCAGCATGTCCGAGGCCAGAGGGCACATTCAAAAGGCAGCCGTTCCTACTATAAATAGGACAGGAGGCCCTGAGTAGGCATCCCATCCACCTGTATCCAGGCCATTTGTCACCTGGGGTGGTGATCTGCTTGCCCTGCCATTTCCGCATCTCTTAAATGGGCCTAATGAGACAGTGCTCTCAGACTTGATAAGACAGTGATATGAAGCAACTGGCAGGGGAGCATTCAGTTAATTAATTGGTTCTAGAATGTAATTGTCTGCTTGCTGCTGTCACTATCCTGGGGTTGAGAGCTGAAGGGTAGGCACCGCCTGCTTCACCCCATGCCAAATGGACAGACAGATCCAATAGGTGGGGAAGGAGTGAGGGAGGAGGACTGGGAGGGACGGTGGGGCAGATGGAAGGGCTCGTCATCCCATCACACAGGGCCCAGGATGGAGGAAAGTCCTGCGGAGGCAGGTGGGGCGGGGTGGCAGGGATCAAACCTGCCACACTGTAATTTGGAAACAGTGCCCCAGGGAGGGATTTAGACACAGTCAGGCTGCTTTGTACAAATCACCCCCCTTCCCGGACAGCTGTCAGAATGAGTCCCGCATGAAGCCTGCTCTGTCCCTCCCCCAAGGGAAGGAAGGGGCAGGTGGGGGGCTGGAGGAGGGGCAGGGGCTCACAGGCCCTAAGCCAGGCCCTACACAAACATCGTCCCCTCCTTCCACACAACAACCCCGAGGGCCGGACTTGTAAGGCAGAAACTGCACTTAGGAAGCAGAGAGTAGTCGAATGCTGCAACTCCCCGGGGGAGAGTGGGCGTTGGAATTCAAGAAGCGTGTTTCCTCCACAGTGCACATCTAGCAGAGGGTCTCACACATAGTAGGTGCTCAATAAAAATGATGACGGCAAAAATGAAGGGCAAGCTTGAGGGAGAGCAGACAGGCAAAGGAAGAACAAAGAAAGCACAGGAACAAAAAAACACCAACGCAAAATGGAGAAACTCCCAGAATACGTTTTTTAGGGTGGTTTTGGAGCTTTGTTTTAGCTGGGTCAGGTTAGGTCTGTTGCAGCCGCTAGGCCCCTGTTGGTCACCAGTAGCCCAGGGATGACAATAGCTGCCTAACAGCTGGGTTGGGACAATCACAGAGGATAAAGCCATCACAAAATCTGGACAACGGCACGTGGCTCACAACTAGGGCCCTACCTTACTGCTCTCACTTTCGCTGAGCTCAGAACTGGGGGTCAAATGACTACCCCCTGGTTCTCAGGCAGGAAAGGGAGCAAACTTCTCCCTTGCCTCCCTGGCCTAGCCCTTGCTGTGCTGGTGGTGTGGGCTGGGAAGTACCCCTGGATCTTGTAATATGCCCCCTCCCCCATGCTGCCGGCAGGGCTGGGTAGGGAGGACAGACAGACAACACAAATGAAAAGGAACCCCCAACTCCTGGGGCATGCTTTCCTGCCCTTCCCTCCCGCAGGCTGATTCCGTTTTTTGAATAATGAAGATGCGCGCTTTGAGCCAGCCTTTGAGACAGAACACAGCAGTGGAAAAACATTGGCTTCCGAGTTTGGCAGAGCTGGGGTTAAGACTATGCCATATTTCCTTGCCGCGAGACCTTAAACCACTCATTTTATCTATGATTTAGTTTCCTCATCTGTAAAGTGGGTAGTAAATACTAGAAACAAAGCATACAAAGCACTGAGCACCTGGTAGACTGTCAGTAAACTGCAACTCCTGTCGGAGGCACGGGTAGAGAAACATCCATCTCATCCTTTGGAAGACGTGAGGATGCAGCTCCCTGACGCTGTCGAGGCCTGTTTCGCCGTGGTCATTTGGAGTTTGGAGGAGGGTGTGGGTTGTGAGTGGGGAGGGATCACTGTTCTCTCCTTGTGCTTTTGAATAAACAGTTCCCTCTGATCTTAGCTGCCCTTGCTCCCCGGGAGCACAATTTCAAAGGATTTCTCCATCGAGCAAAAGCAAACCTCAATCATCTTTGTGCACAAAACACCCACCCAGGCTATTTGTCTCCGTCCTGAGCGCTTGGCATGGGGCCCAAGAGGAGCCTTCAGAAGGGAGTGCTTAGCAAAGAATGCTGGCATTCAGATGCAGTTGACTGTCCGCTGTCGGACAGCCCCACCCTCTGTACTGTGCCTGGGGATCTTGGCAGCCCAAGTTAACCACAAGACAAGTTTTATCATCTGTTAAACCTGTCGTTCGGAAAAAAAAAATGACTTCAATAAAATATTTCAACAATTATAGTCCATTTTAATTAGGTGTGTACCACATAATTATAGATTTAAAAAACGTATAGGGTTTCAAAACCCAACACCATGGTCATATGGAGTTAGCTTTTGTCCCCTTCGGAATTTCTAGCCAGATTCTCCACCTGAGGAGACGCTGCATACCTGGCTGAGACAGCTCCCCCCTCCACAACTTGGCCCAATTACCTCCTTTTTACCATTCTTTCCGTTTCCATCTGGAATCTCAGAGTCCTGTAGGCAGCCACTGATAAGCCCACAGGAGGGGGACTGGATGGCAGGTGGCCCCTGAAAGCCTGCAGAGTCAACATTAGGATAGAGGGAGGCCAGGTGATGGGGGCAGTGTGAGAAGGGCCCTGGATGTGGAGTCTGGAGGTCTGGATCCTCTTTCTGGCCCCATCAGCAGCTTGCTAGGCGATCTTGGGCACGTTGTATTCTCTCTCTGGGCGTTAGTGTCTTATCTTTAAAAGGGAAGAATTAGACCATAATTTTTCAAAATTTTGATTTTTGTAACTTTTTGTGTGCAGAATTTCAGTTTGCAAATGAAATTTGGAAAGCCCAATATGTAAACAGTTAAAAATGGAGGTACTTAGGTCAAGTAGGATACAGCCCCAAACTTTCTCTAGTGATCCCTGCAGCCCCTTAAAAGTTTGAAAATGGCCGGGCGCAGTGGCTCACCCCTCTAATCCCAGCACTTTGGGAGGCCGAGGTGGGCGGATCATGAGGTCAGGAGTTCGAGACCAGCCTGGCCAAGGGGCATGGTGAAACCCCGTCTTTACTAAAAACACAAAAATTAGCCAGGCGTGGTGACGGGTGCCTCTAATCCCAGCTACTCGGGAGGCTGAGGCAGGAGAATTGCTTGAACCCAGGAGGCGGAGGTTGCAGTGAGCCTAGATCACGCCAGGGCACTCCAGCCTGGGTGACAGACCGAGACTCTGACTCAAAAAAAAAAAAAAAAAAAAAGAGAGTTTGAAAATGACTGGACGAGATAATTTCAAAAATCCCTTTCCAGTTCAATCATTCATTTATTCAACAAATATTTACCAGGCATCCACTGTGTGCCAGCCCTGTTCTAGGCTCTGGATAGACAGCAGGGAATAAGCCTGGCCCAGTCCCGGGTCTGGGCCCTCAGGGAGCCTCACGGCTGGGACACGGACAATGGTTTCATCCATCGGTGTCCTCAAAACAGCTCCAGGACAGGGAACCATGTGAGGCTCACTCAGGTTGAGGAAGCCACCCAAGGTCTCAGGACTCCTTGGTGGCCGTTCTAGAATGGAGTCCAGGATCTTGCAGCTCCATATTCCTCTGCCCTAGCCAGGACACCCAGCAGCCCGTATCTTTACTTGTGAAGTTGGCGGCTGCTAGACGAGGGTGGGATTCCCCTTCCTTGGCCCAGTTGCCCACCCAGCACCTGAGGGAGCAGTCTTCACCACTGCCCCACATGCCTTTGGAAGTTTTCCGTGGCCTCAGGGAGCACCGCCCTTAGGGGAGAGCTCCCTGGTTGCCCTGGCCCAGATTACCCTCTTCCCCTGGTGCCCTAAAGAACCTGGCCTCTCCTTTCCCAATCTTGCTGTGACTCACTTCTTCCCTGAGGTGGGCTGACTGCAGTCTGAAGCTCATCTCCTGTGTGAGACCCAGGTGTGAGCAGGTGACACCCTCGCCTTGATTGTTCTTACTTGCTTTCCCTGGAGGAGGAGCTGATTCTTGAGTGAATATGTGTTCAAGTTAATGAATAAATGCAGTGATTGAGTGGATGGATAAATAGACAGTGGATGGGTGAATGCATTAATAAATACATTAATAATGTGAGTCAATGTCTGGGGAAATAAATGAATGGATGAATGGATAAATAGATGAGTGGGCAAGTGGATGATGGATGCATTAATACAGAGTAAGTGAACAAGGGAATCTATATCAATCAATATCTATATCTGGATCTGGATCTGTATCTATACATAAACTAGTAAAACTCTGAATGAATGAATGAGTGAGGGAGAAAATGAGTAAAATAGTCTAAGCTGCAATAAAGAAACAAATGAATAGATGAATGGAAGAATTTATGTGTGAGTGAATACATGAGTGAACGGATAACTTCTCTCATTAATGAGCTTCTCAGGCATATGCCAAGCACCTCAGCACCAAGTTCTGCCAATGCACCCTCGTCCTGGGAAATCTATCTAAGGATGGCACAAAGAATCCACCCAAAACTCAAGGCAGCTTTGATGAGCACCAGCCGATGGAAGGATATGGGTGACAATACTGGGCACCCTTTGCTGTCTATGGCCCGGATGGGCTGCAGCCGTGGGTGGTGACTAGCCGACTCTGAAGCTCTCCAGGCGTTTGCTGAGTTGCGTGCCTAGAGTAGCTCCTGTCTCTAGCCCAGGGAAATTCCAAGAGCCTCTAATTAGCCAAAGTGCACAGTGGGGGTGGGAGGGCATAGTGTGGTGCAGAACAGGCACAGAGGGGGTTGCTGTGCATTTTTTTTGCCATGACCCAGCTAAGAGAAGCCAAGTGATTTTCCATAAATTCTATAACAAATGTTTGCCTTAAGGCTCAGGACTCTGGTGCCAAGTTTCAACTTAACCAAATACTTCTGGGTTTGGGAGTTGTGGTGTGTGTGTGTGTGTGTGTGTGTGTGTGTGTGTGTGTGTATGTGTGTATGTGTGTGAGTTAGAGTTAGTTAGAGAGAGAAAGAGAGAGAGAAAGAGAAGTGGGGTTGGGGGAGGGAGATGAGGCCCAGGGTGGAAATACAAAATGTCCTTTGGGGACTGTGGCCCTGTCAAGTGTACCTGATAAAAAAACATTATTAAACCCCAAGCATGGCAAGGTGACCTATGTCACAGTTGGAGTGACAACTGAGGCTCAGAGGGCTGTGAGACACACTCTGATTCCATGTGGGTTAGAATTCAAGTGTGGACCTGCCTGGCCCCAAGGGAGAGTGGGCGTGGTTGTGTTTGGGGAGAAAATATGTGACTGTATAAAAGTGTAGTGTATTCCAGGCAGAAACCTTTCTGTGCCAGCGGGAAGTCCAGTTGAAGGAGCCAGGGCTTCCCATCAGAGGTGGTTTGGGATTGGGTTAATCTAAATGCCTTCAGAGCCAGGCAGGGGTCACCAATGCCTGTGGCCGGCCAGGTGACATTACTGGTGCCCTGATGGTTGGTGACGGAAGGTCCCCTTAGGTGGGAGTGTCTTAGTCTGTTTTGTGTTGCTATAAAGGAATACCTGAGATTGAATAATTTATAAAGAAAAAAGGTTTATGTGGCTCACGGTTCTGACGTTGGAAAAGTTCAAGATTGGGCATCTGGTGAGGACCTCAGGCTGCTTCCACTCGTGGCAAAAAGCAAAGGGGAGCTGCTGTGTGCATCGCTCCCATGGAGACAGGGGACACAAGGCTCGGAGATGGTGCCAGGCTCTTTGTAACAACCAATTCTGCTGGGCACTGTCAGCGTGAGAACTCACTTACTCCCAAGTGAGAACACGAATCTGTTCATAAGGGATTCCCTCTGATGATGTAAACACCTCCCACCAGACCCCAGAAATCCAGATTTTAATTTGAAATTCCCAATGACTAAATGTTGGCCATGCATCTAAAAAAAATCTAAAGTGCTGAGCTGGTCAAGCAAAACTGGACTTCCAGCCTGTGACCTCTGATGTACGGATTAGGAGAAGGAAGATAGACTGAGAAGGAGGGACAGAGTTTTGACCCCTGCCTGGAGGCGCTCCTCCTCCTCCCACCTTCACACGGGCCTGCCTGCTGGGATCTCCCTCACCCAGATCTGTTTAAACCCACCTTGACCCATGAAGCCCTGCTCAAAGAGCTCTTCCATGAAACCCCGGGTCCCTTGAGTCAGGTGTTTGTTATCTTCTGCTCATTGTGGCAGCCCTAGCACCTCCGTCTTTTAATGTAGCCTGTAGGATTTTCTCAGCAGTGCCAGTGTGATGCAGAGTGGTGGCTGCGGGGAAGGCCTGGGAGGATTGCACAGTCTGTGTGTGTGTGTTGGGGCGTAGGTTGGGGGGTGGTGGTGCAGGGAGCAGAGATTTTTTCATAAGTGTGTATGCCATACCTACAAAGCAGAAGCACCCACCCCAGCCTTGGGGAAGGTCAGGAGGGCTTCCTGCAGGAGGTGATTGATGCTTAAAGAATAAGAGGGAGTCAGGCAGTTGGACAGGGACCCATAGCTCCCACTTTGTGCCTGGGAAGAGGTGTCATAAGGGTGAAGGGCATGAGCTTTGGAGACAGGGACCAGCACTTACAGCCTGAACCTTCCTTTTACTAACTGGTGACTCTGAGCGAGCCACTTTGCCATTCTGAGTCTCAGTTTCCTCCTCGGTGACAAGGATCTAATGATGGTTCCCCGATGGGTAGTCTTGGGGATTGGATGGGTGGACCCATGTGAAGCGCTGAGCATCGTGCCTGGCACTTGGTTGGGTTTCGGCTGTAGCTATTACGGAGGGGCTGTCACCTCTCAGGACCCAGCACCCTCCAAGTTGGCCGAAACTCTCCGTGCCTGTGCCCTTTGGGGAGGGAGAATGGTGGAAGCGAGGGTGCAGAGGAGGCGCCTTCCTGGGCCTCCCTGTGGTGGAGGATGACACTGGAGGTTTCATATCCAGGTGTGGGGGATGTGGGCCCCCACCCTGCCATGGCTGTGGGTGGCAGTCCTGTGAGCTCTGCTGTGCTTGGGAGATTATTCAGGCAGGTGCAGTGTGTCCTGGAGGATGGGTGTGATAGGGAGGCATGGGAAGCAGGGAGGCCAGATTGCGGGCTGTGACAGTGGCTGGGCAGGGCCCCTGTAGGTCTGGCTGTGAATGGCTGTGACTGAGTGGGGAGAAGAGCAGGAGCCCAGCTGGCAGACTTTATAGAGTGAGATGCAACAGGACACGATGCCTAATGGGTCAGTGAGGCATAGCAGGGAGAGGAGGCCATGCTGGCATTGAGCTTCTGAGTCGGAGAGGCGAGAAGGCTGGTGCCGCCAACAAGGACTGGAGCATCAGGAGAGGAAACCACTCAGCAGGGGGCTGTGGGGACAAACTTCTGTCTTGTTGGCTCCATAACTCCTCAGAGTGTAGGCCATCAGGACCCAGTGCAGGCGACACCTCCTCTGTGAAGCCTTCCTGGAACCCATCAGTCCCCCTCTTCCCTCTTCTATGTCTGCTCCACGTCCTGGACACATGTGTGCTTCTCCATGTGGCCTAGGATGCAGCCCACAGCAGGGCACAGCTACTGTCAACTGAGTGCAGGATAATGAATGACAGGTGAGAGATAAGGGCTGGGAGGGAAGAGGGAAAGGAGGCAGGCAGGAAGGAAAGGCTAAAAAAGAAATGCAGGAAGGAAAGAAGGAAGGACAGTCAGATTCAGGAGGCTGGCGTTGGCTTAAGTCTCTGTTTGCCAAGGTCATTAGATCAAGAACCCCCAATGGAAGGGGAGATGATGCAATTGGAGGTAAGGCTGTTTCCCTTGGGCAGTGGAGCAGGAACCATTGGCTCGGGCTGCCATCTGGTTTGCTACTAAATGAGGTATCTGGGAGACCCTGTTATTGCAAGACAACAACTGATAATCTTTGTTCTCCTAAGAGGGCTGCGATTCACTGGGCTGGAATCACAGGTGCTGGGGGCTGGGGATAGACGGCTGAGATCATGAGTGGAGCTTCAGAGTCAAGTCCAGCTCTGCCCTAACATCACAGTGTAACTTGAAAAATCGCCAACCTGAGTTTCCTCTTCAGAGGATGAGACCAAAGGGCTGACTATCAAGGATTTAGGGAGGACCGCAAGAACACACATCTAAGTCACCCAGCACTGTGCCTCACGTGCAGCAAGTGCTCAGCGGACAGTGGCTGTTCATTGTTGTTGTGACAGGCTGGTGGAGAGTAAGGCATGGGGGCCAGCACTCACATGGCACCGTATAGTACACACCAAGAAAGGAAGCGGCAGCATTCACACCCACGCCGCCTGGGAGAGCTTCAGAGCCATGAGGATGGCGGCTCTAGGACATGAAGACAGAAGGGACAGAGAGTGTCTTCCAGATAGAAGGAACAGCAGGGCAAATGGATGGCATGTCCTGGTGCTTGGCTGGGGGTCCTGGGAGGCTCTGATGGGAGCAGGCACATCCCTGTTTGTTCATGTCCTTGGGGGCCGTTCCTGGTGGGGGGTAATGGTCCGCTGCTGCCCCAGCCCGAGTGCGGGAACCATGAGGGAGCGACAGATTAGACGCGATTCTGATGGCCATGGCGTTCGCCGTGAAGATTGCTTTCTGCATTTTTAAATAAAAAATTGTAATTCTCTTCTCACTGCACACACAAAAATGGGAAGTATGTGAGGCCATGGATGTGTTGATTAGCTTGATTGAGCCTTTCCTCAGTGTGTACCTACCTCAAAACATCAAGCTTCACACCAGCAAATATGTACGACTTTTATTTGTCAACTAAACGTTTAAATAAATACTTTTTAAAGTAATTTTGTTTCCTCTATTAATAAATCCCTTTCACCCAATAGGAGAGGCTGTGCGAGGTCCATGCAAAATGAAGGCATGCCTTCCGGCCCCTGTTGAAGGACTCTTGGCTTTGCGACAGAGCCGGTAGCATCTACCACTGCCAGAGAAGCCCTAGTTCACAGTGTCTTTCCAGGGAGCCCCTGGCGTGTACCGCCTCTGATTCTATCAGACACCAGCCACACTGCGAGGGTCATCACTCCTGTTTCACAGGGGAGGGAAATGATCAAGGTTGGTCTGTGTCCTTCCAAACCAGCCACCCATGGGTGTGGTTGGTGAAGACATAGCCGGAGCTGGCCCCTTAAGGTGTCTGGAAACGACACCAGGTACAAACGGTGCAGGCTGCAACTGCAGGGTCACCTGGAGAGGAAGTGTGGCGGCCGGCAGCACTGCCCTCAGGCTGTCACAGGGCAGAGGACACCGGGCTCCCCTGGCTTGTCTAGACGATGTCACACAAACAGACTTTCCCAATCCACGCTGCTGGGGTTGGGGGCAGGAATCATCCCCTGTTCTTGGAGGCATTTCCCCAGAGCATGGCCTTGTGAGAACATTCTAGCATTGGGGAGGGAGGTCAAATACAGTGGCTGCTCAGGCTTCTCCCCACTTTAAATTCCACATTGCACATCCACCACAGGCAGGACCCCAGCCTGAAGGTCCTCAAGCACCAGGCAGGCCCTGCCTGCATGAGAACCTCTTGCCACAGGGCATTCTCCTGGCTAAGCATTCCCCCTCCCCAGTCTTCTGGAGCAGACCCACTCCTGGGAGTGGGTAGTGCCTGGTGTCTTAGCATGGCTGTTCCCTCTGCAGCCGTGGGCAGAAGCATAAGGAAAACGTGAGGCTGAAGCCTCGCATGGGGAGGGTGGGGCGTGAAGTCAGGAAAGGGAGCCCACTCTGCAATTCAGAGTCCTGAGTGACAGTCCTGCCTGACCACTTTCTCACTGGCTGCCTGCATAAGTCACGTTGCCTCGCAGAGTCTCGGTTTCCTCATCTGTAAACTAGAGAGGACACAGAGGCCACCCTCACAGGCTGATGGGAGGTACATGTGAGATACAGCCCAGGAAAACGCTTTGTCAGCTCGGAAGGGCTGTCCTGATGCGAGCTATTATGAGACCGTCTTTGGAAAGCACTTAGCATGTCACCTTACTAAATGCCTAATAAATGTGAGCTATTATTATTATTATTATCATTATTATTACTACTACCGTGTTACAGTTTTGTCCTCGGGCTGTTCCACTTTGTGCAGAACCGTATGGCACCACCCTGCGCAGCCAATGATAATTATTACATAGGAACTTTTAACCTCAGTGCGTTCTTTGCTCTCCCCCGTGAGATATTAAATAATGCGTTGATGTGAAATGGATGCCAGTTCCTGGACGGCGGGGGCTACCTGGCGATAACTATCATTTGATGATAGCCTACTTTGTGCCAGGCCCTATTTGAAAGTGATGTTCCTAGAGTTTATTTCATTATTACAACCAACCTATGATGCAGGCACTCTGACTGCCTCCACTTTACAAATGAGAAGAGTGAGGCTCTGAGAGGGTCCAGAGCCAGGCAGTGTGGAGCTGGGACTTGAACTGGGCATTTGGGGCCAACACTTGTGCTCCTGTTATATTTGCGTGAGCCTGGGGCATGAGGAATTGCTAGTGGTTGAATTGTGCTAAATATATGAATTAATGACCACAGCCAGTCATGAGCAATAATGGAGGGGAAGAGTTGTGTACAACCCGGATGGAAAGAGTGTCTTGAAATCAACATGGGAAGTGGATTTGTACAAGGCTATGAGGATTGGGACAACCACGGGCTCCAAGACGTCAGGCCCACTCAGATTCAAATTCTTACTCAGTCCCTTCCTGGTCATGTAACAATGGATAAAAAAATCATGGGTTGGCAAGCTATGGCCTGTGGGCCACACCTGTCCTCCTGCATGTTTTAGTAAATACAATTCTATTGGAACACAGCCATGCCCATTCGTTTATGTATCGTCCATGGCTGTTTTTGCACTCCTGGATCAAGGTTGAGTATTTGGAACAGGGACCACTGGGCTTGCAAAGCTAAAATATTTACTCTCTGGCCCTTTACAGAATATGTTTGCTGATCCCTGGAGAGATGGTGACTTCTCTTGAATCTTAGTTTCTGCAGGAAAAAGCTAGCTGTGAGTGAGAGTATGAGATGACACAAGTGACCACGGATTATTTGAGACCTGTCAGTGCTGGTTCTTGGTAGGTGCTGATTAATGGTTGGATGATGTGGGGAAAGCCAGTGCACTGCCCAATGCCACAGGAGGCAGGAGAGAAGGGTGGTGAGTGGCAGACCAGCCTCAGGGAGAGGCAGACCTGGGTCCAGCCCTGACTCTGCTCCTTACCGGCTTGTGACCTTGGGCAAGGGGCTTCATCATTCTTGCACTTCGGTCTTCCCAGCTGTCAAGTGGGAATAAGAACAGCTTGTATCTCTATGGTTTCTGCCAGGATTCTCTAAGTTAATTGATAACAACAAATCACTTGGCAATAGTGAAAAGATACACAATAGCAAGTGTTGGTGAGGGTGTGGGGCAACTGGAACCCTCATCCGTTTCTGGTGGAACCATGAAATACTGCAGCCATTTTGGAAAACACTGTGGCAGTTTTTTAAAAAAGTTAAACATAAATTTACACAGCAGCAATTCCACTTCTAGATATCTATTCAGGAGAAATAAAAACACTTCTGCACAAAGACTTGTATGTGAATGTTCACAGCAGTATTATTCATCATAGCTTCAAAGTAGAAACAACCCAAATGCCCATCCATGGATTAATAGAGAAAGAAAATGTGTTACAGCCATCAATGGAATATTATTCAGCAATAAAAAGGAAAGAGATACTGATAATGCTACAAAAAAGTGGATCTCAAAAACATCGCCCTAAGTGAAAGAAGCCAGGCACAAAAGACCCCATATGGTATGATTTCA
Organism: Homo sapiens; assembly: GCF_000001405.40. Classification (NCBI taxonomy): domain Eukaryota; kingdom Metazoa; phylum Chordata; class Mammalia; order Primates; family Hominidae; genus Homo; species Homo sapiens. Next base: position 98,897,061 of record NC_000014.9, on the reverse strand, counting down.
TTTACATGAAATGTCCCGAGTGGGCAAATCCATGGAAAGAGAAAGTAGGTTCATGGTTGCTACGGACTGGGGACAGAGGGGAGTGGGACGTGACTGTATATAAGCCTGAGGGATTCTTTTGTGATGGTGCAAATGTTCTAAAATTGGATTGTGGTGATGGTTGCATAACTGAAAATTTACTAAATAGCATTGAATTGTACACTTAAAACGAGTACATTTTATGGTATGTAAATGAAACTGTTAAAAAAAAAAGTCCTTGGAATCATACGTGGTGCAGAATAAGGCGTGGTGGTGGCTGTCAGTGGTGTTAATTCCCTCCATTGTCTCTGGCTGGGGTTGAGAGATCTTTAAACCTGAAGTGTTGATCTAGGCCTGAGAATTCAGATGCAGATCCTCCCTGCAGCTTTGTTCTTCCACACCCAACCGCTTTGTCTGCTCTTATCTGTGTAACTTAGAGCCTCTGTTTTCTCTGTAAATTGCAAATTGTAACAATTCCCGAATCTGTGGGGGTGGTGTGTATGTGTTTTGTTTTACGTATTTACATATTGAACTGAATGTTTGCATTTCCCCCAAATTCATGTGCTGAAGCCCTCATCCCCTTTGTGGTGGTATTTGGAGACAGGGCCTTTGGGAGGGGATAGGGTTTGGATGAGGCCATGGGGTGAAGCATCCGTGATGGGATTAGCACCCTTATAAGGGAGTGAAGGGACCAGCACTTTCTTTGCCTGCCATATGAAAATGGCAAGAAAACGTCTGTCTGGACGGGGCATGGTGGCTCATGCCTGTAATCCCAGCACTTTGGGAGGCCGAGGTGGATGGATCGTGAGATCATGAGATCTAGACCATCCTGGCCAACATGGTGAAACTCCATCTCTACTAAAAATACAAAAATCAGCTGGGTGTGGTGGCGGGTGCCTGTAGTCCCAGCTACTTGGGAGCCTAAGGCAGAAGAATCGCTTCAACCTGGGAGGTGGAGGTTGCAGTGAGCCGAGTTCGCGCCACTGTACTCCAGCCTGGGTGACAAAGGGAGACTGTCTCAAAAAAAAAAAAAAAACAAAAAAAAGAAAGTGTCAGTCTGTAAACCAGGAGGCAATCCTTCACCAGGAACCCCACCATGCCAGCACCTTGTTCTTGGACTTCCAGCCTCCAAAACTGTGAGAAATATATGTTTGCTGCTGCAGACACCCAGTCTAAGGTGTTTTGTTATAGTATCCCGAACTGATGAAGACACATCTGAAATCTGGAAAGTGCTGGCACGTGATAAACACTCACATTTTCTTTCTCAGATGAACAAATGAATGTAGTGGCCATGATACTGCCCGTTGTTCATCTGACACAAATCTTCACTTTCTGTTCATGGAAAATGGACAAAATAAATAGTGTCCTTAAAGTTCAAAGACCAGGACCCTACTTCCAGCTCTGCCGCTAACCAGTCATGTGATCTTTCCCATCTGAGTCTTTTTCATTTTTATTTTTGGTCGCCCAGGCTGGAGCGCGGTGGCGTGATCTCAGCTCACTGCAACCTCTGTCTCCTGGGTTCAAGCCATTCTCTTGCCTCAGCCTGCCGCACAGCTGGGACTACAGTAGCCCACCACCACACCTGGCTAATTTTTTGTATTTTTAGTGGAGATGGGGTTTTGCCATGTTGGCCAGGCTGGTCTCAAACTTCTGACCTCAGGTGATCTGCCTGCCTCAGCCTCCCAAAGTGCTGGGATTACAGGTGTGAGCCACCATGCCTGGCCTCCCCTCTGAGTCTTTAAGGTCAACAAGGGCTCTTTGGCAAAATCCTGCCTGTCAGGACTTTGGAGAGCATCCAGTGCGATATGAGTAGCCCTGTGTTACCCCTGGGTGCATTGCATGGCTTTGGTTTGGTAGTCTCAATCCCAGGCAGCATGAGCTGCTCCCAGGAAAAAGATCTGGAGCTCAGGAAGGAGAGGGTCTAAGTGTAGAAGGACACCCAATGGGGATCCCAGAGCCCCCTGGGCCATGCATTAATTTAAGAGACTGGAGGCTCCAGCTCTGATGGGGGTCTGTCCTGAATGGGAAAGCTGAGGTTCCTCACGGGAGGTCACCCCTGCCAGCCCTCCCTGGGACATCTCCATGAGCAGGGACCATTGGAAAGCTCCTCCATGCTGGAAGTTCTCTTAGTTTGTGAGTCTGGCAGCTTGGTGTTGTTCAAAGGCTTGCCAAGCCCTGGAATAACCAAAGTTGAGCAAAGATAAGGAAGCAGGGAAGAGGCCTGGACCCACGCCAAGCTGTGTTGCATTTCAGCAGGAGCCGTGTTGGTCGGTTTTGATGGGAGAATCTTAAGGAGAGGCCAAGTACACCAGTACTCGGAGGATAGGTCCTCTCGCCCAGGCTGTTCCTGTCTCCTGAGCTGCTGCTGACTTCAGGCCAGTTTCTCCTTCCCCTGGAGCCTTGCCCCTTTCTTTGAGAAGAAGATGTTGATTGGAGCAGAAGTCTCCCACTGATGGCCAGGCATTTATTTTTATTTTACACATTTTTGGTGTCTGTAGTATGGCCATCACTTTTTTTTTAAAAAAAGCTGGCTTACTTGCTAATATATTAACATCATGAGGTTCTACTGAAAAAATCAGATTTTTGGCTTCCCTTTGAAAAAAAACCAACTGGTGCCACTTAGGCTGCTGGCATTTCAACACGGCCACAGGAAGGCAGAGAGGGCAGAAGCTGCTCCTCTCTCTGTCCCCCTTATGCCACAGTCTCCACTCACCCTTATAGCTCCCACTCTGGGCTGAATGCTAGTTGTCATTTATGGAAACATTAAGAGGAACAAAAGATATCTTATGTTCATGTGTTTATCGAAAGTGGGAAAATAAAAAATAAACTAAAGAAACAGGGTTTCAAGAAAGATAAGCTAAGTTTTTTGATGGAAGAGAAACATAGTCTCAAGCATCTATTAGGGCAGAAGTGTGTCCGTGGGGTTCTAAGGCTCACTCACATCCACTTGCCTTCCCTTCTGGGCTTGTTGGAGATTTATGATGTCCCACCCCTCTGTAATTAGGTAGAGACACAGGACTAATTTGAATTGGTTAGTAGACAGTGAATTGGTTAGGGCAGCTGGTTGAAGTGAAGCATATTACTTATGAGTTTAAGAATGTAATTGCTGGTCCAAGATTCCTGGCATTCTTTCTCTGCCTTGGTGTGTTCTAGCAGGTGCAGTTGCAAGGTGGTGGCCTTGGTCAGCCTGAGTGACTGTGTGAAGTTAAGCCTCCTCTGCCAACCTGTTTGGGCATGGTGTGAGTGCATTGTTTGTTATTGCAGTGCAAGCTATCTCATTCTGACTAATACAGTACCAAGAGATACACATTTCTGCTTCTGTCATTTATTCCACTTGCTTTTGAAATCAGACATTTGTACTTGGTCCCTCTGGATTTGATGGTCTGTAGCTCCTGTCTCCATTTGAATCCTCAGAGGATCACTCTATGCTCCACTGGATGGTGAACTCCTTGAGAGCAGGAGCTCCTTGAGCTAAGTCTTGTTATATATATATGCCTAGCATCTAGCAGTGGACCTGACACAGACGGCATGCTCCATGAGAGTTTGATGAATGAATGCCTGAACTCTGTCACTGGTCTGACCTGACATCTGGGCAAGTTGCTTTCCTTCTATTTCTTCAACTGTAAAATAAACGGAAGCAAAAGACTGGGTTGCCTCTGTTCTTCCCAGCTCTGGAAGTCCATACTCTGTGTTTAACCTCTGTTTCTATATGAGCTCAGATCCCAGGGAAAGCACCTGCCATGAGAGCCATCCGTGTCATTAGGAAATGGCCAACTACTTTAGGCACTTAGATGACTTGAATTTGAACATGCCCTTGCTGGACTCCCATCCCTGATGTCCACTTAAATGATGTTTTACTGAGAACTGACGAGGCCTCACTTCCTGGGACCTTTGATCTAATGGCATTTTTGCTTTGCTCAATTATAAATCTGCTACTCTCAGGACATGGGAGGTCTCGCCCATCATAAAATGATACCCACTCAGAAAGGACGATTGTAAAGGCTGAGCTCTGCTGCCAGGAGGCCCCAGTTGATGGAAATCAGCAGGCATGGTGCCCAGCACACCCCAGGGGAACGAGTGAGGTTGTGGCTCACTCTTCATCACCTTGGGATCCTGCTGTCCTGGTCCATGGCACCTAGTGACTCAGTGGCACCTCCTTTTCTCTACCTAGGTGGGACCAAAAGGAAGGCCTGCCTAATAAAGTGAGAAAGAGCAAAGGATTCGGAGTCAACCTGGGTGTCATCCTGGGTGTCATCCTGGACCCACCTTTTACTAACTGCCTAAACGGGGCTACAAATGTTTTCTGCATCTTATTAGGGCAGGGCCTCTCACTCTGAGGCTCTTTGTCCATCAGAATGTCTGTGGTTAGTCCTGACTTTGCCCCATGCTGTGTGGTCTCAGTCAAGTATACAACCTCTCATCTGTAAAGTTCTTGACCTAAAGAATGAAGTAGAACAATTGTTTTTATTTACTGGGTGCTTCATGTATGTCCAGCACCATATGGATGCTTTCCTGCATCTTATCTCATAATCCTGAAGATAACCCTATTGATCACAGTCAGGGTCACCCATATTTCACCATGGCACCTCGATTCTCCAGGCAAGAGACCGAAGCATAGAGGGACTAATAAGGCACCTGGCCTGGGAGGTCTCCCAGCTTGCATGGGGGTGGAGTGGGACCTGAAGCCTGGCAGGGGGACTCTGGGAACAGCCCAACTGGGCATGCCATGCTGCTCCCTGGGGTGTGGTAAAAAGAGCAATGGCTCCAGCTTTGGAAGAACGGGCTTAAACTTGTATTCTTGCACCTTCTTAGTTTGTGGGCAGGTCACCTAGCTTGGTTTTTGCAATTCCAAAGCAAGATCGGCATCCACTGTCTCCCTGGCTGGTAGAGGGACCTGATGAGGTCATGGATGTGGAAATGCCTCGTAACCAGTGGGCTGGGGAGCTGGGCATGTCCTCTTGTTGTTCTGAGATCCCTGCATGCTCCGTGATTTTCTGCTGTCTGTCCTCACTATCTACATCTGTCCGCGTCTGTCCCCAGCTTGTTTTCAGGGAGGGACTGGGGCTCAATCTGGGTTGCTCACCCTGGCCCTGAGGGCCAAGGGAAGAGTTCCTCTTTCCATCGCTGACGCAGAGACCCTGAAGAGTGGCTCTGGAGTAACTTGATACTGTTTTATGTGCAGATTCTTTAATCACTGCAGGAGGTAATAAATCCACGGATAAGATGTGACACATCTTATCTCACTCGTGAGAGGGAAAAGGAACATGGGAAGCAGAGATCCCATTGATCAGGGCCTAGGGTGGATGTCACAGGGAGGAAAAGGACACACAAAGCTGTTGCCTTTGACCTGCCCGTAGGATGCATGGAGGATGAGAGTGGGGAGAAGGTGGACAGGGTAGGTGGGTGTGACCACCAATGGCCTCGTGGGCCAAGATAGCTACAAAAACAAGAACAGTCGCAGCCAGTGCCTAGGATAGTGCTAGGCACACAGCAGAACCTCTGTGAAGGGCTGTGGAACACATGTGCTGGGTGCTGGCTAGGCTCCTCCCAGTTCCACTGATGTGAACTGCCCCATGGGATGTTGGGGTGCAGTCAGAATCAGTTTCCAAAAGCCGCTGCAGAAAGCGCGGTGGCTCTGCCCCCTAGTTACCCAGGTTGCTTTAACCTAAGCAAATATGCCGAGCACGGTTGCTGGATGCTTTCTTCCTTGGAAAACACACTTGGTAAATAAGAGCCTGTGCTATTATCTCAGAATGGGCCGAGTTTGTCTAAATATAGACATTTGATAATTACCCCTGGAAGCATTCGTTCTGGTGCAAAAACAGATCAACAACTCACTCCCTGTTCTGCTGTTCCTTCGCTTGGAAGAAGGAGTGGGCGGGCCTTCCAGGGCTTGTGTCAGCATTAGCTTCTTAAGAGCCCAGCAGTCTCTGCAGAGATTAGGGCTTCCCTTAACCACCAGTGTCGAGTCTAGGATCAAGCGTTTTCCCCTGCAGTGGAATCTTTTTCCCTTGAAAGGGGTATTAGGTAAACCAGTTACATGTTTCCAAACAGCTTTAAAAACAGAAGGCTCTTTCCTCTCCTTGTTATTTCTTTTCTTCTTCTGGTGAAATGAAAGCTAGTGTGGCCAACCTGGTTATAAAGGTAGTAAATCCAGTTGCACAATGAATTCCAGTCTGTACTCTTTTTTAAAAAAAAATTTCAATAAAGTCTACTTAGGGCCAACAGAATTTTTGACTTTAAGAAGCATGTAAAAGGGAGTCACCGTTAATAGGGTGAGCTCTTTGCTTTGGGATTAGGCCTATGTGACAGCGCCCGGGTCCCTTTATTCACTGGGATTGCGCCAAGAGAATGCTTTGTGCCGCTCTGAAAAAGATAGAATTGGGCGTTCCATTTATTCTATTGATCTTAATAACCTCATCTCATAAATACCTACTTTATGACATCAATAAAAAGGGATCGTGGCCACTCAGAACAATAGAAATGGTTACTTTGCAACTAAAGTGTTCCATTGAGTGCCTCAATGAAATTCCAGAGAGCAGAGCTGTCAAGAGATTTCTGTGCTGGCTTTTTAAAGTTCGTGCAGCAGGAGAGATTTCCACCTCTTTCCCTGAAAATACAAATGAACTGGGTGCTTAGGATCGCATGGTGCAGCCTCTTGCTTCTCAGGCATATTGTGATTTTTCTTCTCGTGTAACTCAGACTTAAGTTGTCATCTTGCAGAGTTACAGGGGTCTGCATTGGTCGACCAAAGGCTACCCAGTCAGCAGAATATCACGGATAATTGTCTGTTCACGGGTTGAGCACAAAGGATGCTTCACACGCAGTGGTACTTGAAGGTGCTCCCAACACTCCCACCTCCTCTGTTTTGTTCCTTCACTTTATGGAAGAAAAGCCTGAGGGTCAGAGAGGTGCCATGACGCTGATGCCAATCAAAGCCCATGGTGCTGGTCTCACAGACACCCAAGCTGCCACCGAATGGGGCTCATCTTAGAGCCAGGAGGCATGAGGTCTGTCAGCCCTGTTCTGGGGAGAAGCGGGCCTCGCCTGCCCTCCGGGGCTACCCGGGCCAGGGTTTAGCATCTGTCTCTCCTGTGGAGCTCCATCTCATTCCAGCAGGCCTGGATTTCAGCTGAGGAGTTGCATTTGAAGGGCTGCGCCAGCGTTCCTGGAATCCCCTCACAATGATAGGTTGGCTTCAGGCCTCCACTGGAAAGAACTCCAGGTCTAGAAGACAGTGAAGGAAAGGCAGGAAGGGGAATTGAGACTGGTTGAGTGCCAAGGCTGTGCCTTGTGAGAGAACTGAGGCATCCCGGCCAGCACAGCACCCACTGCCAGACGCGTGAGTGACACTGTCTTGGACCTCCCAGCCAGGCCAGTCTTCCAGGGCAGTGTGGCTGCAGGTGCTTCAGTGATGCCAGCAGAGGAACTGTGCAGCCAACGCATGGGATCAGAAGAAATTTGAGATGGTGGTTGTTGCAAGCTGCTAACTTCAGGGCCATTTGTTACATGGCAGAGGCTGACTGACGCGTCCTCCCATGCCACTCCCTCCCTCTGCCCTCTACACTCCAGCCCCACTGGCTTTCCTGCTCCTGCCTAAGGTCACTCAGGTCAGCAGTCCTCTGTGCCTGGCTTGCTCTTCCCCAGATCTTCTTGTTACTCAGGTTGTAGCTTAAACATCATGAGGCCCAGTCAGATTCCAGTCTTCACCACTGCATGGGGTGGGGGTGCAGCAACATTGTGTTGCATAGGAGCGGGATTCCTGCATCTGGAGGAATTCAAAGCCTTTAAGAGATGGGAATGAAAAGAGGTAGGAAGCTTTGAGAGCATAGCGTGTGGCAGCCAGGGCAAGAAGTTAGGATTGTATCTTACATGTGATGGCAGCCATCTGAGGGCTTTGAACAGGGCAGTGCCGTGACACAGTTTGCAATTTTAAAAGACAACTCTGTTTGATCTGCAAAGAATAAAGTGAGGGGCTGGGGGTAGGAGAGAGATCAGGGAGATCAGGTAGGAGATAAGGGCCAGGCTGGTTAATATGGGAGAATGATGCGCAGATTCAGAACATACTTTGGATACATGGGTGGATGACTTTGCTTCCAATCGTTTATTTCCCTCCTCTGCTTCCACACACACCCCTGGACTTCGCTGTTCCCTTGCCATAACTTTACCGCTTGCAAACTCCAGGCTGCAAACATCCTCTCCCTGACATCCACTCCTCTCTTTCCAGCTCCCTCTAGTATCCCCACCCCACCCTGGACCCAGATCCACTGGCTTGCGGTACTTAGTTAGTCACTTCCACAGTCTTCTACTCTCTCCCTTGTCCCTCACCCTCCAAGGTACTTGTCTGATAAAATGGCAACCTTGAAATACTCAGCACTGCCCCTCCTCTGGCTTGCACAGAAGCAGTTGCAAATTGCCAGGAAATAAGGCACCCAGCCATGCCCACTATGGACGGTGGAGAAGGCAGCTACATACATGCATTTAGACCTCCTGGCAGAGAGGCTGGAAATAGGGATTTGAGAGCCATCAGCTTATTGAGGGTCTTGGAAGCTGGGGTTGGGGCAGGGCTGGGCCAAGTCTGTGGGGAGTGGAGTTAGACAGGGAACCTGGGGTGGAGCCCAGGGGTACTTCATCTAGAAGAAAGGAGAGGAGGAGGAGGGAGCCAGGGGGATCCTCCCACCACCATCACCCCCCTGGATGCCTAGGAAGAAAGGAAGATGGGGCTGGGGACTTCCCCATTCGTGTGGGAATCAACCCGAAACCACCTGTCCTGCTCTCAAGCTGGTGAGCTCTCCTGGCAGGGCATGGCTCGAAAGCCTTGACTCCCGGTGAACTTCCTGGAGTAATTGACACAGCTGCCTGAGGCCCCCACAACAACGTCACAGCCTCAACTCCTCACTGTGATTTCAGTGCCATGATTTCCAGTTGGAATTTTTTTAAAAAAGAAAGAAGATAGAAGCCACACCATCCATACCGTCTAACTCTTGCTGGATCTTTGCTTTAATCTGGTTTTCTTTCTTTTTCTATTTCTTTTTCTTTTTTTTTTCTTTTTGAGGTGGAGTCTTGCTCTGTCACCCAGGCTGGAGTGCAGTGGCACGATCTCGGCTCACTGCAAGATCCACCTCCCAGGTTTGCGCCATTCTCCTGCCTCAGCCTCCTGAGTAGCTGGGACTACGGGTACCCGCCATCACGCCCGGCTAAATTTTTGTATTTTTAGTAGAGATGGGCTTTCACCTTGTTAGCCAAATGAGACTTTTCTAAATGCCGCTTATGTACACGAACTCATTCATCTTCACAATGGTTACACCCCATTTACACATGAGGAGACTGAGGCACAGAGAGGTTAAGTCACTGGGCTCCCATTCACACAGCAGTCATTCGAAACCAGGTCATCCTGCTGTAAAGTCCACTTGCGAGCAACAGCACAGGTGCCTCCTAAGAGTCTGTCCATCTTCCTGCTTGACTCAGAGATCATGGCGGGGGAAATGATGAGTTGGTGGCTGTGAAATGATGCATTGTATTGGAAACAGTGACTCTCAAATTGTTTATTTTTTTTAAGTGGCAGATTTATTTTTAACTTGACTCCAGCCTAAAGGAGGAAAGGGCAGCCCCTGGAAACTCAGTGACTTGTGAGGCTCACCTCTCTGCACTGTGGGGCAGGCCCTGGTCTGGGCCTCCATGCCCAACCTCTCTCCACCCTGGTGCCTTCACCCGTCTGTCACTGAGTGGTGTCTGGCAGCACCAGCCAGTCTCAATAACCTCCACTCCACCCCAGGCGCTGCCCTAGCCTTGCCTTCTGCCCCCTGCTCTGATCTCCTCCCGCCCCACCTTCCCTCCTCAGGGGACCTGTGCAGACTGGCCTCCAGCATTGCCTCCTCACGCACCTTGGCTCCCTGCTCACCTGGCAGGGCCCTCTGAGTCAGCCTGCCCTCCGCCCCCAGGCCAGAGTACCTCTCCAGCCTGCGGGCTCCCAGGCTTTCCTGGAGCGTGCCTGGCTCTCCCTGCAGCCGGCTCTGCTCACCCTTCCTCCCTCTTTCCCATTCTGCCCTTCCTGGTGTGGGACTCAGACCACTCGTCCTCAACCCTCTCCTCAGGGGACATAAGTACACCCTGTTTAGTCCTCTGGGCTCCTCTCTCCCTGCCCCATTCTTCTGGCTCCTGTTCTTTCATGTCTGGGAGGACGCTGGCCTCTATGGAGGAACTCACAGGGATCCACCATTGCTGGAAGCATGGAATCCAGGAGAAGGAGCCCAGTTATGTGTTTACTTGGCATATTATTCAATTCTTAGACCTACTGCCTGCTATATCCTGTCTACCTCTGGGCCTTTGCCGTTACTCTCTCCTGCCTGGAATATGCCCCCTTCCTGTACCCAGGCCAGGCCTTGGGTTCTACCCAGTTACCTCCCCACTCATCCTTCCTCTGTGGATTCAAATGCCCAGCCTCAGGGAGCCTGTCTGGGTTTGATTGCTGTTGCTGTTGGTACTGTTTTTCCCGTAGGTCCATCCTGTTTTCTGCCTTTTTGCGTGTCATGGCCGTGAATCCCCATGTATTTATTTGTGGTATTACTCCAAGCTCCAGGAGGGCAGAGAGTGTATCCCCTTCTCGTTACTACATCCTCCCGGCCTAACATGGGGCTTGGCTACTCAAGCAATGAAAGTAGAGTAAAAGGAAATTATCTGGGGGATTATGACATTTTGCTGTGTCCCAGGGCCTGCAACGGCAACTAAACACTTATATTTGTTGAAGAGAGAAAGAAAAGAAGGAAAAGAAGCAGGAGAGGGAGTGAGAAAAGAAGGACCAACAAGAGCTGTGTTTCCTGGTTTCCCTGTGTCCTGCAGTGCATGGGCAGAGCAGGGCTCTATGCGGGGCTGTGCCCAGTAGTGTCACTGGTTTCTGAGGCCAGAGCCCCAGCACGGGTGGGGACTGCTTCCTCTGTGGCCGAAGACCTGTGACACCTGCGTGTTTACAGCTGGCCCTGCAGCCTGTGGTCACCCTGTGGCAATCAGATGTGGTGGCCAGGCCGGCTTGAGCCTGTCCCACTGCCGGCCCACACGCCCGCAAGCCTGGCCCTTGGCTGGATGCATTCTATGTTCTGGGTCTGGTTTGGTCAGCCCAGATCTAGTGGTCCCTGGGAGTCTGCAAAGCTTCTTAATCTCACATCTAGCAAAGGACAGAATCATTTCCTTTCAAAGGACCACAATAGCACTCAAAGAGGTGGCCAGAGCATATGCGTATCTTCCTTTGTCCTGGCGGAAAGAGACAGGCCCTTCCCGCTTATTTCATTGACATAGACGGAAGGCCTCTGTTGTGGGCCTGGTCTTAGTGCTGGGGGCTGGGATTTGGGCCTGAAAAGACTCTGCCACTGCGATCACCCAGAGGAACAGCAGACTCCCTTAGAGCCCGCCCAGTGTGGCTTCCCAGGTGCAACGCAAAATGTGGCACAGAGGCTCTGGGAGCACAGAGATGGGCTTCTGGAGGAGGCAATGCCTGATGGCTCTTCAAGGGTGAAGAGGATTAGGAAAGAAAAAGAGAGAAGAAAATCCATTTGGAGGGAAGAGCATGAGCCAGCAGGAAGGAGGGATAAGGAGTCAGGGGTGGAGGGCTGTCTGCAGGCCAGCACAGAGATAACAAGAGGCCAGAGGCATTAGAAGATGACTTGGAGGGGTAGGCTGGAGTGGTCAGGAGGGCCACAGACTCCAGACCAATGAGTCGAGATGAGACTTTATCACTCAGGTTCATCAAAGAGTCTGGGACAAGGGAGTGATTGGTAAAGGGCATGATCTTGGAAGATTTCTCTGTTGGCCACAGGGTGGAGAAAGGGCAGAAGAGAGAAAGGAAAACCATTTAGGATGTGAGTAAGGCCATGAGGATTGAGAAGAAGGAGAGATTTGGAAGGAAAAGAAGGAGGTTGAAGGAATCAGTGTCAGAGCAGGCTGGACACGGAGGGTCAGGGAGATGACTGGTGAGTCTTCCATTTATAGTTGGGCTCTGTAGGCAGCCGCTTGAATTAATTTTATCACATCACTACTTTTTTCTGTCTTATCCTTAAGAATCTTTAGTCCCATAAGTTTGAAAAAAGAATCTTCTCTAAAGTGATGTATTAAAAAGGAATAAAATAAGTACATAAAGGGAATAAACAGGAAGCAACACACTGTTTCATTGTTGCAGAAGCTGTTGATGCTCCACTCCAACTAATGATGGATACAAGTTGGTGTATAAATACCCCAGCTCTCTCACCCCAGGGGTGTAACTCTCAGGTGTGCTCTATGTTGGATCCCAGAGTTCCCCAGTGGGCTTGAACTACCATTGCCCACAGTGGTTACTGACTTGATAATCTTTGCTTCCCTGCCTCACCTCACCTCTACCCTACTGAGATCACTCTTAGGGCAACCCAACCTGGGATATTCATATTCTAGAAGCTGCCCTCTCTCTGACAGACTGGCTTATTGCAGAGATCCTGAAGCCTCTCAAATGTTATCCTTTGTCCCTGTCCCTTCCATCTCAGTCTCTTTAGCTGCAGAAAGGGAATTGAAATACACTTCAGGAGCCCTAGAACTGGCTATTGAAATGATTTTTTCAAAACACTGGGCAGGAGAAGTGTATTAGTCAGCCCAGGCTGCCATAACAAAATATTGGAGACTAAGCAGATTAAACAACAGAAATTGATTTTCTCTAAGATCTAGAGGCTGGAAGTCTGAGGCCATGGAGCCAGCATGGTCAGGTTCTGGTGAGGGCTCTCTCCCTGTCTTGCAGACGGCTGCCTTCCTGTTGTGTTCTCACAGAGTGGAGAGTAACATGGTGGAGAGAGTCATCTCTCTCGTTCTCTCTCTCGTCCTTTCCTTTTAAGGCCACTAATCCCATCAGGTGGGCCTCATTGTCACAACTTAATCTAACCATGATCACCTGAAGGCCCTACCTACTGTATCATTACATTGGGTGTTAGGGCTTCAACATATAGATTTGGTGGGGGACACAAACATTAAGTTCATCACAGAAGGGAAGCAAGGAAATTCTTAAAATGAAACTTCTTTCTCCAGTGGCTGACCCTGTTTCCTTGGCTGAGAAGATATCTTTGTTCTCAGTGAGAAACCTAAGGCTGTGCTTTTGCCTAGAGTCACAGCCTCCAGACCTGCCCTCGTTTACGGCAAGCCTGGAAATGGCTCCATTTTTGGCAGCTGTGGCAGCTCCCTGGAGTTTCTCTTGTTTTTTACATTTTTTGATTTGTAAAATGTTTTTCTTCTTCTCTTCAGGGAGTCCTTTACTTTTAGTCACTGCTAATTTAAGATCTAGAAACAAAAAGAAATTAGGTAACAATCATTGAACATATATTGTGTGGTAGGTTATTTGCACGTATTTTTATAAAATAAATGTTAGCATAACCTGGCATGGAAGATTGTATTATTTAATTTAAGAGACCATATGGTACAAAATACTCATTTTATAGGTGGGGAAACTGACTCAGAAAGCCAAATCCTTGCTCAGATGCACACAGCCATTGAATGGAGGTTTCAGGATGCAAACTGCAGTTAGTCTGATGCTATGCCTGTGTTCTGCCAGTTTTAACCTGGCTGTGGCCAGAGTGACTGAAAGTGCATGGCTCCAGGTAGGTGACATGGTACTGTATAAGTTTTCTTGACCCATGGTTGGCTTCTTGAGTCAATGGATCAGAGATAGTTTCGAGGTAGACAGCCACATTTCTATGCCCCAAGAACACTCGAGATCCCTCTGCATTCTCTGCTGCTGTCTGATCACGTTTTTGTTTCAAGACAAGCAGCTCAAACTGTCCCACAGCTTAGCAAGCTATAGCTCATGGGCCAAATCTCGCCTATTACTTAAAAAAATTATTATATTTTTGTTTTTAAATTGGGGTAAAATGCACATAACATAAAATTTGCTATCCTAACAATATCTAAGTGGCATTAAGGACATTCACCTGGTTGTGTATCCATCACTACCATCCATCTCCAGAACTTTTCATCTTCCCAGTCTGAAGCTCTGTACCCATTATGCACTAGCTTTCACTTCCCTCTGCTCCCAGTCCCTGGCAACCTCCATTCTACTTTCTATAATTTGACTCCCTGGGAGCTTCCTAAAAGTAGAGAGACGCCGGCCGGGTGCAGTGTCTCATGTCTGTAATCTGAGCACTTTGGGAGGCCAAGGCAGGCAGATCACCTGAGGTCAGGAGCTCGAGACCAGCCTGGGCAATATGGTGAAACCCCATCTCTACTAAAAATACAAAAATTAGCAGGGTATGATGGCAGGTGCTTGTAATCCCAGCTACTTGGAAGGCTGAGGCAGGAGAATCACTTGAACCTGGGAGGCGGAGGTTGCAGTGAGCCGAAATTGCACCACTACACTCCAACCTGGGCGGCAAGAGTAAGAATCTATCCCTGACAAAAAAAAAAAAAAAAAAAAAAAGGAGTAGAATCATGCCATATTTGTCCTTTTGTGACTGGCTTATTTCACTCAGTCCCCAAGGTTCATCCATGTTATAGCATGGGTCAGACTTCCCTTCCTTTTTAAGACTAAATAGTATTCCATTATATAGATGTAACACATTTTGTTTATCCATTCATCTGTTCATGGATACTTGGGTTGCTTCCACACTTGACTGTTGTGAATAATGCTGCTATGAACATGGTACAGATATTACTGCTTGTTTTTATAAATAATGTTTTACTGGAACCCCAACATGTCCATTAGTTTACGTATTGTCCATGGCTTCTTTTGAGCTATAATGGTAGAGCTGTGTGTTTGCAACAGAGACCATATTCCCTCAATATTTACTATCTGGACTTTCGTGGAGAACTTTACAGAAGCAACTTGCCAACCCCTGAATTAGTGGGACCAGGCCCTGACCTGATCTTGCCTTGGCCTTTGAGCAAGGTACTTCCTGACCCTGGGACTCAGTTTCCTCATCTGTAAAACAAAAAGTTTGGGTTAAACTGGTTTTCAAGTTGTGCTTTCTGGATTCCTGGTGGTCCCCATTTGGCCCCAGAGTGGAGTTTATTGGGAGGAACAGATACTGGTGGGATAGGTGGTGAAGTCTGTAACTCACTAATTCATCCAGAGCTTCTTCCTTTTTATTTGTTTTATATCCCAGGGCAGACATTCTGCCCAAGGGCTCTGATATGGTTTGGTTGTGTCCCTACCCAATTCTCATCTTGAATTGCAGTTCTCCTTATCCCCATGGGTTGTGAGAGGGACCCAGTGGGAGGTAACTGAACCATGAGTGTGGTTACCCCCATGCTGGTATTCTCATGATAGTGAGTTCTCATGAGATCTTATAGTTTTATAAGGTAGTTTCCCCACTTTTGCTTGGCACTTCTCCTTGCTGCTGCCATGTGAAGAAGGATGTGTTTGCTTCCCCTTTCACCATGATTGTAAGTTTCCTGAGGTCTCCCCAGCCCTGCAGAACTGTGTGTCAATTAAACCTCTTTTCTTTATAAATTACCCAGTCTCAGGTATGTCTTTATAAGTAGCATGAGAACTGACTAATACAGCTTCCTTTGACCAAAAAGTTCTTTAGCTTTAGGAAATATATTGGGCTTGAGATTAAGAATGGTTCCCAGGTGGATCATGGGTGTCATGAGATTCAGGAAAAGCAAGTCAGCAGAGTGTATGAGTCCATTCTTGCATTGCTATAAAAGAATACCAGAGACTGGGTAATTTATAAAGAAAAGAGGTTTAATTGGCTCACCATTCTGCAGGCTCTACAGGAAGCATGGTGTTGGAATCTGTTTCTGGTGGGGTCTCAGGGAGGCTACAGTCATGGTGGAAGGGAAAGGCTGAGCAGGCACATCACATGGTGAGAGCAGGAACAAGAGTGAGGGAGGTGCCAGGCTCTTTTAAACAACCAGATCTCTTGTGAATCCAGAGTGAGAACTCACTCATTACTGCAAGGATGCCATCAAGACATTCATGAAGGACCTGCGCCCATCATCCAACCACCTCCCACCAGGCCCTACCTCTAACACTGGGGGTCACATTTCAAAATGAGATTTGGAGGTGTATTAGTTCATTTTCATGCTGCTGATAAAGACATACCCGATACTGAGCAATTTACAAAGGAAAGAGATTTAATGGAGAACTCATGGTTCCACATGGCTAGGGAAGCCTCACAATCATGGTGGAAGGCAAGGAGGAACAAGTCACATCTTACGTGGATGGCAGCAGGCAATGAGAGAGAGTTGGTGTAGGGAAACTTCCATTTTTAAAAAAACCATCAGATCTCATAAGACTTATTCACTATTGCAAGAACAGCATGGGAAAGACCTGCCCCCGTGATTCAATTACCTCCCACCAGGCTCCTCCCATGACACATGGGAATTGTGGGAGTTACAATTCACGATGAGATTTGGGTGGGGACACAGACAAACCATATCAGGAGGGAACAAACATCCAAGCCATGTCAGCGTGGGAGACCCAGTCCTCCAGGTTGGGGAGAATTTCTTTTTTTTTTTTTTGAGATGGAGTCTCACCCTGTCACCCAGGCTGGAATGCAGTGGCACGATCTCGGCTCACTGCAAGCTCCGCCTCGTGGGTTCACGCCATTCTCCTGCCTCAGCCTCCTGAGCAGCTGGGACTACAGGCGCCTGCCACCAAGCCCAGCTAATTTTTTGTATTTTTTTTTTAGGAGAGATGGGGTTTCACCGCGTTAGCCAGGATTATCTCGATTTCCTGACCTCGTGATCTGCCCACCTCGGCCTCCCAAAGTGCTGGGATTACAGGCGTGAGCCACCACTTCCGGTCGAGAATTTCCAGTGAAGATCGCAGCCACTCTCTGTTGCAGTATAGAGGAGGCCCTTGGAGTCCAGAAAGCACAGCACTTCTGGACTCCAGACTGGATTTTGTCATGGTACCAATCTTTGAAAGGCGGAGGAGGTATCTCTGAGGACTTGGGGCACTAAAGATTCCTCCAGGGCAGAGTGGACAGAGCAGTTGTCTCTAGACTCTTCCTCTCAGCTCCAGTGGAATTATTTGCTGTTAAAATAACAATGGGGTGAGGTTTCCTGATGTTCCAAATTATCCAACAGGAGACAAACACATCTTTGGCTCACTCACGGATGCAGACACCGCCCTACAGGTCTCCCGTGCCTTAAAGCCGTCTGGTTCCTTTCGGCCAGCACAATGCCTGCATGGTGCATTCTCATTCTCCTGCAGGCATACGAGGTGAATAGAAAAGAACGCCCCGGTCATACCATGAAATGAAAGAAGCCTCTGGACATATTTCCAAAACATTCTGGACATTGACTCCAAACGGACCTTCTGAGTAAATGCAATTTGGGATTTTCAGTGCATCCTCTAGCGTGTTATTTTATTTATTTTTTTGGAGGCTTGCAGATGTGAAGTGGTGATATTTGTGTTTTTCTTATCCTGGATTAGGCAGGAGAGTGTATCCACGCCTCTGCTTGGGGTGTTTATTTGCCAGTTGTGGGGGAGATTTGTGACATTCCAAGAGGAGTTAACCTTCAGGATTGTAAACCCTGCTGGCTACCCCTGACTATCAGCCATTTTCGGCTTCAAGGGCACAAACTGAGGAAGTGTCAGTGTCTGGTCTCAGGGTGGGTGATTGTGTATGTATTGAGGAGGAAATATGATTATCATTCCCATCAGAGGAAGCTGGAACTCAAGAGAAGGAAGGGCCTTGCTGGAGATAATAAGGTAATAAATCCTTATTATAATAATAACATATATAAACAAATCCATCATGGCAGCACACAGCCAGTAAGTGACAAAGGGACGTTTCTAACTTAGGTCCCCCATAGCTATTGCTGCCTGTCACCCCCAGCAGTCCTCTGCATCCTGCAACAGCTTCTGCTGGCCTGGGAGACCAGTGTTGATGAGCTTGGCCTTTCTGCTTTAAAGTATAGCTTCATCCAATCCACTCACCATCAATGACTTTTGGTGACTCTTTGGTTAAGAGTCTCTTGCCCCCCAAAGTGAAATGCCTCCTAGTGTCAGGTTTCCTAAGATTTTCTGAAATGATTTCATTTATCTCCAAGCTTGGGTTGGTGCTATGGGTGTGGCCCTCTTGGTACTGATATTCCTTCCTGTGACTCCTGTAGCTCCTTTGGCTCCTGGGACACAGTCTTGCCTCAGTGGCTCCCATCATTGATATGGCTTGGCTGTGACCCACCCAAATCTCATCTGGAATTCCCACATGTTATGGGAGGGATCTGGTGGGAGGTAATTGAATCATGGAGCGTGTCTTTCCTGCACTGTTGTTGTGATAAGTCTCATGAGATCTGATGGTTTTATAATGGGGAGTTTCCCTGAATGAGCTCTCTCTTTACCTTCTGCCATCCATGTAGGACGTCACTTGCTCCTCTTTGCCTTCTGCCATGATTGCGAGGCCTCCTCAGCCATGTGGAACTGTGAGTTCTTTAAACCTCTTTTTTTGGTAAATTGCCCAGTCTTGGGTATGTCTCTATCAACAGCGTGAAAATAGACTAATATAATTGTGCCGTCTGTTCTCTCTTCCTGGACCACTTTTCATCTAGGTGGTCACATGACTCACCCCAGTCCCATTCTCATTAGGGACTCCACTCCAGTATCACTGCTCAGAAAGGCCTTCTGACTCATCTGCCTGAAACAGCAGCTCATGTCACTCACTGTCCTCTTACCCTCTTTTATTCGGACTCAGCCCATCTCATTACCTGACTTTCTATTAAAGGAATTGGCAAATTTTCTTTAAAGGAACAGATAGTATTTTTGTCTTTATGAGTTATATGGTCTCTGTTGCAACTATTCATTCCTGCTGTTGTGGCATAAAATATCTAAACACAATATGTAAATAAATGAGCATGGCTGGGTGTCAATAAAACTTTATTTATAACAACAGGTGATGGGCTGGGTTTGGCTCTTGGACTGTAGTTTGTTTATTTGCTTAATGTCTCTATCATCCACTAGTAAGTAGGGTATTTATGTAGGGTAGATTCATTACAGTAGTCCATAATCTAGAATAGAATAATTCAATGAATGTTGAATCACGAATGAATGAATGCTTAAATGTATCTCTTCCATTTAAAAAGAATAGCTTTGTTGAAACATAATTTGCATACATACAGTTCACTTATTTAAAGTACACACTTCATTGGTTTTTGGTAAATTCACTGAGTTACCCAAGTATTGCTGCAATCTGATTTTAGAACATTTTCTACACTCCAAAAAGAAACCCTGTATCCAGTAACATCCTTCTCCATTTTCCCCACTGTAGGGAACTACTGTTCTATTTCTGTCTCTATGCATTTTTTTGTGCTGGCCATTTCAAATAAATTAAATCATGTAATATGTGGTCTTTTGTGACTGGCTTCTTTCACTTAGTGTAATGTTTTCGAGGTTCATCCATGTTGTAACATGTATCAGAACTTCATTGCTTTTTATTGCAAAATAGCGTTCCATTTTGTGAATATACCACATTTTATTTGTCTATTTATCAGTTGATGGGCACTGGGTTGTTTTCATGTTTTATTTATTTTGGAATATAGACAATGAATAATGCTGCTTGAACATCCATGTATAAGTTTTTGTGTGATCTATGTGCTCATTTCTTGTGGGTGTAATTTAGAAATAGAATTGTTGAGTCATACAGTAGCTGTACAGTTAACATTTGGAAGAACTGCCAATTCTTTTCCAAAGTAACTGCACCATTTATACTCTCGCCTGCTATGAGACTTCTCTGTATTGTCAACAACAATTGTTATTGTCCATCCTTTTGATTCCAGCCATCCTACTGGGTGTGAAATCAGTGTCTCATTGTGGTGTTGATTTGCATTTCTCTGATGACTAATGATGCTGAGCATTTTCTCATGTCTTTATTGGTCATTTGTGTATCATCCTTGGAGAAATGCCTATTCAGATCCTTTGCCCATTTAAACATTGTGTTATATAAGCTTTTACTATGGAGTTGAAAGAGTTTGTTGTATATTCTGGAAACAAGTCCTGTATCAGATATATAATTTTCAAATGTAGTTTTCCATCCTTTGGGATGTCTTTTCACTTTCCTGATAGAAGTCTAAATCATAAAAGTCCTAACTTTTGATAAAGTCCAATTTAACTACTTTTTTCTTTTATTGCTCATGCTTTTATTGTTGGAGCTAAGAAAACATTGCTTATCTCGAGCTCATAAAAATTTACTCCTACTTTTTCCTCTAAGAGTTTTATAGTTTTATCTTTTATATTTAGGTGTTTGGTCCATTTTGAATTAATTTTTATATATGTATGAAGGAGGGGTCAGACTTTGCTCATTTACATGGGGCTATCCAGTTATCCCTGCATCATTTATTGAAAAGTCTATTCTTTCTGTTTAACTATTTGACACCCTTGTAAAGAATCAATTGACCATAAATATAAAGGCTTGTTTCTGGATTCTCATTTCTGTTTCATTGATCTATGTGTCTATCCTTATGCCGGTACCATACTGTTTTGATTAATGCAGTTTTGTAGCAAGTTTTGAAATTAGGAAGTGTGAGTCCTTCGACGTCATCCTTCTTTTTCAAGATTGTTCTGGTGTCTTCTTCTTTTTTACTCACATGTGAAGGCCACAGGCTTTAAAGGGCTGAGTGCCTTGCTCAGAGAGCTTTCCAATTGCCTCAAAGGAGCTTCAAGCCCTGTGCTCAATTAAGTCATGACCTTTTCAAACTGTAAGAGACCTGGGACAAAATGTCTGTGGATTCAGGTCCTGATGTTGCCAGCAACAATGAGGCACAAGCAGCTCCCTTTCCCTCTCCGCATCTGAGATGGGCCATCTTGAAATGAGAGATTCAGGCTAGATGATAACTTTCCTGTCCCCTTGCTGCTGAGATCCTATGGTGCTATGGTTTTAGTTCCATTCAACTGGAGGAAAATATCACTGGGTCCGACAAACCTATTCTACCCTTTAGAAGAAATGTTGAATATGACAAATTTAGGGTGAGGTAAAGCACAGGATATTCACTTAATTGCCTGTTCAATTATTCCATGTTTTTAATCTCATTAGAAAGTTGTTGTTTTCAATATTGACCTTAAAAATTAACGTGGGGTCTGTCACAGTTTATGATGTGAAATTTGTTGGACCATTGTGTGACTGTAATCCAGAGTTAAACAATCTTCTTTTTTTTTTTGGTCTAAATGTATCCACTTGTTTTCTTTGTCTTATCTGAATTCTTACCCAATTACGAAGGGGGCTTAAAAAAAACTGTCCTCAAGAAAGGATTTAAAAATCAGAGTAAGAGAGCCTGTGAACCAGGTAGATACAGGAATGACAGTTACAAGGTGCTTCCCACTCATTGTGCACACGGATGGGGTCACTGTTCTCAGGGTGTCCCCTGTAATCCTCACGGTGGCTCTCTGAAGTAGGCATGATTCATATCCTCACTTCAGGTATATATCCTTCGTTTGAGCAACTACAAGGGGCCTGGTCATTTCTTAGGACATTAGTGTGCATCATTGTTCACATTTATCATCTCAGGCATTCTAGAGGCCATTCCATCTTGGAGACAGTTTCCATGTCCCACAGCCTCTAGGCCCTGGGCCACGCTGCCATGACAAGTATTGGGGTAAGTAGCATCTTTATCTTAAAGATCACACGGGAGCTATGCATCCTTCACTGATTCCTCGGGGTTCCTTGGTGGTGTGTTCCCGTCGTGGGTAAGGCTCCTCTCCAGGGCGTCTGCCTGTGGGTCAGCTATGGTGAGATGCAGGTTCTGAGCCACAAAGGGCAATGCTTCTTCATGGACGTGGTGAGCATTCTGGAAGTTCTCGTCTCAAACAAAGCTGTAAAAAAATGCAAGAAGGGCTGATGCTACGCTATGGAGATAGTAGGCATTCGATAAAAAGCAGTCAAATCTGCAGCAGATTTGCCCATGGAATGAAAGCACGAGTCAACGCGACTGTGCCGGGTGGGAGAAACACTATTTAACATTATCTTGACTTGCTAGATGTCACTGAGAGTTAGAAGTTCAGATGTCATTGGAAGTTGAGGGATGCAAGGATGAACATGTAGTCTCATGTTTATGTCTAAGATGAAAACTGTACAATAACAGAACAGAGCAGAGCTCAGATGCGCCCTTCTCTTGGCTTCAGTGCTTTGGTCTCTAACTTTCTGCATCTGTGCCCCTCTCTGGGGTCTGCCTTCAGGCTACTGGAGCTGCTTTGCCATTCCCGGAAGAGAAGAGGGACTGCCTGGGAGGTTATGACCCTTTGGGGTTTCCTTAGCCAAGGGCTGACCAGTGAGGGAGTATGAGAGCCCAGCTCCCTGGCTCAAGTCTGACAAACTCGAAGGTGTAATTATTACTCCAGAGCTCCCCTGCAGGGTCAGTCTGAGGCTGCCCTTTTGATATGGTTTGGATTTGTGTGTTCCCACCCAAATCTCATGTGGAACTGTAATCCCCAATGTTGGAGGAGGGGCCTGGTGGGAGGTGACTGTTTTGTGGAGGTGGACTTACCGTGTGCTATTCTTGTGAGAGTGAATTCTCATGAGATCTGGTTGTTTAAAAGTGTGTTGCATCTCTCCCCTTCTTTATCTCTTCCTTCCGCTCTGGCCATATAGGACGAGCCTGCTTCCCCTTCCTCTTCCGCCATGCTGGAAAGCTTCCTGAGGCCTCCCCAGCCATGCTACTTGTACATTCTGCAGAACCATGAGCCAATTAAACCTCTTTTCTTGATAAATTACCCAGTTTCAGGTATTTATTTATAGAAGTGTGAGAACAAACTAATACACCTTCCTAGGGCTTTGGCTGTGGTCACAGCCTTGCTAGGTTTCTTCCTTTTGATGCCCTCCTTACCACAGTCTCTTACTAGTTTCCTCCAGGAAAACCTCTCTAATAAGTCCCTACTCCATTTCTGGGAAACCTGACCACAAATATCTGCCAAAGTAGTGTATACTTGGGTTGCAATAACAGGAGTATAGTCTCTATGATAAGGGAGCTGAAAATTCTACTTTGTGCTACTCAGACCATATCTGGAGTATTGGGTCAGTTGGCTAAAATGTTTAGAACATTTTTTAAAAGTATAAGCAGGTCCAAGGAGTGGTGACCAAGATACTCCAAGAATTCCAAGGGAAGTCCTGTGAGGAGTAGAGTTAGAGGACCTGAGATTACGCTTGAGAAAATATGGAATAAGCCAGAGCACCATCCTTAAGTAACTGGAGTGCCCTTACAGGGATGGAGAAGCAGCTCACCATGGCAGGTTCTACAGGAGGGAAGGAGGCCCAGAAAGAAGATGTTGCAGGAAGGCAAAGCTCCATGTGAGAAAGACCTACTCAGTCATCAAAGTCATTTAAGGATAGGATCAGCGTCCTTGGGAGAACATGGGTTTCCTGCCATGGGAGGCAGCCGGGCAGTTGAGAAACAGTTGCCTCTAAGGAGCTTCAAAGGGGATTCCAGTATTTCCTGGGGCACTGGACCCAGTGAGTTCTGGCCCATTTCAACGATTCTGTTACTCTGACCATTCTAAGCCATGCCTGAGGTGTTAAAGCAGATCTTGTTCCTGCCCTCAAGCAACTTCTGGTCTAGTGGGGAAGACAGAGACACAAACAGACACATACACACAAATAACTAAGCCACAGGAAAGTGTGTTTCAAGTGCTGCAGGCATAATAAAGCTGTCACAACTCCAATTTCTTTTATAGAAGGTAGACAAGGAAGGCCTCCCCAAGGAGCAGACACTCAGCGGGGTCTAGGGGGAGTGAGGAGTCAGGCAGTTTTGAGAATGCAGGTAAGGCACTGAGGCCGAGGGGGCAGTAGGGCAAAGGCCCTGTGGTGAGCACCCCTTGGTGCCGTTGAGGTGTGTGGGTGAGTGAGCCATTGCATGGGGTCGGGGAGCCATGTGTCCATTTTGGGGACCATAAGGGCCAACTATGACAGGAGATTTTGATTTTATTCTAAGAGCAATGAGAAGTCCTTGAAGGATTTGAAGCTGGGAGGAGATTGACCTACAGCCTCTGAAAGACCCCTCCGAGGGTGGCGTGGAACCCGGGAGCAGGGGGATCCAGAGACAGGGCTGCGGCCGAGGTCCAGGGGAGAGATGAACAGCCTGAACAAAGGTACAGACCAGGAGGAGGGGAAAGGGAGAGGCAATGGGAGCAGAAATTGATGCTGGAGTTCAGCCAGGATGATGGTCTTCTGTCTTGGAAGTGGAAGGTGCAAGAGACAGAAGGTTCAGGTGCAGCTCGGCTCAGGCATCAGACTTGACCACCTGGGTGAATGACGGGGCCGTCTGATGAGAAGCACGGCAGGGACACATTTTGGGGAAGCAGCTGTGAGAGCAGCTTCGAGAGCCTTCTGCAGTCCCTCCTGTCTGTGTCTTTCTGCCCACTAGACTGGAAGTCCCCACAGGGAAGGGCTGTGCCTCTGTTGCTTTGCACAGCCTGAACCAGGCCAAGGGTTGAATGAATGACTCATTCATTCTATGATTATCTGAGTGGGGAGAGGTATCATTGAGATCCCACCTAATCACAAAGGATCACAATCCCTCTCTCTGATATTTTCCCTTCTTCCTGCCGGGGACAGATGCCTGCACGTGTCATGGACTTAGACGCCCAAGGCTCTGGCCTCTCATGACTGTGGACTGGCAGATTCTGTTCAAAGATTTTGCGTTTTCATTTGAAGGAATTATTCCCACTTATCTCTAATCTAGACCAGATTGGTTTAATACGAAACAAAAGTCCCTTGGTGGCCCAGGGCGGATGCTTGCTCGGCTGTCTCCAGGCTGTGGGGGGCTGGTGATGCTCAAGTGTGTCCCAAAGAACAGGCCTATAACAATGTGACACTGTGTGTGTGTGTGTGTGTGTGTGTGTGTGTATGTGAAATAGAACATTTTCCTACATACTTTATGCTTTGGGGGTTTCAGAAAAATGCCGTGGAACAGATGCAAACTGTTTGAGCATCAGCTGACCGCTTTTACTGTTGACAGTTGGGTGACATCGGACCCTCTGTGTTTTTTGGCCTCCCTGGGTCTCTGACTCTCTGACTCTCTGTTGTCCTCCACAGCCCTTTCTACATGGGAGGCAGCCCTTGTGGTGTGGTGAGCAAAGCACTGGATATGGAGTCAGAACTCCTGGGTCCTGTCCAAGCTCTGACTCTTACTAGCTGGGTGACCTTGGGCAAGCCTCCCAACTTCTCAAAGCCTTGTTTGGGCTGCTGCAAAATGCCCAGCACCTACTTGGTAGAGTTGCTGTGTGGTTCCATTAAATGCAAAATGAATGTGAAAGGTAGGCCACAGCTCTTTGCCTCCCTGGCCACTGTGTTTCCTTCTGTACAATGGGAAGTGGGATTCATGGATTTCTGGGTGTTTCTGGTTGAATGCCATATGTAACATGTTAAATAAAACAACTTTCCGTACAAAACAAAAAGAGCTTGATTAATGGCTTAGTTAAAGTCTGTGGTCTTAGAAAGCGCAAATGCAAATGTCTGCAGGCACCACGCATGGGGAATAAAGCTGATGGGGTGCAGTGTGGCAGGGTGGGGTAGGGACCCTGTACGTTGAGATGACCGTCTAAACTGGGATGTCTGTTGTTTAGCTCCAGTTGATTGAAGTCATGTAGCTAAGCAGGTCCTGGGTTGCTAGAATTGTGTTTTTATTTTAATTTTTTTTAATAGAGGCAGAGACTTACTGTTGGTTAGGCTGGACTACAGTGGCACAGTCCTAGCTCGTGGCAGCTTTGGCCTCCTGGGTTCAAGCAATGCCTTAGCCTCAGCCTCCCGAGTAACTGAGACCACAGCTGTGCACCACTCCATGAGGCTATTTTTATTTTTTAAATTTTATTTATTATTATTATTATTTTTTTAGATGAAGTCTTGTACTGTTGCCCAGGCTGGAGTGCAGTGGTGAGATCTTGGCTCACTGCAACCTCCGCCTCCTGGGTTCAAGCGATTCTCCTGCCTCAGCCTCCTGAGTAGCTGGGATTACAGGCGCCTGCCACCACACCTAGCTAATTTTTGTATTTTTAGTAGAGACGGGGTTTCGCCATGTTGGTCAGTCTGGTCTTGAACTCCTGACCTCATGATCCACCCGCCTTGGCCTCCCAAAATGCTGGGATTACAGGCATGAGCCACTGTGCCTGGCTTATTTTAATTTTTTTGTAGAGATGGGGTCTCACTATGTTGCCCAGGGTGGTCTCAAACTCCTGGCCTCAAGCAATCCTCCTGCTTCGGCCTCCCAGAGTACTGGGATTATAGGTGTAGGCCACTGAGCCTAGCCAGTTGCCAGATCTTATGTAAATCTGGTCTTTAAAGGTTCATCCTCCTCTAAACATTTTTCAACATTGGCAGCCAAATGAAGTCTGTGAGCTGGGTACGGTCTGCTGCTTGCAATGTTACTTCTTCTGGGTAAACATCCTCTTCCATCAAGATCTGGCTCACGTAGCCTCTTCTGAGCAGGGCCTGCCATCTGTACTTCTGTAATCGGTAAGGTGTCCATCCTAGAGCCTGCCACCCTCTTTGTCATGCTCGGTTACTGAGGTTGTCCCTGGTAGGCCTGAGCTACCCAAGGACAAACTTAGGTCCAATTCATCTTATTCACCTTTGCATCCTGGGGGTCACCCCAGACCCCAAATGCAATAAGCCCTCAATCAGTGCGTTGTCATGGGACCAAGCCTGCCTACTTCTCATTTGCTGTTAGCTGTGTTTTCACTTTCAAAAAATGAACCTACAATTGCTGCTTAGCAAGCTATCTGGGAGGCTTCCTTGGGGATGTGCACATACAGTGTCCAGCACACAGTAGGTCCTCTCATCTTTCCGAGCTGGTCTCTGCCATGCTCTGGGATGGAACTGCATGGAATCTATGAAGCACACCCAGTTGGAGGGCAACCTTTGGCATGATTGTAGCATCTGCCTCAAGTGTCTTCCCTCTGGTCTCAGGGGCTCTGCTCTCTGATGCTGGCAGTTGGTCAGGTAGCGCCTTTTCTCAGGCCCAGAGGTGTGGTCCTCTGAGCATTACTCTCCCCCATCCTCTTCTTCCTCAGCTCTCAAATGCCAAAGATGCTGTTTTTTTAAGAATATATTTTCTATTTTATTTTATTTTTAATTTTTTAAATTTTCATAGGTTATTGGGGAACAGGTGGTATTTGGTTACATGAGTAAGTTCCTTAGTGGTGATTTGTGAGATTTTCATGCACCCATCACCCGAGCAGTATACACTGCACACAATTTGTAGTCTTTTATCCCTCACCCCCTTCCCACCCTTTCCCCCTGAGTCCCCAAAGTCCATTGTGTCATTCTTATGCCTTTGCATCCTCGTAGCTTAGCTCTCACTTATTAGTGAGAACATATGATATTTGTTTTTCCATTCTTGAGTTACTTAACTTAGAATAACAGTCTCCAATCTCATCCAGGTCACTGTGAATGCTATTAATCCATTCCTTTTTATGGCTGAGTAGTATTCCATCATATACTAAGTATACTTCCAGGTAATGTAATCTTGGCCTTTCTCCTCTGTCTTTGACCCCCAAGCATTTTAAAGCTCCCAGAATTGTAATAATTAGGTATTATCAGGTCATGTGATATGGTGTTTTTCCCTCACTTTGGGGTATTGCTTTATATTTCCTTTTTTTCTATCATTACATTGCTGACAAAAACAATGATGCATGCTTTTTTTCAAATGCTCCCTTCAGATGCTCCTGGGTCTTAAGTAAACATGAAAGAAAGGGCCTCCAGGGTCCTTCCTGGGAGGAAGATGCCGCAATTTTGGGGTCAGGCAGGTCAGTGCTGTGCAGTTGCCCAGATAGGGAGCCTCACACTTGCTGGTAATTGGGAGAGTCTCTCGCTCTGCAGACTGGCCAGTAGAAGGAAAAGGTCCCCAGTGGTTGTCATGCCCTTGGCTGGAGGGTAGAGAGGCCCATGTGACCCGAGCTTCCCGCTTGATCCTAGAACTATGGGACCCTGCCTGGGTGGCTCCAACTTTGTCCAACCCTTCTTAGCTGTGAACGAGCAACAGTGACAGCTGCAGCGACAGCCCCTGAGCCTTCTGTATCCAGTGACTGGCACTTCCTGAGTGGCTCTGTGCATGTCGTCCTGGGGCCCTGCCTGGACCCCGGGGCTGCTCAGCCTCACTTTACAGATGAAACCACAGCTCAGGCACCCGAGGGCGACTCGGCAGGCATGGGCCAGAATGGGCCTGGGATCTAAACCTGTCTGACCCCAAAACCCGTGTTCTCACCATTGCAAGCCAAGCTGCCTCAAGAACCAGGACTCCTGAGTCCTCTGACTCCCTGTCTAGTGCTCTTTTTAAAATAATAATACAGATGATGGTAATAATAACGATGATGATAATAATAAAAACAGTAATCACAGCTGACTTTTATTGAGTCATTCTGTGTCCAGGGCCCTGCTCTAAGTGCTTTGTATGATTGATGCATTTGAACTTCATACACAATCATGTGAGGTAGGTACTATTATTATTCCCATTTTACTGATGAGGAAACTGAGTCACAGAAAGTTTGAATAACCTGTTCAAGGTAATATAGCTAGGACAAGACCCAGGTGAGCTTCAAACCCAGACCACCTTTCCCCAGAACTTGTGGTCTTATAGGTCCAGTTAAACTCCCTACATCTGTAAGTTCTTTCTAATTCTCAAAGCCCCTTTCAAATATGTGAGTAGCTCTGCCCCTTGCACCTGCCATTTCCCCTCCTGGAGTAGTTATTTATTGTCTCTAGCCTGGGGATGCTGAGAGCATGTTGGTGTGAGGTTCAATGAGACAGGAAATGGCCTGGCATCCTGATTTGTACCTTTACGGGCTGGTGTTATGTTATTTGTTATCTCTTATTTATTATCCATCTTCCCAGACACTCTTCAAGGTGACAAGGTTCTTTCCACTTCATTGAGGGAGAAACTGAGGCACAGATTGGAAAGTGACTTTCTCAAGATCATGTGGCTGGAAAACATCACAGCCAGGTTTCTTTCCAGTCTGCACAAGGCTGCTCAGGTCTACCCAAGACAGCATTCTGTCCCTTCAGAACAAGGGGTTCAGACCAAAGGGAAGATGAAGGAATGAAACACCCCACGAAAGGAAAAATTAGAGCAAAACATCAAGCACCAGTTCGGGGAGAACCACATGAGAACGGGCAGGGGGCAAGGACATGGGCTGGGCTTGGCTGTGCCCAGTGCCCTGGCATAGCCTCCTGCTGCAGGCATTCTGGGTGCTGATGTGGAGTGCATGCCACGGGAGCCCAGGAAGCATGGCTGGGTCACCCCGTGAACAGGTATGGAGGAGCACAGGCAGGCTGGGATTCCGTTCTGGGCAGGCACCATGGACTGCCTCTGGTGTTCGTTGCAGACGTTTATTGTGCAATATTAGACGTACCCATATCCCTTCCAGGGCACATTTGGGAGGAGAAGAAGAAGGAAGAAACTTTCTGGAAAGAATCAGATTTGCAGGGAAATCCAACTTTCCTGTGTAGGGACCGAGTGCTTGGTGGATCAGGCATCCGGCCAGAGATTGGGGGTCTGTGATGGGCTTCCAAGCTGTGTGTTGGAGCTGGGGGAAAGAGAAAGGAGGCCAGCCCCAAGTTCTTCTCTTGGTGTTTCATTCAGTAAATGACAAATAGGAGTCACACATTGGGCCTAGAATCGATACCAAAAATCAGTGAGGAAAATGGCCTGGGGTTCACAGCTGATGGAGCCACATGCGAGCTCCAGAGGTTCTGGCAAGAGCCACCCTTCACTCCACAGTGAAATGCACCAAACCACTGCCCTGGACAAACGTGGCTGGCTGGGATTCTGGCTTCTCAACCACAATCGCTTGATCTGCCAGGGCTGCCATGACAAAGCACCACAGAGCGGGGGGCCCAAATGACAGACATTTATTTGCTCACAGTTCTGGAGGCCAGAAGTCCAAGATCAAGGTGTCAGTAGGGTTGGTTTCCCCTGAGGCCTCTCTCCTTGGCTTCTAGATGGCCACCGTCTCTTGTGTCCTCACATGGCCTTTCTTTTGCATGTGTCTCCATCTTAATTTCTTATAAGGACAACAGTCAGATTGAATTAGGTCCCACCTGAATGACCTCATTTTAACTTAATTACCTCTTTAGAAACCCTATCTCCAAATAGTTACATTCGGAGGTATTAGGGGTTAGGGCTTCATCATGTAAATTTTGGGGGGACATGATTCTACCCATCACAGTCACTGTGATGACAGTGGTAACAGCTGAAGTTTATTATTGAGTGTGAACTTTGTCCAGTGCTAGGTGCTTTCTGCAACTTTATGCAGAACTCACCACCACCACCCAGGGAGGTCCAAGCTCGTCTCTCCCTTGCCCCATAAGTGAGGAAACAGAGGCCCAGAGCTGCAAAAGGATTTGTCCAGCAGCCACAGCAAGTGAGGGTTGCAGCTGGCCCTGAACTGGGAGGCAGTCTCCAGAGCCTTCTTTGACCGGTACTGCTGCATCTGCCTGCAGATATTGACACCTCCATTGCAGATGCCAAAATCTAGACCAGATGACTTGTCCGAAGTCATGCTGCTTGGCGGAGGCAGGAGCACCTGAGTAGTGTGGGCTGGATGCTGAAGCACATTCCAGTAAACTGCACAGCTGCCCGTTTCCTCTGGGGATAAGCAGTCCCCAGTACAGACGCAGATGCTGGGCAGACAGGACAGTGTATGCTCTGAGGTGCGGCCGGGGAAATGTCAGAGCAGGTGCGTGGGACAGGCCTGTGGTGGGATGGGACACAGGCAGGTGAGAGCCTGAAGGTCTTAAACCTACCTGTAGCCAGAGTTTGCTACATGTCCATGCCTTTTTTTTTTCAAGCCAGTTTATTGAGATCGAATTATATACATAAAATTCATACTTTAAAGGTGTGCTGGTCTATAAGTTCTAGCCAATGTATATAGTGGTGTAATCAATGCCACAGTCAACATATAGAGTATTTCTGTCATTCCACCAAATTCCCTGCTGCCGCTCTGTAGCCACTCCCCAACCCAACCTCTGGAAACCACATAGAATCGTATAAACACCATGAGAATCAAGATTTATAATGCTTCCATCACCCCCCAAAATGCCCCTCATTTCTCTCTATGGTCACCTTCTAAATTTCTGATCTGTTTTCTGTTACTATAGTTTTGCCTTTGCAGCATAGCCTATACATGGAATCACACAGTACGTAGCTTTTGGCCCTCATTTCTTTCACTTAGGATAAGACACTTTCCATCCATCAAGTTGTTGCCTGTATTCACAGTTCATTCCTTTTCATTGCCAAGTAGTATTCCATGATACGGATGCACCACAATTTGTGGATCTGCTAGTGATTATGAATAATGCTGCTCTAAATATTTGCATACAGGTTTTCGTATGGACATGTCTTCATTACTTTTAGGTAAATACCTAGGAATGGATTTGCTGGGTCGCATGCAAGAATATATGAACTTTGTCAGATGCTGCCAAACCATTCTCCAAAAAGGTTGTGCCATGTCACACTTCCGCCAGCAATGTGTGACAGTTTCAGTTGCCTCATATCCTTGAGAGCATTTAATATTGCCAGTATATTTTTAGCTATTCTAATAAATGTGTAGTAGTATTTCATTTTGATTTTTAAATTTGCATTTTTCTTAACACCGATGATGTTGAACGCACCTTTTCACATGCTTGTTTGCCATACATGCATCTTCTTTGGTAGGATTTCTGGTTAAATTCTGGATATGAGTCTTTTGTCAGATAAACAACTTGCAAACATTTTTCTCCCAAACTGTGGCTTATCTTTTCATTCTCTTAACAGAGTCTTTCAAAGAGCATAAATATTTAATTTTGATGGAGTCCAATTCATCAATATTTTTCTTTAATGGCTTGTGCTTTTTTGTCTTAGCTAAGAAATTCTTACCTAACTCAAGGTCACATAGACTTTCTCCCAGGCCGCCGGGAAATTTGATAGCTCTGTTTTTAAAATTGAGGTCTCACAAGACTCTTCAAAAATGCTTTCTCACTTGAATCTTGCACCAAGCTTGCAGGTTGGCTCTTTTAACCCTCAGTTTACAGATGAGGAAACTGAGGCTTGAAGAGAGGTTCATTGTCTCATCCAATGACCACAAAGGTAGGACATGTTGATCAAGATTTGAATGTTAGTCTCTCAGGTTCCAAAACTTGTCCTTGACTTTGCTTTCAGTTGGGAGAAAAACGTGGCCTTCCTCAGAGCCACCTGAAGTACCCGTTTAGGGAGGTGGCTTCAAATGATCAAGGTACATAGGAAATGATCAAGATTTGAATGCAAGTCTCTTAGATTCCAAAACTTGTCCTCGACTTTGCTTTCAGCTGGGAGACAAACGTGGCTTTCCTCAGAGCCTCCTGAAGTGCCCTTTTAAGGAGATGGTCACAGTTTCCTTCACGTGCTCAGCCTTTGCTCAGTGTCTCCTCTCAAGCAGACTCTGCTGACACCAGCACACACAGTGGATGGTGGGGACAGTGAGGTGGGGAGAGGAGAAAAGCCAATACATGGCACATAACTGAGATGGTGGCTGCTGTGGGCAGCTGGATGCATTTCCTCTAGGCAGCCTCTGAAGGACCAAATAAATGTGCCTCACCCTTGTGGCATTGAAGGCTGGGAGGCTGGCCCACTCAACCACCAACTCTCACTCCACTGTTGAGGTTGGGCTCCTAGGGAATTCATAACCAGGCCCTGCCCT
Source organism: Homo sapiens (assembly GCF_000001405.40). Lineage (NCBI taxonomy): Eukaryota > Metazoa > Chordata > Mammalia > Primates > Hominidae > Homo > Homo sapiens. Next base: position 98,864,459 of record NC_000014.9, on the reverse strand, counting down.
GCGATGGCAAAGCAGAGAGGTGCCCTGCTGTGGCCACATGCATGGAACTATCTACCCAGCTGCGCTGAAATCAGATGTGGCAAGAGGACTCAGGTGGGGCCATGCCCCTCAGCTATAGCTCCACCCAGCAGGGCAGCAACAGATCCTTCTCATGCACCACCCAGATGTTCCAGGTCTCACTTTCTCACTCAATTAGATGATCAGCTCTGTGTAGGCTTCACTGATTTCCATGAGGACACCAGGGTAGCCCTGTGCCTCTGGCCTGCTGCCCTGTAGTTGGAGAGGCAGCGGATGTGGGAATGTCTGTCCCATGTACTTGAAGGGGCAACCTGGAAGTGGAGAGGATTTATGTTCCTTCCTGAAACAGCCTTGCAAATTTGTATAGCTGTTAAAAGCCATTCTAGAGGGGGCTGGGGGTTTCTGCCATGATTTGGACATGTTGGTTTGGGGATGCCACACATCTGGTTCTATGCGCTTGCATTTTTAAATTTTCAACCCAAAGAAGGGCGTCCTCTACTCAGTCCCTAACTTCAGGGTGGCATTGCATAACTGAGGGTGTGGGTGTGTTTAATTCCTGACTCTTCTCTTAACAGTTGCGGAACAATGTACACAAAGTTTACCTTCTTTTTCCATTAAGGTAAATTATCATGAATTTTACGTTAAGAGCATTTTTAGAATGTCACATTAGGATGCTTGGAACCATCTTGAGACAATTCCAAACATGATGGAAAACCAGGGCCATGTGAGACTGATATCCGAGGGGCGCTTGTCTAAAGGGCAAAAATAACAACAACTTACAAGCAACTCTCCTCAACAGAAGCAAAACAAAGCAAAATGAAGACAGAAAAAAAAAAACACTCAGTTGGTGATCAGGGGAAATAAGGTTGCATCTTGGTTCTGCCGTTTATGTGACCTTCACCATGTGGCCCTCACCAGGCTGCCTTAACGTCTTTTACAGGCTCCATGTGACATGTTGGAGATGTCACAGGAGGTGTGGCAGGGCAGTTCTTTCTAGGCACAGTGTCCCCCACATGGGGGTAGGAGGCACTGGGAGGTGGAAGAGGAAATGTCTCCACGATTGTGTCTCCTAATTCCTCAAATAAAGACTAGGGTACCGCTGCTTCCGCTAACTCTCCCAGCCCCTGTTTGAGAGGGGCGTCTCTCATTCGAGGCGCTGTGCTAAACTAATGTCTGTTTCCTAAGGCTGCCATAACAAATTCACACAAACTGGTGACTTACAACAACAGAAACTCATTCAGGGTCCTGAAGGCAGAAGTCCAAAACCAAGGTGTCCACAGGTGGGTTCCTTCTAGAGGCTCTGAGAGAGACTCCCATCTGTGCCTCTTCCAGATTCTGGTGGCTGCTGGAAACCCATGTTCCTTGGCTTGTGTATGCATCACTCTAGCCTCCGCCTCCGTTATCAAGTGATGCTTTGCTCTGTGTCTATGTAAACCTTCCTCTGTCATTTTCATTATAAGGACACTTGTCATTGCACCTAGAGCCCTCCCAGGTAATCCAGGAGGATCTCATCTCTAGATCTTTAACTTAATTACTTCTGCAAAGACTTTCCAAGTAAGATCATGTTCACAGGTTCCAGATTATTATATCCTCCCATCTGAAGTGGAGAAAAATGAAACATGTAGATCTAGACTTAACCCTTAGTGACTGACAGAACTGGAACTCAAATTCAGGTCTGGCTTCAAAACTCATGCTCTTAGATATCAAATTATCAAGCTGTTTCCCCTCCTTTTAAGTTGCTAATAATAACAGCTATCTTCTACAGTATCACTTACTTTCCAAACATTTTTTCTAATCCTCTTGTGATCCCTGAAAGATGATATGACCATCTTCCTTGGACAGTGGAGATTACTGAGACTGAAAAAGGTGCAATGTCTTGCCTGGTGTCACACAGTAAGCGAGAGGCCAAGAGCAAGCTTGGACCCAGCATTGATGAATTCCAAACTTTGAACTCTTCCTTTTTCCGTTTATGTAGTGTGTGGTTAAGAGCACTGACTGTCCACCTGGGGCTTTCAGGATTTGCACCTGTTCAATGAGGTGGGTCACCTACTGGCTGACCCCAGGCGTAGACCACCCTGCCTCCAAGTTCTGCATCTGTTTGATCATACCTCCTGGTCTTCTGGTACTTGATGAACAAAGGCACAGTGGGTACATATTTCATCGCCTCCATCTTCATGACTGTATTCAGTAACCGAGTGTGATTATTAAATTTGAGCTTCCTCCTGCATCCGTCTACTCAGGGGCTATGTTCCCCGGCCAAGTCATCTGGGCAGGCCATAGACCACATGTGAGACTTAAGATTTTCGGAACTCCATTTCTCCACTTGGGCTGGATCACAGGAGCAATTTCAGCCCCGAGTCTTTGATGCTGGCTGTTTGGTTTCATAAAAGTTATATAGAAAGTTATAAAAGAGTGATAAGACTCTTCAGTTTTACCACCAAATGGAAAAGTTGTCCACACAAAGACTTTATAACCATCTTGTAGCAATTTTGAGGCTCTGCCATCATCTTAGCTGATTATGTATTAAAGGAGTCTTTGAAAGAAGCCCTAACCTTTGGTTGCATATGGACAAGACAGAAAGACAACAACTGAGCTTCTTGGCTTCAAAGTTTGGGCTTGGAGACTGGATGTTCTCAGAAGGGGTGGATGTTCCTATTGGTCACTTAGACCGGCTTCCTCTGATTCAGATATATTACATCTTAGGAATAAAGCTATTTACAACCACTGTAAAAGTCATAGCTGGTGAGAAGCTGCTTCTGAAACAAGGACATAGTTTGTCAAAGCAGAAAGCCTGGGATTCTTTTGCAAATTTGCTGCTCCTTTAGCTGGGAGGTTCTGGAAGCATCAGTTTTCTGAGCTTTGGTTTCCCCATATGAAAACTGGTTGGTGATGCCTTCACAGTGTTGTTCTAAGCAGGGGTCAAGTGTACAAGGCATAGCTTTGTCATCTGCATAGGACAACTCAGACTTTAGTTAATATTAACTTCAGTTAATGTGGTTTAATAAAACTCTTAAACGTGTATGTAATTCCTAAGCCTTTCTCCTAGGAATGCGTATGTGTAGATTAGGATTTGTTTTATTTAAAACCGTCACTTTTGCTTTCTGATCTAAAATTGTGCATTCACACAGGGTAGGTGGATTTGTTCCTGGGGCTGCTGTAACATGTAGCACAAATGGGGTGGGGGCTTGAAACAACAGAAATTTATTCTCTCTTGGTTCTGGAGGCCAGATGTCCAAGGTCAAGGTGCAGGGCTGTGCTCACTCCAAAGGCCCTGGAGGAGAATCCTTCCCTGCCTCTTTTGTCTTCTGGTGGTTCCTAGTGTTCCCTGGCTTGTGGCAGCATCACACCAATCTCTGCCTTGGTCTCCACATGTATCTCAAAGCTCCCTCTACCGTTCTCTCATAGGACACTTGCCATTGGATTAGGGTCCATCCAGATAATCCAGGATGATCTCATCTCAAGATCCTTAATTTAATTTCATCTGCAAAAGCCCTTTCTCCAAATAAGGTCCTATTCACAGATTCTGGGTGGAGCTATTTTCTTGGTGGTGGTGGTGGGGGACCATTTGACCCATGATCCTAGGAATTTGTGAAGAATTATTAAGATCCCACTTTGAAAGGTATCAAAGGCACCTTACCTCTGAAGGACACATTTTCCAGTAACCATGCTATATTATTTTAAGGGGGTGCAAGCTGGCATGAGACACACATCTTTCTTCTTTATTATGTCTCACTACAGAGCTTTCATTAGGCAATAAGCTTACCACAGTGGGAATTTAACAAAAGCAATATCAAATCACAGACCAAAATGCCTCCTTCTCCCGAGTCTGATACAATAGTGGTGCTTCGTAACCAGGGGGCACGTCATTTCTTTACAGCCATCAACTCGGAATAGGAGCATGTGGCTCCTGGAGCTCTCTTCACCCAAGAACAGCCACGTGGAGACAGGAACACAGTGATTCAACAACACGGAAATCAAGCCACACGTCTGTCTCTGAGCCATTTGTGTCTCTGCTGGCATCTCTCAAAGAAGCTGAAGACTGTGGCTGGCAAGTGTCATGGGATTTGGGGACCTCACTTCTTTGACAAATGTCTGGGTTGCAGGATGGGAGGTGGAACGGAAATTGGATAACCTTGAGACATTGTCACTCCCCAAATTCTGGGAAGCGTCCTGCATGTGAGGCCGTCCTGATGTCAGGCCCCATGCTGCTCCAAACATATTAGTGAAATGAAATTGCATGGCTGTTTTTCTGAGACTCAAACACATATTTCCATGGCTGTTTCTCCTGCCCAGATGCCTGGGGTACCGCTGCCCCATGGAGCTAAAGGAGGAGCAAACTGCCATGAGATGGGGCAGCAGTACTTCCACTCCCTAGCCCAGGCACCTGCAGCCCTGGCCCTCATGCATGTTATGTCGTGGCCACCGCCCCCAAGCCTGGCCCCTGCTGCCCCTCAGTCAGCCTCTGATGGGCTTCTGCTTGACTGTGTGTCCAGGCCCTGGCTCAGGTCTTTCCTGAGTCCCCTTGGCCCCCAGCCTCTGTCTTCTCTTCTCTAATCCTCCATTAATCCCATGCAGAGTCATCCTTTTGGAAGGCTCCTATGAAGGCATGCCCTCTCCTCTCCCCATCCCTGGCTGGTTCCCTCCCTCTGTGGATCTGGGCTCTGCACCCTCCACCCGCATCCCTAACCCACTTGGGGCTGTCTCTTGGACCACAGTGTTCTCCAAGTTCTTGCCTGCACTTTCTGCTCCCTGTCAGGAGCACCTGACAAGCTCCCTCCTAGGCAGCATCAGCCCCTCAATCACAGTGACTTTTCCTGCCCTCTCCACTTCCACTGAGCTGTGAGCCTGCCCTGCAGCTTGAGGGCTGGCGTTGCTCATCCCTGAGTCTCCAGCATGTAGCTGGGGCTTGGCACAGAGTAGGGGCTCAGTGTTTGCCCTGTGGATGGAAGCCACCACCTTCCTGGCCTCCAAGCTCCCACAGCTTGGGGCTGGAGCCTGAACTCAGCTGCTCATTCCTTCCTAATTCTCTTTTAATGCTCGGCCCCCAGGTGTGGCCAAGTGACCCCCTCTGTCTAATCCACAGCACAGCTGAGGGCAGGCTGCTTGGTTTCCAGTGAGCTGGGAAGATTGAACAGAAATACAGGGTCTCAGAGACCCCAGCAGCCTGGGTCACCAGGCCCTATACATTTCTGGCTCCCTCTCTACTCCCACCTAGTAGACAGTGCTCCTAGGTGACACCACTGGTGGCCTGTCCCCCTGGGTCTGGACTGAGGGGAGGGCAAGAGCTGGGGGGTCTTGGAGTCCACCTCCCAGGCTGTTCCTCTGGGCCCGGGCCCTCCTCAGTCCCTGCCTTGCGGGTAGCCAGAGTTCACTCACCCGCTTCCCCATCAGCATCTTCTTCCTTACCCCAGAAGGCATCAGAACTTCCCATGTGTGACCAGGTTACGATTCTTTCCTTACCATTGGGAGTCATGTTCCAATCACCCATTCCAAGGGCAGAAAGATGAAAACACATAAGCGCGTGAGCCCGTGGGAGGCTCACCTGGTGAGCTGAAGCACATATGGGTCATTTCTTCCTCTGTGGAAGGGAAGGTTAAAAATCCTCCCGTGCCTGGCCTGGCAGGACAGAGCAAGTAACAGCAACGTGGATTCTGGGGCTCCATGGATGGGGTGGCATCGGCTCAGTGAGAGGCTGGCCAGCTTCGAGCATACAAGGCCCTGGCGAGGACAGGGGGCACCTTGGCATGCAAAATGAGCCAGATATCAGAGGGCTGGGGATGCTGGGAGGTGCTGGGGCAAGGGGAGGGTGGCCAGGCATGGCCACAATGCCCAGCAGCCTCTGCTTTTGCGCCCCTGCTCAGAACTTCCCCTGCTGCGTGACCCAGGAGTGAGTGATCCCCCAACCCCAGAAGCTCACCCTGACATCTGCCCAGGTCTAGACTGATGTCATTTCTTCCCCGGGCACCTGCCACGGCTTATTCATGAGCTGTCCACACCTGCCACCTGTTCTTGTCTGTGCCAATCCTTTCTCCACACTGCACGGAGCAAGCTTTAAGAAATCCCAAGCTTCAGAGTCCCTCTGTTTCCCGTGGCTCACAGGGTCAAGCCATGACTTTAACATGACCACTGGCCAGGTGCCCTGGGGACCTGGTCTCCACCTACCTCTCCCCTTCCGCTCCCTGACAGTGGCCTTCTTTCTGTACCCTAGAGCCCTCTGCCAGCATGTCCACCCCAGAGCCTTTGCTTGCGCCATGCTCTGCCCGGAGTGCTCTTCTCTCCCTCTTCCCATGGCTAATCCCTGCCATGCTCTGGATCTCTACCGACTTCGTGGGCCAAGTCCCCTTGCTGTCAAGTCTTGTAGCACACTGTGCTTTTCCTTCATAGATTCTCATTCTATAGTTGTTTATTTCACTTGTAATTGCTTATGTGATTATTTGGCTCATGCATAGTCCCTCCATGCTCAATGGACTAATTAACTCAGCTGTATTCATTGAGTGCCTACTATGTGTTGGCTGCTGATGCTGCACTGGTGCCCTACAAACACTGTGCACAGGGTACTCTCTCTGACCTGCTAACCATAGCAGGGTACCAGGCACATCCAAGGAGCTGGAGAAATGTTTGCTGAATGAATCAATGAGTGGCTGAGCACATCAACTGTCTCAACACATTGGGGAGGCCCCATAAGAGAACCAGCGACAAAGAAAAAGAACGTGAGTCTCCAGTCGTGGAACAGACACTGAGGGTCCCTACTGCCTGCTATGTCTACTCAGGGAGAATGCCCATCAAGAACCCACACCCAGGCCTGTAATCCTAGCACTTTGGGAGGCTGAGGTGGGCAGATCACTTGAGGTCAGGAGTTTGAGACCAGCCTGGCCAACATGGTGAAACCCTGTCTCTACTAAAACTACAAAAATTAGCTGGGTGTGGTAGTGGGTGCCTATAATCCCAGCTACTTGGGAGGCTGAGACAGGAGAGTCACTTGAACCCGGGAGGCAGAGATTGCAGTGAGCCGAGATTGGGCCACTGCACTCCAGCCTGGGCCACAGAGTGAGACTCCATCACAAATTTAAAAAAAAAAGAAGAAGAGAAAAAAAAAACCTAGACCCAGGCTTCCCACTGCATGTCAAGCATCTTTCCCCCAGATTCCCTCTTGAGGTTTTGTTTCTCCCTCAGCTTTAGCTCCCAGGTGGATTAACAGGGAAGAGGGAATTCATGTCTTAGAGACAATTACAGGTCAGCATTCACCACTTTTGCACAAGTGATGGAATTTGACATCTTTCACAATGCTGTACATCAGGTGAGCCTACCTAATTTTGCACACGACGAGCTGGAGGTCAGTCTGTCAATAGAGTGAAGACCTGGTGAAGCCAGCACTTGAACTTGAGCTTTTAAAGTACACACTGTCTCCACCAGGCATTATTGATCACCCAGCGCACACTCGCTAATCTCAACAGTTAGTGATCTTTTAATATACATTTATCTCAACATCCTCTTAAAATTTAACCCAGTGGTGGAAGGGTCACCAGCCCCATGGTCAGAGAGCCACGGGGGCCACGAATCCACATCAGTCCGTGGCTGCGAACTGCAGGCACCTGTTCTTGGCAGAGCTCTTCTGGGTAGCCATGCATAGCTCCCCTGCTCCCCTGGCCAGGATGAAGCTGTAGGGGCTAATGTATTCTGAGTCAGACCAACTGCTGCTCATGAAGGGGGAAAAAAAGACTTGCTTGAGTAACCGTAATAATTGGAAAATTATTTTGATAGCCTGAAACAATCTAATATATTACAGAATTTTATTAAAATAATATCAAATCAAATTAACTGCTATTCCATAATGAATTAGGTAACAAGGTAGGCAGATATTAATCGGCCTTGGCTTCTAGGCAGGGGAGCCCGGAATTTATTAGTTCTTGCGGCTGGCATGAGGGTGAAGGCAGAAACCACTATCACCGCCGGAGAGGGAACCCCCTGAGACAAGCGGGCTTTTACTTTTTCTCTTCCCCCTACTTCCACTTTCTAATCCATCATTAAACACTTGTATTTCTTTTATGTAGGGTCTTATGAAATTTTTAATTTTTTAATTGCTTTGTGATTTAATAATGAGGCCTTTTCATTTTGCCCGAATAAGGAAAGAGATGTGATATTGAAATTCTTTCACTTTCTCCACCCTGGCTAACCTTCTTCCCCACTCCTCACCTCATCTCTTTCATTTCCTAAGTCTAGAAACAAGTAATCTAATCGCCAAGGGGACCAATCGCCAGGCAAACAGGCTGCCTGGACATTTACTTGTTTGAAAAACAGATGAGGGTCCAGACGCCTAGATGGGCTGCAGGGAGATATTCTCTGAGCGGCCATTCATGAGTCAAGGTTGGTGGGTTTTCTGATGACTCAGTGACCTGGGGACTCTAAATAACTCAGCCCCTATTTTATCCTTTCGGAATTTTCTCAGTTCTTTGACTTCATTCTTTCCAACCTTTTAAAATGTCTTGGCACACATAGAATATGATAGTGAGAACAGGTTTTCGGCACCTTGGAATAAATAGAGTGGGGGCTGACCTGCTGGGGCTCCAGCAGCCCCAGGTCCTGCCTGGCTGCAGGGAGCGATGCCTCTGACCCTTCAGTGCTCATTTGCCTCCAACCGTTGCAAAGCCCCCATGAGATAATGCTGTTTTGATCGCTTAGGCAGCCAGCAGTATCTGAAAGAGCTTGCTAGTGCTAGAGCACGTTTCTCTGAACCTTCGTCTGCTCTTCTGTGAAATGGGGACTACATAACCTTGTGAAGTTGTAAGGCATAGAAATATTACATACAAAGCTCCCAAGGCACAGCCTTCACTCCACAAATGGCCATGTATTGAGTACCACAGAGCTGAGGGAGGATAAATGATGGCAATGAAGCGTTATCACATTGAAACTTCATGATACCCAGATAACGAGGGCACTCTTAATTTCCACTTTACCAATAAGGAAATCAAGGCTTGGATTAATTGCCTGATGTCATGCAACCAGTCACGGTAGAGCTGAATTTGGAAACCAGTTCCGTCTGATAGCAAAGCTTTTCTACCACACTAAGAATCTCACATTTTATGCTTCTGGTTTGGATTCTTTCTGATTTGGGTAGATTTTTTTTTTTTTTTTTTTTGAAGGATGCTTGGTTCTAGATCAAAGTTCAAGCAGAAGATTAAACATTAGGGAACCTCATAAATTCTGTGTAATAAGAAAGAGAATATATGACTTCAAGGGCAAACACTGAGTGGAAAGAACAACGCATGTGTTGTCATTTCTCCTAACATGGTATCGTCACATGGTTGGAATTTTTTGTCTTTATTGACAAGGACTTGTCAAAATTCTTTGACAAATGTCCCAAGTTAAGAAACAGCATCTGCTCACCTGCAATATTTCACAGCAAGGGATCAACCTGATTTTGATGAGAAAGTTGGGGGATAGAGGAGAATGCAGCGTTCTCTTAACAACAGGGGAAGGTTGGAGTTATACACACTTCTCAAATGCTCACCACAACAGCTTAGGCTTTGAGAACTTGTTTCTCCCTCCCTCTTGTAGGGGCATTTGTTACAAATTTCTTTCTCTTTTGGCCCCAGCCCCGACTTCTTTTTGGGGAAGGACACTCTTGGGTGCCTTGTCAGAGGGTCTGTCAACTAAATGCCTCCTCTCAGCATATAGCTGAGGGGTAGACAAGTGACATAGGACAGGTCATTTAGATTATTTCTCCCCAGGCCTTGCATTTGGAGATGGAGGGGAGAGATGCAAGAAAAATAAGAATGACATGAACAACCAACCAGTTTTAAACAATTGAAGCCAGTCCATCTCTTTCCTTCATCTCCCTTATGGTGCCATGAGGAGGACCTGGATTCCTTCTGGGAGTGGACCTTATTTAGAAAAGTTTGGACATTCAGTCACAGACACACTTGATAGCACTACGTTTTCCATGTAAGTAAGGGCTATACCATTATGGAAAGTGGGAAAACCAATGCCCAGTGATAAGTTCAGGTCTATAATGAAAGGCTTTTGGTAGCTAACCACATGCTCTTCCCTGCATTGAATTAAAAGCCAGACTTGGGCTAGATGTGAGCACATACCCCCACACACAGAGCCGATAAACATAGACCTGCCCCAGGGAGTCACAGCCTATTGGTGGGAGGTAATTTAAGGTGATTAAAGGCAGAATGTGTTAGTGCCTAGGATAGGACTGATAAAGTGTCTTCTGAAGTTTAGCGGAAGGAAAGGGAGGGAAGGCAGGGATGGGAGGCGTCAGGGTGCCTCCTCTTCCTGTTTTTTTTTTGCCTAGTGGATGGATACTTAGGGACTCAGGGGGAGAATGGAGGATATTTGGAGGGAGGGAAGAAAACAAGTGGATGCCCACAGGCAGGGCCTGCCAGAGCCTGTTTGAGGCGCTGGGATTAGTCACTTTGAAAGGCAGAGGGGACAGCTCCCAGTCTGGTTGTGGGGTCCTGAGGGTGGGAGTCTGCCTGTTCCCCCCAAAGGCACCAGCTGCCCAGGCTCCTGCACCAAGCAATAACCCCTCTGAGAGGGGGCTCCCGGGGTGGGCACAGCAATCACTTTAATGAACCACGGTGACTGAATTCTCATTTTTCTGTTTGGAATGAAGTGAACAGTGCTTTCAAAAGCTCGCTCCCAAAAGCTCCATGTGGGCTTCTCTGTGGGCAGAAAGTGTGGTCAGGATTTGCTAACTTGGGGTTGTATGGTTTATTTTTCCTCATGGAGAGAAAAAGCAAAGGCTCTAGGACAGAAGGTCAAGATCTAAATGAAATGAATAAGGAATTCTTCCTGTGAATCGCAAACACGGCTCAGGCAGTTCATTTATTTAGAAGCCATTTTCTTCTAACCCCGAATGTTCTTAGTCACTGATACGGGGTCAGCGGCATTTCCTTTTATGGTAAAAGGTGCACAGTAAGAGGTGCTTCGCCTTGGCGTTCAAGGGTTGGGGGTGTGTAAGGTGAGTTCTCCAAGATGAGATGATTTGCAGGGGATGAAATTATACCACCCAATCAGTCTCTTTCTTATTGAAAAAGTCCATTGACAAATATTTTATTGAGGCAGTAAAATATTTTGACAAGTGCAGCAAACACAAGAAATGTGACCACTGAGCAAGAAGTCAGGATCCTGGTCTCTAAGAGCTGCCTGCAGGGGCAGACTGGGCCGCTCTTTGGGCATATATGAATCTGCTCCCCTCAGTCAGTGCCTGGATGGAGCTCATGAGGCTGACGACCTTTCTACCCACATTTGCACATGGGTTGGGGTTTTTAAATATTGTGAGATGGAAACAGAGAAAAGAGGAGTTGCCTAAATGCTAATACTGATGTGCAGTTTGACGTAAATTCTCTTTAGTTCAGTCACATTTTATAAAATTGATAAAAATCAATGCAATTGTTTCCTGATGAATAATTACAAGACAAGTAGGAAACTTTGTTGTTGTTACTGATAATAATTAATTTAAAGCATCATTAGTATATTAAAATGAGACACAGACATGCTATAACATAGGATGCAGTATTACATAACATTTGAAGACATATGAGACTTCACACAGAAATTTTATGCTTATAATTAATCTTGTAGAGCTGGAGCCCCAAATCAGCCCTTTTCTACCCGCCCCCCAGCCCAGGCATGAAGAACTCCTCTAGGAAAATCATAAAGACATAGAGGTCAGAGGATTTTGCAATTGTGAAGTTCTTTTTTTCGCCCAAGCAAGAATAACTCTTCTTTCAAATTTGCAGACAGCTTGGGGTCTGTAAGTTCTGAGTGAATATGCAATTAAAATGAAAGTTTTTTATTCGCCCTATTAGGCAGTAAAGAGATAATCTTAGGGCTACGAGAAAGAATATGGTATAAGCAGTCGCCACTCACCTTGTCTTCCAAAGAGGGCTCGTTCAACGGGCAGCTGAATCGAAATTCACAGGGAAGGACTTTGCAGTGTCTGAGCTGCACAGGCAAAGTCAATTTTGTGCATTTTTTATCACGGTTTGGAAATAAAATGCAACCCAAATGAAGTGAACGCCTCTCTAGTGGATAATTGCTTCCAAAAGAATGAGTACCAAACAACCCCCTTGGTGCTTACATGGGAAAAAATAATAATAAAAAGGATTTAAAATTAAGGACAAAAAGAATAAAAGGGTAGATAAAATCTGAGATGCATCGGAGGGAAGATAAAGTGACTTTTTGGCAGCAACTTTAATAGAAGCTTTGCTTCAAAAGTCATCTAACTGTGGTGTTAATCTGCGCCTTCTTTGCTAAACCTCATGAATGCATGCTTCTATGTTATTATCTCAGTTAAAAAGGATATATATCTCAAATCAGAATCCACTGAAACTAGTTATTGCACATCATTCCGCATTTCCCATTTCCGTCAATGGGTAATGAGAGATCATGCTGTTTAACCCATTTTGGAAAAGATTATGAAATGGCCTTTCATTTCCCAAACCCGGCTCCGGGCCACTCCTGTGTGGTGGGAGCCACTTAGCACCAGCCAGGGTGAAGCAGTGGAGGGGCTGGATGTTCAGGGAGAGGAGGAAACTCAGGTGCTAAGAGCTGAGAAGCAGCCACCACTGTGCCATGCCTCGAGGGGAGCGGTGTTCACCTGGTCCTCTCTGGGGCCCTGTGGCCTATGGGTTATGATGATTCACAGGGAATGAAACGGGCCTCAGTGGGGTGTGCTGGTCTGTCTGGGGTCACCAGGAAGTGAGCAGGGGAGTTGGAATTCCATGTGGTTGAGCCTGACCCATGCCTAGTGCTAGCAATACATAGGATGACCAGCCAGGTGCCCATGATGTGGTTCTCCAGCCTTCCTCTTTGCCCCCTGCACTAGACCCAAATCAGCAGGAGGGAGTGGCTGTGGGGGAACCTAGTAGGGAGATACCCTGACATCTAGGTACGGCGAAAGAGCTGCCATGGCCCAGTCACTGCTGTCTAATGAGAGCCTTGTTTGCCGCATCTGTAAAGTGGGAACAATGATATTTGCCTTCTAGACTTTGGAGGCAACATGAGAAAGCTCATTGGAACATTGTTTGTTCATGACACGGGTCGGGGCTATTACAATTTTTTTAAAAAAATCTTCATTTATGTAGGTGCAGCTGCCCATATCACAATAGGTGCTATTATCTCTTTGAAAAGGAAATGAAGTAAATAAGCTATTCCTTTTAACAAGGGGCATTATCTAGAGTCTTCTGTTACCAGAAGGCACCAAGGAAAAACGATGGCTCTAGGGCCGTTATTAGTTTGCTAGGGCTGCCATAAAAAGTCACAAAAATGAAGCGCCTTAAACAGCAGACATTTATTATCCCACAGTGCTGGAGGCTAGAAGTTCAAGATCAAGCGGTTGGCAGGACTATGCTCCCTCTGAAGGCACAAGAAGGATCTGTTCTAGGCCTCTCTCTGAGCTTCTGGTAGTTCCTGGGCTTGGGACAGCATAACCTTAGCTCTAAACTTCACCTGGTGTTCTCCCTGTAGATGTGCCTGTGTCCTAATTTCCCCTTTTGATATGGACACCAGTCATTTTGGATTAGGGCCCACTCTGCTGCAGTCTGACCTCATTTTAACTGATTACATTTGCATTTCAAAAGTCAATTGAGGACCCTATTTCCAAGTAAGGTCACATTTTGAGATACTAGGGGTTAGGACTTCAACATATGTATTTTAGCATCACAAAATTTAACCCATAACAATGGCTGAAATTAAACTTGGAAAGCTTTGCAAGCTTTAGTCTTCTCTTAAGGATTTACAGTGTATTTTAGTTTATCTACAGGCTATATAATAACATGTAAGAAAAAAGAAACCTGTTTCATATTTCTTTTTGCATTTTAAATGTCTTTAACTTATTTTAATATTTTAATTGAGGTAAAATACAGTCTGATGATTTTTTAGATGCCTACACCTATATATTCTATACCTCATCAAGATAAAGAAACTTCTTTCATTTCAGAGAGTTCTTTGTGCCTCCTTCCAGACATCCTTTGCAAGAAACAACTATTGCTAATAAAATTCCTTTAATCATGGGTTATAATAACTTTGCCATTTGTAGAACTTTCTATAAATGAAAGTATATAGTAGGTAAAATCGATATTGTTGCATTTATCCATAGTTCATTCCTGTTTATTGCTGGATAGAATTTTATTGTATGGATTTGCTGCAGTTTGTTTATCAGTTCACCTGTTGAGGAACAGGTGGGTTATTTCCAGCTTTGACTATGACAAACACAGCAGTTATGAACATTTATGTGCAAGTGTTTATATGTGAACATATGTTTTCATGTCTATACCTAGGAGTAAAAATGCTGGGTCATGAGGTTGGTATAATTTTAATTTTTTATGAAACTGCCAAACAGTTTTCCAATGTGGTTGTGCCATTTTATATTCCTACTAGCAAGAAATATGGGTTCTGGTTACTCAGTATCCTTGACAACATTTGATGTTATCAGTCTTTTTAATTTCAGCCATTTTGATGAGTGCATAGTTGTATCTCATCATAGTTTTAATTTTTGTGTCTTTTTTTAAGGAATAATAAAAGCTACCGGCTGGGTGCAGTGGCTCACACCTGTAATCCCAGCACTTTGGAATGCTGAGGTGGGAGGATCACGAGGTTAGGAGTTTGAGACCAGCCTGGCCAACATGGTGAAACCCCGTCTCTACTAAAAATACAAAAAAAAAAAAAAAATTAGCTGGGCATGGTGGCAGGCACCTATAATCCCAGCTACTCAGGAGGCTGAGTCAGGAGAATCTCTTGAACCTGGGAAGGTGGAGGTTGCAGTGAGCCAAGATTACGCCACTGCACTCCAGCCTGGGCAACAAGAGCAAGACTCTGTCTAAAAAAAAAAAAAAGAAGAAGAAAAAAGAAAAAACAAAGCTACAGTAATCAAAATGGTATGGTATTGGCAGGATGGTGTAGAAATGAAACAGAATAGAGAGGCCAGAAACAGATGCACACTTACATGGCCAACTGATTTTTAACAGAGGTAGCAAAGCAGCTCGGCAGAGAAAATTCTTTTTAAAAAATGGTACTGGAACAACCAAATATTCATATGAAAAATAACATACCTGTATCCTCATCTTATGTCATATATGAAAAATAATTGAAGAATGATTATATCTCTAAATATAAAAGGTAAAACAATTTTTAAAAAAGCAGAATATTTTTATGACCTTGGGACAGAAAAAAAAGTATAGCTTTAACAGAACACAGAAAATGCTAACTATAGAAGAAAACACTGATAAATTGCATTTCATCAAAATGAAATACTTCTGCTCATCAAGAAAATAAAAAGGCAAGCTATGCACTGGGAGAAAATATTTGCAATACGTATGATAGCTACAAAAGACTGATTACTAGGATATATAAAAATATCCCACAAATCAATAGTAAAAAGACACACAACCCAATGAAAATGCACAAAATATCAAACAGATACTTCACAAAAGAAGACTACTGAATGGCCAATAAGCACATGAAAACATGCTTAGCAGGAACATGCTTGACTTGGAATTTTTTTTTTTTTAAACCTAGAGTTTTTTTTCTTTTTTTTTTTTAACCTAGAGTTTTCTTGGCTTCTTTGACCATGTGGAACTGGTGATGTGCAGTGGTGAAAGTTCAGATACTCGGTTCTGACCACAGGAGTTGAATATCAGCTTTCTTACTGACTAGCTCTATGAGCTTTGGCAGCAACTTCATACTTCATGCCTCCATTTCCCTGGGTCTAAAATAAGGATCATACTAGCTGGTGGGATCAGACAGATTAATATCATAATGTGCTTAGTGCGTGGCATGCAGTGAATGTTACATGGATAACATTGACTATTATTGAACTCCTTTTTGCAGGTCTGACTTTTCTTTATACCCCATAGAAACAGGGGTTCCAGAGAACCCACTTTGGAAAACATCCCTAGTAGGAAAGACAGTTTTGAAGGAACAGAGACTGTGTAAGCCCGGAAGGCAATAGTTCCACCTCTTCCCGTCTCTCCTGCCCCTGGAGACTCTAACATCTTTGACTTCTGGGGGGGTCTCACAGGCAAGAAAAGGTGGAATTAGCACACGCCTGTCTTGTTCAATGCTGTAGCCTCAGAGCCCAGAACAGCACTGGGCATTCAGTATGTATTCAGCAAATGTTAACTGAATAAACAAATACGCAATTTCCCAGTGTGCAGCTCAATCAGTCTCAAAGGCAGGGTCCAGGGGTCCGCCTTTAGACCAACAACTCATAGGGGAAGGGCCAGCATTCCTCAAACTTGTCCTGACTCCACCATCTATCTATGGACTTAAGTGCAGAAGTAATTGCAGGTCTGAAATGGCCAAAGAGTGCCGTCCTAGTAGCTGGGATTAGTGAGGCTTAGCAGTTTCTTCTGTAAATGGCCTCCATGTGGAGAAGGTCACATGTTCCAGAAACCTGGAGTCTGGACACTTGGCTGATCCAATGGAAAGAGAGCCAGAGTCAATATGCAAAGCTCTGGAGACCCAGTTAGCAGAAATGAGGGTCAGAAAAGACTGCACTTGCAAAACTCAGCTCTTGAAAACAGAGTACTTTATCATCTCCCCCCGACAAATCTGCCGTCCTTCTCCGGCACCCTCTCATCCCTTCCTTCTTCCCCTTTTTTCCTCCTTTCTTTTCTTCTCTGCATCTCTCTTTCCTTGACTGCGTACATCTGACTCACCACTGATTCTGCCAAGGGCCACCCCCTGGTCAGATTGCTGTCATTGCAATGGTCTCCAAGGTAACCCATGGAGTGTAGTCTCCAACCCCTCTTCCCACACTAGGCCATCCTCCAAACTGCTTCTGGATTAGGCATACAGAAAATAAATGTTTTATGTCACTCTTCTACTGCGCGACCTCTTGTGGGGAACTGTTTGATGCAGAAGTGATCCACAACTCCTATTTCATGGACTGGCTGCATCAGACTCACCTGGGACATTTATCAGAACTACAACTATCTCTGCCTCATTCCACACACCCTGAAGAAGAATTGCTGTGGGTGGCACCATAGATTTTGATTGACACAGGTTTCCTAGGTGAATTGGAGATGAGGCCATGTTAAAGAAAAACTGGCTTTGAGATTAGTGCCTTTTGACTCCTCTTTGAGTTGCTCTCTTATCTTCCACTTGCCACTCTTCTTGTTGCTCTAGGAATGCCTGAATCAATACCATTCTTGAAATAAACGATATATGTTCTTGCTACTTTGCCTTTGCATATGCATTCCCTTTGCCTGAAATTTTCTCCTCTTCCTATAATCAGCAAATTCCATCTCTTTCACCAATATCCTTGCATTCGTTTTCTATTGCTTCATAAAAAACAACTACAAATTTAGTAGCTTAACACAATTTACTGTGTACAGATAATTTCACAGTTTCAGTGAGTCAGGAGACTAGGCACAGCTTGACTAGGTCCTCTGCCTCGGGTTTCACGAGGCTTCAGTCAAGGAGCTGGGCAAGTTTGGTGCCTCATCTGGAGGCTCAACCCGGGAAGGATCTGCTTCCTATTCACGTGATTGTGCTCTGCTTCCCACTTGTTGCCAACATTTAGTTCCCTACAGCTATGGAACTCAGAGCTTCAGTGTTTTGCTGACTATCAGCTGGGGACTGCCTGTATTAGTCTGTTCTCATGCCTCTATGAAGAAATACCCAACACTGGGTAATTTTTAAAGCAGAAAAGTTTAATTGACTCAATGTTCTGCAGGGCCGGGGAGGCCTCAGGAAGTTTACAATCATGGTGGAAGGTGAAGGGGAAGCAAACACGTCCTTATTTATGTGATGGCAGCAAGGAGAAGTGCAGAGTGAAGGAGGGGAAAAGCCCCTCATAAAACCATCAGGTCTCGTGAGAACTCACTCACTATCACGAAAACAGCATGGAAGTAACCTCCCCCATAATTCCATTACCTCCCACTGGGTCCCTTCGATGACAGGTGGGGATTATGGGAACTACAATTCAAGATGAGATTTGTGTGAGGACACAGCCAAACCATATCACTGTCTTTAGGTTCTAGAGGCTTCCCATAGTTCTTCGTACATGGGGTTTCCCAATATGGCTGTTTGTTTCCTCACAGCCAACAAAAGTGAGAGAGAGACCCCTGCAACAGAGGAGTTACAGTTGTATGTAGCCCAATCCCATAGTCATGTGCACACAGTCACATACGTCCTGTCAGCTTCGCTGTGTTCTATGGCAAGGGAAAGTCACAGGTCCCTGTGACTCTCAAGGGGAAAGGATCAAGCAAGGGTGTGAATGCCATGGGGTGGAGATCCCAAGGACTGCTGCTGTAAGGGTCTGTCAAAGTCCTTCTGGAAACATCCCCATTCTCTCTGAAACCTTCCCAGATGACCTCCAGGACAGAGTTTCCCATCCTTCAGGGCTTCCATGGCAATGTGTTGCTCATCAATGTGAACTGGTTGCTCACAGTTCACATCTGAGAAAGACAGTGGAAGCAGCTTCCGCCCTTTGGATGGTTTCTTCTGTTTCTTTTCTTTTTTGTTTTGTTTTCAATTCTCATATCACAAATTTTTTTGCGTAATTTTAAAGTAAGCCCTTTTGCCAATGAGTGTTCATGGTCATGTTCTGTTACTAATAGTGCATCACCAAAGAGAAATATTTGAAAACAAGAGGTCCTGTCACCATCACACCCCTCTGCTGTCCTTTCCTAGACGTTGGATCCCTGGTGAATCCTAATGCATGAGTTATCTTTGACTCGGGCTCTGTCAGGGGCTGAGATGTCTTGGACAATAGAATAGCAAAGGAAGCACAGACTGAGATGCTTCTGAGTATGAAAGACAAGGTGAAAGTCAAAGAGCCTTACCTTCTCTCCCCCCTTTGTCTTGCTCTGCCTCTCTCACATGTGCCTGAAGCCTGTCTCCCTCTCTTCAAACATTTCTTAATAATCTATAATTTCATGGAAGGGATAAAGGATAAGAAGAACCTAGAAGGTAACTGGATTTACATATGAATGTTGGGTTTTCATTTTAATTTTGACAAAGTGTAAAGGTTGCTAATAAAAGCATCATTACTGCCTCACCGTTTCTTTGATGAACTACAGAACAGATTGCTAAGATATGGAGACAAATCCCAGGGTCACCAGTTTTACCAGGAGCCATCGTTCATCCTTTAACAAGAAACAAAACACCATGACAATTTAGAAAAAAAGGATAAAAGAGAAATGACATAATGACATTATTTTCAAGGCAGTTCTGACCATTGTGAGCACTTCATAGAGGGATTGAACCCACTGTCCGCTTCAGCACAGGTTCTGAGTTTACTGAGAGTCAGGGATGCTGATGTGGCTGGGTCTGCCAGAGACCTCTGAGAACCGGGCTCCTTCTAACCAAGAAGCCTTGGGTCAGTCCTGGAGCTGGGACCAAAGAGCAGGGAAGCTGAGCTGTCCTGACGTTCAAGCTTATATCTTGGTTTTACCCCAGAACTAATACTGAATCAAAAGGACAAGGTGACTGATTAGTTGTGGGTGGAAGGGATCCAGTGCTGTCTCTAGCAGGGGTGAGAAGTGAGAGGGCTGGGTGACATTGATGAGCAAGTGGGTGAGACCCTAGAGCTGGCTTCTGGTGTGTTCATCCCCCCTTGGGTCTGGAGGCAGCATGATGTCATAGGAAGAGCTTGGTCAGTCCTCAATCTGCTGTGTGACCTCAAGCAAGTCACATTTCCTCTTTGAACCCTGGTTTCTAAACTGGATGAGACCAGTGGCTTTGAACATGTGCTCTGTGGCACACCAGAGATGCTGTAGAGGGACTTGGTGGCATCCCCAGTGGGTACCACCCAGCAGGAGTCTCTGTGCACCTTTCTTCAATCAGAGCAGGTCTGCTTTCAACTGTGTGCTATGTGGGATTTTATTTGAAGGAAGGGTTTTATGAATTGAAAGAAATACTGAAAAGCAGTTGTTGGGTGATCTCTGAAGACCTTTCTGGTGCTATGATTTTCTACTATTATTTAATAAGTGGATGTGTGTATCAAGAGGGGAAGCCTTCTGTGCTGTATTTGAGTGAGGTGTTTGTGCATGTGTGTGTGTGTGGTTTTTACAGCTGGAAGTCTATTTTCTCCTGGCTCTTATTAACATTTCAGAGCTGTTTTGTCTTTGTTCTTATCTGATCTTCTAGGGGCAATGGCTCTTAGTTCTTGCTATTGTGCTTACCAGTTTCTGTTTATGTGTATTAATTTAGTTTAATTTTTAAGTTTCTGCTTGGTCTGAGTCTTTTGGTTGTCATAGATGGAGATTCTTAGGGGCGGGAGGTCCAGTTATTGATCAGTAACTTCCATTCTTTCAGTGTTTGGATGCAATTATCTTTTAATTTTTTTTTGTCCTTATCACACTCCTAAAGAGCTGGTAAGTCCTTTAGAAATCATATAGTCTACATTCTTCTCTTTATAAATAGGGAAACTGAGGCACTGAGAGATTAAGGTGACCAGCCACCAAAACCACATACTTTAATACTCTTCTGGTCTAATTGAGGCCTTGGTCTCTCCTTTTATTGGTCTGTGACTCACTGTATGTGTGCAAGCTTAATGTACCCCTGGCAATTTCTTATATAAAGTAAAGAATCTCTTTTTCCTGTAAGGGTCACCCTTTAATTATATATGTTGAAGTTCACCTGCTAATTATCTTGTGAGTCATCCCGGCAGAATAGGAGTAGCTCACAAATGTGTCTGTGAAAATTATTCCTTTTATTAATAAGAGTATGGGGCCAGTAATCAAGATACCTGGGTTTTAGAAAGGCATTTATCTGTTTGATGTCAGAAATGGCTTCTTTTGATTAATGCTAATGTTTTTCCTGATTATGAAAGTAAACAGATATTTATGAGGAGACACTGGAAATATGGCAAAGATCAGAAAGCTTACAATCATACTGCATCCTGCCATTCATTGATTAAAAACTTACCATTTTAGTATATCATGGGAGTCTTTGCTGTGTATATGTGCTATCCTTACACAAAGATTATCAAATTTAGTATGCAATTTTTATTTGCTTACTGTCTCAAGCATTTGCTCCCACCTTTTCCAACTAAATGCCAGCTTTCTAACGGCCATCTGGCCAAGTATGAAGTGGACTTACTGAGAAACAGTGAGCCTCCATCAATACAGTGTGCAAACGGGGGTCACTTTACTCCTAGATAAGGTATTAAGAAAATTCATACAGCAGAGAGAGGGGTGGAGCAGGTCTCAGTGTGTGCCCTGCCGGCCATGACCTTCCCCAAGACTCACACAGCCATCTCCTCTTCAAGAAACTCACACTGGCCGGGTGCGGTGGCTCGCACATGTAATCCCAGCACTTTGGGAGGCCAAGGCAGGTGGATAAAGAGGTCAAGAGTTCGAGACCAGCCTGGCCAGCATGGTGAAACCCCATCTCTACTAAAAATACAAAATATTAGCCAGGCATGGTGGCACGCTCCTGGAGTCCCAGCTACTCGGGAGGCTGAGGCAGGAGAATTGCTTGAACCCAGCAGGCGGAAGTTGCAGTGAGCTAAGATCGCGCCACCACTGCACTCCAGCCTGGGTGACAGAGCGAGACTCCATCTCAAAAAGAAAGAAAGAAAGAAAGTAAGAAAGAAAGAAAGACTGACTCACGCTAAGTCCCCATATCTTCCCAGGGTCTCTCCCATCCAGTACAGGAAGGAATGCTCAATTTCCCATTTCCCAAAGGCAAGAGAGAGGCTGATGGGATCCTGTAGGTATGGACTGAGAAGTGTCCAAAGTTCCTCAAAAGTCATTTATAGACATCCAGCCTTCTTAGAATGGGTTGTGTTGAACGTAACTCTCCAAACCTTAAGGCATTTATTTCATGTTGTGTCCATTGCCACCAAGGTGATGTTCCTGTCTAGGGGATGTTGAGTGCCTCCAAGACTGAGTACACAGTCTCGCAAGAGAAGGAAACCGGCCTTTGTGCAGTGTGCTGGGCATTTTATGCCTGCTTTTCCCTTCCCCAGGGCACCTTTGCAAGATGAATGACAACCTTATGACAGATGAAGTGGCAGAAGCTGAAAGGTTAAGGAATAAACACAGGGGCACCCGGAAGGATCTTGGTGGAGCTGAGATTTGAACCTGCATCTGGGTAACTCCAAAGCCAGGTCTTCGGTCTTTGACAGCCCTGTCACACGGTCTCTGTGCTGGTAGGACCTGAGAAGGTGAATCCCTTGCTTCAGTCTCTCTACGTGTGTCCCACATGGGCTCACATTGAGATGATGGGCCACAGCCTTCAACCTTATTCACAGGTTACTGCTCAGGTCGGTAGCCTTCAGGGACTAGCCTCTTACTGAGTCGGGGGGTGAGGGACAGGAGGTATATTTTCGTGCCTGTCGAGACTTTGCAGGGCAGGGGAAGACAGCTGTAACATCTTAGCCTGCAACTGAATTTGAATTGTATCTGCTGGCCTGGTAACACCATGGCTTGGCAGTTTGGTGTAATAAATTTGGGACACAAATGTCTCAGGTCTGTGGAGTAAGGCATGGTCGCTAGGAAGTTTAGACAAGAAATGTGCAGTTGATGATGTAAGACCCAGTGTCTCGCTCCCATCTTCCTATGCTGGCCGCTGAATACCAGGAGGTGCTTTCATGAGGTGAGCAGCTCCTAGAAGCTGAGTTCTGCATCTCGCTGTTATCATTGGGATCCTGATGGGACTCGCCAGTGACAAAGAGGCTGCCAGCCTCAGCCACCGGCTTCTTGGAGAGGCTCTGGAAACACCTCTCCACTCTCTATGGAACTTGAGCTGTTGGGGTGGGGAGAGCTCTTGGTATGGACTCAGGAAGCTGGAGCTCATGTTTCTGTTCAGTGACTCTCCATCTCTGGGGCTCTGGGCATTTTATTTTACCTCCCTGCACATCAGGTTCCTTGATCTACAGTGGGGCAGATACCCACCATGTAGAGCTGCTGTGAGACTCCCCCCGATAATGGTATGGAGTCCTTTGTAAATCCCAGAGCTTACCACACAAATGTGGTTAATATTACCCCTCCCAATTCTTTTTGCTCTTGCCAGAGGGAAAACATACACACATTCACACACATACATGCATACAAGTATACATATATGTACACACATACATGCATGCACCTGCCCATATATTCACATACACACATGCACACATATACATACATGTACACACATACATACATGCACGTGCCCATATATACACATACACACACGCATACACATACACACACCTCTCACTCTTTCATCTTTATGTCTCCATCTTTCCTGCTTTCAAATCTTAGCTCCTACTGACACTTCTGCTAGAATAATCATCCCCCTTTAAAATGCTGCTAAATTTTCGTTGCTGCTTCCTCCACAAAGCCTGGCTTGGGTTGCTGGCTGCACACAGAAGTGGCTGTGGAGGTGTGGACTGAGATTTGAACTGGGCACCAGGAACCTCTGGCTGTCAGTTCTGCTTCTGCTCACTCTGTGGTCCTGGATGAGCTACATAAGCAGCCAGTGCTTTATTCACACTCAACTCATGTGTTCACACACCCATTTATTCATCCACTTGTCCATTCACTCTGTTCCTCATGGTCTGAACAAGAGGCCTGGGATCAGAGCTTCTTCCAGAGCTGATGGGCACATGGGGGCAGGAAAGCCCCAACACCCATTGCCCTTTAGGGAAGACTGAACACTCTCCTGGGGAACGCTGGAGCCCCGGAGCTCACTCAGTTACCCCAGAACTCCTGTCTCCTCTGTGGTGTGTCTCTACCGCGGGGCCAGGCGCAAAAATCCCCAAATTCCTGGATTTGATCATAATAATCAACTTGGAAATATTTGGCCACCAGGGCTGCTCGGTGTGCTGGGTCTGGAGCAATTGGAGGATGAGATCTTCACATTTACTTGGAGGGGTGTGTGCCTGTGTGTGTTTACTCTTTTCACTGCAAGTAACAAGTTCAATATTAATCTTCACTTCCTGGGAAATAATTAGTGTTAAGTGAACTGTGATTTCTATCTCTAGTTATTTCTCATGTGTTAATTTTAGCAGCAAGGAAAGTGCTCTGTGTTGGCTGGATCCAAGGCTGCAAAGACATATTCCAACTTAGGAAGAAAGGCAGGGAGGGTGGGGGAGAGGCAGACCACCCATTCAACAGGGGATTGAATTCCAGCACGCCAAGAGTCTCCAGCTGTGGGGAAAATTGTCCTTCCTGTCACAGGCCCCTCTAAGAGGGACCAGCCCACCCATGCACTTGCGTGCTGGAGCTCAGAAAAGGAAAAGCTCAGCCTTGGGCATGACCTCTTGTCTCTGGAATCTGCAAACTCCTCTCTGCTCATGCTCCCTGGCTCTGACTTGCTCTCCTGGTTCTCCAGCCCCGTTCCACCCTAAACCTTGGAATTGGACTCTTGTCTCCGGCATCCCAGGCTGGAAACCCATCAGGGGCCCACTCTCCTGTCTCGATGTTAGCACTCTCCTTTCCAACGCACATCTTTGCTTGTCATTCCTCCTTGATCAGTCTCGTGAGAATGGCCAGCCAGGCCAGCTCTTCCTGCCTGAACCCCCAAAGATCCCCGATCCCGTTCCCACTTATGGTTAGCATGATTATTCACTGCTAATTTTCCATGTGCCAAGGGCTTCAGGAGTGCGGTGTCTTAATCCTCGTGATCCCTGTTTTACAGATGGGGAAACCGAGTATCTGAGAGGCTGATTTGCCCAAGTGAGTGGGGAGAACCGGGTTGTAATTTAGATCTCTGTGACTCAAAATCTCATGCTCTTGATCATCATTTCGAATGGGATAAAAATAAAGGCAATTTGGAAGCCCAGCGTAGGCACCTGAAGAACTTGGGGCAGGAGTGGTGATTTGGTGATGTCTCTAAATCTCAAAGTGCAAGCTGGAAAATAAACCAGAACCAATTCCTGGGCAGTCATGTACCTTTCAATCCATTCAAAATGTGCTAAGCTGGGGTGACCTTGGACAAGTTACTTAACTTCCCTAAGTCTCACCATTCTTGTCTGCAAACTGACAATCAAGACAGGTCTCCTCTAATTGAGCTGCTGTGGACATTAAACGACAATAGTCCTGCTCAGAGGAAGCAGCCCTCCAATGACTATTGCTGTTACTAAAAGGCCCTCATTCATTCACCCTCATTCATTCACCCACAAACTGTTGGTGAATATCTACTTTGTGCCAGGGAACATGCAGGTGCTGATTTTACTGCATAAATATTATGGGGTCCCTGACCTCAGGGAACTCTTGCTTTAGTGGGAGATCCTGAAGAAAACATGGGTATGCATAGTTGGGTGTGGCGAGTAATCAGATGGCAATGAGAATGGGGTAAGAGGGGAAGAAGGGGGTAGGTTCAGCTGACTTGGGAGGTCCATCCAGGGAAGTCTTCCTGGAAGAGGTGACACTAGGCCAGTGTCTAGGAGAAATCGCTCAGTTGAAGAAGAGATGGGATAGTGTTCCTGCAAGAAGAAATCGGCCCTGTGAGTGTGTGGAGGTGGGAGACAATATGGCCCCTTGAGTTATGGTGCCCGCTGATGTTAGATGGAAGGAAAGCTCCCGTGAGGGAGAGGAGCAAGAATGCAGCTCTGAGCTCGTGTGCTTCCTCACCACTGCTGAGAAGAGCCTGATGCATGATGCCGGGTGGAGGTTGAGGGGCCCACCCTTGCTCTTGGGTCTCAGCCCTGCAGGAGGGCACATTTGCTACGGTGATTGCACCTTCCTGCTGCCCCTCACTACACCCCCTAGCTTGTGGAAGAAAATCATCCCTCTGACTCATCCCTGACTTACTAATTGGCAGGGCCACTCTGTGTTAATGGCCATTGCTTCCTTTATTTAAAGAAATTATCATGGTGAACTATACAAAACAAAATTTGCCACTGTCACCATTTTTGTTGTACTGTTCAGTAGCATTAAGCACATATACAAAGTTGTGAAGTTATCACCATGACTATCTCCAGAACTGTTTCATCATCTCAGACAGAAGCAGGGCACTCATTAACCACTCGCTCCCCATCCTCCCTCCACCAGACCCTGGTCCCGCCATTCCAGTTTCTGTCTCTATGAATTAACTACTCTGGGAACCTCATATGTGTGGGATCACACAGGATTTGTCCTGGATGACTGTCTTATTTCACTAGCACAATGTTTTCAAGGCTCATCTGCGGTGCCGCATGTGTCAGAATTTTCTTCCTTTATCAGGCTTAATAGTGTTCCATTGTATGGATATACCACATTTTGTTTATCCATTAATCAGTCTATGGACACTTGGGTTATTTCTGCCTTTTGGTGAATAATGCTGCTATAAACACGGAAATACAAATATCTGTTCTTGTTCCTGCTTTGTGTTCTTTTGGGCTTATACCGAGAAGTGGAATTGCAGGGTCATGTGAAGATTCTATGTTTCACTTTGAGACAGCCTGGAGAGGCCGTGTCTTCAAAGGTGTGCTCACCACATTGGGATGGTGCCTGCAAAAGTCATGGCTGGAAATGGCACCGCCAGCTGTCTGACTCTCTCCACTCTCTCTTCTGGCTTCTCAGCACCCGCCATGGGTGGTCAGTCAGGCCACACTCAGATGTGTGGACTCAGACATCCTGTATGTGGGAGAGTAAGAGGTGCATTTAATTGAAGTACATTAAATTCATGATACTCGCATGAATCAGGTGTACTATGAGAAAACTGGTGCTCAGAGAGGTGAAGGAACTTACCTCACATCACACAGCTGGCATGTGACTTCAGAGATTTCAGTCCAGGCTTGCCAGACTCCCAAGTTCCCACTGCTGTCCCCTTACTCCACTGGTTCTACTTCACTTCTCTGGAAAGGCTGCCGCCTCTGTCCAGCACTGGTCCCTTATGTCTCACAATAGGACTGTGAGGCTGCAGAAGGGGATGCCACTGCTATGCCCCATCCATCTCCAAGACCTCAGTGCCCACCCCAGGTCTGCCACAGAGCATGCCCTGAGCCCATGCATGCACAGATGAGGCCGTGGAGACACAGATTCTATTACCAGCCTAGGGAACGAAGTGATGGATTGACTTCCAGCAAGCTTAGACTGTGGAGAAAGAGTGTGAGCCTGGAGTATGATACAGAGATGAAGACCTTAGTCAAGGTGCCAAGAACGGCGAGCTCTAGCTGTGCCTCTGTCACCAGCTGTGTGGACTCCAGCAAGTTTCTTTTCTCTCCATGCCTTAATTTTCTCATCTGCATAATGGGATGAGCTTTGACAACAGCCCCTTGGTCCTAATAAACTGTGTCATGAGCACAGTCCCGGGCCCCACTGCCTACCTCTGCCTGCAGAGACCATTGACATCGCCATCCCTGCCCAGAAAGGTCAGAGGCCCTCAAATCTGGGCTTTGGAATCTGTGTCTGCACAGGGCGGAGCTGTGCATGGCTAGAGGGTCCTCGGACGCTGAGATGTCCATCTTTTTGACCTGATCGGGTTACATATGCTTCCTCCAAAGTCCTCTGTCCTGCGTCCCCCAAGCATTAAGTACAGCCCCTTGCTGTCTCAGAGCCTGGCTTCTCGACACTACTAGAGAGATTGGGTTCTTCCAGAGTCCTTTTTTGGCTGGCTCTGACACGCTCTGGCTCAGCCTTCCAAAGCCAGACCTGAGGGACCGACCAGAGAGTGCAGGCGACAACAGCTTGCTTTTCTGATTGTTGTTGTTGTTTGTATTTTTGTAAAAAAAGAGAGAACGGATTGAGGATGGAGTGTGTGGCTGTGCGGGATGCGACAGAAGTGGCCACTTACTGTCGAATGCTTTGGGCTCGGAAAAACCCAAAGTAGAATCATCCAAGTCTTTGCTTTTAATTTTTCAAAAAGGTGTATGTGAGTGAGTGCAGTGTGTGTGTGAAGTGAGTGCGGTGTGTGTGTGTGTGTGTGTGTGATTGGCAGAGTGATGGCCTCTCAAAGACATCCACGTCCCAATCCCTAGAACCGAGGGCTCTGTCACACGCTGCAAGGCAAAGGGGAATGAAGACTGCGGGTGGGATGAAGGTTTCCCAAGGGCTGACCTTAAAATGGAGACTATCCTGGGTGATCCTGGTGGGCCCAATGTCATCACAAGGGTCCTTAAGACTGAGAGCAGGAGGTGGGGGAGGAGGCCACAGTGCTGCCCCCGGAGGCAGGCCTGCCCTACCTCTGCTGGCTGCGAAGATGGAGGAAGGGGCCCAGAGTTGAGGGACGTGGGCCACCTCCAGAAGCCTGGAAAGGTGAGAAAGGGCTTCTCTACTGGATCCCCCAGAGGGAGGGCGGCTTTGCTAGCACTTGATGTTAGCCCAGAGGGACACATGTTGGATTTGAATGCCCAGAAGAGAAAGGCAATATATTTGTATTAAGTCACTAAATCTGTGGTAATTTGTTATAGCAGGGATAGGAAATTCATATAGTGTTTGTGTGTGAGTGTGAATGGAATGTGTATGTGAGGTGTGTGCATGTGTGTGAATGACTGAGTTGTGGCCTGTGTGTGTCTTGGGGGGGTGAGTGTGAGTGAACAGGTGTGAATGTGTGTGGGTGACTGTGAGTGAGCAGAGGTGTGGGTGAGTGTGAATTAGTGAGTGTATGTGAGCGTGAGTGAGCAGGTATAAGTGTGTGTGGGTGAATGTGAGTGTGACTGTGTGGGTGAGAACAAACGAGTGTGGGTGAGTGTAAGTGAGCAGGTATGAGTGTAAGTATGTGGGTGAGTGTGAGTGAGCAGGTGTGTGAGTGTGTGGGGGGTGTGAGTGAGCAGGTGTGTGTTAGTGAGCAGGTGTGAGCATGAGTGTGTAGGGGTGAATGTGAGTGTGTGGGTGAGTGCAAGTGAGCAAGTGAGTGTGTGGGTGAGTGTGAACGAGTGGGTGTATGTGTGGATAAATGTGTGTATGACTGAGTGTGACTGGGTGTGAGTGTGTGAGCATGTGTGTGAGTGAGCGGGTGTGAGCATGAGTGTGTGTGTGAGTGGGAGTGTGTGTGGGTTTGAGTGAGTTGGCGTGTGTGAGTGAGCAGGTGTGACCGTATGTGTATGCAAGTGAGCAGGAATGAGCATGTGTGGGTGTGAATGAACGTGAGTGTGAGTGAGTGGGTGTGAGCATAACTGTGTGTGAGTGCACGTGAGCAGGTGTGAGTGTGTGAGTGAGCCGGTGTGAGTGAGCCAGTGTGTGTGTGAATGCGACTGAGCAAGTGTGAGCATGAGTGCATGTGTGAGTGAGCATGTGTGAGTCTGTGTGAGCTGGTCTGTGCGTGTGAGTGAGCGGGTGTTAGCATGAGTTTATGTGGGTGTGAGTGAGCTGGTTTGTGTGAGTGCGAGTGAGCACGTGTGACTGTGAGTAAGCGTGTGTGTGTGAGTGTGAGTGAGCATGTGTGAGCCTGTGTGTGGGTGTGTGTGATTCTTTCAGAGGAAATGCCATTGACACGTCCCTGAGCCATTTATCCCCTAAGCATTGCAGGATTGCCTGCTGAGAACTTCTTACTGGTCCTGCTGACTTTGGGGTTGGTCTAACACCTCCCGACTTCTCCCAGCCTTCACACAGTTGCTTTCCCTGGAGAGAACCTGGGCCCAGGAATGAGAAGCAGTCGCATTTTCTTCTCAGAGCTCTGAACATCTGCAGGCGTGAAGCTGCCTCCTTGAACATTAGCAGGTCAGGATCCGATGTGGCATGGACACCTGGGTTCCTGAGGCTTAGCCCAGGTCTTTCTGAGTCTGTGAGCTGGCCCAGGCCCCAGAGGGCTGGTCCAGGTTGGGGACCAGCTGAAGGCTCTGAGTGCCCTGGTAGCCTAGTGACCCAGAAGGCAGGGGTTGCCCACAATTCCCTGGTCATTGCAATCCCCAGGACTGGAGGAGCTTTCGAGGGCATAAGATTTCAGAATTTTACTACCATTAGTCTGGGGCTGGGTCCCAGCTGACACTGAAGGGTACACCTAATACCTTTTCTATGATAGGGCTGACATGTACACAGGCACCTCTCTATTGGCTGCTAAAATACCCAAATTCTTCTCAACAAAATTGGTTGGTAACTAGCCACTCTCTGAGGTCCGTAAGTGCTGCCCTATCCACCCAGCCTCTTCCCTGGGATCCACCATCCAGCAACTGAAGGGCTAATGTTCAGCCTTGCAGGGCATCTCTGGGACCCTGCTTTAGCCCTTCAGTCTCATTTTCTCTGATTACCTGGTTGTCTGCTTTCCCCATGTTAAGTATTTTGGGCATTACTCCTGATTGTCACAACATTTTTGCTGAGTCACAAATACTGCATGTTAGACAGTAGGAAGGCGTGGGAAGGAGGAAAAGAACACAAGCTCTTTTGTCCTAAAAAACTTTGCATGGGCCCATCAGCCTCTCTAAGCCTAATTTTACATACCTTCAAAATGGGCATACTAATGACTAGATTACCAATAGAACCAGACTGGCCCACCCTGTAGAGATTTCTAGCCAGCAATTACTGCCTCACTAGATAGGCATTCAGGCCCTCTTCTGTTCCATGTATCTGTGATAGGCTGGCTACCTTCCAGAGGTCCTGTTTTCTGACTTGCTTATATTGGCCTAGTGTGAACTGGTCTCTGGTGAAACACAGATTTTTTCTGTGAACACTCAAGAGTGGTTCTCCCTGGAACTTCCCAGCTCCTTCTGTCCTCTCATCAAGCACTTGTTTTCAGGCTGGAGAAGCTCTCCACCTGCTGTGATTGACATTCTCTGGGCCCCACTGTGTGATGGTTAGAACTTTCCAGGCTCAAGTTATCAGCTCTTCAGCTCTGCCCATCCCTGGGCTCTGAAAGTCCACCCATTCCCATTCCCATGAATCTCTTCCCACTCCCTGTACCTGACGATGTGGGAGGGTGACTGTCTTGCAGCCGCCAGCCCAGGCGTTAACCTCCCAGGTCTCCACTGCCAGCCTATTTCTTTCTTTCCTTGAGTCCTGTCCACCCAGCTCACAGGGTCTCAAATTCTGTTTCCTCACCAAACTTGGCAGGTCACTTCATAGCCTGCTTCTGCATGCAACCTTGGAATCTCCCCTGTTGCTGTCTATGACCCCCTCACTTTCTCCTGGCTTCTTTGCCCACCTATGGAAGGAGGATGAACTTATTTTCTGAAACCTCACCAGGAGAGATTGGGATCACAAGTGGGTAGAAGCCACAGGGACACCGATTTGTGGTCAAATGGAAGAAATGCTTTCAGAGGTGACTGGGGCTATCCCAAGCTGGAGTGGGCCACCTACCAGCTGGGAATTTGGTTCTTGGCTCTTCGGAGGGTTGAGGTCAAGAAGGACCCAGGTCCAGGGCTGGAGTGTGGGAGTGGAAGGGGCCCATCTTTAGGCAGATTCTTAGTCAAAGTTCCCCTGGTTTGTCTTCCTCCATTATTCTTGGTATTTTTTTGTCTTGAAACTGATCATCAATTCAATTTTCACAACTACCTTTCTGAGTTGGAAAGAACTTTTCCATTTTGCTTGTCAAGAAAGTAAATCTTGGAGAAGTTAAATAATTTAATTTATTTAAATAGACAATTCTTCTAATTTTTAACAACCAAAATTTCAATCCATGTTTTATTTGAATGCAAAGAACATCCACTTTCTGTGATAACACACTAGTTGAATACACTGAATAGAAAATGATATTTTATTTCTTTCTCCTTGAAAAATCATTTTAATACTCAAAAGAATTGAAAACAGGGACTTCAACAGATATTTGTACATCCATGTTTATAGAAGCATTATTCACGATAGCCCATAACAACCCAAGAGTCTATTGATGGATGAATGGCTAAAGAAAATATGGTATATACATATAATGGAATGTTATCTAGCTTTAAAGAGGGAAGAAGTTCTGATACATCCTATGTCATGGGCAAACTTTAAAAACATTGTGCTAAGTGAAATAAGCCAGCCAGAGAAAGACAAATTCTGCTTGATTCCACTTACCCGAGGCATCTAGAGTGGGCAAATTCGTAGAAACAGAAAGTAGCTTGGTGGTTTCCACGGGCTGGGGTGGGGAGGGAATGGAATGGATGGTTATGGTTCAGTGAGGACAGAGTTTTAGTTTGGGAAGATAAAAAGAAGTTCTGGAGATGGATGGTGGTGATGGCTTCCTAAGAATGTGAATGCACTTCATGACACTGAACTGTACATTTAAAAATGGCTAAAATGGCAAATGTTATGTTATGTGTGTTTTACCACTATCATAAAAAAAGCTTTTTAAAAGGAATGTCCAGAGCATAATTTAACATTATACGCTTATGGATCTATCACAGGGCAGGCTGTTAGAACAAACTGCAGAGGCCCTTATCACAGATAAGCAGGCTTGATGTCCCAAGTATCCTTGGAGCAATGGACCACTCAACAGATGATTAAAAAATACAAAACAAACAAACAAAAAAACCCACATGGTATTGATACTTAATATTTGCAGGCAAATGACATCATGAAAAATAAAATAATGTTTTTTCGGAGAAGCCACACTGTGGAAAGTCAGATGCAGGTTGGAGGGCAGATATGGTGGCTTCCTTAATGCCTACACCCCAGGTCAGGTGGATATTAGCACAGCCTTATTTGTAGCTACTGACACAGAGGTCACGGGCTCACTAACACACCAGGGGTCTCAGTGGTGGCCCTTGTCTTTGCACTCCATCCTCACTCCCTGTCTTCACAGTTGAGCCATGTGTGTGGTATGTGAGTGCATGTCCACACACACGTGTGAGCGTACAGCTAAATGCATATGTGTCGTCCGGATGTGCCACCAGGTAACATAGCCTCAGCAGATGATTCTTAGGGGCGAAGATCCCTCCTGGGAGTTTGAAAGACAAGGAGAAAAGTCTCCACCTACATATCTCTCCTCTGCAAGGGATGCCAAGGAGGACTGAGAGGCAGGGTCTGCATTCCCAGCCGGGTTTACCTGGTCGCCCAGGACAACAGACTTGCAGGCAGCCAAAGAGATCGTCAAGCAGCCGAGCGTGACAGTCAACATCAAAGTGGGAATGCCACTCCTTGATCCAGACTTGGCCATACCTGCCAGGGCAGAGTCTCGCATATGACCACCCCGGGAATTCAAAGGCGTTCTTAGAGCAAACGGACACCACACACACACACACACACACACACACACACACACAGCCCGAACGCAAAATCCTCCTCCTACTTTCAAATGAAAATAAAAGTCCAGACATCCTTTCTTCACAATTCTTCACTGACCTAATTATTCAGATCTGTGCTTCCTTTTGGTCTTTTCAAAGAACAAGAAGAATGGTTAATTTCACTTAATGGAATAATTGAATGTCATAATTGTTTTTTACATTTCAGCACAAATGTTTGAGTTAAGCTGCACACACTCTCTCTCCCTGTCTAGAGCTCTTAATAACCAGGCTGCTCAAAGAGGCCTTTCTGTTCCATCTTTTTGTTTCCTAACTGGACTGTCTGGGCCGGCTTCTGGCAGCCGGCATGTTCTGGGAGGGGGTCTGGGGGGAGTGGCAGTTAATGACTGTTTTGGTCTTGGATGTTCTGATCTCTCTCTAATTCATTATTTGTCAGGCATGAGAGGCACCCCGAACAGGATCATGAACAATGCCTTTTTATTCTCACTCTTATTCTCTCTCCTTCCCTCCTTTCCTTTCTTATCCTTCTTCATCTTGGATGAGGGAATAGAATCGTAACACAATGGCAGGTCCAAGAAGTCATCATTTTCAATGAAGTTTGCTGCAGTCTCATTTTATTCTACCAACAGCTAAGCTTATGCTAGTAGATTCATTCATTTGTTCAATCATTCATTGACCATATATGGAGAGATTACTATATGCCAAGACTGTTCCTAGGTGCTGGGGGTCTAGTGAATACAATATTCTGATAGAGACACAGGGTCAAAAATTCAGTAAGCACAAGAAAAGGTAGCTTCCATTGGAGGTACGTTTTGTGAAGATAATAGAACAAAATATGATGTAGCATTACTGGGGAGAGAGGATGGTTGGCTTAGCAAAGGGGTACCAGGAAGACCTCTTTAAGGAGTTGAGAAGAGATGAAGAGAAGTTGTCAAGTGTGGGAAGAGCTGGTGGAGAGGGCACTGCAGGTAACAGGAGCAACTGGTGCAAAGACCTTGAGGTGGGAGGGCCATCAAGGAGGCAAGGGTGACAGGGGAAGGAATCAGCACAGGGTGTAATTAATTGTCATGGATGGGACTGAAGAAGCAATGTGGAGCCAAGGCACACAGGACCTTGCAGGCGACAGTATGGAATTCAGATCTGTTCTCAAGACAGTGGGTCACCATAAGCAAGGAAAATTAGAAATAGTAAATATTGGAAAAAGTCTCTCTTGCTTCTATGTGGAGATGAGAGGAGAAGCAGAAGGATCAGTGGATGAGCTGCTCCAGTCCTCCCAGGGAGCATTGCTGGTGCTTTGCCAGGCGGGGTGGGATGGAGATAGTGATAAACACTCAGTTCCAGAAACACTTTGAAGGTAGATCTGCCGGGACTTAGCGATGGGTCAGAAAAGTGTGTCAGGCTGGGACACGAAAGAGGGGCATCATAGGTTTTGGCCTGAGTAACTGAGCAGCACTATTAATGAAGACTGTGCAAGACATGGTGTATTCATCAGCGGGGACAGGTTGTGCTGCAGTAACAAATAACCCCCCACGTTGCAATACCTTAATACAACAAATATTTGTTTTCATGCTTTTATTCAGTGCAGGTGCAGAGACACCATCTGGCAGCTGTGCCTTCTAGGGCATGTGGCCATGTAAGTGACTGCAGTGTGGAAAGGATGACAGCATGGAGATCCCACAGCCCCTCTTCTATGCTCTGGCTGAGAAGAGACACATGTCACTTTGGTTCTTTGCTCCCTGCCCAGAACCAGTCGCGGGAGACAAACTGTGCACCAAGAAGGGGATATGAGTCAGATATTTGTGAGTACCAGGATATCTACTACTGCAGGGGAGGCACATGTCTGAGTGGGAGATAAGGAGTTTTTCCTTGTATGTGGTAAATATTGAATATCCAAGTGGATAACTGCACTGGGGTATTAGAGCCCAGGACTCAGGGAGAGAAGCTGGGGCTTGATATAGAAATGTACAGTTGCTAGTGAATATCTTTTACTCTGTTTCATGTCCTAATTTTGCATTTTGAATACAGCAATGACAAAAATGCAATTATTCCCTCACCCCAGATTTGCTTAAAGGACACATGATATTCCCATCAATTTCCATTTAAGTACCTAGGAAAGTGCTCCTAGGAACAGCCCACCTGTGCTTGGCCCTGGGCTGTCTTCACAACCATGCATCCAATTAGTCCCATAGCAACCATTTATTCATGCCACAAATATGTCCTGAGCACCTACTATGTTCCAGGTACAGAACAATTTCATGAGTTTGTAAACTTTTCACACACTTGTCTCTGCACATTTGCTAGAGCTGCCGTTTTGTGGTGTGTCTTTGGTATCCCATCTGCCTGGAAAACTCCTATGCACTCCTCAAGGCCCATCTCAATTTCACTGCCATTGTGAAGCATTTGCTCACATCTCACTTGTCTCCCCAGAAAAGTTCTCTGCCCCCTCCTCTGGTGCCCTGCTGTGACATCTCAGTTGTTGCCCTGTTGGTCTCCCCACTAGAACTGAATTACACAGGGGGTGACTTATTCATTTATTCGATAAACACTTAGCAAAGGAAAACTGTGTTTTACCATATAGAGGCCATGGAACAGATCGGCTGTCAGTCTTCTTCATGTTAGCCACACCCAGCTTGGGTTGAGTACGTCAACCCATGGTTGGCCATGATAACGTCCTCCTCTAAGCACTCATGCCCACTCTGTGCCTTGCACGATGCTTTGTATTTTACAAGTAGCTTCTCACTGGCTTCTCTGCCCTCACCTGTACTCCTCTGCCCCAAGTCTGTTAAAAACACAGCAGCCAAATAACCCTTTGAAAAGTGTCTTGAGGTCTAAATTACATTATATCAATCCTTCCAAAGCTCAGATAAAATCATGTCACTGCTCTTGTCAAATTCTCTACATGGCTTCTCATCTCTCTCAGAGTCATTGCCCAGGTCCTTGCAGTGACCTAGCAGTTTCCAGCACTAGGGTAATGCTCCCACTGCTTCTCTGGCCCATCCCCTTGCTCTCTCTACCTAGCCCATGCTGGGCTCCTGGCTTTTCTTCAGACTCCAAATATGCTGTCATCTTAGAGCCTTTGTCCTTACTCTCCCATCTGCCTGGCACCCTCTTCCCCCAAATGCTTGCAGGGCGTGCTCCTTGGCCTCATTCAGCCTCTGTTCATGTGGCCTCAGCTAGGGTCTCCCTCTGCAGAGGGCATGAGTATTCAATAAGATCATACAAGGAAAGCACTCAGCATGGTTCCTGGTACTTAGCAACACATGCCAGCTGCTGCCATGTGAAGATCATGCCATAGGGCATGAAGGGTTGCGGATGGCTGGGTGTCCCAACCTGTTCCCTCTTTCCCTTTGCAACTGAAGACTTAGAGTTTATGATGTGATATGCCAATAAGAGAATGACGTGGGCTGTGGAGATCCAGGTAGAGCTAAATGAAGGCTACAAACACTTCTGTGATGTGTAGAACCCACCAGGCCCACCTCACATCTAGCCTCATGAGAAGATGCCTTCTGAGGGGATTCCTGCATCCTGCCTACAATGCCCCCTTCTCAATTTCTTCTCTTCTCCATTTTGCTAGCGTTGACCATTTCTAACTTCTCATGGAGATACTTGTGCCAGGCCCATCTGCCCATCAGAATATATCTTCCTCGAGGCTGAGATCATGTCTTTACCTTCTGTGTCATGGTACCCAGCACAGGACCTGATACTGAGGACACAGTGAAAGTGTTTGCTCAATGAATTAATGAGGTCTTCTTTACTCTTTCAGTAAATGGATACTATAGCTTGAAAAAGCAGAGATATTTTCCCAGGTTATCAAACTGGGACTCAGGAAGCAGATTCTTTCTCTATTGAAAATCAGAATAAATCCAGCTCCATGGATTTTACCCACTTCCACTTTACTGCCCTTTTCCTTGACAGTGAGTCCCACCTGCCATTCCTCAGCCCTCCCCTGACCCCTCTCTCCATCATCACTTCCCACTTGTGTTCTGTTCGCTCTTCTCCTGGGCTTTCTAAGTTCTTCCTCTTTGTCTTGCATACGTGGCACTGTCGTCCACTCAGTCTGCTGTTGACCTGGGTTTCCAATGGCTGGGGTCCACATATCTGCAGCATTTACAGAAAATTTGTGCACGTCAGATTACATGAAGACAATGGCTCATTCCATTTTCTTGTTTTCACTTGTGCAAATGGTAGGACAATTTTGGGAAATTTAACCCTAAAAGATCATAGAACGTACTGCCCTCATCTGGGGCTGGGTGAGATGTGAGATAGCAGGATGGAGAACTGCTCTTACTCTTGTCTTCCTCTGGGGCCAAAGAGGAGCACCCTTTCTCTCTGACTTTGAGGTGATCCTACACTCCCCATGGAGCCTCCTGGTCAAATCCCATCACTAGAAGGGATGGGGTACATGAGAAAGCCTTTATGTTTCTCAGAGTTTTGTCTGTTTGGGAATTTTTTATGGGAACTGAATGAAGTTGTTTATGAAAATGAAATTTGCAAATGAGAACATGTTCATTCAATAAAGCAACGTATGAATGCCTGCCTACTGTGTGTTTGGCACACAGCAGGTCCTTGGGGAGGCAGAACTTAGTAAGACACAATCCTTGCCATTAGCTCCCCTTCTAGCTTCATGCAAATTACAGGAAGTGGCTTTTGCTAAGCAGAGGTGGCCTTCTGCCAGAACACACAGCTTGGCAAGAGGAGCATAGACTGGATTTTCCTCTGCACTTGGCCTCTTATCCAGATGACCCCAGCAGTTAACAACCTGTATAACCTATGGGGCAGTCCTGCCTGCCATCAGTGAGTGGTGGCAGGTACTGTTTAGAGGAACATCTTAGATTCTATGGGACAAGCAGACAGACTTAGCCAGGTGCCAACTCTGCTGCCTGCTAAGGATATGACTTTGAATGAATACTTGACATTTCTACACCTCACTTTCCTCATCTGTAAAACTGGACTGAAATGAATGACTTCCCCAGGTTATTGCAAGATTTAGATGGGATAAGAAATGTGAAGGCATTTTGATGACTCTGGAATAACAGGTAAATATGGTTGTCAATCTACATTATCGTTATTACCTGTGTTATTGTGTAAATCATGCTGCAAGCAAATGGGCTGTATGGTCCAGCTGGAAATCTAATTGTCACTTGGAGTGCTTTGCTTTGATGATAGTAATTACAGTGGAATTCATTGTGGACTCCAAATTTGCTGTTTGAGCTCCACTTCATATCCCTTCATGTTTTCTGTATATGCACAATGACATAAGGCAAATCATTTTCTGCTTAGCAAAATTTTATCTCGCTTGACAAACATTAGTCGAGGTCCTACTCTGTTATATATTTCACTACATATAAAGGATGCAGATCTGAATAATGTACAGACCTTGCCATCATGGTGATGACAATGTAGTGAAAGAGACCAACATGGACATAGGAAAATTTAGGACAAGTCAGAAAGTGGTGACTGGTACAAAAATGGAACAGATAATGGGGGAAATTCAAGCAAGTGAGGAGATCATTATTTGCAGTACGGAAGTCTTCATGTAGCTGTGTCATTTGATCTGGGTGTTAAAGGGTGGTTACGACTTGGGTATTTGGAGATGGGGGAAAGGTGCTGCTGATAAAAGGACCACTGTGGAGAACACAGAGAGGAAGGAGGAGTAGATTTCAATTTACGGAGATTTGGGATTAAGAAAGAGGGGGACACTTTGAATAAATAGATGGAATAAAGATGGACCACAGAGCCTTTCTTCTATAACATTTAATTAAATGAATAAAAATTAATAAAAAGCAGCCAAGAATGAATAATTGCAATAAAGCAAGGAACTAGACCCAATCTCATGCTATTTACATGCAGAAGTGGAGTCAAAAAAAGAAATGTAAGATTCTGAAATGACTGTCTGCATATTTACTTCAACCCCCCAAATAATAACTATCCCATAAAAAAATGAGTCAACTGAGTCTGGGTGCGGTGGCTCACGCCTGCAATCCCAGCACTTTGGGAGGCCGAGGCGGGCAGATCACGAGGTCAGGAGATCGAGACCATCCTGGCTAACATGGTGAAACCCTGTCTCTACTAAAAATACAAAAATTAGCCAGGCATGGTGGTGGGCCCTGTAGTCCTAGCTACTCAGGAGGCTGAGGCAGGAGAATGGTGTGAACCTGGGAGGTGGAGGTTGCAGTGAGCTGAGATCGCGCCACTGCACTCCAGCCTGGGCGACAGAGCGAGACTCCATCTCTAAAAAAAAAAAAAAAAAAAAAAAAAAAAGTGAGTCAACCAAATTCTCCGATATTTTTTGGCAAAAGCCCCATTTCCTAACTTTGAGATAGGTAGACTGAGGAGATGAATAGGCAGCTTTAGGAAACATCAGGGAAAATTCACTGCATTTTCTCCAGGTAACACCAGTCTATATCAGTCAAGGTAGCAACAGGATAGAGTTGGAGCTAAATTTGCTTATTCCTAATCTCTTTCTGGAGTTATGAAACTTGTTTCCACCTGGAGTGTCTAGCCTTGCCAGGAAAATGAAGTGGATTAATAAAGAGTGGAGGGGCCAGTCATGCACATCTGTTAGGGGCTCAGAGGAAGAAGCAGATCCCGGTTTCACAGCAAGAAGTTTCTTTATTTAAGAAAACAGAAGATTTGGGAAGCGATGCACTTGTTTAGGATAAGTTAGGTGACAAGAAATAATTTGGCCACTCTAGAAATATGCTACATCAAAAGACAATTATAAAAAAATTAAAGACCATTATATATCAAATACAGATGAGGAAGACATAATCCCAGAAACTGAAGAAAATCCTTAGCAACTGCTGCTTTGTGTTATCTAAAATATAATATGATCATAGGTTTAGTAAAATAGGTAGTCAACAAGGTGTTAGTGACATCACAAGATGGAAAGAACATGATAGGATAAAGTTAAGAAAACCACATGATTACTGAAACAACAGCATGCCAGAATCAATAAATAAATCACAACAAAGAAAAGAACTATGTGGTTGAAATACTGAATTAACTGATATTGGGAAAATGCTTGAGAAAATCTAAATGAATGCAGAAAAAAGAGATTGACTCAATCAGAGGAAAGATAATAGACAAAGATAATGTCTTATATGACTGATCTGTGGCCCTAAAATCTAGAAATCAACAAATGGGACAACTGTTCATAGTCCTAATTAGAGGAAAAAATTCTCCTGAAGAGAGGAAAGAAATTTATTCATATTAAAAGACCACACTACGTTTTACAAAAAGTCAATAAAGAACATTTGACACCAAGACATATCCTGTTTAGTTTATTGAACACCAAAAGCATGTGGAATTTTTCAGACATCTGAGTGGGAGAAAAAAATCAAGATTTAGATTTTCCCGCAGCAACATGTCACACCCAAAGACAGGGAGCAGTACATAGAGTTCTAAATGATATGAGGTATGAATCAAGAATCTCATTGCAGGTAAGTTGTATTTCAGGTATAAATGCAACAGGCAGATATTCTGAAACCTGAAAGAAGTTATGCAATAGAGTCCTGTCAGGCCTTAGGAAGAAATAGTGTTCTATGTTAAAGTCCAGCAAATCAGAAGGTGATCAGAAGATGGTTGCACAGCCTTCAGTGTCCCCAGAAGGCTGATATATAAAGTTCTGAGGGAAATAAATGTGACTTCCAGCTCCAGATTTCACAACCAGCCAGATCACTTGAAGGCAGGGGCTAAGTCTGATTTTTCTCCGTAAGTATAATGACACAAATGATCAAAAACAAACAAACAGAAAACATGGACTATCAATCGAACAGTAGAATCTCAAGAAACACAGCATGTTAGTGCCTTTCTTTTTTTTCACCCTCTCAACCCGGCTTTTCCCATAAGTGCCTTTCTTGAAAAAAACAAGAAAGAAATTGACAGCAAATTTCAACTAACCAAGCGATGAATTAAATGAAGAACTCAAGAATGGGGAAGCTGAAGAGAAAGACTGGTGGTAAGCATTGAGACTATAGAGATGTTAGATTAATAGTAAAATCATGTAGGAATTATGGTTATAGATTGGAATGCAAATATTAAAAAACCAACTGATGTAAAAATAATAATATGACTAGCTAGATGAGGGGCTGGGAACATTTTTCTGTAAAGGGCCAGCTAATAAATATTTCAGGCTTTGCAGGCCATGTAGAGTGTGGTCGCATATTTATAAAATTTTATTTATTTATTTACAACCCCATGAAAATTTAAAGAGCTTTCATAGCTCATATGCCATATAAAAACCGGCTGGGGCTGATTTTGGCCCATGGGCTGTAGTTTGCTGACCTCTGACCTAGATCATTGGTCTCTTATCTACCATTAAATCTATGAGTCAACATGGCTTTGCTTTGCATAATGATCCCATTTTCTCCACTCTTGACTATTTGGAAAAGCTCACAATGTGGCTTTAAACAAAGATAAAGAGAGAAAGCCAAGCCGGACCTCACAACTCCAAGTCATGACACAAACCACTCTGCCATTTCACATGCAATTCTAGAGCTGTCCTGTCCAATATGGAAGCCCTTTCCAATATGGCAGCCATTACCATATGTGGCTGGTGAGCACTTGAAATGGGGCTGGTTCAAATGGAGATGTGCTATGAGTGTAAAATAGACACTGAATTTTTAAAACTTAGTATAAATAAAAGAATAGAAGTATCTCATTAATAATGAGTGATTTTTGTATTGATATATGTTGAAATGATAATATTTGGGGTATTTTGAGTTAATTAAAATATATTATTAAAATTAATTGTACTTGTTTGCTTTACTTTTTAAAAAAATGTGGTACTAGAAAATTAAAAATTACATTGTGGCTTACATTATATTTCTATTGGACAGTAGAATTTGAAGCACCTGGCAAGAAGATAAAATAACTTTTCATAAAGATGGAGACTTGCCATGAATGAAACCAGGTGTGTTAGGCAAATGGATTCTTTGTCTTCTGTCCCTTTGTTTTCCCAGTTGAAAGGAGGGTGGCTAGAGTCCCTTAAAAAGAACGTGAGGCTTCTGTTCAAATGGTGGAGGTTTCACCTGTTATCTCCGTGGCCTTAGGAAAGACTGGCATTTTGAGGTTTACTTTCTCATTGAGAAATAGGCAGAAAAGTTTGTGGAGAAGATTTAATACAAATCTCTATATTACAAAACCCTATAAATAGTTGTATAAACGAAAGGGTTCAGTAATACCCGCCTCACCCAGAGGTGGGCTGGTTTCATGAACACCAGGATTTAGAACTCAGCTGAAGGATGAAGCTCTTCGAGGTGGGCGGGTTGTGTCTCCAAATACATCTGCCTTCCCCAGCTCTGTCTTCCTCCCAGTATGTGCCCTACTCTCCCCTACCTTTCTGCACCACTCAGCAGGCTGTGCCACGAGTTCCTTCTGTCATTACTCTTTCTCCTTTCTATGCTGTGCCTGGGCTGAAATAACCCCTTTCTCGCTATCTTCTATTCAGCTCCCAATGAGACTCCGTCAGGCAAGCTTAATCCCTTCTTCTCTGGGCTGCCTGGTCTTCTCACCTCTCCTCCCTTCTCTTCCAGTTTGGCTGTTCCTTGAAGGCGGGGATTATATCTGGTATACCTTAGTAAACCTCACAAACAGCCTGGACTCGGGTCCAGTTGACCCCCGGCGATTGATTGGTAAACAAATGCACGTGCAATGACATTTACTCTCACTTTCAGGCAACTTGTGGAAGAAATCCTTGTAACAAAATCCTCACCTCTGTTGAGAAGTTGCATTGGAAAGACCATTTGGGGGTAGGCATTGATACCCCCAGTTTCTGCATGAGGATGGGGCTGAGAGAAAATGAAAATACTGTCGGTCTTGATTTGAGGCCCCTCAGAAGCAGATGCTGAGACAGAGGATTGTGTGCAAGGACATAGTTTGGAGGGTGGTCCAGGGAGACCTCCTGGAGGTGGCCAAGAACGAGGTCATTTCTGTGCAAGTGTTTCCTGTGGACACACCTAGAGGCTAACCCTGATGGGGCACCCTGGGAGACAGCACAGAGCCTATCTCTGAGCTATCCCACCTAGGTAGGGAAGAAAGCCTGGGGATCTATTCCCCATCGTCCATCCATCATGGTGGAGGCCCAGGGGGAACAGATCTACGTGGAGGGCTAGGTCTCTTAGCATCCAGCTTCTCCCTCCTCCTAGCAGACGAGCACAGCTGCAAGCTGGGCTGGTGTGCACTGCAGGAGAGCAGTGATCATGGGGACACCAATGTGTCTGCTACATCCACACACCCAACATTTTTTTCCTTGTTCATAAAAATGGATTTTGTTTGCAACACCAGTGTGTCAAGGCAACGAATCACATGTGGACTAAGCGAGATATGATCATCCCATCCTGTTAATTTTTGGTCTTCTTTGAAGACAAGCGGTGATTGTGGGACCCAGTTTTGATAATGAGACCAAAAGATAGGGCAGCTCTGGAGGCTTTGGGGAAAACTTCTGCTTTTCTGATCTGACCTATCTAGCACCATGCCCAACCCCTTCTTCTAGAATTTGGTGTCAATATAATTTGTAAAGTCACAGCAGCCTCCTTGGCATCCTGAGTGAAGAATTTTGAGAACCGCCGTCATACCATGCCTACGTTGACCTGCACGCCCTGGTTGTGTGGGGAAAATAATGAGTTAGGTGCATGGGCGCTGGCGCTTAGATTTTCCCTTCCCTGCCAATGAAAGCACTTCCACCTGATGCTCTTGGGGAAAATGGGGGAGGAAACGGGGTGGGGAGGTTGTTTATAGAAGGCCAGGTACTCCAGGATGTGACACTATGGACCGCATGGCTCCCCAAATTTTGGAGAGTAATGTTTTCTATTGCTGCTGTAACAAATTACCATAAACTCAGTGACTTAAAACAACACAAATTTATTCTCTTACAGCCCTGGTGGTCAGAATTCTAAAATCAAGTTGTCAGCAGGGATGGGTCCTTCTGGAGGTTCAGGTGAGAATCCTTTTCCCTGCCTTTTTTAGTTTCTAGAGGCCGCCTGCCTTCCTTGGCTCAAGATCCCCACCTCGCATCACTCGGACCACTGCTTACTTCCATTGTCACAACTCCTACTGTCTGAGCCTGTGTCTTCTTTCATCCCTTATATAACGACACTCATGATTGTGCTGGGTCTACCCAGACCATCAGGATCTTTTTCCTCAAGATCCTTGACTTGATCATATCGGCATAGTTCATTCTACCATAGGAAGTAGCATTCACAGGTTCTAGGGATGAGGACATGGATATGTTTGGGAGGGACATTATTCTACCTATGATAGAAGACACAAGTGGATTATTTTAAAAATAGGGAGCAAGTATTCTTCATGACTGGATACTGGGGCTGGGGGTGGAGGCAGGGGTAGGTATTGCATTTACATGCAGGAGCACCAAGGCAGACAGAAGCAGGAAGTGAGCTGCAGAGACAAGCAGAGCTCATAGGCCCAGGGCTGCGACTCTCGAAATCCTGGGACAAGTTTAAGTGTGAATAGCTGGGGGTGGGGGAGGGGCACAGTGACCACCTGGGTTACATGGATGGAGAACTCAATGAATATACAAATTGGTATCAGTGTTCTCTTCCTGGTGAGGGAAAAACCAAGCTGTCCCCTGCTTCCCTCCTCCAGGGGTTCAGGTGCTGGGCATAGTCTCTTCTGTCCCAGGAGTTTAGATAAGCACTCAGCCTGTGCTTGCACTTGGGGCCGGTCGGGGGGAGCCTCAGGGAGGTGAAGGCCAGGCAGATGTGCACTTCCTGGGCAGCCTCCCCAGACAGCGGGAGGCCTGGGAATTTGGGCCTAGAACAAAGCCTCTCTGCTGGGAGCACAAACAGGCTGCCAAGAATGTCGCTCCACTGGTTCCTGCGCCTGCCCCTCAGAGCCCTGCCCTGGGCAATGTGGAAGAGCATCAACAGAAGGAGAAAATCAATCAAGCCCTGGAAAGCCAACCCCACTGGCACACGCAGCCCTCGTCCTCTCCACTCCTTCAC
The DNA here is from genome assembly GCF_000001405.40 of Homo sapiens. NCBI lineage: Eukaryota > Metazoa > Chordata > Mammalia > Primates > Hominidae > Homo > Homo sapiens. Next base: position 98,819,507 of record NC_000014.9, on the reverse strand, counting down.
AGCTCCTCAGATAATCTGCCCCATTGGTTTCAGGCCTTTATGCATTTTGTTTGGTTTCTAGAGGTGGGTGGATATTCTGCAGAAGAAAAGGGATTCAGATATACTGGGCGTTCAGCTGAAATAATCCTGTGGAATAACCACTATGACCCTCACTTTTGGAAGGAGGCTCAGAGAGGTTAGGCCACTTGCCCATGGTCACACAGCACACAGGTCATAGAGGAAAGACAATTCTGGTCTCTGTGTGGCCTTCCCCAAACTCCATGCTCTTCTCAGCTGACAGTTGCCTCCTTCCCTCTTTCAACCTGTTAGTGGACATAGACTTGTGGAACAGGCCCATTTCCTCCACCACTAAATAATGGGAAACACAACGGCTTAACTCAAAACAGGGTGGGGGTTGGGAACAAAGCCATGCCAAGATATTTTAAGTCAAACTTCGCGATAAACGGAAATTTGATATTTCTGGATAATTCCCAATGAGCACCCTTCCCCTTTAATTATCTTGTGGTCGCCCTTTCAGAGGTGATTAAAGCTATTCTTTAGTAGATGTGGTTATAGATTGAGTGGGAACCTGGTCTTTCTTGTGGTTTTTATCGTAGCAATTAAATCTGGCCAGCTCATAGAAGCTGTGTGGCAGGAGGGGTTTTATCAAGCAAAATGATTTTCCCCTTCGAGCAATGTTAAATTTAGGAAAAATACAATTAATTATACCAGACAGGTATCTATTATACATTGTGCATGCATTAGAGCTCCTGGGCTCGTTTCACTCAGAGAGGGAGGCTCTCTCCTCCTAGCCTGTGTGTGTCCCAGGCCAAAGCCCTTCACTGAGGGCTGGCGGGAAGCTTCCTGCCCCCTCCCACCCCTCAATTCAACACCCACAACTCTTTGGAAGTAAAAATGAAAGGACTTATGTTTACCAGAACTTTCTCAAATGCTATCAAAGGTGTATTTTGGTGTTTATGTTGATAAATAAGGGTGTTCCCAAATAGCAGAGAAAAAAACCTTTCACCTCTTAGAAGAAGAAAAAGACAAAAAAAAATTCATCTGACCTCTGCCCTCTACTCACTGTGACTCAGGTGGATCCCCCCAAGATCTTCGAGGCTCCTTTTTTCCCCTTCTGCAAAATGAGAGGGTTAGACCAGATAACTTCAAAATCCTGCTCAGCTCAGAGCTAGGAATGTAAACGAAGGCTCAGTGGCACGAAGTCCTGATTCCTCGTTAAAAGACATAATTAATATTTTTTCTCAGGTGCTTGCTTTGTGTTCCTGATGTTGAAAGGGGCTTGGGATTCGTATATGATTATACTGTTTCCTTTTTGCTGGAAGCTTCATTAGCGCTCAGATAAATTTAGGAAGAAGGATTCTTAAACATTATTGATAAGCTTCGCCCATCTGTATTGCCAGTGGGAGCTGGTGTTGAGCATATGCTCTGGAAGTATTTGCTGAGAAACAAAAGGGTGACTTTTGAAGATGTCAGTGATTTGATACCATCTCCTAAACACCAATGAAATGTCAGACATGTCCATTACTCACTCATGCGATGCAGATACATTTTTATAGAATGCACATGTCCAGCTGGTCCATGGACTGGGTTTATGATGCAGCCAGCTTGGGTGCAAGGTCCCAAGTGCTTCCATCTCTTTGTCTGATCCTAGTCCCTTCTCTAACCATCATCTTTCTGTCTCCGTTCCCTTTCCTGATAAACTGGGATAGGTTTACCTGCCAGCTGTCTCACGAGGGTGTTGTGAGGATTAATGAGATAATATTTTTTAAGTGCTCAGAGATCTTCTGATGAAAGAGGCTATAAAAGTACAGAGTGTCACTATTATTATAATTAATGGCATTTCTGAGAGCTTTCAGAGTATACATTGGGTTGCGCCAAAGACAGAGGAGATCCCTGCTTCAGGAGGCAGCCGCCTGTAGGAGAAAACAAGGCGTTAGACTCTGTGTGTGGCCCAGACAGAGGTGACAAGTGGGCTCAGATTCAGCAGTGGGACGGGCGTTGAAAATCTGATTCCACAATAGGGGGTATTGGTGGGGAAAGCGCCTTTGCCGGGAGACAGAGGACTGTCTGCAAAGATGGCTTCCCTTCCAGGGAAGTATGGCCAAGTCGAGGTCAACGTGTGAGCAGATCTCAATGTGGGCACCAAAGCAAGGTGCGTCCCTGGGTGGCTGTTTTTCCTGTTATGCCCTGTACACGAGGGAACCTGCCAAAGAGTCTTGCTCCTCACCACTTTACTCCACAAACAATGACTGTGGTCCTGCCAGGCATCAGGGTTCCAATGAGAAAAGGCATCATCCCTGTTGCAAAGAGCTCAGAATCTGCTGGGGAAGACTGACACATGCTCTAGGCGTGACTGTAGGGAATGGGAGTGCTGTCAAAACAGACGGAAAGCAGGAAAGCCAAGGGCACTGTGGGAGGACAGAAAAGGGTGATTTGACCATACTATGGAAGTCAGAGAAGGAGTCCTAGAGGAAACAGCCCCTGAGCTAACTTCTGCAGGTCCAGGAAGGAAGCTAGAGGGAGGCCAAGAAAGGAGACAGCCCACGCTCGATTGGGGTCGCTGTAAACAGGTGGGCTGTGGGATGAGATGAGGAACCTGAGAGCTGAGCGGGGGCGGCCTGCCAGGAGGAGGGTCTGACGTGAGTTACTGCCACAAGGAGGGGTGAGTAGGGGCCCCAAGGAAATAGCATTTGGGGGACCAGTTCAGGCAGCTGGAGGAGAGGAGGTTTTTTTTTTTCGGTATCTGTACTGCTTGCTCACATGTCTGAGTTGTGGATAAAACTGCAGGGTCTTCCCTGGAAGACTTGATGTATCTTTGGGAAATGAGGGCTAAGTAGAGTGCCAAGCACAGGACCTGCTACATCATTTGTGGGACCCAGTGCACAATGAAAATGCTGAGTCCCTTGTTCAAAAATTAAGAATTTCAAGATGGTGACATCAGAGCATTAAACCAAGATCAGGGTCCTTCTAAGCACAGGGCCCTGTTCAACTGTGCATGTTGAACCCCAGGAAACCACCTCTGACCAACCATGTGGAAGGTGTTCAGTGCCTGGAACAGGACAGCACGGCGCACATGGTGGAAGTATCGGGCCGCTAGGCTGGTCCTCTGGCCATTCTCCTGTGCACATGGACACCATTCTGGTGGCCAGGAAGAGAGCAACAGGTGTTAACATAGAAACGCAGGAAGAAGAAGAAGAAATTCTGGTGGCCCTTCCATATACGTTGGATAGAAGTCACAGAAGGTTTCTTCTGTGTCCAGGGCGGGAGCCTTGCGAGTCAGTTCTTGCCTTGGCACCTGAATGCATATTCTTGCCAGATGTATCAGAGTAAATGGAAGCACTAATTTCTGGAGTTCGTATGCCAGTGATGGTGCCAACACATCGGATCAGCAGGAACTTCCACAGAGAAAACTCTGGCAGATGTATGCGTCTTCCCGGGAGGAGAATTCGAAGTTAATCAATAGAATTCGTATATTAATTCAGAAACACCTTTTGAGCACTGACTTTGCCAGCTTCTTGCCTGGGAACTGGAATGTAGATGGGAGCGAGACACAGTCCCTGCTGTCCTCATGGGGCTTTCATTTTGTGAAACCTGACTAGTAAAGTACCAATTATTGCTAAGGCAAGTAACACAAACTTTCACTGCTCTTTTCTTTATTTAGATGTCTTCATCTACAAAATGCGTTCTATTTCAGTAAACACACAAATATGTGTAAGGTTTCCCATAGTTTGTGTCTTACTTCTGAGCCTACTGAATGTTGTTTTCCCTATAAAATCTTGAGCCTCTCTAGCTGGTCTTTACCTACCAAGAGGATACACAGGAAGATGACATCCTTAGGATGGAAGCAGCCACTCTACTCTGTTGTTTTCCAGAAACGTAGTTTTATATTATATTTAATCATATCCATTAGCATTATTATTGTTGAACTCAATTGGCGTTTGCTTAGATTTTCCTTTTGTGTTTTCCAATCTTGTTCATGGTTCCTTCTTGTATCTCAGACCTCATTGCTGCATCTTTTCCCTTCTCAATTATGTACATCATTTATACGTTTCTTTGGTGAAGTATGTTGGTGGTAAATTCTCACCTTTATTTTTAAGAAATAATTTTGACAGCTTATTACAGTTTTTTAGATCATAAATATCTTGGAAGTTCAAATAAATAGTGTGTATGTGTGTTTGTGTATGCCGGTGTAGGAGTGTGTACATGTGTGCTATAAACCCGAATATGCTCTTTTTCAAGTCATTTGGGTACCACAGCAGTCACGATGACCACTGGAAATGTCATGGGCTCAGTATCAAGAAGACAGAATTTTAATGCCATTTATTAACTTTGCGACTTGGGGAAGACTATGTACTCTCTGTAAGCCTCTGTCTCTGCATTTTTTTTTTTTTTTTTTTGAGATGAAGTCTTACTCTGTAGCCCAGGCTGGAATGCAGTGGCACAATCTTGACTCATTGCAACCTCCGCCTCCCAGGTTCAAGTGATTCTCCTGCCTCAGCCTCCCAAGTATCTGGGATTACAGGTGCCCACCACCACGCCCGGCTAATTTTTGTATTTTTAGTAGAGACAGGGTTTCACCATGCTGGCCAGGCTGGTCTCGAACTCCTGACCTCAAGTGATCTGCCCCACCTCAGTCTCCCAAAGAGCTGAGATTACAGGAGTGAGCCAAGGCGCCCAGCCTGTCTCTGCATCTTTAAATTGGGGAAAACAATGCTTTTTCATGGAGTTTTTGTGGCAAGCAGAAGGAATGTCTCCCAATGCAGCCCTTCAATACATTGATCGCAGCTATTATTAATCTTCTGTGTATTCAGTGTCATCCTTTGAAAAAGTTATGTTTGCCAGGAGCTTTTGGAAAAAAAAATTCACCCTGACGATAGTATCACTATCTCACAGATTCCTTCCCCTGTCTCTTCCCTCCCCTCCTCAATGTTTTCAAATTTAAACCCACCACGTTTTGGGAACATGTCTGGGAAGTCCTTCAGCATGTAGACCAGTGACAGTGTACAAGACAGGGTGCACCCTGGTCAGTGCCAGGCTCAGCCCCCTCTGTCTGCTTCTTCTGTCTGTCAGGTTCAATAATTGGACTGTCACATCACTGCTTTCTTTAGTGCCAAAGCCTTAACTCCACTTCTCCCCAGTGAGGACCTGTGAATCAGGTCAATGGGCTAACCACAGCTTAAGCCGCTATCTTTGAGCCGGGCAAACTCATGGTTCTAGACCTGTCAAAGCCCACCGGTTTCCAGGTTCCCTATGCTGCCCTATTAAAGTAGAAAGTCATAAGCCGGCATTGAGATTTTCAGAAGGGTGGATATGACATCCTTTCCAGTAATTTCCTAATAGAACCACTTTTCAAACAGGTTGTCAGTTATCTAAAGCCTGAGTATATTTTCCTCTAAATGGAATTTAATAAGATGGAAAGCATTAAAATGAGAAAGAGAAAAATATTTGTGCAGTGGAAGGAGTACCATGAACTTTGAAGTCATAAACCTATGTTCGGACTTCTCCATGCTGTCCGTGCTGGGAGAACTACTGCAGCGTGCCATGCAGCCTCGGCGCCTCAGTCTCTTCCTCTGTAAAATGGGATGGCCGCTGCTAACTCGTAAGGCAACTTGGAGCAGATAGCATACGAAGGATCTAGCTTACTGCTAACACTGTGTGTTTTCTGTCTTTCTCTCCCTCCCTGAATCCTTCCCAATTATCATGCCATAGCTGAAAAATACTTTAGATACCATTTAATTAGAGCCCCCTTGTTTTACACATGTGCGAAGCTAACACCAAGTCAGTAGAAGATAGTTGCCAGAGGGTTCCAGTGAGAGGAAGACAGCATTGGAGCTACACCCAGACCCCACTTCGGGGTCCATCTTCAACCACCCATATGGGACTGAAAGTTCCCTCCCTCTTTGCCAGCTTAAGAAGTTTCTGATTGTAATTGAACAATGAATTAAAGAGAAGAAAAAAGAAGACAAATTTGACCCACGGTGGTTATTCCGTACATGTTTGTGGGATGCAAGGAATTCTTCAAAACTAGAGACTCAGATACAAATTCACTTGAGACATTGATGCTAAGAAATGTAATTTCAGGCATGTGTTGACAATTATGCCGTTCTGCCTCCAATCCTCATTACTGAAGGCTTGGGCTGGATTATACCATTTTTGGCAGCTGGGGGAAATGAAGTCAGACAAAGCAAAGGATGTGGTTGGATGAAAAGGCAGGCTCTGGCCTCTAGTTGGTCCAAAACAAAGTTCAAAGTTCTAGATCTTTGAGCCTGGAACTTAGTCCTCAACTCTGCCTTGTTCAATAATTTTATCACCAATGTGAACAACAACAGGGAATAATTTGGGAAGAAGACCAGGCGTGGAGAGAAAGCCCTGTTGCTGGCTGACAAAATCCAGGAAGACCTAGTAGATTCGAGTATCATGGTGACATAAACAAGATGAAAATTCATTAAACATGGAAAAGATATATATATATATATATATATATATATATATATATATATATATATATATATTTTAAATTGAAAACAAACACACCAAGAACAAAAACAAGGGCAGAAAAATTGAAGAGAGGGGTTAGGTTGTGATTTAATAGGTTTAATAAGCAGAAGTCTGAGAGATTATTAGTTGACTGTAAGGTTGATCATAGTCAATACCAGAATATTTCTAATACAACAGAATTGAAATAAAAATAAGTTTGGGTTGCTTTAAGAGAAATTCGCATTTAACAAAGTAAGATGTAATCTCAGCACTTTGGGAGGCGGAGGTGGGCGGATCACGAGGTCAGGAGATCGAGACCATCCTGGCTAACACGGTGAAATCCCGTCTCCACTAAAAATACAAAAAATTAGCCAGGTGCGGTGGCAGGTGCCTGTAGTCCCAGCTACTTGGGAGGCTGAGGCAGGAGAATGGCATGAACCTGGGAGGCGGAGCTTGAAGTGAGCCGAGGTCGCGCCACTGCACTCCAGCCTGGGCGACAGAGCGAGACTCCGTCTCAAACAACAACAACAACAACAAACAACAACAACAACAACAAAAACAAAGTAAGAAATGAAATGAGAACTGTTTATGTTTTTGTAATAAAATCAAGTTTGGTGGATATCATAAACTTCCTGATGTGATGTGAGCAGAAAGGACTTTATCTCTGTGGTATGATTTCCAAAAACTGTCACCCCAGTCCAGTCATGAGAAATCACACAAACCCAGACTAGGGGACATCCTATAGGGTGCCTGATCAGTACTCCTCAAGGATGTTAAGCTACTATACACAGGGAAAGGCTGAGAAACTGTAATAAATCAGGGGACGCTGAGGAGACATGATAACTAAGTGCATTGTGGTGTCCTGGATTAGTAAGATGATATTAATGGGAAAACTGGTGAAATTTAAATAAAGCATGTTTGGTAAATAGTGATGTGGCATTGTTGGTTTCTTACTTCTGGCAAACATATCGCAGCATTGCAAGATGTTAACAACAGAAGAAACTGGGTGAAGGTATATGAGAACCCTCTTCACTATCTTTGCAAACTTTCCATAAATCTGAAGTTTTTTCCAAAATAAAAGAATTTATTAAAAAACACTATGCTGAAGTCACATTGTCTAGCTCATTACCTAATGCCCCTACATAAGCAACATCTGTCATGATTTATTGTTTGGAACATGTTTGCCCCCACTGCTCCCTACATTGAGAGGCTGTTGTTTCTACTAGTCTGACAACTTGCGGTGTTAAATGTTGTATTTCCCTTTTTGCCATTACCACCAGGAAACTCTGGATCCAACTTTGATATTAAATCAACCAAATGAGCTCTCATGATTGCCTTCTTCCCTTTTCTAATTTCTATCATACATTTTCTCTTTATAGACATAAACTTTGTTGAGAACCACTCTTTTGCACTCCCCAATTCCATTTCCTAAGAGAGATGGAGGGCAAACTGGTGACTCATGAAAGAGGAGAGGTGGAGAGAGAGCACCATGTTGTTTGAGGAAGGAGAGCAACATCTGGGTTATCTTGGAGATGACCAGCATGGGCATGGCATTATCTCATGATGAGGACATGGTGGTTAATAGAGAGGTTTAGGCCCTCTCTGTGTGTTCACAGAGCTTAGGGTCAGAACTCAAGTGTGGAAATTACACGAAATGTCACCTTCTGAGATCCAAAGCTGAGCTGCAACGTTGCAGATTCATAGCATGACCTGCTACCTCATGCAAAACACCTGCCAAAGGCTTCACTTTGCTTTGCCTTCCTATCTTTGACTTTGGAATTTGAGTATTTGAAAATACCACAATGTGTCTTTTCAGCCTATTTAGGATTGGGCTTTTTTTTTTTTTTTTTTTTTTTTGGCATTTGCAACCAGAACAATCCTAACTTCATGTATTCATTCTTTCATGTCTTGATCAATTCAGCAAATATTTGTGAAGCTGCTGCTTCCTGCCCAGCACTGTGCTAGGTGGTAACACAATAAGAAAGAGGATGGGATAACAGGGGCTGAGAAATTACGCAGTGTCTGTTTGCTTGCTCTGAAATATTTCTTCTCTTCCATGCCAAAAGGTCTAGATGCACATTTCCTGTATATCCAAAATTTTCAGTAACTTCTCTTGGCTTTAAAACGTGCACCCTGCCTCCTCTTCTACCAGGAATTGTCTTCCTTCTTCATTTTCCTTGAAAAGGATAGGCACTTCTGTGAGCCTTTTCCCCCCCATGGAATGAATAGGTTCAATTCAGTTTAATAAACTCCCTATCTTCAGAGGGCATGAGAGTATATGAGAAGGAACGAGGCACAATTCCTACCCACAGAGGACTCAACAAATGGTAGCTGTGATAGTCGCACACACAGACATCTCCATTGCAACATGATGAACAAAATAAGAGTGGTAGGACCCATTGTAAAGGGAACACCCCGGACCCAGTCATCCCCTCCAGGAAGATTCACTTGGAAGGATTCAGGGAGAAGTGGTTAATGGTACCACCTGCTGCAGGAAGACAGATTTGGAGGCAAAGATAATGACTCTGAAGGTTTTAGGTTGTTGCAGCTATTGTGATAGACTCGAATAGTTCCCCTCATCAGCACAGATTTGGGAAGAGATAGCAGGGAAGTCAGGGGTGCATTCAAGGAGGCGCAGGAGTTGGACCATGTACAGAAACATGTCAGTTTTTCAATTCTTCTATCTTGGAACCCTTAGGAGGTCTTGGCTTTGCAAAACAACATATTACCTCTGAATCTGAATCTCTGAAATGCTGGCAGGGGGGCCAGTCCAGCCGGCACTGTTGCCATATGTGTTTAGAATTTCATGCACAATAATTAATTTCCATTCTGCAAAAATGAATAATTAATATAGCATCCCACGTCAATTGATCCAAACAGAAGTTGACACATATTAAGAGACACACGCTGCTGAGCAAACTTTTTAAACTGAAGCGTTTTATTAACAAAGCAACTTTTAAAAATTCCTTATCTACCAGACAATAGGAACTGAACATATTCCAACAAAGAGGGCAGGCCAAGCAGGGGGTGTCGAGTTGCGATTTCGGGAGGGGGAGGTAACGGGAAGATTACATTCATTTGAAGTTGCCTGTGGGGGAGCCGGTACGGAGGTGAAGGATGCTCCAGGGATAGAAGGAAAATAAAGTGACAGCCTTAAAGAAATTTAAGAGCTAAATATCTTACTTTGATTTTTAATTATGCAGCCATGATGGAGAAATATGGACAGAGTGATAGTAAAATTAGGGAGATGAAAAAACTATTTCAAAAACTGCCCATGACAAATACTAGTTAGGAGATGCAACAGCATCCCGAAGGCTTTATCATCCCTGTCTGATTCAAAGGTGCTCTTAATAAGTCAGTTGAAAATGTTGACAGTGTTACAAGTTTGCGGAGGACAAGAAGCTGAATTGAAAATACCTGGACCATATGACAAGGATCTAAAAGATCTTCTTTGATCAGAACTTTGAGACACCATGGAATATATCATCATATAATTGTTATCATTTTCATGATTGTTAATACTGTTGTTAATTCTAACATCTTCCATTTATTCAGAGCACTCTAGGTCAGACGCTGTGCTGGGCACCTGAAATGCTTTGGTGCTCCTGATGAGAAGAGAGCAGGCACAGCTGCCCCGACTTTCTGGACTAGGAAATAGGAGTTAGCAATAAGGTGCTCCCGGCCCCTTACACAGTGAGGAAGGTTGGAACCTGGACTCGTGCCTGGATCTGTGACTCCAAGTCTTCTGCTTATTTTGTAAAATAGGGCTATCTTCCCTTTAACAGGAGTGGAGACAAGTTCCAGATGTGAGGACTTGCAAAACAAACAAATAAACAATTTCCTTAATTGAGGAAGGGAAAGAAATAGCATAATAAGCATTTGCCCTTGGGACCCTGAAAGTCTTGGCTCTGGGAAGCACTGGCGTTTACAAAATCTCATGTTACCAGCGTGGTTTTCAAGAAGGGTAATGCAGGTTTTGGCCACATGAACGGAAGAATGATTCTTAGAATGAGGGAGGTGCTGGTGTCAGTGTGCCTGACTCAAATCAGTTATGTCCTGAGGGTTGCATTCTGCTTGGGTGATGCATTTCAGCAGCTGTCTAGACCTCCAGGAGGACAGTAGGAAGAGGCCTCCTGGGATGGTTGTGGGACTCGAGGACCATTGAGGGAGCTCTTCGGTTTGCTGAAGATGGGGCTTCTGGAGCTAGAATCATGCCCTCTGTCCCCTGAAAGATCTCCTACTTGGAGATTTTCTGACTCACTCCACAGGCCAGAAGAGGCACCGCTGGGGTGGTAACTCTCAGACTGAGACTAAGTCCCAAGGAGAAAACCCAACCTTGGAGGAATGCAGTGGCAGACGGCCAGGGAGACACATGACATGCCTCCAGGTGCCAGACGCTGGGTTAAGGTGGGGGCAGATGGAAGCGAGGGAGGTACAATCCTTGTTCTTTGGAGAGGAAGAGGGAGGGAGAGAGACAGGGAAGAAGGGAGGGACAGAGGATGGGGATCAGGGAGGAAAGGAGAAGGGGAGAGAAAAGAGAAGAGAGAAGAAAGTGAGAAGTGAAGAGAGGTGCCCGGCCAACCCCAGACTGCCTTAGCCACCCTGGTGAGGCACCAGACTTGTAGGGAGGAAGCTGTCTTGGATGTCCAACCTAGCTGAGCCTTCAGATGACTTCCGCCCTGGCTGTCATTTGTCTGCAGACACGAGAGAGATATGAGGAACCAGGAAAGAGAATAACAAATACTTGGGGCCATATGACAAGGCTCTAAAAGATCTCCTTTGATCAGAATTTTGAGGCACCATGGTTTAAGCCGTAGAATTTGGGGTGGTTTGTTACATAGCGATGGGGAACCAGAGGAGATGTCCACAGCTGCGGCAACGTTTCTGTGTGGCCTTGATTTTCTCTAACAGGCTGGCCTGGGCTTGTTTCATGGTAACCAGGCAGCTTTTTTTGCAAAGCAGAAGTGTGCAGGGCCTCTCAAGGCCTTCTCTGAGAATGGGCACAGTGTTCCTTCCACTGTGACCACACGGCCAGCCCAGAGTCAAGGTGTGGGAAGTAGATTCATTGTCCCTTGATGGAAGGTGTTGTGCTCATAGTGCAAAGGTTGTGGATATGGGGAGGGGAATAATTGGGGGGCATTCTTGGGATGCTCCTGTGAGCTTTCTAGATCTGCTTACGAAAAAGCATTGAGGTGAAGAGTGATGGCAACGTGACCATTTCAAGTGATGATGCTGTGAGCTGAACAAGCATGTCATAGTTATGAGCCAGAAAACACTTTTAAAATCTTTTTTTTCAACCCTCCCATTTTACAAATGAAGACACAGAATATCCAAGAAGCTAAGAGGTTCCAAAGGCCAACGGATCCCAAGGGCCATGGGATCTTTTGTGGGAAGGCATGGACATTGGAGCAGGCTGGCACCAATATCATCTGGCTGGGTAACCTTGGGGACCTCCTGTAAGCTCAGGCTCCTCCCCTATAAACAGGGGCTGTTGGCGCTCTCAGGAATATACAGACAGTTGCCACCTACCAGGTGCCCCCGAACAAGGGGTCACACTGATGATTGTTACTGCAAGTTGTGGCCTAGAACCTGGGTCCCCTGGTTCCTAGTTCAGTCCTCTTCCCGCTTCATCAATGGCCACTCAATAAGCTTCCAGATCCAGATCAACTCATACCCAAAACAGGAAGGAATGTCAGGTCTGGAGAAGCGAGCTGGGATAAGTGAACACCACCGAACGTCTGTGGATGTCCACGCGGTGACCTGCTGGGTGCTAGAAAGAGCCAGTGAAACACACCGGGCATCTTCTCTATGGAAGCCAGTTTTAACTGCTGTGTGTACGTGTATGTGCGCCTGGAAAAATATCATTATCTTTTCATAACAACTCCCACATCATAGTGGCTGACAGAATAGATTTACTGCTTAACGTAAATGTTGAATTTCTACACTAAAGCCATGTGGTCTCAGTTAGAGGAATCACAAACAATTTATTGATTTTTTCTAAAAAAAATGACTGCAGAAAAATTACACCTTGATGATAGGGTGTGGAAGACCTGGAGCAGGACTCTGGTTAAGAACAGAGGAGGAAATATTATGAATCAAAAATTAGTGGATGTCTGTGAAACAAGTATGAATGGAATGTAGAGTAAAAACAACTCTTTGCTTTGTCACAAATATCATATTGAGGTGCCGACTTATTTCTAGAAGATAGAATCTGAGAGGTACAATTGCTGTTTAAAACTGTATTTGCTAAAATAGTGTAGCATCTTAGATAAATATTGAAAAGGCTGTCTGGCTCTGGGGCAGCTCACTGGGCCCAGTCTTCAGGTTCAAGTTGCTCTTGAAACCGAAGCCAGAGAGCAGAGTCAAGGTCAAGTAGATGAGGAGGAAGGAAAGCTCCTTAAATGACCTTGGACAAGTTAATGAACTCTGAGGCTCAGTTTCCCTCTGGAAATGTATTCCAGATTAGAGAGCACTGGTTCCTTCCAGCTGTGGGGAAGGTTTGCATCTATAAATGTAAAGCTCTGCCCATGTACTGGCAAGGTAGCTGCACACACCAAGTGCACACACACACACACACACACACACACACTTACTAAATCAAATACCAAAGACCTAAATTTTATTAAATGCATTTTATGACAATATGAAATGAAGCCAGAGTCCAGCTGAATGAAAGAACTAATGCTGTGTGTGTGTGTGTGTGTGTGCAGACACAGTTTGCACATGGCCACCTACAAGCAAAGGTGGGGTGCAGGGAGAGGGTTATGTCATAACCATATGCTCTTAGCACTATTCTTGACTTGGAAGTCTGTTATTCATTGGGGTTTAAACACATCAGGTTTAATACCTGTAGCTTCTTATTTTGCTTTATTTTAGTAGATTTTTTTTCCTAAATAAAAAAAAAAGTTAGTTAAAGTAAAAGAACTGGAGGGGGCCCAACACTCAGCCCTCCCATTCTTTCTGTGAGTAAGTGGGTACTGGAGCCTTCTGCAAGAGGGCCGGCACTCCAGGTAGGTGCAGTCGATGTGGAAGGCATTGGTCTTGCTGTATTCGTTTTCATCAGAGATTCCCAGCTTACACTCCACAGCTTCATTGCATTAAAATCTATGACTGTTGAAATTTCAGGGAGAAACATTGATCTTTCTTTTGCCCATTAACCCTTCCCCGCACCTTCCGAGAAAATCTGAACCAACCTGTCTACCTTCATTCCAAAGTTCTTTTCTCCCACCAAACACAGCTCCACCTCCTTGCACCCTAACTCTCCAGGGGCCTCCCCATCCTATCTGCAGGGACAGGTCTTGTGGAAAGACAGGACGCTGAGGGTCGCTGAGGGGGCGGGTTCCTGGGGGCCAGGCCAGGGCAGCATGTGGGGCTTTCCTGGAGGGTCCCCAGCAGAGAAGCCCTCTCTCTTCTGTTGGCCCCTTTGTGCAGGGAGCTCTTCCACGGGGGCCACACCAGGATGTGCTGAGCTGCCAATCACACCATCAAGGCACCAAGTCATGCAGGTGCAGATGTGAACTCTTGGGAGGAGAATCCCTGGTAAATTCATTCACCTGACTTTTTTCTTTTTTCTTTTTTTTACCAAGACGGAGTGTTGCTCTGTCACTCAAGCTGGAGTGGAGTAGCACAATCTTGGCTCACTGCAACCTCCGCCTCCCAGGTTCAAGTGATTCTCCTGCCTCAGCCTCCTGAGTAGTTGGGATTACAGGTGCCTGCCAGCATGCATGGCTAATTTTTGTATTTTTAGTAGAGACAGGGTTTCACCACGTTGGCCAGACTGGTTCCGAACTCTTGACCTCGTGATCTGCCTGTCTCAGCCTCCCAAAGTGCTGGAATTACAAGGCTGAGCCACTACGCCTGGCCTTTTCTTTTTTTTTTTTTAATTGTGATAAAATACTCGTAACATGAAACTCATCATTTTAACCATGTTTAAACGTACAATTCAGAATATTGTACAACCACTATCACTATCTACTTCCAAGAATTTTTTTATCATCCAAAGCAGAAACTCTGTCCCCACTGAACAACCCCTCATTTCCCCTCTCACCAGCCCCTGGTACCCACCATTGTACTTCCCATCTCTATGAATCTGACTACTCTAGGGGCCTCCTATAAGTAGAATTGTGCAGAATTTGTCCTTTCATGACTGGCTTCCTTCACTCAGCACAATGGTGTCAAGGAGTGCCTGTGTTGTAGCATGTGTTACAATTTCCTTCCTTTTTAAGGCTGCATAATATTCCATTGTATGTATACCACATTTTGTTTATCCATTTGACTATGAATGGACATATGGGTTGCTTCTGCCTTTTGTTTAGTGTGAACAATGCTGCTATGGACACGGGTGTACAAATCTGCATTCCAGTTCCTGCTTCCGATTCTTCTGGGTATATTCCCAGAAGAGAAATTGCTGGCTCACATGATAATTTCGTGTTTAACTTTCTGAGGAACTGCCATACTGTCAGCTGGCCTTTGAGTTCTGACCTGGGGTCTGCAGATGTGTGGATCTGCACAGGGCAAATCTGAAGGCCCTTCAGAGGCAAAATGGGTTGCAAGAGGCTTCGAGGGGTTGAGCCATCTGTTCTGTCATGGACACTGCTGATTCAGCGCCACTCCCACGCAGACCCCAGTTGCTTGAGCATTTCAGTTTTGTTCTGTGTAAATTTCCTGGAGTACCAGGTATGTGAATTCTTTGCCAGAGCCTTCACAGAGAGATTTTTAGACACGTTACACAGGAGAAGATGAAGCTTGGGGAGCTGCAGAGATGGCCTCCAAGCCACAGACGGCCAAGTCAAATGTCAGCTCCTCCACTCCTGGGTAGGAGCTTGGGCTTATTAGGCAAACTCTCTGGGCCTCAAATGCCTCCATTGTAGAACACAGGCCAGCACACCCTCCGAAGGGTGTGACTTAGGAATGCGAGATGATGTGCTCAAGCACAGCGGTGGGTATGGTCTAAACAGTCACATTTATCAGCCCTGAACTAGCAAATGACACGGCTGGGATTTCCATCCATATCCACCTGATTTTGAATTCCATGCTTCTTCCACTGCAATTCACATAGATCTGGATTCAGTTTTATCTGTAAAAAGAAACCACAAATACCCTCCTCCCAGAGCAGCTGTGAGGAGCCAAGGGGTTGGTTTATGTGAAGAGCTTGCCCATTCTTTGGGACAAATAAGCACTTACCACTTGCCAGGTGCTGGGCTGGGCTGTTCAAACATGATCTCATTGTGTGTATCTCTACCATGGTCCTTCAAAATGGGGATCATGCCACCTTGCAGGAATCATCAGGAGAGAAGGAGAAGTCCACTCAAGGCTTCACAGCTACAAAGTGGTGGAGCTGGGTACAAACTGATGTCCACATGACCCCAAAGCCAGTGCTCATAACACAGGGCTGTTTAGCTTCTTAGATTTCCATCTAGGATCAGCCTCTCAGCCCACTCTTGCTGGGGGTCATTTCTGGGAGATCTAAAGGCATGTTCACCCATCTCCATTCCTCGGGCCAGGCCCTTGGCCTGCAGCAGGAGGGGTGGGCAGTGTCTAGGAGGAGGCAGGCAGAGGCTGCCTGTGTTGGGCTGTGTCTCCCGGCTGACGCCACGGCCAGGGCCGCCACTGTCTCTGACTGGTTTCCTGAGTCTGGATGGGTCTGAGGTTTCCTGTTTCCCTGCAGCTCAGGACTGGCCTAATTGGAAAGACATGTCAGGCTGATGTGTCCAGCATGCTGGAGATGAGAAGGAGGAGGAGAAGGAGGAGGAAGGGGGAAGTTCAGTTTGCTCAGGTCATGTCTGTAGAGGAACTTGGAAGCAGACCCAAGGGGAGGATTGGAGACCATAGACCTCATGGGTGGGAACAAACAAGAGATTCTCTGAGGAGCTTCCCTGGACCACAGAATCCAGACCCTTCTGGGCAAAGCAATTTGGAGGAGGAAACAGAGTCTGCTCTTTGCTGCTCTTCAGCCCTGGGCAGTGTTCCTGGCTCTCTAAGCCTCTTTTTCTCACCATTAGATGGGTGTGGTTCTACTTCACAAAGATGGGAGCCCATGGATGGCCATGTGCTTTGTATAATGACCGACGAGATTCTGAAAACCTGGGACAAACATCTGCAGGTGAACAAATACATGTAACTTTTAGAGCATACCACCTAGCCCCTGAAGAAACTGCGTGAAGTCACAGCACTATGTGAAGTCATAGCACTATGAGAAGTTTGCCAGTTCTCTTCAAAGTGGATAAAGAAGGGAACTCCAGCAAGCAGTGCATATTGGTGAACACTTGTACCCTGTTGGGTTTCACACCAAGGAAACGAGAGGACAGGATAGCTCCCCTTTCTACAGGTTTACTCTCAGATTATTCTTGATCTGGTCAAGAAATCTCTGGATTCAGGTTTAAGCTTCTTGCTCCCAATGTTAATACTGACGGTGGAATAGAAACATTCCCCTCCATCATTTTCTTCTCTAAGCATCTGATGGTCCTCAGTTTTCTCATCTGCAAAATGGCTATCAAGGCATTGCCTTGGGGCTTGAATGGGGTGGGCAGAGTAAGGAGCCTGGCTGAGGGCCAAACCCATGCTCAGTCTCTATTTAATACTGTGGCTGCTGGTCCTCCTCCTCCCTAAATATGTGTGGATGCCTCTGGTCAATTTATCTTCATGACTCTCCAATGCTGCCAGCAGTCCCCCTGCCCCTGCACTGGGGCTTCTTGGTGAGCAGGCGCAGACGTGGAGGCTGGACTTCATGCTGTGAAGGGGACTCCCACATGCCTGTAGAAACCATGGCCACCACAAGTAACATTTCATCCCCCGGCTCGTGGCAGCCGGCCACAGGGACATGCACCAATGCACGAGGCTCAACTCACGCTGGCACATGGGTCTATCTCCCTGCAGGGCTCTGGGAGGGCGGGGAGTCCCATGTCCCTACGCCCACAGTTCTCTGGCCCTGAAGTCCAAGGGGTCCAGACTTGTGCAAAATAAGGACCTGGGATGCTAAAGGCATATTGGTAGGAAGACCTAGCCCTTCCCTTGTTCCTGCAGCCAGCACAATCCATTGTTCAGCCAGGCTGGCCCCCATGGTTCCTCCCACCAGCGATGGCAGGGGGTCAGACAGTGAGAACCTCCCAGCTGGCTCTAGGAAAAATGGCAAAGGAAGCAAAAATTTCTGCAGGATTTCGAAGAAACAGTGTGGCATTGCAAGGGTTTTGCAGTCAGACGTGAGCTTCATTTGAACTCTGACAGCCACTAGCTGTGTGGTCTTGAACAGGTTGGCTCAAGTCTCCAAACTCAATCTTATTCATCTGTAGAAACGGGGATGGTGTCTGCTGTGTGCGTGTGCCTAGGTGTGCCTGTAATGATCAACCATGAAGAGGCTCCAGGTAGAGCCTCTGGCACATGCTAGGTGTTCAATAAAACTAAATTCACGTGGAAAGAGTGAATAAGACTTAGTAGGTGATAGTGCAGCAACAGGGTGACCAAAGTCCATTGTAATTTAATTGTACATTTAAAAATAACTAAAAGAGTGTAATTGGACTGTTTGTAACACAAAGGATAAATGCTTGAGGGGATGGAGACCCCATTTTACTTGATGGGATTATTACTCATTGCATGCCCATATCAAAACATCTCATGCACCCCATAAATAGGTACACCTACTATGCACTCACATAAATAAAAATAAAAATAAAAAAATAAATAAATCCACTCTCCCCTCCTTTCCTCCAGTGCGCTGTTACATGGCTGTCAACCACTTTTCAGCTACTAGCTCTCAAGCACCTACTATGTGCTAGGCATTCCATTCCATTGCAGAAATGTGACTGACAGCAACTTAGACACAGCCACCGTGGCTCTTAGAGTCTTCTGAGGAAGGATATGTAGACAAGCAGTCATGCCCCAGAATGGCCCTGGCCATTGGTGGTGGTAGAGGGGGGTGGGGGAAGTGCAGGTGGTATGGGACATGAGAAGAGTTTCTATCTGCTTCAGTCACTCAATAAGGATTCATTAGAAACCTTGGCTTGCTGTCTGCCAGGCACTTGGTGTACCGAGATGGATAATAAGTGGTTTATGCTCTCGAGGAGCTTATGGTCTAGTGGGGCAGAGGGGTATGCACACAGATAGTTGCAGAGTTTAGAATTAAGATCACTTGAGAGTACAGATACTGGGGCCAAAATATACCTTTTTAAGGCAGCATCCTTTAGGGAGATAAGATGCTTCCACTCTGGACAGCACAGCCTTGACTGTAATGGAGATCTGGGGTAGAACCTTGACTCTAGCCTCAGATGATCAACCTTCACCTTCGTTTCCCTGTTTGTTGAGTAGGGGATAAAGGGATCTAATGAGAGAGTTTAAGTCCACCCCTAGGCTAAGTATTTTAACAATGTTAGCTTATTCGATCTATAGTTAGGTGGGTACCATTCATGTTATACAAAGAAGTAGACACCAAGGAGATAAAGTGACTTGTTCAAGATCTCAAGGCCAGTGTGCAGCAGAATAGGTGTGAAACCTAGACTGATTTGGTCCAAAAATCCCATGCATTTTGTTGTTGTTGCTGTTATCCTTGCACTTTGCCTCCCTGGGTAGGACTAGTTGACACCCACTGTCCTGACTCTCACTTAGAATTTACTCCAAGGCAAGATGCTGTGGACTGTCACAGTGCACCTTCCAATGGCCACTCCATGGAGAAGGGTGACTGTGAATGGGATGCTGTCCAATTGTAGGGCTCTGTGCATCATTTCTCAAGCAGAAGGTGCCAGAATCACCAGACCCAGAGGAGACTGTTTTCCTGACCATATTCGGAGGAAGCCTCTTTGCTCTGTGTTTATCTAATTGATCCCAGGGCTGGGCAGTGGTGAGCCAACGTGAGGCATTTGCTGACTATATGCCATTCTATTTTTTGAGTTGGGATTCACAGGAAAGTGAAGCCACATTTTTTTGCAGCCAAGGGGAGTGGGGCCAGGCATTTGAACAATGGGTTGTCTCCTTGGCCACCAGGCCAGGCATAGTCATATTTGGTTATGTGTGGGGCAGGAAATAATTATTTATCAGTACATTTATTTTCAGGGCTCTGGGTAACAGGCGATTGAATCCAAATATGGCCTGGAGAAAGCTTTAGTTCTGTTATATACTGTCTTCTTCTCCTGGCGCTGATTCTTTTAACTTTTGCAATTGTCCTTTAAACAATTCCAACTACGTTTTTCAGTGAAATTATCCCCATTAAACACACAGACACACTGCTTTTTAAAGAGAGGGTAATAAAGGAAACTTCATGTGGATCAAGCACTGTACAGAGAATTGCCTTTTGGGGCCCTGTGGATTCTGGAATCAGAACTGAGTTGGAACACTGCCTCCATCAACTACTGGCTCTGAAATGTTCAAGAAGTTATTCAATCTCTCCCAGTCTCAGTGTCCTCATCTGTGCAATGGGTATGAGAATTCCTACCCACCATGGTGTTGCAGGGGTAAAATTAGATAATACGTTTCAAAGCACTTTGACACATGTATCTGTCCTGGGTTGAATAGCGTCCCCCCAAATTCATGTCCTTCTCAGAAGCTCAGACTGTTTTGAGGTGGGTTTTGGGGGACCCTTACCATACATAGAGATGGAGGTCATGTGGAGACAGAGGCAGAGCTTAGAGTAATATAGATATAAGCCCAGGAGACACAGGATGCAAGGCCACCGAAACAACCAGGGAGAGGCAGAAAGAACTCTACACCTTGATTTCGGAGTTCTGGCCTCTAGAACTGTGACAGAATAAATCTCTGTCTTTTTTTTTTTTTTTTTTTTTTGAGATGGAGCCTCACTCTGTCACCCAGGCTGGAGTGCAGTGGCATGATTTCGGCTCACTGCAACCTCTGCCTCCCGGATTCAAGCAATTCTCTGCCTTAGCCTCCCAAATAGCTGGGATTACAGGCACCTGCCACCACGCCCGTCTATTTTTTGTATTTTTAGCAGAGACATTTCACCATCTTGGCCAGGCTGGTCCCGAGCTCCTGACCTCGTGATCCACGCACCTAGGCCTTCCAAAGTGCTGGGATTACAGGTGTCAGCCACCATGCCCGGCAATCTCTGCTGTCTTAAGTCATCACCCAGTTTGTGATGACTTTTCTTATGGCAGTCCTAAGAAAGGATCTACTACCCAACAAATATTTTTATGGAAAGCCTAGCACAGAACCTGGCACAGAGGCCCAGAATTTATTATTTGCTTGAACTTGGTGTCTGGAGATGCCTAGACATTGGTCTGGTTCAATAAATATGAGTTCCTTTCTTTCTTCTCTTATTTCTGTTCTCCACTTAGCCCTCTGCAAACAGCTCAGCAGAAAACCTTAGTCAATTTTGCATGCATTCACATAATATGCAAATGCAGGGCACTGGTTTATTTTATACTGAGACCATATATACAAATTCTACTTATATATACAGTTCCATATAAAGTACCATGTCCCCTGTAAATAGACTTTTTGAAGTTTACAGAGATGTTTTGAGCTGTCACACTCTTCCCAGGTGGTGTGTTACCATCAAATATCTGAGTGGGCAAGTGTAATTTATGTAGGCATATATCATGCTTATAAAGGCCAATGCCATTTCTCCAGGCCCCCGTGAACACTTAGGGCTGACAGTGCCTAAATAAACTGGTTTATTTACTGCAGTAGTTACCTGTTTAAGACTGGCCATTACGTTAAGTAACACAGAGTGCCCAGACTAATAAATTTACAGCGTGCCTGTTTGTTTTACTGAAGAATTTATTGCAGCAGTAATAACTGTCAAAGGGTGAGGCTGGTGAAAGGGCCAGAGCTACACAGAGGATCTATCACATGATCAGCTTCCTGACAGCCCTCTGGGGAGCTCTTTTGTCACCAACACAAGCACCTGAGTGGATGCCTTGGATCAACGGACAGGGAACTTGGGAATCAGCTTCTTGGGGCAAGATCACCTCTTCTATTTGACCCATATGGATGTGAGTACCAGGCTTTCTATGTTGTGGGAGTGATTTACAGCAAGGCCCTGGAGATTGACGCTCATGGATTTGATGATGCTTCATGCCAGCCAGAAGAGGGGAATCCCCTGCTTTCAAATCCTGGCTAACTAGATGGTGATCGGGGAAAAACTATTTACAGTATGCAGTCTTATATTTTCTATTCTTAACTCATATGTGCTTTTTGTTTTGAGACCAGCCAGGGGCCTGAGGAATGAAGATTAGATTGGATTGGATAGGATTGGATTAGAAGCCTTGTGGAGTGGCTTGACACATGGGTTTTGGAGGCAGGTAGGTAAATTCTGATCTTAGAGTGGTCATTTATATGTTGTGCAGCAGCGAGTAAATGTATTTAAATTCTCTAAGCCATGCATCTGTCCTCTGAAAAACTGGAATAATTCTCTATTTTACAAGGTTTTTGTGATGACTGGAGGAGATATTATTCACGATGCTGCTCCTATTGCCATTTGATCCACATTTATAGACTCTAGGGTTCAGACAAAAAGAAGACAAGAAACAGGTTTTCTAGTCTGGCCCTTCCCTCTCCCTATTTTGCAGAAGGAGAAACTATGAACATGAGAGGACCATTGACTTTTTCAAGGTCAGCCTGCAAATTTGTGGCAAAGTCTTGGTTAGACACAAGGTCTCCCAAGTCCCAATCCTGCCTTTGAGTCAATCAATCATTCCACAAATGATTATGGAGCACCTCCTATGGGCTCATAACAATGGCAGAAAAGATGGGATATTTGTCGGTCCTGCCAGGTTCAGCCTCAGGCTTCTCCGGCTCTCAGGTGTCAATCAAAGGACCAGGTATTGAGTAGAAAAGCAAGAGAGGTTTGTGAAATGAATAAATGACAGCCCTGCCTAAGAATGTAATGGCACTGTGAAAAACACAAGCAAAGAATTTTGAGGGGGTTTAGAGGAGGGTCTACTAGTCCTCTTGGGTTGGGAAGGCTTTCTAGAGCAGGAAATACCCTCTCTTTGTCCTGATAGACATGAGCAGCCAGCCAGACAGGGAACAGGTTGGCATTTCGAATGGAAAACAGTATAAGGAAAAGCACTTTGAAGATAAAAAAAAATCTGCTTAAAGCGGCAGAAGTGTAGGTTGAGCGTGGTTAGTTGGGTAGATGAACTATGTGTCTGGGAGGTGCATGTCTTGGGCGAGCTTTCCTTACGTCCTCTGTGGTGATCCTATAAGGCTCTGTGAATCAGGCACTGGAGGGGTTATTGTCCCTACTTTTCAGAAAACAGGCTTCAAGTCTGGAGTGACCTGCCCAAGATCACTTAGGTAGCATTCATTCATTCATTCATTCACATAGAACCTACTACAAAATTTATGGGACAAATAAAAATATAGAACCTTTCCTTCAAAATTGTTAAAAATTTCAAGACAGCAACAGCAGAGCATTAATTAGGTGCAGGGCCATTCTGGACTTGGGGCCATGTGCAATGGCACAGATCATGTGCCCATGAAGCCAGCCCTGGTTCCACAGGTATTTATTGTGTGCTTACTATATGCCACCAGCAGTTCAGGCACTGGGTATACAGGAGTGAACAAGCAAGAGGTGCCCCCCTCCTCTCCTGAATTATTTGGGTGTTGGGTGGGGGTGGTTGGAGGGAAGATACAATAAACAAGTAAAGGGATCAATGAATGAGATGATTTCAGGCACTAATGTGTGCTAAGAAGGACCTAAAACTTTCAAGGGTGGGATGGAATAGGTAATCAGGCATTACTGAGTCGGTGAGCTGATGTCTAGGTGATGAGATGTTGTGGAGATCAGGGGAAACCGCACTCCAGCCAAAGAAAAAGCAAAGGATCTAAATGGAGCACAAGCTTGGAGCATTCAGGAGGAGGCACCGATGCCGAAGGGGTTGTAGGAGCAGGGAGGCTGCAGTGTGTGTATCTTGCGGGCCCTGCAGGACGTGGCAGGGGGTGCTGGATGAAAGACACTGGACAGTGCTGCGGAGGGTGACCCGGCAGGAGCATGGAGGCCTCTGGGCCAGGATGGCTCTTCATCAGCCTCTCCTCTCAAGGGTGGGAGCTCTGGGGATCAGATGCCCCTGGCTGGTCACATGGCTCAGTAAAGAATGATGTGAGAGTATTGTTTTCAACTGACAAGTAGAACATTAGATGACCACTTAGGTGGTTGTCATGCAACTCGTGTCCAAGAAATTATAAGAAAATGGGGATGGCATTTGGTGGTAGGGATAAACAATTTTTCTTTTGTTGAAAACTCTGATAATTATGAAAAAATGCAAGCGGTTAAGTGAAAAGAAACTTAAAATTGTCATTTCAAATCACTCAGAAGTAACAATTATCTAACATTTGATAATCATCAGTTGGACACTTTTGTGTATATAATAGGAAACAAGTTAAAATATAGCTAGAAAGAATACATATTGCTAGTACAAATTATATTTCTGGTTTTTATAAAATCAAATGCATATTTTTTGCTTCACTACAAAAACAGCAGCAAGAAACTGAACAACTTGATTTATAGACACATGTTTCTTCATCTAAAAATGAGATTCATTATGGAAAAACTTGAAGAATTTTTAGAAGACTCTCTCAACTTTAAAGAGTACCTACTGATTTTTTCTATAAAAGATGAAAAAATTAGCATGTCTGTGCTTTCTTTTATGCCTTCCTCTAGTCCCTGATTTTTGTCAGTTACATTATTAATTTTACATTTGAATTTTGTGTCATTTTTACAGTTTATATGTTTTTTACATTTATGAGTTTGTTAATTATACTTTTTACAATTGTTTAATGACACCTTTACGTTTGAATGAACTCAATGCCTTTTATTAGTCTTCTTAACATAGCTTCTCTATTCCTGAGCTTGTTTTTTTATTTTAATTTTTTTGAGATGGAGTCTCACTCTGTCACCTAGGCTGGAGTGCAGCGGTGCGATCTGGGCTCACTGTAGCCTCCGCCTCCTGGGTTCAAGCCATTCTCCTGCCTCAGCATCCTGAATAGCTGGGATTACAGGCGAATGCTACCACACCCAACTAATTTTTATATTTTTAGTAGAGATGGGGTTTCACCATATTGGCCAGGCTGGTCTTGAACTCCTGACCCCAAGTGATCTGCCCGCCCCGACTCCCAAAGTGCTGGGATTACAGGCGTGAGCCACTGCACCCAGCCAAGTTTGTTTTTTTATTCCCAGCATTGTTAACTGGGTTTAGAGTCCAGCAGATTTTAAAAGAATGAGTCAGGGCTGCTAGAGTCCTCAAGTACTCCATCCTTTGATACCTTCTATTGTTTTTATGGCTAAAGACTAGCTTGCTCTCTATGCAATTTAGGAGTACATTGTTTTCCCTCAAAACTTTGTTTGGAACAGTCAACTCTCTTCTGACATTGAATAGCTGAGGTTCATTCTGGGTAATTTGATTCTCTTGTTTAGATATCTTCATGATTTGTTTTGTTTCTCTTTGAGGGTCAGTCATAGTACTGGGATTTTATTATTTTTTCCTGAAATATAACATGTTTTTTGTTTTGTAGATTTTAGTGTTTATTTCAGAATTTTTTTAAGATGCCATGGATAATTTGTTTGATTTTTTTTCCTCCAGAAGCACCAATTATACATTTATTGGCTCTTGTTTAGCTCTTTTATATGTTATTATCCTCTATGTAATCATTTTTGTTGCTTTTCTTTTCATTTTACTTTGTGCCATTTCCTGAAGTTTACTCTCCAAGTTTTTTTGGTTCTGAATTGTGTTTATCTTTTTTCTTGTTTCCAAAACTATTTTCATCTCTAATATCATTTTCTTTTACATTTCTTTCTTTTCCAGATTATCAGCTGTTTTTATGTCTGATAACCTCTTCTTTGCACCATTGTATAACTTCCTTGAGTTCAATTCTATAGAGAAAAATCCCCTCAAAGCTACGTATAATTATTTTGTGATCTATTTTTTTATCCTTATGGGTAATTCCTCCTGATATCTATCTATATCTATGTCATCTACATAGATATAAATATATAGATATGGATATGGATATTCAACATGAATATATATGGATATATTCATATACATGGATATATAAATATATATATATGTTCATCTCTCTCTCTCTCTCTCTCTTTTTTTTCTTAGACAGGGTCTCACTCTGTCACCTAGGCTGGAGTGCAGTGGCACAATCACAGCTCACTGCAGCCTTGACTTCCTGGTCTCAAGTGATCCTCCCACCTTAGCTGCCTGAGTAGGTCAGACTACAGGCACTTGCCACCGTATCCAGCTAATTTTGTTTTTTGTAAATATAGGGTTTCACCATCTTTCCCAGGCTGGTCTTGTACTCCTAGGCTTAAGCGATCCACTTGGCTTGGCCTCCCAAAGTGCTGATATTACAGGTGTGAGCCACAGTACCTTGCCCCTACCTATCTCTTTTTTATATCTCTTTTCTTTTCGTTTTTTTTTTTTAGTATCATTAACATGTATTATGTCCAAAATTTGTTTCAGCCTACCTACGGACAAATGGTATGAAGAAGGACGGGGAAAAGTGAGCTGGGGCAGATGGAAGCCTCAAGTCTGACAAAGTGAATCTTTCATCCTCTTCACAATACCTAGGATGTCTTGTATCCTGGGAGATACAAGGCATTTTTTTGTTGTTGCCTCAGTTTTTAATGTTCAAATGCTGCTGTGGCTAAGAGTAAGGCTGCAGATTCTCTGTGCTGCCATCTTGAATTCCCACCTGCTCTCCCTCTTGGGATCCTTTTGACCTCCACAATATTTATCTGCTAAGAGACAATGAGGCCATGAGTCCTGCAGCCCACACTTCTTCAGACAATTTATATTTTTGGATGAGATCTCCAGAAGGGCATTGCTCACCTCTTCTATATTTTGCAAACAATTCTAGAATCTTAATCAAAGAACCATTGGCTACACATTGGCTACACACTGGCTACATTGCTCAAAAAGTTGGCATTTTAGGGACAACGTACTCCGCTTGAGATCCAAGCTGGTGGAGTTTTTCTTTGCTTAGTATCCTCCACCATCTAGGTTTTAAACTAGATGTTGTTTGGCAGGTGTGTCCCATAGCTTTCGGTTTGTGGTGGTGCTTCCCTTGTGTCATCTTCTCTCTTATTCTCATTCCTTTTTAAAAATGTTATTATTTTTGGTAGGTTTAAGAGTTGAGCATCAAGCAAAAATGTACTTTCTTAACCATCTTCAAATGAACAATTCCTGTGACTTTTAGATTAAGAGAGATGATAATCTAGGGCTTCTATATCTCCCGATTTTAATTGTAAGACAGATGCAAATTTAGCTTAAGAATTTAGGCTAAGAGCCAAGGGATCGTAGGATCAATATTTATATGTGGCCCAAATAAGTTTTGTCAGGAGGAATTTGAGCATAACAATGATAATATTGACTATAGCTGCTTGAATGCCTATGAT
Organism: Homo sapiens; assembly: GCF_000001405.40. Lineage (NCBI taxonomy): Eukaryota > Metazoa > Chordata > Mammalia > Primates > Hominidae > Homo > Homo sapiens. The sequence goes on along the minus strand of NC_000014.9, from coordinate 98,792,680 downwards.
GGTCCAGGAGCTTGGTTGATGCTTTGCTTATTTCAATTCAAATCCAAACAAGAACCTGCAGCCCACACTTCTCCAGACAATTTATATTCTTGGATGGGATCTCCAGAAGGACATTGCCACCTCTTCTATATTTTGCAAACAATTCTAGAATCTTAATCAAAGAACCACTGGCTACACATAGGCCACATTGCTGAGGTGAGGTTTGTTAACCCCATTTTACCAGAGGAAAAAGAGAAAAGTGAGAATATGAAAGATCAGGTGCCTGGATGATAAATCACTGAGCTTGCATTCAAAATCAAGTGACTTTCACTTCCTGATTCCTCCTCCTATTTTTCTCTATAGACAATATGTGAAGTCTAAAAATAAAATTTTAATTCAGTAGAAGTTTCAGCAAACCCTAGTAATTTCTTTTTCCTCATGCCCTTTGCTTTGAGTTTAATCTCTGTGGCTATTTTAGCGGCACCTCATGGGTACTTTTCCCTGGGCTCACTTATTATCAGTGTCCATTCACTAACCAGTGTATAACGGGAACTGTTAAGTGTGCCTGGATGAGAAGGGGGCTTTTTTTGTACTTTTATAGCTATTATTGATGGGTTCAATAATTTGGTCTATTTCCAATCAATATGTTCTATGCTAGGCTGAAGAGAACCAACTTCAAAAACTTTGTAAAGTTGAACTCTGGCCACAGCATCCTTTCACTCACTCAGCAATTGCAAATAACACAATGAGAGTGATTACACACTGTCTTCATCTTCACATTCTCTCACTTCCTCATGGTACATCTCCTAACCCAGTTTCTTTTCTTGCTGTATCTGGTGTCGGCTGAGGGGATAACCTACCACCTGGTTAGGAGAACTGCCCCTCCAGCCCTCCTCTGTGTATTGATCTCCAGCATTCAGTGGGTTCACAGGTGTCTGCCCGCAGAGTCTCTGCTTTGCTTTTGTCATGGAGGCACGGTGAGTGTTGTGACTCTACAGTCCTTTAGTCTTTTGTATTTGCTTAAACATTTAAAAAAGTTTTTTAATAAAAAAATGAATCTAGAGTGATTATTTTCACATCATCATTAGAAACATTTCCATAGGTGACCAAAAGCTTCAGTGATAGAAACTAGTAAGACATTATTAAGAAAATGTGCTTAAATTCAAGTTACATTTGACCATTTTCAAAAACTTGCTTTCCTCCTTCTCCCACCAGAAATATCTACTTCCCCACCTTAAAACGGTACTTTCAGCTTGACCTCCTCTGGTGGTACATAGCTTGGTAGCATTTGGTGCATAGCATTTGCCACTTAATATTGAACTTACCTATGTGTGGTTCTGTCTCTCTAAGGTGTTCCTTGAGTTCCCATCTTCTCTAAGAAGTTTCCACTTGTATCCTCAGTATCCAGTCCAGAAACCAGCAAAAAATTGATTGTCTAGAGAATGTTTCCTGCAGGGCATCATGAAAAAGCTAATATTTATAGAACACTCTTTGAAAAAACGGCTTCATGATTAAAGAGTGGTGGGAGAGGGAACCTGACTGCTTTGTAGCTCCTAAGCCTGCCACACCGTGGGCAGACACCCGTGAACCTACTGAAGGTTGGAGATTAATACACAAGAGGATGGGTGGAGAGGGAGTTCTCCTAACTGCTCCTTGCAGGACCTGACTGTAGCTTCCAGGGTTCCACCCTAGCAGCAGTTCTCTGGGAGGCCAATCTCATTACCAGTGGTTCTCAACATCAAGATGGTGTGTTGCCATATCCAGACCTTGAGTGGACTTTCCAATGATCAAGAAGTCAAGTAACCTCTCTCTTCATGGCTGTTAAAAACTTCGGCCAACATAGCATACTCAGTACAGGATTGGATTGAGGCAATGATACTGTGCTATAAAAGTGAGAGGCCATCATGCATTTATACCCACATCTTGACACATACACGTCCTAACTTTCCATGTTCTTTGCTTCTCTACAGATTTTATAGAAACTTTAAATAAAAATAAGATAATAAAATTCACACCATATAAAATTATACCATGTAACATTTATAGATGCCATTGACATCTTTGTTTTAAAGAATGTAAAAGGGCATTATATATGGGAGTTTTATAAAATTCCAAATTTTCAGCTGACAGGATGTTCCACCCTCAAACTCAACAAATGTCATTTTTTGGCCAAGCATGGTCAAAGAAATAAGAGACACAAGAAGATGTCATTGGTGTTTCAGGGTCTACTCTTTGATAGCTGTGTGGAAGATGAATTGAAAGGTGAGAGAAAGATGGAAGATTCTCGTGATGGGTGTAGAAGTCAGAGTCCCTGCTCACAAACAACCTTCATTCAAGTTCCAGGAACTGTCCTTCTGAGGCTCTCACAGCCATCCTGGGTGTTACCTCTTCTGGTTTTGCCACTGCTTCACAGTGGGACCAGGTGGGAGCAGGAGGCTACGGTTTTTCACACCTAGAAGGGCATCTGAAGAGCAACTGATCTAGCCTCTTTATTTTACAGATGGAAAAACCAAGGCCAAGGGAAGAAAATGGCCTGTCCAAACTTCCTGGGTCAGGCTGGCTTAGTGTGAATAAGGAAACCAGCGTCTGCACCCTCACAGCTGCACTCCCAGCCCCACCAAGGAAACCCATCTTACTGTGGCCTGAGTGGTAGCCATTTGAAGAACCTGACCCTCTGGGACTCAGAATCAACCCCCGTGATGACTTGTTTCATGTCCTAGTTTGGGTAACCATGTTTCTTCTTTGTTCTGGGACGCACACTCATTTTTAGTTTTAGCTGAAGTTTCTGAGAGTTCTTATGGAACTGACCACTACCTAATTCCTTTAGGAATGAGCTCTATTCAACCTTATTATTTAGGACTATTCCTTTGGCAGTGAATTAAACTCAATGGAGATGGGCTTAAACTAGATACAAGGAGACTTGCAGCAGTCCAGAGCTGTAAAGTCCAACGGTGCTTCCAGGGAGCTGCGTAGCATTATTCAGGCTTGGTTTCTTTCTATCTCTCCTCCACGTTGGCTTTCTATTTAGGGACTCTCTCTCCTTCTGGTGCCCCCTAAGCCAACCCCTAGTTTCATCTAGTTGCTGGAACTAACTCAGCAATATCATCAGAAAGAAAGCTTCCTTCCCCCCTCCAAATTCCAGTGCTTTCTCCATTGGACCCGAGTGAGAGTCACACTCATCCCCAGGTATGTGGGAATGGGGTAAGTCAACCTCACCTGAACCATATGGACTGAGAGAGGAAGAGTAAATTTTCCTAAGAGAAGTCATGGATGCTCGTTATCAGAAAAAGGGGAGATAGAGTTTGTGTGGGCAAACCAGCAGATGCTCAAGATGTCTCTCCTGCCCTCTCTCACCCTGGTTTGGCATTCTATCCCTGACTACCCTTGGCCTGGAGTCCGGCCCTGAAGGCTGCCGACAGACCTCTCCAAATATGACTGATCTTAAACACTTTTAAGGATTAGCTGTTCACTTTTTCTCCTTCATATTGGAGTTCTCCACCCTCCCTCTAACAGAGATGGTCCACCTGGGTTATCACCTGCTGTTGCTCTACCTTGTGACTCTTAACCATGAATAATGGACAAGAAAGCCTCCCTGCATGCTCTGCTATCTACAGACAAATGGTATGAAGAAGGACAGGGGCAAAGTGAGCTGGAGCAGATGGAAATCTTCTAGTCTTTATTTCAGAAAATTTTATTTTAAGACAGCATTGAATAGTTTGTTTGGTTATTTTCTCCAGGAACACCAATTATACAGTCATCCAATGGCTCTGTCTGGTCCCATGTCCCATTCCTTCCCCGTTAACCCCAACCTGGGTCAATAAATGGGGACGGATCCAACGGGCATCAGATCACGACCAATGCCCCACAGCAAGTAAATGGCTCCTCTGGGACTTGCAGCCAGTTCTCTAGGCTCACCTGCCCTTTGCACTATTCCAAAGAGCCAACGACACTGGAAAATCAAACAAAGAAATTAACATAAAGAAGCTCCGAGTGTGAATATGTCAGCCAGCCTACAATCAGAAGAGAAGAATCAAAAGCAGAATCAAGGCTGCTATTGGGCGTTGTCGTTATAGATGGGCACCCTCGTACTGCCATCTGAGGAGCAAGTTCTTTGACAGGTGGGGGAAGCACTGACTTCATTAGCTCGTGTGAGAGTGAAGGGGGGAGATGTCCCTGGGAACTTCTGGCAGCCTTGAGGGAAAAGGATGGTGACGTTGTGTTTCATATTGAACTTGGCATACATGGGAGTGATGGGGGTGTTCATAGGAGATCAGATGGCACTTCCAGTTTGTCTGCAAGAGCCTAATTACTGACCTGACACCCGTTTCTTCAAATAGGCCCGGGAAGCAGCTAACTGGTGTATGGAAGCATCTGGTAGTGCAATTACCCTGTCAGCTCTTTATCCACTTGTAGCCCTGTCATTAGACACTTCTTTTCCTTGATATGCTTAAAATGTAGAGTTACCAACCAGAGCAATTTAAAATGATATATAGTTATTTTTTTCTCTCCTCTCCTGTCGAGGGAGAACTTCATAAATGATGTCACAATAAACGGAATGTGAGAGAAACCTCAGAAATGAAATTTGTAAGGATAGAGACGGCGGGAGGAAGAGAAAGATCATGCCAGGGCTCCCGAGTGCTAATGAATTAATGGAGAAGCCAAGTTAATGAGTGCCGAGGAGGAGCTGTTGTCAGAGGTTTCGAGGTAATAGTGAAGAGTTATGGAGCCAGGAGGCAGAGCCTGGAGTGTTCAAAGTGGCCCCCATGGCTCTAGAAAGGGAAGGTAGAAAAATTAGGGAGATAGGTCTCCAGGCTAGGTAAAGAGTCAGGAAGACAAGGAGAATGCTGAGAACGATGGGAGTCCTGCAGCCCTGGAGAGATGTTGAAGGTGGAAGACGGAGAGCCCATGGGGAGCTTGCACACTATTATTTGTATAGGAATAGGGAGAAAGAAATGCAAGTGCAGGAGCAGAGTCTTTCAAGACTGCTCTCAGGTAAGTAAGGAGAGTTTCAACAATGGAGAGTGGGGCTGGGCATGGTGGCTCACACCTGTAATCTCAGTACTTTGGGAGGTTGAGGAGGGCAGATTGCTTGAGCTGAGGAGTTTGAGAACAGCCTGGACAACAGGGAGAAACCCCGTTTCCACAAAAAAAGTACAAAAATTAACAGGGCGTGTTGGTGCACACCTGTAGTCCCAGCTACTCAGGAGGCTGAGGTGGGAGAATCGCTTGATCCCAGGAGGTCAAGGCTACAGTGAGCTGTGATCATACCGCTGAACTCCAGCCTGGGCAACAAAGTAAGACTCTCTGACAAAAAAAAAAAAAAAGAAAAAAAAAAGATGGAGAAGGGGTGATTAAAGATTGTAGGAAAGGTATATGAATTTGGGGACATAAGGTGACTTGCAACTGTGTTTTGACTTAATTTATCCCCTGAGTCTGTATTTGAAAACGGAAGGATTTAAAACTCAGAGAGGTTTAATTATTTGCCCAGGGCTCACACAGCTCCCAGTTGTGGTACAACTCAGATTCTGCTCAACACTTTCAGAATTTGCTATAAAAATGCAGATGCTGTCTTGGGCTCAGAAAACTCACAGCCTCAGCAGGGGAGGCAGATATGCACCCCAAGAACAATATATCATGGGAAAAGTTAAAGTAGAATTTCTTCCAGATTTATATCCAGGCTTCTCTCCCACCAGGCTGCTATTTCCCCTACCAGATGGTTGTGGGCATCAACTAAGACCAAGGATGTGAACAGTTTTGTAAACTCCAGAGGTCTCTAGAAAAATTGCAGCAATTCTCCTTGTGGTTCTCTGAATAGCCTCAAAAGAACAGCAGTGCTGCTCAATTTATTTAGATGAAAACTTAAGGCAAACAGGTAATCCTGGTTGTCCAAGTACCAACGACATCTTTTGCACCTCCAGATTGCCATTGCTTTCCTTGGTGTGTCTCTTGCTTCCATCACTCTTTCTGCAAGAACCCGTTTGGCATCTACTGCATGTGAGGTCCTGTGCTGGTGCTGGGAGCGTGACGTTGAAGAGCAAAGCCAAAGTGGTTTCAAGGAGCTTTCAGCCTGGGAAGAGCAGCTGACACTTATCAACAACCCCTCATGTGGACATTAGTTATGATGCAGAATTGTTTTCTTACCTTGGTGCCTTCCATTGCATTGCCTTCCTCATCTCCTAGATGATGAATTTCTCTTGTAAAGTTCTGTCTTGCCTGTGAAAATAACCCCAATTGCACAAAGTAGGGGAGATCAGCCTAAGCCCTGGGTCCTTGGTGGGTGCTGTGCACACCTCCGTGGAAGCACTCCCACATTCTGTGGCAGTCTTACTGCCCCTTTGTTCAATGGAGTGGCTTGTCCACACTAAGAGGGGAGGTAAGTCTGATTCAGCACTGAAAACCCAGCACCAATAGGGCAAGTGGCATAAGTGAGAATTCAAAAACGATTTATTGATTGTATAAATTAATATCTGATGTTTAAGGGAGTGAATTTTCTTTTTCTGAATTTACTATGTATAACCGACCTGAATGATAACTGTCTTCTCATAAATAATGGATAGCAGTCATTTTAGGGGCTCCACAAATCTCAGAATTGATCACATTGCTCTTTTTCTGTGGCCTCTAGGAAGCTCAGAGCCTACTTTTAGCAAAATATGGAACCATCTGGCTTGCATTTTCAGTTACTTACCTAAGCAATAGTTTTTTTTTCCTTCTTACTATAGGATCACACTGATTTCTTTCCATGCTATTCTATTCTATAGAATAGAATTGAAACCACTTTTGCTATGCTATTCTATTCCATAGCATAAACATGGAAAGAAAGGAGAGTTAATAGACATCTTTTAAAGTGATCTGGTTATTAGAGTCATCTGGGTGGCCGTACTCCTTAAGTTGCTTAGTCATTGACTGCAGAGTCATAGCATATTCATAAATGATAACGTTCCTTCTCTTATTCTCCCTGAGGGTCTCTTAGGCAAAATACGGTATTGTACACAAGCACATTCAGATAAAAAATCCTATAGTTGGTGATAACTTCGAGTGATAGAATCTTAATAAACTTCCTGTGTTTGATTGGGTGAGATAACTAGAGATACATATCATGTGTGATCGCTGCACGACAGAAGATAAGCTGGTCATTATTTTCAGATAAAAATGCCCATCCATCCACAGATTGCAATCAGGGGGCTGCCATGCAGTTCTTGGTCTATTCCAGTTAATTAAATGCTAAATGAAATTCAGAATTCTGGCTTCTAGAGATTCAACAATCTGTTGCCATGTGCTGCAAAGTCACAGAATACAGTCCGAGAGCTTTCCTGAGGGGCTAGTAGTTGCTCAAGAAATACTCATTCCCTTCTGTTGAGATCTCCTCTACAAAGCCAAATGGGGTGATGTCTGAGCCCTCTTCTTCCTCTGACAGATGTGAGTGAAAGGTGTTTGCCAGTGGGGTGGGTGAGGGGTCTGGAAAGAACTCTGCGTCCCATTCTACCTGCTGTGGGGTCATCATTCCTGAGCTCCCATTTTGTGCGCTGAAAACATGAAGCGTATTTAGATGAAAATGAGAGAAAAAGATCTATTATAACAATTCTCTATGTTGGAATACTGTCCTGATTTTTCTGTCTCCAGGAATCAGAATCAGGCAGTCTCTACTGGGCCTTGATACCTACCCCTAACTATATGTAGTTTTCCGCTGAAATGAGCACTAGCCATTATTACTGAGCACCTATCAATGTCAAGTGCTGAGCTAACTATTTCAAACTCAAGTTCATCCTCACAACATCCCTACATGGAAAGTATTATCACCCACATGATTCTGAAGCTCAGAAATGGTAAGCAAGTTGCCTAGGGTCACCCCACTAGCAAGTGGTAGACCTAGGATTCATATGTGTGCCTATTTAATTAATAATATTATTTAAATATTAAATAACAATTAAACCTACCATTGGAATTATTTATTCAATAAATACATCATTGAATATCAACTCCATGCCAGGCACTGTACTAGGGGCTGACGTGAGAACTGTGTATAGTTTGCAGTACTGGCTGCTGTCATATGATCTATAAAAATACTACCAAGTCTTTTTTTCCTCATCAAGGACATGGACCTTCTCTGTGTCCCACTGTGGTGCACTTTTATGACAAGGAGGTCTCTTCTTGCCTGAGCTCTCTTAATGATAGTGAAGAAGGCTAGTTGTTGTTGTTGTTATTCATACTCTTGTTCGAAGCCCAGGTTCTAAGACTGTGTAAACTACATTTAATTTGTCCCCAAGATTGTGTTTTCTCTGAGATGTTCTGCAAATTGCCAACCACTGGCATTCCCAGGAGGGAGGGGAACCTGGAGAAGACTCAACTCTCTACCTCCCTTTTCCTGTCCACTCTGCCAGCCTGTCACTTAGCAGTGTCAATGGCCTCTCATTGAACAGTGCACAGATGACCAGGGGACAGTCCAAATCTCCTCTGGGGATTGCTATCTACCTAGAAGAATAAACCATGTTCTTCATGCTTAAATATGGAGAGATAACCAAACGCCACTAAACATCTGAAGGAAACCAGTGTAACAAAAGAAAGAGATTAAGATCAACATGCAATCTGGAAATAAATCAGAGAAAATTCAGAAGCAATCGCCTCTAGGCTTGAAGTTCTTTGAAATGATATTGCATCAATAAAACAAGAAAAAAATGCCACAGTAAAAGAAAAGAAGAAAGAAAACTCTTTATTAAATGTCAAACCAATAAAATGAAATAGCTGGATAGAAATGGCAGAAGTTAAAGTCAAAGACAACTCCTAAATAAATAAGAATATTGATAGGAATTATAAGAGCTGTAGAGCATTAATCCAAGAGTCCCAGTGAATGAGTTTCCTACTGTACCTGTGACAAAGTACACAAATAGTGGCTTCACGTGACACAGATTTATTATCTTACAGTCCTGTGGATTAGAACTCCAACTTGTGCCTCACTGGACTAAAAGTCAGGTGTTGCTGGGCTGCATTTTTCCTGGAAGATCTAGGGGAGAATCCGTTTTCTTACCTTCTTCAGTTTCTAGAGGCTACCTATAATTCTTGGCTTGTGGCCCCTTCTTCCATCTTCAAGGCCAGCAACAGCAGTTTGAGTCCTCATATTTCCATCCTGTGACTTCCTCTCCTGACTCCCCCATTCGCTCTTCAGGATCTCATGACTCCATTGGGCCCACCTGGGTAATTCAGGACACTCTTCCTACATTAAGGAGAGCTGATTAGCAACCTCAATTCCATTTGCAACCCGAACTCCCCTTTGCCACACAACCTAGCACATGCACAGGTTCTGGGAATTAGAGCGTGAACATCTTTGGATGACCATTATTCTGCCAACGACAGCCATATATGAGTTACTGAAAGCAAAGAAAAAAATGAGTCAGAAATGGTCACACAGATAGATTTTTTTTCCGCAACGCTGAAAAGATATGTCAGTAATTGGATTGAATGAGTTTTCCCAGAGGGAGGAGAATGAATGAAGAATGATCTATTCCTAGACATGCCAATGTGACATTTGAAACCCTGAGGATAAAACACATATCTTAAATGTTTTCAGAGAGAGAGAGAGAAAGGAGTAGGAGAGAGAAGGGAGAGTGAGAGAATTGGAGAGGGAGAGGGCAAAGAGGCAGAAGTGTCTGGGATAGGGTGTAGCCAATAGGGTTATGCATAGGGAGAAGCTGTGAGCTTTGGAAGAAGGAAGGGACAATGGTTTACTAATCTCCAGATCCCTAATGTCTACATGGCCTAATACTCAGTAGAAGCCAGGTTTCCTAGATTGTTAAATAAACAACAACTGAGCTCTTAATTGTTAGCTATTATTAATTGCTTAACTCTGCTATGCCAGGGTCAATATCTGATGCATCATCAAGCTTCAGAGGATAAGCTGACGAAATTCAGTAAGAATCGGTGGCAGCGAATCAACGAGGTGCTTTGGGAGTTTTTCAGATTCTCTTATTCAAAAAGTCATTCTGGATTTGTCACCTGGAGGAGAGTCTTATAGCACTTACCATCCGAGAGTTTACTGATGTCAATCACTGCTGGGGAAGCATTAAGGTGCTAGAATGTTCCAGAAGCATCCATACTGCTTGGCACTATTTGGACAAAGATTACAGCAAGAGAAAGACAAAGAGTGCTTCAGCATAAAGCCTGTCCATGTCATATTATTAAATCACACTAAACTCATGGAAGAAGCAGAGATGTTTGGCATGGTTGAATTTCTGAGCTAACTAGTACATTGGTTTTATTTTCCAGACAGATTTATTCATTTCTCCTTGGCTTTTTCCACAGGACACATATTTATAGTCACCCACAAGTGCCAATGAATGCAGCGGGCTGCCATGACTCCAGCGTGGCTCCTTCCTGCCATCAGTCAGTGCAATCCTGCTGGTGCACGCTCTCACCTCTGGTGCCTGCACACACTGGTTCCTGTCTAGGCTGCTGGTTCCCTCCTGTCCATGTCTGGTCATCTTCGAGACTCACCTAAGCTCCCTGAAAGCCTTTTCTGCCCCTGGGCCTTAACCCAGCCAGGGTCCGCTGCTTCTTTGGGCTCCTAGAATTTACCTCTGACCACAGAACTCCTAGAAACACTTATATCAGGATTGAAGATCAGGGAAAGATTCTCTTCTCCTGAGGAACTGTCCGAGGTCTTCCATTGTGATAACACAAGTGATGGATTCCTCATGTTCTCCTCTTTGTGTTAGCTGCTAGGAGCTTAAGGCATAGAAATTATCTTAACTCTTATACCACAAATAACGGCATGCTCCCTTTTTCATGTTACTCTTTTCAATTTCCTTTTATTTTCATTTCATGCCATCACTATAGTTGTTGTAAACTGCCTTACATCCTCTCTAACAACATGTAGGGTCTAGGTAAATAAGTGTAGGTAAATATATAGATGAGCAAATTGGAAGAGATGGGTCACAATTATATGTTCCCCCAGGGCCTGAACTTCTGGTGATGATGATGATGATGATGATGATAGCAGTAACTCATAGCATGTGGGACCTTTGATAACAGCCCTGTGTGCACCCTCTATTTATTCTGCAAGGTGAAAAGGAAAGAGGTTGAGCAACCAGTTTGTCATAGTAACCATAGCCACTCTGGGTCTAATGCTGCTCTGGGTATAATGCTCTGGGTCTAATGCAGCTCTGGGTATAATGCTCTGGGTCTAATGCAGCTCTGATTGTGTTTCCATGAAAGCCCTCTAGTTCTGGAGCTGCTACTGTGCTCTCATCTAGTAATAGACTGTAGCCGTAGATTCTGAGTCCAGATTTAACTTGTATTTTTATTTTGAACAATTGATGATTGGAAAAATGAGTGTATTAGTCAGGGTTCCCTAGCAGGGCAGAACTAATAGGAGATATATATATATATATATATATATATATATGATAGGATATATATTATATAATAGGATATTATAAAATATACATATATATCATATAATAGGATATTATATAATATACATATATATCCTATTATATCCCCTATTTTATATGATGGGATATATATATGTATCCTATTATATCCTCTATTTTATATGATAGGATATATATTTATATCCTATTATATCCCCTATTATATATTCTATCCCCTATTTTATAGATAGATAGATATAAAAAGGGGAGTTTATTAACTATCCCTTTATAATAGGATATATATATATATATGAGTTTATTAAGTATTAACTTACATGATCACAAGGTCACGAGGTCCCACAATAGGCTGTCTGCAAGCTTGAGAAGCAAGGAGAGCAGTGTGAGCCTCAAAACTGAAGAACTTGGAATCTGATGTTTGAGGGCAGGAAGTGTCCAGCATGGGAGAAAGATGCAGGCAGGGAGGCTAGACCAGTCTCACCTTTTCATGTTTTTCTGCCTGCTTTATATTTGCTGGCAGCTGATTAGATTGGGCCCACCAGATTGAGGGTGGGCCTGCCTTCCCCAGCCCACTGACTCAAATGTTAACCTCCTTTGGCAACACCCTCACAGACAACACCCAGGATCAATACTTTGCATTCTTCAATCCAACCAAGTTGACACTCAGTATTAACTATCACAATGGGTCTATATTCTTTGAAGGCACGATTTAGAAAGTAAAAAGAAAACAAAGGTAAATGTCCATTTAGCCAGGAATGTTTGTTTTCTACCATTTTATAGATGAGTAATTAGAGATGCAGAGAGTTAATGATGCATTCAAAGCCACAAGGCAAATCAATGAGAGCCACAATTTGAACTCATGCTGGTGGCTATGGGAGTCTCTGTCCACTGCACTGTGTCCTTGACGACGGACTGTACCAGGTATCTGCAGCTCCTTGATGCTTCCCACATCTGCTCCCCACATCATCTGGGCTTCCACTGCTGGAGGGTGTAAGCTGCTTTCTCAGGACCCAGGGGTTCAGGCCCATTACCTGGGCTCTAAGCATTTTCTCCAGAGTGTCAAGCTGGGAAAGCAGCCTGACTTGTGAACATTCCATATCAGGACACAAGAAAAGCAGAGGCCTGCGCTTTGTTTCTGCATTTGCTTTAAGCCATATAATATCTCAGTTGGAATAACAAGGCAGAAGTCATGTTGCAAGGACATGATGTCCACACCTACTAAGAGAGATGAGATCCACCCTGCTAGTAATCCATCCCAGGCTCCTTGTTAGTGATTTAACTCACTCTTCAGTTGGCACTTTTCAGTCTTTCTATGATCTCACCTTAAATTACCTTTTCAGTGGCATTTCCACAGGTGCCTACTAGCCCCTGACAGTCTTGTCAAACTGGATAATTAATGCATTTGTATATGCCCTGAATGCATTTGTAGTTTTGTACATATTAAGTGCTCTGTAAGAGTATACTGATCATGCCAAATGCAACTAAATTATAATCTAGTAGAGCATACCTAATTGTGTGCTTTCCCAATGTTTGGCACCACTCAAATCTCTATTGTTCACCCACAGTGAAGGAAATCAAGAGTGGTGGCCTACATTTGACTGAAATATATCTAATATTTTAAAATATAAGATTAGAGTGCCACAGAAGTACCTCAAAGACAGCAGAGCTTCTGCTCCAAAGAGATGGCTCTTTGTGACATGCTTTGAGGCTCTTCATCATAGTCTAGTTACAGACAAATCAAGGAGTAGGGCTGGCTGATTCTCCCTGGGATTCCCATGTTAGTTTTGACTCAGGGACTGTTTCTTGGAATTCACACCAAGATGTTTGTCCTATAGAATGTGACTGCATTTTATCTTTTTAAATTTAACTTGTATTTATTAAATGGTCACTAAGTGCACTGAAATACAGAACCAGAAAACATGCCTCCATATGGTTGCTGCAATAAATGCAAATAGCTCATCTTTTTAAATGCAAAGTAAATTGTGCCAGTGACCAGAAGGAGCATGGGTTCTTTGTATAGCGAGAAGACCTGTGCAGATGGCTTTGAGGGCCCTAGGAGGGACATTTCCTGAGATCTGAGATAAGGCAATAGGCAAATGGAACTAGGTCAAGGTTGGCCCTGGGGAGCTTCAGGTGGCTTACACGCCAGCTCTGGGTGGCTTTTGGGGTTCTTTATGGTTGCAACGTGGAAGGTGGTGTATGGAGGGTTATGTGGGACTGTCATTGAAAATGCAGCATGCAAGAGTGATGGCCTGCACTAGGACAGAGGCAGTGAAAGAAGGACAAGAAGCACTGTCTCTACCACATTATGGTTGTAGAATCCACAGGACTTGGTGATAAAATTGTATGCACTCTGGTAGAAAGGAATTTTATGCAAGGTGGTAGAAAGGAGGAGGTCAAGGTCACCTACAAGATTTCTGGGCCAAGGAAGTGAATGATGGTGGTGCTAAAACAATAAGATGAAATAAAATAGAATAACATAACTAATGTTCGTTGTACTTAAGTTATGTGCCAAGTGTTATCTTGGGTGTTCTACATGCCCAAACTCATTTAATTCTGATAAAAACATACATGGTAGGAACTGGTATAATCCCCATTTGAAAATGAGGAAACTGAGTCATGGAGCACTGAAATCACTTGCCTAAGTTGAAGACCCAGAATTTGAATTTTCACCTTGATATTTCAATGTGTGTGTCCACACCCTTAATACTGCCTTGCGGTATAACCAAACACGCCAATGAAAGGTGCACAAAAGAAAAATTACACGCTGGATAATAATTACTTGGCCAAAAGATTCTTTGCTTTACAAAATGATTCACTTCATGTTTCTATTGAACTATCTTAGTGAACTTACCATAGGATTTGTTAAATAGTTCCCTTGCCACACATGCACACACAAAAAGGCACACACACGCAAGCTATTGAGGAAGAGATCTGTGGCATGAAAGAAGGCCTATTACCGTTAGATTTCATTGTTATGTTGGGAGTGACAGCATCTGTCTGTCCCCAGTCAATGTCTCTAGCAGTAGGCAGTCCAACACCCCTACCCAAAAATACCCTCAGGGGTACCCCAAACAAAGTCTGGGATCCTCTAGAGATCTTCCTAGTTTGCTTTTTGCTTCCTTCCCTGCCAGGGCATTCAGCTCGATCTTAAGCTATTAGTTCATCAGATTTTTCTATACTTGCCATTGCCTCTTGGACTTTTGACACTTCTATGTGCCAAGAATTAGGCCAAGCCCTTTATATGCATTTTAATGCTTAATTTTAAAAAATTTTTATAGATTATTGGAGTATAGATGGTATTTGGTTACATGAGTAAGTTCTTTAGTGGTGATTTGTGAGATTTTGGTGCACCCATCACCTGAACATCACCTGAACACTGCACCCTATTTGTAGTCTTTTATCCTTTGCCCCTCTCCCCACATTCCCCACAAGTGCCCAAAGTCCATTGTATCATTCTTATGCCTTTGCATCCTCATAGCTTAGCTCCCACATATCAGTGAGAACATACAATATTTGGTTTTCCATTCCTGAGTTACTTCACTTAGAATAATAGTCTCGGCTGGGCACGGTGGCTCACGCCTGTAATCCCAGCACTTTGGGAAGCCGAGGCGGGTGGATCACGAGGTCAGGAGATCGAGAACATCCTGGCTGACACGGTGAAACCCCGTCTCTGCTAAAAATACAAAAAATTAGCTGGGTGCGGTGGCGGGCGCCTGTGGTCCCAGCTACTCGGGAGGCTGAGGCGGGAGAATGGCGTGAACCCGGGAGGTGGAGCTTGCAGTGAGCCGAGATGCGCCATTGCACTGCAGCCTGGGTGACAGAGCGAGACTGTCTCAAAAAAAAAAAAAAAAAAAAGAATAATAGTCTCCAATCTCATTCAGTTCGCTGCGAATGCCGTTAATTCATTCCTTTTTATGGCTGAGTAGTGTTTCACCATATATGTATGCCACCGTTTCTTTATCCACTTGTTGATTGGTGGACATTTGGGTTGGTTCCATGATTTTGCAATTGCAAATTGTGCTGCTGTAAACATGTTAATGCGTAATTTTTAAATAATTGCTATGTAGGCATTATAAGACCTACTTTGCCAATGAAGAAACTTGTCCAGAAATGTGAAGCTCTTGGACGAAGGTGAACAACAATGGCCAATATAACCCATTCCATCCATATTCTGCTGCCACTGGGTGATACTCTTTCTCATTCCCTGACTCCCAGTTTCCTTTCTCAGGTCCCCAGTTTTACCTGACCCCTGGCTTAACTCGTTCCAACTGACCATTTCAGACCTCCAGCCTCAGTCCAGGGAGCTGGTGCCCCTGAGCTGCCCAGCCTAGGACCCTGTGGGCAGGAGGACAGGAGAGATACTATTAGATAATCATACTCCTTTACCTTCAGATGCAAATGGCCTTGGGCTATTTTGGTCTTTTAAATCTCTGATTTTTCATAGATTCTTAAGGTTTAAAAGGAAGTTCTTTTGACTTCCCCCAAATAAAGGTTTCTGTGCACAAAAAGAAATGAGCATAGGTGAGATTAGCAAAGGTGATTTGTTACTGCTATGTTGGATTAAAAACATATATACTGTAAAAAGAGAACTCCAACTCCTTACTCACATATTTATAAAAAAAGAAATTTGGCTGATTACAACTTGTTAGATCTGTTGCTTCTCTAGTTCCATTTAGGAAAAAAAATGTGGCTTTATATTCCCACCCACTGATTTCCAACTAAAACAGAACTTATTTGCCTGCTGATCCCGCTGGCTTTTTAAATGAAAAACTTATTCTTTTTAAACTACTGGAAAATTATACTTAAAAATCAGCATAATTCCATTGCCTATTTTTTCTGGATTCCTTGAATAATGCAGGGCTGGTTTCTGGAACAACCCTATGTAATCTGATGGACAAATCTTGTTATCAACATGCATGTTAGCTGGTGATCTGTACTGTTGCTAAGCTGTAGAGTCTATTTCCACATGCTAATTAATATAATCTGAGTTAAGATTTTTATTCTCTCTAATCTAATTATAACTTCAGGAGGTAAGACTTTGATAAGACTTGAAAAGATATTATAATAGTATTATATATTTTTTCTACATATTTCCTGTGTATATATGTTCCAAATTCTTGACTCACAGACTCATGAGTTGTAGTCACAGTAAATCGTTGTATTAAGCCACTGAGTTTTGGAGTCTTTGTTATGCAACAGTAGGTAACTGGAGTACTGAATGTCCAGCCAAAGTCCACTACACAGCTCATCCCACCCCCTCCCGCCATTAGCCCAGCTAGAAATAGACTATAATAGATCACTTCCAAAAGTTTACCTGTATTTGACCTTATTTATAAAGAATACAGATGCTATGAAACTCTCCATCTTGGTACCTCCTTATTTATCTGGAAGGAATTGTTTAGATTCCTGCCACACTGTTATGGTTAATCTAGGGGTACAACACTTGTGACACTCTGCACCATGATGTGAGATCTGGGGGGCTGGACTAGTTCAGATATAATATTTGGTGGCATTGAAGCAGGTAGAGGAAGCCACTGAATCAATCTTGCTATCAAGATAACAAGACTGGAAAGTCAGAGACAATCCCTGGGTGAGTTATCAGATCTGGGAACAGAAGAGATGGAGAGGTACCCACTGGGGTCCCAGACCAGCGTTGGTCTGGATAGTGGAGTGGAGGAGGCATCAGAGCGACAGTTCTGGACTGAGCCCAAGAACTTCCCAAGGGTTTAGGAAGACCATTCATCATGTGGGGACTACTGTGTAGTACAATGCTAGACCTACTGACTTGCTCAAGGGATAAACTAATAAATAAATGAATGCATGAATAAAAATAAAAGAGGTACCAGTAATGACACCTAGTATTGAAACACTTCTATAGCAGGCACTGTGTTAAGTGTCAAGTGTATTAGCTCATCTTTTTCTCACAACATTTTTATGAGGTTAATACTTTTATTTTTCTCATTTTACATAGGTGGAAACAGAGGTTGACAGAGGTGAAAGGTTACTTGCCAAAACTTGCACAGAATTGTCATGACAGAACATATGTCCGAATCCAGAGCATTTGAACTCCAAAGCCATGGTCTCTAACACTTATCTTTGAACCGTCTTTTGGGTGAGATTGAAAAGCAATGTAGATGGCTAGTCTCATGCAGAGATGTTCCCTTCATTGTGTCAATGGTGCAGGTGACTCATCTGCAACACTGCTCATGAAGAATCAACATGATTCTCTTTTGAAATGCAAAGGCATCCAGTAGAGCTCTAGAAATACCATGAAGCACCCGTCACACAACATATAGAGGACTCCTAAAATAATACTTTTCCTCTACTCCTGGTAAACATTTACTTTTTGTTATTTGTTCATTTATTGGACAAAACTCAAGGAGTGGTAACTTTGTGCAGGCATGATGCTCCAGAAATACACAATAATCCCAAAAAGATGGCCAATGGGAAAGTAGATCTAGAAACAAGCAGGGGAGAGAGTACGAAATGTACTGCATCCATGTGACAAAGAAAATGATGATTAAATATGCTTGCAGTGATGAAAGAAAGAAAAGAAAGAAAAAGGCAGATTGGGGAAGGGCAGGAGGGCGTTTCACCGGGAAGGAAGGGCCAGCATACTAAGGTATTAAGGGGTGCAGCGATAGGGCTTACTTGGGAAACCCTGGGTGAGAACCTGATGCCATCACTAGAAATTAATGCCATCTGAATAATCCAGAAATGTCATTGGTTCTAGTGGGCAGGGAGATCAAAGAAAAAAAATTTTACTTCTCACCGATCATTCCATTGGCAGTGGCCAGGGTGTTCCCAATAGTCATCAGTGCAGGGTGGGGGCGTGCGTGAGAGTGGGGTAGTGAGGTATGGCTTGATGAAATTTGAACAGCATTTGCTTTGAACAATTCTATCTTCATTGTTATCTCATCAAAAACAAACAATTGCACAGTCAGCTCTGGAAAGCCAGGTAATAATATGCAATTCTTTGAATGTCCTCTGTAACCTTTTCTATTTTCTCACATGTCCTTAAAAAGACAGATAGAGCTACAGATGATTATCAGGTAAGGAGAGAAAAAGATAAGCAAACACAAAGTAATAATATAGCTCTCTGAAATCACTGGTTGTTTCCCTGCTGAGTATGTGCACTCAAATAAGCCATTACTTAATGTCTTATTCTGCTTCTTAATAAAAATCCCACGAAGGCAGGGTGTTTTCTCATTCTCACCCTTGGCTACCTCTGTGAATAGGCTCTGGGAAACAGAATATTTCTCTGGCTTTCCTCCCCGCTGTTCCTCTGTTTCTCTCCATCTCCAAGGTCTTCCAAACTTTCCATCACATGGGGATGTACGGCAGCCAAGCACTCAGTGGCTCGCCCGAGGCCTCAACTATCTCCTGCATTATCTTCAAATCAGACAGATTTCCTCACTATCCTCTGGACCACAACATGCATTTCCACCACTGTACCTTTTTTCAAGTAATTTGCCCAGCTCAACAAGCTCTCCCCTTCTCACTTTGTTGGTGCCATTTTGGGGAGAGTGGGGGTGGGGGTAAGCAATGTAGAAAGAGGTGGGAAGGGTCTGAGCTGGGCAGGCCTGGGTGTGAGCCCTGCTCTACTGTTTGTCCCCTCTGTGAGACTTGAGCAAGACATCTAATGCAGCCTTTGAAATGTGGCAAGCCCTCCATGAGTATTTGTGCACAAATGGTTATGAGTATTCACGGATCTCTAAATCCTATCCATCCAAGATCCAGCTCAAATTCTGCAAGGCAGACCTTTAGCCTGGGGGAAAATGGTGGTGGCCATCTTGACCACTTATTTGTGAGAAGCTCACATGAATCTTTGGCATTACAGGCTTTGAGAGGACACTCTTCCTAGAACTAAGCTGAAGGCTGCCTCCCTGAACTTTGGTCACTGACCTGACTTTGGCTTTTAGAGGCACTGGAAGTGGTGGGCTGGTGCTGCTCCCTCTCCCGCAGGTGTTTGAGTTCTACTTTCTGAAAGGTCCATGGAAATTCAGAGAAGGGACAGATGTAATTTCTTTTGCCTGGGACTCCTTTCCTCCTTACTCACCTGGCCAAGTCCTGCTTGTCCTTCAATACCTACCTTGGGTGTGACCAGCACATTGGTTACATTGCAGATAACATACAGATCTACCTGTTAAATTTAAATTTCAAATAAGCAACAAATGATTTCTTAGTGTAAGTATGTCCCTAATACTGCATGAAACATTTGAGGATTAAAACAAAATGTTTATCTGAGATTCAAATTTAACTGGGCCTCTTGAATTTTTATCTGCTAAATCTGGCAGCCAGTCAGGTGTCCCTCCTCTGTGTGTCCCTAATGCTTATGCACATCCCTATCAAAGCACTCCCATGCATGCATTTATTTATCATGCTGTTCTGCTCATACTTCACATCGGAAAACTCTGGGCTTCCAGCACCCTGGCCCCAGACAGAGTGACCCCTCCCTTCCGTTGTTGTGGTTGTCTTCCACCTGGTGGCCTTGCTCCATCCTTGCTGCCCTGTGTCTATTCTTTGCACAGAGAGATTTCTCTAAAATATAAGTCAATGAAGTCCCAACTCTGCTCAGAATCCTGAAAATAAAACCCAAAGTCCTTCCAACATCGATGAGACCCCCTCTTATTTTGCCCCACCTGCATATGTGACCTCATGTCCTGTCATCCTTTCTTCCCTTTCCCCTCCCCAGTTCTTCCCCAGACATGCCCAGTGCCCTCCCACTGAAAGGCTTTTGCATTTCCAGTGCTTCTACCCTGAGTACTCTTTGCTGTATGATGTCATGGCCCCCTCTCCCACTGTATTCCCATCACCTCCTCAGACTCTCCTGTTGCTCGCTGTAAAATCTTGCTTTCAACCATGCTTTTCATCCCCCACAACCTGCTTTATTTCCTTAGCATTATTTTATTGGCACTTGACATATTATATGTCCATGCATTTGCTTTTGGGCTGTTTCCCCACTGCAACTTCCACAAAGGCAGAAATTGTTTCGTGCCCTCTTCTAGATCCTCACTGCCTAGCCTTCTGCTGGGTATTTAGTAGTTGCTTAATAAATATTGATTACATGAATGAATGTTTATACACCCCCTCTTTTCCATAGAATGGGAAGTCCTTAGTTGTCCAGGGTCCTTCTCCAAATCCCCAGTTCCTAGCACAAGATCAGAGACATGGTAGTACTTCTCCAAAGCCCTGTGCCTAACATAGGGTGGCACATGGAAGGGTCTCAGTACGTGCTACTTGTCTTGAACTGTGGAATACGTTCCTGGCTCTTGACAATGAAGCTGAAGGTCTTAATTAACATCCTCCTGGAAACCTGTCAGAATGTTATGGGATTTGAACACTGCTAGTGAAAAAAGCAGTGAAATAAAATAAAATAAAATCACAGTCTTGGAAAACTCTGAGCGTTGCATGCATCCTTAATAGATCTCAATTTTGAGCTTTCTCTCCAGGGTATGGAAAGTTCAGAGCTGCTAAATAGTCAAATATATTTGTTGAGAAAAAAATCCATATGAACAAAGAACACAATAAACATCCTTAATTAGGAGTAGAATAGGCAAGTAAAGGGAGCTGGCTCTGATGTGTGCCATAGTTAGCAACACTGGGAACACAAGCACCTCAGCCTTTTCCCCCTTCAGTCAGGAATGAAGAACTTGATTTATATGAATGCTCACTTATTAGCAACAAGATATCTTGGTTTACCATTAGGTGGCAAAGACATGCCTCAGGAATGAATAGCTAATATTTATTAAGGATTTCTACTATGCTCATTATTAGAGCTGACTCTTTCACCTCACCAAAAAAAGTTATGATCAATGTGCGATATGATCTTTGTCCTCGAAGGATCAGTATTCGTAGGTAGCTCCATCCAAGAGAGCTTTCTGCCATGGAGATGTCCTATATCTGTGCTTTCTGATATGGCAGCCACTAGTGAGAAGACAGGTGGTCAATAACATCAAGAAACTGGATTTTTAAAATGTATTTGATTGTAATCGATGTACATTTAAGTACCCCTGTGGCTAGCGGCATTGGATAGCAGAGTTCTAAGGTAAATAGAACTTAGAAAGGACTCAAAAGTACTGGTGGTCAGCTTGGCAAAGTGGATCAGAATCTGAGTGCCCTGGTGATCAGGGAGTCTGAATTCCATGTCAACTTTAATTTACTTCCTCCATTGATATACTCAACCTCTCTGTGGCTCAGTGTTCTTATCTCTAAAGTGGAGATACTAATAATTCCTACCTTATGGGTTGTTCAAATAATTAACTGAGCTAATATGGATAAGACATGCGGGATAGTACCTGATACATAGAAAGCCCTTTGTAAATGCCATATAATTAGGAGAATTATTTATAGAAGTGGGGGGCTAAGGGGTGGGTTATTTGTTGATCAGTTATATCTCTTCATGCAATTAAATATTGACAAATATATGCCCCAGTTCTCACTAATCCGATACACATTACTGATGTCCTATTCTGGGTACCAGGTGACAGGAACACAGGTGTCCACACAATGCTGCTTTTGTCCTCAAGGTGCTGACAATCCAGCAGAGATGACCAGAATGTAAACAGAACATTTTAATTTGTTCATTTATTCATCAAGCATTTACTGAAGACCTACCATGTGCCAGCCATGTCTTCACCTCTGGGAATATCTTGGGAATTTCTTGGGAATTTCTTAGTGAACAAGATAGCCAAGGGCCCCCATTCTTACTGTGCTTAGAGTCTAATGGCAGAGACAGGCAATCCATCAGTCAATCAATCAAGAAGAGTTCAGTGCTCCATAAAAAAACATTAAAGAAGGATAGAGGCTGAGTAGCCTTGCAAACTTCTCCAAAAAGGCAAGATTTACCCGAAAAGTCAGGGTGATGAGGACTCTGCTATAAAAGGTGACAGGTAAGGTTTCCAGGTAGATGACGCTGAGCCAGGATGCAGATTGCCTCAGGTGGGAGGCAGTGGGGAGGTGGCACAGACTGAATGGCAGCCATGGGGGTGGGAGGGTGAGCGAACTCATTTCAGATATATTTGGGAATAGAGTCAACAGAAAGAACTTGCTTCTGGATCTGATGTGAGTAGTGAGGCAAAGAGAGAAATAAGGCTGCCTGTGATTTTGGCTGGAGCTTCTGGGTGGTTCTGTGGACTGACATGAGGAAGGAGAGGCAGAACAGTATTACATGGAAAAGCTAGAGGTCTGTGTGGACTCTTTGGTTAGGTTGAACGTGCTTCCTCTAATCCTAGCACTTTGGGAGGCCGAGGTGGGAGAATCACTTGAGGCAAGGAGTTTGAGACCACCCTATGCAATATAGTGAGACCCCTGTCTCTACAAAATATTAAAAAAGCATACCCAGGTGTGGTGGTGTGTACCTGTAGTCCCAGCCACTTGAGAGGCGGTGGCGGGAGGATCGCTTGAGCCCAGGAGGTCGAGGCTGCAGTGAGCGAAGATTACACCACCGCACTCCAGGCTGGGTGACAGAGAGAGACCCTGTCTCTGTTTTTTTTTTTTTTTAAAGTTTAACATGCTTATTAGATGCCTAAATGAAGGCAGAGTGGTGTTATTCCAGAAGTAGCCAGGTTTTAGATGGTCAAGAAGTAAGGGGAGTGTTTAAAGAAGGTGAGAAGGGATGTATTGGATTAAACCACTGGGCAGTGGGAACTGGAACAGGTCAGGAGACCCGGCTCATAATGGGTGGAGGCCAGGGAACAGCAAATACTTCCTCAATGAGGACACTCAGAGGAGTTTTAGTTACCGGAAAGCATTAGGAGTGGAGTCGAGGGTGAAGCAATGCCTTCCTGGAGTTAACGGCTCCTTCCAACGCTCCGTATAAGGAGCTGGCAGATGAAGCCTCTGTAGGCAGATCGCGTTTGAGACTTCACTGCATGCCTGGTGCTGTTCAGGCATCTGAACATTGCCCTCCTTAGCATCTATGGCCAGGAAGGTTTTCTGAGATTTCTTTCGTGTAAGAAAATGATGAGCGTTCCTACAAGGATTTCTGTGAATCTATATAAAAGAAAAACAAAGCAAAACCAAACATCAGCAGCTTCTTACTCACGTGTAAAGCCACACGATGGATTTGATGCATTTTTGTCCTCAACATTGACCCGCTATTTTGCTGCCATGTCAACAACCACTTCTTGCTCAGAGGGGCAACTGTGACTAAGCAATTCTAAATGGAACGTATTTCTCATTTTAAATGTGTCTCTTCCTTTCCACTTAACATTCTATCACAAGCATGTCTCCACGTGGCTGCGTCGGTTGAGATCCACTGCGATTTTATGCTTCTTGAGGCTGAAGCTCTTAGTTTCCTATATTTACATGAAAAGCTACTTATCTAAAAATTACGCTTCCACTTGCATTAAAGTTGTTTCTATTTTAGTTTATTTTCTCTGATTATACAATCATTATTGAATCTTTGTAGGAAATTTAAATGCAATGTGCAAAGAGAATAAAATATCGTCTATATTCCCTCCATATTATCTCATTACATTTCACTGATGGCCTATGATGCAATTTCACAATGTTTTAAAATTTATTTTTCAAAAGGCATTGTATAAACATATTTTAAATGTTTGGGTAGTACACAGAGTATACGTTGAAAGACAGATCTCTCTTCCTCTGGCCTTGAACCTGTTCACCTACCAGTTGCGACATTTCTTACAAGTTGATGTTTAAATTTGCAGGAGTGTCTGCCTACCCGGGCATGCATCTTGTATCACCCATGTCTATCTTGCTCTTTTTTATTTGTCTATATATATCTGGGTACACTTTATGCATTTTTTCTGTTATTCTGCTTTCTCCCCCTCAATATTGGAGATCATTCTGAATTGAACTTTCAGATTTACTGAATTCTTTTCAAAATAGCTGTGTTATTTCAATGCATGGAAATACCAGAATGTAACCAGTCTTTTTTCAAAAATTGTCCGTGATGAACAAATTACCTTAATTTTCTGACATCTATTGTTTCCACTGAGGGCACTGTCAATCTAAATGTTATCCTCTGAAGGTCATTTGTTTTTGCTGTTTGCCTTTAAGATTAATTTTGTCCATGATATTCTTCCCTTTCTCTGTGATGCATTCAGATGTGGACTTTTACTTATATTGTTTTGTACTGAGTTTACACCTTTTATCTCGGGACTCATATATTTCTTAATGTTTGAAAACATTCAGCTACTGTCTCTTTAAACGTTCCTCTCCACCACAATCTTGAACTCCTGTTGGACACATATTGGAACTTCTCAAACTTTCCTTTAAGTATTTTAATTTTCCCATCTCTTCATCTCTCTGAATTCTGGTTAATTCCTCAGCCTTATATTCTCTTTCAAAAATTCCCTTTTTGATTGTGTCCTGTGTGCAATTTAAATATTGGGTTTTCCATGAGAATTCTATATTTTACAATTGTGGGTTTTCTAATTGCTTACTACCTCTCAGTTCATATCAATCTGTCTGTTTTCTTTTAGTCTTCTGTCTAGCTTTCTGTATGCTATTCATTCTTATCACTTTGAGAACTTTATTCTTATATTTAGAGTCTTTTCCCAATTACATAATTATTTCTATTTCCTTATGAAAATACATCTTCCCTTAGTTGTATTTAGGTAACTTTTATGATGTCAGCTTTCCTCATGTGCCTTGAAATTTTAATCTGTACACTCTTGTTAAATGAAGTTTTTAAATCTCTGATCTTATCCCTCTCTGAGTCATTGTTTTAGGGGGGTCTCCCCCACCTTTCTGGGGCCTCTGCAGCATGAACGAGCGTGCTTCTTGGCTCTCCTCAGCTTCCCATCTCTGAACTTGAAGAGTAGAAAGACTAAGTCTCAGCATACTGTCGAAAGATTGAGTATACTGGATTTGAGATTGTTTACCTGGGAGTGTAGTTGAGTATATTTTATGTATGCAAAGACAAGTGAAATGGGTATTAGCTGTACAGAAAGGTGGAGCATGCTGGGACTAGGTAGGTGTTCCACACACCTTTCCCAGAGCACATGGCTAGACTCTGTTTTCCTGCAGTCTTTGCAGCTACTTAGAGCCCTGCAGCTGGGTAGAGGTCAGTAGACTGCAGGGAGGGAAGATGCACATCACTTCCACAGCTGGCTCACACAACTTCCTATTTGCCATTTTCCCTTCTCCCTTCCCTCATCTGCACACTGAATGCCCATCCCGGAGCCCCCTTGGGAGTCACATGTCGGAGATTGTTGAGCCCCCAACAGACTTGGTCCCTGCAGGTCTGGGAGTTGAGTCCCCCACTTTCACCAGCACTACTTTTTGTGATTGAGAAATCTGCTTCTTTTGTGTTGAGTCATTGAGACTTGGAGGCTTAGTTGCACAGTAATAAACCCAACGCCTGCCTTCTTTGTCCTTGTGGGCTTATGCCTTTAAAAACATTACTTCACTGTCATTGGAGTGGCGTTCCAGGAAGGAACATGTCCAAGTCACCCTGGTGAAGCAGCATTTCTCTCCATTTGCTTTCTCACTCTGCTCTGGAAGTCTGAGAGCTCCCTCATTGTGTTTTTGAGTGCATGAATTTATTTGTTTGTTTTCAAAATAGCTTTACTATCATTTCTATGGATTGGGTGCAGGGAGGGGGAAGCTCAGATTGCCATCTTCAAACTAGTTTAGTGTGCTGCTGGAGTCTATTTGCTAATATTTTATTTAGGATTTTTCATCAATATTCATATGTGAGATTCGTCTGTAGTTTTACTTTATCCTCTCTGTCAGTTTTAAAATCAATGGTAGACTGGTTTCACAAAAGGAATTTAGAAGCTTCTCTTCTTTCTCTATGCTCCCAAAGAGTCAAAGAACATTGAAGTAATGCATACCTTAAAATTTGAGGATTTCATTGGTAGAACTATCTCAGCCAGGGATTTTGGGAGGAGCAGCTTTTTAAAAAAAGTCTTCAATTTCTTTTACGGAACTATTTATATGCAGAAAGTCTATCCATCTGAGATCAACTTGTTTATTTATGATTTCTTAGAAAACCACCTATTTCGTAAAGAATTTCAAGCTTATTTGCATAGCATTAAGCAAATTATTTTCTTATGTGTCTTTAATTTCTATTATTTTTCTGGGTTTTTTGATATTCATATTTTCATGTAGGTATTTATACTTTCAAAGAAAGATTTGTATTCTTGACTATCTTATTTAAGGTTTTTTAAAAAAATTATTGGTTGTTAAGCTCTTAAATGTACTTATTCTTTCTATCATTTTCTATTTTCAATTTCATTACTTTTTGTTTTTATCATTTGCATTCCTTTTGTCTGCCTCAGCTTCTATTAGATTTCTTGCATTTACCTTTTCTCTTACCTCTTCAATTGAATGTTTCCTATAGTTTTATTAATTTATCCTTGCAATATAAAAAAATTAAATTATTTTAAGGCATTTTGTTCTGAAGGTAGTTTTAACAATAGCTTGTTGGTTGGTGTTTGTATAATTGTAATTTATGTTATATAGATATTCTGTATTTTGCAGCTGAAACTCAGGCATCTGGGCCAAGCATCACTCATAAAATACATGTTTGGAAGTGAGCATTCCTTAAATCAAAGAAATTTTTTAAAATGCAAAAGTTAGCCATTGGAGGAATGTGAGACTAGTAGGTGAGGCAGAGAAAGTTTCTGGGACAGAAAGGGCTTTTCTGCTTGTGGAATTTGTAGTGGTAAGAAAGAAGATTTCTTTATCAGGTCACTTTATGATTATCATTTTGAGGATCTTTCCTGTAAGCATGTCCACTAGTGTGGTTCTTCAGACCTGCTTGCAATTCTGTGACCTGACTATCAAACAAGCTCCTTGTTGTACTTCATCAACCAGAGATAGCTTCTGTTGTTGTGGCTTTGAACCCAGACTGTTTTAGAAGCATACGAATCGATTCTATAAATTCTGTCACTTCATATATAGTATATTAAATATCCACAAATTATATTACATTATTTAGTTTTTCTGTATCCTGACTGACTTTTTTTAGTTTTTTAAAGATTTTTAATTTTAGATGATTGCAGATTCTTACTTTCATTTTATTTTACTTTATCTGATTTAAATTTCTACTCTTATGGGCTGAGAGAGATGCCTTAAAATCTCCTAACGGTATTTTTTCTGTCTCTTCTTACACTTCTTATATCTTTGTTGATTGATTTTGCTGCAGTTTTAATTGTTGCATACTTATTCAAAACTGCCACATCTTCATTGTGGCTTCTTTTTTTTTTTTTTTTTTTGAGACAGAGTCTCACTCTGTCGCCCAGGCCGGACTGCGGACTGCAGTGGCGCAATCTCGGCTCACTGCAAGCTCCGCTTCCAGGGTTCACGCCATTCTCCTGCCTCAGCCTCCCGAGTAGCTGGGACTACAGGCGCCCGCCACTGCACCCGGCTAATTTTTTGTATTTTTAGTAGAGACGGGGTTTCACCTTGTTAGCCAGGATGGTCTCGATCTCCTGACCTCATGATCCACCCGCCTCGGCCTCCCAAAGTTGTGGCTTCTTTACTCAAGAAAAATTGCCTTACATTAACTTCTTTAAAACTCTGTGCCTTGAATTTATCGTTATCTGACATTTTAAGGTTAGTACCTGCCTTGGAGTGTGTATGCATGAGTGTGGCTGTATATGGTTGTGTTTCTTCTATTAGTAATCATTTGGAAGGACTATTGTGTGTTTTCATTTCTTCTAGTAGTTATGTTTGTAGCTATAAATGTATAGAACACACAGGATTTTTACTTCTATAGGCAGAATTTATTGACTTTCCCCTTTCAAACACACACACTGTGGTGTTCTTGATTTTCTCTCCCTAATCACCATCGTCCCCCCTTCCTTCCTGTACTACTAGTTTTGATTAGTTGTACTATAATTTTATTTCTTCAAGTGAATGCTTTACACTTTTAATATAATTTATATGTTTTTCTGAATTTATTAGCTTTAAAATTATATATATTGATTGTCCAACCATCCCCAAAAAAGATGATGAGCTTGGCATTCATATAATATCTGTCCCCCTCTTTCTTTTCCTTCCAATTTTTGATAGTTTACATGTCATGGTTGAGAGTATACACTGTATTCAATAGCAAAATTTCCCCACAGCTGTGTAATATTTTTAAAAATTAATTATTTAGGTTAAATTAATAACAATCTTTAATTCTTTTACAATATCGTCTTCCTTTATTCCTGGATTGGTGACAGCATAGCTTTTAATAATTTCTCTAAGAAGAGATCATGGAATCTCTTTCTTGAGTTGTTAATGTTTAAAAATGACTATCTTTTGCCTTGCTCTATAAGAACATTTTGGCTAGGTATAAAATTATTGCATCACACTTTTCCTGAGGACTCTGAAGACACTGTTCCATTCTTTTATAGCACTGAATCTTTCAGGGAAAAGTTTAAAGGCGGATTCTTATTAGTTTTTATTCTTGTAGATGAATTGACTTTTTCTTTCTAGCTACAGAGTTTTGTTGGTATTTTTGAGGTTTAATAAGTATAAAATGTGCCTCTCTGTTCAAGGATCTGCCTCAATTCATCTGGGAATTGGTTCTTTCAATATGTAGATTCAAATTTTTATTTCAAAAATATTTTCTTTACTTCACATCTTTAAGTAATTTTAGTGTTCTATTTGTTTTGCTCATTAATCCAGTCACCAATTTCACATATCTTGGTTCTCCTTTGTCAATTTTTATATCCATCATTTTCTTTTCTATAAGTTTAAACTTTTGGTAACTTTTTTTCTATTTTATTTTCCTCAGTTTCCTCAAGCATGTCCTACATGCTGAAATCATTGCTGTGGCAAAGTCTATTTCTTATTTACTGCTTCCAAAATGGCCTTTACTTATTTGATAATTTTACTTTTATTTTTCTCTTCTATTTTGTCTTGATCTTTGCCAATTCATTTTTTCAATTTTATTTCATTGTCTTTTATTGTAATTTGGTTCTTATATTTCTGCTTTGATCTTTTATTTCATAAATGCCATAATTTCTTTTAAAGAGTCAATGCTAGGGTCCACTGTTGTCTTCCTGAATACCCAATTTTTTCTGAAGTATGTTTATTGCCTACTCTCTTTTGCCATGTTTTTCTTACTCCATACCTAGGATTTTGGAGGATTGCCTTGTTGGTTATTTCTCTTTGGTTTTCCCTTGTTTTCAAATAGGGTCATTCCTCCTGGATGGGCTACATGCTGCTGGAATATGTGTGAGAGAAAGGCCAGGAGAGGGAGGTAAACTTGAGGTCAGCTTGAGGGTGGGAGGAAAAATTTGAGTGTTGATCTGTTGCCTGTGGAGACTGTCCCATCGTCTCCTTATTTTTTGAAGAATACATGGTTTCCTGGCTATGCTATGGTAGCTGTCCTGTCTCAGCAACCTCACGTATGCTGGGTCAGTTTTCTTTTCAAAACATCTTTCCTGTCTTTATGGAAGATACAATTTGTTTTTTTCTCAGCCTCCTTATTTTTTGAAGAATACGTGGTTTCCTGGCTATGCTATGGTAGCTGTCCTGTCTCAACATCCTCACGTATGCTGGGTCAGTTTTCTTTTCAAAACATCTTTCCTGGCTTTATGGAAGATACAATTTGTTTTTTTCTCAGTCTCCTTATTTTATGTTGTTTCAGAAACAATAAAGATTGAAGCACCTATACGATACACTTTTAAAATGGACCATTCTCCCTCCTTGTTTAATCATTCTTGTAATGCTGTGTTGTTTCTCATTTTGGACTTTAAATAATTCTGTGATAAATCTTAAGGTATAATGTTTCATCCATATAAGAGGTTCTTTATTTGGGGCAGATGCCTACAAATGAAATTACCAGGTATAGATATGAACATTCTTCAGGCTTCTGATTTATGTTTAGAAATTGCTATTTACAAATTTTTCTTTACATTTCTTCCAAAAATGTACCAGAATGTGTCAGAATTACTTCATCTTCCCTCTCCAAACACTGACCAGTTGTATTAAACAAGAACAACAACAACAACAAAATCTCTTTATCAGCTGACAAATATCATGGTATATTTTCTTTATTTACTGGTAGATTTAATTATTTTAAAAAATGATTTTTTTCTTTTGTGTGTTTGAATTATCTGCCCATATTCTCCACCCATTTATCCAACATATCTATTCTCAGTTTGTGTTTTTTTAAATAGGAAGAGTGATATATTTGCATAGTTGTTAAAATGATGTCATTCTGTTTGCTTTAATTTTCTTTATGACATATTTTACTTCAGAATTTTATATTTTCATGTAGTAAAATTGATTTTTAAATTTTTCAGTGATTTTTTTCTTTGTTTTAAGTCTTAGGAATCCCTCTCCTATTTAGGGAATAGATAAAAGTTTGGTAATTTCTTTTAGCTTATTGAGAGTTCGATGTTTTTAAATTTTTTAATTCTTTATTTCACTTAAACTTTTGTTTACTTGATTTTGTATTCTATGTTCACTTAACATTATGTTAAGTGTGTAACCTTGCTATTAAAGACTTTGCTTTATGACTATTTTTCTACACAATAATCTCTTGTGGGATATGTCATAATTTATTTGACCCTATTATTAGCTGTTTAGATTGCTTCTGAGACTTTTACTATTTTAGAGTATACTGTAATAAAAAATATTCCAAATAATTATTTTCTCCATAGTTTGCATTATTTCATTTCTATTAAAAGTGTGATCTACAGGACTAAAGTTATAAACATAATTAAATCTTTTGAGACAGATGACTTTGCAAATGGGGTTTTCCATTTTGTAATCTGATCAATAGTATTGTCTGGAGAGTTTCAACACAGAATTCCCTGAGGTGATCAGGCTGTTTAGCCTGGCATGTTAACTAGTATTCCCAATCTACTACATTTTCTTTATCAATTTCTAGTATGCAAAAGCTGTTGTTGCTTTGCCAACCATTTATTTTCTCATCATTTATAGAGGAAAACACTGGGGCCAAGGAATGCTCAACCCCTCTTCCCAGGCTGACAGCCAGAAATTGGGCTAGTGAACCTACGAGCCATGTTGTCTGATTCGTACTCTTTCCCCGTCTCATTGCCTCTTAATGACAAACACAAGCCCATTGACCAAGAGGCCAAGGCAAGAGATGATTTTAAAGCTCAGAGGGATCTGCATGCCCAACAATATTCAAGAGAAATATCAGCCACCCATCTATGCAACAGCAGAAGCATTTGGAAAATTTCTTGAGAAGGAAGCTGCCTTTTGCTGTCTCCCCAAAGTCCTTATGATATTCAAGAAATCTTCGAGCAGTTGCTCCTGAAAATTTTGTGAGGTGAAAATCCCAAGAATTTGGCCTGGCTTTAATCAAATATTTATGATGCCCTCATTAGTCTCCAGTCCAAGGGTGGTACAGGCTCTCATTTGAATTTCTGAGCAGTTAGAGAGTTTTGAAAAGAAATGTCATATTATATGCACTGTTTATATAGATGAAATATGCATGTGTTGGTTTTGCAGACTGATGTCATTGCTGCTGTTGTTTACCAGTGCAGTGATAATGGGGTGCACCAGGACCCTCCATGCTCCTCACTGCAGATCCTGGGGAACATCTGGGCTGTGGTGGGCTGGGGGAGGCCACCTCATGGCACTTGAGGCTTTGTGGGGGGCCAAGGGATGTTAGGAGGGTTCCCGTCACGGCATTGCCTGGCAAGTTTGGCTGGTGTGTGATAATGAGGTGACATTCACACCAACCAGGCAATGGGGGAGGGGGGGGGCGGAGAATATTCCAGGCAGAGAAAGCCACTTCTATAACAGGCTGGAGGCCACAGAGAGCAAGGTGAGTCTCAATAATTGAAGGTTCAATGTAGCTGGAGAATGCATAATGGAGGAGTGACTGAAGGGGACCCAGAAAGGAATGCAGGGGCTGGGATCTGAGTGGCCTTGTAGGTTCTTCAAGAAATTTAGGCGTTATCCTTGGGGCAATGGGAAGGCATCTGTGGGTTTATAGCTAGCGAGTGACATCATCTGGTTTATGTTTTAAGAAGATTACTCTGGCTGTTGTGTAGACACGGACTGGCAAGAGAGAAAGCTGAGACAGAGGAACAAGGTAGGAGGCTCAGAATTCCTGGAGGTAATGACAGAGACATGGAGAAGCGTGGTGGCCATGGAGAGGCTGAGGAGGGCATGCATCGAGTTAGGTTCTAGAATCAACATGATTCCGTGGCTATGTGGGTATGTGGGGTGAGGAAGGAAGACACTTCAGTGTTGATTCATTTGTTTCAGTTTAGGTGACGATTTCACGAGACCTCTAGAGCACCAGGTGAGACAGTTCGAAGAGGAATATGAGGAGCTTGTCCAAGAGAATCTTGAGTTTGAGTTGCCTGTGGGCTGCCCTAGAGGAGAGTCTAAGTGGACTGTTGGGTGTACAGATCTGGAGCTCAGGAGGAAAAATGGGGGCCTATACAGGCGTGTGTAGATTTGGAAGCTGGAAGTGGAGGATCTTCTTATCCTGTGACTTCTCTTTTCTCTGAGAGGAAACAGAGGCTTTCCTAAGCATGAGCCTGGAAGTCTTGGAAGGCACAGAGGTGCGAGGAGAGAGCTAGCTGTGGGGAACAAAGCCACGAATGACACCAAGCGCCCTTACATTGAGCAGCTTGTACTCTAGTTGAGGATGCAGGTAAGTGGCAGATGGCTCCATCAGAGGTGAGGAGGGCAACGGAAAGGGCAGGAAAAGAAGATAATGAGGGGGCATCTCACCCCAACTCCAAGAGGGCAGGTTGAAAAGAGGAGAGGAGTCTAGAACAAAACCAAAACTAACAAGTCAAAAACACACACGCACACACACACACACGCACACACAAAAACGAACAAACCAAAAAAACCCTCAAACCCAAAACACCCTAACATTTGATTTGGGATTTAAAGGATGAGAGGGTTTTATTCAGGTGGGGTGGGTACCTGGAATGGAGACAAAGCCTATTCACCTGGGAAGCTGCCACCACAGCACATGACTAAGAGCTCAGGAGTGAACAGGTGATCAATATTTATTAGAAAGGAAGTAGAAAAGAAAGGAAGGAGAGAGAGAGAGAGACGGGGCGGGGGCGTGAACAAAAGGCAGGAAGAAAAAGACAGAAGAAAGAAAGAAAAGGAAAAATAAGGAAAAATGAGGAAAAAGGAAGAAAGAAAAGGAGGGAGGAAAAAAGGACAGAAGAAAAGAAGGAAAGAAGAAAGGAAGAGGAGGAAGAAAGGGAGGGAGGGAGGAAGGGAAGAAGGAAGGGAGGAAGGATGGAAAAGGAGTTAGGAAGCCAGGGAAGGTGGAAAGTCAAAGGAAGGAAGGAAAAGAGGATAATGAACTAAGGACTTAGTCAGAATGAAGGTCAGTGAGGCTGGAGAACTACAAGGCAGGGTGATGCAGGGCCTGGTGGATCCAGGTGAAGTGTTTAGACTTTACCTGAGGTCAAGGGAATCTCACGGATGAGCTGACTCCAGAAGGAGACATGGTTACATTTGCAGGCACTTGCTAATGTTTTAACAGGAGGATTAGAGCCTCTTTTGGCAAATTCATGAAAGTGGTAAATGTTTAGATTTTTGTCAACCAGTGTTTCCAGGTCTTTGTTTAATGCAATTTCTGCAAAAGAATAGGATCTGTGAAAGTTGAGGTCTAAGGCAGCTGTCACCAGGAGGAGGCTGAAGGGCTCACAGGTGTATGGCAGGGAGGACTCCCACAGGCCACACAAGCCCTTCCCAGCACCCCTGCCCACCCCACACTCAGGGAGGGTCCTGGTAGGAGGACAACCAGAATGGGAAAATGAAGAAGGTGTGGAGCTGTGCCACTCCCTAGGGCAGAGAGTGGTCAGGGCTTTCCCATCTTGGCTCTGTCTGATTGGTGGCAGGGTGGGTGCCTTGGTAAGGAGGCCTGAATGTGTTAAGAAAGTTCTCTGTCTCTTTTCTCTCCATCTTCCTTTTTTTTTTTTTTTGAGACGGAGTTTCACTCCTGTTGCCCAGGCTGGAGTGCAGTGGCACGATCACGGCTCACTGCAACCTCCACCTCCCGGATTCAAGGGAGTCTCCTGCCTCAGCCTCCCAAGTAGCTGGAATTACAGGCATGGGCCACCACACCTGGCTAATTTTTTGTATTTTTAGTAGAGACAGGGTTTCACCACGTTGGGCAGGCTGGTCTCGAATTCCTGACCTCAGGTGATCCACCTGCCTTGGCTTCCCAAAGTGCTGGGATTACAGGCGTGAGCCATCACGCCTGGCCCTTCCTTTTTTATTAACCTACAGAGAGAGCGATGTAGTGTGGAGCTAGACCTGCCTTTTCCTTGGGAAGTCCTCACTTAATCAAAAGAACACAAGCTTTGGAGAAAGGCAGCCCTGGTTTCTAATCTCAGTTTTGCTTCCTTTTACTACTTGTGTGTGACACAGGATGGATTATTTTTCAAGGTTTCGTATGTGTGTGTGTGTGTGTGTGTGTGTGTGTGTGTGTGTGTGTGTGTATGTTTGGCTCTTAAAGAACAATCCTTTTTCAATCAGAGCATGACTGTGAGGCTGCAATGCTTAGCATTCAGTGGGCATTAAAAAAATATTCATTCTTGTCCTCACCCATCTTGGGACTTGCTTTTGTATCTAGGGATCCAAAAAGGTTCTAGAAGTAGGAGCAGGGAGGCAAAGCCTTTTAGAAAGAGAGCAGTTAAGGAAACAGGGTATACCTTTGAGGTCAGCTTATCTGTTAGAAGAGAAGTCAGAGAGTCACTGTTTGTAGTTATGAATAATTTATGTATAAACCACATAGTCATATGGATGTTTTTCTCCTCACTAACTCCAGTGAATCCAACAGAACTCAAACGTATTTATCAGGGTCTTTACAATGGCCTAGATAAATAGTGATTAGAATCAACAAACTAAAAATAAATAGGAAAAGACCCAGCTCCTGACCTAGGGATCTCCCACTGTAGTTGGAGATAGTCATAAAAGTTTCCTACCTGCATACTTGCTAAACGAAAGATAACATAGTTGAATGTCAAGAGCGTACCATTAGAGGCCAGTACTCAGAGCCCCGAGGGGTCATGACCAACTTGCATGAGGAAGCTGGGAAGATCTCACAGCAGAAGAAACCTTTGAGTTGGATCTTGCGGGACGGGAATGGGAGGAGGACATGGCAGCGAAGAGTGAGCAAGACCATAAGGTTGGAGACCTGGTTTTCAGCTCCCCCGCCCTGTAGACTTGTGTTGAATGTGCAGGGGAAAAATTAAACTCTTTGCCATTGGTTTTCCCATCTGTAATGAATACACCTGAGCCTCAGTTTCTACAACATCCAGACCCACACCACTGACCCCATATTGAAAAGAGGAATCCATGTGGTATTAGACTTGAAAATGCTTGGAAAAGCACATCATGCTGCCTCAATGCCTAAGGCCTGGTGAGGAAGTGCCTGGGGCTTCTCCCAGCTATGTCCTCAGGCGTGGTACGTCCATCTTCTCCACAAGCCCACGGGCTCAGTCCTTCATTCCCTCAGTAACTACTACCAGCCTCATTTGTGTTTACTTTCCCTTACGACTGGCGTAGACAAGGCTGCATGTTTGTGAACTCCATGAAGGCCACAATCATATCTGGAATTTTCATCTCTGTGCTCCTTATGCTTAGCTTAGAATCTGACAGGAGTTAGGGATCCATAGATCCGCAGGGAATGGATGAATGAATGGGCGGAAGAATGCATGCTTACATGAACGCAGGCAAGAAGTTGAATGGACTTCCCTAGTGCTTCATTCCCCTGTAGATTCTGAAGCTGAGACCACTGTGCTCTCCTTCCTTTAAAACATATTATTTATTTATTTATCTATTTACTTTTTCTTTTACTGTCTGTGGTTTCTAAATTCCATGGTAGGAAATTTCATCTCCATGTTTCCCATGCCTTGCCTGAAATTTCACTGTAGAAATTCAAAAATTTCTCTACATCCTAATTCACTATAGAATTTTTTTTAAATAAAGAACAGACATAGAAAAACGTTGCTCCTATTTCACTAGACAGGTTAATATTTTGTTCATTTTCTTTATTTTTGTCCTGTGCATGTATCTGAATAGTTACCTACCTATCAATAGCTATCAGTATGTTTTAAAAATTAAATATAATTATACAGTTTTGTTCTTTACTTATTTTCTACTTAGCATTATATCATGAGAATAGTATGCCAATTTTTTTAAAGAAAATTAAAGTTTCATCATATGGTCATATAATTCATTAAATTATTCTTATTTTGTTGGACATTTTAGACAATATTTACCTTTATAATATTATTGACAGAGAGGAAATAAATACACTGCAGCCTAAAGCTTTGAAGGCAATTTGATTGTTTCCTTAAAATGAAAGTTAATGGATTTGGATTAATGGATTAATAGAGATATAATGGATTAATAGAGTCAATATATATAGATAGTTTAAGGCTTGTGGTAGAAATTGCCAAATTGGTTTTCTGAAAAATTGCTTCCATTTACATAGTTTTTCAGCAATAACTGGGCTCATCTTACACAGTCTTCATAGGTCTATGGCCAAAATACAAAAGCAATTTGGAGCTAACTCCAGGGTTTACTGGCTTTAATGCTTATTGTCTGTTCTTAAATGCTATCATTCAGTCCTTAATTTTGCTTGATTGCCATGGTTTTGCATAAATTTTTAACTAAATTTTCAGAGACAGGCTTGTATTGATATGTGTCTTGACCCCTTATCTAGCTGAGAAAAAATGACTGTCTATTTAATTCACACGTGAAAGACAATTTTGCTGGGTATAATACTGTTGGGTCACAAATTTTGCTCCCCAAATCTACGTAGAGTCTAGCTCATGATCTCTGGTCATGTAATCTCAAAAAAGGTAGAATAATCCTGAGCTTTACTTCTTCTTGAGTGATCTGCATTGTATGCTTGGATACTTGTATAACTCATTTTTTTCTTCTCCTTTTAATTCATCATTTTTGCTATTAGCCTCTCTTTTCTTTGATTTTTCTCCCTCTAAATCAGATAGGCTTTCTGACTGCAATGCCCTAGTATCTTCTGAATCCAGTTGTCCCTTCTATTCCTGTGGGCCTGACTTCTTATGCATGATCACCTTTAACTCAAGAGGTCCAACATTTTTCTTGTTTTCATTACCTTGTCTCATCGTCTAATTATTTACAATTCTTTGTCTCTTTGTCTGAAGTCTAAAAGATCTAGTCAAATTTTCTCTATACATCACTGATTTTATTTTTTACAGTGCTAGTTCCACTCTTTAAAACCTTCCATACAGCATCTTTAGTGCTCAGGCAATCCTTCCTTACCACACTTTTCTTCTTTTTATTCTTATTTAGTTGATTTGATTTTGACATTGTTCTTACTTCTGACTTCTGGCTGGCCCCTGATGAAGATGTCCAATAATGCCAGATAATTTTCTTTTTTTA
Source organism: Homo sapiens (assembly GCF_000001405.40). NCBI lineage: Eukaryota > Metazoa > Chordata > Mammalia > Primates > Hominidae > Homo > Homo sapiens. Next base: position 98,755,010 of record NC_000014.9, on the reverse strand, counting down.
AAATTTGAACATTAAATTGTTCTCTGTGTCCTGAGTTTTCATTGACTATTGAAACTACTGTTTTCTTCCTCCTTTCTTGTGCAGTGTTGTTCTTTCATCAGCTCCTTTTCCTGTTGACTCATCCTCATATGAGGAGTGAGCTCTCTAGACCCTGGGCTGACCAAAGAAAAGACATGTGTTCTACATGTGCTCTCTCTACTATTTCCCAATTCATAAATTATATGTAAGTTGAGCTCCTCAGCGTCAAGTGTCTTCTGTAGTAATGATATGGATAAACACAACAGAAATAGCAACACTACCTATTGTCAATCAAGGATTAACACATGACATTCAATATGCTAAGTTCTTTTTTACATACATGAGCTCATTTTGTGCTTCAAACCACCCTGCCAGGGAAGCATGATCTGTCATAAGGGATTTTGTAGATGAGGACACCAAGAGCTGGCAAAGTGGAGAGCTTGACTGAGGTTGACCATCTAGCCAAGATTGCAGAATCTGGCCTCTAGCCCACCACATGCTATGGAATGAGTCATCCAGGGAGACTGTGTGCTCACATACTCCTTTTCACAGTCCCGTTTGGGCTTAGACTCAGCACACAGATTGTGTGAAAAATGATCATTTCCAGCATACACTGCTACCAGGACCTTCCACCCTCTGTTTCTACTTGATGTGCCTCAATGATGAAGATCATGTCTTCCAGGACCTGTCATATGACCACTGGGTGTCTTGGATTTGACTCACGTGATTTCTGAGAGTTACAATCTGTGAAAAGCTAGAAAATGATAATATGAATGGTAACAGTGGGAATAATTGACCTCTTTTGAGTCTATGATATGGACTGTACTGTGGGAAGTGCTCCATCTATATGAGTCCTATGAATACTCAAAAAAATTCTGAGAGAAAGGTTTTTATGTTCCCATTTCACAGCTAAATACACTGAGGTGGAGCCTGCTGTCCTGATGCCTCTCTTCTTTGGAGTGCAAGGGCAACTGATGGAGGGAGAAAGCAAGAAACAGCAGGGAGATTACCACCCAAAGTTGTGCTGATACTAAAATGAAAGAGCTGTGTGGTTTCCACTTTGGACAGATCTTGTATTTCTGTCCCAGAGGACCCTGGAGGGTGGGTGCAGGGGCTTTCTTCCTAACCTCAGGTAAGTGGGTTTGCTTTATCAGCAGTGGCACAGTAAAGGTAGGCTAAGAATGGCGATGTTTAGTCCTGCTCCTAAGTTCTGCACCCAGCCTTATTCTGGCCAGATTTTCCAGTTCCTAGCTGTAAATGAGGATTTGGTGAGATTTTTTTTTTCTCCATGTTTCTGAGACTCTGATTTCTCTTCAGTGGACTAATGATTTTAATAATATCACCCTTTTGGAGCTGTCAGCCTCAAGTGAAAATTGTGCCAAGCCTTTATCATACTGACTGGATCAAAAATATCAGAGCTCAAAAATGCCTATTGCCCTTACTATTACTATTCTGTGTTCAGAATGACTGCAGTAAGAAGTTGAAGGAAATTCCACCAGAGACTGCTAGTTTGATGCCCTTTCAAAAGCTGAACTAATGCAGGCTAACTTAAAAATCTGTGCAGGCATATGTTCATATGGATTCTAGATTAGTGCTTGGCTCCAGGAGAACCAGACAGGGGTGCAAAATGGAAGGCAGGGACAATGCTAAAGCCTTTAACTGTCATGGCTCCCAAACCTTATTTCCTAACTTTTTTGCTTAGATAGTTCCTGGAACATACTGATTGTGTTTACAAACCTTGTTTATTACAGATTTCACTGTAGCCAAGCTCAACCCTTCAGATCTAAGCACTTTGGCCATTCTGGCCTTATGTTCCAAGGCAGCTCGTTTAATTCATTTGTTCATTCATTCATCCCTCCATCCATCCATCCACTCACTCCATCATCCATTCATTCACCCATCCATCCATCCATCTATCAATCACCCACCCTATCATCCATCCATGCATCCCTCTAGCCACCCATCCACCAATGCATTCATCCATCCACCCACTCATCCATCCATCCATCCACCCACCTACCCATCTACCTGTCCATCCATCCACCCACCCATCCAAAAGACATTAGCTAAATAACTACTGTACACCAGGCCTGGCCCAAGGTGCTAAGGATACACAAGATTCTCAAGATAAAAGTCCCAACATTTGGTTCCTCGTGATCCCACAAGCCTGATGCAGCCAGCAGGGTGGGACAATCTGTAGACACTCAAGTACATTGAGGTGCTTCCTTGAATGAGGGGACAACAGATTTTAGGTGACTTCCCAAATGAATAATACCACCACTCAACCCACCTTACAACATCCTCTTGCACCTTTCTTCAGAGCAAATAAAAATGAAAAGCCCAAAGCACTTCCGTCCCTATCCATCTCTAAATATAGAAATGACAGTGTTGGTCTCCTTGGCCTCTTGGTGTGGAGGTCTGCCTCAGCAGTGATAAGGGCCCTCTCCCCACACCACTTTCCTCTGGATTACTCCAGGTTTTCTTATGCAGCCTGTGCCCATCGGTGCTTTCAACAGCTGTCTCTAGAAGAGATAACTCCGGCATGACAAGCTCTTTCAGAGGGTAGATATTTTTAAAGATTGTCAGGATCCTGCCAGCAGCTCTTATTACTGAGTACTTCGAGGCTTTTCATGGGAACAAAGTTGGGTGCAAATACCTTTCTAACGTGCAGTCTGCCCTGACAGAGAGTGTGCTATTATTACTCCAGGAGGTTAACATCCCACTGGGTTTTCAAGTTGATTCATTACTTTTTTCATGACTTATATTTATTTTTCAGCACCTGTGAAAAAACACATTGATATTTCAATACCCACTATCATCGACTGCCTGTTGTGTGTAAGCACTTGCACTCCTTGAAGGCAATTTTTTTAAAAATAGAAAGTTATTTAAAAGTTTAAAATCAAAAGTGACTTTATATTAGTCATTTTAGCATCTGACTTAAACAGGTGGGTTTTCTTTTGAACCTTCATCCCAATTGAGAATTTGGATTTAAATAGTTCAAAGATGGTATTTTGAATTTAAATTTGAAAAAGAAAGGCCATATTCTGTAGATTTAAAAGAAATTCACCCCCAAATAGATCTCATCTAACTGAGTTCCAGGTTTGTTTACTAAGCATCTGCTGGATGTCTCTAGCTGGAAGTCCCACAGACCATGCAAACTCAGCATGAAAAAAGAAAAATAATTTTCTTCCCTTTCAATCTTGCCTCTTCTCCTCTGTCTCCTTAGTTCTTATATCAGCAAGCTTTCCTATCCAGTATCCAGGGCTAAATGTCCCAGATTCATTTGCAAGCTCCCTCCTCCTTTATCGCTCGTGTTTCTTCTTCATTACAAAATCCTCCTCCCTATGTTTCTAGAACCCTGTCGTTCTCAACTGCGACTCACCAGGAGGGCTTGTTAAGATGCAGTTGCCCTTGCCCCACCTAGAGATCTAGGGCAGGGCCTGGCAGTTGGTATTTTCGCACACTTCCACGGTCATTCTGCTGACCTCAGAGTGTGCGATCTCTCAAGTTTCCCTCTCATGAACCTGGCCAGGCACTCCTCGTCTCTAGTTTCATGTTCCCAGGACATGATCTGCCTGGCTTCCTTGCTCCCCACTCCTACCTTCTCCAGGCCTTTTCTGCACTCTTCCATCTATGCATCCCTCTATCCACCCATCCACCCATCCATTCATCCATCCACCCACTCCATCCATCCATCCATCCATCCATCCATCCATCCATCCATCCATCTACCTATCCATCCATCCATTCTTTCACCCACCCATCCAACAGAAATTAGCTAAGTAACTACTGTACATCAGGTTTCTCTTCTGTGAATTGAGCAATATCTTTATCATCAGCATTTGATTATGCTGTTACTCTTCTGTTAGAAGGGTCAGTGGAATTCCGTGACTTGAGGATGATGCCCAGGCAAGTTAAGGTGGCATCTTAGGAGTTGCTGACAGTGTTATCCAGTGTTATTTTCCCTAATTTTCTTCCACATGGTCTCTACTTGTGGATGGATATAACAGGGTGCTTCCAAGAATACAAAACTGAAGTCAGGTTGCATGGATGCAAGTAAAGTACCTTGATCGGGGAGGGATTGTTATGCTGATCAGAACACATCTAGGTTATGCATTCAGTTTGGGTTTCTTAAATGAGAAGTGGCCAAGTATAGTTCCTTGGAGAGGCATGGAGATAGCGACAGAACCTATGGGAATGCTGGTGCAAGCAAAAGGATGGTCACTGGAGTTAGTGTGAAGGGAAGTCTTGGAGAACACATGAGGGTGGAATTCAAATATGCAAAGAGAGATCACAAAGGAAGGTGTTAGTCCTTAGGGACAGAAGAAGAGTTGTTGGGGGAAAGCCAAGGGACACTGTTTTCAGCTGGATGTAAAGCTGCCCAGCCAGAGTTCTCCAAAGATAAAATGAACTTTGGCAGTAGGTGATGAGCTCCCTGTCATTGGAGATATGCAAGCAGTGACTCAGTGGTGTCTTGGCTAGACCACTTAAAAAATGGAATGTGCTTCAACAGTGACTGGCATATTACAGTGTTTAGTTGTCATCATCATCATAATCATCGTTGATTTCATCCCAGTATTGGAGGCGTGCAGATAATGTGTTATTTAAGGTCCTCTCTGACACTGGGATTTTGGGAGCCTGTGCATTGCAGCAGACTGACACAGCTGGTCACAGTCACAGTGCTGGAGCCTTCCGGAATGTTCTAAAACCAGCAGCATGGTTGCCCTGGGCAATGCTCCATCCAGACCCTGCTCTCTCTATTCAGGTTGACTTTTTTTTTTTTAATGACTGGAAATAGCTTTTTCATAATCTCTCCATATTGTTTTATTCTAAAGATTTATTCCTCACCTGCATTATCTTGTGTGGTTTCTGAGATATTTGTGATCAACCTTTGCAACAGCAGGCACCAAATTCTACTTTGAAGCAAAGTAATGAGAACAATTCAAAGAGAGGCACTGCCTGGCACCATGGCTGTGATAGACCAGGGGACTCCCCAGGCCATTTCCCAAGGTTGATGCCATCTGCAACATTACGAATACATTCTCAATAAAACCCAAACCTGCTTTTCTGATGCATTACCAAATACTGAGGTCTTTTATTTTCTTCCTAACTTGTATTTTTACATCTCGCCATATTGCATCAATGTTTATTAAAAAGCAACTAACTTATCATGGAGTTACAAAAATGAATATAATAATACTAAGTATTGTTGCTAATAATTTTGGCTTATAATATTATTCCAAAAATTATGTTAAGATTATTGAAAAACTGGATATCAAAGCAATAAATTTTATGCATCTATATTTATTTTCTTTTTTCCTTGTTATTGGAGGAGCTTAAAAAAGCTCTACGTAGTTGTTTAAGAACAGGCTTAAAATTGAGAAAATATTGCCATGGGGATGATCCTCTTGGAACTCTTGATGAGCAGAAATATATACATACATATACATATATGCATATCATATATATACATATAAATGCATGCATACATACATAAATATTCAAATTTTAAAAATGATAACTATACCCAACATCTAGAATTTAATCTCTATATCTATCTGTCTATCGATCATCTGTTTATCTGTTATCTTTCTCTCTAGGTCGCTATCTCTCTGTCTATCTATCTTGTCATCTATCTCTTTATCATCTCTCTGTCTCTATCTGCCATCTCTCTATAGAGCCTCTATTATCTATCTATCTAGCTATCATCTATTTATCTATTATATATCTATCTCTGTCTATCTATCTGCCATCTATCTATCTTTCTATCATCTATCTATTGTCTATCATCTATCTATCTGTCATCTATTTATTTACCTATCCATCATCTGTCTTTCTCTTTCATTCTATCTGTAATCTATTTTTCTATCCACCTTTCTGTCTCTCTATTATCCATCATCTATCTATCTATCCATCTATCTATCTATCATCTATTTATCTATTTTCATCTGTCATCTATCTATCTCTTGTCTGTCTCTATCTCTGTATCATCTATTGTCTATCTATCTATCTATCTATCTATCTATCTATCTATCATCTATCATTTATCTATTTATCTATTCCTTACCTATCATCTATTTATCTAACATCTCTCTGTCTCTCTATCTGCCATCTATATCTCTATCTATCTAATTATCCATTTTATGTCTGGAATACATATAAGTACGAGTTCAATCACTTTTTTATCCTGCATGGCTCTAATTTTTCTCCCTCCTTTCTCAAAGGCAACAATTATCAGGCATTTCCTGTGAATCCCTTTGGTCTACACTTTAATGAGTTATTACAAGAAAATCCATAAACAACATATTGTTCATAGTAAGTAGTAAACAGCATTGTCTTGTGCCATATTTTAATATATACACAAATAGAAGAGCACTGTGGTTTTGCTTATTTTGTACCTTGCTTTATACCCTCAGCAGTATGTTTGAGAGCTCTATGTGCACAACTTAATCTCTTTTACCTGCTTTGCTTTGCAATATCCCATTTTATGAATGTGCTACATTTATCCATTCATATCATTTGCTATTTTTAATTTTTAATGCTTAGAAACTGTGCTGGAATTGACATCTTGGTTATGCCTTCTTGAGTATTTGTGGAAGTCTTCTATAGGGCAGGGTAACAATTTGGGGGTTCAGGGCTTAAAAGAAGAAAAAAGTCTATGTTTTTAAATATTTACCTGAAATTTGGTATTTCCTCTGACTCTGAATGCAGGCAACCAACTTCAGTAGCATTAGCAGTGCTGTGGCTTTGAAAGCAATGGAAAGTACAATTTCAGATCACGTTACAGTTGTTGAAGATATCTCAAATATTATTCAGGAGCATCAGCACTTCAAAATTACAGTAATTGTGTGAACGTTACTAGATCTCTATTTTAACGGGTTAAGAAGTAGCACATATGTTACAATATCAAAGATTTGTTTTTTAAACATTTATGGATGTTTTCAGTACAATTGGCTTTCATTTCAATACTGTGTATTTTATTGTATACATATATATCTTAAATGTGATATATATACACACACACATATACAAACACATACAAACATTTACACATACATGTATATTTATAAGCATCACAGACTGTCAACAGGGTCCATGACAAAAAAAAGAAATTGAATAAGCCCTTCTCTAGGACGTAAGTGTTGGAAATATAATTGCTAGGGTGCATGGTGTTTACAATTTCAGCTTTAGTAGAAATTGACAATTGTTCTAATAAAAGATGTTACCAATTATTTGATGAACCCACTAGTGATAGCTGGGAATTCCCATCTCCTGCACCCTTGCCAGTACTTGGTATTTGAAGACTTTTTCATATTTGCCAGTCTGATGTTTGAGAAAGAGTATCTCATCGTTTTAATTTGCATTTCCCTGATTCCTAACAAGGCTGAGCTTCATCTCAAATGTTTGTTAGCCATTTTAGTTTCTCTTCTGTGATTTGGGCAATATCTTTGTCATCATGCCACTCCTAAGAAAGTGATGAAAAGCGTGGCGTTTTGGAAGGTATTTCTTTTCCTGTGATACTGCACTCATCAATAACCTTGAAGCCTACATTTTCTACTGATGATCTTAAAAGTGAAGTGATTGCTCATTGGGGTACCTAAAATGATTTAGACATATTTGAGATTCTATTTATATTTGTTTTTATCTAAAACATAAGAAAAAATTTAAACTTTCTTTAAAATTTTATATATAGGCTAATATTTACACATATCTATAATTTACAACATGAAATATATGCACATATATAGGGAAAGCATGCTTATTGTTTCCAAAAACGTTTTGACACCATTATTTAAGACAAGGGGCTCCATGATAAAAATAAGTACATCTATTGAGCACCTACTGTGTGCCAGTTGCCTTACAAGCATTATTCAATTTAATTCTCATGATAAACCTATAGAGTAGGTACAATCATTTCTACTTCATCAGGAACCCAAAAATGACAGCTGTTAGGTAATTTGCCTCAATGCTGCTTTTAGTAAATTGCAGAATTAGGAATTGCATTTACATTTATTACTTTTTGAGTCCATAGCTCAATCGCTTTTTACCATGCCCTGCTCTCCTTCTACTGAAATATTAGTTCCATGAGGGTGGAGCCTATCTGTCCTTTTCACTACTCTACCCCCAAATCTCAAAACAGTGCCTGCCATGCCACAGGATAGCAGTCTATTTTTATTTAATGAATAATTGAAGAGATGAAAGAAGGGAGGGAGGGAAGGAAGACGAGAGAGTGACTGCACAAGGAATTCACAAAGCAGTGTGGGAACGGACAGGGCAGCTGATGAGTGGTACACTCTGGGGCGTAGTGTGCATGGTGTGGTAGAAGCGTGTATGTGGGACAGAGTAGCTGGGATGATTTCTTAGCTTGGGTTGGAGAAGGGAAGAGACCCTGAATGGACATGACATGATGTCTGATCATGAAATCTGACATTTATTAAGTGTTTCTGTACAAGAGGAGAGGGAGTGGATGTGGAGCTGAGATCCTGGGTGTGACTTCAGTTTGGGGTCATGGACTCAGTGCTTTCTTATTGGAGTTGTGGACCTCCAAAGAGCAAGGGTGTGTGTGTGGCTTCAGCTTGCCTGTGGCTGTATGGCATCTCTGGTCTTCTTTTTCTATTTACCTTTCTAGGCAGGGTTGTCCATGACACTTCTGGGGAAATGCAGGACAAAGCTGATATGGAAAAGAACACTTGTTCATCCTATGTTTTTGTTTGTTTGTTTGTTTGTTTGGAATATGTGGCCTGTGTGGAACTGGACACTGAAGTCACTAAGCAGGCAGGCAGGGGGAATCAGCAAGCAAGTGCCAGGCTATTCATGTCATGTTCTGTGTGGTTTTGGATGAGGGATATGAGGGGACAATGGCTCTTATTAACCCCAATAACCCTGCTGCACAGAAAGCATCTAAGACTTTCCTTCCTTCATAGCAGCAAGCAGAGGTGCAGGGCACAGGGTGCAGGGCAAAGCGTATCAACATGACAGACAGGAGCTATCTCTTGGTTAACCATGAGCCATCAAGTTGACTTTTGTAAACTATAATGAAGAAAGAACCCTCCCCAGGAAACAACTGCTGAAGACAGAGCACTGAAAAGAAACTTTCCACACTGGTAGATCCAAAGGATTCCAGATGTTTTACAGAACAGACTGAAGAGTTCTACCCAAGCATAAGAGCATGTCAGCGCAGAGGTGCAGAGGGCGTGGAACAAGAACATTGACAACTCCCAGAGAGACACAGCAGGACTTGCACCACGCGTAGAGAATCTTGATTATCTTGTATCAAGGAGGAAGAACTGGGCCTTTGATCAGATCCTTCTGAGTCCATGGTCTGCCTCATGGTTAGGTTGATGTTGGGTGACCTTCAGGGAGAAGCCACTCTGGGCTGTGGGTTCATTCTTCATTCATTTGCAAGCAGTCCTGTTGTGTTCATAAAGCCTCCAGTTATGGCCGGGTGCCGTGGCTCACGCCTGTAATCCCAGCACTTTGAGAGGCCGAGGCAGGTGGATCACGAGATCAGGAGATCAAGACCATCCTGGCTAACACGGTGAAACCCCGTCTCTACTAAAAATACAAATAATTAGCCGGGCATGGTGGTGGGCGCCTGTAGTCCCAGCCACTCGGGAGACTGAGGCAGGAGAATGGCGCGAACCCGGGAGGCGGAGCTTGCAGTGAGCCAAGATCGCGCCATTGCACTCCAGCCTGGGTGACAGAGCGAGACTCTGTCTCAAAAAAAAAAAAAAAAAAAAAAAAAGTCTCCAGTTGGTGTACCTCAGAGGGTGTTTTGATAGATATATTTAGACCCAACCTGGAAATGGCAACTGTAATTTTGATGCCAAAAAAAAAAAAAAAAAAAAAAAAGCAGTGGGTCTGTTGGAGTACACTGTATGCTACCTTTAATGAAAGGAGGACTGTGGAAGCTCAAGATGATGCCCTTTGGCTCTGATAGTTGTTTTGATCTCCAGGCTGAACTGCATATTGCATTATGGGCAAGTAAGAAACACCTCCGTGGACCCTGAGCCCCACAGTCTTGGTGGGATCGACTTGACACTCAAGTGTACGTGGGAACTTCATTTCTGAAAAAAAAAAAAAAAAAAAAAAACCCTTGAGAGTAACAGATGCTGCTGCAGTGGCAAAGCCCTAAACCAGAAGATCTTCACTTTGTGTGATCTTGAAATCATCACGTGAGACTGCTTCCTTGTCCAAATTCAGTGTGGATGCTTTCTCTATTCCCTTTAAGACCAGGGACAATGAACGGTGGATCCAGTTGTGTTCCGGTTGGTGGATCCAGTTGTGTTCTGGTTGTAGTAGGCGGAAGGCTAAAGGACGTAGGGCTATTTTATGATAAAATTTGCCAAAATAAATTGCCTTCTTGCTCATTGGAAAGGCTTTGAAAATGGAGCTGCTCTCAGTGGGGGCGTTGTGGTTAAATAAATAATGCTAACACCCTAGCGTGGCAAGAGCCCTGTTTGTTTTCCCATCCTACATACTTTTGATTTATTTTTCCCCCATTTGGTGCTAATTGGACTGTATTTGCAAAAATTGTTATGATCTATTATCCTGTATACTTGGTCTAAAGGACACTTGAGAGATTTCAGAGAAAAAGAAGATGAGGACTGGTCTGATTATTATTTTTTTAATGTTAATAAAACTGAAGGCAAAGTAGTCCAATTCCAACCAAGAAAGGAACTTAAAATAGGACTTTTTTTTTAGGACTGATAGTGAAAGCACCGTTCCTTGTGCCTTTTCTTTCTGTCTTTCTTTCTCTCTTTCTTTCTTTCTCTTTCTTTCTTTCTTTCTCTTTCTTTCTTTCTTTCTTTCTTTCTTTCTTTCTTTCTTTCTTTCTTTCTTTCTTTCTTTCTTTCCTTCTTTCTTCTTTCTTTCTTTTCCCGAATGTACCTGTAGACTATTAAGCAGCTGCTGTTGGCTGTTTTGAGGAAAATGCTAATATTCTTTGGTACCATCATTTAACATTTTTAAAAAGTAACCACTTAGCTTTAAAAATGTGGTTTGGTTGAAAAGGTTATGTTTGTTTCATGCTTTTATAGAAGCCAGTGTGAGCAAGACAGTAGTTGGGAGAAGGAATGATTTGTTTCCCCATGTGGTGTGTTGATTATCACATCTTATTACATTATATTTGGAGATAAAAAATTGCTCAGGAAGGCAGCGGCAGGACTCTGCTCACCTCATCCCTCACAGGTGCCCTCGGAGGCATGCTTTATCTCCAGCTCCTGCTGGCTTGGTCGTATCTGCCTACGCCCCGGCTGATTGGACCCATCTTCAGAGTACGGATGCAGTGGGGAGGGACTGGGGAGACTCCTTGCCCCAGAATGTGTGACAAACTGAAACGAGATATTTTAACAAGAAGGACTTTTATGGTCTCTTAGAGCAAATGCCCATTGCTGGGGCCTTGTACACATTCATGCTCATTCATCAGTAACTACAGAAGGTCCCCGACTCACCATGGGTGCAGTTGGGATTTTTGACTTAAGTCAAAATAGAAACTGTTCAATAGAAACTGTACTTTGAATTTTGATTCATAATTCTTTATAACAACATGATTATATGTTGTATTGTATTATATTATAAATATATGTAAATATAAAATAAATTATTACATTTGGCCTGGGCGTGGTGGCTCATGCCTATAATGCCAGCACTTCGGGAGGCTGAGGTAGGCAGATCACTTGAGCCCAGGAATTTGAGACCACCCTAGGTAACATAGCAAGACTCCATCTCTACAAGAAATACAAAAATTTGCTGGGCATGGTGACCATGCCTGTATTCCCAGCTACTTGGGAGGCTGATGTGGGAAGATCACCTGAGTGCAGAGAGGTCAAGGCTGCAGTGAGACAAAATTGCACCACTGCACTCCAGCTTGGGCAATAGTGTAGGACCCTATCTCAAAAAAAAAAAAAAAAAAAAAAGACGAACCCAAAACAAACAAACAAAACACGTCCCCCCGCCCCCCCACCAAAACCCATTATTATAAAACTGGCTTTGTTTTAGGCCATTTTGCCCAACTGTAGGCTAATGTAAGTGTTCTGAGCTCACTTAAGATGGACTACGCTAAACTATGAAACTCAATAGGTTAAGTACTAAATGCATTTTCAGCTTATGATATTTTTCAATATATCATGGCCTTATCTGTCCAGATAAGACATAACCTCATTGTAGGTTGAGGAACATCTGTATTTTGAGCTTCTGTTTTATGCCTGGCTCTGGGATGGATGCTGTAGACAGAAGAAACAAATGAGATATAGTCCTGTTCTCAAAGCACTCACAGTCTAGGGAGGGAGACAGGCATGGGAACAGACGGCCAGACAAATTTCCTAGCCCGTAGGGTAGAGGTGAGAAGAAGATGCTATGGGAATTCAGAAGAGGTAACTTATTGAAGGTGCGGACTGTGGAGGGAAGTCATTAATTCCTTCAATATCTGTTGAGACCCTAAAATGTTTAAATGTGCTAGTGAATCTGCGGTGTTAAAATAGACATGGCTGTTCCTTAGGATCAAGTTCAGAATAAATTATTAGATCTCTGTTTTCTCTCCCTGCCTTTTCTCAGTCAGATGTATAGACGTACACACACAGCCACACTCAGAGACATACATACACTCACCACACATTCACAGATGCATGCACAGTAGTTAAGGGGTCTGTATGCTTTTTAATGTATAAAGGTGTGTGTATGTGCACGCGCATGCATGTCTGCAGTCAAGACGGTCTTTCAGGATCAGGGGCAGGGCTGTCGCAGCTGATGGAGGACCAAGCAGTAATTAAGAGGAGATGGAGATCAAGAGCTCTGTTTATCCAGGAAGTGCAGCCACTCTGGAGAACCTAATGTGGTTTAGAAAGCGTGAAGCTTGGGGGCAAGGATGAACGGGGCAGAGACTCAGGGAAGTACAGGAGCCTGTGGGCTGAGGGCTAGGGAGGCATCCTCTACGTGATGGGGGAACTGCTATGAGCACTAAGGGTGGCAGGAGTGTGGTTGGATCCCATCCTTGAGTTGAAACCCTCACATGGCAGCAGCTCGTCTGCCTCTACTCTGTGCTGGACTTCATTGACTTGCCTCCTCTAGTGTAGAATTTTGCTTCAGACATCTCCTTTTTGTATTTATTATTTATTTATTTATTTTTGAGCAGGGTCTCTCTCTGTCAGCCAGGCTGGAATGCAGTGGCACGATCACAGCTCACTGTAGCCTCTACCTCCCAGGCTCAAGCTATTCCCCCTGCCTCAGCCTCTCGCGTACCTGGGACTACAGGTGCCCACCACCGTGCTTGGCTAATTATTTTATTTCTGTAGAGACGGGGTCTCCCTATATTGCCCAGGCTGGTCTTGAACTCCTGAGCTCCAGTGATCCTCCCACCTCGGCCTCCCAAAATGTTGCGATTACAGGTGTGAGCCACTGCCACCAGCCAGACATCTCCTTTTCGATACTGTAGTCTGAAAAGCTGGGTCTTGGTTGAAGAAATTGTAAATAGAGTTTAAAAAAGGGAGGGGCTTTCCTGGGGGTGGGTGAGAACTGGATTGGGATTGAGCTGGGGACGGTGTACTGGTGGGCATACCCTTGACCTCGGCAGTATCTGCAGCACAAGCTGTCCAGAAAGATGGCCTGTGACCTGCTTGCCTTGGAATGTCTGGAGGGTTGGGAACTGAGAGAGAGGGGAGTTGGGGGATGCGTAACGAGGTGCTTGGCCAGCCCTTCCTTTTCCTTCCCCTCCTACCGCCGCTCTCTCCTCTCCCTCCTTAAGGCATCCAATGCTTCTTTCCTAGTCTGAGCCTGGGATCTTGCTCCTCCTGCCTAAACTGCCGCATGGAACAGAATGTCAGCGAACAGAAAGCCCTGGGGCTTCTAGACTTGAGCTGGAAATTAGAAGACCATTGATTTCAACATGGAAACAGAAGAACAAAGAAGTAAACAGAAAACAAGAAAGAGAAAATCAAAGGGGAAAAAAACCAGAAAAAAATAGTGGGGAAAACAGTGCCTAATATGTGGGGAGGCCATAGCCGTTGATGTTGATTAGCAAATCAAGAGAAAATATGAAGCAGATTGTTTCATAAGTTGTTTTGGTGATATGAAAGTGATTCCAATTATAGCAATTTATAAAAATCAGTGTCTATATTTGCATATTGCTTTGGTGCAGTCTGAGGGTGTGGTTTGCAAAGCTCATTTTAAAGTGGGAAAACTGAGGCTCAGATGCTGCATGATAAGCTGGGTTCATTCTGCTAGAAGTGGAAAGTTGGCCTTGGACAATCAAGGGTACAGCAGCCTATAGCTTATGTCCAGGAGTTATCTGTGCTAAAGAGAATGAGATTCCCCTGGGAGGGAGCCATGCAGATTTGGAGAAATGGAATCTTCCAGAAAGAAAATGACCTGAAAATGGACTGGGGAAGCTCTGGCACCCTAGGATCTTGGGCAAGAGTCTTTTTTTTGAGGCGGAGTCTTGTTCTGTTGCCCAGGCTGGAGTGCAGTGGCGTGATCTCGGCTTACTGCAAGCTCCGCCTCCCGGGTTCACGCCATTCTCCTGCCTCAGCCCCCGAGTAGCTGGGACTGCAGGCACCTGCCACCACGCCCAGCTAATTTTTTTGTATTTTTAGTAGAGATGGGGTTTCACTGTGTTAGCCAGGATGATCTCGATCTCCTGACCTCGTGATCCGCCTGCCTTGGCCTCCCAAAGTGCTGGGATTACAGGCGTGAGGCTGCAAAACTCTCTTATCTCCCATTTCCCCAGTGGCAAAACAGGTCACCAGGCATAGAGAGATGGGAGGCTGCCTGAGAGAGAGGGAGGAGAGCTTATGGAAATTGGCTTTTTCCTCCTCTTCTTCCTGCTCAGGTACACAGCTAATCCTGAGACAACAACATTTTTAAATTCCTCTTCTCTCGCTGTGCAAACAATTTTCTGCTTCCAAATGTAACTCTGGTTAAAAACTACAGACATGCAGGTGCAATTGTAGACAGGTTTGTGGTGAAAGTCAAGTTCATACATATTTGCCTATTAAGACAGGACCCTTAAATCTCCAAGCTGGGGGGAAAGGAAGTTAAGTCTTAGAATGCACATGTACAAACTTCCCTGTATAACTGAGATTTTCTGTAGCTCTGGTTTTTATTTATGGATTTCTGCAGTTCACTTTGACGGGGAGGGATTATTTTTCTCTCTGCCGACTCCAGCTGATTGATTCAATGCGCCTGCTCACTTTCAGATATGGCCGCAGAAGCTGCGGCATAACTTTGTGTCTGTATTTAAAATTGGGAATACAAAATGGGTTTAAACTTGAATATTTCATCGAGACACTACGTTTTATAAGTAATTTATTTTGGAAATCCAGGCGTCTGCCTGGGCTGTGTAGATTTTGAGCGACTTGGGATGCTCAGAGTTACTTCTGAATATTAATATCATTTGGGCCGTACACACTCTGAGATTTCATATAACCTTATCACTGCTAGATACTTAAATAGCCATGAAGGGGATAAAGCAAACACTTTCCTCAACATTTATATCAGGATATTGGCTTTCCATATGATGACTTTAACTAATATAATCTCAGGCAAGACAAACAGCAACATTTACAGTGAAAGACAACTCTGTTAATCACAAAAGATGTTGGATGCAAGACTTAATCATTTTTAGGACCATGGAAGTTATGTGTGCAAAGTAAATGTAGATTTTTCTTTTCTCGCCAGCTCACACAATAAATATTTCCTCAATTTCTTGAAGATGGAAGCTTCAGAAGTCTGGTTTAGCAAAGACTTAGCCATGGCCAATTCCATTTCTCATGAGTACATCCTGTTTAGAGGGGGAAGCTCATCAAGTTCTGAAAAAAAAAAAAGAAAAAGGGCTGGGTGCTGTGGCTCATGGCTGTAATCTCAGCACTTTGGGAGGCTGAGGCGGGTGGATCACCTGAGGTTAGGAGTTTGCGACCAGCCTGACCAACATGGTCCACCATCTCTATAAAGAATACAAAAATTAGCTGGGAATGATGGCAGATGCCTATAATCCCAGCTACTTAGGAGGCTGAAGTGGGAGACTTGCTTGAACCCAGGAGGCACAGGTTGCAGTGAGCCGAGGTCACACCATCGCACTCCAGCCTGGGCAACACGGTGAGACTCTGTCTCAAAAAATAAAAATAAAAATAAACATAAACAAAAGCATGAGAATTGGTGGATTGGAGTAAGGGAACTGGTTCAGATTGGATCTCTGACATTCTGGGATCACTTCCTTTCCCTGAGGATCAACTTGCCCTTCTATAACCTTTGAACCCTTCATAATTGTCAACTTCTGGAAGATGACTTTCATTTTAAATGAGAGAGAGGGAGCCTGGCATGAGGGTGGGGTAGGGGTGATGACAACGGATATTGTATAGGTTGAGTTGTGTCCCCAATAAAGATACCTTAAAATCCTAACCCCTGGTACCTGTGAAGGTGCTCTCGTTTGAAATTAGGGTCTTTACAGATATAATCAAGAGGAATCATACTGAATTAAAGGAGATCCTAATTTAATCTGATCGGTGCCCTCATAAAAAGAGGAGAGACAGAGACAGAGACACAAAAAGAAGGCAGTTCAGAGACTGAAGTGATGTGGCCACAAGCCAAGGAATGGCTGAAGCTACCAGAGCTTGAGGAGGCCAGGAAGGATCCTCCCCTAGAAGCTTGAAGGGAGCATATCCCTGCCAACACCTTCACATCTGACTTTTAGCCTTCAGAACTGTGAGAGTAAGTTTCTGTTGTTTTAAGCTACCTTGTTACCACACTTTGGCAGGTGCTGTAGATATGAGTGGCATCATGGCTAGAACTCTGAAGAGAGATCAATCTGGGTTCCAGCTCTTGGGCCCTCCCAGGTTATGTGACCACCAGATAAGTTACTTCATTTCTTTTAGCTTCTGTAAAGTGGGGATGATGTAAGTATTTGCCTCATAGGATTATGTATAGGTTAAATAAATGATGTGTGTAAAGTGTTTAGCATAGATAAATCACTGTGGGCATGTGTGTGTTTGTGATTTTGTCAGCACTGGTCATCTTGTTTACCGATGTTAAGAGTTACAACCCTGGTGGCAAATGCACTGTAGGAGACCAGTACATACTGGTCTGAGTCAATACAAATTATTTCCATTCTATTTAAACAAGGTATTCATCTTTCAATTCTCTAAAGTACCTGTATCTGTACCAGAAGTCCAATGTAGAGGAAGGAACACAGAATTGAAAGTCTGAAACCTTAGGTTCAAGCCCAATTTCTACTGCTTTAGTAACTGTGTCACCCTGAGAAAGTGGCTTGATGTCTCTGATCCTCATTGGCCTCTGTCAAATGACATTGATAATTAAGACCTCACAGGCTTGTAGCATAAATCAATGAGACAATGGTCATGAAAGGTTTATTAAATTGTAACTTCCCAGAAGTTGTCAGTTGTTCTTGTTACTGGAGCTTAGCATAATGTCCGGTGCAGAGTTTTCTGCATAGATGAGACTCAATCCAACCGATATTTATTAAACCGAATTGTGTTGGTCTGAGTACCCCTGCATCTAATCACAATGTTTTTTATAGGTGTGTGATTTTCCTGACTCTCCCTCTTTGTTCTGATGGGAACATATGCATATCAGTGGACCGATGATACAGGTTTTCCCTAGACACGAAGTGACTATGTGAATGCAGACACACATTCCTGGTGAGAGGCCCTGAGAAGAACAGAGTTCCTTGAGCACCTTGGATGCTTGAAAAGGGAGGTGGGATTTCCAGACCTTTTCACTGGATCACGTTCTGGATTAGCCTGGGAGGGAATATGGCGGCACCGTGGCTGGGGCAGAGAGTGGTGGAACGGAAATCCCAAGGCTCGTGTGAGCTGCGGAAGGCCGCCGGCCAGAACCTTCTCAGAGCAGAAAGCATTTCCTGTGCTTCTCTGGCCGTCTTCCCTGCCTGCCTCCTCCCAGGCTGCCCCACTAAGGCCCAGGATTGAGGCCATTTAGCTTCTGTAAATACCAGGTTTCATCATCTTAACCTCCAAGAGATTATGCTTTTTGAGTAAAACAACTGAAGCAGAAATCTTGAAAACTTTAATTACGATGGGCTCGCACTGCTTGCTTTGTTCAAGACCAGATCCTCAAGGCAGGGAATTTCTGTGGCAATGTGAAGGGTGTGGGTGGCAGCTGGTGCTTCTTTTGTCTGCTCCTGAGCTCTCCCTGTCTACACTGGCCACAGCAAGCCCAAGGGCTCCATGGCAGTGGGGAGCAGCCACCCTGTCTGGCTGTGCTCTGGGAGTTGTTTAGGGGAGAATTGAAGGCTAACAAAAAGGCAGCATTCTGACACAGGTGGGGCTCAGAAGCTGGCCGGCATCCTACCCACACCCTGGAATTACCCAAACTGACAGGTGACAACTGCACACAGTATCTGTCATATCTCCCCAGTAGAAACTGACCTAGGTTTTGCCATACAAATGCTGTCTCACAAAAAAGGAATCTTTTATGTGAGGATCCAAAAAATAAACTTAGAGCTGGACGATTATCTCCCAGGAAACATTCTTTTCTCCCATCCAGCAATTCCACAAGACAACCCTGGCCTGGGCTGCCATGGACTCTGCCCAAGGTTCAACTGTGGCAGCCATTTTAAACAAGAGCCTCAATGGATTTCTCTTTTTCCTCACTCCAGATGACCTCTAATTATTCTTTTAAAGCACAATTTTAACAATTTCTTTGCACGTGCATCTAACCATAAGCTGTTGCACATAGATTTAGAAGTAAGCAAGATAAAAATCTCAGAAAGCCAGGTTCCTAGAAGCTCTTGAAAAGATCTTTGCACTTTATCCTTGTGCTTTTGCACACGCTTGACTCTAGAATCTACGTTGCCACACACAGACTCGCTGGCACGGACTGATATTTGATAAGTGCCTTCAACCTGGGGTCTTAGTATCTGTGCTGATGCCCATAGCCTGACCCTTGGCTGACTATGGATTCTAGTTCTCTAGCCTCGCCTCTGTTCAATTGCATTCTTATCAGCTCTATCCCTGGGTTCTACCCAGAAATGCCTTCCCTGGCCACATCCACATCTGCCTTGTCTGCTAGGCTTGGCCACACCCTGGGCAGGGACTTCATGAGTCCCGGGTTCTGGATCTATAAAATGGGGTTAATCACACCTCCCTGCCACCCCGTTGTTTCTCTGGGAGGATCACACCGAGCATGAGGAGTCCTGTGAGTTACTCCTCAAATGTGACCACCTCCTTCCTTCTGATGTTCCTTTTTCTGGAGTTCTCTTTCCTTGGATCTGTGCATGACTTCCCTCTTCACATCATCTGGGTGCCTGCTTACCCTCATTGGCCCCCCTGTCCCTAATATCCAAAACTACACCCCTACCCTATTATCTTAAGGCACTTCCTCATTCTCCATGACTCTGATCTCTACCTGGAATTACAATACTTATTGATTTGTGTTCTGGTTTAGTGTCCGTCTCCCTCATCAGAATGCAAGTGCTAAGCAGACAAAGCCCCTCACTGTCCAATCTTCACTGCATCTCAGCATCTCCTGGTCACTGCCTGCAACAGAGACGATGCTCTATAAACACTTGCTGAATGCATAACTAAGTGAACAAATGACCACAGTGACCATGGTGATCCCTGTCAATGTTGGCCATCATGCATACCACTTACAGGGGTGGGGTCCAAAGCCATCACGGAAAGTGAAGGTTGAACAAGGCAATGACATCTTGAAATCCCTTTGGAGGCCACCATATTGAGGCTGATAAGTCATCTCTCACCCTGTCCCTTCTAGTTTTCTCCAGTGGTAGAACATTCTATTGTTTCTTTGGTAGAAGATCAGAGGCAGAACTAGGCCATGGTTTTGGATCCACATTGCTTGAGACATGCCCATCGATAAGCACCAGAATCACATCCTCCTTGGTAAGATGGTCACATGTGTTGGAACTGGGACCCATTTAGTAAAAGAAGCCACAATGCCCAAGTCATGCACACCTTGGGACACATTCTCTTCGAGTGAAATCATAGACAAACCCTCCCAAGCTATTTGATCTAACTATCAACACTGTGATCATTTTCTCCTGCCCCTGAAGCCACATGTTGATAGTAACTTTACACATGATGCTATACCCCTGTGCTTATTCTTAACATTTTACCTGCCCCTGAAGCCACATGTTGATAGTAACTTTACACATGATGCTATACCCCTGTGCTTATTCTTAACACTTTACCTGCCCCATGCCCTTAGTTTTGGCTCAATCTGGTGAAGATGCTCTTGGAAGATGGCCCTAGTTCCTCCAATGACTCACTTCTGTGCCTCAGTGCCCCTCCCCTCCAAGACTGGGGCATCCCTTCCTAGCAAGTGAGCCTCGTGCGTGGTGACATTCTAGCCTAGGTTTTGCTACCCAACAACAAGTCATCCATCATCACTGACTTATTTAGAGCTATTTTTCTGTATTTTTTTCCTTCTTCAAATTGCGACCTCTGCTGAAAAGACCCCCAGGCACAGAGACAATAACATCATTCATTAAAATATTTAAATCAGCTGCAGCAGCAGTAATGACCAAGATGAAACCTTAAAGCACAAATTACCTGTAACAGAGGCACCTATTTTGCCAAAGGGGCTTGGAACGGTCTGGATTTCGGGTTCTGGCGATGACTAAACTCTTGTCAATAGAAAGGATCTCAGATTAGCATGAGGTCCTAGGTTTGCAATCTGGGCTCATGATCCTTAAATGTTTCCCAAAGATCACTAATCCTGAGGTCTAATAAGAGCTTTGCTTTTAGTGCCAGAAATACAATTCTCATAATACGATAAGAACTGTTACTTAAGATAAAACTGATTTTCACTCAGTTATCTGAAAAAAGCATCACAAATAATAGTTGTTTTAAATGTTTTTATCAAAAGATTAAATTTTGCTGTACCTCCTGAAAGCAAGTAATTGCCAGTTGATACAATCTGGGATTAGAACAAAGACCCTGGTAAGTTAAGTTTGAGAAATAAATCTAATTTGAAAGATAGAAATAGCAAGCATTTTTTGGAAGTTAAATGAGCAAAATATTTAGTGAAGGCTAAAGATTGGGAGGCGGTGTTGTGAAAAGGTTAAGAGCAAAGTCTCTGGGGAAGAGAGGCCTGCTTGTGTCCTGTGTGCACCATCATAGGACGAGCTGTGTTCATGACCTTTGGCAGGTGGCTTAATGGCTCTGAGTCTTGGCATCATCCTCTACAACATGAGGCATTGCATTTACCCAGCCCGACTCTCCTCCAGCTTCCGAGTGGGGCTGACTATTGGGAGACACTGCCAGAAGGTCAGAGGGTAGGGGAAGGAAAAGCCTGTGTGCTTTCCCTGCTCTCCAATGTCATGTCCCTCTGTGTTTCCAGCTCCTACTGGGAAGTGTCTCCTGTGGCTCTAGCTCCCACCAGATGGCCTCTGCTCCTGGGTTCTGATAACACCATCTCCTTTCTTGGTGGTATTGGCTTCCAGCTGTTACTAATTCCTATATTCTCTCACTATTCTCTTATTTGACTCCTCAGAAATTCCGTGGCCCTGTGTAACCAATTCCCGATATCTGACTCCCTCCAATTGAAGCACCTGGACTAATTTCTATCTTCCTATCTGGGTACTTCCTCCTAACCTCCCTTTCTCTTCTTATTTCCTTCTCTTCTTTTCTTCCTCCCTTCTGTTTATTTTTCTTCGTTTCTTCTCATTATTTAAATTGGTTATGGATCCTAATCAATATGTTGACCTTTCTTTTACTTGTATTTCAAGACCTGGGTGAAATCTTATTTCCTAAATGAGGCTTTTCTTTTTGTCACCTTCAGCAGAAATAATAGTTTCTTCCTCTTTACTGCCATGTCTTCTATTAAACCTCTTTCATAACAAACTATAAAGATCTAATTTATTTAGTTTTTTTTCCTTTCTTTTTATCTGACTTCTTTACTAGACTGTTTCTTATTCATGTTTGTGTCCTTAGTTTCTGTCATGGAACAGAAATTAGCTTACGTTATTGAGTTAATTGAACTAATATTCCCCAAATGATAACAGCAGGTGTTGCATTGTGCACTGAGGATGCAAAGGTGTCTCTAGACTCAACACAAGCACTGAGTCCCTCCAGATTCTCAATTACCAACACCTGGGTGACTCTGTTTCAGGCCTCACTTTGCCCCCCACCCCCGACTCCACCAGCTAGACCTCCACCTGCGGATTTGGATTTTCTTTGTTTTCTTGGTGGAAGAGGATCAGGAATAAGAAAGGCTCCATCCTACATCCGATGTGGCTGCCCGTGGACTTACAATTTGAATTGCCTCTTTCTGGGCTTAGCTCCTGATCCCCACATCTATCAAATAAGGCATTTGAGCTGAAGCAGGACCCTTTAACTGGAGTGCAAGGACTCTTAGGATGTTCCTGGAGGGCTTCTAGTAGCCTGTGCACATTGGGAATTATGGAAAACTTGTTGGATGTGTAAGCATATACTTATTTTCCTAGGAGGAAGGTCCACAGCTCTTCAAACAGCCCATTTCAGCCCTGCTATTTTGTGAGTCCAAGAGTCCTTGACCTTAGCTGTGCAGGCCATGGGTGGCCAAGAGTGGCTGTGGAGGTGGGGGCAGCTCGACCGCAGGAATACCTGTCTCTTTCAGAGGAATTCTTCATTTGGTTCTGATGGAACCAAAGGAAGCACTTCAGGATGTTATATTTTTTCCCCATCACCCCATTTTTAAAAAGCACTGTATAATTCATAAACTATCTGCCTAAATAAACGTTTATCTGAACACTGGGCAAGAAGCCTGCAGTATCTCCATGGAAAACGAATTATTTTCTAACCTTTGATGAATTAGTATTTATGGGACTCAAACAAGCCAACAAACCCATCCTCCTCTTTCCCTCCCCGTGCCCCTCCTTTTCCCTTGAGGAAAAATAAAAACAAATCTCTCCCTGTTCACCCAACCCAGATCTGAACAGACAAGGGTTCAGGTTGTGGCAGGTTCAATGACTGTTGGTAAAGCCCTGTGGAGGAAACCGACTCAGGCCAAATCTGCAAAGGAAATCCACATGATTCTCCATAGAGTCCTTGCGGTCAGATGGCTGCACAGCTATCAGGCCTGTGGGTTGTCCTTTAAGTGGGGTGTTACTGCCTGCCATACAATCCATCCGTACAATGAGTCAAATGTCAAATTCCTTAACTTTTCTTTTTTCCTCTACCTACTCTCATTTGGAAGAAATAATCAACATCATAAAATGTGTCTGATCCTTAGTCATAGATAACTCAGGTAGATGAGAACAGAGCAAGGAAATGTAGGAGAACTATTTTGCTTGAATTTCCCAGGGTAGACACTGAGTCACCAGGGCTCACATTGGCCTGGAGATCCTTAGGAAGCTGTTTTCCTCATACAGGTTCAAGAAGACCAGGAACAAATGTCCTGGTTGTTGTATCTCATGGTCAAATCCAGTGGAGATGCAGGTAGAGTCATTAGAGCAAGACTTGGCTTGGGGTTTCCTCCAGAGAGAAGACAGAAAGACATGTTTTCAGGGGCGAATGCAGAATGCAGCCCCTGGAAGCCCAAGATGTGTGCAGGCAGAGAGGGCTGTGTTTTTCGTCAGCCTTGGAAAGGAGTGGGAGAACGTCGCCAGGCAATCGATTAGGCTAGAGGTGAGGAGATCGATACAGCAGGTTTGGAGGCAGGTGGCAAAGCAGGAGACAGTGATAGGCTCATGGCCTTGGCTTGGCTGAAAGCTCCCCCACTCTGAGAATAAAGGCAGATCTGATGGTGAGAAAAGGATGGTTAATCTGAGGTGTTAGGTCACGCTGGACACAATCCGATAGACAGCTTTCTAGGTAATTCTGACCTCTCTGGAGGTCAAGGTCCTCATTTATAAGTTGGTATAAATAACCTCCATTTTTCTCCTACTCCTCAAAAAAAGTTTTGTAGCGAGACATGAGGGAGAATAACCATCAAAGCCTTAAAGAGATTACCTGGATCCAAAGCAGTATCACTTATGACCTCTACAACCCAAAGAGCAAGAAGGAAGCTGGCTGCATGCACACATGCCCTTAATGCTCTGCTCGTCAGCTCCGATGCCTGGCACCCACACCAGGACAGTCAGTACGTCTCTGGCTTCTGTGGCCAGATGACCTTTGGGAGAAAAGGCTATTTCTCCTTCCCCATCTCTTTCCCTTGAGTCACTATGGTGGGAACAACTCCTCTCCTATGCCAAAAAATGTTTGTTAACTTTTTAATTGGACAGTGCATATCCCATTTTCACTGCTTAACTAACTTACCTTTTTAAGAAATAAAATAAACATTTTAGGAGTGAAGTCAAAGGGGATGAATTCAATTGCTCAAGCACTTTTTTCCCCCTTAATATATACCCACTTGCTTTGCTAGGCCTCGTCTTATGCTTCCCATCTGTGTACAAGTATTCATCCTAGCACTGGCTCTGTGGAGACCTAATTCCCTTTGCCGTGTCTAGGAAAGGCAATTATATTCTGTAAACATTCCATTTGCTATCAGTGCCTGGAGTATGTTTTGGTTAACCCTGAATCCTTCAAAGCACCTTAATTTGAAGTAATTCAGTGGACAAGAGGATTATATTGGGGTCCACTCTTTGGGGGTTTGTGCTGATAGCTGTCCGAGCTTGCCTTCCACATGTCTGCCCGAGGCAGGCTGGTGTGCCAAGGCTAGTCCAGAACCAATTCAAATGCAAGAGCAGAAGCCAGAACTTTCTTATCTGCACAATGGCTTTGTCGTCAGAAATGCACCCTGACCTCTGATTCCAACATGTTGCCTCAAAATACAAGGGGTGGTTTTGGGCATCAGGGAAGGATTTCTGGAGTCAGTGTTGGCTTACTTTATTACTTGTGGGATGGACAGAGTTTGGACACGCAATGGGTAAGGAGAAGAGCCTTAATGCGGAAATCCCTAGTGTAAACATGGTTAGTAATCAACAATCAGCTGTGTTAGGAAACAAATGGTGTAACTAGATTTGGCATTGTATGGTGCCCCACCAGAGCAATCTCTTAGGGCAATCCAGCCTGTTTCTAGCCAGAACACACTGATGATTGTCAAAACAGCACCTGGACCCTGGCAGGAGTGCTTATTTTTTTTTATTTTTTTTTTTTGAGACGGAGTCTCACTCTGTCGCCCAGGCTGGAGTGCAGTGGCGCCATCTCGGCTCACCGCAAGCTCCGCCTCCCGGGTTCATGCCATTCTCCTGCCTCAGCCTCGCGAGTAGCTGGGACTACAGGTGTCTGCCACCACACTTGGCTAATTTTTTGTATGTTTAGTAGAGATAGGGTTTCACCATGTTAGCCAGGATGGTCTCAATCTCCTGACCTTGTGATCCGCCCGCCTCGGCCTCCTAAAGTGCTGGGATTACAGGCGTGAGCCACTGCACCCGGCCAGGAGTGCTTATTAGCAACTGGTGGAGGTAGCTGGTCTGCAGAGGGCCCTGGGAGGACAACAAGGGGAGAAGCCTGATCACATAGACAGGCATTAGATTGAGAATTACCATACCGGGGCTCTGATATTGCTTTACCACCAACACAAGGCACACGATCTTAGTTGAACACTTGGTCTCAGTTCCTCTCCTGGATCTCCTAGATGGAAGTAGTTTTCCCTAATTTGGGGATCCCACACTTGATGACGGAGACCCTTAATCACTTGGCAGCAGAGTCTGGCTGCAAACTCTGAGGGCAGCAGTGTTGCCCCATTGGCCTCTGTCTCAACCTCCTTGGCTGGCCCACTTCCCTTGGCCTCAGCTACCCTAGGACACAATGCCTGAACACGTGGATTGAATGAAACTGACTGCAATCCAGTGGAGGACTTGCCTGCCTCTCAATAAATGCAGACATTCTGACCTGACTCTTCCTGAGTCTAGGAAAAGTTGGGAAGCTGGTTTGTATCACCATGGTGAGGGGGTTGTGGAGTAGCCAAGTGCTGACTCTGACATCTCAGAGGTGACATCTCAGCCCTGCCTCTGTGCTTTCTCTAACACCATTATTAGCCCCACCTTCGCTGTCCTGAATCACACAGCAGATCTGATACACCCCACAGAATACAAAGACATGGACTGTCATGCAAATGACATGAAATCATCATCTTGACCTGATTTCTCCCTCTAGAACACTGTGGAAATACAAATCCGCCAGCACCCTTCCCCATATGTGATGCAAACAATGTTGTTTTTTTTGTTGTTTTTTGTTTTGTTTTGTTTTCCATCTGGAAATTACTCCCTCTGATTGAGAGGTTCGAGTCCCTTCTGCTTGTAATAATATTATTATTTATAATTTATGTTCTTAATTTTTATAAATAGTGCTCAGTCACCATGGCAACAGAATCTTCACAAATCGTTAAATTAAATAATGAGTAGTCATGATGCTTTGCACTTATGTTCATTTTCTTATTAAAAAATAGATCTCCAAGTTTTTTAAAAGTCCTAATTAATTGAGCCCTTCAACCAGTATTTTCTGAAGGTGGGAATCAGATAAATGCCTTTAACTTTTCTGCTGCTTCTCTCTTGAAGTCAGGAGATTACAGGGTTGGAGGGACCTCAAAGGTCATCTGGCAAAATATTTCTCAGAGTGGGGGCCCCAAATTCCTACTTAGGGTCGCCAGGGTTCTTGTTAACAGAAAAGCCGGCTCCCAAGCCTACTCCAGATCCACTGAAATAACATCCCTAGGAGCTGGAACCCAAGAGTATGGACATTTAACCAGCTTACCTGGGGAGTCTTAGGCATGATAAACTCTCACACTCATGCTACATTACCAATACATGGTCCGCTTTGGGATGAAATACCTCTGGTTCAGGGTTTCTCAATTTCAGCACTATAGAAATTTGGGGCCCGACAATCCTTTCTTGTGGGCTGTCCTGTGTACTGTAGGCTTTTGAGCAGCATTTTTGGCATCCGCCACTGGAAGCCATTAGCAGCCCCCCATCCAACAGTGTTTCAATTCAAGAAGGCTCCAGACATTGGCAACAATCCCCTGGTTGTGGGGGGATGAGGATGTCAAAATTGCCCCAGTTGAGAACTTCTGCCCTAGATTTAGAGAACTCATTCTAGACTGGGGAAACATGGCCTTCTCGTTTCATTTTATTGTTTTATTACTTTATTTTTTGACAGCTCCATGAGGAATTTCTCCTGCATGTTGAACTAAAACCTGACTCACTTAAGTTCTGTGTATGAATCCTCTTGGCAGGATAGAGTAACTGGTAGGTTGCATTCACTCTGTCTGACCTAGCACAGCCTTTTCAATCAGAAGCCTGTGATCTTAGGCCCTTTGAGCAGCTTATTAGGCTGAAATTTGGTCCTTCTTTCAACTGTCCTTCCTAAGACTTGAGTTTGAATTCTCTCTCTAATGGTTTCGATAACACCTCTCTGAAGCAGAAACTTTTTTTTCAGTATCCATATTGAAGATCAGTGCCCAGGTATAGACACAACCATTCTTGAATGTCATTTGTTCTGCCCCTGTTATTTGCAAAGTCTACCTATGCCTGGTGCTGGGAAGACAAAGATGAACCTACCAGAGGGGACATAAACTCAAAGTCAATGTATTTCTATAAGCAGGACGTAGTCTAAGGGTGGATGCAAGAAGAGAAGCCAAAATAATTCTATGGCAATCCATGGAGGTGGTGATATAAAGTAGCCTTTTAGCAGAAAGGAAAGCTGAAGGAAGCATTCACGCTGCCTGCGGGAGTAGTTGTTGGAGCCTGCGAAGGAGAAGAGACTGTGTTTAGCTCACTCTGGAAGACAGAGCAGTCGGCAGGCTCAGGGATAGCCTGAGCAGGGCCCCAGGATGCGCCAACGTGGGCCATATTTCAGGAAGATCAAATGTAAGGTGTGGTGAGAGCCCAGAAGGCCCAGATGCCACGTGAACACACACCTGAGGCAGAGAGGGCCTGGGCTCCTGGGAAGCAGCTTGTCCATGAACTTCAAAGACCTGATGAAACCAGAGGGAAAACCAGCCTCCCGGCCATGTCAAGACAGATCCAATGCTTTTCTGAAGCAGAGCCTCAAACATTCATAGGTATACTCCAAAGCGGGGATGGCAAATGCCAGCCTTGGGGAAACCTGCTGCCAGTCTCCTTCAGCTCCAGACCAATGCCCGCCTTGCCTCTCTGGTTTTTAGAGAGGCTGTTTGTCAAAAAAGAAAGACTCTGCTCCCTGGAATTGTTGGGGAGACTTGGTTTAGAACAGCCATGCCAAAAACTAGTTCCCAGACCTGGCATGCATTGTTTCTCTGAGATTTATTTATTTATTTATTTATTTATTTATTTATTTATTTACTTTACCTGAGCAGTGAAAAAAAATAAGACCCACTGTTATGGGTTGAATTGTGTCCCCTCAAAATTCGTATGTTGAAGACTTAAGCCCCAGGACCTCAAAAATGGAACCTTATTCAAAAATGGGCTCCTTACAGATGTTCTTAGTTAAGACAAAGTCACACTGCTGTAGGGTGGGCCCTAATCTAATAGGACTTGCATCCTAATCAAAAGGGGGAAATTAGACATGGACACATGCACATAAAGAGAACGCCATGTGAAGAGGAAGGCAGAGATCAAGCGATGCTTCTACAAGTCAAGAAACGACAGAGATGACTGACAACCAGCAGAAGTCAGGAAGAAGACGGAAAACACCTTCTCACTCACAGCCTCAGAAGGAGCCACCCTACAAACACCATGACCTCAGACTTCCAGCCTCCAGAACCGTCCTAAAATCAATTTCTGTTGTCGAAGACATCTTGTTTCTTTCGTCAGGCATCTGTGTTATTTTGTTCCACACAGTCCTAGAAAACTAACACAGCCACCTTATTGCATTGTGTGAAAATAAGATGGAATGCTATGAAAGCCGGAAGGTGAATTGCTTGGCACTTAGTGCAGGTACTGCCATGAGAGACCAAGTTACCAGTAGAAGAAAGAAGTTGGTTTTGGAAGGGAGCATGTGAGAACCACTAGAGCCCAGTGGGAAGGATGCGACGAAGGAGCGCAGAGAGCAAAGCATGTGGAACCACAGCAGGAGGCTGACCCAAAGGCTGCAGAGGAGCCCTGACAAAAACCTAGTTCATGCAGGGAGTTGAGCCTATGCCTGTGTTTTAATGAAGTGAGCGATGGACCTGCAGTCAAAACAAGAACAGCTCTCATCCTTAAGCACCTACTAGGTTCCAGACGCCACCTGCGGTGTTTGACAGATGCTGTCTCTCAACCTGGGAAGAGTCTTTCAAGGTAAATGGAATTTCTCCCGTTTGCCAGGGGTTTGCTAAAGTTCCCAGGGATGCCAGTCAGCCCAGTCCTCCCGGGCAGCAAGGGGTCCCGTGATATCCATGCACAGCATCTGGGTCTAGACAGACGACTGGCTAGTGGCATCCTGACTGTTGGTTAAAATAAAAGTGGAGGGACTTGAATTCAAACCTAGGACCTTCTAGTCCAGGGCTCACCCTATTTTGTTTTCCTCTTTACTGCCCAATTTAACAGACAGCTTACCTAGCAGGACGGCGAGGCCCGTGAGCCAGCCGCAGACTGTCTAGACCCTCAGCTGCCCCATCTGTAAATTAGAAGTAATAAAATGCATTCCAAAGGCTCTTTACTTAGGACTAAATGAGCTATTTTAAGTGAACGGGCTTTGCAAACTGTAAATTGCCACATACACATGAGGAAATGAAATGACAACTGAAACTGTCCACCAGCACTTTGCCTGCACCCAGGTGCTCTTGTTTTGAACACAGCCTTCCGCAGCTAATGCGTAATTTACTCCCAGAAATTCCACACTGTGTCCCTGAGCAGCTTCACCCAGAGCCAGACACTCAATTAATAAGTCCCCATTACCCTGCAAAATACCCCAAACAGACAAAAAGCCATTTTCTAGTAACTAAACAACAGGATTTTCGACTTAAAACACAACGCCAGCCTAATTAACTAATTAGACAACAAAATAAATAATTATCCAGTGTATCAGCAAGAGGAAGAGAGGCGCATTAAAAGGTTACTCAGATGCATAGCCTTCTCTGGAAAGGGATCGAGACAGCTTCACCAGGAACCAGAGAGTTTTATTTGTGGGTTTCAGTCAGAGACCTCTCCCAGGCTGCTGTGTAATTACGCCCGTCTCCTGTTAATGGGTAATGGCAGAGCCTGGGTATGCAGACTTTCTGGGTGATGAGCAGTCCTGTCTCTCTCCCTCTGCATTTTCCCTGCGTTTCAACGCCAGCCTGTTTCCAAATTCCTCTCCCGAACAAACTTATCAGAGCTGTAACATCTACAAGTTGAAGAAGATGGTGCTATTTATCAAGTGAGCCCCACACACGCACTCAGACGATAGATTTTGGTCCCTTCCTTTGTAATCCTCAAGCAAATTGCTTTTATGTCATTGCAACTCTGAGTTCTCAGGCAGGCGATCAGGGGGAAAGGCCCCACATTTACTAATAGGAACAGAATCTATACAAGGTATCCAAGTTCATTTATTTATTTTTTTGAAAGAGATGAAATTACTTTATTGGTTCAAATAAACTGAAAAAATAGAAAGACATACAAATTACTCAGTTGTAATTTTAAGGACAACTGCAAAATAAACTTGAATTTAAGCATAAACTTATGCTTACTGATTACTATTTGAATTAAACAGTGAGAACTACAATTTAAGTTTTTTAGTTTTACAGATTGAATTTGCAGGTATGCTGTCTTGTTCATGTTGAAATAAATTTATTTTTTAGGAATTATTATTTTACTGGATTATGTCAAAAATAGGGCTGTATTCTTGAGAAAGGACATGTTTCTTCTTGGGCTGGTGACAAAATCATGTATATACCAAACCCCAGTGACACACAATTTAGCTATGTAACAAACTTGCACAAGTACAACCTCCTGAACCTAAAAAAGAAGTTGGAGGGGAAAAAGAAATAAATAAAAATATTATTCTGAAAAAAAGAATTAAATAAATGATGCATGTAAAGCTTTTAGCATAGCACTCAATACCTATTGAGCCTCCAACAAATAGTACTTTGAAAAAGAAGACTTTTCTTTTAAACAATAGCTTCTTATGCATACTAAAGCCATATAATGGGAGCTTGAGCCTCTTCCCACTCCATGGATGTTCATGACCACAGCCCACTTTGCATATGAGGCAGTGCACTATCCTTAACTACAAAGGAACAAACAAGGTGTCTCCAGTCAGCCTTGGTGAGAATTGATCCTGATCCCCCTCTTCTTTCAGGGGTCACAGCAGCTCAGACAATTCTATAGTATGAAAGGAGGGATGACTATCATGGCATGAAAAAGCATCACTATGGAAGCTTATTTTTCGGGTTATCTTTTCTTTGACCTCATTTAGAGTCTTCAATGTGTGGAACTAGCCAGAGTTGAGCACATCCTAATTGGTTTTCTTTGCCTCCCTGAAAAGTCCTGTGTACCTTCTCATCACTCATTTATTAATTTGAAAAAAGTAGGGTGATGAGAAGCATGCATCAAGCCATGTGGCAGGTGATACAACACACACTGCCTGCTGGTTCCTCCCAACACCCTTTGATGGGCATGCTCTGGGAAGAGATGGTATATTGTGCCCAATGGATGATGTCCCCATCTTTAGGGGAATGGATTTCATGATGGTTATCAAATGAAATCCAAATTTAAAAAATGCCCCAAATGAAGGAACTGATATTACCTTCCAAAGATTAAGATTCCAAATCTCAAAATGTCACTAGCATTTGGTTGGAAAGATGATTCTGGACATGGGGCTTATGTATATAATGATACCATCACACTTGCAAAGAAGAGAAATGCAGTGAGTTGAGCCTATGCCTGTGATTTAATGAAGCAATGGATCTGGGGTCAAAACAAGAATAGCTCTCATCTGTAAGCATCTACGAGGTTCCAGAAGCCATGTTTGCTGCTTGCCAACATCTGTCAAGCATCAAGTGAACAAGTGAAACAATTCACTTTTCATAAAAGGACTTTATACTTCTCATTCGTATCATGAAGAAGGAATTCCTTTTTCCTCATTTTCTTTTCTCTGCAGACACTTTGCATGCACTAAGAATCTAACAGTAAACAACTCCATTCATTTCCTTGTGAAACTTACATTTTTGTAAGGGAGGCAGACATTATCCCAGTTATGCAATCAGTTATTTAATTAAAGGGGCGATTGATTCCACAAAGAATAAGTCCAAGAACTTCAGTAGTAGCTAACAAAGACATCCTGAGTTAGTGTGGTAGTGAAGGAAGTGGCCTTTGAACTGAAATCTGAGAAAGTCAAGAGAGAGGTAGGTAGGAATCAGCTTTTGCAGAGAGTGGAGGCTGAGATTTTTACCTTCAGACCAGTAGGGAGCCATGGACGTATTGTATATAGAGCAGAGTCCTGATCAGACTTTAATCGTCATGATGGCTGCTGTATGGTGAATGTGTTGGAAGTGGTCAAGATTAGATGAACAGAGACAAGATAGACAACTTGGACATGCCAGGCAAAAGGTAACAGGAGCCAGGGCTGCTGAGTGGTCCTAGAGAGAAGCTGCTAGGTGTCAGAGATGTGCAGGGAGAAATCCACAGGGTTTGGAAAGTGATTAGATTGGGTGGGAAATGAAGGACAGAGAATTGTCTAAATCTGGGTCCTAAGGTTCAGCTTCTACCATTAGAAGAATAGCAATGCAAAGTCACAGAGATAGTTGGTGGAGAACCTCATACAACTGATCAAAGGGCCTCATTCTGTGAACTACAAGAGAATTCAAGGGACGCATCCTCTGCCCCCCAAATGAGGATATATCACACAGAAATGGGGGATGCCTCATGCCCATCAAGGGCAGGGCTGATGCAAGTCACCCGTTCTGGGGCAGAAAACTAAAAGCTAAGAACAGTGAGGAGCCTTGAGGCTGGAGACCCGAGTGCACAGAGGCCATTTGGGCTGCAGGGGACTTGTGGAGCCCAGGCAGGTGCAGTGGGAAGCTGGTTAAAAGTAGCACAGCTGTGTGCAGAGACAGGCAGTATGGCAGGACCTGAGGATGGACCCTGAAGAAAGACAAAGGTGGCTTTGAATCTTGGATCTGCCACTCACCAGGTGAGTGGATTTGGGCAGGCATCTCAACCTGTCTGAGCTTCCCATCTGTATTAGTCCATTCTCATGCTGCTAATAAAGACATACCCAAGACTGGATAATTTATAAAGAAAAGAGGTTTAATTGCCTCACAGTTCAGCAAGGCTGGGGAGGCCTCAATCATGGCAGAAGGCAAGGAGAAGCAAAGTCATGTCTTACATGGCAGCAGGCAAGAGATCGTGCACAGGGAAACTCTCCTTTATAAAACCATCAGGTCTTGTGAGACTAATTCATATCATGAGACCAGCACAGGAAAGACCTGTCCCACCTCCATGATTCTATAACCTCCCACTGGGTCTCTCCCACAACACGTGGAGATTATGGGAGCTACAATTCAAGATGAGATTTGAGTGGGGACACAGCCAAATCATATCACCATCTGTGGAAGGAAGGTAACCTTAACATTAATCTTAAGTGAAGACTGGATGAGATGATGGGGAGAAGAACCAAACATAACAACTCACAGGTGACGGGTGTTCAATGAACCTGCTACTGTTGTTATCATTATCATCATAAGGGGAGCAAACATAAAACCTAACACCAAAGCAAAGCAAAAGTCAGGGCAGCCCCTGTGGAGGAGTGCAGGCTTTAGGGTACCAGCAGAAAGGAGGCAGGTAGCAGAGACTGAACTCCAGTGTTCCTCTTTTGCTTTCATAAAGCTTCAGGTTTCTGAACAAACCACAAGCACTCAATCTGAATAATTATAGAAAGTCAAGGACCAACCTCTCACTCTGCAAAGCAGCAACTGCTAGTAATGAACCATGATTCCGCAGCCAATCATAGTCTGACCTTGGCCACAGCCAGAGCCAGTAGGCTCTGTAAGGTCTGGCTTGCAGATGTGTTTTGTTTGGCCTTCACACTGTTTTTTTTTTTTTTTTTTTTTTTTGTAATTAGTAATAAACATTTAACATTTGGATTCGCCACATTAAAATGAGAATTTTCTGCTTCTACTGAGAGACCAGAAGATCTGACAAAGCTTGAGTTCACATGTCAACAGGGTTGGAGACCCCTGGACCTAATAGGTGGCTGTCTCTGAAAAGAGACACCTGTTCTCCAAGTCCCCAAAGTCCTAGGGTGACTCTTAATGATTTCTGTATTTTCTTATACCAACCCTACCTCTCTTACCTTCCTGAGTCCTGTAGCCTTGAGAATTTTTGAAACCTTTATCTAAAGCAATGGTTATCAACTATGTTCCAGGTAGAAACACTATTTTTCTTTAAAGTGGATAAAGCATCATTAACATGGACCATTGACAGTATTTTCCAAGTCTTCACAGCCATGCACAAGGACACACATGTGCTCATGCTAAGCAAAGCTTATTGATGAGTTTTCTGAACGTTTTCTCCAATAATGTTCTTTAAAGTCTTAAGCTTGTCTATACTAGAATCTGCCGTCAGCAGCAGATTGGGCTCACATTTACATCTTTGGGTTTTTTTTTTTTTACATCGAAGGCATCTATCTTTCACAGTTCTTCTCCAGGTGTTTTGCCACCTGAATGCTTCTGAGATGCACTTGGCCAAAAGTTCTGGTTCAAAAGAATCAAAAAGTCTTCTAGGCCCCAAGGGAAATGTCTTTTGACAATTCCTCTTCTCCGTTCTCCCTTGATGAGTTCGGGAGGAGGTAAAGAGACACATAGGAAAAATCTGCCTGTTCTATTAAAACAAAACAAAATAAAACAAGGTTGAAAAATAGTAGACAGGGAAGATATTTTGCCTCAGCAGCAAAATCAACTACTTGTGGAATTTCATTTACCAGAGGATACGGTGTTTTCTTAAATATTCTATAGTGATTAGCTGGCAAAATCTCAAACATTTTTTAACACAAGATGTCTTTGGTCAATAAATACCAGAACTGAAATGTCCTGGGGGTGGAGATTTATGATCTAAGCACAAGAAACACACCCATAAATCAGGCAGAGAAAGCTCTCAGGTAGCCGAGCAGGCATTATGCAGATCTCAGAAGAGGCCCAGGAAGGAAGACTTGGGGTCCTGGCAGGGCTGAGCTCATATCAACCTGTGGGAGAAAGGGACGGGCTTTCGAAGGCTCCATTTCTTCATCCACAAAAGAATGAACACTTTGCCTTTGCACTGTTGAGTTTCTCTTTTTCTAATCATTGGAAATTTTTCCTTTTCTATTGTTCACAAACATTTGCAAAGACAGACATGTTGTGAAGGACCTGGGGAACCAGGTTGAAATTGTGGCTGGAACACTCGGCTGTGTGAGCTTGGGCAAGTCTCTTAAACGCTCTCGCATTTTGCATCCTTCTCTGAAAAGTGAGGATAATAATACCCACCATACAGGAGGACTGTGAGGATTAAATCAGATAATGTTGTGAAATGCTTAGCACAGTGGCTTGCAAAGTTTCACTTACAGATAACATTTATTAAAGTGCCTGGCACCATGTAGGTCGTCTATAAATTACCCTTAGCCCTTTCCAATGTGCAAAGTTAAGGGAAAATGTAGATGATGCTCTATAATAAATAGTAGCTTCATCCAGATGCAAACTTGACAGAGTTTTTTGTGGTTTATCTTGATATGGAGTCCAGTTCTGATAATTGGGCTTCTCTTGGGTCCCAAGATCCAGTCTCACCTTGAATTTGGTTTGTTTACTCTCTGTTCCCTCCCAGGCTTATTCTCCATCTCTGGCTTTTTCAACTCTGAGTCTATGCTCTCTTCTCCTCCCTTCCCTGGCCTCCTCTCCCCTCCTTTCCTCTTCCTTCTCCTCCCCTTCTTTTCCCTTCCTCTCTACAGTTTAGTCAAAACACTCCCTCATTATCTCAAGTGCTTCCATGGTTTAGGTTACCGTCTATGTATCCTGATGACTCCAAGGGACCTGTAGCTCCCCCCAGCCCTCTCTTCTGGGACAGACAGGTAACCCAGGTACCCCTGTCCAGACACCTCTTCCACCTGACATTTTCACTACGGTATGTCACAGGGGTCGCAAATGCAACATTACCTACACATATCTCTGGATTCTTCTTTACCATTCTCACAGTCATGTTCAGCCTCTCCCATGTGCTGGGCCTTTTGTAGGATTTGGAGGAGGCAGCAGTGAGAGGTCCTGGTCTGGACTTGGTGGTGCTCACACCTGGTCTACCCCTGTACTCCTCATCTGGGTAAATGTCCCCAGTGACATAACTGCGGCACAGGTTAAATAGCTGAGAGGCCATGTTGACACCTTCCTCTCCTGCACACAAACTTCTCCCACATCCCGTGGACTTTACCTCCTAGATAACCTTCATGTCTGTTTATTCTGTCCGTTTCTACTGCCCATCCTATTTAAAACCACTCTCTTCTCTCACCTGGGTGACTGTGGCAGGAAGCCTTTCAGTGGAACGCCGCGTTTCCCCAGCCACATCCCACAAAGTATGGAGAATAACTAAATACACAAGCCTGGTCATGTAATCCCCCTGCTCAAAACTCCTGCGGCTTCCCACGGACTTCGGCATAGAATCCAATGTCTTAACCAGCTTCCAAGGTGCCTCCCTGTTCAGACCCCTGCCTCCATCCCTGGTATGTCTCCAGTTTCTCTTCCTGCCCTTTCCACACTAGACTTTATATATATTTTTTCTTTTCTTTGGAGATGGAGTCTTGCTCTGTCACCCAGGCTGGAGTGCAGTGGTGCGATCTCAGCTCACTGCAACCTCCACCTCTTAGGTTCAAGCAATTCTCCCTGCGTCAGGCTCCTGAGTACCTGGGATTACAGGTGCCCAACACCATGCCTGGCTAATTTTTGTATTTTTAGTAGAGACGTAGTTTCCCCATTTTGGCACAGCAGGTCTTGAACTCCTGACCTCAGGTGATCCGCCCACCTCGGCCTCCCAAAGCACTGGGATTACCACCGCACTCAGTCGACTTTATGTTCCTTCAGGTTCTCTAATATGCTGTGATCCCCTTTGCTTCCAAACCTGCGCTGGACCAGACTCTCCACTGCCTGGAAGACTCTCCCCTGACTGTTCCCAGTTCCTGGCTCAGGAGTCAGCTGAAATGAGACCTTCTCATAAGATGTTTCTGCGACTTCCTACCCTTGATACATCCCTTTGTTCTACACTTCCACACCACCCCCCACTCTTTCTTAGGAGCTCTTTAGGCACTTGCAATTGTTTAATGAGTTCTAGGATGCGATGGAGTCCCGAGACAATGTCTCTTCAAATGTGCTCCAAATCACTTGGGCAGTAAGCCTTAGAAAAACGCAAAGTTGGGGAATTCCTGGGAGGTGGGGTCTGGAATTTTATATTTTTAACAAGTTCCACAAGTGAATCTAAGCACAGCAAACTCAAAGTGCTGTTGCTGTAAGTGCTTGGCCCACAGGGCAGGGGATTATTTCTTCTCTGGACTCAGGGATGTTGCGGGAAGGAAAGCCTGCACCCGGCATAAGCCCTCAGAACGTCCTGGGAAGCTTCTCCTTCCGCAGGTTCTCTGCTATTACTGCATGGTTCGGACATCCAGCTGTCTTAAGATCACTCGACAAGCACATATGTCACAAAACGTGAAGAGTGTTCTGGAAGTGTCAGCACGAGCGTCCTTCTTCTTTCCTATCCTGGGGGGTCTGCCACTTAGATTCCTCTGCTTGGACATTCTTCTGACATATGCATAAGCCTCACGGACAATAAAACCCCCCTATCCAAAGTTATGGGTCTGGAGGAGGCAAATGGAAAAGGGCAGTCTTTCCATCTATGAAATCTGACTTCCTTTCAAGAATAGTTACATCTGTGACATCTGTTCTACAGTTCCTTTGAACAGCTGCTTAAATCTTGGTGTAGCACAAAATGCAGAGATGGTCGAAGCAGACATTATTTGGTGATTACATGACCCTGGAGAAGTTTCTTCATGTCTCTGGCATTCTGATTTCTCTTCTGTACAGAAACAGGTAGAGCACTCACCTGGAGGGGGATTGAAACATGCATTGGTGCTGGACACAGGGAAGCCTCTTGTGGATATTCACCGTCCTCCCCGCCTCCCTCTCTGCCAAGTGCACATTGCCTCTAGCATCCGTAGGGGCCAGCTCCTCTCTGACAGTGACCTCACTCCTGCCCCCAGGTACATGCTACAGTCATCTTTGAACCAGGCAGAAGCACTCCTTGCTATGGTAAATTGCTCTATCAAATGCTTATCTCATTTTATCCTCTCTTGAAGATCAAAAGGACTCATAGCTTCATTTTCCATAGAGGAAATCTAGAAACCTAGAATTGTCCATTTTTTTCCTATGATCAATTAATGATTTATCAGGATTCAGGTCGTGGCTCTACTCTTTGCTAGCTGTGTGATACGGGACAAGAACCCCGATGACATCCTTGCAAACGTCAATCATGTACCTGGTGCCAGGTGCTGGTTGGAGTGTTTGGCTGACTCTTCCCCTTTCCCTCACTTTGCAATGATGGTCTTGATTTTACAGGGGCAGAAAAGGAGGCTGGGTGGAGTAAGCCTGTTGTCCGAGGCTCCACTCCTGGGAAAAGGCTGTGGGACAGCAGAGTTGGCAAGTCTCTGTCACTCTCTACCACAGTGGTTGCCTTTCTAAGCCATAGTTAGTCCCATGTAGGAATATAGTGAAATTTTAACAAGCAAGGCAATGTATGGGAAATACTTACCACAGCACCTGGCCTTGGTGAGCGTCAGGGCATGCTGCTTGTTATGTCTTAGGCTCTGCAGGTGCTGAGAACTTGGGCATTTCCCTTCACCAAGTTGGCTCACTGATGGGCGTGTGATCATCGGCTTTGTTCCCTGCTTATGTGGCCTGGCAGCTCCTCTTGTGGCCTCCAGCCTTGCCCCAGGCTCTTTC
Source organism: Homo sapiens (assembly GCF_000001405.40). Taxonomy (NCBI): domain Eukaryota; kingdom Metazoa; phylum Chordata; class Mammalia; order Primates; family Hominidae; genus Homo; species Homo sapiens. The sequence continues at coordinate 98,716,199 of NC_000014.9, read as the reverse complement.
CGATGCATCCAGTCGTACTGGAAGCAATTGATTCCCGTGGCTCCCACGGCTGATCATGGGCCTTCAGTGCTTGCCTCTACACCCTGGTTAAGAAAGACATGGAGGGGGTGCTCAGTGAGGAGCTAGTGTTGGGCTGGGCCCCCAGCCTGTTGCAGGCACTGTGGAGGGACCGGCTCCTCCAAGGGCCCCTCACCTGCTGCACCTCCCCACCAGCCCCTAACTCGTGCAGGCTCCTTGTAGAATGGGCTCTCGATCTTTCTTCTCCATCTCAGCCTGGGCCCTTCCTGCTCCTCACGTGGGGTAATTTGACAGCCTTCTGAATGGCTGCCTACATCCAGGCTCTAGAGCAGGGGTCAGCACATGACAGCCTGTGGTCAAATCCAGCCCTTAGTCTGTTTTCATAGCCCTTGAGCTAAGAATATTTCTACATTTCTAAAGAGTTGTTAAAAACCAACCACATGACAAAAATAAAGAAGAATATGCAACAACGACCAACTGCAAAGCCCTTTACAGATACTGTTTGCAGATGCCTGCTCTAGACGATTCTTCATATTGACCTTCTCGCCCAGCCTCAATGTCTCACCCTGATTCCACCCAAGGTCTCACATCCTGTCTCTACCCTGCTTAAAAATCTTTAAGCCACCCTGTGTGCAAAAAAGGCACCCTGAAGGTAGTCTAAGAAGATCTGGATTCAATTCCCAACTCTGATACTTATTAGCTGTGTGATCCTCTTGAACCTCAGTCTCTTCCTCTGTGCAATAGAGTTAACAGGGCAAACCCAGGAGGTTATTTGGGGACCTAATGACTTTGAGGTATGAAAATGCACTCTGAGATACACAGAGCTATTCAAAATATGAAATTTCATCATAACTGTTTTGTCCATGGGCAGTGTCCACACCCCAGAGCCTGCTTTAGAGTCTGTCCCCAGCTGAGACCCGGTTTGCTTTCCAAACCTCATCCCTTGTGACTTTCCACATGACATTCCAACCCACATGCCGCATGGCTTTGCTCTCCCCCTGCCTTGGTTGAAATGCTCTTCCCAGTATCGTCTTGCATTTGAGCCCTACCTGGTCTTCAGATTTCACACCCAGCTCAGTGGCAGATGCCTCTGATGTGTGGATCCTGGAATCTGCATGGGGACAGTTAGGGACGTGGAGATGGGAGAAGTCTTCAGCACTCAAAGTGCTTGTTCTGCAGCCCTAGAAGGCATTAACCATTTCAATCTGTGCGCTGGTCTTAAATCTTCTCCTCCCTGTCTTTTCTTTCTCTTGCTTTTCTTTCCAACACTCCAACATGAAACAGTGCCTGCTGTGTAGTAAAAATATTTTGGCTGCCTCCCTTTTAAAAACGTTCTAAAAATACACAGAGGCATCCACATGCACACATGGCAGGCTCTGACGATTGCCTTCCAGGTGGCAGAAACAAACCCTGAGCTTGTGCCCCTCCTTGGGACCAGCGTGGGGAACTCCTGGGCCAGCCTTCCAGACAGGCACCTAGTTAAGGGGCAGCAGCATTTGATATGGAGCAAAAATTTGCCCTTTTTGCTGACCATTCTCAATGCTGCAGAACTCTCAATTATTTGTAGAAATTGGAAGACACAAGATGTTGTAAATAAAGGTGGAATATGATTCATGCTTCTCTTTTGTGTTTTAAGATCTACTCAAGGAAATAAAAAATGTTGAAACTCTTGCTTTTTTTTTTTTTTGGGACGGAGTCTTGCTCTATCGCCCAGGCTGGAGTACAGTGGCGCGATCTCGGCTCACTGCAAGCTCCGCCTCCTGGGTTCACACCATTCTCCTGCCTCAGCCTCCCGAGTAGCTGGGACTATAGGTGCCTGCCACCATGCCTGGCTAATTTTTTGTATTTTTAGTAGAGACGGGGTTTCACCGTGTTAGCCAGGGTGGTCTCGATCTCCTGACCTCGTGATCTGCCCTCCTCGGCCTCCCAAAGTGCTGGGATTACAGGTGTGAGCCACCGCGCCCGGCCACTCTTGCCTTTTTCAAACCCTAGATTTCTTGCCTGAACTCGAATAAACTTTTGTTTCACCCAAAGAGAGGCATCGTGGAGTCCTGCAAAATCATTAGGTGGGGAGCCAGCAAGATGAGGTTCTCATTGTCACCTGCCACCGCCTGTAACAAGTCCTAGGTTGTCGCTGAACCTCAGGCTCTTTATCCAAAATTTAGGGGCTTTAATTAAGTGACCCATTAGATTACTTCTAGCTGTAAAAATCTGTGGTAGATCAGCTAGAATTGTTAGTATGATTTAAGGCATAATATGGGTTTAGAAACTATTTCTTTTACTACTAATAGTTATAACTTTGCAGGATGATGCCCACAGTTCTCATTCAATAGAATCTTTTTTTTCTTTTCTTTCTTTCTTTTTTTTTTTTTGAAGCAGAGTCTTGCTCTGTCACCTAGGCTGGAGTGCAGTGGTGCAATCTCGGCTCATGGCAAACTCTGCCTCCTGGGTTTAAGTGATTCTTGTGTCTCAGCTTCCCAAGTAGCTGGGATTACAGTTATGCACCACCACGCCCAGCTATTTTTTGGCATTTTTAGTAGAGATGGGGTTTCACTGTGTTAGCAAGTCTGGTCTCGAACTCCTGGCCTGAAGTGATCCACCTGCCTGGGCCTCCCAAAGTGCTAGGATTACAGGCATGAGCCACCAAGCCCAGCTGATTCTTTTTAAATAAAATTATTATTATTATTATTTGATACAGGGTCTGGTTCTGTCATCCAGGCTGGAGTACAGTGGCACAATCTTGGCTGGTTGCAACCTCCACCTCTTGGGCTCAAGCAGTCCTCCCACCTCAGCCTCCCAAGTAGCTGGGATTATAGGAGTGCACCACCATGTCTGGCTAATTTTTGTATTTCTTGTAGAGAAGGAATTTTGCTCGGTTGTCCAGGCTGGTCTCCAACTCCTGAGCTCAAGGGATCCTCCTGCCTCGGACTCTCAAAGTGCTGGGATTACAGGCTCCCATGACCCATGGCCCCCCAGCCACATTCAATAGACTCTTTACACTGGGGTGGGTGCTGTGGCCACAGCAAAAGGAAACATGCATTTATTTATTCAGTGACCAAATATTTGTGACTTGCCATAGTGGTTGGTATGTGAGAATAAAATCATTCTCATTTTATAGAAGATAACACTGAGGCTAAGTGAAGTTGGAATTACTATTCATACTCATATCTATAATACTAGCTCATTCTACGTAGCTCATCTTAGGGCCCTAGTCTCAATAAGAATTCCCATAGTAGGCTTTCAACTTACTGATTCTTCAAGTCATTCCTAAGTGTAAAACAAGTTCTTACTTATGACGCATTATTAAATAAAGTGAGCTACTAGGTTGGTGCAAAAGTAATCGTGATTTTGCCATTCTTTTAATGGTGAAAACCACAATTACTTTTGCACCAACCTAATATTTTGGATTGCAATTATTTCAATATACCACTTCATATGATATTTTGAGACTGCCTTTGAGTGAGGTCTATCGCTTGTATTGTGCCTCAGTAAAGCCCCATTTAGAACTCTTCTATAATTCAGTCTTTCAGAAAATCAAGACTCTTTAATAAGTCCCCGATTTGCTCATTCTTGCACATCATAAAGAGGCTTTCATGATCAATGTGTTTTGGAAATATGACTAAACAAAGTAAGGTTAGTGCCTTTATAGCAGGGCCTCTTGCATCCTGTAATGCACGGGTATGTACCTGAGATCTCCATGAGGGTGTTACCATTTGCTGCTTTTACTTTTCCCGAAGTTCTTTTACTCTAGAAAGTACTATCAGGAAGCATCTGACAGCACTGGCATTCACAGAAATCTGTGTCGCCCCCAGTTAATCTTAATTTCTGTCATTGGCACTGTATCTGTGGGGTTTTGCTGCAATGTAAAACGGAATAATGAATATTTGTTATATTTTAGACACTTTATGGATTCCAAAGCATTTATCTCATATGGTTCTTAAAGCCATCTTGAGAGATGGATATGATTACTCCATTGTATTCAAAAAGCAGTGAGAATTTTAGTTTAGAATGGTGCACCAAATAAATACTACAACTTTCCCCCACTTCTCTGAACACATAAGGAAGATAGGAATAATATTAGTAAGCCATACTAATTACATAGCAGGGCCCTGAAACAAGAATGGGCAATCTACAGATACCAGAAATGGAAATATTTCCTGAAAAGGAGGGTGCTTGGGATGGTTACTAGGGGCTGAATCACTAGGGCCCAAGAGGGTGCCGGGAAAAGAGCTGAGAGCCATGCACAAGGCTGTGTCGAGGGTTTCAGGTCCTAGGAGGGGCAGGGGACCACATCTGGCAATCTAGGTGTGGCAAAGGACCGCAAACCTGCAGTGGGGACTGAAAATCTACCCCCCACTCATTTCTAGAGTCTGTATCAGCTCTGTGTCTGCCTACCGAGTGCTGTGGCTGAAGCCCTGGTCCTGGAACTTGAGAAGTGCCTTCTGCATGGGGCAGGGTCTGGAGCCACCATAAGAGTAGGAGCTGTCTGGAAATAAGTTCTTCATGTGGGTTTGGGGCTGAACTTAGACACGTGCAGAACCTGTGTTTACAGCCATGATAATGCATCTTGGGGGTTCCTGGAATTCAAAGAAAGGAAATCACCCAGGGTGGTGATGACCTCACAACTAAGAATTACACAACACTGGAGGAAGACAGAGCCCAAGTGAGACAAACAAAAACACAGCACAGAGGACTATATAACTGGTGAAAAGAAGGGAACTTAGAGAATCTGAAAAGACACGTGAAACATTTTTTAATATCCTGAAAGAAAGGAGAGAAAGCAACCATGGCAGGAGGAAAGAAGGCTCTGGAGGAAAAGAAGTCTTGAAATAATAACAGAAAGTTAGGGAAGGCAGTGATAAATTCCATATATAAAAATACATTTTTTGCGTGGGCGCAGTGGCTCACGCCTGTAATCCCAGCACTTTGGGAGGCCAAGGAGGGCGGATCACGAGGTCAGGAGATCGAGACCATCCTGGCTAACACGGTGAAACCGTGTCTCTACTAAAAATACAAAAAATATTAGCCGGGTTTGGTGGCAGGCACCTGTAGTCCCAGCTACTCGGGAGGCTGAGGCAGAATGGCGTGAACCCAGGAGGCGGAGCTTGCAGTGAGCCGAGATCGCGCCACTGCACTCCAGCCTGGGTGACAGAGCAAGACTCCGTCTCAAAAAAAAAAAAAAAAAAAGAAAAATAAATTTTTGAAAATCACAAAAGTACCTTTAAAGATGTTCTGGACAGATGAAACCTCCAAGACCATAGCAGTACAAAGAGAAAACACATTAGAAAAATTAGGAGACATAGAAGATGGGTGGCCCTGTGACACAAGTTCAGTGGGGTTTCTAGGAAAAGCAAATGAATAGAAGAGAGCACAGGAGACCTCTACAAATGTGCCAATTAGATATTCCAAGAACTGGCTGATGTCGTCTAGAAAAACCTCCAAACATAAAGAGTAAAAAGAAAATTCTACAAGCTATGAGAGAAAATTAAAACACACACACACACATACACAGATACACACAGACACACACAGACACACACACACAGATACACACAGACACACACACATAGATACACACACAGATACAGACACACACATACACACACAAACACACACACACAGACACACACAGATACACACAGACACACACATACACACACACAGATACACACAGAAACACAGCTACACACAGACACACACACAGATACACACAGATACACACAGACACACGCAACATACACAGAAACACACGCACAAACACACACAGATACACACAGACACACACACACATTTTCTGCAAAGGAATGAAAATGAACATTAACATCATTTTCTCATCAGGAATATTAGATGCCAGAAGAATAATTAAGTAATATATTCAAAGAGAAAACAGTTTTCTGTCATAAATACTTTACTCATTCCAGGTAGTTTCCAAGAGTAAGTATAATATAAAATAAAGAAATTTAAAGACATAGACAAACCAGCACATTACCACAGACGCTCTCTGGAAGAACAACACAACCTAAAGCCATCGTCAAACCATGGCCCGTGGGCCAAATCCAGCCAGCACCTGTTTTTGTATGGTCTGTGGGTTAAAAATGGATTTAATTTTTTAAATGATTGAAATGAAATCAAATAAGTATTAACATTTTCTGACAAATGAAAGTTACATAAAATTCAAATTTTGGTGTCAATAAGTAAAGTTCTGTTGGAACATAAGCATGCCCTCTGGCTTCCCCGTTGCCTGTGGCTGCTTTCCTGATACAAGGGCAGAGCTGAGAAGCTGCGACAGATGCCAAATGTTTGGCAAAACTTGCACTATTTATTATCTAGCCCTTAACCAGAAAATTGCCAATCCTGAAGGATGTACTTTAGCAAAAAGAAATATGAACCCAGGAGAAAGGAATTAGATGCTAAAAATGAAAGTAAATAATTTTTATTGAGTCTATTATTTGATACATGATGTAATAGTGATTAATAAAAATAAAATGTAAAAACAAGCTGGAGCTAAATTTTAGACAACAATGAAATGGGGAGGAGAGTTATTTGGAGGCAGTGGACTCTGAAGATTGTCTTGCTCAGGAAGATGCCAAGACACTGACGATAGCTCTGCCTTCCAGAAAAAGCACTTAATAGGTGATTTAAATTTTTTGACAGCCATTAATAAATAAAGAAAATGCATAATTTCCAAATGAGTAGAAATAAAAAAAAACCTCTTAAATGAAATTTCAATCATCTAACAGAAAGAAAGAGGAAATATTTAAAAAAGGGAAAGTAGAGTAGAAAACATGAAGAAGGCAGAAATAAATCCAAAATTTTAATAATTCCAATATAAAACAAGTTAAACTCATCAAAACCAGACCTACTAAAATATGGCAAAATGCTCTTTATAGGAAACACATATAAACAAATAACTCCGAGGATTGAAAATGGATGGAAAGAGATATCCAAGCAAAACTTTCACCTAAAGAAGGCTGGTGTGTCAATTATTAACATCCAAAAAAGAGAATTAAAAGGGAAAAAGGGACAACAGTGCTACTTGTTGATAAAAGGACTAATGTATAAGTTATGAACTTTCAGAGCCCTTTAAAAATGTAGAAACTATTTTAGCTGACAGCCTTTACAAAAACAGCCTGTGGTCTGGATCTGAGTAGCTTCTGCTCGTGGTTGTCTCAGGGTTGCAAGTGGTGGCTTCTTCAGTAATAGAATCTTCATTCTAGGAAGAATGAAAACAAGAAAAAAGAGAAAGAAGGAGAGAGAGAGAGAGAAGGAAGGAAGGAAAGAAGGAAGGAAGGAAGGAGAGAGGGAGGGAGGGAGAGACAGAGAAAGGAAGAAAGAAAGAAAGAAAAAGGAAGGAAGGAAGGAAGAAAGAAAGGAAGAAGGGAAAAAGAAAAAAGAACATAGAAAGAAGGAAGGAAGGAAAGAAAAATAAATATGAATATATGAATAAATAAATAAATAAATAAATAAATAAATAAATAAATAGCTAGCAGTTGCTTGGGCAAGGGTGTAGAGGACACTCAGCTGTCTTTCTGAATAAGTGAAATAAGCCAGGCACAGAACATTGCATATTCCCACTTATTTGTGGGATCTAAAAATCAAAACAATTGAACTCATGGACATAGAGAGTAGAAGGACGGTTACCAGAGGCTGGGAAGAGTAGTCGGGGGCTGGGGAGGAGATGGGGATGGTTGATGGGTACGAAAAGTAGTTAGAATGAATAAGACCTACTGTTTCATAGCATAACAGGGTGACTACAGTCTGTAATAACTGAATTGTACATTTAAAAATAACTAAAAGAGAGTAATTGAATTGTTTATAACACAAAGGAGAAATGCTTGATGGGATGGATACTGCTTATTTCACATTGCATGCCTGTATCAAAACATCTCATGTATCCCATAAATATATATACCTACTATGTACCCACAAAAAATAAAAATTAAAAAATAAACTTAAAAACTAAAAAAAAAAACAAAAAGATTTAGCCAGCTGGAATTGTTACATGCACATCCTCCTTTGTCATTTATAAAAACAAGAACTAACCCCAAATAGAAACCCAGAGGTGGTCAGAGAATGAAACTTGACTTGAGACAGATGATGTGGGGTGGTGGGCACAGGCTGCTGTTGCAGTCCCAGTTCCCCACCACCCTTTATCCTCCTCTGGTGCTTGCAGACACAGCATTTTCTCACTCAATAGCAGTTTCCTTGCTTTTTGGTTATTTTGTTGTCGTTGATTTCTAGTTGTGCTGTGACCATGGTTTGTATGATGCCCGTTTTGGGAGGAGGGAGGAGGATTAGACTTAGTACAGGATCAATTTCTATAACTCTTCCATGCATACTTAAAAAGAGCATATAGTACACATTCCTGCATCTATCAGTTACACTACCTGCACATCCTGGTATATGCGCTGTACATCAGCGTCTCAATAGTGATATTCAGTCCTATCATATGTTTTACTTGTGTTATGACGGTTCTGTCATTTTCTGAGCCAAGTGTGTTAGAGATTCTTGCTTGTGTTGAGGATTTGTCCCTTTTTTGTGGTGGTTTTGCCGAGCTCTTGTTTTCTATGTTTCGGGAATTGTATTATTAGGTACTAAAAAAAATTCTTTCCTCCCAAGATCCACTCGCCACTTCTTACTAACATAACCTCTACATTATCGGAAGGAGCAATGTGCCTAACTTAGAAATTATATTTTCTTCCAAGAAACAGAAAATAACAAGTGTTGTAAGGATGTGAAGAAAGTGGAACCCTTGGGCATTGCTGATGGAAATATAAACTGTTTCGGTCACCAGTGGAAAACAGTATGAGGAGGTTCCTCAAAAAATTAAACATAGGGCCGGGCATGGTGGCTCACGCCTGCAATCCCAGCACTTTGGAATGCCAAGGTGGGCAGATTACCTGAGATCAGGAATTGGAGACCAGCCTGGCTAACATGGTGAAACCGTCTCTACTAAAAATACAAAAATTAGCCGGGTGTGGTGGCACATGCTTGTAATCCCAGCTACTCAGGAGGCTGAGGCAGGAGAATTGCTTGAGCCCGGGAGATGGAGGTTGCAGTGAGCTGAGATCATGCCACTGCACTCCAGCCTGGCTGACAGAGCAAGATTCTGTCTCAAAAAAAAAAAAAAATTAAACAATTAAACATAGAATTGCCATATGATCCAGAAATCCCACTACTGGGTCTATATATCCAAAATATTGAAAGTAGCAACTCAAACACCTATTTGTACACCTGTGTTCATAGAATCATTATTCACAGTAGCCCAAATGTAGAAACAACCTAAATATTTGTCTATAGAAGAAAGAATAAACAGAATGTGGTGTATTAATTCAATGGAATATTATTCAGCCTTTAAAAAGTAAGGGAATTCTGACACACATTACAACATGAATGAAACTTCAGGACATCAAGCCAAGTGAAATAAGCCAGGTACAAGAGGGCAAACACTGTATGATTCTACTTATATGCAGTACCTAGTGTAGTCAAATTAATAGAACCAGAAAGTAGAATAGTGGTCCCCAGGGCCTGGGGAAGGGGGACAGTGGGACTTAGTATTTCATGGGCATGGAGTTTCAGTTTGGGATGGTAAAAAAGTTCTGGAGATGGGTAACAGTGATGGTTGTACAACATTGTGAATATACTTAATGCCACTGAACTGTACATTTAAATATAACTAAAATGGTAAATTTCTACTATGCATATTTTATCACAATAACAAAGTTATTAAAATTATATTTCCCAATATCTGCAGGCAAAAATAATTGGATGGGACTTTGAGGAGGAATGGGACAAGTTGTTAGGCACTCATTGGCCTCTTACCATTTTTTTTCCTCTGCCCTGTGTGCATTCTCTGGGAACAGTGGGGTGTGGGGATGTGGCTAAGGATGCCCTGTTTTCTCGTGCACACAGCAGGACACCCACAGGCCGGCACTTGGCTCGACAGTCCTGGATCCCACCCTGACATGAAGGACGTATGGAGGGTTGACTCAGATTTGCCTTCCCTTTGTGAGAAATCCTTCATCATGCCCCAATTTCATGATGTGATTTTACTGGAATGTAGCAGGAACAGCAGTGCATTATAGAATTAATTACATTCAGCTTTAAGGCCTGTGACTAATTGATATGCAGCTCTAAGCGTGATGCCTGGAGAGCCAGTATCGCAGCACTGTGTGTGCAGGGCCAGGGTGGAAGAACCACACCCCCTACCCCGGCCATTTCTGCTTATTCTCTTCTTCCCTCCAGGACTCTTTCCCACCATCCACTCCTCCTCACCTTCACATTCCTGCTGCCCTCCCCATTTCACAGGTGAGGGATTAGCCCAGGGAAGGTGGTGAACAGCCCCAGATGACACACCTTGTAACAGACAGAGCTGAGATGCAGACACAGAGCTATCAGGCTTTGAATTTCCTTTCTTTCTGGATCTGCTCCCCTCATTCAAAGAAAACATCTCCTAGACTCTGTCTTAGGAGTCTGCTCCTTTTCCTGAAAAGGACTGCTCAGGAGAGTATTAGACGATGAGGGATTAAAAGACTGTGTAACTCCAGGGATTTGCACTTTTTTTCCAGTGGGAATTTGCACGTCTGCTCAAAAGCTTCCTGACTGATATAAGTTGCAGGCAGCAGGCTTTCCCTATGCTCCCCTAATCAACCCATTTTCCTAATTCCTGGCCAGTCCTCTCCGACAGGTTCCAGAATCTACCAAAAGTCAAGGAGCTCTTTTCTGCAATTTTTGGTGCTCCTCAAATAACAAAGCTTTTCTTCCTTTTCTCCTCCCCTTTTCCATTGACCAGCTGCACCTTATTTGTCATCTGAAATTCTCTAACCTTCTTCATAAATCATGAAATATGCATTTATGGAAGAAAAAAATATCTTCAAAGCATTGTGCTATTCACTGGGAATCCCGAGATTAAAAAAAGGACAAAGTCTTGATTCTCCAGCAATTCATAACTCAGTGTGATATATAAACAGATAGTGATAATTAATATTTATTGGAGGTTTACTATTACACACATTGCCATTTAGTCCTTCACACACTGTAACCTCAATTAATCCTCAAAACAAACAACTCTACGAGGAAGGTATTATTATCAGCCCAATTTCAGGGATGTGAGAGTTGCAGGCGAGCGAGCGAGTATGAGGTAGGGGAAGGCTCATTCCCTGATCTGGGGATGGCCAAAGCCACACACTTAGCGTGGGCAATAAGGCCACTTGCATTAGGGTGTGATGCTTGCCATACTTAATGGACCCCACGACGGAGGATGGTATCAACTCTACCAGTGATGTTTTAGGGCAGCCTGCCCAGAAGGGGGTGCAAAGTAAACTGAGTCTTGAATAATGAGTCAGAGTTCACCAGGGAGAGCTGGAAGAAGGAGGGAGAGGGGACAGAGGAGGCAAAGACCTATAATCACTGTGCTGCTTGGCATGTTTATGCAACTACACGTGGTTTAGCATTGCAAAAGCTTATAGCAAGTTGGGGGCAAGTGGGGAGCAGGAAGGAAGGGGGAGGAGTTGAGAGTGAGAAGCCAGTGGGGCCAAGTCAGGGGAGGTCCTGCAGGGACTGGGACATCTTCCTGTTGGAGACAGGAAACGCAGACACGTTTTCAGCAGGGGTTGGTGTGATGTGTTTGTGGCTGTTTCACCTTGCCAGGAGCAGAGTAGGTGTTCAATTCATGTCTGTGAAACAAACCTATTTGCTCTGGAATCATCTCTGAGTTTTCAGTTTAGATTGTTCATTAACACAAAGAACTAAACTGCAGTAAAAGCCAACAATGTGTCTATTACATGCCCATGTCTGTTTTAGACCATTCACAGAATAATTATCAGGATGGCTAACAATGGATGATTTATTATAAATATCAGCTTTGCTGCTTGTTAATTCAGAACCAAAATATTTGCCCATTTCCATCCCAAAGGGAAAAATCTAGTTAGTTTGTTCCCCATATTATAACTATGAAATTAAATTAAATGAACTGAATGGATTGCATGGGGGTAAATAAACTATTTAATATAATTCACACGATGAAGAATAATACTGAATACATCTATAGTTGGCTAAATAAACCAATTAACTATTTTCTCTTTAGACAGCACAAGCCAATAGTGCAGCCACGACAAAAGGAAAAAAAAAAAAACAGAATAAGAGAAAAAGAACTTGTCTTAATCAAGTGGAATCCAAATCTCTGCAGCCACCATCCCTGGGCTTCAACTCCCTTGCCCTCTTGGGTAACTCACACATTGGCTTCAGGTATGTCTCTTTCTTGTCTTCCAGGGTTTTTTGGTTTATTTTTTTAAATCACAGATTGACAGAAATAAGCTCATGAGGTTGAATATGATGTGGTCTCATTCCTCCAGGAGACACCTGGAAATGACAAATCGTGGGCAAAGGGAGCACAGGTTTACCTGTAACTATATCAGCACATGGTGGGTAAGAATTTAGGGTTTGGGGTCAAGTAGATCTCAGCTTGAATTCTTTCTCTGATGATCATGGCTGGGTGGTCTTAGGCAGGTTACACAGCCTCCTTCAGCCTCAGTCTCTGTAGTTCTAAAATGGGAACAGCGACTCCTTCCTGTGATGATGGTGAGGAGTAAATGAGATGGAATTTAAAGGCTTAGCCAGTGGCAGGCACCCAAGCGCTGCATGGTTGGTGCTTCCTGCCTGCTAGAGGCATTAATCTGCCTCTGTTCTTAGGGTCAGAACTAAATTCTTTCATCCACTATTTCCTGAGTACCTACTGTATGCTTGGTTTTTGCCTCGAGGTAGGGGGGTGGTGATAGGTAGATAAACGGGATCCCCAGGATCCTATAGTCTAGTGGGTAAGTCAAATTCTGCCCCCATAGGTAACAGAATTGGAATTTGATAAGAATGGGTGGAATGAGGTTTTAGAGTTGAGTGGGCTTCAAATTAACGTCCTGGCTTCTGGAAGTCACTGACAGCAAGGGTCTCAAAAAGCTGTAGACATTTTCTGACTGTAGTTTCAAGCTCAATAAGCCAAGTTTCTGCTTTTATCTGAGGTCGATTCTTGGTACAAATGAAGCTGATTGAGAGTAAGCTAGGGTTTTATGAGCACTACTTCCGGTTGGACGGGGTGAGTATCAACAGAGAAGAGCGGGAGGGAAAGGAGTGCTGTTGCTAGGAGAGGCGTTCTGCACCAGTGTTGGGGTCCTGGGCTCATGCAGGCTTGGCTTGGCACTACACAGCTTTCCCCTCTCTGGGTCTCAGTTTCTACATCTGTGAAGTGGGGGTGGGGGAAGTTTTCCTCCAGTTGTAAGACTGTGGAGCTATGAGTGCAGTTTGTTGTTGAGGGAGAAAATTAATTAATTATTTATTTATTGGACACTTTTTCAACACTGACAGTACCATGAACTGAAGTTGGTGCTGGGGTAGACAGAGATTGAGCCCAAAGGGTCCACAGTCCAATGGGTGATAGAGAAACCCAACTGATATTTTATGCAAGACTTGGTGAGTGCAAAAGTGAAGTGCAGAGCCAGGGAAGCTGTAGCCATGGGGAAATGGGACTGCCCCCAACCCCTGGAATGGGGATGGGGTTTGAGGAATCTGCAGTCTCTGAAGGAGCTGAAACCTGATATGAGTCATCAAGGACATGAATGAATTAAGGAGGTAAAGGTGCGAGTCTGCCTGGTGTACAGTCTGAGCTGAGGGATGAAAGCTGTTCGGTGTTGCTGAAGTTGAAAGAGACAAGGACACAGAGAAAGGCATGGTCAAAGTGGGGAAGGACTTTCTAAATTTTGCTAAGGAATGGGACTGGTGCAGGGTGACCCTAGCAGAGCTCTAAGCAGGGAGAAAGGGCCATAGAATCAGATGTGCATTGAAAATACATATCTCAGGAAGAGTGAGTTTGAGAGGACTTTATTGGAGAATAAAAGAACTGCTAGGATTGATTCTACATCTTTGCTATTGTGAATAGTGGTGCAATAACCATACAAGGGCAGGTATCTCATAGAATCGACCTAAGTATCCATAAATGGATGACTGGATAAAGAAAATGTGGTATATATATATGTGTGTGGGGGGGGTGTGTGTGTGTGTGTATGCGTGTATTCAATAGAATACTATACAGCTATTAAAAAGAAAGAAATCATATCAGCAACATGGGTGGAACTGGAGGCCACTATCCTAAGTGACACAACTTAGAAACAGAAAGTCAAATACTGCAGGTTCTCACTTAAAAGTGGGAGCTAAATAATGTGTACACATGGAGTGTAGAAGGATAGACATTGGAGACTCAGAAGGTGGCATGGGGGAGGAGGATAGGGGATGAGATATTACTTAATGGGCACAATGTACATTACTGTACATTAGGGTAATGAACACCCTAAAAATTTGGACTTCACCACCATGCAATATATCCATGTAACAAAACTGCACCTGCACCCCTTAAATTTATTTTTTTAAAAGAGCCGCTGGGAGGTGATAAGAGAGTGAACAGTAGTTGGAGTGGAGTGGGAAAGGACTAGAGTTAAGAAAAGTGTAGAGATAAAATCTTTAGGATGCTAGGAATGCAGGAGACAGAAGAAAGGCCCGACTTTCTATCCTGAGCCATGATGGATGGGTATCCTCTGCAGAGTCACAAACCACAGGGGACAGAGGCCACGGGAGGTGACAGCTCCCAGTTGGAACTGCTGATGTAAGGAGCCCACCAGCCTCCAGAAGGGAAGAGGGTAAGCATCAGGTGCAGAGCTCAGAGGGAGGCTCCAAGGCAGGAGACGCACATTTGGCAGCTGAGATGGCGCAGGAAAGTGAGGGAGTATGATACCCTCATTTGATTTAAATCTCTGTCTTCAAACAGAGAGGAAAATCAATCACAGGTGAAGATGCAGCATTTGATTGAAACCTGACAATCCCCAAATAAAATACCCTGTGTACGTGTTGTTCTTTCCCCCAAGCTCTCTCAACTCCACATGGATGTTCATGACAGCTTGTCAAAGGAGTTTCTCCGGAAGAGCTGATCTTCTGAACACAAAACACAATTTGGTTCAGTAGATAGTGCTAATCGCCCTGAGACACCCTGCTGACTTCATCTGTTCAATGTCCTTAGAGGGAAGATAATGAATTTTAAAAATCTGAGGTCATTCAAAGAGGGCAGCAAATGGTTATTTCAAACTTTGCTCCTTGGCATCCCGTCTCCCCAATATATTTGTTTAGAAGTTTTTTCTTTGGAAATACATATTGTTGTTTGCCTTTGTTTTCAATTAGGGAATAGGGTGATTGCATAACTTTGCTAGCTCTGAAGGATGCCCTGATATAGATCATTATCCTAAACTTGGTCTTCAAGACCTCACACTCTCATCTTGCTCCACCTACAGGTTCTCACTTGTCTGTTTAACCATATGCCTTAATCCTGTCATGTGAGAGGAGCTCGTTACCTGGCCCAGTGAACTGGGAGATTTTGGAGGACCGGACAGGCTGGAACTGCTCCCCTCCTTGTCTCCTCCAAGCCTCACACAGGTCTCGCATTGACAGGTGCTCAGCAAGGTTTTCTGAGACTAGACTTGTTTTCCTAGAACAAATCACATCTTTGCTCATGCAGTGACCCCCTACTTGGAAGGCCTTCCTCCATCTCTGCATTTCATTCCCTCATTAAAATCCAACTCCAGTTACCTTTCTCTGGAAGCTGTTCCCAGTGCCCCCAGCGGTGAACACTCTGCATGTGTCCTTCTGTACCGTGTCTCTCTAAGTGTTTCTGAGTAGTGGGCTATGCAGTGTATTCTTTCTGTTTCTAAACCAAGCCTTAGTGTGCACAGGACTCAGCTTAGGACTTGCGGGCTTTTGGGTACTCCTAGAAACATCTCTTGAGGCATCAATTTCTTTCCCATTCTCTGGGCCTTGCAAATACAGAGTTTCCAGCACCAAGTCATTGCAGGCCACACACCATCAAAGGGTCACACCAGCTTACGATGGGGAGTACCATCCTCCCTTAGGGCCTTGTTCATATGATATCATATCTTCCTCATTTGGTGCACTGCTGGCATTTTGCAGTCAGCATTCACCCCAATACAGCATCTTGGTTGAAACCGTCAACTTGTTTCCACGCTAGGATACTGGTCCTCTAGTTGTCAGTAAGGGAAGCTTTTCTCCAGTCTAGGACACTGTTCACTGACATACAGCAAGTGCACAATCAATGCACATTGGGTGGCTCAGGCTATCATATTGGTTTGTATATAATACAGATATGCCAGGCAGTGATATGTGAAGTGGAATGAACAGAATTTGAATATTGCCTTTGCCACTGAATAGCTACATGACCTTGGACATGCTTTGAGGGCTGCCCTAGAGGTATAGAACTGGCCTAGGCAAGGGAAGATTATTTAGAGTTTAGAGACCCTGCTAATTATTTATGCAACCACCATCTCATATGTCATGGTGCCTATATCAGAGAGCCAGCTAAGTTCCATGTCCCAGCTAGGTTCTAGAAATAGAAGCATGGCTTAACTATTTTCCTTACCATGAAAGAGCTAAGTCTATTGGAAGAAACAAACTTATAGACAGGTAAATTTCCACCAAGTGCACACTGACTAAATGGGTTAGCCCATCTCATATTGTAGAATACAGGGCCAGTGACATTCTAGCCTGTTAGTTGAAGTTGCCCCTTTTATTTGGCCTCCATAAACATAGTGAGAACAAGGTGAGAGAGTGAGTCAGTGGCTGGAGAAAGACTCATAACGATGACTTCTGTCTTTACAACCTGGGTGGCCATGAACAGGTTACCCTTGATATGGTTTGTGTATGTCCCCACCAAAATCTCAACTTGAATTGTATCTCCCAGAATTCCCATCTGTTGTGGGTGGAACCTCGGGGGGAGGTAATTGAATCATGGAGGCTGGTCTTTCCTGTGATATTCTCTTGATAGTGAATAACTCTCACGAGATCTGATGGGTTTATCAAGGGTTTCTGCTTTTGCTTCTTCCTCTTTTTATCTTGCTGCCACCATGTAAGAAGTGCCTTTTGCCTCCTGCCATGATTTGGAGGCCTCCCCAGCCATGTGGAACTGTCAGTCCAATTAAACCTCTTTTTCTTCCCAGTCTCGGGTATGTCGTTATCAGCAGTGTAAAAAGAGACTAATACACCCCACCTCGTGGAACCTGTTGTTTCTTCTGTGAAATGAGGATCAACCTTCCCATTTGTTTGAAGAACATTTGCTCATGTTTCCAAAGCACCTGGTCTGCAGTGGACCTAGAGGAAGCACACCGTGAATGCTAGCCGTGGTTCAGGTATTCTGGACTAAAGGGTCACCTTTTGGAGAGATAGGAAGCAGGCATCCCACACGGGAGGTGTTGGCTTCAGCCCCTGTGTTCTTCTGGCTGTGGGACCAGAGAAATTGGAGGCCTTCAGAGGGCTTTTCTGATTTTTGCTCTTTCTCTAGAATGAAGTGTACAGAAGTTGTCCTCAACACCTCTAAGTTCTACTTAGAGTCTCACTAAGTCTCCGTGGGTTCCTGTGCATTTTTGCACTCAAGGGAAAAAGTGAGAGTGTGCTGCAGTGACGCTGGAAATCTCCCAGTCCCAGATTGCTCCCTGACTGCTCTTTCTAGGTGAGGGTGCCCATTCATGGAGATACAGAAGTCCCTGGGCTTGCTCAGAAAGTGGTCTGCTCAGATATTCAGTGCCCATCAGAGCAAGGACCCCATGCCAGCGGCCACACTGGGAATGGGGAAATGGTATGCAGGTTTGCACTGCATTTGACTCCTGGGGGTGGCAGAGACCTACCCTTGACTGCCCACCCAATCTAACAGGCTACCCTGAGCTTGAGTCCCCTCTCTCTTGGGTCTGACCAGGGATCATTCAGCCTCACCTTGAATATTCCCAGAGAAGAGGAACTCACCAACAACAGAACAAGCATGCATTGAAAGAGAAATGTCAAAATCATCTTCTTTATGTGTTCACCAAAACCTTTATTCTTGTAACTTCCACAAATTCATCTTATGTACTAGGAAAATTACTAAAATTTGGACTCTGAAATTTGCCAGCCGATTCATTTCTCCACATGATAAGTGTCTTAAAGACAGTGGGAAGCCTTATCTGTCTTTTTATTACCAGCTGACAGAAGAGTGGGCAGCACTATTAACAAAGCCTGTGAGAGGGAGTATTAAATGAATAAATAACTTGTCTATTGACTCCACCTCTGCAGATTTCTTGGTCCATGGTTGCATACTAGTCACACAACGTCTCTGAGCTCTCTTCATCTGAAAAACAGGAATAATCTATTCCCATTATAATATTCTTCCATCCATCCATCCATCCATCCATCCATCCATCCATCCATCCATTCAATTATCATTACATATTTCTATGTGGTAGGCTGTGTGCTACAGACTGGACATTAAATGGTGAGCAAGCCAAAATGCAAGTAGGATGGTTGAGAATTTCCCTGTGTCAGGGAGATAAAACCAGTGTACCCCCATGGGGTCAGGAGAGTGACAGGAAGTTCAGAAGGTGTGAGCAAAGCACCCTGCAGACCACCTGCTGCATATACACCTGCAAGAATTTTAGTTCCCTTCCCTCCCTCACACACACATCACCTCATCAGATGTCTGAAGAACTCAGATATCAGTGATTAGAGAATAATCACTCCCATATCCTTAAATTTCTGTGTCCAGAATGCGGGCAGAGTAGCCAAAGGGAACTACCTCTGATGGGTCTTTGGTATGTGCCAGAAAAAAGCTGCCTGGGGCTTTGTGTGGGTCATGGCTCACAATTTCTCCATGGCAAGCAGGGGCACAGAGGCCTCCCTGATGATTCCCTATGATGCCACCTCCACTCCTGCCTCTCTGCATCCTTGCCCTCCTTCATTATCTTCATTTCCTCATATGTTATATTACTTCTTCATTTTATTAGCTTCTTGTCATGTATAACCACCCATCCTCTCTCCCACCTACATACCTCTCCACATTTCACTTTTCTGCTTCCTCTCTTAGAAACAGTGGGGAGCTGGAATGGTGCATCTCTTGCTCCTACTGCATCCCGGATGCTTAACACAGAAACTGCCCCATAAGAGGTCTTCATTAAAGATTTATTGATTGCACAAAGAATCCACAGTTCTTACAATTGTTACTCTTATTCTATGGTACTTACCCCTTCACTCAGCAGTTCTCCTGAATCCACCTCTCAATCTTCCTGGAAGCACCCCCACCCCCACCTGTGGCCCCAGGCAGAATTCAGCAGGCTGTGCACCACACCATCCTTGCATTCTGTGTACATCTCAGTTTCAGATCTTAACATACATGCCTGTCTCCTCCATCCCATCCCCAGAGCTAGATCAGGGCTTAGTCCTGTCCACTTCATGCTGAACAGAGCTTAGCTCATGGTAAGTGATGAATAAGGATGTGCTGAACGAATGAATGAGTGAGCAGCCTGGTTGGAATTCAGCTTTGGAAAAAATTGGAAAATGTCTGGAAAGACTTAATAGAAGAGTGAAGTACAAGCTTAATGAGAGGGGTGATGGACCTAAGCTTACCTGGCATCTTGCCAGGACAACATAGGGATGGTCTCTATTATTCAGTTTTCTGAAGGCACAAGGCATAGGTACTGAACATGGCTCTCAAAAAGTCCCTGAAAATGTCAGTCCAGTCATTCTGGCTTTTTGGTTGCCAGTATTCTAGATCAACATCTGCCACTTCTTTCACCATTCATAGAACATAAATGAACATTCATTCAGTGACTCTCACATGTCTGGAGTTGTAACAAGGTATTTTACAAAATTAAAACACATTAATTCTGTCTACCATTTTGCATGATAGATATTTTATCACCATATTCTAGGGTTAAGAATAAAAGGCCTTAAGAATATACATAATCTGACAGATACAAGGTTGTATATTTCATACCTACTGGATTTGACCTGTTATTGCTCTAACGCTAAAGCTTTGTTGTTTTTATTTAACTACTTAAGAGTCATAGACTCATAGGGGAAGTGGAAAATCTTTGAAGTCACCTGGCTCCTCCACTTCCCATCCAGTGTGAGGATCTCTTACTCAACATTTTTGAGAGAAGCAGCCTGTGTTTACATTATTATCCACTCTTGCCTTCCTCATCACCATTTTTCTCATTATTGTCATCTTCATCATCATTACCATCACTATCATCACCGTTGTCATTGCTATTATCATCATCACCATTACTATTATCATCATCATCACCAATATCACCATCATCATCATCACCATCATCATCACCACCATCATCATTATCCTCACCATCATTATCATCATCATCATCATCATCATTATCTCCAGCATGTTCACTGTTTTATGCAGCTAAAAAGTCTCATGGTTTTTCAGTTGGAGCTAAGACATGAACTCAAGTCTGCCCTGAGTGCTGTGATAGAATGGGCTGTCTTGCACTTGGGTTGGGCAACTCTTTCACAAGACGAGACATCTATTTTTTGGCCTACTTGTCTGATATGGTTTGGCTCTGTGTGCCCACTCAAATCTCACCTTGAATTGTAATTCCCACATGTCAAAGGTGGAACCAGGGGGAGGTAATTTAATCATGGTGGCAGTTTCTTTCATGCTCTTCTCATGATAATGAGTGAGTCTCATTATCATCAACAGATCTGATGGTTTTTTTAAGCATCGGGCATTTCCCCTGCTTGCGCTTATTCTGTCTCCTGCCGCCCTGTGAAGAGGTGTGTTCTGCCATGATTGTAAGTTTCCTGAGGCCTCCCCAGCTATGCGGAGCTATGAGTCAACTAAACCTCTTTTCTTTATAAATTACCCAGTGTCAGGTATTTCTTCATAGCAGTGTGAGAATGAACTAATGCATTGTCATTTCCAGAAAGGTCTTCAATTAGTATATAAATGGACTGGCCACTTGAATGATTCTAGCTTTACTCTGTGCAGACAATTCTGATTCCTCATGTACACCACAACCTGCACTTCAGATATTTGAAGACAATGCTCAATAGGCCAATGCTCAATTTTTCATTTTGTAATTATTTTAACCTTCTTATCTGAGCCACACCCAGGTTAATCTCATCCCTGGTAAGATGCATGACACAAAGTGTAAACTCTACTCTAAGATGAAGTCTAGGTTTGGTAGCTCCTCTAGCTATAAACATTGTGGAAATGGAATGGTAATGAAACACTAGAGCAGTGTTTGCAATGGTTAGCTGGAGAAGCTCATCATGTATAAAGTTTTAGGGGGTGAAAGAGTAGATAGTCACCCTGGGCAATATGGACCATGGCCAAAAATGGGAATGGACAGGCAGATACATCCAACACCACCCTCTTACAGAGACACTCTACACAAAATAGAAGATCATCCCAGTCTAAGATCCCATGGATCTAGTCCCAGCTCTGCCATGAATTTGCTGTGTGACCTTGGCTTATCCACTCTCCATCTCTGGTTTTCAGATACACCATCTGAAAAAAAAGGGATGTGATGTAATGATCATATTACTTACATTGTGCAACATCTCTGAATCAATGGATTCAAAGGGAATGAATGAAACTAGTAGCTTTAAGACAAAGCAAACATTAACTCAACTGAAGACTTTGAGGAAGAGAGGAGGCCAACCACTAAAATTAGTCATTCTTCTCACACTTGGAAAACAAGAATAAAAACTAACAATGAATCTGCAATCTGCCTAAAATCAGTCCAAACATACTAAGAAATATAAATTGTAATAAAAAGAAAGGGACTGAGCCTTTTTTGGATGTAGATGTGAAATTACAAGTGGAAAATATAATTGAACTTATTACTTGGTGCAAGGTCATCGATATATCAGCTTGGGTTTCAAAGGGAATGGCAATGATTTAGTAAGAATGGTAGGCCAACTTGCTGTTTGAAAAAGAACAGAGACCCTGAGGCCAGTAGCCTGTTCTCAGTGTCTTCTAGTTTGGGAAGCAAAGCTGAGGTCAAATGAGCTCACTCCCACTACTCCAGATCAAACCTTTTTCCAGACCCTGGCTTATATTTTAAGGCATATTTTTAATATACAGGTTTGTAGTAAGGTACGTAAGTGCTTATTCTATTAATTTAATCAATACCAAAATGATCACAGATCAGTTATTCTTCAAATAAATGATACAACACATCTTTATTATTTATATAATCACCTGATCATGTTCAGTTTGAAAATAAATGAAATATAAAACCCTCTGGAACAAAGAAGATATATTAGCCATCTAGGTCTACATCTTGCTTATACCACCTTTGATATTTTGTAGAATATAATGGAGGTATAAATAAAACTATATAATAAATTTCACATTTTCTTTCTCTGTCACCATATCAAGCAAAAATGGCCAGATTCCTACGCACTGCGCTTGGGGTGGCTGGACAGAAAACTCGAGCTCTGTGGCATGTGTAACGTTCACTTTGGGGATCCTGATGGCCTTTCTAAGAGAGAGGCAGGCAGCTCCAGCTGACCTTGAGGTTTAATGAGAAGTATGTGCGTTGGCTTATGGGGAAAGATGGACCACAGCATAAAGATGCTGCGGACAAAGAAGATGAATAGTGGTTTCAACAACGGGCTCTGAATTAAAAGTCACAGGGGCAAAACTTTGAACTTCAGGTGTTGCTTTGTAACCAAGTTGCTTCTTTTGTGAGCAACTCTATGGTGAGGAGGATTCGCATCAGGGGTCAGTTTATTTGAAAAGGGTTAATAATTTTAAGCAGTAAAAGGAGATATGCATGGACATGTATTAACTGCACATATGTCACATATTTATAGATATAAAACATATCTGTAGCAATACCTATGGGTAAGTTTAGGCATACATACAGATTTGTTTATACCTGCTATGTGTAACAATGATAATATCAATTTCTCTCAAGGTGACTTAATTTTTAGCTCCATTTTTTTTAAAAGAAAAAGAGTGGAATTAATACAACTTTCAAATCTATTTAAACTACTCTTATTAGCACTGTAGCATAAAACATAAAAAGCTAATTATAGCAAAAAACTACTGGAATACCTTATTCAGTAACTAAGCGAACCATTAAGGAGAAAAATCAGCTAAACGTCCTCCCTTATGTCCACCAGTTGTGACGTAGTCTGCAGTCAGGCCGCTAGGGTTCAGGATCCAGCTGTGCCATGCACTGGCTGTGTGACCTTGAACAAGCCACTACTTCTCTCTGGCTCTTGATCACCTTAGTCTGAAATGAGCCAAAAACTCATCTAGCAGCGCTGTGGTGAGGGTCACAGGAGATGAGGAATGTGGAGAGTGTGGCATGGTGATTCAGGGCTCAGACTGTCTCAGTGTGCCAGGTCTTGATTGAGTAACTGGATTAGTAAGACTGAGGTCTGGGGGTTAGTAAGACTGAGGTCTTGGGGTTTCACTTTCCTCATCTGTAAAATAAGGATGTTGATATTAATATCAAGGGGTCACAGGGAAGCTTCAGTTAATTGAAGTAAAGAGCTTTGCACAGTGGCAGGCACATAGGAAGAGGACTGCTAGCTGGTGTGATTAACAAGCCACACAGAACCGTGAGCCACTCATCCTCATCAGCTTTCTGGGGACCAGTGGCCTTGCAGTCCTCTCTCAGGCTTGGAGAAAGAGGACAGGGGAAGGACAAGAGGGAGGGCAATTGCTCTTTCTCTCCCAGCCCCTTAACAAGCTTCTGGAGTTGAGCAGGCTCTGAAGGTCCTTGCTGTCTTTCTCTGCAGTGAGCCTGCCGCCTCGCCTTGACAGGTGGACAGCATTATCTCTATCAGGATGGCTAAGTTACTGAAGGGAAAAATTCCATCCTGAAGCCATCAATTTTACTTTTGATCCTTCTCCTCAGGTTGAAGCTTCCTTCCAAAGTCACTTTTAAAACATTTAAAAAAAATCTTTAAATGGAGGTTTTATGCAACAGACAATGTCCCCTATTTGAATTCTCTTGTGCGGGGATAGCATTTCCATTGCCCACCGTCCAATAAAACGTTAATCACAGAAATATTGAACATTAAAGAGTGTCTTCAACTCTCTAACACATCCATGTCAAGCACTTGGGGGAATGGATATATTATAAATCTGGAAGGGAGCTCAGCTATGAAGTTCACCACTTCCAATAGAGATGCTAGCTAGCAGGGTAAGGAGCTTACTCTGAGTCATGCACTCCTTGGAGTGGGGAGAAGGCACACATAGGAAGAAAGGAGTTCACACTCGGAATTTCATGGTGCCATGCATCCCAAGGAGCTCCGTGTGGCCTCCAGGAGCTGCTGTCACACAGACTTGGAATTTTTTTTTTTTTTTTTTTTTTTTTTAGAAGGAGTTTTGCCCCATCGTCCAGGCTGGAGTGCAATGTCACAATTTCAGCTCACTGCAACCTCCACCTCTTGGGTTCAAGCAATTCTCCTGCCTCAGCCTCCTGAGTAGCTGGGATTACAGGTGCCCGCCACCATGCCCGGCTAATTTTTGTATTTTTAGTAGAGACGAGGTTTCACCATGTTGGTCAGGCTGGTCTTGAACTCCTGACCTCAGGTGATCTGCCCACCTCGGCTTCCCAAAGTGCTGGGGTTACAGGCATGAGCCACTGTGCCCAGCCTGGATCACTGCTTAGTTCTGCTTTTAGATGCCTTGAGGATATTAGGCACATTGTTTAGCCTCCATGGGACTCTGTTTCATCACAGGTCATTGTAGGGATTTAATGAGCTAAGGATACTAGGGCTTACAAATATGTAAACCGTTTTTGAGAACTCGCTAGGTCGTAGATATTACTCTGACTGCATTACACACATAATCTCTTTCAATCCGTGATTTCTTCTTTGTGGTGGGCATTATCACCATTCCCTTCTTGCGGCAGACATTAGGTTTAGCAATTTGTTCAAGATCCTACAGCTTATAAATGTGGACTCCAGATATCTGCACTCATTATTGTAAATACATGCTGCCTGTCTCTCTATGAGGTAGGTAAATAGATGTCCTGTGCCTGATGTGTGGGAGATGCTCAAAAAATGCCAGTTCTTTGCCTTCCTTTGCCCATTTGCAGTTAATGTCTGTCTGAGGACTCTTTTTCTTGAAAGAAAGAACACTATCTGCCTACAGGCATGGGGAGACAAAAATGCTTTATACTCAATGGCCTTGGGAAAAACCATCAACCACTCATGGGTGGCACATTGGTGACTAAATACCCTAGCTCCCTGGTACCTGATTTGAGGGTATAGAATATCACCTCCCAGAGTTCCTAAGACTGAGCTTATTGCCCTCCAAAGTATTTTGCTTGGTGGTGCAACCCTTTTTTACAAATTTCCCATCTCTGTCTCTTGTCTCAACTCCCTCACTAGTGCTTTCTGGAATCACCTTCCAAATAAACACCTTGCTCACCAATCATTGTCCCAAGTCCTGCTTCTGTAAGAACTCAAACCAAGCCTGAGCTTTCAGAGAGTTCTGGCCTGTCTGGTTATTCTTGGATGCTCTGGCAGGTGGCACAGTGCCTGGAAAAGAGGAGGTGCCCAGCAAGTGCTTCATGTGACAGGCGGATAAAAGCAGAGGGGGCACAGGTGTCCTGGGTACAAGCCTTGGCTTGGGAATGTGCTGGCTGTGATCCTGGGCCAGTTACATAGCTCCTTTGAGCCTCAGTTTACTCATAAGGATAAAAATCCTTGTAGGATTATTTCTGGGCTTGTACAAAATTCACAGAGAGCAACTAACATGTAGTGGGCATCCAATAAATAGTAGCTGTGGTGACGCTGTGTAGAAGGCACTGGAGTTTTTAGATTCCCAACTTGCCTGTCACACCGGCAAGTTCAAGTCCCATGATGCAATGAGGTTAGCAGCTGTTGAACAAACTATTGATAACGCTCCCTCCAAAAGGCAGTCTGAGCTTGTGTGTGACTTGAACTAGACACTTCTGTTGAATTGGGCCCCTCTTTTTAGCAATAGCCTCCAATGGGCATCTCTGGCAAAAGGGATGAGGGAGGAGGTGGATCTTCTAAGTTCATTCTTTGAGGAAAAAAAAAATGAGTTTCTTTTATCCCAAGTTTGAGAATGGTCTGTGGAGGTCCGTACATTTTTGCTCCAAAGTCAATGGCTTAGACAAAAGGCATTTGACTAAGGATAAACAGATGCAAATACCCCAGCTACAGGCCTGGCTCTCCTCCAAGAACAATGAAGGGCCCCTGGAAGTGGAACTGATTGGACAAATGCCCCACCTTCCTCCGTAATCTTTTTGAATACCCCCCTCTCAATTAAATGTGTTAGACTTGCAAAGGCAATTTCTGAAACAGGACCTGATAGAACAAGAGGCGTGAGCTTTGCCAGCATCCTAAGGCAAGTGCACCTGGCCTCTGTTCCAGGGTATGAGTCTGTCTTAACCAAAACTTTTATTCGGAGAAGCCACAGGAAACAGAGATAACCTGCATTATCTGAACATATATGCTGTTTTTTTGGTTGTTGTTTTTAATTGAGTAAGTGCATGAGTCTTGCATCCTGCGTCCAGGAAAATTACTCTCAGAAGATCTCAGTGTATCTGCATTGAACTGTATGGACATTTAAACTCATATGATACGGCATGAGTTTAAATGGTCTCTGCCATGGTATATGATGGACCCAGAGAGCGTATGCACTGCATGTTGAATATCGGGGTTTAGGCAGCACACATAGAAATGACTATCCCCTTCGAAGGAAAGGCTATTTTCACCACACTCTTTGCTGCACATATTAGGCCATTTTGTGCATTGCTATAAAGGAATACCTGAGACTGGGTAATTTATAATGAAAAGAAGTTTTATTTTGGCCCCCGATTCTGCAGGCTGTACAGAAAGTGTGGTGTCGGCATCTGCTCCTGGTAAGGGCCTCAGGAAGCTTCCAATCTTAGCAGAAGGGAAGGAAAGCTGGTGTGTCTCATAGTGAGAGTGGGAGCAAGAGACAGAGAAGTGGGAGGTCTCAGACTTTTAAACAACCAGATCTCCCATTAAGGAACTGAATGAGAACTCACTCATCACCAAGAGGATGATGCTAAGCTATTCATAAGGGACTGGCCCCTGTGATCCCATCAAGGCCCCACCACCGGGCCCCACCTCCAGCATTGGGGATTACATTTTGACATGAAATTTGGAGGGGACACACCTCCAAATTGTCTCACTGTCCCTATGCTGGGAGAAGAGAGACATGGATTTGGAAATACACTTTAGGAAGGAAATCAGTGTTTGTTGTGGTCCACTAGGCAAGATACCTGTGTACTACAGCAGGTATGAAATTCGCATGGCAGCTCATAAAGACCTCTCTTTTGAATGCAGTGAAGCAGTGATGTCGCTGGGATTTTAGGCTCAGCCGGGCCTGGTTTCCAAGACTTTTCCACCGCAACTGAGCGATACTCCAAAAGTGTAAGTTAAATCACATCATTCCTTGCTTATAACTCTCCCATCTCCAAGTAGAAGCAGAATCACCATCATGGTGGTTCCCAAGGCCCTGGTGTTCAGACTCCTCTGCTTCCTTTTTGGTGAAAACCCAAACCCTTTTCACTGCCCCTTCCCCTGTTCATTCAAGGCCCCAGCCCCCTTGCTCTTCAAGTAGGCCAAACACCGCCCCACTTGCCCTTGCCCTTGACCCTGCCTGGGATGCCTGACTCCAGTGGCCTCATGGCTCACCCTTACACTTACCCAGTTGCTGCTAAATGTCAGCACCTTAGAGGGGCCCACCCAGCTGGGCCTAGCTAAGGCAGATGCTCCTGTACCTCACCATACCCTAAAGCTGCTTTATTTTTCTGCCCCGAATTCTTCACTAGCTGACTTCATTATACAACATTTTGGTTCTGTTGATCGCCCATCCTGCTCACTCTCTCTACAAAAGCAGAGAGTTTGTCTAAATTGTTCACCAAAGGCCCTGCCCCTAGAACACTGCCTGCCCACGGTAGGGCCCCCAGAAATACTCCCTCAAGTGAATGAATGACTGCCCCCAAGAAAGCATCTTTCAGGACGGCTGCAATGTGATGAGGCTTTCTTTGTGTGTGTCGTGGGTGACTGGACTTCTTATTATCACCAAACCCGATGTTGGAGCCTGATAAGGGGGTGAGCTCCAAAAGTAGTACTTTTTTCACAGGGGCTCAATTGTTGCTTTTGGTGGCTGGATTTGCATCTCTTGTCTGCAGCACTTAGGAGCTAAGCATGGTGTTGCAAAAGCTGTCAGCCTTTTAGAACCACCTCCCCAAATCCACTGCTGTGAAACAAAGACCATGATCACCCCAGTGCACCGCACCCAGCTGTTGAGCCACCCTGATGGAGCAGTGTTAGGGGGGATTACGGAGGACAAACAGTGTCAGAGCCGGAGTGGAAAGAGCCTCGGCTGAGCAACACCTTGCATGGAGACCCAGATGGTAGCAGAGATAAACCCTGAGGTGGGATGCAGCGTTTGGTGGGGGATCGGGTGGCTGATGGAGGACATGAGCCAGGTGTCTACAGAAACCACTCTGGGGCAGTGGTCATTGTGTTGACAGAGGACATGTAGAGTGCAGAATGGCATGGAGGTGGCCACTTGGGAGGCTTGCCCAGGATGCGTGGGAAGGCTGCAGTGGGCAGCTAGATACAGGCACATAGGGAAGGATGAACCGCAGTTTGCCAGTGGGTGAGGGAGGCATTCGAGGACGAGGTCATGGCTTGTACTAACATAGCACTGTGCGCAGGTAAGGGAGCTCACTCCTCTTACATCAGTCCTTCCCTGGCTTCCTCAACAAAATGACTGGGTGCTTCCTGTGTCACCAGGCACTGTGCCTGGGAGCCATCAGAGAGGCAATCATGAACTGAGACACAGGTTCTTATTCTCATGGAGCTCAGAGGGCAGATGATATCAGGGTAAGGAGTAGGGGCTTTCCTACTATTTCGCCTCATGAAGTGTGCAGGCGATGGCAAGAATTTAGGCCATAAATGTGTGTGTGTGTTGGGGCGCGTCATAGCCCTTTAAATTGGGGCAGAGGGGAAGAGGCCAGGGACAGTGGCTCACACCTGTGGGTGGATCATTTGAGCTCAGGAGTTGGAGACCAGCCTGGGCAACATGGCAAAACCCCATGTCTACAAAAACTACAAAAATTATCTAGATGTAGTGGCATGCGCCTGTGGTCCCATCTACTCAGAAGGCTGAGGCAGGAGGATCGATTGAGCCCAGGAAGCCAAGGCTACAGTGAGCCAAGCTCACACCACTCCATTCCAGCCTGGGCAACAGAGTGAGACTGTGTTTCAAAAAAAAATTATTAATAAAATTTTCAAAAAGAGAAAATTTAAATAACTTTCAGAGGGATGAGTGCTGTCACATCCCCTGCTGCCCTGCAATTCTCTGTTTCCTGTAACTTCAGGGTTCACATCTTGTCGTTCATCCTGAAGGCATCTTACTTTGTGTCTCCCATTGTGGGGAGCACCAGGAGAGTGTACGTGTGGTTCTGGGAAGAGATGCGCTGTTGCAAGATAGGATTTGCTGTTAAGTTTTTACATGGAGAAATTTCCATCCTCATAAGTGATCGTTCTTATTGACCCTCCAAGTGTATTTGTGATGTAAAGTTCCGTTTGCTTGAAAATACATGTGAGATATTATGATGCTCATTAAACTCTATTCTAGAAATATCTATAAGGAAACAGAGAGTTGGTGAACTTGCCTTATTTGAGTTTTAGGTGGGTGGAGGTATCTGAGATTTTCCTGTGAGGAAGATTTATTGAATTCAAGTATTTTATTACTTGGTCTTTAAGAAAAGCTACAGGCTGATGGAGATTGGTGTTCTGTTGTCTTCCATGCAAGCCTTCAATAAAAAGACCTTGTGCCAAGAGCCACAGCAGGAGGAGCTCTGGCCGAGCAGCACACTCAGGGCAGGGCATTTAAGGAGACATGTATCTGAGAGAAAGAGCTTACTTTCTTCTTGTGCCTCCCCTAATCCAGCCTTGGAGGAAAGCGGTGGGTATTTACTGAGTTCCTGGATGATGCCAGCACAACTATTCATCTGCATGAGCCGCCTGTCCCCTGCAGACTAGGACCTGTCATCATTTCCTTACCTATGGGTAAGGAAACTGAGGCTCAGATGGTCTGAGTAACTCCCCTCATCACGTGATTGTGAAATGCCACCACCTAGAAGATGCCCCGTACTTGATTCTAGGCTCCCATGTCTCTGGATCTAAGCAAACGCAGTGACCATTTGGTCGGAGGGATGGACTCTCCAGTACAACCAAAACTCGGTCCTCTCCACCAGATGCATGTCTTTTTGAGCTTTGTTGGAAATAGACAGAGCAGCAAATTGTTATGGATGGCAAAGACAGCCCTTGGTTGTGGAGCTCCCGCTTGAGTACTAAATAGCAGCCTCATTCTCAGGCCTGAGTTCCTGGCGCTTGGCCTGGGTCACAGACAGAAGCCAGCTGGTCACCACACTGGCCAGATTTTCTGAGTGCTCAGAGAGGTATATCCACCAGTGATGGTGTGCCACTGCTCATCCCAGCCTGGCTGAGCCCAGGGCCATCCTTGCCATTCCTCAGTCGGCCTTCAGTACATCAGGAGTGTCTTCTCCACGTGTTTTCACTTACTGCCTGAATTCAGTTCCTACCCTTTCAACAGGAACCAAGTCCAATTAAGTAATTTATTTGTCACCAAACTAGCATCCTGGTCCTTAGAGAGTTAAAGAGTATTATTTTATAAAAGAAACCATTTATTAATTTGTTCTTCAGTAGATATTATCTGGGCATCCATTCTTTTCTGCTCGGCTTTCCCCTGAGCTCTGCTGTGATAAAGATAGATATGGCTCTGGTCATGCCTTTGAGAAGCTCATGGTCTAGCGTACTGCTCAGATGCAGATGTGGAAACCTTCAATGCAGCAGGAAACGTGTTGCAATGAAGGTAGTGAAGCCAGGTAAGCTGCATAGAGGAAGGGGATGAACTCACCACTGAGTGAAAGCAAGTCCAAGAAGGCTTCCCTGAGCAAGTGAGGTTGGGCTGAACTTGACGGAAGACTAGGGATCCTCCAGGAGGAAAATAAAGGAAGGGTGTTCAGGCAGGAGGGACCGCATGTATTTGTTTGTTGGTTACTTGGTTTTGAGATGGAGTCTCACTCTGTCACCAGGCTGGAGTGCAGTGGCACGATCTCGGCTCACTGCAACCTCCGCCCCCTGGGTTCAAGTGATTCTTCTGCCTCAGCCTCCTGAGTAAGCTGGGACTACAGGCGCGCACCACCACGCTTAGCTAATTTTTGTATTTTTATTAGAGACAGGGGTTTCACCATGTTGGCCAGGATGGTCTCGATCTCTTCACCTTGTGATCCACCTGCCTCAGCCTCCCAAAGTGCTGGGATTACAGGCATGAGCCAGCACGCCCAACCGGGGCCGCATGTTTCAGGAAAGCAACCTGTACACAAAGATGGTATCAATAGAGTCAGCTGTAACTGGAGCATAGGAGGAGGGGAACTGGATGAGAGAGAGGACCATCCAGGATGACCTGGGTCCCCACTGTGCATCTGTCCCTAAGGAGCTGGGTGGACCCAGTAAGGTGTGGACAATGAAGGGTTATGTTGGCTGGTCTCCCCACACCCCTCCAGGGCAGGATTCTAGGACCATGATGCTATGAACAGCTGGGTGCCAGGTGGCCCAGGACTGCAGGCCCCTGCGTTCCTGGGTAAATTCAGAACAGCTGAGCATCCTGGCCCTTTCCTCGAAGCGCATTGTCCACACAGGCCTCCTTTGGCAGAAAAATCAACTTTCATTCTTGGGAGCTCTGGGGATTTGGGACAATTCACAAAGCCTGCCCCTTTCTTTCCTTCCATTCATTAATTATTGTCATGGGGAACTTCTATTTATCAGTCACCGAGCACAGGTTTTGGGGAGAGATAGACCCATGTAGAATGCCCGTGATCTGATACAACTGGACTCTTACAAGAGCTACCAGACCACGGATGTTAGTTAATTAGGAATTCGGAGCCTGCCATTCAAAGGTGGTTGATAACCAGCTCTAAACATCATTATCTCTGCAGCCAACAGAGCGACTGGCCACGTCTCTGCCAAGCCACCCTGCCCCCCTGGGAGGGAGAGCGGTTCCCTGCATTTCCAACAGCACCTGAGCGTCCGAGGCAAAGCTCTGCTGTCAGGTCAGTGCTGGGCCAGCCCACACGGAGTTTGGTCTGCTTGGACTGCAGCTCTACTTCCAGTTTTTTCTTGCACACTGCCAGCCTCACTTTGCTCATCAGTCCCATGGGGCTGATGCCAGATCCCTGCCTGTGTTGCTGGTGCGAAAATGTGATCACAGGATAAAAGAACGTGACAGACCACGGACTCACATGCCAATCGATGAAGGTTCAGAAACACTGAAGGGTGATATCCGAAAGTGACTCCCATAGTCTTTCTTTCTCTTTGGGATTATTGTGTTTCTAAATTCCGTGAGGGCTCCCGTGAAGATCATGGAGAGGATGCCAATTGTTAAGGGGGCTTGGTACCCAGCTCCATTGCTTGTGCAAAGATGATGGAAAGGCTAGTGAGGTCTATGCTGAAGGTTTTCACCAACACAGCCCCTGATCCTGCCCCACCCTGCCTTTCTTCTCCTCCCCAGTAGCCAGGGTGGGACCTTGCATTTCATGCAAGCATGTGGCCCACCCAATTGTTGGGCTTCCTGGATCTGCCCTGATCCCGTCAGTTTCCCCTTTTGTGGGAGATTCATTCTGCAGGGGTTCAACTAGCAGGACTCACCACCTTGGCTTTGAGCGGCTGTAATTCCAGTTCACAGTGGATTAAAAAATCCGGTTGTCCATCCTGATCCAGGAGGGAATCAGGATGTGCACTTCCCAGTCTCTTTTTATATATAGGTGTAAGGCAGAGGAAATAGGAGAGAGTGAGGGTCATTTTGGGGCCTGGGAAACCTGTGACTCTAGAATTGAGGGGAAAAGGGAAGTGAATTCGTAAAAATCTAGTTGAGAAAATGGTGTTCATTTTTCCTCCCTCCATCCTTCTAAAAACATCCCAAAGGTTGCAGGCCAAACAGCTCCAGGGAAAATTAACAAAAATGGTGATAGAAGTTTAGTTTTAGGGTTTTCTTCTGTGTGGGGCTTAGGTTTATTTTGTTTTTTACAGAGCATGGATGAAGGATCACAGTTTTCACTATCTAGTTGGGACAGCAAGGGAGGCATGGCCCTGGCTTTCCATCCGTGGGCTGAGACTTGAGTAAGGAGAGCTGGCCACCCCTGGAAGGGCATCCCTTCCTGCTCACAGCAAGGCTGCAAGCTGCTGCCCTGGAATCTCTCTGCTCTGAGGGATTGAGCTCAGGCTTCCCTCTTGCTACAGGCTGTGCTGGTGAGAGCTCAAAACACATGCTGCAAAGCAGTGCAATTGTTTCTGTTCCCCATTAGACAGCCAATTCATTCCTCTCAATGTTTCTGGCACCTGATTTGCTTCTTGGCACATCTTACGCCCTCAGTATGTCTTTACTGATAGAATAAATGAACAACAAGGAGGAATGCTCAGAGCATGTCTGCTGAATTACAGAACACTAAATACACTTCTCATACCTATTATCCTAACTCAATTATCATAGATACCCTAATCGGGCAGAGTGGAAGATGGGAACTTATCATCTCCATTTGACCCAGAGAAATACTGATGTCCAGATAAGTTTAGGCGACTTACTCAAGGACAAAATGTTAGTGACTGGTTGTTAAGGGGGCTTGGTACCCAGCTGCATTGCTTGTGCAAAGATGATGGAAAGGCCAGTGGGACCTATGCTGAAGGTTTTCACCAACTCAGCCCCTCATCCTGCCCCACCCTCCCTTTCTTCTCCTCCCCAGTAGCCATAGTGGGGCCTTGCCTTTCATGCAAGCATGTGGCCCACCCAATTGTTGGTCTTCCTGGATCTGCCCCGATCCCGTCAGTTTCCCCTTTACAAGGCCCTCTGTGAGAATGCACATCCAGGATGGAACAGCTAGGAGAGAGAATCCCATTCTCACTCACCACTTTCCAGGGAATGCTTGACACTTGGGCTAGATGACAAAGCCTCTCTACCACCAGGCTCCACTCAAGAGGCCACAGGGGGTGTTTCTGGGCAGATGTTGGCCCCTAGCCACATGAGTCCACCCTGCTGGACCCCTCGATCATCTGGCCCAGCTGTGCATAAGCTTTAGAACTAATCCACAAGAATGTCCTTTTCAGCTATGATTGGCTGCTGGTGACATCATAGGAATCTGGGGGAAGTGATTTTTGTGCATATCTTGTTTTATATGTCTTTGATTAATAAACATTGGGCAATCAAATTAATTATGTCAGCCTAAGAACAGATTGGTTGGCAAAATATTTTGAAAATGTAAAGTTCAGTCAACTAAGACCTGATTAGAGTTGTAACCCTCTCAGTGTGCAAATGAGTAGACCAAGAGCCAGCAGGAAAGACTTTTTGTCTAAATTAATATTCAAACTCAAATTTCCTGACCCAAGCCAGGGCCCTTATCCTTTAGTCTCTACTATCTGGGAAGATCTTCCAAGGAGATAATGAGATTTTTAAAATGTCATATACAAAGCAACACTTCTCCATGGTACACATATAAGACAGTGCACATGTATGTATGTATGTACAGAGGACATGCGTGGGTACTCTGCCAGAAGGTGTCCAGTTGTAATAGAATGATGCTGAATTAGTTTTTCAGGCTACAGTAACAAAGTACTGCACATTAAGTGGCTAAACAACAGAAATACAGTCTCTCATAGCTCTGGAGGTCTGAAGTTTGAATTAAGGGATCAACATATTTCTTCTGAGGATGGCAAAAGACTGTGTTCCAGGCCCTCTGCCCTATTGTCTGGGGGTTTCTGGTAATCTTTGCCATTCCTTGGCTTGCAGAAGCATCACCCTAGTCTCTGCCTTCATCTTCATGTGGCATTATTTGTGTGTCTCTGTCCAAATTCCCCCTTTTTATGATGACACCAGTCATACTGGATTAGGGCCCACCCTAATGACTTTATCTTAACTAATTGCATCTACCATGACTTGTATCTCCAAATAAGGTCACACTCTGAAAATATTGGGATTAGGACTTCAACATACTAAGTTTGTGGGGGACGAGGGGGAGTGGGAGAGGAGAGTCACAATTCAAGCCATAAAATAGGCCTTTTTCAAGAGTTCAGAACCAACATGGTGAAACCCCATCTCTAGTAGAGACATAAAAAAAATTAGCCAGACATGGTGGCAGGAACCTATAATCCTAGCTACTCAGGAAGCTGAGACAGGAAAATTGTTTGAACCAGGAAGGAAGAAGTTGCACTGAGCTGAGATTGTGCCACTGCACTCCAGCCTGGGCAACAGAGTGAGGCTCCGTTTAAGAGATTACATGATATAAAAAATGTATTGTCTGGAATACATTCGAGATCTTCCACCTGGGCAAGTCAATTTCCTTCACTGAATATGAATTTCTTCACCTTTAAGGTGGACGTAAGGACAGTCACATGAAGGATAATCACATGTATGCTTTGGTTTGTCCAGCAAGATAAAAACTTAAGGATCAGATAGGGTGATGACTTGACCAAGTTCACACGGAGTAACTGACAAAGTCTAGGCTTAAGCTTTCGGTTTCCTACAGCAGCTCTTTCTACTTTATTAGGCAGCATCTCTATCTTTAGTATATCTTCTCCACATTGAAGTTTTTTTTTTTTTCCTCTACATCTAAAGAAAGATAGCATAAAGGAAAAGTCCCCTGAATGAAATATAGGAGATCTGCATTCTAGAGTCCAATGTCCCTCTACTTACATGTGTGAGTTTAGGTGTTGATATGTCTGTATTAGACATTCATGACTTTGTGCTTGTTGTGTTTCAAGAACTACATTTAACTTATTACCTGGGAAATGATGAAGGTGAATAAATGACAGTCTCCCCTAAACGAAATCTGGCTATGTGCTATGTGTAAGACACACATCTAAAAATAAGGTAATATAGAATGTCTGAAAGTGAAAGAATGGCAAAAGATACATCAGACGAATGCTAGTAACAAGTAGGTATTCCGTTTAGGTATAAAAATATATTTTATATATAGAATAAAATATAGGTACTTATAAAGATAAGTATTCCAGTTAGATTGCTTCTATAACTTGGCTATTGTGAATAGTGCTGAAATGAGCATGGGAGTGTAGATTTCACTTTGACATACTGATTTCAATTCTTTTGGATATATATCCAGAAGTGGGATTGCTGGATTACTGGTAATTCTATTTTTAGTTTTTTTTGAGGAAACTCCATACTACTTTCTGAAATGGCTGTGCCAGTTTAAATTCTCACTCACAATATTCAAGGGTTTCCTTTCTTCCATATCCTCACCAACACTTATTATTCTTTGTCTTTTTTTAAAATTTATTTTGACAGGGTTTTGCTCCATTACCCAGGCTGGAATGCAGTGGCATAATCACTGCTCTTTACAACCTCTGCCTCCTGGGCTCAAGTGATCTTCCCACCTCAGCCTCCCAAGTTGCTGAGACCACAAGCGTACACCACCACGCCTGGCTAATATTTGTATTTTTTGGCAGAGACAGGTTTTTGCCACGTTGCCCAGGCTGATTGGTCTCGAACTCTTGAGCTCAAGTGATCTACCCACCTCAGCCTCCCAAATGCTGGGATTATAGGCATGAACTACTGTGCCCAGCCCATTATTTATCTTCTTGATAATAGCCACTCCAATAGGTGTGAGATGATGTTTAATTGTGGTTTTAATTTGCATTTCCCTGATAATTAGAGATGTTGAGCATTTTTTAACATATCTATTGGCCATTTGTATCTCTTGTTTTGGGAAATGTCTACGCAGAACTTTTGTCCATTTTTAAAATCAGTTTATTTTATGTCTTGCTATTGAGTCGAGCTTCCTTATATATTTTAGATATTAGCTATTAGACATTATTAGATATTCAATATTATACATTTGTATGGTTTACAAATGTCTTCTTCCAACCCATGGGTTGTCTCTTCACTCTAATTGTTTCCTTTGTAGTCCAGAAGCTTTTTAGTTTGATACAATCCCATTTGTCCATTTTTGCTTTTGTTTCCTAGGATTTTGGAGTCCTGTTCAAGAAATCATTGCTCCAAACAATGTCCTGAAACTGTTTTTTGTTTTTTTTTTTTCTAGTAGCTTTACAGTTTTAGGTCTTACATTTAAGTATTTTTATTGATTTTGAGTTTATTTCTGTAGATAGTGCAAGTTTAGGTTCCTATTTTATTCTTTTGCCTGTGGATATTCAGTTTTCTCAATATGATGTATTACAAATTATCTTTACCCCATCATGTATTCTTGGAAACTTTATCAAAAAATCAATTGACAATTGACCATAAATACTTGGGTTTATTTCAAGGTTTTCTATCCTGTTTCATTGGTCAATGTGTTGTTTTTTTATGCCAGTATCATACTCTTTTATTAAAATAGATCTATCATGTATTTTGAAACCAAGGAGTGTGATGCTTCTAGCTTTGTTCCTTTTCTAAAGATTGCTTTGGCTATTTGGAGTCCTACAGTGTAAATGTTAAGAATTTTTTTTTTTTTTTTTTTTTTAGATGGAAGCTCTGCCTCCTGGGTTCATACCATTCTCCTGCCCCAGCCTCCCAGTAGCTGGGACTACAGACGCCCGCCACCACGCCCGGCTAATTTTTTTGTATTTTTAGTAGAGACGGGGTTTCACCGTGTTAGCCAAGATGGTCTTGATCTCCTGACCTCATGATCCATCCCTCTTGGCCTCCCAAAGTGCCGGGATTACAGGCATGAGCCACCGTGCCCAGCCTTAAGATTGTTTTTTATCTCTGTAAAAAGTGACATTGAAATTTTGATGAGGATTGCCTTGAATCTGTCGATGGCTTTGGCTAGTGTCCATCAATGGATGAATGGATAAAGAAAATGTATATACACACAATGGTATACTATACAACCTTGAAAAAGAAGGAAATCTTGTCATTTGTGATAACATGGATGGAACTGGAAGATGTTATGCTTAGTGAAATAAGCCTGGAAGAGAAAGATAAATACTTTATTATCTCACCTATATGGGGAATCTTTAAAAAGTCAATCTTTAAGAAACAGAGTGTAGAAAGGTAGTTTCCAGAGTCTGGGGTAAGGTCAAAGAGAAAGGAAAAAGGAGATGTTGATCCAAAGGTGCAAATCTCAGTTAGACTAAAAGAATAAGTAAGGCACTTCGTGGTGAACACTGTTAATAGTAAGGTACTCTTTCAAAATTACTATAATAGTAGATTTTTAAGATTCTCACCAAAAAAAGTTGGTGAGGTGCTAGATATGTTAATTACTTTGATTGAATCTTTGTACAATGTATACATAGATTAAAAAATCATGTTGTATTCCATAAATATGTACAATTATTGGCAATTAAAAATGAGTAAATTTAAAAATAGGTAATATTTTCAAATTAATATCAAAAAAATTCAAAATAAAAAATTATTATTAGGGATTTGGTTTGTCATTACTTATAATAAAAAGAATATTTTATCTGAGTATACAATAATCATGAACCTGAATGCAACTAACAACACAACTACAAAACATATAAAGCAAAAGTTTGCAGAGTTATAAGGAGAAATTAGCAAATTCATAATCAGAGTAAGATTATTTTAGTAAGCCTCTTTTGAAACTGTTAGTAAAGATACAGAAAATGTGAACAACATGCTGAAAAACTTAAGCTATATATAAAATTCTGAAAAACACAGAAAATATTCATTTTCAAGAATATCTATGTACTATTTTCAAACACTGACCATGTAGTAAACTGAATGAAAGTTTCAGCCAATATTTTCGATACTATTTGATTTGTATATCCAATAGACCACAATCTCTAAACCTATTGCAAGAAATTCAGAGATTAGTGAAATAATCTCTCCCAATTTGATCATCTGCTTAGACACTAAAACAGAAGAATGCTATGTTTTGTAATTCATGGAACACAGAAGAAGACGTAATGTAAATAAGAAAATATTTAAAACTAAATAAGAATATCATTACCAATAAAAAAGTCAGGTAAAATTAAAGTGTTATTTAGATGGGAATTTGTAACTTTTAAGGCACACATTAGGAAATACTAAAGTTTAAAAATTAAATAGGCTTTTAACTCAATAAATTAATGAAGACAATAGAGTAAGTCCAAAGAAAGTAGAAGCAAAGATATAATAAACATAAGAGCAAATATTACAAAAAAAAAAATTAAAGGGTTAAAGAAATCAAAGGTAACTATTTAAAAGACTACTGAAACAGAAAAACCTCTGGTAAAATTAATGGAGAAAAAGCAAAAATAAAAATATTAGGAACAAAAATATTTGTGACAGGAAAAGATTTTTAGGAACAACTTTATTGCAGTAAATATAACAATTTAGATGAAATAGATAATTATTTAAAACTATGACTATAATCAGACGAAATGAAAGAAAATATATAGATACACCAATTACCATTAAAAAGTAAACTTACTGATATATAAATTACATAAGTTGTATCTCTTTTAGAAAGACACCAAATCTTGTTTTTTTACAAATGAACTTTACCAGACTATCAGGGAGAAAATACACCATAGTTTTTTTTTGTGTGTGTGTACAATTTGTTTATGAATAGAGAAAGAGGAAGAAACCTACTCAACTTTTTATGATGCTAATTTTAGCTTGATTTTAAAATTGGTAAAGGACAGATCAAGAGGTGAAAAATTACAAATTTATCTTATTAAAAGAAAAAATCATAAATAAAATATTTTGAAACCAAATTCAACAGTGAATTAAAACATTACATGCTAGATTGGTCTCAGAAATGCATAATTTGCTTAAAATCACAAAGTTTATTAAAATACACCAGAGTATCAACAAATTGATGTAAAAAACAACTGGATAAAATTCAATACATATCTGTGATAAAAACTCTTGATAAACTAATAAGAAGGTAAGGGTGTCTATTATTAAAATAAAATTTTAAAATTATTAAATAAAATTATTAAAATAAAATTTAAATCTATTTAAGAAGATTTAAATACAAATTTTGATACAAATTATGTTGTTTAACATACCAAAGATAATTTAGAAACCAATAAAGTAAAATCTCCAGAAAAATTTCAAATGCTGAGAAATTAAACAACATAACTGTAACTAACTATGGTTCAAAGAAGAAATTGCAGTGGAAACTAGAAAGTATCATAAACTGAATGAAAATAAAATCACAATGTATTAAAATCTATGGGATACATACAGCTAAAGCAGTTTTTTAGAGGAAAATGGTTAGCATTAAATTCATACAGTAGAAAAAGGAATGCCTCAAATCAATGAGCTAATCGTCCATAAAAGAAACTTAAAGAAAAGAAAGAGCAAAGTAAACCCAGAGCAACTAAGAGAAGGAAACAATGAAATAGAAGAACAGAATTTAATGAGGTAGAAAACAGAAAGGTAATAGAAAAAAATGACAGAGTCAAAATCTGATTACTGGGAAAGATTAATAAAACTAATGACTCTCTAGAGATGATAAGATAAAAACAAGAAAGACACAAATTACCATTAAAGGAATGAAAGAATTGACCTCCCTAATACTGCTAAAAATAAGAAGAACACAATGAAGTATTATGAATAAGATTATGTCAAATAAATCAGCAACTTAGGTGAAATGGGCAAAGTCACTGAAAGACACAAAGTATGAAACTAACTGAAGAAGATAGCCTGAAAATCCTTGTGTCTATCATATAAATCAAATTTGTATTTAATGCCCCCCAGCCAGGCAAACTCCCAGCCCAAATATTTCACAGGTGAGTTCTGCCATATATTTAAAGAAGACATTTAACCAATTCTAATGGGATTATTTCAGGATATATGAGAAGAATTATTTTTCAACCCATTTTATGAGTCTTGCATTATCACGATACTATAATCAGACAAAGATAGTACACCTAAAGAACAGGCTAGGTACGGTGGCCCATGCCTGTAGTCCTAGCATTCTGGGAGGCCAAGGTAGGAGGATTGCTTGAGCCCAGGAGTTCTAGACCAGCCTAAGCAACATAGTGAGACCCCATCTCTACAAAAAATACAAAAATTAGCTGGGCATGGTGGTGTGCACCTGTAGTCTCAGCTACTCAGGAGCCTGAGGTGAGAGGATCAAGAGGTTGAAGCTGTGGTGAGAAGAGATCATGCACTTCAGCTTGTGCAACAGAGGGAGACCCTTTCTTAAAAAAAACAAAACACAAAAACAAAAACAAAAGTGAGGTAGGAGGCTGGACTAGACTCTGGAGGTGGAGCTTGGACACTAGACCAAATTGAGGGCTAGATAAAATGGTCTGGGGTGGAAGCACCTCCCCATAAGACATGCCCACCAGTGTGCAATGTGAGTTTACCATTGCCATGGCAACACTCAGAAGTTATTGCCCCTTTTCATGGCAATAACCCTGCAACCCAGAAATTAACCACCCTCATCCTGGAAATTGCTGCAAAACTGCCCTTTAATTTGCATATAACTAAAAGTGGGTATAAATATGAGTTCAAACCTGCCTCTGAGCTGCTGCTCTGGGCACTCTGCCTATGGAGTAAACCCTGCTCTGCAAGGAGGAGTCCCTCTGTTGCTGCTGTACTCCACGGCATCAATAAAAGCTGCTGATGAACACCCCCAGCCTGTTCTTGAATTCTTTCGTGGGTAAAGCCAAGAAACCTCCTGGGCTAAGCCTCAATCTTGGGGCTTGCCTGTCCTTTATCAAAAGGACACTATAGAGCAATATCCCTCAAAGATATAGATGCAAAAATCTTTAAGAAATTTGTTTTTGCAAATCAAATCCAACAACGTACATACAAATGTCCTAATGTATCATAATCTAAAGAAGTTTATCCCAGTAAAGCAAATTTAGTTTAGCTTTCCAAAATCAATCAATGCAATTCACTGTAATAGCAGACTAAAAAGGAAAATATATTTTAATAGATGCAGAAATATATTCACTAAATTCAACACCTAGTTAACTCTATGCAAATTAGGAACTCTATATAAACTAGGAATGGAAAATTCTGTCACCCTGCTAAAGGGAATTGAACAAAAACTTCGAGCTAACCTCATCATTCACAGTGAGCGATTGAATGTTTTCCCCAAAAGAATAGAAACAAGGCACAACTATCCATGGTCACCATTTGTATTTAATATGCCAGAGATCCTAGCTTCTGCAAACAGGGAGCAAAAAGGACATAAAAGCCATCCACATTGGAACAAAAAAAGTAAAATTGTCACTATTAATAGAAACTTGATTGTCTACGTAGAAAAGTCTAAGAGTAATATAATTTTTAGAAATTTAATAATTCTTTAACAAAGTGAGTTTAGCCAGACCATAGGATACAAAATCGGTATACAAAAATCAAATGTATTTCCCATACCAGCAATGGACAGTTAAAAAATTGAAATTTAAATAAACAATACCATTTACCAGAAGATAAAAAATATGAAATATTTAAGGACAAATTTAACACAATATTTGCAAGATCTGTACACTAAAACCTATGGAACACTGTTGAATTAAGTTAAAGAAACCAAAATAAATGGAGAGATGAAACACGTTAAGGATTGGAAGAGTATCACTTAGTATTCTTAAATTCAACTATAGATTGAATAAAATTCCAATAAAAATCTCAGTAGAATTTTTTAAATTGACAAGCTGATTCTAAAATTTATATGGAAATACAAAATATTTAGAGAACATTTTATAAGGAATTGTAGTACCTAAGTTGAAGCTTCCTGTAAAGCTACAGTAATCAAGTCATTGTGCTATTGGTGTAAACACAGACATAATAGATCAGTGGAAAATAATCCAAAGTAGAAAAATAGACCCTCACATATATGGTCAATTGAATTTCAACAAAGCTGCCAAAGTAATTCAAAAGGGAAATAATAGTCTTCTCAACAAATGGTACTTGAACAATTGGACATCCAGATTGAAAACAATGAAGCTCAACCCTTATCTAATACTATATAAACAATGAATTTCGAATGAATTAGACATATCAATATAAGAGCAGCTAAAATTGTAAAGCTTCTAGCTGAAAACACTGGAAAAAATATTTGTGACCTTGAGTTAGGTGAATATTTCTTAGAACACACAAAATTAACATAAAAAGAAAAATATAATAAGTGGAACTTCATAAAAATTTAAAACTTTTGCCTTTTATAAGACAGTGTTAAAGAATTAAAAAGACTGGGAGAAAATATTTGCAAAACAGATATCTGACAAAGAGCTAGTATTCAGAATATATAAAGAACTTCCACAACTCAATAATAATAAGAAAAAAAACCTGATTTTAAGAATTGTGGTTACAAAAGTTGAGCAGACATTTCACCAAAGAAAATACAAAGATGACTGATAAATACATAAAAAAGCACTCAAAATTATTTGTCCTTAGGGAAAAACAAGTTGAAAGTATCGTTTTAAAACTGGGCACATTCAATATCAAGTGTTGGTTGGGGGTGAGGAGCAACTTCCACTCTCATAGATGGCTGCTAAAAATGCAAAGTGGTGCAATAATTTGAAATACAGTTCCTTATAAAGTTATAATATCTACCATACTGCCTGTCAATCTTATTCACAGGTAGTTTCCCAAGAGAAATGAAAATGTATGTGCACACAAAGACTTTGAAGGAATTAAAAATATAACCCTCTAGCATATTGACTATTTAAGTTAAAGGCACTTGGAAAACAGCAGGTGCAAAAAGATTACTCTGACATTTGTGCTGTTTCTTAAAAGCAAAAGGTGAAAGTCCCGTGTGAAAGATGCAACATCTTTATCCTCAAGGATGAGAAATTGAGACCAAGAGACTTCTGCACAGACCTTGTTAAAATAACTCTTTTAAGACTCCCTACATGATTTAGCTGTTTCTTCAAACTTATATTCTTTGTCCAACTCATATTTATGTAACTGATTCTAACTGCTTCTT
Organism: Homo sapiens; assembly: GCF_000001405.40. Taxonomy (NCBI): domain Eukaryota; kingdom Metazoa; phylum Chordata; class Mammalia; order Primates; family Hominidae; genus Homo; species Homo sapiens. Next base: position 98,672,403 of record NC_000014.9, on the reverse strand, counting down.
TTGTTCTTTGTTTCTTTACCAGGGCTCTCAACCTGCCTAACACTTGTATTAAATACATTTGTATGTTTTTCTCCTGTTAATCTATCTTATGTCAATTTAATTCCCCAACCCAGCTGGGACCCTAAAAGGATGAGGGTAGGATTTTGTCTCTCCTTCAACTTGTACTTGAATATTCATGGTAGCTTCATTTGTAAATGTGAAAAAAAAACCAACAAAAAAACTGAAAACAACTCAAATATCCACCAACTGATGAATAAATAAACAAATTGTGGTATATTTACACAAGAAAATACTACTCAGCCATAAAAAGGGACATGCTGCTGATACAGGCATCAACGTTGATGAATCTCAAAACCATTATGCTATATGAAGAAATTCAGACACCAAGGCTACATACTGTATGATTAATTTTACATAATTAAAAATTTAAAACAGTTATATGGACAAGCAGATCAGTGGTTGCCCAGGGGTCGGGAGGTGCTTAACAACAGATGAACATTCAGGAGCCTTTTGGGGTAATGAGAATGTTCTATTCCATCACTGTGACTATGAACATTTGTCAAAACTTATCAAACTGTACACTCTAAACTGGTGAGTTTTATTTTCTGTAAATTGTATCTCAATAAAGCTGATTTTTTAAAAAGTAGTAGCATAAACACTGTAGAAAGATAAGCCAAGGGCTGGGAAAATATAATTGCAACATACATACCTAACCAGGATTAGCATACTGGAATAAGAAAATGCATGTTTTTCCCTTACAATGTAATAAGAAAGAGACAAGAAAAACAGGAGAAAAGCAGGCACAGATTGTGAACGAAAAATTTTAGAAGAGAAAATCCTACAGGACAGTGAACACATTTTCACTATGTTTCAGGGAAATGCAAATTAAGATAACATCTCACATTATTTTGCTCCCTTTGGAGTAATTAAAATGTAAACAATAAAGTAGCAAATATTTTGTGACTCCATGCTGTAGATGAGAGTAGATATTTCTTCTGGCTTCCTGGCACCTATAGTGTACATAGCATCTGACGTTAAACAATCACGTGTTCCTCCTGAATCTTGAGCGTGTCACCAATTATGTAGATATAGATATAGATGCAGGTATAAATACAATTCATTTCTTGTCCATCATCCCCTCCGCAGTGTCAGCCCTTTGAGGGCAAACAGTTGGTTTTATTCAGTGCTCTGTTCTCAGGGCATAAGACAGTGCCTGAGAAATGAGGGAATCCATAGACTACTAGAATGAAGATGGAGGTAGCAGCATCAGTGAGTACCAGCAAATGTGACAGACGGGGTAACATGCATGGTTCACTGGAGCATAGCCACTGATTGTGGCTGTGCTGGTGGCAGGCAAACTGCAGAGGTGCCACCGGGGGTACCCAACTACACTTCCTTTGGTAAGACTAGGTGTGTGATTTCAGTTGCCTGGCCTCTTGCCCAACTACCCTTTCCCTCTTGCCCAACTACTCTTTTCCAAAGCCTGTATCTTCAGACTGTATGTTTCTCCTGTCAAACCCCCAACAACCTTCTAATTGAATCATTTTCTGCTTAATTTAATGAGAGTCAGTTTCTGTTGTTTGTGACCAGGACCTCTGATGACGACAGAGGCACTGCTGTTAAAAGGAATTAACCAGATCTGTGGATATTGACGTGGATAAAACTTAAAAACAATTTTGAGTGAACAAAAACAAGTTACAGAATGATATATGCAGTACAATACATGCACCAAACAATACTGTCTATTATTTATAGATAAAAAGATATAGAGTAGAAGCATTACAAATATAATGGGAAGTACATGCAACATCTTCAAAATGCTAAAGACCTCTAGGAAAAAGAAAGGGAAATGAGAGAATAAGAGAAGGAAGTAAGTTTAAATTTGTAAACTTAGTATCTTTACTTTTCTTTATATTCAACATATTTCATAATTATTAAAAGAGCTTAGCCATGTTTTTTACTTCTGTCCTCCACAGTGACCCCAACCAGAGCCACCAACTTAGGACCTGTGGATTTTCAAGAGCTGAATTTGGAATCTGCTGGTTCAAGTTAAGAACCTGCTCTGTCTTTGGAAAATGTGGTCATTGTGATTACAGCTACTGCTGCCTTGGTTGTCAAAATAATCAAGCATTTCTTAAAAATGTTAAATGGTCTTAGTGATAGGAAATTTACACCTCAAATGGGATTAAGGACATAATATAATATAATTGAATCTTTAATGTATGGATTAACCATTGTTTCATTGAAGCAATATAAAGAAGTCCTTATAAATGTTATTAAATATTAGAATACAATGAATCTTTACTGTTAAGATAGTTATTACATGTTTGAAATTTAAAAAAGCACAGTTTGCATTCTATCATATTTTAACTGATTCCTTACCAAAGACTACCATCTGTTAAGGTTTTATATATACATATATGTGTGTATATACACACAAATATATATCTTCTTAAAATCTTTATAAAAATCTTCTTATGATCTAGCAAGAACGTTAATGCTGTAAATATATCCTGATATTTCTCTGAAAAGGCTGAGAGTTGTGATGGGGTGAGATAAAGTAAATCCCTGTGGAATAGTAATCATACTTGTATTTATAAAATTTTCAATACTTTTTATATTTTTTCTTCTTTTAAAACTCAAAAAACTTCCAAGTAGGTGTGGAGGCCAGGAATTATGCCCACGATGTACATGAAAAGACTGGTGCACAGACAGAAATGCCCATCAAGGGTCTCGCATTGTTTCAGGAAAAAAGAAGTACTAGGATTTGGTTCCCTTTGCTATTCTTTTGAATAATTTTTCATTTAATGACGTTGATTTAGCCTAGACCTCAACCCTGTGACCTCTGGGTTATTAAGATAACTTTGAAGCTTACTTGAACAAACATTTAAGGAGTATTCTGTGTGTGAAGGACTCTATGTTAGGGTCTGGGAAACCAAAAACAAATAAATCTGTTCCTATGCTCATAGCCTAATGGGTGAGACAAACATGTGAACTGATCACTTCAATTGAATTCTGAAAGGCTTGTGTGAGATGTAAACACAAGGAATTATGGGAAACTCACCCGGGCAGAAGGTCAGGAAAAGCTCATGGAAAAAGTGATGTGTGAGTTAAATGACAGAGAATGAATAGGTATTAACCAGGAATAGAGGAGAACAGAGGGCATTAAAAACAGAGGAAGCAACATAAGTTTAAGTGTGAATGGCATGACATGTGTTGACACTGACAAGCATTATCAGAGGCAAAAAGACCAGGAGATGGAAGAACTTATGGTTTTGGTTGTGGACAAGATTCTGAGGAAACATAACTGCTGAATTCCTTCCCTGAGAACACTCTGGAGGAACCACAGGGAAAAAGAAAGAAAACTGCAGGAAACGCCTTAGATAAATTTTAATAAGAGATAGGAAAGAATATGTAAATAGAGGGAGAAATATACTATGTTCATTGATAGGAAATCTTAATATTATAAATGTATCAATTCTTCCCAAAGTGATCTATCTATTCAGTGTAGGTCCAGTTATGGAACTTGAAAACTGATTTCTAAAATATATTCTAAAGGTTAAAGATTAAACCTGCAAGTTTAGCCAGGATGTTGCTGAAGGAGAAAAGCTGGAAGGAGTGATATCAGTTATTAACATCTATTATGAAACCACAAACAACACAGGAGTATGAAAATAGAGGAGAAATAGACACATTGACCAATGGGCTATAAGAAAGAAACCAAGCTACATGTGCAGGGGAGTTTGGTATACATCAGGGCAGTATGTGAGATTAAAGAGGGGAGAACAGATTAAAAAATCGTTCTGAAAAATAGCTATCTAAATTGAAAAATAGAACCCTTAACCCCTACCTTATGCTATGTACATAGTTAATTCCTAAAGGGTTAAGGTCTTATGTATTAAAAAAATTAAAACTACTTGCAGAAATATGTTTTAGATCTCAAAAATTGACTGGACCTTTAAACTAGACATAAAGTATTCACTATGAAACTAATGGCAAAAAATTTTACCTTATTAAAATTAATCCACAAACACCTTAAATAAGTGAAAAGAAAGGTTATAAACTAAGAGAAGATATTTAAGATAACCATCTAATAGAGAAGTAGTATAAAAATCCAATAAATTTTGAAAAACAGGCAAACATGTGAACAATAAGGTCGATAAACGTATAAAGATCTGTTCAGCATACTTGGTGAGCCAAGACCACAAAGTCATATTTTTTATACTTTCGATTGGCGATTTTGAACATTGCAGGTGATGGATATGATGGAATCTGCAGAATCTTCTCTGTATAACTGAGAAAGGAAAAATTGGTGCAAATGCTTTGAAATCCATTTTGCTACTGCTTTCTAAAGTGGAGATCTTAGTAAATCAATAACCTTGATAACTATTTCTAGGAATATTCTTGAAAGAAATTCTTGCACATATACAGACAGACTATAGCTGCACTGCTCACGGTTACAGAACTATAAGAACAAAAACATTTCATGTCAGTGAGAGTGGATAAATAAATGGAATATTAGATATAGTCACACAATGAAATATTAGACATCAGTCAAAATTGCTGAACTATTGTGACTCATAACTAAAGGCTGAATATTAGCATATAATATTACATGAAAAAGTCCTGAATACATGTAACAGCATGATATTATTTTTATAAAGTTTATCACCAGTTAAATAAAAAGCATTTTTAATGGATATACATAAACGCGATAAATGTATTATAAAAGAAAGCAAGTTAAAGATGAACAGAAGCTTGAGAATGAAGGTGTTACCTTGGATAAAAAAAGGCAGGGGTTGGGATGGTGTGTGGGGACATTTGGTTAGATGGAATTATTGTCAAGCTCCTGGCTTTCATTTCACAAGGTGGGTTTATGTTTGCATACGTTTAGAAATGTCTATATAGCTAGCTAAATAAATGAAAGTGTGTCATGAACTAAACACTACCTTTATTCCAGTTCTGTGCACTTGAAGTAGATAAAAAGAGGGGAGAGAGGGAAGGGGAAAGAAAAGAGGAAGAAAGAAAAGAAGGAAGCAAGGAAGGAAGAAAAAAGGGAGGGAAGAAGGGAAAGAAGGAGGGAGGGAAGAAAGAAGGGAAAGAAGGAGGGAAAGAAGGAAGGAGAGAGGGAGGAAAGGGAGGAAGGAAGAAAGGAAGAAAGGAAGGAGGGAGGGAGGGAGGGCAGAAAGGAAGGAGAGAGGAAAGGAGGAAAGAAGGAAGGAGAGAGGGAGGGAGGGGAGAAAGGAAGGAGAGAGGAAAGGAGGAAGGAAGGAGAGAGGGAGGGAGGGAGAGAGGGAGGAAAGAAGGGAGGGAGACAGGGAAGGAGGAAGTAAGGAAGGAAGGAGAGAGGGAGGGAGGGGAGAAAGGAAGGAGAGAAGGAGGGAGGGGAGAAAGGAAGGAGAGAGGAAGGGAGGGAGGGAGAAAGGGAGGGAGGAAGGAAGGGGGAGAGAGGGAGGGAGGGAAGGAAGGAGAGAGGGAGGGAGAGAGGGAGGGAGGTAAGGAAGGAAAGAGGGAAGGAAAGAAGGAAGGAAAAGGAAGGATGGGCAGACAGGGCGGTGAGCAACCTCAGAAAAAAACTCAGATAACAGAAGCTGGCAGGCGACAAAGTTTGTGTTTCTCATGCAATAAACTTTCATAGACCTGTAAAGTTTTATGAAAACTTCTTGAGATGACTATACGATTGCCAATTTTTATCTTGAGCTAAATCGGTCATGAGCAACTACACAGCCTACTACCACCTCTCACCATCATTCCTAAAGGGGAATACATTCAGCTCTTTGGAATATTTGCTGTTGGCCTCATTTTTCTGTTTCTGTCGTAGTTCAAGGAAAATTTTTTTTTTTTTTTTTTTTTTACAAAGGGTCCTGGTGCATGGACTGCATTTATGGAGTGCTGGACAAATGGCCAGTTAGGGATAAATGTGTACCATTCCATAGACTCATAGCTTTAGCCTGAAACAGCCACTAAATTTTCCCCTGCTACTCAGCAATTTGTTGACAAGTTAGAAAATATATAGCAAAAGATAAACATTTATAGAACATTCAACACCTTTTCCCTTGAGGTGAAAAAAAATAACACTCATACCAATGATCCAAGTTTTTAAATAGCTCTGATTGCATTCCTGCAAGCCTCCTTCCAGTCACTTGAAATCACCTTTCAGTAACAGGAATAATTGGAGATGTAACCAGAGAGTTATGTGTGTGAGGCTGCTTCGTGCAGTGTCATTCACACACACATGCACACACAGGCAGCTTCCTAAATTGCCAAATTTGCAGAAATGGGTAAATACATTTTGAGACATTTTATCATGGAAAATTACACGGCCATTAAACGTCACACTTTCAAGGAATCTTTACTCATGTAGGAAAATGGAGATGATTGACATAATGTAAGAAAACAGGACGCAAAGCAATATTCAGGTGACCCTTGAACAACACAGATTTGTACAGTGTGGGTCCACTTATCCGACGATTTTCTTCTGCCTGTGCCAACCCTGAGACAGCAAGACCAACCCCTCTGTTTCTTCCTCCTCCTTAGCCTACTCAACGTGAAGGTGATGAGGATGAAGTCCTTTATGACAATACACTTCCATTTAATGAACAGTAAATATATTTTCCCTTCCTTATGATTTTCTTAATAGCATATTTTCTAGCTTACTTTAATCTAAGAATACAGTATATAATACACAGAACACACATAAGATGTGCTAATCAACTGTTTATGTTATTGGTAATGCTTCTGGTCAACAGTAGGCTATTAGAAGTTATGTTTTGGGCTGGGCGTGGTGGCTCACACTTGTAATTCCAGCAGTTGGGGAGGCTGAGGCAGGTGGATCACCTGAGGTCGGGAGTTTGAGACCAGCCTGACCAACACGGAGAAACCCCGTCTCTACTAAAAATACAAAATTAGCAGGGCATGGTGGCACATGCCTGTAATCCCAGCTACTCGGGAGGCTGAGGCAGGAGAATCTCTTGAACCCAGGAGGCGGAGGTTACAGTGAGCCGAGATTGCGCCATTCATTGCACTCCAGCCTGGGCAACAAGAGTGAAACTCCATCTCAAAAAAAAGGAAAAAAAAAAAAAAGAAGAAGAAGCAGCGCTACTGCTGCTGCCTGGGGGAGGTTTGATGGTGGGACACAGGAAGTCTCATCACATGGTTCCGGTGGAAAGCATCCTCAGGCTGGACCCCACACAGAAAGTGACTTTTACTCTGAAAAGGATTTTCAATGACCCCTTTATCACCACAGCATCCAGAGTATGTTGATGTCAGCAGTGACTATAGGCAGAACAGCACATGCAGGTTATGGGGGAAATTGGCTAGATCAGGCATTAGATAAAATCCACTTCTAAGTTAAAGAGTTAAACAGGCAGACAGTATTTTGCTGAGCATATTGGAGGGAAGCAGAACAAGCTAAATATAAATTTAGCTTTGAGCATTTGCAGATGTAAAGGCTAAAAACTCAGAAGTGTGGGTCATGAGATGAGAAAGCAATGTCAGAGCCCTTACACTCTGGGGTGAGAATTGGGGGTTACCCACTTGAGCTTGAATCTGAACACTGCAGAGAAAATAAAAGCAGGGGTGTGTCAGAGGAGGGTTCTCGGCAGCTGTTTAGGGAGGGTAACAAGGAAGATGGTTAACTGTTTATTTTTATGCCTTAGCCAATTGTGTAGGTAACTAAAGAGAGTTCAATTCTGAGGTCTATCTATCCCTTATAATTTTTTTAAATATCTTAAACCTCCCCCAAACTACTGTTGATCCACAATCCCTTATCAGCAATACCAAAATCTGAACAGTTCCGAAAATCACATTTTAAGAAAAGTTTGTGGCACACTCGTTTGGCAGCAGACCTTGACCTAAACTGAAGTGAGGCTATTTATAGTCGTTATCAGGGCCCTCTTCGTGTGAATATTCATGTCTTCTGTAGCAGAAATATTCATGTGTTTAATTACAGGTTGCTGCTTCAGATCCTGCTGGGGCTGTTAAGTCATATCCAGTACATGGATCATATTACATTTCTAAAATCTAAAAAACTTCTGAAATATGAAACCATCTGCCCCAAAGGTTCCAGCCAAGGAATTATGGATTTTTATATTAATATACATATCCTATGAGTATGCCCCTATACTCTATAAAATTCTAACAGACTGTAAGAAATGAAATATTAGAGAAATAGTTTAAATCTCTTATATATTACTCTACTATTCCAATGTCCTTCTTATTTCTTCCTCAAAATCTCCATTTTGAATGTTGGTATCTATTATTTCCATACAAGTTTCTATAAAATGACATATATTAATTTTAATATCATACATATTCTATGAATATTAACATTCTATACATTTATATACATATATGCATGCATAAAACATCTACATACTGTATATATTTATATGTTGCTGTAACTCCATAAAAATTGTTTTATATATAGGATTCTTTACATGTTTTTAAGTATTATGAATAGAATCTTTCAGTAATTATCTTTACTTTTTATTGATGACTATTGATGTCAAGCTTGTTTTTGCATGCTTATTGATCATTGATATATCTTCTCTAGTGAAGTATCTGTTCAAATGTTATATCAATTTTTAAAATAGATTTGTTTGTTTTCTTGTCATCGACTGATAGTAATTCTTTATATAATCTCCACATAAGTTCCTTGTCAGATATATGATTTGCAAATATTTTCTTCCAGTAAGTGGCATAGCTTTACATTTTCTTAACTTGTTTTTGAAAGATTAAGTCCTTTCTATCAGTTTTTTCTTTCATGGCTTGTGCTTTGGTTCTAGTTTTAGAAATCATTGCCTAACCCATTGTTACAAAGATTTTCTTCTAGTTTTTCTTCTAGATACTTGTTTCAGCTCACATATTTAAGTCAGTAATCCATATTAAGTTATATTTTTCTATGGTGTGAGATAAACGTCAATGTTCATTTAGGGTTTTTTTGTGCAGATAATCTAGTTGTTCCTATTATTGAAGGACTATCATTTCTTCATTGACTAGTATTAACATCTTTGGCAAAAATTAATTAGCCATATAAGTGTGGATGTATTTTTGGAATCTTAATTCTATTTAAGTCATTTATATGCCTATTCTTATGTCAATACTACATTGTCTTTATTACTGTACTTTTATAGTATATGCTGAAAGTAGGAAGTATGAACATCTGTGCTCTTCTTTTTCAAAATTATTTTGGTTATTCTAGATCCTCTGTTTTTCTCATATAAATTTTAGAATTGGCTTGCCAATTTTAAAAAATAAAGCTGCCTAAAAAGATTTGTATTGAGGTGGCACTGAATATCTTTGTATTTACTTGAGTCATCTTTAATTTCTCTTTGTGAAATTTTGTAGTTCTCGGTGTTTTATTCCTAGTATGTATTCATTGTTTATTCCTCGTATGTAGAAATGGATTATATTGATGTTTATATTGACCATTTATTCTGTCATGCTACTCACTTCACTTATTGCTTCTAGTGTTTTATTTATTTTGTAGATTTTTAAGGATTTTCTTAAGTCCTTTCTATCAGTTTTTTCTTTCATGGCTTGATTTTGGGTACAAGGCTATATTATCGACAAATGAAGAAGTTTTCATTTTATCCCTTTTGCTATGGTTTGAATGTGTCCCTCCAAAGTTCATGTGTTGGAAACTTGATTCCCCATGTGGAGGTGTTGGGAGGTGGGTCGTTTAAGAGGTGTTTAGGTCATGAGGTCACTACCCTGTTGAATGGATTAATGTCATTATCCTGGGAGTGGGTTTATATATAAAGATGGGTTTCCTGTCTTCTTGTGTGCTCTCTGTCTCTCGCTCCCCCGTCTTTGCTCTTTCACTATATTATGATGTAGCAAGAAGGTCTTCATCAGACACAACCCATAGATCTTAGATTTCCCAGCTTCCAGAAATTGTGAGAACTAAATTTCTGTTTATTATAAATTACCTGATCTATAGTATATTGTTATAGCAGCGCAAAATGGACTGAGATACTGTTCAATTTATATGCCTTTTATTTTTTCTTTTTATTGCCTTATGATGCCATCTAGGACTTCCAATGCAGTGCTGAACAGAGGTAAAGAGAGAAGACCTCCCTGTCTTTTTTCTGGTCTTTGGCAGAAAGTATTGAGTCTTTTACCATTGTGAATGATGTTAGTCATAAAACTTTTGTAGATGTCCTCAATTAGGCTAAGGGAGTCTCATTCAATTACTAGTTTGGTGAGGGTTTTTTTAAAAAAAATCATGCATGTATTTTGAATTTTTTCAAAGACTATCTTTATCTATTACATTGTCACAAGTTTTTCCCTTTTATATTCTTTTATTTAGTACATTACATTGATTACTTTTCAGATGTTAAAACAACCTAGCATTATTGAGGTAAAATCCACTGAGTCATAAAATATCACTGATTTTACATACTGTTTGATTTAATTTGCTAAAATTTTGTAAAGGATTTTGCATCCAGATTCAAGAGGAATGAATACTTATCTATAATTTCTCTTCTTGTGATGTTTTTATCTGCTTTTGATTTAGTAATCTCAGATTTGTAAGATGAGTTGTAAAGGATTCTCTTCTCTATATATTCTGAATGAGTTTGTGTATGGTTGATATTATTTATCTCATATATATTTGATTGAATTCACCAATCAAGCAATCTGGCCATGAAATTTCATTTGTGAAAAGAATTTTACTCAACGATTTCATTTATATAGGCCTACTGAGTTTTCTATTTCCTATTGGGTGAATTTTGGTTACTTCCGTTTATCAAGGAATTTGCCCATTTTATTTAGGTTTTAAAATTTATAGGCAAGGCTGGGTGGGGTGGCTCACGCCTGTAATCCCAGCACTTTGGGAGGCCGAGGTGGGCGGATCATGAGGTCAGGAGATAGAGACCATCCTGGCTAAGACTATGAAACCCCGTCTCTCCAAAAAATACAAAAAATTAGCCGGGCGTGGTGGCAGGAGCCTGTAGTCCCAGCTCATCGGGAGGCTGAGGCAGGAGAATGGCCTGAACCCAGGAGGCGGAGCTTGCAGTGAGCCGAGATCGCACCACTGCACTCCAGCCTGGGCGACAGAGCAAGACTCCGGCTCAAAAAAAAAAAAAAAAAAAAAAAAAAAAAAATTTATACGCGAAATGTTGTCCATAATTTCCTTTTAAGGTTGATCGAATCCTCAGTGCTGCCCATCCTTTTATCCTTAGTATTAGGAATTTATGTCTTATTTCTTTTTTTCTTTCTCAGTCTATGTAGAGGCTTATGTATGTGATTTGTTCTTGAAAGAATCAAATATTAGTTTAAAATTTTATATCATTTATTTCTGCCTTTATCATTCTTTCCTTGCTTATTCTTATTTTACATTTACTTTTCTTTACCATGCCTTGAAAGTTGAATCTCAGATAGTTGACTATGGGTCTCCTTTGAAATGTAATATATATTGGCACCAAATTTCCTGTATGTATGACTTTATCTATATCTCACAAATTTTGAGATATTTTATTTCCACTAACATTTAGTTAAAAATATTTGCTCATTTTTTGTGTTTTCTGACTATGGATTCTTTAGAAATGTCATATGCAATTTCTAAATATTTCTATTTTCCTTAGTTATCTTATTGTTACTTATATTTTAATTGCTTTATTGAGGTATAATTAATGTATTATGCATTCTATATGTTTAATATATACAATTTGAAAATTTTTGAAATGTGCATACTTCAGTAAAGTTACCACCACAATCAAGATACTGAACACATCCATCATTCCAAAAAGTTTTATTATATTATTTTGTAATCCCTCTTGCCAGATCCTCTCCCTCATCCCTAGGCAACCACTGATCTGGCTTCTCTTGTTATATATTACTTTACATGTACTAGATACTTTTTCCTGAATACATGGAATTAAACTGTATATGATTCTTTAGTCTGACTTCTTTTCATCATTGTAATTATTAGAGATTTATCTGTGTGTATTTCTTTTCATTTTTAAGTGCTTTTCCATTATACGTGCTGGCACAATACCTCAGGTATATTGCCAGTTTGGTTTTGGACCACTGCATCAAAGCAAATATTACAATAAAGCAAATCACATAATCTTTTTGGTTTTCCAAAGCATATAAAAGTTATGTTCACACTATACTGTAATCTAAGTGTGCAATAATATCTAAAAAAATGTATACACCTTAATTTTAAAATCATTATTAAAGGATGTTAACAATCATCTGAGTCTTCAGTGAGTCATAATCTTCTTGCTGGTAGAGGGTCTTTCCTTGATATTCATGGCTGCTGCCTGATCACAATGCTGATTGCTGAAAGTGGGGGTGGCTGTAGCAATTTCTCAGAATAAAACAACAATGTCCCAGCACTTTGAGAGGCCAAGACAGGTGGATTGCCTGAGTCCCAGGAGTTTGAGATCAGCCTGGGCAACATGACAAAACCCCATCTCTACAGAAATTACAAAACATTAGCTGACTGTGGTGGTGCATGCTTGTAGACCAAGCTACTCAGGAGGCTGAGGTTGGAGGATCTCTTGAGCCTGGAAGCAGAGGTTGCAATAAGCCATGATCACACCACTGCACTCCAGCATGGGTGACAGAGCAAGATCCCGTCTAAAAACAAAACAAAACAAAACAAAAAGACAACAGTGAAAACAGGGAAGTTTGCCATGTTGATAGGCTCTTCCTTTTAAAAAAATTTCCTTGTAGCATGCAAGGCTATTTGATAGCATTTTACCCACAGTAGAACTTCTTTCAAAATTGAAGTGAATCCTCTCAAACCCTATCACTGCTTTATCAACTAAGTTAAGGTAAAATTCTAAATGCTTTGTTGTCATTTCAATAACACTCACAGCATCTTCACCAGCAGTAGATTCCTTCCCAAGAAACCACTTCCTTTGCTTATCCATAAGAAGCGAGTCCTCATTCATTCAAGTTTTATCATAAGATTTCAGCAATTCAGTCACATCTTCAGGTTCCACTTCTACTTCTAGTTGTCTTGCTCTTTCAATCATATCTGCAGTTACTTCTTCTGTTGAAGTTTTGAATCCCTGAAAGGCATCCATGAGGGTCGAAATTAACTTCTTTCAAGCTCCCGTTTATGTTGACATTTTAACCTCATCTTATGAATCATGAATGTTCTTAATAGTATCTAGAATGGTGAATGCATTCCAGAGGATTCAATTTATTTTGCCCTGACCCATCAGGAGAACCACTACCTATGGCAGCTATAGCTTTATGAAATGTATTTCTTAAACAATAAGACTTGAAAGTCAAAATTTTTCCTTGATCCATGGGCTGCAGATTGGACGTGTTAGCAGGCATGAAAACAAGATTCACCTCCTTGTACATCTCCATTAGAGAGCTCTTAGTCACTAGATGTAATGTCAATGAGCAATACATTTTTGATTTTTTTTTTCTGAGCAGTAGGTCTCAATAATGGGCTCAAAATATTCACTAAACTATGTTGTAAACAGATACGCCATCATCTGGACTTTGTTGTTCCATTTGTAGAGCACAGGCACAGTAGATTTAGCATAATTCTTAAGAGCCCTAGAGTTCTTGGAATAGTAAATGAGCATTGGCTTCAACTTAAAGTCACCAGCTGCAGTAGACCCTAACAATAATCAGCCTGTTCTTTGAAGTTTTGAAGCGAGGCATGGTATTCTCCTCTCTAACAATGAAAGTCCTAGATGGCATCTTCTTCCAATATAAGGCTGCTTCATCTACAGTGACAATCTGTTGTTTAATGTGTCAATAATCTTAAGTAGATCTGGGTAACTTGTTGCAGCTTCTACATCAGCACTTGCTGCTACAGCTTGTTTTTTCATGTTATGGAGATGGCTTCTTTCCTTAAACCTCATGAACCAATCTCTGCTAGCTTCCAGCTTTTCATCTGCAGCTTCATCTCTTTCAGCCTTCATAAAATTGAAAGGAGTTAGGTCCTTGCTATGGATTAGAATTTGGATTAAGAAAATATTATGATGGGTTTGATCTTCTATGTAGACTACTAAAATTTTATCCACATAAGCAATAAGTCTGTTTCACTTTCTTATTATTTGTGTCTTGGTTGGAATATCATCTTTAACTTCCTTCAAGAACTTTTCATTTATATTCACAACTTGGCTAACTATTTGGTGCAAGATACCTAGCTTTTGACATGCCTTCCTCACTAAGCTTAATCATTTCTGGCTTTTGAATTAAAGTGAGAGATAACGTGACTTTGTCTTTCACTTGAACACCTATGGGCCATCATATGGTTACTATCTGGCCTAATTTCAATATTGTTGTGTCCCAAGTAACAGAAAGCCTGAAGGATTGAGAGAGAGAGGGGAACATGGCTGGTCAGTGGAGCAGTCAGAACACACACATTTATTGATTAAGTTCACCCTTTTAATGGGTAGTTTGTGGTGCTCCAAAACAATTACAACAGTAACATCAAAGATCACTGGCCCCAGGTCACCATAGCAGATGTGGTAATAATGAAAAAGTTTGAAATATTGCTAGAATTGCCAAAATGTCACACAGAGATACAGAGTGAGCACCTGTTTTGGGAAAAATCGTGCCAAAAAACTTGCTGAATTCAGTGTTGCCACAATAGTTCAGCTTGTAAAAACACAGTATCTGTGAAGTGCAATAAAGCAAAGCACAATAAAATGAGATATGCCTGTATCTTCTTTCTAATGGGAGTGCTTAATCTCGTAACACTTAATATAATTATTTATATGATTGGGTTTGGATCTACATTTTAATTTATGTTGTACTTGTCTTTTCTGGTTTTGGATCATCTATTCCTCCTCTGCCTTTAAAAAATAATGTGAACATGTTTTAGAATTCCCTCTTTAACGGTTATGTTGGCTTTTTTGCTACCATTAATTACGTTATGTTTTTAGTGGTTGCTGTAAAAATTATAATATACCAGTTTGCATCTTCACATTTTATATATGGTTAACAGTATCCCACTTCATGTAAAATAGTAAAACTTGAAACTGCACTAGTTCATATCTCCCATCCTGTGCTTTATGCTATAGTCATTGTATGTGTAACATCTACATACATTTTAAAACTTACCAGAAACATTACATATGTTGTTTTTAATATTTACATGTATCATAAAAAATTAGCAAGAATGAAACAAAAAATATAGTCTTTTGGATTTAGAAAGATGTCTGAGGAAGACAGCTCAGATCTTCAAAATTAAAAAAAAAAAGGGCATAGAAATGCCCTTTTGAGCTCAGGAGTTTGAGACCAGCCTAGGCTACATAGTGAGACCTTGTCTCTACAAAACATCAAAAAATTAGACAGGTGTGGTGGCATATGCCTGCAGTCCCAGCTACTTGGGAGGCTGGGGTGGGAGGATTGCTTGAAACCAGGAGGTCAAGGCTGCAGTGTGCTGTGATGAAATGCCCTTTTTTTTTTTTTTTTTTTTTTAAATTTTGAAGATCTGAGCTTTCTTCCTTCAGCCAGAAAGGAAGCATTTCTTGCAGTGCAGCTTTTTGGGTGGTACTCTCTTAGTTTTCTTTAATCTGAAAATATATTTATTTTACTTTTATTCTTAGAGAATATTTTTGCTGCATATAATTCTGGGTGGAGAGCTTTGGTTTTCATTTTTTCACTAATATAAAATCTTCCACAGTCTTCTGACCTCTGTAGCTTCTGATATTTATTCATTTACTCTTTACTTTCATACATATTTGTTTTTCTCTCAATGTTTTCCATATTTGACTACACCTTTGGCTTTCAACAGTTTAACTACGATGTTCCTTCATATTTATTTTGACTGATGTTTATCAGTATCTTGTATCTGTAAACTTCTCTCTGTCATCATGTTTGGAACATTTTCAGCCTTTCTTTTTCAAATATTATTTTTGGCCTTTCTTTCCTGTCCCTCTGGACCTCCAATTACACATATGTTGGAACTCTTGGTATTATTGAGCAGCTCCCTGAGGCTTTGCTGGTCTTCACACTTCTTTTTCTCTTTGTTTCTTCAGATAATTTCTATCAATTTATTTCATGTTTACATAATCTTTCCTTTGTTGTCTCTGTTACTATGATTTTTTCTTTAGGCCTTGTTCTGTTTCTCATCTGAAGCTTCCTATCTTATTATTTAGTGCAAGTCTATTTACAAAATTAATTAATTGTTAATTATAACAGCCACTTAAAAATCTTGGTCTTTTGTTTTCCATATCAGGATCATCTTAGGGTTGGTCTCAGTTTATTTTCTTTTCTCCTTTGCATGTGTTTTGTATTCTTGGTTCTCTATGTGTCTGGTATTTTATTTATTTATTTTTTTGAGGCAGGGTATCACTCTGTTGCCCAGACTGGAGTGCAGTGGCACCATCACGGCTCACTGTAGCCTTGAACTTCTGGTTTCAAGCAATCCTCCCACCTCAGCCTCCTGAGTAGCTGGGACTACAGGCATGTGCCACCACATCTGGTTAATTTTTGATGTTTCGTAGAGACAGGGTCTCACTATGTAGCTTAGGCTGGTCTGAAACTCCTGAGCTCTAGCTGTCCGCCTGCCTCAGCCTCCCAAAATGCTGGGATTACAGACATGAACCACTCACTGTGCCCGGCTGTATCTGGTTACAGTTTTGGACTGTAACCGAGACATTGTGGATACTAATTTGTGGAGATTCTTTATTCTGTCACTTTTCTCTGGTGAATGATGTCCCTTTGTTTTAGTAGGCAATTATATTGGATGGACTTGAACTGCAAACTCCGTTTCTTGGGTGGCATCTCGTCTCTTCACATATTTTGTCTTTAGCTGGAGTGCTTTAAGTCTGTGTGCTTGGGTGATCCAAGTGTGAGTCGTTGTCAGAGATACAGGGAGGCAGAATTTAAGGATCCACCCTAGGCTCTTTACTTTCTAGAATTCTTCAGCTGTCTTCAGTAGCCATAGATTCCTTATATATAGTTTTCTGGTTCTCCAAACCAGAAACATTGTGGTTTTCCCACTGGCCTTCCTTGCTATATCAAATGTTTTGCTGACTTGTCTTAGGCTAAAAGCCATGAAAATGGGGACTGACTTTATTCCTTCCTCTTCTCTGTGCATGGACTCCCTGCCAGAGTTCATCTACTTCTGCACACTATCCAGTGACTTCAAACAACTGTTTGTACTATCACATGCCTATTCTATAGTTGTTTGCTGTGGGGTCATCTGCTCAAAAGAATCTTACTCCTTCATTACCACAGCAGATCCTGAAACTTGCTTTTTACACATGCACACACAAAATGCTTTTGAAAATCACTCATGGTGACATGTTAGTTCCAGTTATTTTTTTATTGCTGTCTAGTGTTCTCATTGAAGGACTATAAACATCTTAAATCCAATTTTCATACAATGGATATTTAGCTTTCCAGTGTTTCTTACAGGAAATGCTGAGATGAACATTTTGCAACTTCTATATTTACTTTTTTTTTTAATACATAGTTCAGTTTCTTTTAGGTATATGGCTAGAAGTGAAATTTCTAACTTGAAGGTCATTGATATGTTCAGCTTTCCTAGACGGTGCCAAATTGTTCTTCAAATTTGTCAAAACAACTTTGCATCTCACCAACAGCATACAGTTCTTGTTTCTTCAGATATTCACCGTAACTAAGTATCATTAGACACTTGTGTGTTTGACAGTCTGATGAGTGTGAAATGAAATGGTGTCTTATTGTTGTTTTTATTTGCATACCTCAGATGATTAAGGTGGAACACAATTTCTCTGTATATTAATCATTATAATAGCTTCTTGTGACTTTCCTTTTCAGATTTTAGCCAACATTTTTCAGAAATTTATTTCCTTTTCTTTCTTTTTAATTTTCTACATTTGTGGTAGTTTATTATGTATTCTAGATACCTTTTCTATTCAGTTCTATGCTTTATAAACATATTTTCTCAATCTGGCCTGTCTTTTCTTATAGTTGAAAGTTTCTTGTTATGCAGAAATGCTTACATAGAGTTAATTTTTTCAGTCAATTCCATTAGGTTTAATTTCTTACTATGTAAGGCTTCTTGTTAGATTTTTTTTCAAGAAATTCTTCACTGCCCGTATATCACAAAGATATTTTCTTATACATTCTCCCACAATTTCAGAGTTTTTCCTTTTTAGATTTAGATATTTATTATGTCTGAAATTTATTTCTTGAGCATACTATAAGGTAGGTATGTGCATTTTATTTTCCATATGGAGAAGCAATTGTTCTTTACACTTTATTGTGTGATCCTTTTCCCCCCTCACTACAATTTAGTGCCACCCTTGGGCCAGTTCGGGTCCTCCATACTTCCACAGGTCAATTTTTGGGCTTCAGTTTTCAGTCAATTTTCTATCGCCTGCATTGACCTCATGGTTTTAGTTACGAGAAGTTTGTAACACATCAAGGCAAGTTTTCTGACAAGCCAAACAGTTGGATTGTAACTGCAATATAATAATTTTGGGGAAAATTTGTATCTTTATGATATTAGTTCCTCTAAAAATCCTGACTATATTTCATGTAGGTCTCCTTTTAAGTAATTCGGTTCCCCAGGGGGAGGGGGGTTCCTTGCTCCCAGAGCTCCCAAGATGGTGGCAGGCCACTTCCAAAATGGCGGCTGGCCGCTTCCAAGATGGTGGCAAGCCTCGTGTTCTCTGACCTGGGGTTCTTGGCCTCACGGATTCCAAAGAATGGAATCTTGGGCCATGCAGTGAGTGTTATAGCTCTATTAGAAGCCATGGATCATGGAAGAGAACCATGGAACCCAGTGACTAGTGTTCAGCTTGATTAGGACGAACCCAGGCACTTAGCCGTGCAGCAACAATGGCAAGCCTTTAGCCCAATTGGGAGCAGCAATGGGCACCTCACTGGATCAGGAGCACAGCAGATACCCTGCTGGATCTGGAAGGATGGAAGTCAGCAGTGAGTCTGAGATGGCAGCAAACAGCAGTGGTGGACAGCCAGTGAAAGCTCAGCTCGAGCCATAACAAATACGGAACAGAAGAGTGCAGTGGCAAGATTTAATAGAGTGAAAACAGAGCTCCCATTCAAAGGGAGGGCACCCAAAGCAGGTAGCTGTTGCCGGCTTGAATGCCTGGGTTTATATCCCAATCATTGTCCCTCCCACTGTGCTCTCAGGTGATAGATGATTGGCTACTTCTTTACCTCCTGTTTTAGCCTAATTAGCATTTTAGTGAGCTCTCTTTACTAACTGACTGGTCGGGTGTGAGCTAAGTTGCAAGCCCTGTGTTTAACGGTGGATGCGGTCACCCTCCCGGCTAGGCTTAGGGATTCTTAGTTGGCCTAGGAAATCCAGCTAGTCCTGTCTCTCACTTCAATGGCACTTTTGTAATTATTTTCATATGTGACACATCTTTTGATAGATTATTACTGTATCTTACAGAAGTGTTGCTATTGTTAATATAATGTTTTTGTTAGTTTTTTTAGTAATTGGCTATTATTGGTAAATAAGAAACAACTTTCTTGAATATTAATCTTGTTAAAACAAACTTGCTTAATTCTTGCATTAATGTTAACAAGTTGTTTACAAATTTTCAATCATATCAATTTATTTTAAATTCTTATTAAAATAAATTCAGTAAAGCTATGCATTTGTCTTAAATATTAATTTAGCTTTTCACAAAAGTTGTGATATACAGTATACTGATTTCTAATTTATTCTAAATTTACATAATTTTCAAAAATTAATTTTGATTCCACTTTTGGCCCATTATATTTCCAAGCATATTAAAGGAAAGGAGCATTGATGATACTTTTATTGTTGATTTAAAATTTTAATTGCATTGTAATCAGAGAACTTGGGCTGTGTTATATTGATTCTTTGAAATGTGTTGTATGTAATACACTTTGGAACCTAACACATATTAGAGTTCCATATACCATGAAAAATAATAGATATTTTCTCATTCTACATATAGAATTATTTATTTGTGTGTATGTATACACTATAGATAGATAAATAGATACATACACACACATTTAAACAGAGTGTATTTTGTTCTAATCATTTATTTTTCATCTTTTTTTGATAGAGCACATAATATAAAATTTGGATTTTATAATTTCTCCTTATAGTTCTATCATTAGAATTCATTTTTATAGTTCTTCATGATAAAGTGTACTCTTCGTAATTTTCTAGTTTCTGCTTTCTTTTCAAAGAAATTGGTATAAATAAGTTCTATTTTCTCTCCAGTAATATTTTATACCAGTTGCCTAAACTGTGAACTTCTTGAAGGTAGGGTTACCTGATGCACCCCTGGGTTGTCAGTGCACAGGAGGTAGGCAGGGCAGTGACTGAAGCACAGGAAGCAGTGACACTCATCAGCCATCATCAAATGGAATAACATAAGCGGCTGATCGAAACTAGCTGGAAGGAAATTGCAGTCATAATATCTGTAAGCATGTTGGGTTTTTTTTTTAATGTTCTGCCCTTTACACCTATCATTTTATGAACATTTCTCTATACCAGGGGTTGGCAAACTTTTTCGGTAAAAGGTAAGATAATAAATATTTCAAGCTTTGTGGGCTATTTGGTGTGTGTCCCGAATCCTCAATCCCGCCATTGCAATGAAAAGCAGCCATAAATGAGTGATCATGGCTGTGTTCCAATAAAACTTTATCTAAGAAACAAGTGGCAGGCTGAAAGTGCTGACCCCTAGTTTACATCATTAGATCTTCTATAAAAATGGCTATAAGATATTCCAGGCTGTGAATATTTTATGGTATATTTCACAAATTCTCTATTGTTGCACAGTTAGACAGTTTTCTTTTTCATTATTAAAAATAACATTGTAATACGAGTTCTTAGATACGAATGTGTTTGTGTGTTGGATTTTTTTCATAAATTGTGATTTATCTGGCATGTGATAGATAATACATATTTATTGAATGAATTAATTAACAAATTTCTATTGTAGCAAGAACACTTCACTGGGTACTATGGATAGAGATTGAAATGAAGATCAAGTTGGCTTGGAGAAATTCACACTCAAGGGAGAGAGGGCAACTTTGTTTTCCAGCTGTGTGGCCTTGGTCAAGGCACTTACTCCTCTGGGCCTCACTTCCCATAATTTAAAAAAAGGAAATAATACCTTCCTTGGAGATATGCTGTTAGGCTTGGATGACATCAAATGTGACTGCCTGGCAGGAAATACCTGGGAGAGGGTGGTTTTAAGAAGTCACCTTTACTGGGCTGACATTGTGTAATGCAGTCACATTTTCCATTATTATTCAAAACCTTGCTTGCCCACAGCAGGAATGCTTTGAGGCCATGGCCTAGGGGTCCTTGGAAATTTACAGCAATTTGCATAAATCTGCATAGGGAGCGTAATGCCTGTAGTATCATTATTGTTAAGTTACTCAGGTCTCAGCTTTACACGTTATACATAAAAAAACACACTTCCGAATTCCCAGCTTACCTCCCTAGGCATAGACCAGAAATGTCAGGTCAGGGATTAGCATGCTCTGGACAAAAAGGAACAATAGTTTATTTCTAGAATTGTGTGTTCCAAATAAGCCACCAATTAACAACTAGAGTATGTTGTACAATAGCTGGAACTCAAATATGCCAGGAACAAAATACTGTAGATCTGTCACTAGGTCATTTATTGGTAGAAAAAGCTGAAATGAATTTTCTAAACCAAGAAGGAGTTATTCTATTATCTTTCTGTCTATTATATAAAGGTGAACTATAGGCAATACAGACAATAAAATGTGCTTCCCAGTTCTTAATAATAATAAATAGAATTTGTACATTTTTTTCCCCAGCAGTTTAAATTCCAAAAAGGAAGAAATATCTTGGAAGAGCATTATAATTATGATAAGTAAATAAAAACATGCAGGACAAAAGTTTAGGACAAAAAAGGGTTTAGGATAGAGCCTGGCACATAATAAATGTGAAATAAATGATATTTATAATGTTGGCTGTGATTTTTATTTATATCACCAACTTCAAAATAAATTGCCTTGTAATAAAAATGTAAGTATCATCCTAATCAAAGTAGAAATAATACTGAGTACTTATGTGTGAGACATTGCTCAAAATACTCTGTATATATTAACTAATAACTCATTTAATTCTAAAAAAAATCTTATGAGATGGTAATTATTAGTAGCAGATGAAGAAACTGCGGTAGAGTTTCACAGACAAGAAGTCTCTTAAGAAAAGGTGCTGTGGCTCACACCTATAATCCCATGAGGCCAAGACAGGAGGATCACTCAAGCCCAGGAGTTCAATACCAGCCTAGGCAACCTGATTAGACCATGTCTCTACAAAACATAAAAAAAAAAAAAAAAAACCTGGATGTGGTGGTACACACCTGTAGTCACAGCTACTCTGGAGGCTGAGGCTGGAAAACTGCTTGAGCTTGGGAAGTTGAGGCTGGGGTGAACCCTGATTGCACTACTGCATTTCAGCCTGGGCAACAGAGTGACACTGTCTAAAAAAAAGGCTGGGCATGGTGGCTCACGCTTGTTATCCCAGTGCTTTGGGAGGCTGAGGCTGGTGGATCGTGAGGTCAAGAGATCAAGTACCTCCTGGCCGACATGTTGAAACCCTGTCTCTACTAAAAATACAAAAATTAGCTGGGCGTGGTGGTATGCGCCTGTAGTTTCAGCTACTCAGGAGGCTGAGTCAGGAGAATCGCTTGAAACCGGAAGGTGGAGGTTGCACTGAGCCGAGATCATGCCACTGTCCTCCAGCCTGGCGAAAGAGCAAGACTCTGTCTCAAAGAAAAAAAAAAAAAAAGAATTACCTTTAACTACCAAGCTATGCTGCCTTTGATACAAATATTTACTGAATGCTTCTTATGTCCTAGTTACTGTTCTAGTTACCTAAGTTTTGAGTGAGAAGAAAAGGTTCATGCTTATATCTCTGGTAACAAAACAACTTCAGCTGAATTAAATTAAAAGGAGTTTGAGCAATGAACGATCCGTGAATCGGCAATCACAGCGGTTTCAAAGAGGCTCCAGGGATGCCTGTGGTCAGAACAAATTTATAGGCAAAAAAAAGGGAAGTGATGTACAGAAATTGGAGATGAGGTACAGAAAGAGCTGGATAGGTTACAGGATGGCGTTTGCCTTATTTGAACAGTTTGAACACTCAGCAGCATATACCTGGTTGAAGTATGGATGCTGGGATTGGACAAGACTCCGCCACTGTTACTGGAGCATA
This sequence comes from Homo sapiens, assembly GCF_000001405.40. Classification (NCBI taxonomy): domain Eukaryota; kingdom Metazoa; phylum Chordata; class Mammalia; order Primates; family Hominidae; genus Homo; species Homo sapiens. The sequence continues at coordinate 98,649,275 of NC_000014.9, read as the reverse complement.
CACCTAAGTCAGGATTTCAATCTTGTCTACTCACTAAGTTAGGTTGCAGTTTGTCCACAAGGACTCAAATATAGAAGAATAGAATCCTTCTCAGGCCATATTTAGTTTGCTTTAACATCTCTTAGGAATCCTTCTCAGGACGTATTTAGTTTGCTTTAACATCTAACATATTTTGTGTGTAATAAAACCAATCCAAAATTTAGTGGTTTAAAAAAATACCCATTCTATGTAATTCACAATTCTGTGTGGCAGCTGCATGGCTTCTGTCTGGGACAGCGTGCTGGTCTATCTCCTGACCCTCTGGAAAGCTGGCTGACTGGCTGCTGGCTTGGTGATCTAGGCTAGCTTTTTCACATGGTGGTTGGTAGGCTGTTGGCTAAGGGCTAGCCGCACCCTGGTTCTCCCACTATGACCTTTCATTCTCCAGCAGGCTAGCTCAGACTCACTCATGTGGTGGTCTCAGGGTCAAAGTGCAGGATGAGAGAAGGTAAGCGCCAATGTCCACGTGCTTTTTGAAAATAGCAATATATCCCCTTGATTTGGGGCATGTGGGAGTCACTATAGAAAATGACTCTGCAGTATGTTGTGCTGTTTTGTGTTTTAAAACTTGAGCATCAGCTGTGTTTCTGACCCAGTGCTAGGTATGCAGGAGACAGAAATGTGGATGATCTGTCTCCTACAATTAAACGTCTCCTAGGGTAGGGCTGGATAGAGGCAAGTAAACTTGTTTTTTTTATTTTAAGTTTAATAAATGCTGTATGCCAGATCCTATTGTAAGCATTTAAAAAATATTAAACTATTAGCCAATGTAGTCTCCGTAATGACCTAGGCAGGCTTGGACCACTGTACCCATTTTCAGTTGCTGAAACACAGAGAACAGTTAGATAATTAACAGAGTTCTCCAGGCTAGAGTATGATAAGCCAGGGTTTGAATCTGTGCAATCTGCTCTCCAGTTCTGGCTACATGAGCCACGTTCTCTTGAAATTTGACAGCAATGAACCAGATTTGAAAACCAAGCACTTTATGAACACACAGTCGGGACTAACTATTTCTCTTGTTAAAGGATGAATTCTCAGAGGACACATGACATTTAAGCTGAGCTGGCAGATTGAATAGGATTTTTCAGGTATATGTATGGGCAGATATAATTTTCCTGTTGGAGGTTAAAGTGTCTGCAAAGGCATGGGGATGGGAAATAATACAATTTTAATTACTGTGTATGTCAGTTTTCCTTGGCTAGATGAAGACAAGCAGCAGATTATTAGTCTAGAAAGGGTAGGAATGGGCTAACATTCTTACTTTGGTGACGTAACTTCCAAACTCCATTCCTGTGTTTGACACTGGGAGTGAAACATTTTAAACTGATAGTAAAAAGCCATGCAATCATGTCACTCTGGAAAGTCCCGTGTACAATAAAGAACCTGTACTTGTGGGGTATGCATTTTCTGACGTTCAGTATAAAGACCCTGTAATAAGTGAGTGGGAGATTGCGAGGAAGTGAAACGCTTGATGTTGATTTTTTTTCTACTTAATGGTGCCATAAGTAAGACAAATTTGATCAGAAAATGGGTCAACCCATGAGTGATTGGGATACAGATGTTTCCCAGTTGGAGAGATGAACATAAAAGAATAACAGATAATTGATTCAAGTGCACCAGTGTTGGGAGTGATAGCAGGAGCATGGCACCTGAACATAATTTTACATATTTTAAGGACTATTGTATTAGTTCTACATTTGCAAGCAGCCCCAGGAAAAGTGTGCATGAAAAATCAATGAGGACCTAATGCATCAAGTGGAAGAGCTTATGATAATATGGTGTGATCATCTCACTCATGGCAGAATTGTTATTCTGAGAGACCTTTCATAGTTTTCTATCTATATCTAATATAGATATAGTTGATATCTATATCTAATATCCATATATAATATAGATATAATCTAATATAGATTATATGTATTTTTATCACTTTTATTCTGGAATACTTCAAACATTTAGAAAAATACAGAGGATACACAGAATATTCTAGCCACTACTATTTTCTTCTAGACAATGCAACATTAATAATACGTGAGTACAAAGCAGATTCTAGGATACAGTCTAAACACTTTGGAACTCTGGGGGTAAATTCTCTGACTGGCATTTATTTTCCAAGCAATGATGTACAGTAACTGCAGGAAGAACCTGGAAGTACCCAACAGGATCCATCAGAGCCTACAGGGTCTTGCATCAACTATTTTATCTCTACCCTAATGATGACTGTGCACAGCGTCGTTGTATGATAGTGCCTTGGTGGGTTCACACCCTGCATAAGACCCCACAGCATCTCCCCATTTTATTTAGACAGTTTCACATCTGTTTGGCCTTGGACATCAATCTTTTTTCATGCCCTAACTTCCAAGCACACTGAATTGTCAGTCAGCCAGCCTACCCTGCCACAGTCCCTGTGTCTACACAGCTTGCTGATGGTGGAAAAGAGACAAAATGAATTAATTACTCCTCTGGGCATGAAATCTAAAGGGTAGGTAGGAGCTAGCCAGAAGCAGCCCAGGGGAACACATGGCCAAGACAGGGAACAGAATAATCTTTCCTAACCACCCTTCCAGAACAGTGCTCTTTAGTTGAAATATAATATGAGCCACATAGGCAATTCAAAATTTCCTAGTAGGCCCGTTAAAAAAGGAAAAAAAAAAAAAAGCTGAAATTAATTTTTAATAATATATTTTATCTAACCTAATATATCAGAAATGTTATTATTTCAACATGTAATCAATATGAAAATTATTAATAAAATATTTTACATTTTTGTTCATACTGAGCCTTGGAAATCTGGTGTATATTTTACACAGCAGCACATCTCAATCCTAATTGGACACTTTTCCAGTGCTTGATGGCCACATGAAGCTAATGCTTACCATATTGGACAATGGAGCTCTAACCTACTCTGTTTTAATTTTCTTTGTAGCATTTACGGCTATCTGAAATTAGCTCGCTTATTTCTTTACTCACTTCTTTACTCATTTATTTTTCTCTGTCTCTCTCCACCAGAACATGAGCTTCATGAGACAGGAACTTGGCTGACTGTTCAATTTCAGATGAAGATAAAGGCACCCCGTTCATGGTAAGCTCTTGTTACATGCTTGTTGAATAGTGAATGAGCAGAAGGTATGAGGGCCTGGAAGTGGGAAAGATCTTGGCATCTTGGATGCCTGCAGCATTGTGAGAAATGGAAACAAGAGTGTGAAGGGATGTGGAGGAGGAGACAGGGGTCAGGCCTGGTTAAAGATGCCTGACATGTAAACATGCTGCTGTCTACTTAGAAATTTCCCTATTCTTTAACATCCAAGTTAATGCCATGTCAAATGAATAGCTTTCGCACATATGTTCCCCAAACGGGAAATCTCAGTTTCAGGGCTCACTGGTTTGGACAATTATTCCATTGGTTTACACGTTGATCTTCCCTAGTGGAATGCAAGCTCCTTGAGAACAAAGCTTAGGTTATGAACACTTTGTATTAATTTTTCTGTGCTCAGCAAAATGATTTTTAACATTTACCTACATTGATGAATGTCTTAGTTATTTATTCCTTTTTATTGCTGAGTAGCATTTCATTGTATGGCTGTAACATTATTTATCCACACACTTATTGATGAACATTTGGATTGACTCCAGCTTGGAGCTATTATGGATAAATTTGCTATGATCATTTCTGTAAATGTTTTTGTGTGGACATCTCTTCCTTTCACTTAAGTAAATAACAAGAAAGAGAATTTCTGGGTCATATAGTAACAGTACTTTTAAATTTATATCAAACTATCAAGGCGGGCGGATCACGAGGTCCAGATATAGAGGTCATCCTGGCTAACATGGTGAAACCCCGTCTCTACTAAAAATACAAAAAATTAGCCAGGCGTGGTGGCACGTGCCTGTAGTCCCAGCTACCCGGGAAGCTGAGGCAGGAGAATTGCTTGAACCTGGGAGCGGAGGTGGTAGTGAGCCGAGATCACGCCACTGTATCCCAGCCTGGGTGACAGAGTGAGACTCTGTCTCAAAAAAAAAAAAAAAAATATATTCGTGTCATTTTATATTTTCATGCACAGCATATTAAAATTCATATTAGAATTCACCAATACTTGGCAGAGTCTGCCATTTTAATTTTGGCATTCTAAGGGGTATGGTGTAGGGTCCATTGTAGTTTTAAGTTACAACTAGTAATGTTGAACATATTTTTCATGTGCTTATTTGCCATTTGTTTATCTTCTTTAGTAGTGTCTGCTTAATTTTTTTGCCTATTTTAAAAACTGAGCTGTTTGCTTTCTTGTTTTTAAGAGTTCTTCACATATTCTGGACATAAATTCTTTGTCAAAATATATATATTTAGCATAGTTTCTCCTGAGTATGGTTTGCCTTTTCATTGTCTCAGTGGTGTCTTTTGAAGAGCTAAAGATTTTAATTATAATGAAGTCTAATTTATTAATAACTTTTTTTACAGTTCATGTGTTTTGTGTTTCTTCTAATAAATTTTTGCTTATTTCAAGGTCTTAAAGTTTTCTTCTAGAACATTTTTAAATTTAGCTGCCATGTTTAAGTGTAAATCCATTTTGAGTTTATTTTTGTTTATGAAAATATTCATTTTCTTGTGGATATTTATCTATTTCTCTCTCTTTTGTTGAATAGAATTTTTCCCCACTGAATAGTTTTGATATATTTTTGAACAATCATTAATATGTTCCATTGTTCTATATATCTCTTCTCATAAAAATAACACACTATCATGACCATTGTAGCTTTATAGCAAATCTTAAAATCATGCCATATCAATCACCTGATTGTATTCTTCTTTTGTGAAGTTTGTTGGGTATTCGAGGTCCCATATTTTTTTCATATAAATTTTACAACCAGCCTGTCAATTTCTAAATAAAAAAGCCTTCTGGGATTTTGTCTGGAATTGTGTTGAATATATGAATCAATTTGGAGAGAGTTAACATTTTAATAAATATAGTATAATTTTCTGATTATGTCTTCATTACTTGCTTCTCAGCAATATTTTATAGTTTTTAATGTATAGGTCTTACAGGTGTTTTATTAATCTTGTCTTGGGTTATTTCCTATTAAGGAATGCTATTATCTTTATTTAAATTTGCAATTATTTGTTGCTAGTATATGGAAATAAAATGACTTTTGTATATAAGCCTTATTGAACTCCTTTATTAATCCTAGGCTTAATTTTTTTGTATATAACTTAGGGTTTTCTATGATGTTGTATGCTGATAAAGATAGTTTAACTTCCCTTCCCATTTTAATGTATTTTATTTCTTTTTCTTACTTTATTGCACTGGCTACTACATTTAACACAATGTTACACAGAAGTGGTAAAAGCAGGCGTCTTTACCTTGTTTCCTAATATAAAGGGAAAATATACATTTTTTTAATTATGTCTGATCTTAGCTTTGTAGAACTCTTTATCAAGTTGGTGCTGTTCCCTTTTTTTTCTAGTTTGCAGAGTTTTTATCCTGAATGAGTTTTGAACTTTGGCAAATTATGCTCTGCATTTAATAAGATAATCGTATTTAAATTTTTTTAGTAAATTAACATAGGAAATTTTACTCTTTGATTTTAAAGTTAAACTAATGTGTCATTCCTTAGATTTACTGTATTTTGTCATGTTTACGTAGGTTATGTGTGTCCATATATATATTACCATTGTATGTATCACACTGTATATACATATATACACACACACACATATTTATGTGTGTGCGTGTTTATGCATGTGAAAAGATTTGTTAATATTTTGTAAATGATTTTTTTTACCTATAATCAAGAGGGATACTTTGTTCTGTAATTTTATTTTATTATAATATCTTTGTTTTTGTCTAGTTATGGTAATAAAGTTAACTTAGCCCCATTAAATTAATTTGGAAGTATTTTTCTTCACCTTACTTTTATGAGGGAATTTAATTACAATTTCTTCCTTAAATGTGTGATAGAATTAACTAGTAAAGTCACTTGGGCTACAAAATTTTCTGTGTGGAAAGTGTCTAATTACAGCTTTAATTTCTTAGGTAGATATAAAATTATTTGTGTTTTCTATTTCATCTTGCATCAGTTTTAGTAATTTATTGGCATAATATTGTTCATAATGTTCTCTTATTATTTTTAGTGTCTCTTGGATCTGTAGCAAATTCCTGTTTGTTATTCCTGACACTTGCTATTTGTACCTTCTCTCTTTATTTCTTGATTTACTTTATTGTCTGTCCACATTGTATTTCATGAATTTTTACTCTTTTCCTTTTACTTTGTTATTTGTTATTTTTTCTTAATACTTTCTTCTTTGCCTACCTTCTTATTGTAAAAACTTATAATAATATTGGTTTGGACTTTTCTTCCTTTTAATGTAAGTATTTAATGCCATTCAGTTTCCTCTAAGAATTCTTTTAGCCACATCCCCCAGATTTGATATGTTGTATATTCATTTTCATTTATTTTAACATTTAAGAAATCTTTTCTAATTATTATTATACTTTCTTTTGGACCCATGTTTATTTAGAAGTGTTTTGTTCAATTTTAAATTATTTGAGTTGTTTTAACTTATTTTCCTGGTGATATTTCTAATTTTATTTTATTGTTATTGGAAAATTCTAAATTTATGGAGACCTGATTTATGGCCCATCATATGTTTTATCTTTGTCAATGCTTCATTTATACTTGAAAATAAAAGATGTATTCTGCTATTGTTGGGTGGAGTGTCATATAATCGTTAATGAAAGCAAGTTAGTAGTGATTTTCAGGTCTTCTATATGCTTACCAACTTCTGTTTTCTTGTATTGTCTGTCACTGAGAGCTGTGTTAAAGATTCCAACTATGATTGTGGATTTATCTGTTTCTACTTTCAATTCTGTGGGATTTTGGTTCCTGTGTTTTGAAGCTCTGCTACTAGGTACATATACAATATTAAGGAAATGAGAACATTATACATTTTAGGTGAAATTAAATCTAATAAAAACCTATCTTATTGTAATTATTTAAAGTCATTTGAAGTATCTAGAAACGAATATATTTGTAGCAAATATGATGGAACAATGATAAATGTCAATATTACATAAAGAGTTCATGAAGTTTAATAAATAAGTGAAATATTGAAATCTCCATACACAAGTATGCAAAGAATATGAGAAGACCATTCACCAAAGAGGAAATTCCACTAGTAAAGAAACGTAATGATACATGCTAAACTTTTGTAGTAATCAAGAGCTATAAAATAAAACAACTGTGCATATTTTTGTCTGTTAATTGACTAATATATCTTTAAAGTTTTAATAACCAGTGCTAGGAAAGGTACAGTGTGATTACACTCTCACACAATGATAGCGACAGTGTTAAGTGATTTGAATAATGCATAAATAAATGCAGTCTGAAAACAATTGAGCCACATCGATTAAGAGCAATAAAAAGTCTCATGCATTCATTCAGCATAGTTTTTAGTATCTATCACATTTTAGACACTGTGCTAAGTGATGGGGATACAACCTCTTATTGAAGAAAAAATTCTGTTCTATTGGAACTCAATCATAATTTTGGTCTATATCCCTAAGGAAATAATACGTGTGTGGCTCACATTATATGAGTGAAGACATTTATCATGTCACATATAACTATCAAATTAATTAGAAACAAATCAACTGTTCATTAGCTAAGTGAACTATAGTAAACTAACACTTTGAAATATTATTCATACACTACAATAATGTTATTTATTCATTTGTTAACTAAGCAGACATTTATTTATTATAAAATAAGTGCCAGGGATTGTACTAGACATTATGGATATAATGATACACAAGACAGAGAAATTCTTTGCCCTCAAGAGGTTTATATTTTATAATACAAATGTAATGTCATAAGAGCTAGCATTATTTCAAAAGAAGTATATAAAATAAATTCTGATTCTATGATTTTAATTTTTATATAAAAATATAATTGGAACCTAAATAATGTATTATTTAAAAAAAAATTCTGTGTAACAGATTACCATGCAATTAGTGGCTTTAAACGTCACATGCATTAATTATCTTGCAGGGTCTGTGGGTCAGGAGTCTAGGCACAGCTTAGCTTGGTTTTTGGCAAGACAAAAATCAAGATGTTAGGGGGCTGGATTATCATCTGGAGGCTCAACTGGGGAAGGACCTGTTTTCATACCCACTTAGTGTGCTTGCAGAATTCATTTTCTAGCTGCTATAGGATTTATTACAATTTGTATTTACAAAGCCAGCAAGGAGAGCAAGTCTCTAGAGGAAACCTGTTAGCAAAATAGTCTTACTAATGTAATGTAATAATGGGATAACGAGAATGACATCCCATTATCTTACCATGAGATGTAAAACAATCATTAGAATGACATCCCATTGCCTTTGCCCTATTCTATTGAGTAAAAGCAAGTCACAGTGTTACTGAAACTCCAGGGGTTCTGTTTAGGTCATGCTGCTCACTGCATAGAAAGCCAATCACTGAGACTCCGAGTATTGCCAAGGAAGAAGGCGTTAATAGGGTGCTGCAGTCGAGGAGGTGGGAGATCAGTCTTAAATTCATCTCCCTGACTGAGTAAAATTAGGGATCGATATAGCAGGCAAGACAATGTAATCATGTGTGGGAAAACAGGAATTAGGGAGAGGTAAGGATGAGAAGTTGTTCAATAGGGAGCAAGTGGTCATCTAAGCAATCATTATGGGTGAGGGGTCTGGCATCTCACTGTCCAGATGCAGTGATCTGGTAAGTTTTAGCTCCTTGACACTACTTGGGAGGCCTAAACCTTGGTTTCCTGAGGAAGAAACTCAGATAAAACAAATGTAACTTTCTCAAGTTTTAAGACTGGGAGGATCAATGTCTGTATTTATTCAGAGAAACCATAAACATCAGTTTTGCAGGAAAATTGGGCTGGTTTCAACAGGTCCTGGCTACATTCAACAATAAAAGGGAACTGTATAAGGGCATGGCAAAAAGGCAAGGGTCATAGAGGGCCAGCTTAAAGTCTGTTTGTCATAGCAAGTAACTGTAATGTTAGGGCTGGAGTACTACAGACAAGTTTCTAGCCTACTTTTTAATATTTATGGTAAAGTTGCTATGTTCTTCATAATAATTTAACACATATTAATTTTCAGAGGCCATAGCTAACCATTTACTCTCTAATTTACCTGTTATCAAACCTATCTTATCTTAACGATGCAATTATTTCTTTTAAGACAGCCATTTATCCTTGGTTTTTATTATTTTTTTAATTATGTCTCTTAACTAATAAAGCAGTAGTCCCCTTTTCTGCTACTTTCATTAAAAAAGCACATTATCTCAGCTACAGATCATTATCAGCATTTTCTGAGTTAGTCTTGGAAAATAACCACTATTTGTATTTTTTTCCTAAGGTTGTTGATTCCTATGATCACTTGGTATCAGTTGTATGCAGCCTACTGCATGGCTGGTACCTAAACACAGACAGACAGAAATGGCAAAGGTAGTCATTTCATTTGGGCATGTCTTTGTCAGGTGAGAAGCAGAGGCACACTGCACCAGGAGCAGACAGAGCTGTGTGCCAGGAATTAGGTGTCATGAGAGAGGCTAATAGTGAACTCACATAATCCTTCACCTTTCCTCCTTGACAAAGATCCAAGGAGTGAATGAGGGGTGGGCCTATCTAAGTCCTGATGATTAACTTACACTTGGAAGACATTGAGGGTGTGGTAATTGTTGTCATTTTTACAATATTGTGATCTTAATCTTATGGAATATTGAATCTCCAAATAGCCCATGACATAAAGAGACCTTTATGGCTCCGAAGGAGCTATTATACTTTATTATCTCACGAATCTTCAGATTTAAAGAGTCCTCAGTGAGACCTTGACATAATTAAGCCTAATGAGTCCAAAGGAGTTACAATGACCTATTGTGTCAATAATTTAGACATGACAGGTTTTGTCGGAAGTAGACTTTGGTATCCAATGTAGTCTGTGTGCTGTGTGGATATGATTGACAGCTGAGTTACATAATAAACAGTAGTTATTCAAAAGTTGCTTTATACACCAAACATACCATTGAAAATTTTCAAATAAAGACTTTTTACTACATTGAATCTATATTTTAATAATACCCTGATTATTAGCTCATTCATATCTTCACTTATTAATACCATTTGTGCCTGCCTACTCATCCATGTGCTGTACTAGGTATAGGACTACAAGGGTGAGTTGAGACACAGCCCCTGCCCTCAAGGAGTGTAGCACGTAAAGGTTTAAGAAGTTTACAGTCTAGAATGATGGTTGGAAAACTATGGCTCACAGGGCAGCTGCCAGCTTTGCAATAAAGTTTTATTGAAATACAGGCAGAATCATTCATGTATGTCTTGTCTATGGCTGCTTTTGTATTATGGCAGCTAAACCGAGTAGCTATCACAGAGACTACATAGACCACATCTCTGAAAATATTTATTATCTGGACCTTGAAGACAAACATCGCCAATCCCCGGTCTACAATTTCAAAGGTTCTGGGGCTACTTCAGTAAATCCCAAATATGCACGAATTAGCATTGTCAGTTCCCATAGCTTTGGTGTAATTCAGAGAGAAGGTCTTATTTTCTCATTGTTTTGTATTTATTGTGTTTTAATATGAATGGAATGTTATCGTTAATTCTTCAAAACATTACTCAGCACTATTTCTACACCAAGTTTTGTAATACAGTCTTGGTCTAGTGCCTGGAGTAAGAAGATGGTTAATGTTTACAAAACATGGATCCCATTTGTCTACACCATGAAGAATAGGGTGATTTTAAAGATATGTCCTCAACTTATTTGATATTCCTCCCCCAAAAGAGGTGAATATTTCCCTTTCCCCTGTGTGTGGGCTAGGTTGTGATTTACTTCTACCAGACAGAATATCTTAGATGTGAGAGGATACCGCTTCTGAGATTAAGTTATAAAGAAAACTACAGCTTCCATCTTGGAAGCTTCCATCTCTCTCTCTTAAGTCATTCTGGGAGAAGTCATCTGCCATAGAGGAGGTGATCCGGGGGAGATGGAAGCCACCTGCTGTGTGTTGAGTACCCCAGGCAGCAGGCAGAGAAGCCCACAGGGTGAGGAGCTAGGGCCCAACAACAATGAGTGTACTTGGAAATGGATCTTCTGAGGCCTGTCAGTAGCCAGGCGAGTTTGTCTGGAAGTGAGTCCTATCTCATTTGGACCTTGAGATGTCTGTAGCCCCAGCTGAAATTTTACCTGCAACTTCATGAGAGATCCTGAGTCTCTCAGCTAAGCCACTCCTGACTGCTGACCCACAGAAGCTGTGAGATAATAGATGCTTGTTTTCTTAGGTCACTCAGTTTGGAGTAATTTGTTATGCATCAAGAAATAACTAATACAGAAGGCAACTGGCCAATTGGGTGTGAGAGGGAGTAATAGTTGTCTCTTGCTGTGAATTCCTCTCCATACCCCTGCAAGACTACTGATTGCTTGGTCAGTTTCCTGAGATAGTTCTGAACTTCTCTGCCTGCATACCCAGATGGCAGTCTTCTCCCCATTTCCACGTAGTCATCTTTGCCATGTTGCCATTCTCGAAGGCAGTCTGGGCTCATCTAGATATGATGTGGGTATGTATTGCTATTAGCCTCATGCAACTTTGGTGTTGATGCTGTCTTGGAGACTCCCTTCATTTATTGTTCCCTTACTTGCAGGAGGGAAGTGAGTTCTCTCTATCAGAGTCGTAATTACTTTACAAGACTCAGAAATAGGATTGTAGCTGGCAATGTTTATAAATCTTTCATTTGACTTGCTTTTAATATATATCTTGCTCGCCACTGCAAAATGTAAGATGTCAGCTGTAGATCATTATTTGGGATGATGCCATTCAGGGTAAGAGCCAAGCATGTCCACCTTTGCTAACTGACAACCAGTGCAGCACCTTGCTTCTTTTAACCTCAGTGTGATTTGCGTGCCTACATGGGGTGGCTTATGGGGTTGCTGGCATGTTGTCATGCTCTTTTTCTCAGAAAGCCTTGGCCATATGACCAACAGGCAACTCCACAGTGTCTTCTAGAAGATTGATTGGGACTTAGTGTCCACAGAGATGCCCCTCTCCACAGGACACCTATGAGATGATATCTGCCAGAATTCCACATTGAGCAGTTCTGGGACTCTCACTACCAAACCCAGCACAAAGCAAGCTGTGATCAGTGCCAACCCACAGATACAAGCAAAGTTCAATAAAAACACAAATGCGGCTAAATTCAATGTTGTGTCCCACACTGGATCCTAGAGTGGAAAAAAAGGACATTGGTGGGAAAACTAGCAAAATCTGTGTATGGTGTGGAATTTAATCAACAGCAATGCACCAATGTTGGTTTCTTAATTGTGACAAACACAGGGGAGAAATAATGTGTAAAATTGGTAGTAGGGAAAAATGGGAGAGGGGTCTATGGGGGCTCTCTGTACTATCTTGACATCTTTACTGTAAATCTATGTGCGTGCGCACACACATACACACACACACACACTCACCATGAGCAGGAAATTTATAGGAGGGATATGGACAGGCAGAGAAGGTGGGTGTGGAGAACTTTCCAGGCAGAAACGACAATATAAAATGTTTGAGAGCAGCCACCTGTGGCAGGTTCTGTGATTGGTGAGGTGCCCCCAGAGCATGCCCTAGTATCCATGGTGGGTGTTCTGGGGATACAGAGCAAAAAAGAAAGCATGGCTGGGCCTTGAGTGGTCCAGTAAAGAGTCTGAATTATCATATTACGGGCATGATGGGCCTACAGAGGGCTGTGACATAAGCAGAGATGTTTACGAAGGTTCTAGGACTTTATAGGATGCATTTCTGTGGCCCTTGCCTGAACACATACATATAGCCTCACCCACACAAGCACCGCACCTTATCTCAGGTGACTTCTTTTTCATTTTCATTTTTATTTTATTTATATTCTTATTACTTTTTGAGACAGAGTCCAGAATCTCACTTTGTTACCCAGGCTTGAGTGCAGTGGCTCCTTCTCGGTTCACTGCAGCCTCTAACTCCTGGGCTCAAGCGATTTTCCCACCTCACCCCCACCAAGTAGCTGGGAGTACAGGAGAGCACCACCACACCCAGCTAATTTTTGTATTTTTTGTAGAGACAGGGTTTTGCCATGTTGCCCAGGCTTGTCTCAAACTCGTGAGCCCAAACAATCCACCCACCTCAGCCTCCCAAAGTGCTGGGATTTCAGGTGTGAGCCACTGCACTGCACTGCACTGTTCTCAGGTGACTTCTAATTCATTATCTTTCAAATCTCCGCTTCAGGGAAGCCTCCCTGGCCCCTGTAGAAAGGGTGGTGCACTCCATCTTCATCCTTACTATCCCTTGTTCAAAATATGGCTGCCTCCTCCTTTACAGTTTGTACCCAAGGGTAGAGACCACACCTATCTCACCTGTCCTCAGGACCAAGCACATGTCATGTGCCCAATACTATTGTTGAAGGAATGAATTAATGGGTAAATCTAGGGGTGTTTGGGGGGCAAACCAAGAGCCAAGGAGCCACTTGTGCATAGAGTTAAGTGATCTGCCTGGCTCTCAGTGGATGAGAATTATTAATCAAAATAAACACTATCTGAGTCCTAGTTGATCTTAGAAGGACTTTAAGAAAGCCTCTGGGGTTGGAATAAGATAAGGGGCAGGAGGGGTTTTGGTGTTTTCCGGGAAATGACCTGTGAGTCAGGTCAGCCTTCCTGGTAACTCAGCATAGTCTCTCGGCCCCTCAGCTCTGCTGTCAGGACTGGCCCATGCTCCATGGAGACCCCATGGCCACAGCACCTATAGAAAAGCAATGTCTTCAACTTTCCCCTACATGCTAAGATATCAAACAGCCCGAAAGTCGGCAATTCACAAGGAAAGTTGGCTCCATCCAACTTTCAGCTCTTTGAAAAGTTTGCCTTAAGAATTGAGACATCACTTTTCTCTTCCCAAAGAATGTGTATCTTTTCAGGATTCAAAGAGGCCGGAAAAAATGTCCTCATTTTCCTTGACAGACGACGTGCTGTGTTCTCCGGGTTGCTGATCGGCAAATCGGAACAGACGGTTTTTCCTTTTTATCCCTCCTCGTTACCCCGATGTGGCTTTTTGGTCTTTCTCCAAATGAAGCCCTCGGTGAGACATTGCAAGATGAAAGGGACGGTGGTCGAACTCTCCGTCACTGAGCCTATCAAGGATTTAACATTTTGATAGATAACTCTGCTGTGTCAGGGACATGTGTATTTAAAAGCCCTCTGAAATTTGGAGTGAATATATCTGAGAGATGCATCTGATTTTCCTCCTGCAAGGAAAGAAAGACCGAGGTCAGGTGCCACTTTCTAACATTCTCAAACATAAATCTCGGGTTTATTTTTCTGACCTTTCAGTGTGTAAGTGGCAGGTTTGGTGCTGGAGAAAGAAGGGTTTAAAGCTTGCTTTCTTCCTCCTTCTTTTTAATATAATAGCACCCTTTTCTCCTTCTTTCTTTATCCAAAGCACAAATTAACACCTCCTTGTTGGGGAAATGGGAGACAAAGGGAGATTATTGGAAATTACTGATCACAGAAGCACCATAAGTGGATTACACTAGACCTGGGGATCCCCAGGGACAAAGAAGCAAACCCGGGCAGAGACAGGGGCCTCAGATGAGTGGAACCAACAAAGGATGGGATGAATCTTACCAAATGAGAGAGCTGCTCCGCTGCAAGGCAGTGGTGAATTCTCCGCAGCTTCATGTGAAGGGATGTCCCTGTTTGCAGACCATCCCCAGGTTGCCAGTGAATGTGATAAGTCTCCAACCAGTGCCAGGTATAAGTACACATCCTTGGACACTCTTCAAACCCCTAAAGACAAAGTCTCCAAGTCCTGATAACCTGCTAAGCAACCATGTAAATCCTGAGTGAGTCGTTTGAATGATGTAAGCCTCAGTTTATCCTCCTCTGTAAAATACTGTTAACCCTCATAGCAAGGTTGGCAATATTAAAGGAGAAAAAGTACTTATCATGATGTCAGCAAATAATTACTCATTGGATGTGACCTCTTGTTATTGTTATTATCATCACCATTGTCGTTGTCATATATTCATTTAGAGACAGGATAGCATTTCCTCCTGTTTCCTGTGACTCTCTGTGCAAATGGCCAGGGCTGTCCAGTTCTTTGATTTTCCCTTGCTTCTTATTAAATCTTCTCTGACATCCTGAATATAACGTGCAAGGAAACTCAAAACTGAGCAGATTTTATTTTTTCTACCTCTTCTTTTTTTTTTTTTATTATACTTTAAGTTTTAGGGTACATGTGCACTTTGTGCAGGTTAGTTACATATGTATACATGTGCCATGCTGGTGCGCTGCACCCACTAACGCGTTCTTAAAGGGAAACCAAAACACAATTTACCGTTCTATGAATAGATTGCTGTTTGGATAATCTTTACTCCACGCCAGTTTGGTTTCTGTTCTGAACATAACTTTATTTTTCCCCACTGGAGGATGTAGCAAAACCCTTCTTTGTGCGGGGGCCATTAAGACTGCCCATTCTTAAATTAGCTCAGCAAAAAAAAAAAAAAAAAAAAAATAAGTGCATTTTATAGTCAAGCCAGCAGTAATTGGACACTGTGACTATGAGTGGCCCTTGCAGTGTTTGGACGTGGGCCAAATGTACCTTCTGTCTGTCTCTGACACAGGCAGACAATAGCGGTATTATTTACTGCACTGGCTCTGTGCAATTCCAAAGGCCAGCTGCGAGAACAAAAGAATCACTAACACTTTGCCCAGCCCTAGACTAAACTGGATGCGCTATCTATGTTTCCTAAATAATTCACCCCTCCATCCCAAATGTTGGGTCATCTATTCTTCCTTTCTTTCCTTTTGCACTGACCATGGCTGCAAGGAAAATATGTATCACTACTCTGAATCCTTAAAAGAGAATGGAATGAAGGAAGGAATGGCCAACAGTTCTTTGTTTCCATATCTTAGGGTGCAGCATCACCACCACAGACCAGCTATGAGAGGATGGTAGCAGAATCAGTGTACGGAACAATCTTGGCAAGGGTTAGTCTTCCCTGGAAAGGGATGCTTCCCAGGAATGCCATTCTGAGTTTTGTCTTCAGAACTTTGTAAAAGAGCCTGATGTTCACCTGGGTAACATTCACCGGTTGGAACACTCACAGACCTGTAACCTCTGTGTTACAACCTGGGCTTTGAGTAGACTGAGCTGAAAGTATCACCCTTGACTTGGTTCTGGTTCATATCCAGAATCTGGGAAACTGAACCCCACTGCCTGGTATTGTCCTATTGTGGTCCCTACTAACACGATATTTATTAGGAAATAGCCTCATCAGTTGTTGAACATGCAGCCTGCGCATGGAGATGGGATTCACAGCTTCTGAAGCCTCCAGTCCAACCTGAACTGTACCTCCAGGTCACAAACAGAGTAGCCTCCAGCCTTCTAAATCTGTCCATAGCAATCCGTGTGTCCTCATCTCCTCTTCCACTTTGAACTGTGTTTTCTGACCTGGTCCTGAGATATCCAGCTCCTAGCTCTTTGCACAGACATTTGATCCTGCCTCCCATGTACCTTGGGATCTTCTGCCTGCTATTGCTCTTTCCTGATGGGTCAGGGAGCCTTGGTCTGCAGGCTTGGCCTATTTGTCCCCTGTACAGCATCGGTCTCCAACTGCTTAACCAACACTTGACCTGAAATCCAGACGTGGCATTCTGTCCAGCCACAGCAAAGCACCATCCTACCTCCACAGGCTCTAGAACTCCAACAGGAGCACTTTCCCAGATCAGTCACAATCACAGCATTTAGCTATCATGCGGGGGATTCCTAACGACTCATAAACTAACAGTTTCTAAGCTTTTCTCATTTGCTTCTCACACTCTCTATGAGACAGACCAGGCAGACCTTATCATCTGTGTTTTAGAGGTAAGTTGAAGTGAACTTTCAACTTATCTCTAAGTTGGTGCAAAAGTAATTGCAGTTTTTGCATTGTTGAATTTTGCCATTTGATATTGGAATACATTCTTAAATAAATGTGGTTATGTTATACATAATTTTAATAGGCATTTCTCACATTTTTTTTGCTAATGACTTATTACTTGCTGTTTATTTTATATTTATTTTAGGGACTATGGAAATGATATTGGACAAAAAGCAAATTCGAGTGATTTCCTTATTCGAGTTGAAATTGGGTTGTAAAGTAGTGGAGACAACTCGCAACATCAACAATGCATGTGGCCCAGGAGCTGCTAACAAACGTATACTGCATTGGTGGTGCCAGAAGTTTTGCAAAGGAGAAGAGAGCCTTGAAGATGAGGAGCATAGTAACTGGCCATCAGAAGTTGACAACGACCAATTGAGAGCAATCATCGACACTGATCCTCTTACAACTACACAGGAAGTTGCCGAAGAACTCAACGTTGACCATTCTACAGTCATTTAGCATTTGAAGCAAATTGAAAAGGTGAAAAAGCTCCAAAAGTGGATGCTTCATGAACTGAGGGAAAATAAAAAAAAATAGTCGTTTTGAAGCGTTGTCTTCTCTTATTCTATGCAACAACAAACCATTTCTCAATCGGATTGTGATGTGAGAGGAAAAGTGGATTTTATGCGACAACTGGCTATGACTAGCTCAATGGTTGGTGGGAGAAGAAGCTCCAAAGCACTTCCCAAAGCCAAACTTGCACCAAAAAAAGGTCGTGGTCACTGGTGGTCTGCTGCTGGCCTGATCCACTACAGCTTTCTGAATCCTGGTGAAACCATTACATCTGAGAAGTATGCTCAGCAAATTGATGAGATGCACCAAAAACTGCAAAGCCTGAAGCCAGTATTGGTCAACAGAAAGGGCCCAATTCTTCTCCTCAACATGGCCTGACTGCATATTCCATAACCAATGCTTCAAAGGTTGAATGAATTGGGCTACGGAAGTTTTGTCTCATTCGCTATATTCACCTGACCTCTAGCCAACCGACTACCACTTCTTTAAGCATCTTGACAACTTTTTGCAGGGAAAATGCTTCCACAACCAGCAGGATGCAGAAAATGCTTTCCCACAGTTTGTTAAATCCTGAAGCAAGGATTTTGACACTACAGGAATAAACAAACTTATTTCTCGTTGGCAAAAATGTGTTGATTGTAATGGTGCCTATTCTGATTAATAAAGATGTGTTTGAGCCTAGTTATAATGATTTAAAATTCCCCACCTGAAACCGCAATTACTTTTGTACCAACCTATTTGCCAAAAAGGGGAGAAAGCAAGCCTAAGGTTTTCAACTCTCGAAGTCCATAGGCATTTTAATATGCCTCCAGTCAGAGGGTGGAGGGAGGAGATTAGAATTTTATTTTCCTTGATGTTGAAAGTCTCACTCCATTCTCCACTGGCCTTGTGCTCAGCCCTTGGATTTGTCTTTTGTGGACAATGCTCCCTAAATAACAGACTCTGCCCTACTACACTGGACTTCCTATGATGGAGGGGCTGTTTATTGTCACTCAGCATTGCATCTCCTGGGCCTAGCACAGACTTATATGTGAGCAGGTGTTGAATAAATGAATGAAAGAATGGGTGAATGAATGGATAAATGGACGGATGGATGAGTGGCTGAAAGAAAGAATGAATGTTCCATTCCATGTGTGCTGCAGGCTGGCAAGTTCATTGCTTGATTGCACTTGGCACCAGAATCCTATCTGTCCCTTTCTCAGAGTTTTCTTTCTGTCCCTTGCATCATCCAAACTCTTCCCTGGATACTCCAGGCCTCTTAGGCACTGGGAGAACTTCCATTCTCATGGAAGATGGAGACTTTCTTTCCATGTAGCCTCACCTACCACCCTCATGCCATCCTAGAATGAAACTGCAGGTACCACTATGCCTCCTTGCTGGGCAACTCTACTTTCCGTTTCTCTTAGGGTCTCTCCTCTGATGTGGGTGTGCATGGACCAGAGGCCAGGAATTCTGAGGCCCCTTTTTCTGACCCCTTGACATAATCTTTCATCTTCCACCAAGAGCCCTCTCCCCACCCTGTGCTCATGCTGTGGATAATGAATCAAGTCAGCCTCCCTGACTTTTTTCAGAGACTCCCAGAGCCAGACAGGACTTCAGACACTCTGTTTTGTTTCTTATTTTCAGGCGGAGAGAACTGGAGCCTGGAGAAGTAATGGGTTTTGCCCAAGGATCTGTGGCCCTTCAGTGACAGGCAGGGACTTGAAACCACAGTGCCAGCCCAAGTACTCTGAGCCTCCCAGGCTATCCTCTTTGTGTGTCATAACATGTGCCATATTTTCTTCAGGGTTTGGCCTAGAAGGATTTTGACATTTTGAGCATGAGGATGAGGGCCTTTGGAATGTCACCGTACCTACTCTGAGAGAAAGCCAATTTTCCCTTAGTTCAGTACTTGCAAATAGCAAAGTTAATTAATCCCCTGTAAATAAACATTTGCAAACTTCAGCTCAATATAGCACTAACCAGGAATGCTTCCAAATGTGTGCTGAGATTAGATGATTAAAAGACCAGAGCTGATCATGTGATGGTGAATCCGCAAGTTGGGCTCGTTAATTTATTGGTGTGGTAGAAAAAGCATTGGTTTCATGGTTCATAAAAGGCACAGGCCTGATTCCACTCTGCCATTGACTGACTGAGATGTCTGGCAAATCATAAACACCTCTAAGCCTCTCTTCTTATACGTAAAATACACGGAGGTCATGCCTATGAGCATTACGCTAGATACTGTGAGTAGGACTGTGAGGTCTGCCCCCAGGAAAGCACTCCATCAATAATAGATTCCTCCATCCTCTCCAGCCACCCACCTTCCTGCCATCTAGCATAGACAGTGCCTTCAGATCTGCTGACCTCTAGGGACTCCTGGACTTTCAGAAGCCTCTTTGGTTAATGAAGGTGTTGAGCAGGTTTGAGCCAGACCTTTTCCAGTTCTTCTAATTTTTGATGGACTTACACACACCACTGATTTGCATCATCCACCTCCCCCTTTAATGAGCTTGTGTGCTCACAGTTAATGAACTAATTACTTCTGGGCAAAATCAGCATTAGGTTGCAAACCTGGTTTCTGCAGCCTCCGCCAGACCAGCGTTCTTTCGTCAAGTCAAAAAGAGCTGGCAATGCAGCAACTCTGCCAGATTTCGGTGACAGGTCTTCTCTGACCAGGAGATGTCCAACTCAGCTGGCACAATTTGAATTAAAATATCTCGCCAAGTGAGCAGCATCAAACATGACATGTACTTTCTCGAGATCCAGGATGAGGCTGAAGTGCAAGCTGTGACCTGAAGGTCTCATCACCTTCCAGTCAGAAATATAGCTATTCTTGAAGGCTAGAGATTTTTCCCCTGCAAAATGACTCAGTTAATGGCAATAAAATGGAGGTGTGCCAAATGGCCTGCTTTAAATTCAGGTGGTGGTGAGAAGACCATCTCTTGAGTATAGAGAGGGGGCATTTATGCACAAGGTGCATCTTAATTGGAGGGAAACTCTCTACACTTTGAAACAGTTAAGCCATTAGCCTTGGGAACACCTTTAAGTGGTGTAGTACAAGGTTACCTGCTGTGAAGGACTCCATTTTCATTCCGTCAGGACTCGTTTACTGAGAGGTCAGAACACAGACTTCAGAGCTGATTCTCCTGGATTTGAATTCTGGCCTTGCCCCCATTTGCTGTGTTACAGTGGAGAAGTCACTTAATGTCTCTGTGCCTTAGTTTCTTCTGTCCTGACATAGGGAAGGTAACAGAGTCCAATCACATTAGGGTCATTGGGAGGTCTAAATGGAATGGAGATATATTTAATTATTCTACAAATATTTACTTAACACCATGGCAGAGACCATCAGTGTTCTTCCAGTTTCTATGTGTCTTCTTACATTTCACAGTCTTCCTTATAGTTGGGTTGGGGACATGCGCCTGAGTTCTGACAATTGGGAATGTGAGAAGAAGCGAGCCCTCTCTATCTCTTAGTCCCTATCAACAGGGGCCTGGAGGGTCACCTGTTCCAGATGATATGGTTGCAGTAAGGATGAGTCTTAGTCAGCCTGGGTCCCTGAGTCACCGTGTGGAGCTAAGCTGTATTAGCTTCTTCTGCTATGTTAGTTTTCATAGGACAGCCATAATAAAGTGCCACAAACTAGGTGGCTTTAAACAAAAGAAATTTCTTCTCTGACAGTTCCAGAAGCTGGAAGTCTGAAGTCAAGATGTCAACAGGGCCATGCTCCCTCTGAGACTTTAGGTAGAATCCTTCCTTGCCTATTCCTAGCTTCTGATGTGTGCCTTCATCCTTTGTGTTCCTGGACTTGTAGGTGCATTGCTCAAATCTCTGCCTTGGTCATCACATAGCATGCTTCTCCTTTTATAAATATACCCACCATATTAGATTAGGGTCCACCCTAATGATCTCATCTTCACCTGATTACATCTGCAAAGACCTTATTTCTAAATAAGGTCATATTCACAGATATGGGGATTAGGACTTTGGCATTTCTTTTTTGTGAGCCACAGTTCAGCCCATAACACCTATAACACCTCCAAATTTGTGTTAGACATGTAACATGAGTGAGAGGGTAACCTTAGTTGGATTAAACCAATGAGATTTGGGGATTCATTTGTAACCAAAGTATAGTCTGGCCTGTCCCCACTAACACATATAGTTGACTGATGCAGCACCGTGCCAAGGACCAGGGATTAAATATGTAACAACGTAGAAACAGCTCTTGCTCACTTGCAGCTTACAGTCTAGTTCAGTGCCTGGCAAATAGAAAGTGTTCAATGAATGGTAGCTATTACAGTTGTTATTTAAGAATGTTAGGATTCTGGTTATCAAGATGGATAAAACATAGTTGGGTAGACAGAAAGGGAAACAGATTTATAATATAGCAAGATAGCTAATTCATTGAGTCTGTAAAATTATTTTTGGCAAAAAGAGTGCCTTCTCAGCTCCCCAAGGCATGGAATACAAGGTGTGAGGGTGTGGAGGGGTGGCAGTTGGAAAGAGCCCATGGCACAGAGGCCACCGCATAACAAGCCACACTCTTGAATATAGGAACTGGTGAATGTACAATAGCATAGATGCATATCTGTCCTTGGTGGGAACAAAAAGTTTTGCCTTTCTTACCTAGATTATTACAGTAGCCACTTAGCTGGTCACCTGCCTTGGGTACTGCCTCCATCTAATCTTCATGCCATAGTGATGGCTCCTGATATACCTCTTAACATGGTCACACCTTTGAAAAAACCTTTCAAATCGACCCAATGCCTGTGGGATAAAGGTCCAGCTCCTTAAGTCCCTCCTCATTCTCCAAGGTTCAGTTCCAATATTAACAATATTAATTCCCCATTAGGACTTTCCTGGCTTCTTCACTTGCATTTAGCATTGCTCTGTCCTGTGTGCATTCTGACATGTATGACTTATATGTGTGTATGCATGTTTAAGTAAAGTAATTCAGTAAACACTGAGCACCCTCCATGTGCCAAATTCTGAGCAGTCATAACAAATCGGGTTTTAAAAATTATTTTTTTCCTTCTTCAGGCTTCCATCCATACCAATCCCACTGCAAGAAACACCCTTTTTCCTATCTCTTCCTTGGCTCAGTCTTTCCTGTTCTCCAGCTTTCTCGACATCTGCTCCGAGAAGTCCTTGATCCCTCCAGAATAGGTCAGGATCTCACCATGTACTTTCCCTCTGAATTAGTTTCCTGTGAGTGCTGTAACCAATTACCACCAACATTGTGATTTAAAGCAACACAAATTTATCCTTGGTTCTGAAGGTCAGAAGTTTAAAATACGCCTTGTGGGCTAAAATCAAGGGGTCGGGGGGGCTGTATTCCTTCCAGAAGCTCTAAAGGAGAATCTGTTCCTTGCCTTTTCCAGCTTTTAGGGGATGCCTGTGATCCTCGGCTTGTGGCTGCATCCCTACAATCTCTGTCTCTGTTTTCATGTCTCCTTCTCTGACTCTGACCCTTTCCTGTATCTCTCTTATAAGGGAAATAACCTTTGTGATTATACTGGGCCCACCCAGATAATACAAGATAATCCCTTCATCTCAGGATCTTTAATTTGATGACATCTGTGAAGTCCATTTTGCTACAGAAAGTACCACATTCACAGGTTCCAGGGATTAGAATGTGGACATCTTTAATACATTTTTATGCTGTGTTATAATTTTTGGGGCTTCCTTCCCATGGACCCATGATATCCTGAGGGTAGAAACAACAACCTATACAAGGTCCCAAAAATGATTTATGCCTGAATGAGGTCTCATGCACATCCTGTAGCCTCTTCTGTTGGAAAACTGTCCTAGACTGTCAGTTGGAGAGACAAGGTTAGAGGGCTTAGTTAGCAAAAATCCTGCCATGACAGTGCTGAAACAGAAGTTTCCTGCAGTGTTGGGACTCTAGAAAAGACAGAGCCATGGAGCTCTACAGAAATCCAGGAGAAAAGGAAGGCTCCCATTTGGACACCTGCAGGATTGATGCAATTATTCACTAAGTCCTTTGCCTTGACTGAACTGATTCTGCACATTTTATTTGCTCTAGGTTTCCAAATGGGACCCTAAACATAGAACACACTGAATGAATGAAAAAGATATAGTAACATTCTTCTAACATGCACCTGTTTAAGTGCTTCAACACATTGTTAATTAAGTCTTGTTTTCAGAAATTAGTGCATGCCAAGCTATAGTTGCCTTATAGGAGGTAGAAAATCAATGTCTAGCTTTTATTTGTAGTGTTCTAGTAGCTGTTATTTTCTTTGTTTTAATCATCTCCAAATGATGGAGGAAATGTTCTTGTGTTAATACTGGACCATACTTGCAGCCAGAAGGAAACCAGGAACAATGATATTTGAAAGAAGCAGAAGTGGGGAGGGAAGAAGGCAGCTAACATGTGTTGATCATCTGATATATGACTGGATCTGTATAGAGTTATTCCCATTGTATCAGTCAGCTGTTGTCAAAATAATGCTGTATAACAAGTTATCCTGATTTTCAGTTGTGTAAAACAGCAATTATTCCCATTTCTCTGCAGGTAGGCTTGGGTAGCTCTTCTTCAGGTTGCAGCTGTGTAGGTCTGGGCCTTCTCCACATTATTTTCATTCTTCTTAGACAAGCATGCATGTTGGGGCTTATTCTTGTCATGGTGATGACAGACGCATAAGAGAGACAGTGGAAGTAGCAAGATGTGATAACTTGTTGACTTGACTTGGGAAAAGCAAATCACATGACCAAAGGTTTGGGGTCAGAGAAAGTCAAGGGTTAGGGGTGCAGAGAGAGATGATAATTGGAGCCAAACACTTAATCTACCACACTCATATGGACAAAATTATGTTCATCATATGGATGAGGAAAATGAGGCTGAAAGAGAGTAGAGTGACTTGTCCAACATCAAAATGCTAGAAAATGGTAGGATCTGGACTAAATTCTAAATCTATTTAACTTAGTGTTCCTCAGCCGGGAGAAACTTTCACCCCCGGGAAATATTGGCCAATATTCGGAGACATTTTTGTTTGTCACATTGTTGGAGAGGGTTGGGGAGGGGTTGCTGCTGGTGTCTAGTGAGTAGAGACCAGGGATACTGCTAGACACCCTACAGTGTGCGGGTCAGTCCCCCATGACACAGAATTATCCAAAATGTCAATGGTGTTGAGGTGGAGGAGGTGTGTCCTCTTTCTGTTCTGTCTAAACTGCTTCCCCAAGTAGAGAGAAGTGGTGAGTTTGTCCCAAGTACAGAGAGTGACCCTGGGAACATAAGAGTATGATGATTTCATTTTGGGCCTTTTTGTATTTATTTGATCACTTTTTATATTCAGTCACTTATTCATTCAATATGCATTTGGGCAACTGCAGTGCACAAAGCGTTGTCTTGTCTTACTTTTCCATTGAGACTACGATGTCTCCGAGTGCTAGTCTCTGTCTATTTTTATGTGCCTCTTAGCACTCACCACATGCCTGCAATTGAATCTCATCCTTGATGGTTTAATTGGCACAGTGGTAGGCACGTGGGAAGCTCTTGCTGTATGTCACCCATCATAATTATAACGGTACTGGAGAAGGCCAGGTTTCCCTAGCTCCATCCTACACTCACGGCGCCCCAGCATAACGCCATGTAACCCACTTCCTTTATACAGCATTTAATTATCTTTCATATATACAACACTCCTTACTGAATAAAATATTCAGACATCTCATTTGACGGGAGAAGCAAACAGTAATATGTAGCATTTCATTTGTTTTTTCATTAAATCGGGCATGACCATTGTTGGCGCCGGGGAGTTTACGACCGCAGGTCTGACACCCTGACATTACTCATCTATTCATAGTGGGTTTGAGCTCCATGCAAGTGCCTCATTTTCTCTCTATTTACATTAGCCAAATAAATTCATCTTTTATTTCATTGAGCTGAATGCTTCCATCTGTGGGGCTGTTTATGAGACCCACCAATTCTATTTGGTTATTTATTTTATTACTGATTTTTTTTTGTTTTGCTGCCTCCGCTGCTGCTGCTGCCACCGCTGCCTTCTCATTAAAATGTCTTTTAGCTTTTAGACATGAAGGCAGAAAAGGATTAATTAAAATCTCCCTGGTTCTCAGATATTGCAAAATGAAGAAATGTCAGATGCACATTATCAATCAGGTACAAACAAAAAATATGGAGCTACATCAGGGCTCGAATTGCACAAATTCCTTCAGAAACAGAGTTAATAACTCGGACAATTGAATTAAACCAGTCCCACAGGCTGCTCACCTGGTCCCCACCTGGGATTCAGAGGTCACTGGGAGGTTGTTTATGAGGCCTGGCCTGCCAGCTGAGTCTAAATTCTAGAACAGTTATGTTCTGAATTTATCATGCTGTTTAGGTGGGGAAAACCTTGCTCAAAGTGATCATTATCATAGATAGTCTACAGTATTTTGTTTATATTTGTTTAATCAACATTGTAGTGTGTAAAAGATCTAATTCATTGGGTATGTGCTAAATATCAAACACCTTGACCATAACTAGTTTACAGGCAGAATCTCTTTTTAATCTTTTAATAACACTGAGAAATAAGGCATTAACAAGTTTTTTTAGTTGGTATATAATTACATGCAGAAAAATGCACAGATTTTAAGTATAAAGTGCTGTGTGCTGTGACAAATTGATACACCTGTATAAGTCACACCATTATTAAAATTTTGAATATTCTTGTCACCCCAGAAATCTCCATGATGTTCCCTTCACAGTGAAATTCTGCCAACCGCCTGCAGCCCTGCAACCACTGTTGTGATTTCTTTTGCCACTGATTACCTTTGGCTGATGGATAATTTCACCTAAATGGACTCATACTGTATCTACTCTTTTATATCTTGATTCTTTCACTCAGTATAATGATCTGGGGACTCATGATCTTGTTGTGTGCCAGTAGTTAATAGTTTTGTTGCTGAGTCATAATCCGTTGTATGAATATAGTATAATTTATCTGTTCTTCTGTGGATGGACATTTTCAAAACTGGCTCTTTATAGTTTGTGGCTGCTACGAATAAGAAAGACAAGTAATTTTGGAAGTTTCTGTTGAGTAAATACCTAGAAGTGGAGTGGCTCAGTTATTGGGTGGTGTCATGGACTGAATGCTTTTGTCTTCCCAAAACTCACATACAGGCATACCTCAGAGATATTGCAGGTTCGGTTCTGGACCACATAAAGTGACTGTCACAGTAAAGTGAGTTGCACAAATGCTTTGGCTTCCCAGTGTATATAAAAGTTATGTTTACTCTATGCTATAGTCTTTTAAGTGTATGACAGCATTATGTCTACAAACACAACATATATACCTTCATTTAAAAAACTGTATTTCTGAAAAAATGCTAACAATTTTCTGAGACTTCAGTGAGTCATAGCATATTTATTTAGTGATGGAGGGTCTTGCCTTGCTGTTGATGGCTGCTGACTAATCAGGGTGGTGGTTACTGAAGTTTGGGGTGGCAGTAGCAATTTTTTAAGACAACAATGAAGTTTCCCACACTGATGAACTCTTCTTTTCACAAAAGATTTCTCTGTAGTGTGCAATTTGCTTTGATAGTATTTTACCCACGGTAGAACTTCTTTCCAAATTGGAGTTGATTCCCTCAAACCCTGTCACTGCATTGTTGATTAAGTTTGTATGATATTCTAAATTCTTTGTTGTCATATCAACAACTTTCACAACACCTTCACCATGAGTAGATTCCATCTCAAGAAACCGCTCGCTTTGCTCACCCTTAAGAAGCATCTCCTCATCTGTTCAAGTCACTTCTAATTCAAGTTCTCTTGCCCTTTCCACCACATCTACAGTTACTTCCCTCACTGAAGTCTTGAACCCCTCAAAGTCAGCCATGAAGTTTGAAATCAACTTTTTCCAAATGACTGTTTATTTTGATATTTTGACCTCTTCCCATGAATCGTGAATGTTCCTAATGGTATCTAGAATGGTGAATGCATTCCAAAAGGTTTTCAATTTACTTTGCTCTGATTCCATCAGGGGAATCACTATCTATGGCAGCTATAGCCTTATAAAATGTCTTTCTTGAATAATAATACTTGAAAGTCAAAATTATTCCTTGATTCATGGGCTGCAGAATGGACGTTGCATTAGCAGGCATGAAAACAACATTCAGGCTTGGGGGCAATGGCTCATTCACCTCCTTGTACATCTCCATTGGAGCACTTTGTGACCAGGCGCCTTGTCAATGGCAGTAATAGTTTTTTTTTTTTTTTTTTTTTTTCCTAAGCAGTAGGTCTCAATTGTGGGCTTAAAATAGACAGTACAACATGCTGTAAACATATGTGCTGTCATCCAGGCTTTGTTGTTCCGTTTGATTATTGATTCCAATGCCATCAGGCCCTGAAAAGATTCTTCTTGGTCCACTGGAATCGCAATAAGACACTTGTTAGTAAGAAAGATTAGTAGTTTTTTATTAATTCATTAATATGAAAGTATTTATTGAATATCTGCAGTGTACCACATGTATCTCCAGGTTCCAGGAAGTGAAAGACATTCAATAAGACATAGTGGTAATTATCAAGGATTAGATTTAGCATAATTCTTAAGGGCCGTAGAGTTTTTAGAATGAGAAATGAGGATTGGCTTTAACTTAAAGTCACCAGCTGCAGTGGACTCTAACAAGCATCAGCCAGTTCTTCGAAGTTTTGAAACCAGGCATCGTCTTCTCCTCTCTAACAATGAAAGTCTTAGATGGCATCTTCTTCCAATGTAAGGCTGCTTCATCTACGGTGAAAATCTGTTGTTTAGTGTAACCACCTTCATTGATGATTTTAGCTAGATCTTCTGGGTAACTTGCTGCAGCTTCTACCTCAGCACTTGCTCCTTTACCTTGCATTTTTATGTTTTGGAGATGGCTTCTTTCCTTAAACCTCATGTACCAACCTACGCTAGTTTCCAGCCTTTCTTCTAGAGTATTCTCATGTCTCTCAGCCTTCACAGAATTGAAGAAAGTTAGGGCTTTGCTCTGGATTAGGCTTTGGCTTAAGGAAATGTTATGGCTGGTTTGATTTTTCTGTCTAGACCACTAATAAGCTAATTCGCTTTCTTATCATTCATTCATGTGTTCACTGGAATAGCACTTTTAATTTCCTTCAAGAACTTTTCATTTGCATTCATAATTTGGCTAACTGGTGCAAGAGACCTAACTTTCAGCCTATCTTAACTTGTGGCATGCTTTCCTCACTAAGCTTAATCATTTCTAACTTTTGACTTTAAGTAAGAGGTAAATGACTCTGCTTTTCACTTAAACACTTAGAAGCTATTGTAGGGTTATTAATTGGCCTGATTTCAATATTTTTGTATCTCAGGGAGTAGGGAAGGGAGGTGCAAGGATAGAGAGAGAGGGATGGGAGAACTGTGAGCCGGTGGAGCATTAGAACACACAAACTATGTATTGATTAATTTCATTGTCTTATATGGACATGGTTTATGGCACCACTAAAACAATTACAATCATAACATCAAAGATAATTAATCACAGATCACTGTAACAGATATAATAGTAATAATAAAGCTTGAAATATTGTGAGAATTGCCCAAATGTGACACAGAGACACAAAGTGAGCACATGCTGTTGGAAAAATGGCCCAGATAGAGTTGCTCAATGCAGGGTTGCCACAAACCTTGGCCAAAAATGGCACTTAGAGGTGGCGCTTTTAGGAGGTAATAAGGTCATAAGGGTGAAACCTTCATGAATGGATTAGTGCCTTTACAAGAAGAGATAGAAAGAAAGATGATCTCTTTCTCTTCAATACGTGAGGATATAGTAGAAGGTGTTTATTGAAAACCAGGAAGTAGGTGGTCATCAGAGTAGGTTGGCACCTTGATCTTGGACTTTCCAACCTTCAGAACTGCGAGAAATAAATGTTGATTGTTTAAGCGACCCCGTCTATGATAATTTGTTAAAGCAGACCGAGCTAACCATGAACTGACCATGACAGGTGGTAAATGATTAATTTGTTTATTGCCAAAGGCTTTCCAAAGTCATGCACCATTTTACCCTTTTACCAGCAATGTATGAGCATTCAGTTTGCTCCACATCTTCACCAATGTTTGTTGTTGTCAATCCTTTTTAACTTTACTATTCTCATGGGCATGTAGTGTTGCCTCATTATGGTTTTATTTGTATTTCTATGATGGTTAATGATATTGAATAATTTTTCATGTGCCTGTTGGCTCTTTGTACATTTTCTTTTGTAAAATGTATGTTCTAGTCTTTGCCCATTTTTGTTATTGAATTTTAGGATTTCTTTTTCTATTACAGATGTAGATACAGATATTGCAGATATATTATGTACCATCAGGAATGTTCTCCCAGTCCATGGCTTGGCTTCTCATTTCCTTAATGTCTTTTGATGAACAGAAGTTTTTAAATATGTTGATTACATTAATTTTGAAATTCATATATTTTTAATAATCGTCCATTGCTTAAGCTTTTAAAATTTATAGGTAATGAATTTGTATATAATGTCATTTAAAAATTTTCATCTGATTCTATGATTTTATATAATCTCTTATTCCTAATTTTGCTTATTTTTGTCTTCTTTTTTCTTCATTTCAGATTTCCTGATAAGACTTTTAACTATTTTATTGATGTTTTCAAATAATATGCTTTGGAATCTATTAATTATACCTTTTTTTGTTCCCTATGTAAGACATCTCTGCCTCTAAATTGATTAATTTTTTATTCTAATTTGTTTAATTTTATTGTATTTTTAGCATTTTAAGTTGAAATCTCAATATTTTTTTCCAGCTTTCAATTTCTAATAAATGCAGTTATGACTAGAAATTTTCCTTTATATTTCTTTGGTCATATCTCTAAGGGTTTGTTTTGTAGTTTTTTCATTTTATTATTTCTAAAATGTATTTTATTCTGTTTTAATATCTTCTGTAACTCAAGACATATGCAGAGGGATAAATTTCCAATTCAATGTGAAAACTTTTAGTTTGTTTTTCCTATCGTTCTTATTTATACAAATACTATAGTCAGATATTTTTCTTCCTATTTTCTGCTTTTGTGAATATATTGATATTTTATTTGATACATTATCTGTATTCAATTCTATTGTCTCTGTCAGAGGAATTTGAAAAGGTTTGTATTTTCTGTTTGGCACTGCATGTTAGTGGTATATTCAAAGTTTTTGTATTTCTACTTATTTTTTGTTTACTTGATGTGACATTTGATCTGGGAGGAATGTGTTAAAATCTTCTATTATGATTGTGGATTTATTAGTTTTTTTCTTGTCTCTCCAACAGGTTTTGTTTTATGTAGTTTGGAGTTTTATTACTGGATGTGTGAATATTCTTCTTGACGGAGTGTAATATTTAATAATATTAAAATCCCTTTTTGTCCTATTTAATATTTTTGAGTTGGATTATACATTTTCTGATATATATTTTCATTCACCTCTTTTATTTAAGCATTTGCTGATTTCTCTTTTTCCATCTGTCTGTTTTCAGGCTTTCCCTGTCATTTTGTTTTAGGGTCATGCCTTATAAACATAACATAAATGAATTTTTCTTAAATTTTCCTTTGTTTAAAACCCAATAAGAAAATCTCTATCTTTTCACAGGGGGATTTGACCCATTCACATTTATTGCAATTATTGATATTGTTATACTTACCAATTCTCTTAATTTCTATTTATTGTTTTATATTTTTAAATGTGGTTGTTATATTGGTTTAGTATTCTTCACTTATTTGCTTTCCTCTAGGATATTCGAAGATATGTATCTGATTTTAAGCAATTTTTGATGCATAACATAAAGAAATTAAGGACAGTTTGGTAGACTAAATCAGATCATGGCATGTGAGGGACAGAATTGTAAGGACAAAAAACATGGTGGGCATTGGAATCACAATAAGACACTTGTTAGCAAGAAAGACTAGTAGGTTTTCATTAATTCATTCATATGAAAGTATTGAATATCTGCAATGTACCACATGCATCTCCAGGTTCCAGGAAGTGAAAGACATTCAATCAGACATAGTGGTAATCATGAAGGAGCTTCCTGCCATAAGAGAGACAGAAATAAATGCGATAGGTTATGCTGAGTGAATCTTAGACTTAGGTAAGGGCAATAAGAACTCATTACCCAGGTAGAGAGGGGCGTGGAGTGATGTGAGCCATGTAGGGCACAGAGAGGTGGTGGTGGGGGTAGAAGTGCTTGCTCTGAACACTGAGTAGGTGTGCATTAAGGGAACTGACCAGTTTAGTGTGGCTGGATCATGTTGAAGGTGAAAACTTACATGTATTGAGGCTAAAGAAGTAATAGGTGGGCGACAGTGGACCTGAAATGTATCCTACAGCAGTAAGAAAATGGTGTGGCTGAACCATGGGGTCAGATGTAGGGATGGGGTAAACATTGAACCAAGAAGAATCTTTTCAGGGTCTGATGGCACTGGAATCAACGTTTGGCCTTTTATTTGGGGGGATAAAATATAAACTTAGAGCTTCTGTGTGAAGTTTGGGCTACTCATCATTAGGGAAGGTGACCAAAAGGAACTCATATTTTCCAGAACCTTCTATATTACAGGCATTATCCATGCAATATCTCACTGAATTCCCACAACAGTACTGCCTCCTGGGTGGTCCTATCACCACTTCCTACAGATTAAGAAGCTGAGATTTAGAGAAATAAAACTCCAAGGCATAGGACTAGGAAGTAATTATCATAGTTCAAACTCAGACCTATCTGGCCAATAAAGTATGGTTTTTTAGAAAGGAAGAATTTCTGAGCACTTTGAAAAAACGTGCTGCTCACTGCCCACCATATCTAAGTAACCTAGAGAGTAACAGCCCTGTAGTTTTTTCAACAGTCAGTGGTTCCGGAGCAGTCCCCTTGGAGGAAGGGTAAGGAGCAAGGTGAGTTCTGGGAGAAGCTTGGCTCTCCATGTGACCACAAAACCACAAGGATAAGACATGTGCCAGACCACGTGTGCAGTCCCATTTACAGCCACCTGCAAATAATGGGACCGGGCAGTCTGCCGGCCACAGGATAATAAGCCTTAACCATAGGACCCTCTCTCTGGGAGCTCCCAGCTCCGGCACTGAGTGGCCGGAATCAGAGGTGCTCATTTTTTGTTCTCCCAATTCTAGGTGGCTCATTTAAATACCTTTACAAGCTGGATAGCTCCTGGACACTTGAGGGTGTTTCTCTACCTCACTTCCTTACTCTGAGGTCTCCTTGAGGCAAGAATTGCACCTCACTCATTACCCAAAGACTGCACAGATCTTAGCAGGCGTCCAATAAGCAAGTTCGAATAAATGAGTGAAAACTAAAGTCGTGTGCCTGTGTGGGGGGCATGACTCCAATTTCCTTCCTTCTGCCTCCCCTCTCTCACACATGGGTGCTACAGGCCCTCGAAATGCAGTGTGTGGAGCCCTGTGGGGTTTGACTCCTTCCACTTTAACTTCCACTGCTATGGGGAGAAGCAGCTTGAAGTCAGACATGCAAGAAATGGGAGTGAATGTCAATTCCTTAGTAGTTTGTGCTTCAAACTATCGTTTGGCCTGGATGAGACGGGGAGGAGATGTGGTGATTGTTGTCCATTAAATGATGTGTTTCTCTATGACAGAACTTTGCCTATGAAGACAAAGATTTTCTTCTTCTTCTTCTTCTTTTTTTTTTTTCAGAGGGAGTCTCTCTCCATTACCAGGCTGGAGTGCAGTGGCACAACCTCAGCTCACTGCAACCTCCGTCTCCTGGGTTTAGGCAATTCTCCTGCCACAGCCTCCCAAGTAGCTGGGACTACAGGTTCGTGCCACCATGCCCAGCTAATTTTTGTGTTTTTGGTACAGACGGGGTTTCACCATATTGGTCAGGCTGGTCTTGAACTCCTGACCTCGTGATCCACCCGCCTTGGCCTCCCATAGTGCTGGGATTACAGGCATGAGCCACTGCACCTGGCCGAAGATGAGGATTTTCGAAACCTGTTCTGGGAAAGACTTGCTGCTGCAACCGGCCATAAGTTTTAATGCTTTATGATTAGGTGTGAGAATGTTAAGTAACACTATCAGAACCATAATGGAATTTAATGTGCTTTAATATCCTCAACCATGTAAATCTGCTGTAGTTCTGATTACTAAAGGGATACCCTTACCAGAGGATCTCAAAGTGCCTTATAATTACTGGAATATTATTTTGTTCTCTATTATGGGAACCATGAAAAACATCTTTTAAAGAAAAATTGCAGCTAGAAGATTATGAATTAATAACAATAATATTAATAAAAGTAATAATAACGAAAAAGTTCAGTGGTAGGTCCATATGAACAATAATCATCACTTTTTAATCCATGATTTCACTTGATCACATGACAGCCCTGTGAGTTATGGAGTATAGTTCCCATTTTACAAACGAAATTAAGATGCTTAAAGAAATTCTAGGTAAAATAAGCCCAAATCTTGGAAAATGTCCACCTCTGACACAGCCTCCATAGGCAGACAGAAGGATCATGTTACCCACAAAAGAACATCCTCAAAGTGTTAGAGATACATATCCAGCACCAATCCTCTCAAAAATACCTGTCATTGAACGCTAGTGTTGTCCGTGTTACTGTGTGCTGAGTTCTGCCTTGATTTGCGAGCACAGCTTAGAGATCTTTAAATTTATATACTCATTTTCCACAGGTGTCACCTCCACTTTGTGGTGCTCAGGGTTCATTTCCCCAGGTGGTTCCAAGCTTCCCTGTGGATGTTTACAGGTGTCCATGAAGCAATCTTTGTCTCTGTTCACTGGCTTCTGTGGCCTCGTAGGGCCACGAGCCCCTTGAGGCCACATGACCTGTTGCTGGCTCTTATAGCCTTGCCCATTGTACGATCTTACCAGATCAAGCACAACCACCTCCAAGCCATTAATGATAGAAGCCAGGTTGTAATTCTGCAGGCTGGATGCTGTTGAAGGGTTTTGGTGTCCACAGCCCTTGAGGTCATCCAAAGGTATTGCTCCAAGCAGAGTGTGCCATATGGCTGGCTTTGCTGCTTTAAACACCTAGGCCTGGAGTAGTCCACTGCTACTAACTCCAGCTGCACTCTCCTGTAAGCCATCCGGGCCATGAAGGTTCCTGTACTCCTTCTCTTTCTCACTTCAAGTAGCATTCTGGGGTGTCCTATCATAGAAAAATGGCCTGTAAAATCCCATTACTGGGTATTTACCCAAAGGATTATAAACCATTCTACTATAAAGACACATGCACACATATGTTTATTGCAGCACTATTTACAATAGCAAAAAATTTGAACCAACCCAAATGTCTGTCAGTAATAGACTGTATAAAGAAAATGTGGCACATATACACCATGGAATACTATGCAGCCATAAAAAAGAATGAGATCATGTCCTCTGCAGGGACAGACATGGATGAAGCTGGAAGCCATCATTCTCAGCAAACTAACACAGGAACAGAAAATCAAATACTGCCCTGTGGGGGTCATACTATAGATGGTGGTAGCTGTGATTTATTAAGCCTGTACTCTCCATATCTGACATAGCACTATACTCCTTGCATACATCATTTCTGATCACAACATCCTGGTTAATGGAATGTCATCACCTTGCAGGTCCATTTTTTTAGCTCTTCTAGTTCACACAAAAACGTAGTGATTTCACCCCAAGGTACATCCATGGTGCCAGGAGGATGTGTTGAGATGGGCTGTGCTTTCAAGGGCACACCATGCCCTGAGCTCCATGTTTACTTGCTGTCTTCAGAAGATTTAGTCCATGGCCCTTGAGTCCCAAACAGGACTCCAATGCATCTGGGATAGATTGTCTGCAAAAATGGTCCCACTTGATGAAAAGAGTTATTATGGAGACGGGTGTTAGTGAAAGTCATATAACCTTTGAGTGTATTTAATACCACTGGCCTGTACACTTAAAAATGGTTAAGATGATACATTTTACGTTATGTGTATTTTAACACAATTTTTAAAAATGGGGAAAATAATGGTCATTTCCTTGCATCTGTGTCCCTGTGCAATGTGACCTTGCAGCTCCAGGCCTTACATGAACTTTACATGTATTGTCTTGTTCAGTGCTCACAGCTGCTGCACATCAAGTACTAGGATTATCCCCATTTTACAGACTAGGAACACAGGCACAGTTTAATTGCCACTCAAATTATGTGTGGGAAATGATCAAGCTGGGATTTGAAGCCAGCCAGCTGGGCTCCAGAGCCAGTGCCTGTAACCACCAAGCCACATTGTCTCATAGCATGCAAGAGGACGCAGAAGGGAAGGAGTATGTGGATAAGCAGGCGAGGCACTGAGGAGTGAGAGAGTGAGCACACGAGTGCAGGAGTGAACCGGTGGATGGCGATGAACAGCTGATCCGGTGAAGGAACCCTGAAAGCATGGATGCATGAGTAAATAAGAGTTTGTAAATGCATGCTGAGTCCAGGCACTGATGCCTGAATGACTGAATGGGTCCCTGCAGGGAGACTTTCCTTTTGGGCTGTGCACAATAGGACAGCCTGAGTGACCTCTGGCCACCAGGCCCAGCTATGTTTTGCTGCTGTGGCTGCTCATGTAGCAGGTTGTTCACCAGCTCATGGAGTTGCAAATCTGATTTCCCAAAATAGTCTCAGACAACACAGTGTACAACGACACTGGGGCATTGGAGCCCACTCCAGGGAAGGCAAGGTGTACTTCAGAGGCTCATTATAATCAGCAGACGGATCTTGGCACAGGCTGTTGTCTCCTCTTACAGCTCCTGACTTTCAACAGGCCCTTGGCTTCCTCCTTCCCCGAGCCTGCGCCTCAGCAGGAGGCTTAGTTCAAGGAGACTGTATGCAATTCTGCATGGCATGCTGATATCTGCCGTCCCCAGAACCTCCTACCACGGCCAGCTGATTTCTAGCTTATGTTGGGGATCTCCATCACCTTTAACACAGAGTCCAAGTGCTTTAGCTGACTTTCCAAAGGGCTTTCTCCCCTGGCCCCACCTCACTTCTTCAGCACCCTCTTACCCTGGTTCCCATCTCCTCCAGCTCTGACCTGGATCATCAGTCAGGCTTCTGAAGCCCATCTCTTCAAATTCCCTGTCTAACCTCATTTGAAACCCTACTCACCTTTCTAGCTCTAGCTTCTAACATGTGCTTTGTACTTTCTGCCTCCTACCTAGTGATTACCATGCCCCACCTTCCAGCCTAGGCTTAGAGCTTCTTAAAAGCTTATTATATTTGTATTCTAGTTCACTGATTGCTGCTGAATATGTACCTTACAAGCCACAATTATCAACCATTTTATTACAACTCTCATCTGTTTTTCCAGTGGAACACTGTTTCTGAAGTGATAGGCATGGTCTCTGAGCTTCTGCCTCAGCTCAACCCTGTCTCATGGCTTTCCCCTGCCACTCGCTATGTGGTCACAGAGCAGTGGCTTCATCTGGGTTTAATTTACGGGCCAGCCACTACATGTTGTGTAAACTTGGTGAATTTCTGAACCCTTGGCGAATTTCTGAACCCTTGGCACCTTGGTTTTCTCTTCTGTAAAGTGGGAATAATGGTAATTGCCATATAGTGCTGTTGCAGAAATGTATTATAAAATAAGTAAAGAACCTGCTCAATGCTTGGCCTGTACTGATGTTAGAATTACTGTTATTGTTATGAAAGAGTCAAACCAGTTTAAACATTTAAATAAGTTGACTCATTACTCAATGCCAGGCCCCGTGCTGGCTTTGTGTTCATTATGTTATGCATGAGGGAGACACTGCTGTTTCCACTCTCCTAATTTTGTCGATGTGGAAACTGAGTTTTAGGGCTTTAAGGAACTTGTCCAGGGTCATTCAGCTTCAGTGGGCACTAGACCATCACTTCGTAGATGAAACTGAGCTTTACATAAGAGGTTTTGCCAAATGTTAGTCCCACATTGCAGACCAGTTTCCTGTGGATGTGAAGATATTTGTCAGAAACTGTGAGGTGCTCTCTTGTACACTGCAGGGTTGACTTTCTTTCCTAGAATTCCAGCTCACTCCCTGGTTTGCTTATATGGGTTTTAGATTCCTAGTAAAAGCATGCATTTCAGGCCAACACTAGCTTCAGTAATGCCTTGTAATGCTGGGAGGTACTTCCTTGTCCCTTTTGTCCTTTGATGGCTCCTTTTTTTTTTCAGAATTGTTCACAATTTGTTGAAAGGTGACATTCTTTTCTGATACTTTACTTTGAAGGTCCTTAGAACATCAAACTTTTACAGGAAGGAACCGGAGAAGTGACTTTCACACATTCATTGGTTCATTTGTTCAGGCCACAAAAATGCATTGAGACCTTAGACACTGCAAGGATGCAAAAGTAACTGGAAGAAGGACCTTCCTTCAGTGAGTTCTGAGGCTGGTAAGAGGGAGCAAAACACAACATAACAGATTTAACTAAATGCCATCCTGCACATCTTCCCAAACATTTCAAAATGGGTTTCTATTCTTGGATTAGGTAATAGTGTTCTAATCTTAAAATACCTTGCAGGAAAAAATGTGTGCTGTTCGTTCATTCATTCATTTTTCTATTTACTTACCTGGCATCTACTTTGGACCAAGCTTTGTGCTGGGTGCTTGAAGCAGTGCTTGTAGGCCATAGCACCTGCCCTCAAGGTGCTATGGCCTACAAGGGGGTGGTGGTAAGGGGACCAGTAAGCAGATGGAGCAGTGCTGCGTGACAAGGGCTTTGCCAGTGGGAAGAGCAGGGAGGTGAGGGCGTACACACGACGCCCAAGGCTGGAGAGTCCACAAGGCTTCCTGCAGGAAGAAAATCTCAAGGGAAGTGAGTACAGAAAGACGCCGTGACTAAGGGAGAGGATGGAAAGGGTGCGAGAGGAGCCAGGGCACGGCTTCCTGCAGGAGCAGTTGAGAGCAGCTCGGGAGCTCCACAGAAGAAAGCTGCAGCCACTCTCATCTCTGTTCCCTGTGAAGATGTGATGTGGTCACTGCACTTAAGCGATACAGCCCCTTCTTGAAAGCCACACATAAGGACATTTCTAAAAGAAAGCATTTTGCACAGAGAATATTTGTAGTCAATAATCTCTAATAACTAGGATGTTCTTAGCTAGCACTTTCCCGAATATATGCAGTGACTTCTTGCCCCACCCCCTGGAGTGTTGCT
This sequence comes from Homo sapiens, assembly GCF_000001405.40. NCBI lineage: Eukaryota > Metazoa > Chordata > Mammalia > Primates > Hominidae > Homo > Homo sapiens. Next base: position 98,610,661 of record NC_000014.9, on the reverse strand, counting down.
GGTGATGGTGGAAGACCTGCCATCATGGCTGCAGTAGCCTCGCTGGAATGTTCTGGAAACAGCACTTTCTTTATTGGATAAAGTTTTCTGATGGCACCTTAGGCTGGGAGGTGAGACAGGGGCTCCCAGTCCACTCTAGAGAAGGTGAGGTGTACTTCAAAGGCTCATTATAATCAGCAGACGGATCTTGGCACAAGCTATTGTCTCCTCTTACAGCTCCTGACTTTCAACAGGCCCTTGGCTTCCTCCTTCCCCAAGTCTCCACCTTTAGATAGCAAAGTAATCTCTCTATCTATCCTGAAGCCCTTTAGATAGTAAGTAATTCTCTACTTTGACTAGTTTTTACTCCAGTCACCCCCTGCCCTTACTCTTGTTTACTCTAGCTGCCTAATTTTAGTATGAATTTTTCCCTACTCGCCACTCTGCCCTTCTTTGGAGTTCAGCCTGCTACAAGACCAGAAGTTCACCTTATCTGACGACATTCTGCTCCATAAATCCCAGAAACAGGTCTCTCATAAGTACCTTTTTTTTTCATGAGTTCCTACATAATCTTCATAACCATTATATTTTAGGTTTTTTTTTCTTTTCTGATTACCAACTTACCACATGCTTGTTGTAGAAAAATTGGAAAAACACAAAACATTCAAGAAAAAAATGAAAATCTCCTAGACATTCATAACCCTGAGAAAACCACCACTGACACATCAAGACCATTATTTTAAGCACTAATATTTTATCACGTTAAAACCATCATTTACTTAGCAGCCCTGATAGCACAAAGGTTATTTCTGTTCTTTTTTTTTTTAATCATAAACCCTCAGGGAACAGCTTTTTCTCACACTTATATTTAAGAAAAGATCCATCTACATATAGAAAAAAAATTGCAACTGCAATCCCTGAGCTGTCAGCAGGTTCGTGATTTTCCTTGTACCTAGTAGATTCTCTTTATAAAGAAAATGAGAGGAAAAAGAGGAAGAAAGAAAGGAAGAGAAGACATTGGGAGAGAGAGAGAGAGAGGACAGGAAGCAGGATGGATAAAGGCAGGAGAGATGAAAGCAAGTTGGTGATTCAGATCCCCAGCCCGAGGCAGATGGAAGTGGAGTGAGACCCCTCATCTGCTACCCCTTCACTGAGGGATGTTGACCCTTGACTTAGCGCCTCTGATTCCAGATCCCCTCTCTGTAAAGTAGGAGAAGAATAACATTTACATTACAGAGTTATCGAGGGTATTGAATGCGATAATACAGCTCAAGTGCTTTGCAAGGTACCTGGGGCATAGTCAAGGGCTCCATGAATATTAGCTGTGATTCTGGATGACCCACTGACCACAGAAAAGTCTGGAGAGGCTTTCCCTCTCTGCCCTCCACCACCACATAACCCCCTCCATGCTCTAAGAGTTGATGCCCAAGCCTGCAGGGGCAAGAAAAAGTTCAGGGCACCCGACTCCTAGCACACATGGCAGCCCACGTGTGATGCTGAGATGTCTTCCAAACGGCCTGGGGTTCAGGTTCCTCCTCCTTAAAATGGGCGCACAGGGATATGGTCAAGGTAATTTGTACACTGGATGAATGAAGTCTTTTGGAGGCTGCAAAGCCCTGCAAACAGATGTCAGATATGGTGGAAAGGGTGAGTGTGTGGGGATCTGACATCCCTGAGGTGCATGCCATGCAAGTGAGGAGGCCTTGCCCCTCTGAGCGCCTCACTTTTCTTCTCTGGAAACTGGGGGTTTTGTTACCTGCCTTGAGTCTATGAGAGAAGGAAGCACTCTGGGGAACTCCAGGCCTACAACAGAGCTCAGTGCCCTGTGATCATTTCCTGTGCAGTCCCTGGGGCAGCCCATTCTCTTCCATAGTGCAGGATCACTTGCCAGCGCAGCTCAGGGGTTCATCTGCTCCACACAGTCCTAGTTCCAGGGACACAAGTCTTAGGCCTCTCCGATGGAGAGGCCACAAATGAAGACCAACCTCATTCCTGGAGCCTCCATAATCTGGGTAGATGGCAGATGATCCCTGATGGTCTCTAGGGAGAGTCTGAAGCCTGTACTGAGCCTGGCTTTGGTCCCAAGGAGAGGAGTTGCGAGGATGGCTGCTTCTCCGCATGGAGGCCCTCCTCCCACTGTGCTCTGAGGAGGAGATCACCTTTCTTTCAAGGTGTAGTACTTTCAGTGCATAAGACTTGACAGGTTCACAGGGAAGCCTGTTGCCAGGGCCCAGGAGAGAAGGCAGTAGAGAAGACATCGCTGGCAGCTGCACAGACGGGGCCTTTGGGCAGGAATTGCTGGCCAGCTTGGGGGAGGTTGGAGTGGCCCACCGTGCACAGGGCTGCTGGAAGCCAGATATGTCTGCCTGGGAATACTTCCTTCTCCCTTCCAGGAGTGGGCAGGGGCAGGCAAGGAAGTGCTCTTCACAGAGGAGGATAGGACACAGATAGCAAGTGGTGGGGCTCCCGGGGACAGCCTGGCCTTGCCCAGCTGCAGACACAGATACAGGGACCCTACAGGTTTAGCCCAGGTGAGCGGTAACCCTGGGATGGAGTTGAAGGGCTGGACGGGAGTGGGATGGGGAGCCACTGTTTTCTCAGCACTTGTTATGAAGCTTTCATCATGCTGCATACTTCAATACACTTTTAAAGGCGTAGTCCTTAGAAAATATTGCTAAGTGGATTTAAGCCCCTTTTAATCAGTGGAGAAACCGAGGCTCAGAAGAGTTCAGTAAGTCACCCAAGGTTACCAGCTGGTCAGTGGCGAATTGGAATTCAGATCTGGGGTTCCTGAGCCAGTGCCCTCGTGTCCTGTGTTGTGCTTTTCCAGAAGATCAGTGAGACCTGCACCTTAACAAGCTGCCAGCTTGTCTTGCCCAGCCATGGCCTTCCTGGAGTCCCTCAGGAGCCTCCTGTCCCAGCTCTGCCCCATGCCAGGTGTCTGACCATGGGCAGGTCCACCTGCCCTGGTGGCTCCCTTTTTAGTAACAGGATCCAAAGCTGCCAGTTTATAAGGTTGTTGGAGTGCCCGAGGAAGAAAGCAGGGAGTGCTGAGCAGGGAACTGCAGAACCCTGATTAAAATGCACTTCCTCCTTCTCACCTATCAAGGTTTGGGCTCCCCAGTAAGCTGACTGAGAGATGATAGGTGGTGTGTGGAGGTTCAGTAGGGACCATGGATCACCTGTGGAAGGGAGGAAGGGAGCAGAACTGGACAGAGGAAGAGTCCTGCTGAGATGCGGGCACCAGGACTGCTGAGTTGTCCCACCCTCACACCCCTGTGACCAGCCTGTGGGTGGGAGTCAGCCCAATAAAGCTGCGACCTTGCTCAAAGCAGCCCTCTGAGGTGGAGGCAATTCTGCAAGGGCCCACGGTACTCCCAGAAGCTGGCACACTGAACAGACACCTGGGCAGGGTGGCCCAGGGTCAGTCACACCCTGGCCCCATGCTCTGCACCCAGCCCCTCTCCGGGTGGCCTTTGACTCCCTCCCTCTGATCTGGCTCTATTCCCCTCCCTGTTGGTTCGTCCCAACATGCTGCTTAGCTCTTGTCTTCTTCACCCAGCTTCACAGCAGACTCTGCCTCCTGAGTTGCCCAGTGGAAACAGATGCTTCCTAAGACTTCCAGGCCATTTTCCCGGGACTTCTTCTCCCTCCACCCAGCATGTGTCTGGCCTGAGGTTACTGGGCCCCTTGGAGTTGCACCTGCACCCTGCCCCCATCCAGGCCTACTACCTGGCCAGCACCTCCAGCCCTACCACCTGGCCAGCACCTCCAGCCCTGGCCTCTTGTGCTCCACCTTCCCTGGCCTCCCTGCCAGCCTATGCTGCGAGCACGCCTCCTACAGTCCCAGCATCCAGCATCTTCCCAGTGACACGAGGGCATCATCCCTGTTTAAATAAAGGAACGGAATGTGTTGAAAGGTGTGAGTACAATCACCCGATCCACGTTTTCCTTTAGCTGTAACAAAGACATACACGCCAATAGCAATTTCTTCTCCTTACATTCTCAGCACCTTTTGCTCCAAAGGCAGTCACCTCCTCCCATGCAGACAGCCTCTGTGTAATTGGAAAAAAATGGAGCTTCAGCTAAGCAGAGACAAGGAAGCTAATGTTACTTGAAATGAAGAGCACTTAGAGCCCCACTTCCACAACGGTGCCCTGAGCAAGATACCGCTGAGGATGGCCAGTAAGACCCAGCAGGGAGAAAGGGGAGGTGTGCCTCCCTGGCAAGGGCTCCTCAGGTAGAAAACAAAGCCTCGGCCTTTTTCTTTGAGGCACCAGCCCAGCTCCAGGCTGTTGGGAGTTTTGTGCAGCCAAGAACTGCCCTCATAAGACAGCATCCCAGCTACAAGCTCTGTGCTGAGTCTCGTCAGCCACTCAATTTGTTTGGCCATTATTTTCCTGGCCTGGCCCACAGAGGCCTGGCCTTCTCTTGGCTCTGACGATGACCTGCTGTGTTCTCAACCCTTGAATCTCAACTGCAGCAGCCTCCAGACAATCCCTGCCTCCCAGCCTTGGGGGCCCTCCTCATGGTTCGTGGTTTGTCCTGGCCTCCATGACAGGGAATTGGACATGCACAGCCAGTCTCCCCTCATCCTAACTGGCTCTGGAGGGTGGGCGTCACGAGCTCTCTGTTGCTTTCTCTCTTTACCTGATGCTGATCTTGACACTAGACTTTCACTAACAACTCCCTCGGTCTCCAGGTTTATCTTAGAGGGAGTGTGTTAGGTGTGAAGTTTGAGTGAATATGGCCTAGGAGGGAGGCTGAAGGAATGGCCAAAATCAGGTTTATTGCTTGGCCCTTGTGGCTTTACGTATATGATTATCTTCTGGTCCTAAGATTTTGTGACTCTGTTTTTCTGCCTAACTATGAAATTTCAAGTCATTAACATTGAGCATCCATTCTGGGATGGGGTGGGAGGGTGAGGTGTGACTTTCATCTGCTGGAATCTACCAAAAGATTTTGATGTGCTAACAGCTCCTGACACAAATGGAAGACACCGATTAAGCTAATAAGCTATTAAGTGGAGTGAGATTGGTCAGGTCAGCTTAAATTCAACCTATTTCCTAGGATTGTAGGATGTTAACCATAGCCACGCACTTGTATTTGTCTGCGTACATTCCTTCTATGCAAAAATCTATAAAACTAATCCAACTGGCAAAGAAAGTTTTGTGCTAATAAAGTTGCTAATGGAGCTTAGGACTAAGATTTAAATAACTAACATTGAATGCAGAAAAGAAACATTTTAATTATTTAATAGGGCATGAAAAGGAATTCCAAAGTATTTCTACAGAAGCAGTCCCAATGGGTATAATTTTGGTCCCCAAATTTTATTCTTATTCTTTGAAGATGATGGCCTGAACTTCTTATTTCACTGGATTAAAGGAATTGAAATTCTCAAGGAGAAGTGTTAGGAGGATGGGCTAATTTAGAGACCAGCAGGGGAGGCTGTATCCCAGCAAAGGGAGGCATTTAGGGGGAGATGAGGTGTCCCAAAGAAGAGATGGAAGAACTGAGATGCGGAAAAAACACGTCTTGGGACAACCCTTGGGTCCTTATAAATAATCATGATAATTTGCATCTCAGTAGTGTTTTATAATTTATAGTCTACTTCCTACATTTCTTCTCATCTGTTACTCATTAGAGCCCTCTCCAGAAGTTGTTATTATTCCTGTTTCACAGACAAGGAAACCGAGGCTCAGAAAAAAGATAGGTTATCTATGTAGTAAGCCCAAATTCTGCCCTACTCTGCTCCAGGATGTAGGAGACATCTGTGTCACACTTGGAGTTCTGGCCATGAGTACCATCCCTTCCATAGAGGCAGGCACCCAGAAAACTGGGGTGGGGGCAGAGAGAAGGCATCCTCCAGGGATGCTCCTGATCTTAGTACTCGTTTCCTGAGTCTTAGTGCATTGCTGTGTTGCTAGGTTGTTCAAGAAGTCAGCTTATTAATACTGAAGATGAGATATCCCTACAGTTGAGAAAGACCTGAGTCTAAGTCTAGAAGCAAAGAGTCACTGCTAAGGAGAATGTTCTCAAAACAGGCACAGGTGTCTTGTTAATTTCTAGGAACCTCGCCATTGTAATGCTCCCCTCTAACTGGCATCCCCTTCCCACTTGGCTCACCCTGGTGAAGTTCTTGCCTGTGCATTTGCCACTTAGACCCTAAATTTAGTTTCCCCCACCTGCCCCACATGACCAAGTACTCTAATGCACTGAAGCCATCTCAGAAGAAGTTCTCTCTGGACCTCAGTGCCAAGTCACGGCCTTCATGTTTGAAAAGTTTGCTGGAAACCATGTTGATAGGAAATATGTCTGAACTCTTTTGAAGTTCAACCTTTTAGAAGCAAAGCTCTCCCTTTCTGCGTACTTTCTATCTATAGCTGGCCAAACAGATCTTTAGAAAAGTTATTTTGTAAGTAACAAAGTCCCTTAGATAGCAAGTAATTCTTCAAAACCATTTTGATCAGTTGAAGTACATCCTATGTTGGATTGAATGTTTTGGAATGTACACCCAAGTTTATGAAGTTTAAAGTGCTTGAAAAAAATGCATTTTGTTTCTGTTGAATCTTGAATGTTGGAATAATTTATGCAATACCTGTTCTTATTGCACACCTAATGCTGCTATTTCTTCTGTGTGCCGCAAAAAAAACAGTATTCAGCAAGGAATTCCAAAATGTGTGTTCATCCACCTGTTACCATCACATCTTACTCTAGAGGTGAGTAAACTCAGTAACCTCCATGTCAATCAGTCTGGACTCTCCATTTAAACAGGGGTTGAGTTTAGGAGGAAAAAAGACCCGCTAAATATATGTGTAGGTATAAAACAGATATTTGAGATGACTTAGCTGGTAGTTTTCAAAGCTAGGTTTTAAAATCCGTTTACCGAGACAATTTAGCAATTCACCAAAAGAGAGGTTTGGAATTGGAAAATCAAACACACAGAAGGTCATAGGCTCCAAAATGTGAAGATTATGTCATTTTACCTGAAACGTTCCCTTAAAAATTCATTTCAATGTGAAAATTATTTTGTGGTCTGTGTATATTTATACACAGGATAATGATGATTACATGGAATTTAGTAATATCTTAAACCTGGAGTCACAATTCACATTACTTCTGAAGTGTAGAACTTCAAAAGATTGTTTTCCGTTTTGAAATGTATGGTGAATGCTTGTGCCAAGAAATAAGCACCAGCCCAAGGCTTATGACAGGTGTCCTCCCATGAGGCTCTGACTCTGTACATGGAATTCCTTATCATCATTCTGGTAACTCTTCAGGGTGATGTTGATTATTTGGCACTAACACATTACCGGTGCTGAATGACATTCAGGTTGGCTAACCATTAAATTCCTTCTAGGTTGTTTTAAAAAGAGATTAAAATCCACTGCCTGTGGATGACCACCCGAAGCCTGTGTCCATGTGGCCCTCTGCAGACTCCTTTTTGACCTCAGCCCTTGCTACCCGACCCTGAGCCACGTGGAGCCTCCCGCTGGCCCCCCATGCACCTCGTGACACTTCATGTCTCTGGCTCTGTTCTGCCTACTGGGCCCTCCCCTCTGCCTGCTGTTCTTCTCCTTCCCCATGGGCTGCACAGCTAGCTCACCCCACACACTTCCTTCCTGCAGTTTCCCAGCTGGAGTGAGTCCTTCTGCTCTCCCTGCCATCTTGTCCACGCTTCTATTTTTCTAGCTTGTTTCTGTCTACCTGTCTCTTTTCCCCCATAGACTGTGAAATTCCTGAGGACAGTGACTGATGAAGGCATTTATTGGTTTGTGTGTTTTCTGTCTTGTGTTCTTTTGTCCAGGGGAAACCACAGGCAGATATATTCAGTGAGTCCAGGAATGTGGAGTGAAATGACCACAGGACCACAAGCTCTCGGAGGATAGAATGGGGGCCTGATTTCAGAGTCAATACTGGGTTCTGATGCCTCCGATTTAATCCAAGATCTGAAGAGGCAGGAGTGTGTGAGTGATCAGGGTTGTAACCTTTAAGTTCCTGGGAGACCCCAAGTGTCTTGAGTAAGTTTGATGCCCAGCAATGGGGAAAGTGGGAACCCATGGATGAAACCTAGGAAACAGTCAAGTCACAGGTGCAGGGAGAGGGGTGCAGGGGGAAGAGAGAAACTTAATTGATTTTGCCCGGTGATACCTTTTTACCTGTGGCTTCCTCTATTCCATGGTGTGCAAACTGGAGTCCTCTGGTATTATAAAGATGTTTTTGGTATCTGTTTGTATTTTCAGTAAGTTGCTTCTGATTTCCATGGGTGTTTCCTTCCATTGGGTGAGTTCATTTTTTTCATTTATTTATTTATTCATTCATTCATTCACATATTCAACAAGGATATGCCAGACGCAGTTGCCAGGCTGCATGGGGGAGATGGGGAGAAGCAGATGGGGACTTATCCTCATGGAGCCTCTGATCTTGTGGTTGAGACCAGCAAGGCAGCAGAAGGCAGGATGGAGAGCTGCAGGGGACAGAGGAGGACCAATCCACCCTGGGGAGGCTGGGGCCAGGGAAGACTTCCAGAAGAGATGACATCTGAAGTGAGTCTTAAACAAGCAAGATGAGGGTTAAATGGAAATGCTGGGGGAGGAGGGCCTTGCAGACAGAAAGAACTACATGTAGGGGTATGTGAGGGAGTCTGACTGAACTTGAGGTTGCATTTGCAACAGCGGTGAACTGCTGGGCCGAGGGGCCGCAAGGTTTGAAGCAGGGGTGTCGGGATGAGATGTGTGTTTTAAAAAGCCCCCTCAGGCAGTTACATTGTGCAGGAAGATTCACTGCCTGTAGAATGAGAAGCAACTTTGTTCATGCTGAGACACTTCCCAATTGCACCTTGTGAAGCTGATGCCCTGTGGTTCTAATGGACCCCGTGAGCAGGTGTTACTGAACTTGTGGAGGTCTTGCAAACAGGACGGTCTGCACCTCCTGCCTGAAGGCAAAACAGGGAGTGGATTAGAAATTTCCAAGCAGTGTTCCAGAAGCAGAAGCCACCAGCTCCTAGTGGGCATTTCTTATGTAGACATTGGCTTTGAGGCTTGAGTAAGAAAACTGTATTTTTGCAGAGTTTAGGTTGACATGGGGAATCTGTCCTGAATCAGGACGTTCTTCATGTCCTCAAGTAATGCTCCCAACTCCACCTTCCATAAGGGCTTTCAAAAGTCCATGCACCATTGATTTCCAGCCAGAGACAGCTGTGTACACCTGGTGCCCACAGGCAGGGGACCTAGGACCTCTGTAGAAGGGAAGAACTTTCTTTTAACTCAGCTAGTAGAGAATGGAAAAGGCTGCTCATGAGGACCTGGCTTGCACCCTTTGAGACCGTTGAGAGGCTGGGAGGGGGGCAGACACCCACTTATGTGCACCATGCGTGGACACGTATGAGAACTGTGCAGTGCACCCGTCCTCACAGAGGGGAATGGAGTAGACTCTGTAAAACATTTTTTTTTTTTTTTTGAGATGGAGTCTCACTCTGTCGCCCAGGCTGGAGTGCAGTGGTGCGATCTCGGCTCACTGCAACCTCTGCCTCCTGGGTTCAAGCAATTCTCCTGCCTCAGCCTCCCTAGTAGCTGGGACTACAGGCACATGTCACCACACCTGGCTGATTTTTTGTATTTTTAGTAGAGACAGGGTTTCACCGTGTTAACCAAGATGGTCTCAATCTCCTGACCTCGTGATCCCCTTGCCTTGGCCTCCCAAAGTGCTGGGATTACAGGTGTGAGTCACTACACCCGGCTTATAAAATTTTTTTAAAGTTAAAAAGTAACACCGGATTGCAAAAATGAAAAAAAAATAGAGAAACATATAGAAGGAAAAGTCTTTCATTATTTATGTTTTCTACTCTTCCCTCTTCTACTCTTCGAGCTGCCCGTATTTATATTTCTATACCCTTCTAGAAAGATCAATCTGGGAAACAGAGATATGCAAATACCTGGGAAACAGAGATATTCCATTGGCATATATTTAGTAGGAATAAATAAGCATATTTATGTATGCTTTAATTGCATGGATATATATCTGCATATATATCATATCACATGCAATATAATGCATACACTTGCATTCATCAATGCATAGATGGATGCACATATATCAATGTATTTCAAGAGTATATATTTTATATTTTCCTTTAAATTGCTTTTCTCACTGTATGTATTTTAATTTTATTAGTTTTTTTCCCTGAATAACATAACGAATGTCTTTCTATGCCAATTTCCATGAAGCACATTTTTTTTTGAGATGGAGTCTCACTCTGTTGCCCCCCCAGCTAGAGTGCATGGGTACGATCTCAGTTCACTGCAACCTCTGCCTCCTGGGTTCAAACAATTCTCCTGCCTCAGTCTCCTGAGTAGCTGAGATCACAGGCATGTACCACTACGTACAGCTAATTTTTTGTATTTTTTGTAGAGATGTAGTTTTGCCATGTTGGCCAGGATTATCTTGAACTCCTGACCTCAGGTGATCCACCTGCCTCAGCCTCCCAAAGTGCTAGGATTATAGGCGTGAGCCACTGCACCTGGCTTGAGGCACATTTTTTAATGGCAGCAAAAAAAAAAAAAAAAAAAGAAAATCCCATAGTTTATATTTAATTAACTGATCCTACTTTTAACATTTTTATATTTTACAAACATTGCTAAAAATATCATTGTATACCAAGTTGCATATTATTTTAAATATACTTGTTTAAATGCATGAGTATTTACATATTACAAAATATACAATTTCTTGGTCAACAGTATGTGTGTGTTTTAAATTATTATAAAAAAGCCCTTTTATTATAAAATATACAATTTCTTGGTCAACAGTATGTGTATGTTTTAAATTATTATAAAAAAGCCCTTTATTATAAAAAATGGCCCTTTTAAAATGGTACCAGTTTTCACTTCCAGTTTGTTAAGTACCAGTACCAGTTTGTTAAGAAGTGCCTGCTTTCCAAAACTTTTGCCAATTGCATTTTAAAAAATTATTTGTAAATCAGAGGGTTGAAAATTGTACCACAACTTTTAAGTTTTCATTTCTCTGGTTAATAGCAGGCCTATTAATCTTTTTTATAAATTTATTGGCTATTTGTGTTTACTTTCCTTGCATTGACTATATATAACTTTTGGACATTTTTTTCCTTTCTCATTTGCCCTTTTGTATTAACTTTATAAAGAGGCTTTATAATTTACTGAGTTATTAATGTAGTAAAATAATCTATTGAGAAAGTAACTTTTATGTTTCTTACCTGTAGGCACTCCTTAAAGAAATGACAGATATTTCCCCAAATCGTGTCTCCACCCTCAGGCTTCTCTTTCTACCAGGCATGGTGCCAGGTTTTGCTCTTGGTGTCTGGGCCCTCCCTAATCCCATGGCTGGGAGGGTTTTGTGCGTTGTAGGCCCAGGGAGGAGAACACGCCAGGTGGCAGGCACCCTCCCTAAACAGGTCTTTGATTTCCATGCCTGGGCCCACTGAGGCAATTAAGCTGGATTTGTCTGATGGGGCAGGGGATCAAAGGTTTGATGTTTTGAAAACTGAAGAGGTAAAAAGCTCAACTTGAGAACGGGAGGGAAAATTCCCCCAGGACAGGAGTTACAGGCTCCTCAGCGGTAGGAACCTGATCTGGAGAGAAAACAGCCTCTCTGGCATGGAAGACCTTATTGTTGGGAGTCCTGAGCCCTTGGCCCTGTGGCCTGGGAGCCCGAGCTGTTGCTGGGACAGCAGGAGAGAATCGATCAGAATTGCCTGTCCTAGAATTGAACCATGCGGGCTTGAGCCAGAAACTGGGCTGCAGCATTCATTCATCCTGGAGGGAGGCCCAGGGTTGGGCCCCATTGCCCAGGACAGGTTCACGTGTGATAAAAATACCATGGAAGGGCCCATGGCTGACTCTTGGTAATGAATCCACTGGCCATCTTTGTTTCGAATTAAATACACAGAAAGGTGGCATTGGCATGACAGCGGAGCCTGGTGGAGAGGAAAATGGGTTCTGGAGCCAGGCGGCTGGGGTTGGGATCAGGTCCTTCTACCTACTTGAGCAATCTTGACCAAGTGACTTCTGTCTGTCTCTCAGTTTCCTCATCTGTTCAGTGGGGATGACAATAGTGCTTGCCTCATGGACTATATGTAGCTAACTTTTGTAAAGCATGTATCAAGTGCTCTATGGGTGCTCACCGTTAATAATATTGTGATCCTCATTAAGACGTGCTGCAAACATGTTCTCCATTTTTTAACTTTGTTTATGGAGAATTCTGTCATCTAAAAGTGTAATGGTGGTAGTAGTTGTTTTGCTGAAGAATTTCGGTCTATGTCTATGTGTGCTGCTATAACAAAGTACCATAGACTGGATGGCTTAAACAACAGAAATTTATTTACCACTGTTCTGGAGGCTGGAAAGTCTAAGATCAAGGTGCTGGCAGGTTCACTGTCTGGTGAGGGCCTGGTCTCCGTCTCTGCTTTCAAGATGGTGCCTTGAATGCTGAGTCTTTCTGAGGGAACAAACACTGTGTGCTCACACGGCAGAAGTTAGAAGGGTGAATGCTGCTTGGAGCCTGTATTAGTCTGTTCTCATGCTGCTGATAAAGACATGCCAGAGACTGGGTAATTTCTAAAGAAAAAGAGTTTTAATGGACTCACAGTTCCACGCGGCTGAGGAAGCCTAGCAATCATGAGACTTATTCACTACCATGAGAACAGTATGGGGGAAACCATCCCATGAATCAATTATCTCCCACCCCACCAATCCCCCCCATGACATGTGGGAATTATGGAAGCTACAATTCAAGGTGAGATTTGGATGGAGACACAGCCAGACCATATCAGAGTCTTTTTGATAAGGGCCTTAATCCTATTCAGGAGTGCAGGAGCCCTCATGACCCAATCACCTCTTAGAGCCCCTTTATTAGGCCGGGTGCAGTGGCTCATGCCTGTGATCTCAGCATTTTGGAAGGCTGAGGCAGGTGGATCACAGAGTCAGGAGTTCGAAACCAGACTGGCCAATATGATGAAACCCTGTCTCTACAAAAAACACAAAAATTAGCCAGGCAACTACTTAGGAGGCTGAGGTAGAAGAATCACTTGAACCTGGGAGGTGGAGGTTGCAGTGAGCCGAGATTGTTCCACTGTACTCCAGCCTGGGCAACAGAGCAAGACTCCATCTCAAAAAAAAAAAAAAAGCCCCTGTATTAGTCCATTTTCATACTGCTGTAAAGAAATAAGGAGAAAAAGGTTTAATGAACTCACAGTTACACATGGCTGGTGAGTCCTCGGGAAACCTACAGTCATGGTGGAAGGGGAAGGAGGAGGAAAGCCATGTCTTACACAGTGGCAGGCAAGAGAACATGTGCAGGGCAACTGCCCTTTATAAGACCATCAGATCTCGTGAGACTTATTTACTATCATGAGAACAGCATGAGAAAAACCTGCCCCCATGATTCTATTACCTCCCACCGGGTTCCTCCCATGACACACGGGGATTGTGGGAGCTACATTTCAAGATGAGATTTGGGTGGGGACATAGCCAAACCATATCAGCCTCCACCTCTTAATAACATCACATTGGCCATTAAGTTTCAACATCTGAATTTTGGAGGGGACATATTCAAACCATAACATTATCTGTTTCATGGCTTTTGGGTTTTGCATCTTTCTTAGGAAGACTCTCCCACATCTTCCTTTCTTCTTAGGAAGACTGTCCCACCTCTGCTCTCTTGGGGAGCAGAGTCAGCCATGATTTTCTCTACTCTTCTTCCTTGTCCCTTTGACGTTTAGATTTCTAATACTGCTTACCTCTGTAACCTCATGTCTTGACATTCCTGCCTTCACACACCATGTTCAGGCCAACAGGCTCCCTTCAGATTCTAGGACACATCAAGCCTTTTTCTGGGTTTGGCATTTCACATGCCTTTTCTTCTGCCTCAAACTCCACCCTGCATTTCTGAGTCAAGGTCCTCTCTGATGAAACCCCAATCTTCTCAGTCATGGAAGTTGACTGGTTCCCTTCTTAGCAGTTCTCACAGTAACATCTTTATTACCTTGTCTATTGTCTAGCTCCCCACTGTAGGAGCCATTAATTCAGGGTCCCTGTCTGTTTCATCCTCTACCATGCTCCCAAGTGCCTAGTAAGGCCTTAAGGCATAGATGTTCAATAAACATTTCTAAAGTGAATGAACAAATCCATCAAAAATTATTTATTTGGGGATGTATTTTGCAGAAGGCATTTGCTTATTTTTCTACAAATAGATAACCAAATGTAACTTCATTCCTTGAATAAAGATAAGGTATCTTTCCTTTATTGTTTTGAAATGCCCTCTTTGCTATGCATTTTATTCTCAAACATAATTGGCACCAATTCTGAACTCCTCTCTCTCTTCTTATATTTCTCCCTTCATTTCTTCCTGGGCTGATATGGCACTGTTTTAGTTATTGTAGCTTGATAGCCATTTTTATGGCAGGGCAAGCTAAGCTTCTCATTATTCTTTATTTAAAATATTTTCTTTGCCAGTTCATGTACATTTTCTTTTCTGAAGGAGTTCAGCACTATCTTGTCAATTTCCATAAAGCATTCTATTGAGATTTTGATTGGAGTTGCATTGTATTTGTAGTCTAAATTGAGGAGACTCAACATCTCTATACCATTCAGTTCACTTATCCATGGTATTGTGTCCAGTGTGTCTCTTCATTCATTCATGTCTTTTTTTTTTTTTTTTTTGGAACAATCTAGACAACTCTAGCTTTCAACATGTAAGTCTCAGACATTTCACATTAGTTTTAGTCCTAGATTTTTTATATGTTGTTTTTGATAGTGTGAATGGAAATTTTTTCCATTACATTTTTTTGCAATCTATAGTAATATAAAATTAAATAATTTCTAAGCTTATACTTTTTATGATACGGTGACTCTGGTACTGAGATAATAGTAATAATAATGATAAATCATAATAACAACCCATTATCAAATGCCTACTAAGTGTCATGTACCATGGTAGAGATTTCTATCACTTTATCATATAACATTATGTATAATAATATATAATATGCATATATATTACTCACTGAGCAATCCCAATCTGAAAACCTGAAATCTGAAATGCTGCAAAATCTGAAAAATGATGCTCAAATAGAATGCAAATTAAAGCATTTTGGATTTCAGATTTCTGGATCAGGGATGCTAAGCCAGCACTACAAATGTTACAAAATCTGGGAAGATCCATAATCTGAAACACTCTGATCCCAAGAATTTTGGATAAGGGATACTCAACCTGAGTTAGATTTTATTTCATATATATAAATACATGAAATTTATATAAATATAAATAGTATATTTATATGTAATATATTATAATGTATTAGATATATTAGTATATCTTGTTTAATCATAACAAAAATGCTACAAAATTGGTATAGTCACCTTGTTTATGCTACATAATGTAGGAAGCTAAGGCTCACAAAGCCAATGTGGCTGGCATACACCACAGGTCTGTCTGATGCTGGACATAGCCTTATCCCACTGTCTGTGCCTCCCAGGTGAGAAGCTCTATTAAAGGCAGATGTTTTATTAGAACTTATATAATGACAATAATCAGTAATTATACTCCCTAATTTTCAGAAATTACCAGAATTGTAATGAATCTTCAGGTTCATCCAGTCTAACTTCATTGGCTGGGGCTTGCCCCTCCTGGTAGTGTCTGTCATGAGATTATGCAGGCACTGCACACACACCTCCATTAATGGGGGGCTCCTCACCTCACATGCTGCCCACAGAGTCTTTGGATGCCTCTGACTGTCTGAACATTCCTCCTTGGGTTGATTAAAACCCATCTCCTGGCTGGGCATGGTGGCTCACGCCTGTAATCCCAGCACTTTGGGAGGCCGAGATGGGCAGATCACGAGGTCAGGAGATTGAGACCACCCTGGCTAACACAGTGAAACCCCGTCTCTACTAAAAATACAAAAAATTAACCGGGCGTGATGGTGGGCACCTGCAGTCCCAGCTACCCGGGAGGCTGAGGCAGGAAAATGGCGTGAACCCGG
Organism: Homo sapiens; assembly: GCF_000001405.40. NCBI lineage: Eukaryota > Metazoa > Chordata > Mammalia > Primates > Hominidae > Homo > Homo sapiens. The sequence continues at coordinate 98,594,667 of NC_000014.9, read as the reverse complement.
GAGGCGGAGATTGCAGTGAGCCGAGATCACGCCACTGCACTCCAGCCTGGGCGACAAAAACAAAAACCAAAAGCAAAAAACAAAAACAAAAAACCATGTCTCTCTGATTTTCACTCCCTGCCATGGGGTCCCATTGCTCCCTGAACCCACTAATTTTAGCTGGCACGTGTTCAATGGAATCTTTCTGTGGAGGCTTTGAGCCGAATAAGGACAAAGGCTGTTTGTCTTCTATTTTCCACTGAATCCCCAGTGCCGCTCTTCACCCTCGACATGGACAAAGTCCTCAATAAATATTTGGTGAATGAGTTGATAAATTGGCTTCATTGACTTACCCAGAGCAAGCTTGTTCCCCCCTCCTCATGGAGCTTTCTCCTAAGAAGAGCACTGAAGAATACCCTTCTAAGCACATTTCTTTGGACATGGTGCAGGTTACTACTGTCCCCACTAGAGTATGGTGTCCTGGGCCACTCCATTTCTCTAGCTTTCACCTGAGCGGACCAAGGACAGGATCATCTAAGGCTCACCGCCGACACACTGTATTCCACGCGTCTCTGACAATCACAATATTTTTCAGCTTTCTTCACTACAATCTCTGGCCTCCATGTAGTATTTATTTTACTTTATTCCAGGTGATATAAATATCACTAGCCTTGTACCCATGGGGCTAGGGCTAGTGACCTTCCTTCCCAAATGCACAGAGCCTGACTCATCAGGAAAATTGTAGACTGCACAGGGCAACACCTAATGGTCTGTTTCAGTTTTATGCATGTTTTGGAGATATATGTTCCTCGGGAGAGCTGCCTGCCCATTTGTCCACTCAGATTTCTCCACGCAGCAGGACCATGATGATCCTTAAAATAATACTAATGAGACAGGAGGCATTGCTGCTGCTGAGTTTTGGCTCCCTGTTCTCTGTGGGATGTGAAGCTGACTGGAGCTGGTTGGGTCAGGCAGCTGTGGAGGGCTGGGCTCCCAGACACAGCAGAACAATGAGGGCCAGTGGAGGAGGCCGAGCCAGGGCTGAGAGGGACACTCGTGCCCCTGTCTTCATTTGGCTCCAAACCCCCAGGACAAAGCAAACATTGTGCAGAGGTCAGGCCGCTCTGGATGAAAGGCCTTGCCTTGTACAGTGGGAAAGAGCCCCCAGGGAGGGAATGTGTATGGGGCGGGGGGTGGGAGTAGAGGGCACAGGAGACGGAGCAACTAGAGAGGCCGCGCTGAGACCATGAATGGAGGCGGGACACAGAGACCAGGGGACAGAGGAAAAAGGGAGAGGCCACAGCCCAGGCAAAGGGACACAGAGGAGGGGCAGGGAGGAGAGGGAAGGAGGGGGAAAAAAGGTGACGGATAAAAGGCAGAGAGAACACAGCCTGGGAAAGGGGGGTGAGAAGAAGAAGAAGAAGGAGCCCGCAGGACTTTGGAAGGGAGAGGGAAGGGGATGGAGAAGGGGGCCTGAGGGCCGGGTGGCACTGCAGGGACCCCATGGGAATTGTGTCGCCCTGGGCTGTTGCTGCTGCTGCCTTCCTAGGCCCGGCTCCTCACTGAGCCCATGTGGAGTGTGTGGAGGGGCTGCGATCCGGGCCCCAGGGGAGCCGCTGGCAGGGAGGACCAGCCGCTGTCCCGGTCCTCCTGGCCCTCAGATGGCCTCCGGGATGGGCGTGGGAGGCCAGGACCAAGGACGGCTACCACCAAAAGAGAAGCAGAGATCTGCTTGAAGTGGCAGGGCTGGCTGGGTCTGAGAGGTCGACTGGAGGTAGCTGAGCACACAGGAGAAGAGTTGCCAGTGCCTCCCACGGCGCCCAGGAGGGTGGGACCAGCGCCCCCGCTCTGTTCCCCCAGGCCGAGCTGCGCATGCGCACCTGCACATCCACCTGGGCTTGGCCACCTAAACTTGGAGGGAACGACCCCAGCTCCGCGTGCCCGGCAGGGCCCAGCTTAGTGCTTTTTACACATGGCATCTTTAATGCCCTGTGGTTGGGATTAGCCTCTCCATTAAAAAAAAAAAAAAGAGAGAACAGGTGTGTTCAGTTGATCTGGAAAGCAAAGCATTAAGTGCATGCTCAAAGTGCCCGTTGATTATTTGATAGAAGCAGAATGTCCTGTGAAGACTTTGCGACTCCATATCAGTTGATCTGGATTTTAATGTTCCTTGAGACCTTGGCCAAGACATTTAGCCTCTACTAGCCCCAGTTTTATCACCTGTAGATTGAGGGGAATATTCTCTGTGGTGGGGAGTCCTTCTGTGGATGACGTGAAATTACTTGGGAGGCCGTAGAAGCACTGTCTTCCCATGAGAGAAGATGTCTCCTATTTGCCTGTGCTCCCAGTCTCTCCTCCTGGCCTTTCTATTTATTGTACTGGAGTTTCCCAGGTAGGGCTTAATTTTTAATTACCAATACATTTTCTAACGGTATAATTGAGGGCATCTTGCCTATGAAACACGTGAACTCCACTCCTAGATCTGTTATTTTGTACTGTGTGGTCCTGCACGGGACACGGCTCTGGATCTCTTTCTTCATCTGTTTAAAATAGCATTGCTGGCCAGGTGTGGTGGCTCATGCCTGAATTTCAGCACTTTGGGAGGCGGAGGCCAGTGGATGGCTTGAGCCCAAGGGTTTGAGACCAGCCTGGGCAAAATGGCAAAACTCTGTCTCTACAAAAACTACAAAAATTAGCTGGGCTTGGTGGCAAGTGTTTGTGTTCGCAGCTACTCAGGAGGCTGAGGCTGGAGACCACCTGAGTCCAGGGAGGTTGAGGCTGCATGAGCTGAGATTGTGCCACTGCACTCCAGCCTGCACAACAAAACGGGAGACCCTGTCTCAAAAAAAAAAAAAAAAATAAATAAATAAATAAATAATAGGATAGTGCTTCTAACACTGACCGCCCTAAAGTGGTGTTTTGAGATTGAATTCTTGACATAAATGTGAATGCGTTTTGTCCACTGGAAATGGAGGAGCAACTGGGAGGTAGAGCCAATCCCCGGGAGAGCTGGCCCATAGTGGGTTCCTAGTTTTTGCTAAAACAGTAAATGAATGACTCTGAGAGAGATGAACCACCCTCTTCTGGAGTTTCTTGGACAATAAGGTAGCATCTCTCTCTCTCTTTCTCTCTCACCTTTTCTCTTTCTCTCTCTCTAGGCCTGGTGTGTTTATGACATTCCCAACTTAACACAGGAAGATCGACCAAGGTTAATGAGAGCAGCTCCCCACAGCTCAAATCTGGATATCGCACATAGCTGACTGCTGAACAGCAGAAACCAGTGTCCTGCCAAGTCCTCCGCGGTGCTCTGGACCCAGAGCCAGAAATCTGCTCACCTCCAGCGTCTTAAGACACTGAAATGAGAACCCGCACAGCTTGGAAAACCAGCACATAAAACCAGGCTCTGTGTTGCCTACCCTCTCCACTTATTTAACCATGTCAGCTCTCAGGCAACTGGAAAACATGAAAAAGGCCTCAGGATGCCTCCTGGAATATGGTCTACATTAACTCACAGCTGGTAGCAGTTACAGCAAAATTAGAAAACATCGGAGCAAAATTGTCCTTTCTTTCAAGTTAAAACTCTTCGAATTCAAGGTTGTGAGCAGTTGGGGTGGCGGGGGTGGGTGGCGGGGATGGAGAGAAAGCGGGGGAAACTGTGACCTCAACCTTCCAATCATGCTGTGCTCCTGGCTGGGTGATTCCCACTCAAAAATAGACATATATTCTAAACTCTGACCACTTCTCAGTCTCTCCCCAAGAGGAGATTCAATAGAGAAGATGCTTTGGGACCCCTAAAATTAACAGAATTCTAATGAATAACCCAGATCAATTTCACCGAGGGTGAAAATGTTTCATATCCCTTCATCCTTCTAATTTATTTATTTTTAATTAATTTTTTAATTGAGAGAATTTCAGATTCATAAGCAGTTGTGCAGAATAATACAGAGGGATCTGGTGTAGATGTTACCCAGTTTCCCACGATGGCAGGGTTTTGCAACACCATCCCATGATATCATAACCAGATTATGGACCTTGATGCAGTCCACCAGTCTTATTCACATTTCCCCAGTGTGACTTGTAGTTATGCTTGTGTACATTTCGTTCAGCTCGTTCTTACATAATTTTATTACATGCCGTAGATTTATGTATGCACCATGTCAGTCAAGATACTAGAGTGCCATCACCACAAGGATCCCACATGTTAACCTTTAATAACTACACCATGCCCATCTCCCTTCTGCTCCCATCTCCCCCATCACTAAACCCTGGCAATCACTAATTGATTTTCCATGTCTATAACTTTGCTATTTCAAGAACACTATATAAATATAATCATACTGTATGTAATTTTTAGGTTTTGACTTTTTTCCACTCAACTCCTTTGAGATTAATCCACACTATTGCCTGAAATAGTGGTTGATTTCTCTTTATTTCTCAGCAGTATTTCATGGTATGAATGTATCAGAGTTTATTTAACCATTTACCTATTGAAGGACTTCTGAATTGTTTCCAGTTTGGGGATATTGTGAATAAAACTGCTGTGAATATTCATGTCCAGGTTTTTGTGTTAATGTACATTTTCATTCCTAATTATTTTTGCACTGAAGGTTGAGGTTGTGCTTAGTGGGGAGGAATTAAGGCTGAGGACATGAGTCAAGGACTGCAGTCGACCAGTTGAAGGGTCAAAGGGAAACTTGGAAAATGAGGCTAACCATTCTCCCTTTAAAGTTGTTTAGTGAATGGAAGTAAAGATTGCATATAAAATGTTCTAAGTTAGAGGCCTATAGAAATGTACATTAGTGCCTGGTGCAGTGGCTCACACCTATAATCCCAGCACATTGGGAGGCCGAGGTGGGTGGATCGTTTGAGCCCGGGAGTTCAAGACTAGCCTGGGCAACATGGTGAAACCCCGTCTCTACAAAAAATACAAAACTTAGCCAGTTTTGATAGAGTGCACCTGTAGTCCAAACTACCTGGGAGGCTGAGGTGGGAGGACCATCTGAGCCTGGGGAGGTCAAGGCTCTAGTGAGCCCACTATACTCCAGCCTGGGTGACAGAGTGAGATCTTATCTCAAAGAATGTACGTTAGCATTACTATTGCATTTCTTTATTGTTTTTTCTTTATTGTTTAACCTTTATTTTAGGTTCGGGGGTACATGTGCAGGTTAGTTATATAGATAAACTATTGTCACAGAGGTTTGTTTTACAGATTATTTCATCACCCAGGCATTAAGCCTAGTACCCAGTAGTTATTTTTTCTCTTACTCTCCCTCCTTCCACCCTCCATCCTTAATATGTCCAGTGTAATTTTTTTGACCAGAGACAAAGAAGGGCTAATAAAATATATTATTACAAAAAATCCCCCCCGCAACACACATATTTAAGGGAACCAGCTGGAAAGGTCCAAACAAGCTAAGGTAATTTCGTCCACAACAGATGACAGTGTACGTGAATGGGACTGGTTTTGGAAAGCAGGATAAGGGTTTTGTATTAGTCCATTCTCATATTGCTATAAAGAAATACCTGAGACTGGATAATTTACAAAGAAAAGAGGTTTAATTGGCTCATGGTTCTGCAGGCTATATAGGAAGCATGGTGTTGGCATCTGCCCGGCTTCTGAGGGGGCCTCAGGAAACTTATAATCATGGTGGAAGGTGAAGGGGAGTGGCATGTCTTGCATGGCTAGAGCGTTGAGAGAGAGAAGGGCATTCCACACACTTGTAAACAACCTGTTATCACGAGGACTCGTTCACTATTGTGAGGACAGGGCCAAGGGGGAGATCCACCCCCATGATCCAGTTACCTCCCACCAGGCTCCACCTCTGACACTGGGGATTACATTTCAACATGAGATTTGGGTAGGGACCACATCTAGATTATGTTAGGTTTTTGTTGTTGTTTTCTTTCCTTTTTTTTTGAGATGGAGTTTCGCTCTTGTTACCCAGGCTGGAGTGCAATGGCACGATCTTAGCTCACCGCAACCTCTCGGATTCAAGCAATTCTCATGCCTCAGCCTCCCAAGTAGCTGGGATTACAGGCATGCGCCACCATGCTCGGCTAATTTATTGTATTTTTAGTAGAGATGGGGTTTCTCCATGTTGGTCAGGCTGGTCTTGAACTTCCGACCTCAGGTGATCCACCCGCCTCAGCCTCCCAGAGTGCCTGGACCACAAGCATGAGCCACCACACCCGGCCTAGGTTTGGTTTAAGAACAGGCAGGCTTCAGGGATTTTGACCAGTTGAAAACTGTATGACATGGGCACATGGTGGACCCCTCTGAGGCTCCGTTTCTTTACCTGTAAAATAGGCATAATGACTTTGCCCTCCCGGAGTGCTGCTGTGCTGATTAAATGAGGTAATATTGATAAATCCCTCAGCATGGTGGTGGCTGGCATGGTCAGGTCTTAACAAGTAGCTTTAGGGTATGTATCAACAGCTATATATATATATATATATATATATATATATATATATATATATATATATATATATATATATTTACCTCTGACAACTATTAGGCTGAAAAATCTGCCATCAGTAAATCATTCAAAATTAAGAGAAAGCTTCATTTTCTAAAACATTTAAATACCATTCATATATTGTATTATGCTATTAATATAGATGAATAAAGATGAAATACACAAACAAAATATGTTGAAATATTGGATATTTCTCTGCCCTCTGTTTCAGATGAAAACAGTAGGATCTGCATTTATCTACACCATGATATTATCGGTGTTCAAAAACAGTGTTCAAAGTGAAGAGAAAACTATTTTAAAAACCCGTCGATGATAATATCTAGATGCCAGAATATTTATTCTTATATCTACAGTCTTCTGATTTTAACTATTTTCTACAATAGTGAGTGTTAATTTTGCATTTGGAAGAAAAACTTACTTAAAATATCCTACAGCAACATCTATTTTTTTGGAGGCATGAAATTGTTCTAAAGGAGGTCGTGGAGAGTGAGTGGCTGTCAGAGGATGCAAGTGGACAGGTTGGGAACACCCACTGCCCGCCTGAGATGGACATCAGCCACTGCTGGAATGCTTGAAGGCACCTGGAGCATGAAGCAGGGGCCAGCTAGGAGGATACACACTTTGTACTCAGTGCAGACTCAGGGACAGGGCCCTTCATCTCCCCTGTCTTCTGTCTCCTCCCCAAATGACGGTGGTAACAATCCCTGCTTCAAAGGTTGCATTGAAGAATAGGCATAAAGAAATTAATACAGGCCCGGTACATAACTGTTGCAAAAGTGGGATTTATCATAGGCCAAGCAGAGGAAAACTGAGTGAATTGTCTTGTAATTAGACCCACATATGTAGAATTGACATCTGAGAGAGGGAGGCAGAGAAAGTCCAGGTACTGCCAAGCACCCTGATGACAGTTGAGAAAAGAGAATTCTAAAAAGAGGATGCAAAAGTCACAGGCTTGTGGCTGCTCTTCTCCACCAAGATTCCTCCATTCCTGCCCCACTCCCTGGATGCAGGGCTTTGTCTCCTCATTTGTGGTTCAAGGGAACATTTGTTGTGTTCCGCCACAGTCACTTGATTTGTGGTCGCAGTGCCTCCTCCAGTCCTCAACTGGGGGGTCTGAGGTCAGGTAGGCTGAGTGAGGGCCCCCTGAACTGCTTCCTAGCTGTGTGGCCCTGACCAAGCCACTTCTGTATTCTTTCCCCAGTTTTGAGGATTAACATCAAAAGCAACTTCAACATTTTGTGGTGGGGATGAAATAAATTTAATCCAAGGAGAGTGCTTAGGCCAGGATGTGTCACATGGTAAGTGCTCCACACGCATGATCCGTGTGTGATCGTTTGTAATAAGCCATACTGAGTCAGTTATATGTTATTGATCTCCAAGTCCCTGAAGTCTTAGGAGGTGACGGTACACGATTCATCCTTCACACATTTATGGAACATCTACCATGTGCTAATTGCTGTTCTGGACACAGATATAAAGTAATGACACACAAAATAAAATCTCTGCCTCGTGGCCACATGTTCTCAAGAGTTACTTAAACAAACACAGCTACCATGTCAGTTGGTGATGAATTCTGAGAAGAACAGTGGGAATTGGAGAGGAGGCCTCTCTGGAACCCTGATGGAGGCCGTTACATAGGATGTCCATGCCATATTACCTTTCTAAAACCCTAGACATCCTGAATTCTAAACATGCATCTCCTTTCCACACTAGACTATGCAGCTTCAGAAACTTCTCTTAGAGCGAGCCACATGCACAACCTGAATGCTCATGCCCATGGCTTCCCATTGTCCTATTTTGACTGCAAGCCTGGGATAGAAGTAGGAGTTGCAAATGGGTCACTTAGAAGCCCTCAAACTCAAACAGAGCAGCTTTCATTACTTACCATAGACAAAAGGAATCAGGGTCAGTATTAAATATAATTACCATGCATGGGGCTAATAAATGGCATTTTTATCCTGGGTGCACTTGTGGGGGTGAGAGGGCCCTGCTGCGGCCCCTCCTCAGGTCACCTAATCCTCCCTTTGCTTTTATCCTCAGAGTCTGAGCAGATGGAGGCCAGGGCTCTCAAATTACCTTTCTTCCTTTTTCACTCTGAGTACATTCTGCAACTGCTGTGGCTTTCCCCTTCTGTCTCATTCCCATGTCCTGCCCCTCCTCATTCCTTCCTTGTCTCTCTCCTCCTCTCCTCACCCTAGCCCCTGGCCTTTCTATACTGGGACATCTTAAAGCATCGTTTGTGCAGTCTGGGATCTTTGTGATTTCTCCCTTTCTGACCTCAGTACGTATGCCTGACTTATTTGCCCCAGGCTGCAACTCTGGGCGAGGATAGAATTTTTCAAAATCCTGTTGCATCGCTGACAGCCACAGAGCCTTTGAACATTGACCAGATACTTTGCACAGGCTTCTCTTTGGTCCTCAGAGCAGTGTCTGTCTTGGACACACTGTAGAGAATAAGCAGGTTGCTGAATCTCTGTGTCTGTTGTCCTGTGTCATTGGTTATGTCGAAGGTCATAAATGACCACCCTGCATGACCCCACTGATCAAGCGACAGACACTCCTCCAAAAGCTAAGTGGGGGTGAGAGCCAGGCCAGCCCTCCTTCCAGGTGCCCCAGCATAGACCACAGGGCAGGTACGTGGTAGTTGCATATGCTCAGCAAGTGTCGAGTTCGTGGCTGGCATACATGATATGGTCAAGGAGTGGATAGAACACAGAGTCTTGGGCTGCTCAGAGATCTTAGTGTCCATGCCCCTTTGACAGCATCGTAAACCAAGTATCAGACTAGCAGTTTGAAAATCTGACTCAGGTTGGTCTCTGCTCTGCCACATGGGAAGGTTTTCCCCTAGGACATGGCCTTGCATTTAAGGAATAAGTGAGGACATGAGATGAGTGATCTCCAGAGCCCTTTCTACACCATGACTCTGAGATATAACAATGTATAATGAAATTATTTGTGCCTTTGCATGAGTTCATTGGTGACAGAGGGCCTCAGCCTCACATTTCACTACTGCAGAAGGCAGGAATCTTTTGTCTTTTATTTCTCAGTGAGGGTGGATTAAGCTTTCATCTGGGTGTGCCAAAAGGAGCTACAGTTGGCCCTGCTTCCAGCATGTGTCCCAGAATCTCATCACTTGGCCCCGTGACCCGGGGGAGTCCCTACTCCTGGCGACCATCTCAACTCCCATGAGTGTTTCCCTGGACTCCCAGTCTCCTTTACTCACATCGGCCTCCAGTCCTTCTCCTTGTGGCCCCCAAAGATGCTCTCTATCACCCTTATCACCCACCACCTTCAACCTCCAACACCTTCCCAATGCAAGTCCAATACACTCCAAGCTCCTTTCTTGGCCCAACGTACTCTACTGGGACTGGCCCCAGCTCCTCTCCTAACTTCTTCCTTCATCTCTAGCCACACTGACCTACCTGTAATACAAGGAGCTCTTTGAACTGATCGGCCGTTTTGACGGAAAGCATCTTCCCATAAAGGCCACTCGAGTAGCTTGGATTACAGGCATGTGTGGCCACGCCCTGGCTAATTTTTGTATTTTTAGTAGAGACAGGGTTTTTCCATGTTGGCCAGGCTGGTCTTGAACTGCTGACCTCAGGTGATCCACTTGCCTTGGCCTCCCAAAGTGCTGGGATTACAGTATCTGCACTTTGAATTTGCTCTGTAAGCCCAGGCGTAGGTGAGTCCTGGCCTTCCTCTGTGTGTGGGTGCAAGTGAGCACACCTTCTCCTATTGGGTGAAGGCTCTCTTAGAGTTGAGACAGGGCATTCAGCTTCAGAGAGGGGTGCCTCACCTCTGGTGAATGACTTGGGCAGCTGTGAGCAGAGCTTCTGCGGTGTCATTTGAGGTCAAGTTGTGATTGACTTATACAACCTCCTAAATAATTAGATAGAATTATCTATGAATTGGGCAAAAACAAACTGCAGCCCCAGTTAGGTTGATGAATAATAAACATCTCATTTCTGGAGCCTGCAGGACCTGGGTCTGGGTGTGGTCTTTGACACATACAGCCATGTGATATTGGACAAATGAATTAGGTTCTTTTAAACCCTGGCTTCTTCATCTCTAAAGAGAGAGAAACAATAGCACTCTGCTTGTTGAGATGTTGTAGGGATTACATGAGGTGATGCAAGGTACTTGGTGCCTGGTACACGTTGAGAAGAGCTTACTGAGTTGATCATGGTTGTTCTTCCATCTCCACAAATGTGTGGTGGCAGCAAAGCACCCTTTGCACTGTGCTGGGGAGAGCTGCAGAGGCAAACCACACAATGCAGTGCCTACAAGCACAGACCATAGGCCCAGGCAGTCTAGGGTGAGCACCTCTGTGCTTCTCGCTACCTGTGTGACTCTACATTCTGCTTGCCTCATTTTCAAAAGGGAGCATGGGCATGATACCACCCTGGTATTCTTGCTGTGAAGATTTTATAGGATCTTTTATGTTAACACAAGGCCTAACCTATAGCAAGAGCTTAATCAATGTTAACAACCACCACAGTGGAAAATTATTGAGTCTTGAAGAGCCTATCTTCAGTGTGGGCAATAGATGTGTAGATGGCAAAACCCACAAACACACACAAAACAAAGCCACAGAAATTCTGATACAGTACTAAAAGTAATAAAACACACGTGGGCCAGACAGGGTGGCTCATGCCTATAATCCCAGTATTTTAGGAAGCCAAGGTAGGAGGATTGCTTGAGGCCAGGAGTTCAAGACCAGATTGGGTGACATAGTGAGAAGGCATCTCTGCAAATATTTTTTTTTAATTTAGCTGTGTGTTGTGGTGTGTGCCTGTGGTCTCAGCTACTTGAGAGGCTGAGGCTGGAGGATCATTTGAGCCTAGGAAATTGAGGCTGCAGTGAGCTATGATCACACCACTGTACTCTAGTCAGAGCAAGACCCTATCACAAAAACAAAAGCAAAAGCAAACAAAAACCAAAACAACAAGAGCAACAAAAAGGGGTTTGAGCAAGGAGCACAGAAAAAAAGAATTCTTTTCCATAGACGTATCAGGGAAGGCTTCAGGAAGAACATGATACATAAACTGGACCTTGAATGCGTATTATTTTCCATGAAAGAAGAAGCACTGGGATTGTGAGTTCAGGCAGGTGGTGTCTGGAAGGGGCTAAATCAGGCTGGTGTAGTAGTCCTTGTGGCAGGCTCTCCTGGGGTCTGTTGGAGCCAGAGGAGGGGGTCTGGGGAGGAGGGTGAGGCACAGGAGGGGAAGAGAGGGAGGCCAGCTAGTCTCTCAGGGATGCTGAGTTTCAGCCTCATTCCTGGGGGCTGCCTTGTGTCGAAGGGGCTTTGAGCTAAGGAGCAGCACCATGGAGCAGTGCCTTGATTGTTCACTGTTGTGTGGACGCATTGACTCATTTCCTCACTCCTTCATACAAAAAGGACTTTTGTAGATAACAGTATAAGGCTATTTTCATGGAGTGAGGTGTTGTTCAGCCCTCTGTGTTCACAGCTCACCATGGGAGAAAGGATATAAATCATGTTATTTGGAGGCATGAAAATGCCAAGGTTTGGAGAAGACAGACAAAGTGCAACAGGCTTCAGGGATGGGGAGATGACTTCAACTGGGAGATTGTTGAAGACTTTCAAAGGAGGCTGCGTTCAGCAAGAGGGAAGGGTAGGTGTGGGGAAATAATGATAGCAGAGCTGGGAATTCTGGGGGAAGGAACCTGTGGGAGCAAAATTCAAAAGGTAATGCAGGAGGAGACCGGCACCGGGAAGGGGGAGCAGAGAGAGGGCGTGTGGGAAGTGCGGGCAGAAAGCCAGGCTCCCCTAGATCTTCAGAGGCACTTGAAAGGCAGACAGAGGCATTCGTACTTTTCCCTGTAGAACTGGTACAAAACAGAGAAACAATAGCATGCAAGGAGGCTGGGCTACAAAAAGACTTGTTTCAATCAGCATTTCTAACCTCGTCTTTCACATTTTTTAATGTTCTGATTCACTTTCTCAACTTTTAATCCAAAGCTCGGCTGGAGAAGCTGCTGTTTTCAATTTGTATTATCCTTTTTTTCACATTTTAATCCTCTTAGATCCCATTTCTGCTGGGTTAGTGAACCCACTAATCAGGTAAGCAGCCAGCAGCAGCCGGTCCAATTATGAAGAAAAATCAGGCAAAGATGGTTCAGGGCACCCAGGGGTTCCATGCTGCCACAGAAACCACCCTGGGGCACTTGAGTCCTCATCGCAGAAACACTGAGACACCCCCTGAGGGTGGAAGCCAGGGGCTGCTCATCCCCAGGTGAGAGTCCCTCTGCCTCCTCTCTTGGCTTGGTTTCCTCAACATCCCTGCCACTTCACAGGTGGCAGCATGACAAAGTCCTACTTATTCTTCAAGGCTCAACTCAAATGCATTCCCCTCTGGAGCATCTTGGAACGGGGCCAGGCTGAGTTGAAAAAGACTTGAAACGGAATGAGGTTGAGTTCCAGTTTTGCCATGTGCAGCCTCTGTGACTTGGAGGGGGAGTGGAACGTTTTTGAGCCTCAGTTTCCCCTTTTATTGTCAACTTCATGAGGTTGTTATGAGTATTAAAAAGTGAGCACTTAGCAGAATTTTGAGCACATGTAAAATGCTCAATATTGTGGTGGCTGAAGCACCTTCCAGAATCCTCAACACATGGAGTTGGTTTTCCTCTGAGTTCCCGTAGCACCCTTTCTTTCTCTTTCAAGTGAGTTATCACACTGTGTTATGACTACCTTTCCATACCTGTGTCCCCAACTGTCTTGACTGTCTGTTCCTTGATGGCAGACTTTATAACACTTAGCACTTTATAACACTTAGACTTTATAGCACTTATAATTCCATAACACAAGTCTTACTAACTAAGCTATTATTCAATTAAGAGGTGAATAAATAAATAATAAACAAGGCAATCTTGTGGCTTGGGAGGTTTTTAAAGGACTAGGAGAGTTCCTGGAACATAGTAGGTGCTCGATAAGCATCTGTTGAATAAATAAATTAATCAATTGATTTACAGGCAGGAGGGGCAATTAGGTTGGTGGGGGAAAATCAAGCCCTTGTTGTGGGAGAGTTATCCAAGGAGGTGAGAATGAGGATGAAGTAGAATCTAAGGACTTAGTCCAAATTAAGACGAAGGAAAATAGACACCAGAAAGAAGGAGTCATTTGTCTTAGCAGTGCACACCTCTCCTTCCATCTCTTGCCATGGTCCTCATGACATAGGATGTGTTCTGTGCATGGGCAGCACTCCTCCAAATCCTGCCATGTTCTTGCATCCCAGCTCACCCCCCTCCTTTGTTCAGCCTTCACCTGCTCTTCAGCCCAGCTTCTCTCTTTCTTCTCTGAACTATGTTTTCATTATATTTTGACTTACGTTTTAATAGTCAACATTTTTTTCCACATGGAGATTGTGCAATGCTTCACTCACTGTGTTGAAATGATCTAGAATCCATTGCTTATTTGAAGGTCTAACTGTAGACCTTATACACAGTCAGCCCCTGTAACAAACAATCAGTGATTTTTCAAATGACAGATTTTTTCTTGCCATTTGAATACAGCTGTATGCATATCCTGATGTCTGCTGTAGACTCAGTTTTATGGTTCAAAGGTATCCTGACTTTGATATGGATAGTCAAATGGCCACAAAGTGAAGGCTATCTCTCCTTTCTATTCTCCACTACAGTAGCAAATTTAATTTGGAGCTGTAGATGTTATAGTCATAGTATGGCTAGAACGTTTGGGTTCTGGGGCTGACGTGATACTGTCCATGGTGCTGAAACACCATGTGTTTTTGTTGTTGTGGTTTCCCTCCTAACTGTAGTACATTGGGAGACTCCTGTTGAATTTTTCCCAAAAAGCATTTCACTATTGTATTTATTATTATTATTATTATTATTATTATTATTATTATTATTATCTTTTAATTTCTAATACGTTAAATATTTGAAATTATTTACTCTCATGAAATGGTTTACTCTTATGAAATGGTTTACACTTATGAGATTATTTACCCACCCCCCTCCATTGTGCATCCTTCACCTTCTCTTCAGACTGCCCTGGAAAGGTGTAAAGGGGAAACCCAGACACAATGCTTTCTGAAACACATAATTCTGGTCCTATTTGGTGCATTAGGTGCCTGGGGAGGGTACAGGTTACCTCCAGATGAAACCCATAATCAGTGAGACTTATAATACTCTCTGTATGCACGTGTGTGTGTGAGTGTATAATTTTTATCATAATTCCAAAAATATTGTTTTACCTCTTGGAAGTGAAGAAGCATGTAAGGTACGTCCAGACTATGCTCCTTCAATGCTGTGTTTTTTGTAGGTGATTCTGTTTGTGAGGCTCTGATTAAGTGGAGTTAGGTTGGTGTCAGAGAAATGAACTTAATATTAACTCTTTAAATTCATTTTAATTGACATTTTTCACATTTTAATGAATTAGAAAACAAGTTTGGAGGCTTGTAGGAGAGGAAAGTCCTATAGTTTCTGCATTTTGTAGCTTAGCACACACAGGCAGGTGCTTAGCTTAACAAAAATTTATCAAGCACATGCTTTTACTGTTTTAAGCAAACATTTTATAGACACTTTTTCTAAGAAGTTAATGGACTACTGGCAGATGAGTACATATGAGCAATAAGTTTAGTTGGTATGATGTTTGAGTAAAATAAATATATATGAGGCATAGATAAAATCCAAAGGAGGGAGTGTTTAGTTCTTTTCAGAAAGACAAGAAGCCTCCTCGGAAGATGTTTTGAAGGAGAATCAGCAGTGCTCATACCAGATGAGACATAGTGGGACAAGTATTTATGGATGAAATAGCAATACTCATAACTGCCTGGAGGCAGGTGATGACTCCAGACAGCCCTGGAAAGGAGTAGAGACCCAGGTGCAGTGTTCTCTGAGTCACATAACTCTGGGCATATATGGCACAGCAGCTTCCTGGAGAGGGTATAGGTTACCACCAGGTGAAACCCATAATCAGTGGGCCTGTCAGCCCCTGGCACTCAATCAGTGCTCATTGAGCAAATGGAGACATACACAATTCATTACCTGAGATTCCTTCAGTCTTAAGAAACCAAGTACCTATACTTAGCATTGGGAAGATGTGGAAATCCTAAATTTACCCACAAGTTATGACACTTCAAAATAACTTCTGTAGTTAAACTCAGAAGTTCCACTTCCCAAACCACACTATTTAATGAGTTAAAATTTCAAGAATACATGCTATTTTGAAAAAAGGTATAATATCTGCCTTTTCAGCCCATAATGAAAACATTGGGTTATGAAATTGTACCTTACAGAGCATTATGGGGATTATGAAATTTTCCCATTCCTCTTTTAAAATCTGAAGATGTATTACTTTATCTTAGGAACAATTTCATAAAAATCATAACATTGTTTTCTAAGTTCATTTTTAGTCATTGGGATGCCCCTCTTTGATAGTTTTAGAGACACTGATTATTGCACAAGCTTTTGAAAATCCACATTCTCACATACACACTGTATCAGTCATCAAGTGTTACAAAAATGCTCTGTAACAAACCACTCCAATCCTAGTATTTTGGTATAATAAGCATTTACTTAGCTAATTAAATGCAGCTTTTCTAGAAATAATTATTCTATTTCTAGTTATGCTAGCTTTGGATGGCTCTCTTGCTTGTGTGAGGGTCACTGACTCTCAGCTGATCAGGGGCAGCCTCACCTACAATAAGTGGTAAAATACAATTCTGGGTGATTCATCTTCTATTAGTCCAGTTGGGCATGTTCTCATAACAAAGGCTGAGGAGTAATAAAAAAGCAAAAATGAGCAAATACTTTTTCAGATCTTTGCTTGTATGACAAATTCTGACTCATGAGCCAAAGCAAGTCACATGGCTGAAGAAACCTTGGCCGTTTATGAGAAGAGTTCAAAAATCACATTGCAAACGGCATAAATACAGGAAGGATTAAGATATGAGGTCATTCAATGCTCTCTCTGAGTTTCAGGGAACTTAGCAATTCTTAAGTTCATTCATGAAACTTAGTTCTGAGGGTACCAGCAGGCTTCAGAATTTATGCTCCACTCTTCTGTGAACAATTTATTGAACTAGGGCATAGCAGACATGCACAAAATATTACAATAATCAGTTATTTTTGCAGAAGAGTGTAAAAATTCATATGTAGAAAAAACAACATAAAAGACAAAAAATGGAAACCAAAAAGAAATAACAAAATATAGTACAAAGAAAAGAAAAATCAGAGTAATAAATCCAAACATATCCATAATCACAAAAAATGTGAACAAACTAAATTTATCATAGAAAGAGAAAGGAGCTGAGTTAAAGAAAATATAAAAAGAAAATTTTACTTATAGATAGTATTTAATATAGTTAAAACAAAAGAGCAAAAGAGTTATTTGAAAAAAACTCTTGAAAATATATATCAGATAAAAATAAAATGTATTTGTATAGAACTATTAACACATGCTAAAAAGTTAATATGGAAGGTAGTTCACAGGACAGAGTGATACATTTTATGTAAATAAGATACAGTATGCTAAGAAGATATAATAGGCATAAACCTTTATGCAGATAACAACATAGGCTTGGAAATATAAAGCAAAACTATTAGAAAGGCAAGGAAAAAAGTGAAAATGCATAATCACGGTAGGTGATGTTAACATTTCTCAGAAATAGAAATAGAGATAAATATGGAAATGGAAGATTTGACTAACACAATTAGTATGCTGAATAAAACACACAGATTACATAATGTCTATATGTATGCACATATACATGGATATACACACACAGTCACACACATATACATATATAAATATTTAATAAATTAATTTTGGTCCATTGAATATGTACGTAATATTAAATGGACCAAAATAAATCTGGTTCTGGGGTTCTTGGACACACACACACAAGCGCACACACACAGACACACACACACACACACATATATATATTTACTGGATCAAAATAAATTCTGTTAAAACACTTATTAAACCTTCTTAATATTTTGAGTATGTGATGAGTAATAAAGGAAGCCTCGACAAATTTAAAAAGAAGGTAAATTACAGATTTTATTCACTAACCATAGAGACCATACCACTCAACTAAAAAATACACAGCCAAATTTTCTTCAACTTAATTTTCTTATCTCTCCAATTAAACCAATTTACCT
Organism: Homo sapiens; assembly: GCF_000001405.40. Taxonomy (NCBI): domain Eukaryota; kingdom Metazoa; phylum Chordata; class Mammalia; order Primates; family Hominidae; genus Homo; species Homo sapiens. Next base: position 98,577,061 of record NC_000014.9, on the reverse strand, counting down.
GAAGAAAAAGAATATCTTATAATTCTGCATTCCTTAACTTCGTATTTACAATATAAAAACCATGCCGATGTTCTAAGTTGATGCTCAAAATATTTCTTATTAAAGTGTTCAAATGTATGAATAGTAATGTTTGAGATTAGTTTGTTTGCATATTTGACATATATGTGACCAGATATAGTTGTAGTCTTTTGGAGGTTATCCTAAAGCTGTAGGGACTTACTATGAAGGTCATGAACTTAGGCTCTGCCATTTGAGCCCTATGATGATTATTTTTCACTTGGCAAGGTTACCATACCCAGTTATTTAATCAAATATGAATCTTGGTGTTGCTGTGAAGGTATTTGTTTAACATATACAATCAGTTCACTTTAAGTAAAGGTGGGTACCTTTTATAATGTAGGTGGGCCTCAACCAATCAGTTGAAGGCCTTAAGAGCAAGAGCTGAAGTTTCTTGGAGAAGAATAATGCCTTAGCTTCCATCCTGCTGGTCTACCCGATGGGTTTCAGACTTGCCAGTCCTTACCATTGCAAGAGCCGATTCCTTGAAATAAATAAACTGTGTGTGTGTATGTGTATGTGTATGTATCTAACATTGGTTCTGCCTCCCTGAAAAATTCTGGCAGACACAGGCCCCAATCCTCTTTCAGGTATCTTTCTTTCTAAAGCTCTAGCTGGCAGTCAATGCACTGGGGCAGAAACAGCATGGTCTTTGGAGTTGTATTTTCCCAGGTTTGAGTACTGTTCACACTACCAACAAGCCACATGGCTACATACAAGACACTTAGATTTCCTGAGGCTAGGTTCTGCATGAACAAATTGGAAAGAATAATCTTCCTCATAGTTTTTTTAAGTATATAAGGAAAATTAACATAATGTATACAAAAGTGATATTATGTTTGGGGTTCAAGAACTCTTCGTTTCTTAATCTGGCCTTAAAATCTGCTCTGAGCTTGGTTTTAATATATAAAAGTCTTTGTATTGGGGTATTTGGAAAGTTAGGGCATGAGATAAAAAGGACATCGCGGGGGAGGGCTGAGGCTTTACATTCATGTGATGCAAACCTGAAATCTGGATAGTCATCATTCCGTGATATGGTAGGATTTGTTTCCAGCATATAGAATTAAAAGAAAGCATGTGTTGCAGCTAGTTTTCTTCAGAATTCTCAAAAATGTTTTTCAAACAATGGAATGAAATTGCTCTTATAAAGTCACCACCATCTATGGAGCAATTAATAGACATATTAAACATTTTCAATCTATATGTCATTGCAAGGCAACATAAGTTGCCTGAAGCACTATATGCGTTTGCACTCACCAGTCTGGGATGTTTGCAAAAACTGTGAAAGTCTATTTGATTGAGACTGCTCTGAAATGTTTGGGAACATTTCAGCTATGTAGGTACAATGTAGGCCAACGAAATAGAATCCTTTCTTCTCAGTACCTGGCAAAGAGGCAGCTTGATCTATGTAGGTAGGACAGCAGGGAGAAAAGATGGTCAAGTGAGAGATGAAAGTTTATTGTTTGTGTTTTGCTTTGATTTTGATTTCTGAGAAAAGAGATGGCTTCTGAGACTGCAAGCAGAGAGTCCAGCCACGATCAAGGAGCAGCAAAGCAGGTAAAACCTGGCCACACTGTTGCTGCAAAAGCTCAGTGTCAGGCTACACCAATAGCCACCTAACTCACAAATAAGATATTCCTTCATCCTAATAAAGACCCTGTCATTCAAACCCCTACAGATGGCCTTGTGTCAAGTCACTTGCAAATAACATGCTAGGTGAAAATGCTGGATGTGGGTTTAAGGAACTTGACAAAAGATGTCAACGGTTCAGGGTTCAAATTCTAGACCTACCCAACGCCAGATCATGACACGGGCTACAGACATGGTCTTCAAGTCTTGGTTTCCTCAAATATAGCACAAAAACAATTATCTTAAGAGCAAATGGCAAAAGTGCTAAACTGTAACTCATGTACCATAAACAAAAGTGTCCCAGAGGCAACTTGGAGGGAATTTGGAAAGTATGAGGGCACTGCCTCCTGGGCAAATATACCAATCCTGAACTCATGACTGTTTTGCAGGTAGATATTGAAATATGGGTTGGGTGTGGACAGATGAATTTGGGAGACCTGGGGCAGGGAAGACCACGCACTGGAGCCTGGCATTTGGATTATACCTAGAAATTACAAGGGACCTCTTCTGATGCTCAAGTTGGAGAAGGAAACTAATACGAGGTGTGTGGGCCTGAGAAAGTGAGAGAAAGGTGAATCATCAAAGCCTTGAACGGTGGGCTGAATCCTTGAGCAGGATCATGGCCATGTATTGTATCATCTCTCCACTCCCTGTGTCTGGCAAATTTCCTGTCCACTTTGGGGCCCAGGTGAATTCAAGAGAACCTCCACTCAGGTTCAGCAGGAGAATGATTGGGGTGAATGCTGGAAAGCAACAAGCCTGGCTTCACTAGCAGGCGTGAAGGAGGAGGAATCATTAATTACTTTGAAGAGCAGGCAGTGTGTGTGAAAATTGAGCTTGGGAGGGTCCAATATTAATGAGAAGCCATTCCTGCTGGGCGGAGGATGCTGAGTTAAAAATCACACTGCCATTCACTCACATATGGATTTATTAAACTCTTCCTGAACCCTGGAAACTATGGGAAGAGATTTTGTGCATCTCATCTTATGCTAAAATGTAGGTACTATTGTTAGATTACATTCTTGAAAAGTAATGATTAACTCAGTCTTTAAAATCAATAGCAGGATTTTGCCTTAAAACTTGGGATTTTTACGAGCTTTAAGTGACTCAATCACACTGCACCTCAGTTTCTCCTTCTGTAAACCTGGAGTATTGGGGAAAAATCACTCATTTGAAAGTAGGAATTCAGCGAATTAGGTCTAGATCTATAACCTGCTATGTCTCTTTCAGTCATTGATGGCCACAAACCACCCTCAAACTCAGTGACTTGAAATGATATTTATGATTGTTCTCAATTCCGTAAGGCAGCTGAGTGGCTCTTTGGGTCTCAGCTGGGCTTACTCAAGTATGGACTGTCAGATGCAGGTTGGGGTCAGCCAGCTGTCAGCTGGTTTAGAATGGTCTCATCCAGGACACCTGGGGCATCCTGGCTCTGCCCGATGTATCTTATTCCTTAGCAGGCTGGCCTGACCCTGTTCTCAGGGCAATTGTAGAGGAGGAAAAGAGGAAGCAGAGGTGGGCAAGGGCATTTGAAAAATCTGGGCTTAGTTCTAACGTTCTAATATCCCATTGTTAAAATATGTCCTAAGTCCAGGAGTGAGTCCACCCATGGAGAGAGGGTACTGCAAATTTGTACAGCAAAAGGCATGGATTCCTTAGGTGGGGAATAAGCATGATCAATCTACCACAGTCACATTGAGTGAGTTTCTTTCTCCGCCCCACCCTCCCTTCCCTTCTACCCTCAAGACAGTGTGCCAGGCAGTAGTTTCCCATTATGGAGAATGCATCATGTGAAAAGGGCTGGAAACATATAAGGCATTGCTATTTTTCTGATTATTATAGTTACAATAAACAGTTTCTTTATTCTCTTACTCCTTACATCTTTGTCTTGGAAGATAGCGTTCAAGTTGAAATTATACTTGCCAAAACCTTGTCAGTAACAGGAAATGTAGAAAATAAAAGGGATTCTATGAGCTGGTATAAAAAAGCCAAGGCCCTGGGCATGACTGTGTTTGTGTCAGTATGTATGGCTCTGAGCCTGTCAGGGGCTTGCATTTGAGCCCCCTGTGTGTGTACGTGTGTGTGTGTGTGTGTGTCATATGCCACACATTACTGATGCCTTTTATCTCTCCCTTTATGTGAGTGGTTATAATTCAATGGCCATTGCAATGCAGCTGTCAGCACCATCATCTGATGAACAAAGCCATATTTTGCAGCTATGGCATGATGTAACCAGAACACTATATTTGCTTATGTATGAACCCACACCCCTCTTTTGACCATAGCAACTAGGAACTATTTACAAAATTAAAAACATAAATTGCACAAGCAACTATAGTGAGTTGCACCGAATAAGTCCATGGCTAGTGCCAGAAATATGTTATTACTGACTAATAGTAATGAATCAAGCCCCTCTGAACAAAAACTGAGTAGTTGCAGAGTTTGGAATTTCTGTCTTAAAAGTGTTCATTTGCTTCATCAGAGTTTGGGAACTCTGGGAGGGTCTTGTCATCCTGAGTTTCAACCTAGGAGTGAGACCTCAGCCTTGGATGGTCAGAGCCTCTTATAGGGACACTGCATTCGGGGGATTCAAAATGGCTGAGACTCTGATGGCAGGCAGATCTGGGTAAGATTTCAGCATTTCAGTAGCTCTATCATTTGGGCCTATTTGAGTTCCAGGCATCAAAAGGGGATAAAGATTTGTACCCAGTATTGATCATGAAGTGAACATGAGATCATGCTTAATTCTAGTGTGTTCTAGACAAATGTTTTGCTTACCCACTAAAGATGTATTTCCTGAGCACCACATGTCAGATACTACCCCACATTTCTTCCTAAACCTTTTGCCTCACCTACATCCAACTATAGAGGCTGAAAAGCCTTATAATCACATTTCCATCCACTTTTGCTGCTAGAAGGAGCTGGTCAACCAGTTATAAAGAATAAAATATAAGGGGAAGCCTATTGAATGGCTCCCAGGAAAGAGAATTCTGCCTTGATAAAAGTAAAGAGGTTCGTGAGGGGAGCTCTTCTTCACCACCCTGGTCATCTCTTTCTTTCTATCTTTGACTCTGCTTGTGTGAAGATATGATCCTTAGAGCTGTTGTAGCCATCTTAGAACCATGAGGCAACAAGGCTAGCCATGAAAAACCCATCATGCTGAACATGGCAGAGATAGGGATGAAACATAGCAGGTTTCTGGTGATCTCACTGAGCTGGCAAACCAATATAGGAACAACCTACCTGCAAATTTTCTAATAAATAAAGGATAAATTATTTCTGGCTGAAACCACTGCTTATTACCTATAGACAATGACATTAGTAACCAATGTAATCTTACTGTGTCATAAGTAGTGTATCAGGCTCATAGCAGTAAGCAAGGCACTCACATTCTCTGTCTTCATGGGAGCTTCAGGCCTGCAGGAGATGCAGATGCTATGCATAATGGGCAAAAATTTGAGGTAAGATAGACAGGGATGTCTTCAAGCCAGGTCTTGTGATTTATGGCAATTATTTTGAACTTCATCCCCAATAAAACAGAAACACATTGAAGCATTTTAAGCAGATCAGCAGCTTGATTTGATATTCTATAGGAAGTCAGATGATTTTTCACAGAAAACACTGTGGTATTTGAACTCCAAGCAGAAAATAACTAACCGTCCTTTCTATAACCACAGCACATGGAAAGGACAAGGGCCTCTTGGAGGACCTCCTACAGGATGCCAGACACAGAGAGCTGCAGCAACATGCATTCAACCCCAACACTGCACTAGACAGACTGAGGGCATCTGCAAGCATCTACAGAAGCAGACTCGACGTTTACAGACTACATGAGAGCTAGAGTGATCCCTGATAAACACTATCTCTGCTGGGTCATCAAAGTCAAGATCAACAGTGATAACTCATATTGATAGCATATACCCTTGAAAAGATGTGATGAAAATGACATTTTATTTCTGTGCCTCCTCCCGTAAGTCCACAACCCTAGTCTAATTATGAGAAAAATGTCAGACAAATCCTACTTGGGGACATTCTACGAAGTATCTGACCAGTACTTATCAAAACTGTCAAGGTCATCAAAAACAAGGAAAGTCAAAGAAATTGTCACAGCCAAGAAGTGCTTAAGAAGATATGGTAATGAAGTAAAATGTGGTATCTTGGATAATATCCTGAAACATGAAAAATACATTAGGAAAAAATTAGGAAATTTTAATTAAATGTAGAGTTTAGTTAATGATAGTACATCAATATTGGCTCATTAATTGTAACAAATTTACTGTACAAATGCAAGATGTTAATAATAGAAAAAAATGGGTGTGAAGTATAAAAGAACTCTCTGTACTATCTTCACAACAATTTTGTACATTTAAAGCTGTCCTAACATAACATTTTATTTTTTATAAAAGCAGTGTGAGCAACTAGACAAAGGAGGAAATTGTAAAATAATCATTGAGTTTTTGTCAGAATTTATGCAACCAGAAGACAATTGAGTGGCATATTTAAATTCTGAAAGAAAAAGTAAATCAATCTAAAATTCTATATTCATAAAAAATACTCTTCAAATGAAGGTGAATTAAAGACAGAAGGATAAATATCTCTATCAATGGAACAAAATATACAAACCAGAAATAAATATACATATATTTTATCAATTGATTTTCAACAAAGATCCTAGTGGGGGAAGGATTGTTTTTTCAACAAATGGTGCTCAAACAACTTTAAAATTTAGGATAAGGGGTGGAAACTTTATGTTTTTCTCACATCACAAGAAAAATTAAATTGCAGCAAATTATATAAATCAATGTAAACTACAAAAATATAAAACTTCTAGAAAGAGCACAAAAACTGTATTTGCAAACAGAATGGGCAAAGATTTCACTGATAGGATACAAAAAGCACAGGCAATAAAATTTAAAAAGTAATAATTTTAAGACCCTGCTGTTTGAAAGAAATCATTAAGAAAATAAAAAGGTAAGGCACACTCTGAGAGAAAACATTTACAATACATATATCTGAGAAAGGACTAGTATGCAGACAATATAAAGAACACCTACAACTAAATTATGATAAAACAAACAACTTGCTTCATAAATGGGTACAAGTTTTGAACAGATATTTCATAAAATAAAATATATAGAGATCTAACATGCACATGAAAAGAAGCTCAACAACGTTAATCATCAGAAAAATGCAAATTAAAACTACAAGGGGATACCACAGCACACACACTAGAATGGCTGAAATGTAAAAGAGACAATGCCAAATGTTGGTAAAGATGTGGAACAACTAGAGTGCTCATACATTGAGAAAACATTTTGTAAGTTTCTTACAATGTTAAACATACACTTGTGTGCAAATCCCATTTTCCAACTTACCCAAGAGAAGTGAAAACATTTGTCCACTCAAAGACATTTTCAGTACATTTATAACAACCTTATTGTGAAGTAGTCAAAACCCAGAAATAATTCATGCATCCATCAACCAGTGAATGCAGAAATAAATTGTGATATATCCATACAAGAATATTACTCAGTAGTAAAAAATAACAAAGCACTGATACATGAAGCCACAAGGGGGATCTCAGAAACATTATATAAATAAAGTAGGAAGACATAAAGGGTACATGCTGTATGACCCTATCATCTGGAATTCCGGCAAATACAAAGCCAATATAGAGTGTCAGGAACTGGAGCTATGGCTGCCTAGGGCAGAATGAGTCAATGGAAAAGACGCATGAGAGAATTTTGGAGTGGCAAAAATGTTCTTATTATTATAGTGGTGGTTACATCGGTTTATTTTTTCTCAAGCCTCACCAAATTGTGCTTAAAATAGATGCATTTTTAAATACAAATGATACCTCAGTAAAGTAATTCAAAATTATATTGGGTCCAGATTGTGGAGATCTTTGCACATCAGAATATAACCTCTGTGATCACAGAACAGTTTTATTTATTGCTGTTTATTCAGAACCTTGAGTAGTGTCTGCCACATATGAGACACTGAGTGCATGTTTATTGAATGCATAGAAGAGTGAATGAATTGCTGAAGGAATATCAGGGAAGGGATTTTGAGCTCTTGTTATAAAATCATTCTCATTTTCCTCTTTTGTGAAGTGACATCATCAGATTGTTTTCAATATGGGGCAGGATGACTGTGTGGCAGGTGGATTTTAGAGGCTGTATGTAGTTAGGGTGCATCAGTGAAACTGACAAGAGAACACAGGTGCTGTCTGCCCCTGGGTAGCACCATGCTATTTTTTCTTTGAAAAGGGCTCATGGAAATATAAGCTTTTATCCCAACAAAGAAAAAATGAGAATGTTCTCATATGTCCTGCCAGGATGCTTCCTAAAACTGAATGAAAGATGAGAAGATGGCAATGTGGAAAGAAAAGGAATAGGAAACACGTTCCTTCAAATTCTAAATGAACTGTTAACATGATCTTCTCCTTCACCCTGGATCTTGAGTAATGTGGTCAGAAGGTTGATGACTCTGGAGAAACATGACCCTTGAGGAGGAAGCACTCTCTCTGTCTCTCTGTCTCTCTCTGACTGATTAAACTTAACACTGTTATTACAACTTTCTTTCCAGATGAGAATTCAAAACTTTGGACACCTCAGCTTCACCTTTAAGAGAAACTGTGTTATTGCCTTCATAACTGGAAGCAGCAAATCAGAAGTTAGGAAGAAGGCACACTGACAATGATTGATGCCCAAGGCTTCCTCCTGATTCGCTGATTAAGCTCGTCAATCTTTATGCAGAAGATGCATCCAAGGCAAATGGAGGCAACCAGCCTTAACGAATCTGGCTGTCAGAGCTGAGGGGAAAAGGAGACTCTTAGCTTGGTGGTGCACAGAAAATACAGGGAAAAAGTAAGGAGCACCGGGAGAATATTTACCTTCAAGTAGGAGAAGCCCTAGGGACAAAAGGCGCCCCCAGGAGGAGCTAAGAGTGTCCTTGTTGAAGGATTAGAGAAGTGAGGAAAGAATGATTCCCTAGAGAATCCAAAAGATTTGCTAAGTTTCTTCTTGGGAAACTGGAAGTTCTCCAGAGAATTCAGAGACAGACCCTTACCTTCCTTGTTTGATGATTAATTCCTTCTCAGCCTATTAAATATAAGCCAAGACTCATCTTCTGAAAGCAGCTTTTGCTAATATAGTTTCCCTCTGTCCTGCTACCTTTCTCATCTAAAAGTCTGGGTTAGGAGACCCTTCTCTATACTTGCACTGGGTTCTGTCCCTACCTTTCTGACAGCACTGTCACCATTGTGTTGGGGTTTTCTGTTCTTTGGTTTGTTTGTCTAACTATTAGATATTGGGCTTTTTGAGGACAAGGACTTTGTTTTGATCATTACTCTGTTGTGAGTATTAAAATGATTCCCATGATAGGGGAGCTTGTTGCCATTTGGCAAATTGTCTTTCAGAGGCTTCTCTGTACTTCACAGCTATCAATAGGTCTTGTTGGTGGGTTGTTCCTAAGTAATTCTCCAGCCTCCATTATTCCTGCTCTCGCCATGTTCATTTCATAAGGTTGCTGTAACCAATTACCACAAACTGGGTGGCTTAAACCAACAGATATTTATTCTCTCATGGTTCTGAATGCTGGGTGTCTGAGATCTTGTGTCATCAGGGCCTCATTACCTCCAGAGGCCCTAGAGGAGAATCTCTCCTTGTTTCTTCCATCTTCTGGTGGCTCCAGGCATTCTTTAGCTTGTGGCTTCATTTCTCCCATCCCTGCCTTCACACAGCTTTTTCTTCTGTGTGACAGTGTGTTCTTTTCTTTCTCTTATAAGAACAAGTTGTTATTGGATTTAGGGTCCACCCTTATCCAAAATGATATCATTTCTTGATCTGCACCTTAATTACATTTGTAAAGGCCTTTATTCCAAATATGATCACATTCTGAGGTTCTCAGTGGACATATTTTTCAGGAGTCCACCATTCAACTCACTACACTCCCTTAACTGCAGTCTAAGATGGTTCCATCCTTTTCAGCCATGTGGTTTGGCCAGCACAGAGCCCAGTGGTGCACTCACATGAGCTTAAGACAACACGCATGTTCTATCCTTTGGCCAACATAGTGACTCCAGACTAGAGAGGGTCACATGACACTGTTCAGGCCAAACAGTGGCAATGAGAGACAATTCCAATTGATCTTTATAGGAAGCAGATTCTTTTGTTTTCATGGGAAACATGGAGGAAAACCTGTAGCCCTGCAAGTTGCTATCAGCCGTATCGGACTATGAAGAGAGAAACTACAGAAGAATGGACCCAGGAGGCAGAGGCTAGAGATGGAGGGGAGAGGGAGGGATGAGAGAAGAAAGAAGGGAAATGGAACAAGAGAGAATCAAAATGCCAAGTCACGGCCACATCATTCATTGTGGTCCAGGATAAAACCTCATTTGATTTGTAACTAAACAGGTTACCAGAGTTACTCAACCAATAAATAAACTGTCTTTTTGTGTTAACCCAGTTCAAGTTAAGTGCTTTGTTACTTGCAATTGAAGAATCCTAATTTATACAACCGTTTGGGGGAAAAGTTAGCTCAAGGTATGGACTGTTGCAGAAGGTTATAATGAAATTGAATATGTTTGCATGTTCACTTTATCTTCTTTCATAATATTGGTCACAGGTCTTATTTTTAAAATTAATGCTAGCAATTTTAAGTGAGCTGCAAATCCTAGGAGTGGTGCCATTAATAACTTACATTCATTTCTCTTTCATTTACTTCTGTGTTTGTTCCACAATTAGTTCCACAGGCACTGGAGGCATTTTTAAGGTCTCACATCATTTGAAAAGTTTTTCCTGAGATAAGTGAAACTAACATTTAATGCATTTCTACTATGTGCCTTGCACATGGCTGGATGTTTTTAATAGACAATCTCAGATGCTCTCCAAAGCCACCTTAGGTATGAGGTACAACTCTGCTCATATTGGCAGGTGTGGGAACTGATGATGTGAATAATTCATTGATGTGCTTAGGATGGCACCGTTGATATTTGATGGATCTAGGAAACCAGCTCAGGTTGATACCACCTCAAATCCTATCTGTAAATCAGCCATGGAACCAAGTAGCAAAGACATACTTACAGTTCTCAGTGAGCTTAAAGGTTAACTGGGGCTATTAACTGATATGTGTTATGCAATTTAATAAAATGAAAAAGCATTATCCTGGAGATCATAAAATATGGTGTCTTGGCTTAGTGACAGAGCCACAGTTGTGTTTCAAGGGTCTTGAAATCTCCTAAAGGTGTCTATACATTTTGTGGACAAGTGCAAATGTACATTTTTTAGGGAGACTGTTTATAGCTTTCTGTAGAAGCTTTTAGTTTCTATAGCCCCCAAATATTACAGATCAAGGTAGTCTTTAAATGGTGGAGTTGAAGGTGGTCTTTAGATAGTTGAGTTCAATCAGAATCAAGATTCTGGTTAAGAAATAAATATGAATACCAGGGAACTTTCTTATGTGTGCTAACATCTCACAGAAAGAGAGATGCAAGTGATCTGGAAAAGTTATTTAGGGATGGTTTTCATGGAAGACAGTGGAAGGAAGGCACCTTGAGGGTGAAAATGTGAAAGGATTGTGGAGAGATTCATAGTGTGTGGATACTCCTGGAGCTCAGGATTAAACTTTTCAGTTTAAGATAAATGAAAGGGAAGACTTTCAGTTGCTGAAATAGCAAATACTTCACTTGGGGAAGGGAAGAGTGATCTCCAGAATCTTTGTAATTCAGAAAGGGCTAAATTTCTATCCTTCCTGTTGTCAATCCAAAAGAACATTGGCTTGAACTAGAAGAAAGATTTGGTAAATTGAGAGAAATGAGTTAGTATTTTCTTCTTGAGTGAAAACATAAATTTGTAGGAAATCTTCTCCATTTTAATGCATGATTAACAAACACAAAAATCACCCTGATGCATTGCCGTGTCTTTCTCCAAAATATCTTTTCCCCAGGCCACTCTTCTTCATTACCACCATGCATACATCCCTCAGGTCCTTGTCTGCTCACAGATGGGCTCACCCAGAGCCTTCCAGCTGGTTTTCCCACTTTCATTCTTCTCCCAACTCAAGCCGAACTTGAAATCACAAGTGAATGCACGAGAGATTGCAACTTCCACAAAGAGAAAAGACATAGACTTCCATGATGCTTGGGTTTCAGAAACTCTTTTACTTAGAGTTCTGCAGTGGACATAGGATGCCTGTCTTCCAACAGAATCCTAAATGTTTGGCCCTATAAGTCTACCCTGGCTTCCCTCTGATTTCTCCTCTCTATACTTCTAGGGCACCCTCTATGCCCTAATTGCTTCCCAGAATGCTAGGGGAAGATTAAGTGGGATGCCACATGTAAAGGACAGCACTTGGTTTCAGCATGTGATGGAGCTGTTGGAGTTGCCGTTGTCTCTTTGCTGCCTTCCGTCAGAGCTCAGGGAAATACTAATGTAGACTACTCTTCCTTCTGGACTTTTGTTATTTTTATTTTATTTTAATTCCCATTCTAGCTATTTATTATTATTATTGGTTTAGGTATCTGTGATTTACTTTATATTCTTTCTGTTATCTTTAGCAACTTCCACTGGCACATGTCAAAGAAATAATTACCTGTCCTGTGACTAATCCATGATGACTAAGATTAAAAGGATATTCTTGCTGACAGTCTTTAAGCACTATGTCTTTGTATCTCTGCTGCATGAGGTCTGGTCATGTCTTTGAGGATTATAGCTAAAGTAATAAATAAGGATAAAGCTCATGAGTGGACATTATAAAGAGAATATAAAGCACACAAGCACTTTTGTGAGCAGTGACTCTACATTCAGTATAAAATAAGCATTATGTTTGATTGTCATCACAATGCTACAGGGTCAATACCATTATTACACATATTTTATTGATGATGAGACAGAGGTTTAAAGATGGATGGTTTGGAAGGGCAAAGAGAAAGAGAGACAAAAGGAGAAGGCGGCTGAATCTGCCAGCCTTCACAGGGGCCACTTTAACTCAGCATCACAAACTTGGAAAGCAACCCCTTAGTAGTTCTGAGGCTACGTGCTGGTGCTAAAGCAATTTCCAACTGGCTTAACACGCTTTCTAACACACCAATAAAATAGCACTTGCCCTCTCCCACCAGGTCTTAACCTTTCAGCTTCACGGCCAGTTCCCTGATTTATGCTTACTGATTGCCATGGGGGCTCGCCCTTTCTCTGACCTAATGGCCTGCTGATGGGTCATTCCACTGACAAAGGGACCTTCTGGGGCTTAGGGTTTACTAGGGAACTGGTCTCAGATGTTAGGGCTGATTTATCAAGTTAAAAGGACTACGTTAAAGTAATAATGGGCCTCCTTTCTTATCTTTCCACTCCTCTCTCTCCACTCCATGGCCCTTCCCCATCCTTCTGGTGCTGCTGAGTTAATCTTCCTTAAGCACAGCTTTCTCTCTCTCTCACACTCACTCTGTGTGTGTGTGTGTGTGTGTATCTTCCTCTTCTCTTCTTCTTTTCTTCAATTGACCAACAAACTCTTTGTCTACCATTCAAATCAACCTTATAATTCTGATGACCCACTCAATCAGAATTCTGTTAATTCCAGTTCTTTTCAAGGCTTGCCTGGTTTATTACCTTCTAACCTGTTCTGTCCAATAGGGTTGCCACTATTTAAATTAATTAAAATTATGTAGAATGCAGTACTATTCCGTAGTACTATTCCTTAATACTCCATTCCTTAATTGCACCAGCCCCATTTCAAGGGTTTGATGGCCACACATGGCTAGTGGTTACCATATTGGACAATGAAATACAGAATATTTCTCATTCCAGAAAGGTTTATTGGATTGTGCTGTCCTAAATCCTCTTTCCAAACTATAGGAACCTTCCAAATAGAGTTCAGAGTGATCATCAGCATGTACAGGTTAAGTTTCAGTTTGCTCAGCATGACAGAGGAAGCTTTTCTGTTGGTTTACAAACTATCTTTCTAAGTTGCATTTGAGTTAAAATGACTGACTGGTTTTGGACGGTGCTGGTTTGGGGACACTGTGGGAGCTGGGGAGATTCAGTATGTGCATCTCTCACTCTCTGGTGCCCATAGCTGCCTCTGATATCTCTTAAATTTATTTTCTCACCTGTGAGTCAGCTTCCAGAGGTACTCTAAAACCTGGTCAAACTTTATCAGCTTTATACAGAGGCAAGGAAAACAATTTTGCACAGCACAGTTATGCTTTGTTTTTCCTCTCTTATCTGCCATTCTTTTCCCTCAGCCATCCACCTGCTCTTCCTGGCTTCTCTCTAATTTTTCTTTTTCTCAGATGAGCTCCTTCTACACATACATTGTGCATATTGTTCCAAAAGGTGGCAAGTTGTGTCCTCATGAAATTATACCCATTTGTAGATGTTATAGCTATATTTTTTCACTTCCTATAATAACCATCTATTCATTCATTTCTGCATTTACTCATTGATTCATTCATTCATCCATTTGACAAATATTTTTGAGCATCTATGTGCCAGCCCTGTGGGTTTTCTCCATTTATGCATTCCCTGACCTTGCACTCCAGTAAAAAAGGATAATAGATGCTGCGTACTTATATTAAAAATTAGCACAGCTATTCAAGTGTAGTAAGTCCTAAGACTTAAGACAATGAGTTGATGATGTAATAGGAGAACATATCCTGGTCAGGGGGTTGAGGAAGTGTCATCCTGGAGGCTGCTGGGAGTCAGGAGAGCATCTGGAGGGGGGAGGATGGGGAGGCGCAGAGCACTACAGACAGCGAAGCAACACCTGTGTCAGGAGGGAGCATATACCTTTCAAAGAACTTGCAGAAGACCATTGTGTCTACAAGGCACAGAGCAAGGAAGAGGCTGAAGGAGTAAGCCACACTAACAATATCACATGTAAACTAGGATGATCATAATATTTATCCTTCCAACACAAAAACCTGAGATAGCAAACACAGGTGCTATTAATGATTATGCTGAGCTAGCAGGCATAGACTGGATCGTACTGGGCAAAATGGGGTGTACAGTCACAGCACTTCACACAAAGAGGAAGAGGAAGTCACTGAGTCACTTAAAGCCTGGGAATGGCATGCTCAGATTTGCATTAGAAAACCATCTCTCTTTGGGAGGCTGAGGGGGTCGGATCATGAGGTCAAGAGATCAAGACCATCCTGACCAACATGGTAAAACCCTGTCTCTACTAAAAATACAAAAATTAGCTGGGTGTGGTGGCACCTGCCTGTAGTCCCAGCTACTTGGGAGGCTGAGGTAGGAGAATCACTTGAACCAGGGAGGCAGAGGTTGCAGTGAGCTGAGATCGCGCACTGCACTCCAGCCTGGCGTTGGAGTGAGACTCTGTCTCAAAAAAACAAAAACAAAAACAAACAAACAAACAAAAAACAATCTCTCTGGTTCCAATGCATTGCTGGAATGGAGGACAGCAAGAACAAATGCAACAAAAAGACTGCCACTCAGAGAGGGGTGGAGGAGTCAGGAGGTAGTAAAGAGGTGGGAAGGAAAATCTACCCCTTTGGAATCTGACATGTGGGGGACTAGGGGAAGAGGTGTATCCGGGAGGCCTCTGTGGGAGTCACTGGGAGCCGATGGGCCATGCTGGGGGTTGTCCAACAGGGTGGTGAATGGTGGATGTTTGAGATGTCAATGATACTGGCACCTTGACCTCAACACCTATGGCTTCTCGCAGCTTCTTCATTCGACCCCCAACCTCTGTCTTCAACGCCAGATTTTCTGACTAGTTACCATAGCTCCCACTACCTTCCACACATACAGTTATGGCCTGTGAGATATTTTTAAAAAATGAAACTCATATTGGAGACATTTAATAGAATGCACATCTGTCAAACAAAATTTTTTGAAAGGGAAAAATCAATAACAAGTCAATAGAAGCGAAGCTGTTTTTCTCCTAGACAGAAGACTCAATAGCATGGAAGTGGGTAGGATTAGCATTCTAGCGATAGCATCTTGAATTACAGAGTGCTGAGCAGCTCATCCCATGGAACCTTGTAATTTAGAGTTCTTTATTTTCAGCATTGTGTTTGGTCCTGGCTTCTAGTTTTCTTTCATTTGGAATTAGTCATCACATTTACTGTCTTTCCTGGCATTGTTTATAATGGCTCCAGCTCCTAGCATGGAGCAGATTCATGCAGCACACTGTATTTGGGTCTTAAATCAATCACAGATTGAGAAACTGCACATTATTCAAAGCAACTCATTTAATATTTTATCAAGAAAATGTAATTAGGATTTTTGAAAACAAGTTTCTAGATAATCAGGGGAAACAGCCACAATCAATTTATAAGAATGGTTGTGGGTAGAACTTCTTGGGTAGCTGGGCCAAGATCTTAAACTTCTTTGTCATTATGCAATTCTATGACCCTCTTCTATTGACTTGTACATGGGTGAACATGATTTTTCAAAATAGGCAAAAAAAAAAAAAAAAAAAGGATAGCTAACAAGCGAACAAAAAAACTTGCTTTAATAGTCCCCCCTCGTCATTAAAAATAAATTTATAAAGTAATCTTTTTTTTTTTTTTTTTTTTTTTGGAGACAGGGTTTCACTCTTTTTGTCCAGGCTGGAGTGCAATGGCATTATCTCGGCTCACTGCAAACTCTGCCTGCCAGGTTCAAGGGGTTCTCCTATCTCAGCCTCCCGAGTGGCTGGCATTACAGGTGTGTGCCAGCACACCTGGCTAATTTTGTATTTTTAGTAGAGACAGGGTTTCACCATGTTGGCTAGGCTGGCCTCGAACTTCTGACCTTAGGTGATCCGCCCGCCTTGGCCTCCCAAAGTGTTGGGATTACAGGTATGAGCCACAGCTCCTGGCCTATAAAGCAATCTTATTTTGAGACTTACTTTGTGTAATTTGCTGGGTGGAGACCTTACTGAAGGATATTAGGATGAATAAAGTCATACAACTGCCCTGCAGTGGGGCACACTCTAAAAGGAGAAGTGAGAGTAATGCCAAGACAAAATGTACAGTGAGAAAACCAGAGAGAGAGAGAGATTCATTCTAACTAGTAGCACCTGGGAAAGTCAAATGAAGGAATTGCCCTTATTTAAGCTTCATCTTCAGGAAATAAAGTGTGAATGTCTTACCAGTGGTTGTCCAGGTTCTTGGCATTTTAAACAAAGAATTGGACAAAATGCACCACGAAAGCAACAAAAGAATGAATCAACAAAAGCATAGATTTATTGAAACAAAAGTAATACTCCACAGTCAGAGTTGCAGCAGGCTGGAGCAAGTGGCTCAAGAGTGCTGGCTACAGAATTTTTGAGGGGTTTAAATACCCTCTATAGGTTTTGCATTGGTTATTTGGTTACACCCCATGCAAATGAAGGAGTGGCCCATGACCAGTCTGATTGTTCATGGGAGACAACCAATCAGAAGCTGAAGTGAAGTTACAAAATTACACCCTATGCAAATGTCTGATTGGTTGCAAGAGGGGAAAAATCAGAGGCTGAAATGAAGTTACAAAGTTACAGCCCTATGCAAATAAATACTATGCCCCTGACCAGTCTGATTGGTTGTGGAAGGGGACCAATCACAGGTACTTTTCATCTCTCATCTGCCATACAGAAAGTGGGGGGTTGCAAAGGGAGTAGCCATTGTTCTTTTGTTATATGGGCATGGAAAGTTGGGGTTTTCCTTTTGATGTAGTTCTAGGAAGTCAGGGTGAATTGACTCTAGGTTCCCAGCCTCCAGACCCTATTCTCCTACCTCAAATGCTGTGTCTAGGTCAGAAAGGACACACTTCTGTGTGTGTGATATGATTTGTTTCTGTGTCCCCACCCAAATCTCATCTTGTATCTCCCATAATTCCCACATGTTGTGGGAGATGATTGAATCATGGGGGTGGATCTTTCCCATGCTGTTCTTGTGATAGTGAATGGGTCTCATGAGATCTGATGGTTTTACAAACCTGAGTTTCTCTGCACAAGCTCTCTCTGCCTGCTGCCATCCACAAAAGATGTGACTTGCTCCTCCTTGCCTTCCACCATGATTGTGAGGCCTCCTCAGCCACGTGGAACTGTAAGTCCAGTAAACCTCTTTCTTTTGTAAATTGCCTAGTCTCGGCTATGTCTTTGTCAGCAGTGTGAAAATGAACTAATACAGTGTGTCTTTGGTGATGGAGCACAGAGACTCATCAAGACTCATGCCCACTTTTCTCTGAGCACACAGTGCATCCTCAGCTAGGTGCCTGCCCTCAATGCAGTTAGGATAACTACAGGACTGGTGTCAGCCAGTGGAATGTGAGCAAAAATGATGGGTGCTGCTCCACACGTCTGACCTGTAAAGACAACTTTCTTTTTCCTCACTCTCTGCATGAAGAGATGGCAAACAAAGCTCCCAGACAAATCTAATCCACGGCTCGTTTTTGTATCACCCAAAGGCTAAGAATGGTTTTTACAGTTTTAAACAGTTGAAGAAAGATTTAAAATAGAATATTTGGTGACATGTGAAAATTATGTAAAATTCAGATTTTAATGTCCATGAATAAAGTTTTATCCACACATAGCCATGCTCATTCATTCATGTATTGCCTATGGCTGCATTCACGCTTCAGTGGTAGAGTTGGGTAGTTTCCAAGAGAACGTATGGCCCCAAAGACAAAAATATTCACTAGCTGACCCTTCGTAGTAAATGTTTACCAACTCCTTTTCTAGAGAAATGGAGAGAACTTGGCACTGCAGGTGGAGTGACCATTTGGGAAGGGTAGGCTTCTAGGAATATAACATTGTCAGTGGATTTGATATTAGCCAAAATAATAATAATGATAATTTTGTTGTGTTAAGGCAATGAGATTTTGGGGTTTATCTCAATACCTTAAGTCATGCATTGTGGGTTGTTTGTAGAAGGAACAAGAAACCAACAGAAACCACGTCTTGAGAGTTTGGACTCCAAAGAAGCAAATTTTAATGTGTGCTGAACCCACTGCCTGAATGGAACTTCAGAAAGTGGACATCAGACCTGTGCCTTAGTAGAGCAGACTTTGTATCTTCAAGACATTGTCAATCTGTTACCTGAAACAAGCAGAATAACACCAGTGCTACCAGCACCAACACCAAGAAAAAGACAATATTGGAAAGCAAAGTACCCTAATATAGACAGTTCTAGAAAAATAAGCGTGGCTAAATTCAGTGCTTTATATTGAAGGCTATTCAATTGACTACTTTTATTTCAGCCACATCTCTGAAATAACCTAAATGTTCAATAATAGGGAAATGGTTAGATAAAGTATGTTATGTCTGAAGCACTTTTTTCCCCATGGGTCCCTTCCTCCATAAAACGTACATATCTGATGAGTCCATTGGTATGATGTATTATGCATTAAAACGTTTCTTCAACCTAATAGTTTATTTTCTCTTAAATTTTAGAATAAATTAAACTATTTTCATGGGCCCTTAAAAGTATTATGGGCCCTAGGTACTGTGTCTGTGTCTGCTGCATCTAATGGGGAAGTTGGCCCTGATTATAAAATAATTTTTTTTTCTTAGATACTCATGGCAAGTAAATATGTCAAATTTTATATGTTTGGGTTTCAATGATGGCATTTTGGGTGAGTATTATCTTATGTGTCTTTTTTATATTTTTTAAAAACGTCAATACTCATATTATGATTAAGAAAAAAATAGACACAAGCTTTCTAAGATGCAGGTTAAATTTTTGACTTCCCTCCTCTATTCTCTTCTGTAGATTTCTGTTTGCTATAGCTGTGTTTCTTTATGTGTACAACTAGGGCTTTTGCACCAAAATGCTTAGCAGACAAGTTAAAAACATACATTTCAGAATGGTCGCTAAGTCATAAACCATCAAAGTATTTGGAGCTAGGGCCCCAAAATCTGCATTTCAGATATGGTGAACATGAGTGAACATACTCCTTGGCGGTTCTTATACATAAGAAATTGGAAAACCACTAATCTTGGGACAAAGCCCGAAATTCATTTGATTTCAAATGAGGTACTTCAAAAACCAGCCTGTGTCTACTCCCACAGTCTCAATTCTGCATTCTCCTAACACTCATCTTCATCCACCCCTTTATCCTGATGCCTTTTCTGCCATTCACCTTCACCAAGCAACCAAGATGGAAATAATCAAGACTTTGCCCTGAGGCAATGCATTTTTAAAAGGGAGTGCAAAGTCTGCATGGTGGCTCATGCCTGTAATCCCTGCAATTTGGGAGGCCCAGGCAGACCCAGGAGTTTGAGACCAGCCTGGGCAACATAGTGAGACTCCATCTCTACAAAAACAAATTTAAAACTTAGCCAGGCATGATGGTATGTGCCTGTAGTCCCAGCTACTCAAGAAACTGAGGCAGGAGGATTGCTTGATTCCAGTAGCTCAAGGTTGCAGTGAGCTATGATTTAGGCAGTGCCTTGTAGCCTGGGTAACAGAACAAGACCCTGTCAATAAATAAATAAATAAATAAATAAATAGGAATACACACATTTGAAAACATTCGGTTTAAAATATTTAAAACATTTAGTCCTTTGCTACATCCTTGCCACTGCTTCTCCTGCTTTGAACTCACTGTAGGAATTGGAGTCTGATTCTTAGAGCTCCTCTGTGCAACAATGAAAAGATCCTCCCTCCCTATTTCTTATGTTTTTCCTGTTATCCTGTACAACATTCCTGTTATTTCCCTTGGAGGGATGCACACACACTGGCACACCCACACCTATCTTTGTCACACCTTTGTGCTTTTGATACTCTTCTTTCCAACTGGAATGCTGCTACATAATCATCCAGTCCCAACTAGAATATCTTATTATTTGGGGTACTGCTGTATGGGCCTTTGTCATAGTATGGCTACAATTATTTTATACTCATTAAGCCTTTGTTTTTACATAGGTATATTTATTTCAAAAGGAATGCCTAAAAGGAAGGTAATTGCAGGAATAAAGGCAATGCAAATAAAAGTTTGAGGTTTGCTCCATATCAGCAGGGGAGGTTGACAGTGCAAGAGGTAGATTGAAGACAAGTTAGCACTGAATGAGGGCTGTTTGTACAATGCAAAGATGGAGGAGAAGTGAAAAGTGGCACCTTGTCCCTGTGTCATCATTGTTGTTTGAGGCTGATCGATGAGTCACCCGACATCACATGTGGGAAACCCAGGTATGGTGGAAGGAGCAACGGACCCTATCTCAGAAGACCTTGATTAGAATCATGTCCTGCCTCTTTCAGCCAGCCCTCCAGGCCTCAGTTTCTTCATCTGATAAATGGAAATAAGGATACCAGCGTTGCCCATCTCACTGGGTTTCCCTGAGGGACACATGGCATAGTATTTTTTTTTTAATTTGCTTTATTGAACTTGATGGTCTAAGCCAGAGAGTTTGAAAATATAGGTGTCCCATGTTGATTGTCACAGTGTTTGAGGGCAAGGAACACTTGTTGTTAGGCAGTAGTCAGTTTATGAATGGGGAACAGAGGGGCCAGATACACTACAAATGAAGTAACATATTGACTAGCAAACAATAAATTTTCCTGCAATCTGAAGACTCTCAATGTTCCCCAAACATTCAGGTAAATTACCTGAATCTACTTTACACATCAACATAGTCAGTCTGCTTTTTTTCTTTTCTTTCTTTCTAACTTCTCTTGTTCTTTCCTTCTTCCCTTCTTTCCTTCTTTCCTTCTTCTATTTTTACAGACATTTTAGTTGGAAATAATTTTAGACTCACGTAGAAGTTGCAAAAAATAGCAAGGAGATTTATGAATACCCTTCATCCAGTTACCCCTAGGGATGACATCTTATGTAACCAAAGTCCAATTATCAGAGCCAGGAATTTGACAATGGTGTAATACTGTATAAACTACAGAGCTTAATTATATTTTATAAGTTTTTGCATGCACCTACTTATTTATTTTTGGTGTTCAGTTCTACAAGATTTTTTTCCATCTGTAATTTCAGGTAGCCACCATAAAAAATAAGATAGAGAAGTATTCTATTCCTTCCAAAGAAACTCACTTGTACTCTCCTATTATTCATACTTTTAAAGATATTATTTTAGCTCAATAAACATATGTTAAATTAATAAAACAGTGGATTAATATATGGTTGAGATGTCACTTCTTGAACTTTTGGAAGAGTTAACTTAGTGACATCTTTACCTAAAATAGCCTTCCCTAATCATAGAGCACATTTTTGAGGATCTCAACACTGTAGTGAAAATCAGTAGTTGAGTCAGGACAAACACTATTTCACACAACATATGTAGTATCCCAATGCCAAATCTGAGTCAAATCAATTTAATTACCTAACTAAGGTAGTTGTTATGGCAACAATGCAACTAATCTATCTCAGCAAATACTCCGTATACTTGACCTGTTGCTAGGCAACAACCAATACCTTGCATGGTAGGTGATGACAAATATCATCTGACGCAGATGTTGCTATCAGGTCATAAATTAGTCCTCTGGTCAAGGAGAAGTTTCCCAGAGAACATCATTGAGATATGAAAATGATATTCCTGAAGACCAACCACAGCACTGATACCCAGAAACAACCAAAACCCAAATTTATATTGGTTTATAGGTTAAAAGTCCAGCAAAATAGTAATTATGAAAATTAGGATGAGGACCTGTATACTTAGTATGATGTATCTGAAATGACATAGTTATTTTCATTTTCTACAGACTTGTTCAATATCTCTGGGAAAAATTCTCTCTCTTTCTTTTTGTAAGGACAAAATACCCATTTATAAATATATAGTTCATGTATGGAGAATAAATCAGGGTAGGCAGAATTGTTGGGCATAATGCAAATAGAACTGCGTTATTCAACAATTCAGCATCCTTGAAGAGCTGCCTCTACCTCCTCTCTATCCTTTGGTATTCTCTTATTCAAGATAGCCCATACTGTACAATTTAAAACTTTACTTACTTTCAATTGAGGTAGCCAATTAATTGTTTCTCAGGTTGCTAAGTAAGAGACTTGTCTCTCATGATCTGCCTCCTTAAACCATAAATAGAAGCCATATATTCAAATGAGCTCCAAAGCAAATACAAGTAGAGGTGCCATGTGGGTGGGCTGAGGGTGCCGTTACTCTCAGGGTCTCCCTGGACAAGTTAGCCCAGGTGTTCTTGGTAAACTGCCAAGAAGGTCACACTTTAGACCAACGTTTGCAAACTGAGAAGTGTTCAGGTGTCCAGCAGGTAAAGTGCAAGTGTGATGTAGCCATGTGCAGGGTGATGAGGGGGAGTGGGCACTGGAGAGCAGGTTATACCAAAAGGCATTTGAGTATAAATATCTTTTACAACAACACTCTGCCCTTGCACTCATTTATTTCTCATAGAACCGCTGAAGTGGGCCTATTCCGTGGCTGGGTTGACCCCGGGTAGAGACATAGAGTTTGACTCATGTGGAAGTTGCATTTTGTAGCCTGAAGTCACATAGCAGCATGGGAGACACATAGGGCTGAGTCTCTGAAGATCAAGGGTGGATTTTTTCTGATGCTCTTAGGTGCACGGCCACAGGTGAGTCATTTCATCTGGGCTCTGGTTCCCCATCTGTTACAAGAGGTGATATTCAGGAAGTCTTTCCCAATCCTTGGGACTAACTGCATGGTTCCAATTAAGCACCTTGTATCCCTGGTCACAAGGGATTTAATGAGAGAGTTTGAGGAAGATTTCACCTGAGCCAGCCTATTCCCACTTCCCACCGGTGGCAGGAAGGAGGACAAGGGAGACCCCACTAGTTGAGAACATTGGCGAAGCTGTCTACGGAAAAGGCAGTGATAATCATGACGAGGGTAATGCTAAATAACTACCTACGTGGAAAGCTTTGTGAAAGCTGTCTTTCTTCATAGAACTCTGCCTGGAAGATCAAATCTGTCTCCTTGATTCAGAAAGTTAGTAGACCAGACAGCATTGTAATTAAGTAAGAGGAAGAACAGGTGAGAACGTGGAGGAAGAGAAAAGAGGAGAATAAAAAGAAAAAGTGGGGAGGAGGAAGAGAAGGAATAAAAGAAGGAAAAGAGGAAGGAAGAGAGAGGATGAGGAAGGGAAGGAAGGAAAGGAGAAAAAGGGAAGGTGGGAAAGAGGAAGGAAAGGCAGAAAAAAGGGAGAGAGGAAAATGGATGGAAACTTTTTCCGTGGGAGTATTATTCAGATATATTTGTAACATACATCAAAGTGTCCTTTTCTTTTAATGTATCCTGTCGATTTGTCCAGTATTTGCTCATATATATATATGATTTTTTTTTTTGCTGTGATTCCATGCCATCAACTAAAAATTATTGCATAAGGGGAAGCTAATTTGGGAGGAGCAATTTTCTCAGAACTGATTGCAGAAACAGCCATACAATTATCTCAACAGAGCACTTAGCACAGTGCTGAAAGGGCCGCGCTTTAAGATTTACCCCCATCTCCTGCATCCTGGCTGAATTTCGTGCATCCAATCACCCTCCAAATGAGACAGACTGAAATCTTACCTCCTGAAAATGACCATGGATCAGGGGATGCCCGAGAGTTGGGGTCTGAGGTTCTCTTCTTGCCCTCAGGTCTTCCCCTCTCGGGGCTGACCAATTTCTGAAACAGGTGCTTGGATGGTGGAAAGCTGGTCTCATGCAGCCTGCTTCCATGTAAAAGGTGCCCCTGGTGGAACGATCTAACTCTTCTAATCTCTGGCCACTCTGTGTTTCTGATGGAAAAGATTTGCAAGCATGCTTTGTAAGATGCTCTACTAATATATGATGGTATTAGAAGTCATAGTAGAAATAATTAGGAAGATATTTGGATTTCTTGGACAAGTTGCATATTTGGACAAGCTCTTTGGCTTGAACTTTAGAAATGGAGTGTGTACATATGTGATTCAGGCACTAGAGTTTAGGCAAGATAAAATAATAGCAAAAAATGTGTGCCCTGGGTTGTGACAACCAGAGTTTAAAGGCCAATCTATGAGACCTTGAGAAAGATATTTAATTTCCCTAAACTTCAGTTTATTCCTAAGTAAACTGAGGAAATGAACAGCATTTCCTTTACAGTGTCAACGCAAGGATTCAATGCTACAATATGGATAAAATGCCTGGCCACAGTTTCTACTCCAGAAATGTTGGCCATTATTATTGCTAATGTCATTAGGCCCTCCTGACAATAATCCCAGAAGGTTGGCACTCTCCCCATTTTCCTAGATGATAAACATGAGGCCCAAAGAGGTGACACAGCTGGCCCAGTGTCACCTCCCTGATAAGGGAGGGCAGGGGCTCCAACCCGGGCAGCTTCCAAAGCCCCCCTCCTCTGTGCAGCTTAATGAGGGCTTCAGCTTCACGCTTCTCTCCCCTTGATTAGGTGTTAAATATTTACCATCTTGCCTTTCTTCCTCTCTACCCTCTTTAAAAACGGTTTAATTAAAATCATTCGTTGAGCTCATGATAAAAATATGTAAATGTGATGATTTTTGTGAAATGAATCTATTGTTGCCCTTTCATTCCCAAGGGACTGTGGATAAGAAGGGATGGATAGCTGGGTCTTCCACACGTTTGAAAACACACTGTAGAACTGATTTCAAGGTCTGGTGGCCACGGGATCCAGCAATTTATGTATGTGAAGCACAAGTGGGTTTGTAGGCATGGGGTGGGCATGGAGGGCGAGAATGACCTCAGTATTCCTAGAGAACCAAGTGGAATGAGCTGGAGCAGGTAGAGTTGAGGGGAAACTCATTTTTACTTCCTTGCATCTGCTCTGAGTGGCCTACCCTCCTCCAACTTGCCCACCAGAAGGCAGCCCGGTGACCTCTGCCTCCTCCTTCTCTGATGCCACATATGGACACTCATGCCTCCCCCGAGTTCCTGCCTGGCATATGCCCTCAGTAGAACTCAGTACGGTTCTTTTGTTCATTAGGCAAATGCTCTGGAGTTCCAGCCTTGCATTTAGTACGTATTTCCTTACTGAGATTCAGTGGGCCAGGCACTGGGATAAATGAGGACCCCCTTGCTTAAGGTTTCAAGAAACCTAGGAATGGTCACGTCTACTTCAGAATGTCTGGCCTAACACAAGTCAGAGGAAGGACAGTCTCCTACACCAGCACCTTTGACATATTCCTGCTCCTTGCCAACCATAATAAAATACTCCTCTGAAGTTTGCTCCTGAGTCTCACCGAGCTGGATTAGGAGCTATTTTTAAATTTTATTTTATTTTGTTTTATTTTATTTTATTTTATTTTATTTTATTTTATTTTATGCTCCAGGATATATGCGCAAGACATCCAGGTTTGTTACATAGGTAAATGTGTGCCGTGGTGGTTTGCTACACCCATCAACCCATCACCTAGGTATTAAACCCTATACGCATTAGCTATTTATCCTGATAGGAGCTGCTTTTTAACAGCCCCTATTATCCCACAATTAGATACGGTTAGTTCCATAACAACAGCCCCCATCTCAGTGACTTAGCACAGTGAATTTTATTCCTCACCCATAGATTAGAATTGGGCATTGGTCACTTGGTAGGGGGACTGTGCTTGTTGTAGTTATTCAAGGATCAACATCTCTTCCATCTGGTGACTTCAGCTTCCTTTACTTCTTAACAAAGATCCTGTGGGAAGTTTTGTTGGGCCAGAAAGTCGTGCAAATTTCTGCCCATGTTCCATAGCTCAGCCATACGGCTGTACTGGAAGGGAGGTTGGCAAGTGGAATCTAGCTTTGGGTCCAAGAAGAGGAGTATGTGGCATATTAGTGAGGGACAAGTCTGCATGTTTTTGGGTTCTGTGACAGTGAGGTGCTTTAGGACAGAGGATATGTCACACAACCACACAT
The DNA here is from genome assembly GCF_000001405.40 of Homo sapiens. Classification (NCBI taxonomy): domain Eukaryota; kingdom Metazoa; phylum Chordata; class Mammalia; order Primates; family Hominidae; genus Homo; species Homo sapiens. The sequence goes on along the minus strand of NC_000014.9, from coordinate 98,550,622 downwards.
GCTCTGTACTCATGCCTCCTCCATGCTTGGTTTAGGTAAATAATAAATACTTCCTGGGAAAAAAGAACAAAAGAGTAAATAAATAAATAATGTATAACCATAATGTAATGGCCAAAGTGAATAGGTTTACCTGAAACCATTAATAAAACATTATTGCACATCACAATTTGCTTCTAACATATGCTTTATTCTACTTTGCTGTGTTCGACATGGCAGGAAGTGGAGTACAACCTGGATGTTTCAGACTCCTTCTCAAACTTTTCGACATTTCGATTGGAATTTCTATCATTTCACACCCGTCTTCTCTCACCAAATCTTGGGGAAGTTGGAGGTTTAACTCCTTTAGGTGGTGTTTGTTCTGTGGCTTCTTTTCCTCCAACTCCCCCACTTACTCTCCATTGTGCCACTGTTTTTTGTTTGTTTGTTTGTTTGCTTGCTTTTCTTCCTTACCCAGTGTCTTAGTTTGTTCCTGCAGCTGTAACAAAACACTTTAGTTTGAGTAACTTACAAATGACAGAAATTTATTACTTGCAGTTCTGGAACCTGGGAAGTCTAAGATCAAGGAGCCAGCAGATTCTGTGTCTGGTGAGGATTCACTCTCTGCTGCGTCCTCATGTGGCAGAAAGGGCAAACAGGCTCCCACAAGCCTCGTTTATGAGGACACGAATCCTACTTATGAAAGTTCTACCCTCATGACCTAATCACCTCCTAAAGGCCTCACCTCTTAATACTTTTGCATCGGGACTTAGGTTTCAATATAAATTTTGGGTGTGCACCAACATTCAGACCAGAGCAACTGGTCACAGATAAAATGGTCAGAAGTTCTATCTTGTACCACTTTCTACCATACAGCTCATAGTAAACCCCTCAGCTCAGGCCTTTTATGATTGTTGTTGATATAGAACCAGACTATTTTTCTTTATAAGTTTATGAAATTCTTTTATACATGAAAAAATTCACCTGTTAAGAACATTGTTTTTCTTTAGACACACAAAAAAAGTGTAAATGGAAACTCAAAGTTGAGTCCTTTGATCTACATTGTATCTGCCTTCTCTGTGAATATGTCATTGATATAATGGGGGTGGGCACAGCATAATTGGAAAAGGAATGGAAAACAACTACCTTAATAACTCAAAATATGATTGCCATTACAATAGTTTTGCCAAAACAAAGGGATGAAGAGCAACTTTATATTTATGTATGACACTTGTTCCTCTTTCATCACAAGTCCTCAACACAAGGTCCCAAGGAAATCTCAAAGGTATCCTGGAATGGTTAATGTTATGTGTCAACTTGGCTGGGCCATGGTTCCCAGATATTTGGTCTAACATTATTATGGGTGCTTCTGTAAGGGTGTTTTTGGATGATATTAACATTTACATAAGTAAACCCTAGGTAAAGCAGATTGCTCTCTCTGATGTGGGAGGGTCCATTCAATCAGTCGAAGGCCAGAATAGAACAAAAGACTGACCTCCCCTGAGCAAGAGGGAATCCTTCCAGCAGACAACCTTCAAACTTCATCTACAGGATCAGCTCCCTGGGTCTCCAGCCTGATGGCCCGCTCTGCGGATTTTAGACCTGCCAGTCTCCATAATCACATGAGCCAAAATCCTTAAAACAATCTCTCTCATATCTATATATACACACACATACATATATTTGTGTGTGTACAGGATGTACATGTATGTATACAAGTATGTAAGTATATACACATTCTATCGGTTCTTCCTCAGGAGAACCCTGACTAATACAGATCTCAAGGGAAAGAGGATTGTATTAATCCGCTCTCATGATGCTATAAAGGACTGCCCAAGACTGGGTAATTTACAAAGGAAAGAGGTTTAATTGACTCACTGTTCCACATGGCTGAGGAGGCCTCAGGAAACTTATGATCATGGTGGAAGGGGAAGTAAACATGTCCTTCACATGATGGCAGGAAGGAGAGGTGCCAAGCAAAAGGGGCAAAAGCCACTTATAAAACCACCAGATCTCATGAGAACTCACCCACTATCATGAGAACAGCAGCATGTGGCAACTGTCCCCATGATTCAATTATCTCCCACGAGGTCCCTCCCACAACACGTGGGGATTATGGGAACGTCAATTCAAGATGAGATTTGGGTGGGCACACAGCCAAACCATATCAAGGAGCCATCTGGAATCCCCCTTACGACGTTCCCTCTTCTACTTCTTGCTTTAACTTCCTCCCATCTAAGCATGAGGCTTTTTCCTCTAGAACATCAGGTCATGAGAGCCAATATAACTATCTCAGTCTACACATAGTTCTCCACTAGATGAGATTAGCATTTTATCAGTAGTCTGAGTAAAGCAGATTACCTTCTATAATGTGGGTGATTTTCACCCAGTCAGTTGAAGGCTTTACGAGAAAGCAGATGAGTCACCTGAAAAAGAGAGAGAATTCTGCCTCTAGACTGTCTTCAGACTCCACACTGCAACATCAACTCTTCCCTGGGTCTCCAGCTTGCCTACCAGGTTGCCCTGCAGAATTTACATGCTTCAGGGCCCAGAATCATGCCATCCAATTTCTTAAAATCTCTCTCTACCTCTGGCTCTCCCCACTCCCACTCCTCTCTAAACACTTGGTAAGTTAGTGACTCCAAATACCCTCTTTTTTCCCAAATGAAAAGATAGAAGTGCAAGATTTTTGTCACCTTGAGAATATAAACTTTTAGGAATGAAGATGAAATAGTTAAATGTCTACTTACATTTATTTCATTAATTTATTTACACATTCATATTGAAAATACCTGATAAATACAGCACTAACGGCAATATTGTGAATGAAATAAATCTTAAAAATATTATAAATTAAAAATAGACTACTTGGAATTTACCAATCACTTTGTCAATTTGCATTTTTTAGTTTGGATTTGTTTTGAATTTTACAAAATCAGAAAATTTTTAAAAGGTATCTAGTCAATAGTACTTACTTTAGTAATTCAGCTCAAATATTATCCCCTTGATAATTTCTAAGGAAAATGAATGTTTTCAGAATCTTATTTCTTAAGAATTCTTCTTTACTCCTTCTAATTTTGAGCAATACATGAATAATGAAAGCAATCATTTAAAAAACTTGAGAATTCCTTATTTCTACTTATACCACCAAAATTATTTTCTGAAAGAAATTTTCCATTTTAGTAATTGTAGTTAAGATGCCTCTTTAGCTTTGGGAAATTTGTCATAGCTTTAAGAGACTACTGACCACACTTTTTGCTGTTTTGCAATAAGCAAAAGAGCTTCTTTGGGACAGTCAAACTAGATTCAAATATGAGCAAAATATCTAAAAAGTTTGCTTAAACAATTTTTTTTTTTGCTTTGTACTAAACAATGGAGAAATTTTTCTAGGTACCTAAAAACCCAAATGTAGAGCAATTTCTTCTTTCTGATGGACATTTTTGGAGAATATATATTATCTTCCCCAAATAATATAATCCTTTGGGGAACAATCCTATAATAAAATAATCTTTGGGGGAACAAAGCATTTTCTGCCCAGAATGTTAGTGGGATGGGAGGAGAGACTGACCTGGGAGCCACTTCAGAACATCCTTCCTCCTTTTCTCCCACCCACATCCTCAATCTACTAAACTTAATGCAGTGGAAATACAGGAGCAAGTTATTTCAAATTATTGAGACGTGACCTATCCTCAATTGAACAATGCTGCCCAGTTGAAATATAATTTGAAATGCACACAATTTTAAGTTGTTTAGTAGCACTTTAAAACAGGTAAAAAAAAAAACCCAGCTTCAATTAATTTTAATAATGTATTCATTCCACACAATGTGTTATCATTCTAACACATAATCAATATGAAAGATATTAAGGAGATGTTTCATATCATTTTTTCCTAATAAGTCTTAAAAATTGGGTGTGATTTTTACACTTACCACGCATCTCTGTTTGGGTTCACTATATTTCAAAGCTCCCTGGGTGTCTGTGGCTAGAGGTTAACATATTGGACACTGCAGTTTTAGATATAAGGTGTATATAAATACATATATGTATGTGTGAGTGTGTATATATATATATAGTTGTTATTCTGTACAAAGGAACAAAAATTCTACAATTGCCAAGTGATTGAGTACCTAATTTTAAGGGGTAAGTTAGGGAAATGAAACATTTACTTCCAGGCAGTTCTGTTCCAGGCACATAGGTGTAATTTCTGAAGCAGACACTTTATCTGTTTGGAACTTACCCTTGACATGTTCTCTGCTGGGCTAGAGCAAGCTGGTCTTAGGTTCTCCATTCCCACAATTTGTATCATTCTCTTTCTGCTGCCGTCCAGGGGTCATGGTCCAAGGGTTGTGGAGAACTCATTGTTTTGAAATCTGTTATTCTACTGTCTATTAAAGGCTTTAAACTTTAAATGAGATACAATACACATAATAGAATTCAAGTTTTCACATATTAGACATTCATGAGGAAAGACTACTCTGCTTGCTATTGACTATTTGATGCAATATTAGTAGCGATCCTAACAGCGGTAATTCATTAAAAGCCTACTTCACACTTCACATTGCCAAGGTATTTAAAAATATGTCTCACTTTATTTAATCCTCATAACAACACCATGAGGGTAAAAATACCTGTTCTATAGATGGTAAAATGGGCCTCAAGTGAAGGCATGTGTTCAAGGGGACAGACCCGGTAAGGAATGAAGATTTAAACACAAGCGTTTTGCTTTTTGTTCAGATTCAGATATCTGATTCCAAAGCTCATGTTTTTGCACTGTTAAGAGAATTTCTTCCAAGTACCATTACCGAAACTTCATCTCTCACAGGCCAATTGGCCTTGAAGTGAAAACACTCATGTTCGAGTCCTGCCTGTTTTCTTACCACATACTTGATGGTTTTAGGAAAATCATGAATTTGACTTTTATTTCCTCTACTCCAAAATGGAATAAAAAAGTCAGTCTCCCAAGGGGACTCATGCAGCTTAGACATCAAAGCATGCTATAGCCAGGAAAACTAAAAGCAACTTAATTGTTTGTTAATAGTGGAGTAACAGATATAAAACAAAAATATATGTCATGCTAAGGCCAAATGATGATTATGTAGCCATTAAATGCCAAGTTTTCAGAGACTATTTAATATCTAGACTCTAGATGCAATGCTAAATATATTTTTAAAAACACAGTATAAAAAACAATAAATACCATATGATTCTAACTTGGTAGTTCACAGATGCAAACATAAACACTTAGGAAAAAAGACAGTCTTGCCAGGAAACACATTTCTTGTGGTTATCTTACAGTCATAAATTACAAGTGATTTTTTTTGTGTGGAATGCATTTCTTTATGTTCCAAAATTTCTATAATGATCATATATTAATTTCTCTCTCAATCAGAAAAAAAATGTATTTTTAAGTGGAATTTCTAGTTCCTTGGAAAAGTTCACTTTTAATGAAGACCATTTGATTCATCAAATAAAGTTTTCTACCTCCTACACTTAATGAACTATTTTAAGTCTCCTTTTTTCTTAGACTCCCACTGTTCCTATTAATTCTAATACACTATCAGCCCTCATTATAACACCCCTAAGGGACTGTAGGAACAAGTGCATTCTCTGACAGGCATAAAGTGAGGTCATGGGGAAAGTAAGGAAAATCTGTGACTTTCTCATTCCCCTGTGACGTGATCTCAGTGATTTTCCCTAAGTAAGTAAGACTTCTGTGAATGACCGTGTGTGTATCATTAGAGTCCTAGATAAAGTTGATCTTTTATGGAATAGCAACGTTCTGCTTCAGTTAGAAATGTCAGTGAATCTCACAGAAAGTAATTTAAATGCCTAGCAAAACCTAAAAGCTCTTTAAAGGGGTATGAACCCTAACTGTAACTCTCCAGTACTAGAGATTGAGCAAGGAATCCTGAAGACACGTACTTAAATCTATGGCCCTCCCCTGGAAAGATTTTGAGCTAGTCACTGAACATCTCGGAGACTTAATGGCCTCATCTATAGAAGGGAGCTGGACTTTCTCCTCTTAACGTTGTTGTGCAGGTGAAATGGGACACCTGCTGACTCTGTGTTAGCAAGGATACCTTAAAAATGAGAATTTTTGCTTTTCAAATGCCAATGGGGTTCCTGATTTCTGTAAGACTATTAGGAAGCTGCTCCCCAAATTCTCCAATGAAAACTAATACTACTTTGCTAGAATTTGCACAAAGTGTGAGTCCCTCCTTGTCTGCAGGAAGACTGGAGCAGAGTGTGACAGGATTGTGACGTCAAGAACAATGACAGTGGAGGGACTGAGCCAGGTGTTTGAGATCCATTGTGGTTTGATTGTTCAGCCTATGAGAGACAAAGTGTGTATGTGTGTGCTTCTCTGTTTGAGTAAATAACTGAGTTGAAAAAAAAAATACATTCCTAAAGGTGATGCCTGGTGTATTTCTCGTTTTTTGTTCGTTTGTTTTGAGACAGAGTCCCTCTCCGTCGCCCAGGCTGGAGTGAGTGGCGCGATCTTGGCTCAGTGCAACCTCCGCCTCCCGGGTTCAAGCGATTCTCGTGCCTCAGCCTCCCAAGCAGCTGGGATTACCGGTGCCTGCCGCCAAGCCCTGGCTAATTTTTTTTTTTGTATTTTAATAGAGACGGGGTTTCACACAGTGTTGCCCAGGCTGGTCTCGAACGCTTGAGCTCAGGCAACCCCCGCCTCTCGTCCCCCCAAAGTGCTAGGATTACAGGCGTGAGCCACTGTGCCCGGCCTGCCTGATATATTTCTATTGGAATAGGCTATCGAGGAGGGAATGTGACGCGGCGGATGAACACTGGATTTCAAGTCAGAGCCTTGTGGTTCTACGTCTGTCTCTACCATGCACAGGTCTCTATCATGGACCTGTGTTAAGTTACTTTAACTCTCCAAACCTTTCTCTTCTGGCAAGAAAGGATAAAACCATCTGTCTCACACGGTTATGACAATGATACACTGAGAGTGAACACTGCAAAGAAAGCAAAGCGTTCTGACTATTACATTCTAGTTAATGGATAGACTCTCTAACTGATATAGCAAAAGGTCACATGTTACTTAAACATTCTTTGAAGGCAGACTGGAGTCTAAAAAGTGTCACATTTCAAAAAGTGCTTAAATATTTGGAAAATAATACATTTGCCCTTGATATAATTATTTGAGGCACTGAAATTAACAATTTAATTCTAGAATTAATAAAATTCTAACAGAATTTTAAAAAAGTATCCTGTCTATGTTTTCTCATGTATGGTCATACTTAGAATTGCTCATGGTGATAAAATATAAAATCGTGGAATAGATCAGGCTCAGAATCTTATCTGAGAGTCCCAGGGGCCTGTCTCTTGGGTGCATTCTAAGTTCTCATTGGCAGGTGCAGGGCAGAGGAAACAGCAAGTCCAGATCTGTGGCTTCCCTTTAACTTTTTTTCTTAGGCACTTGATCCTCCACTGCAGATGCCTAGAGGAAGGTTTCCAGGAGAACTGAGAAATTCTTTTCGTGTCTTGAGAAAGTTTTTTGGGGAGGGAGTAAGGGGGAGCTTTATAGGGCAACATGAAATCCAAAAAAAAAAAAGTACTTTTATGAAAGCTATCCATCAAATGTCAAGGATAATTATCAATTTGCTGTCACAATGAACTGATAAAAGCTTTCAGTAATAATATCATGGGGGGAAAAATTTGTGTTGGAACTCGAAACGCACAGCCCTGATATCAAACGAATTCATAAAAGCTCGATGCCGCTGTAGCCCTCGGAGGCATGACAAAACACAATTTCTCATCCACAGGATATAGAATAATTCCCCTTTTTTATTTTTACGCTGAGAAAAAGCAGAAGGAAATCTGAATTTCAAAAAAAAATATTACACAATCCTGCTTTTGCAGGTGAACATTAGTGATCATTTTGGCGCTGATATCAGAAAAGTTCTGGTGATTTCTCTCACATCATGCAAATGGCTGCATAATGCCTGCTCCTCTTGGAATGTACAATCAAATCAGCATTCTAATGCTACAAGCCGGTGATGAGCTTGGGAATAAATATGCAGGAGCGCATAAAAAAAATCAAGGCAATCAAGAGCAGCCAGCGTCCTCGCTCGGACTATAAATCTTTGTCTATTTCAATCGCAGGGCTGGCCGAATCAGTGTAAAATTCCAGCGGGGATGTCATCAATTTCTGTTAACCTCTCTATTCCTCTTTGTGTTGGCTCTGGGGTGATGGATTGGTTTTGTCACTTCTGCTCGGTTCACAGTATGTTAACATGGAAGGGTGCAGGCAGGTGATGAGGAAAGGTTATTGCTGTCCCAGCCTTGACCCTCACGTGCTCTCTTCTGCAGGATCTTGGGTACCTTTCTGTCTGGGGACACAGTATCTCCTTCTGGTTCCAGGATGCTCAGCTCAAGGACCACATGTGGGCTGGGCCGCTGTTGAATCGCAGGTCATCCTTTTGAAGTGGAAACAGGTCTATCTATACAGCTCGCAGAGGAACAGACAACAATGAAAGGAAAGAGTTAGGAACCTGGGCTCCAAATGGGACAGAATCTTCTCTGTGCTAGCAAGGGTACCTTAGAAATCAGGATCTTTGCTTCTCAAATGCCAGTGTGGTTCCTGATTTCTCTGAGACTACTAGGAAGCTCCTCCCCAAATTCTCCAATGAAAACGAATACTGCTTTATTAGAATTTGCCCAAAGTGTGAGTCCCTCCTTGTCTGCAGGAAGACTGGAGCAGAGTGTGACAGGATTGTGACATCAAGAACAATGACAGTGGAGGGACCAGGCCAGGTGTTTGAGATCCATTGCGATTTGATTGCTCTGCCTGAGAGAGAGAGAGAGAGAGAGAGAGTGTGTGTGTGTGTGTGTGTGTGTGTTTCTGTTTGAATGAACAATTGAGTTGAAAAAATATACTCCTAAAGGTGATGCCTGATGTATTTTGTTGGTATAGGCTATCCTTAGAGATCCTGACTCACTGACTGGTCCAGGGCATAGCCGTGTCTCTCTGTGCCTCACTTTCCAAACCATAAAAGGCTATTCCCGGCCATCATGCTATAGTTCTCTGCAACAAATCTAACGTTGTATTGAGGGTCTTCATTTCCCCTAGAGATGCGTTTTAACACTCTACAATACGTGGCCTGTGTACGATATGTGACAATAAGCCTAGTGGCTAAGTCCATATTCTCAGAACACACACATGTGCTTCTGAGTATTTATCCAAAGGAGTTGAAATTAAAATCTTAAAGTGCTGTTAGCCTTCCTGTGTTTGTTGCAACGCTATTTACAACAGACAAATATGAAAACAACCTAACTGCTTACTGATGAATGAATGGATGATAAAAATGTGGTGTATACATACAATGGAATAATATTCAGCCTTAAAAAGGAAGGAAATTCTGCCATATGGGACGGCATAGATGAACCTTTAGGACAATATACCAAGTGAAATACGCCAGTCAAAGGAGAAATACTGCATTATTCCATATATATGGAGTATCCACAACAGTCAATAGGCTGAGAGTGTTTGCCAACAGCTGGTGGAGGGGAAGTGGGGAACTGCTAATCAAATTTCAGTTAAGTCAGATAATTAAGTTCTAGAGATCTGCTGTACAACATAGTGCCTATAGTTAACTGTAATGTGCACTTAAAACTTTAAGAGGGTGGATCTCATAATAAGTGTTATTACCATGATAAAATAATTTCACACATGCAAAAAACCAAAAACAGATTACAGAATGGGCTATTTTTGTTGCAGTTGCTACTGTTACTAACACATAGCTTATACTATGTGTTATCCAGTCTAGTAACAACTAGCCAAAGGTGGCTGTTTAAGTTTTAAATTCATTAAAATTAAGTAAAATTTAAAATTTTAACTCTGTAGTCTCGGTAGCCAAATTTCAAGTGTTTAACAGTTACCTGTGACTCGTGAGTATTGCATTAAACAGCATAGACATTGAACATTTCCATCATCATAGAAAATTCTATAGGACAGAGCTGGCTTAGGTTGCATTAATCTAAATGAGTTTATGCCTTTCAAAGTAGTCACCAAGGGAAGCCAGATATTCATTTCAATAAGGTTGCCATTGTTGAAACATGGGAGCTTAGTTATGCAGCTATTAATCAAAGATGAGGCATGCTCCTAAGGTAATGGCCTGCTTGGAAATTGACTAAAGGAATTCCAAAGAAGTTTCATGCTTGTTTTGAGTGATGGCAAAGTTATTGAAATAAGCATGATAGAAAAAGCCTATGGACCTTTGCTTTAGGCTCATCTGGATTCCAGACACAAATCTGACACCTCCCTGGGTCTCAACTTTCTCATGCACAACAGAAGAAATAACACTTACTCCTTAAGTTCTTTTTTTTTCTGAAATTTAAATTAGATAACATTGTAAAAAACGTCTAGAACAGAAGCTTAAAACATATTTGTTCATATGAACTTAAAAATTTTGTAGGCATAACAAGATCTCCAAAAAGTTTTATGAAACAGTGTATAGTAAAAAGCAAAAGTGAAACGGTACTTTTAAAATCACTGGAACACAAAACCAAGCACAAAACTACCCACCTGGGTTGCTTTTTTTTTTTTAATTGTGGGGTGAGCTAGAGGAGGTGGGTGTCTCCTGGTTCATATTTACATACTTTCTGCTGACCACCTAAGTTTTTCTGGGCTTCTAGGACCTCCATTTGCAAGCTTAGCCCTCCATGAAATGGCAAATCAGCCATAACTTCTGCAGGGCATGCATTGGCAGATAGCAATATGAGTCAGGGAACAGGATGCTGCCAGTGGAGGGTCATATTCCAAGCCTGGGATCCCATGTGGGCAAATTCATCAGGTTGTCCATAATCCCTTCCCTGATATCTTTCACTTTTAATTAGAATGGGGAACCTGTGTGCAAAGTGTATGCTTTTGAGCAAAGCTTTCCTCCTTTATTGAGGGCCTTGATTCTTCACACTGGTCTTTGCATTTGGAGCCTGGTTAGTGGCACACTAGCCATTCCTCATTGCCACCCTCAAAGAGACAAGATACTCCTCTAAACCCAAGAATATGGATGGGGCAGAAGCATCTCGCCAAGGCTTGGAGCCTAGCAACCTATTGTTTCAGGCCATCAGAACAGCTCCGCCTCTGAACAATCTGCTCATGTTGTTTGTATCTCAAGGCTATAGATCTTCGTCTTGTACATCATGGTAAGTGCTCCATAAACATCTGATAAATGGTAGGTAAATGTGGATGAATGTTATGTGTTAACATTATGAAACAACATATTGCCAATGTCAATGAGTCTAGTTTGCTTAACAAAATAGCAGCATTATTTTATAGCTATATTTAAGACTCATCAATTAACTATTAACCAATTAACTTATTTGTTGGTGTATTAGTCCATTTTCATACTGCTATGAAGAAATACCCAAGACTGGGTAATTCATAAAGAAAAAGAGGTTTAATGTACTCACAGTTTCACATGGTTGGGGAAGCCTCACAATCATGGGAGAAGGCAGAGGAGGAAAGGCAAGTCTTACATGGCAGCAGGCAAGAGAGTGTGTGAGGGGAACTGCCCTTTATAAAATCATCAGATCTTGTGAGACTTACTCACTGTCACAAAAGCAGCACTGGAAAGACTCACCCGCATGATTCAATTACCTCCCATAAGGTCCCTCCCATGACACATGGGGATTGTGGGAGCTACAATTCAAGATGAGATTAAGGTGGGGATACAGCCAAGCCATATCAGTTTGCACATTACCTTTTTCCAAAATTTAAAGCCAGTAACAAGATATATGGAATGAACATGATAAAAAGAAGGTAAACAGGCTGGACACAGTGGCTCATGCCTGTAATCACAGCACTTTGAGAGGCCAAGACGGGCAGATCACCTGAGGTCAGGAGTTCAAGACCAGCCTGACCAACATGGAGAAACCCTGTTTCTACTAAAAAAATACAAAATCAGCTGGAGGTGGTGGCGCATGCCTGTAATCCCAGCTACTTGGGAGGCTGAGGCAGGAGAATCACTTGAACCCAGGAGGCAGAGGTTGTGGTGAGCTGACATCGTGCCTTTGCCCTCCAGTCTGGGCAACAAGAGTGAAAACTCTGTCTCAAAAAAAAAAAAAAAAAAAAAAAAAAAAAAAAAAAAGAGAGAGAGAAAGAAAGAAAGTAAAAAAGTAGAAGAAAGAAAAAAATCATGTCAGTATTAATGCACATTAGATATAACACATACTAATAAACAAAGATAAAAAATGCCTATGAAATTGTATTGAATTTCCACTATGAGTTGAAGTATTTTGCTATACTGTTATTTCTAAACCTCAAAACCAACTTGGTTTTTAAGTCAACTGATGCACAGAGAAACCAATTGATTTGCTCAAGGTCACTCAGTGAATGCAAGATTCTGGATATTAATCCAGGTGGTCTCCCTTTCTACCCCATGGGGCTACAACTATAAAATCCAGTTTGGTAAACATCAAAATGTAGGAAATTGGACAAATAACAAAGATTGGTGATTTCCATAATTTGGAAAAGCTATTGTGTTTAGACATGAATATAAGTATATCAAACAAAGATCTGAAAAATAAAACCTTTAGCTGGAATCCACAGTCTGGCAGCCCAAGTGGTATGTAGAGTCTTTGATCTATCCCAGGAACATTAGAAACTATAAATTAAAAAATGACCACTAGTAACCCTATCTAGGGAGGCACTACCATGTGGCGGTGAGGCAAAGAGCCACTGAAACTAGATTATCTGCAGTGGAATCTCTACTCTGCCATTGGCAAGCTCAATACCATTAAGCAAGTTATTTTCAGCCATTAAGGTCTAGGTTTTCTCATCTATAAAATGGGGATCTTGTTACCTACATCACAGGGCTACTATGGAAGTTAAATCTGATAATCTATGTGACGTGCTTAACACGGTGCTCCCTCGGGCTACGTCAATGGCACCTGTTTATATTTTTGTAGTAACTGGTGCTCTCACAATGCACTGTGGTGCACAAAGCTCTTCCACAGGCACGATTTCACTTGGTCCTGAGCTGTTTCAGTCAGATGTGGTACCAGCATCACCACACTCATCTTGTTGATGAGAAAATTGCACAAAGACAATGCGATCTACCCTCATGACCACACAGCCAGGAGGCTGCAAGTCTAGCTGATTTCAAGCCTATAGCATTTAGAAGAGAGTTAAGACATAAATTGAAATAAAAGATTAACATTGCTATGGAGACCAAATTAATCAGAAGACAGTGTGGCCTCAGCTCCAATTTGAACCATACATATATCTGTGTGCCTGTGTGTGTATAATGGGGATCTTGTTACACACATGTGCAGACACAGACACACATGGGCGTGTATGAGATTGGATAACTACTTTAAAGGATTCAGAATAATCTGACCCTGAGGTGGTAGTAGTAGGAGGGTATAGGAAAGACAAGGTAATGGGCAAAGGCAAGTGAGAGACATATCTGTCCAAGCAGGTGTTAAATTGTAAGTTCTACAAGCACAGGAATGGACTGCTGAATTTACTATGTTAAGAAAATATCCAATAGAATGCCTGATACGCTAGAAGTTTTTGTGATTAGTGGATAGAAGAATAATTGAAAGCTTGGATGAAGAAACGTAGGAAGCCAGCAGGAAAATCATTCTAACTAGTCCAGTGGTTCTCAACAGAATCATGATAGAATCACTTGCAGAGCTTTTTACAAACTGTGGTGCCTGGACCCCATCATAGACCAACAGAATCAGAATCTCTGGGCATGGGGCTTGAGCAAAAATACTTTTGGGTTCCCCGAGAAAGTCTAGTGTCTAACCAGGTTTGAGAACCATTGATTTGATACCACCCTTTAATTTTACATATGGATCCATGTGCAGAAAGGACTTGCCTAAGGATACAATGCAAATGTGTGGTGGTGTGAAAGCAAGGAGTGTGTGTGTGTGTGAATGTATACTGTGATTTCTTGTGCTATTCCTTTTATGCATGCTAGTGATTCTTTGGCTTCTGAAAGTCATTCTCCATTTGTTCTCTTTCTATGAGTTTCCCTGCCCTGTAAGCCTCTCTTCTGGGTTTCCCTGTTTAGAAGCCTCCATTGACTTCTTGCATCCACAGGTTGGGTGACTTCCTCCACTTGGTGCTCTCACAGTCCCCTGCGTTTCCCAAAGCACACGGATCCCAATGCATTGTGCTTATGAGTTCTTACTCCTGTGTCCTCCACTATATGATGAGCTCATCAAGGGCAGAGAGGATCTCTCCTTTTTAGCTGCAGTCTCCAGGGCTTGACACGCAGGCTTGATAGATAATGAATAAATGTAGGCCAATTGCTTTACATATATAAAAGTGATTTGTATATGCATATTTGTGTGAGCATATGTCATTTGTGGAAGACCTAGTTAAAGGATACATTTTGCTTGTACATATGATTAAATGTAAATGAGATAATTTAATTTAATTTGACAGAATCTGTTGAGTACTTATATCTAAAACAATTTGTAAAAACAGAAGATTAATGATAGGTAGGACATAGTCTCTGACCTTACCAGAGCTCTCAGGCTAATGGGGCAGGCTTACCAGTTCTAACAGTGCATTCTTCAGAGTGTGTTAACTGTGGTGATGGACCAGCAGGCAAAGCTCTGAAGGAGCAAAAATAAGCTGAAAATACTTGTTTAAATGAAACATTAATTCAATGGTCCTTAAACTCCCTTTGGAGGGAAGGTATAGGTCTTTGTCAGACCTTGATGAGAACTATGGATACTCTCGATGAAAACTATGGATGCATGTACACAAGGAATACCATTTGGAGATTCACTGTGAATTTTTCATGGACCCTTTGGCCACCCACAGATACAGAATAAAATGTTGGGCCCTGGTCACTACCTCCGTGTGGTTCAGTGACACCCAGCTTTGAGCTTTCTGTGCCATGTACTGAGCCAGGGTTTTTCCCATTCAAGACAAGTTAGCAACCTAGGGACTAAATATGTTTATACGTTTCTTACCTCCACTTTGCAAGGGCTGAAAGGATTAAGAAGGAGGTTCTTTCACTGCAGAGGTGCCAGGCATGACAATACCCAACTGAATTTCCTCTTGATGTGGCTGTGGCTTGGTGCATGACCTGACAAAGAAAACCCAGGAGCACCACTGGCAAGGTCAGAGTTCAGCCACTACACTGTTCGTCGAAAGAAAGAAATTCTTATTATTATGATGGGTAGGGTCACTTCCTGATTTGGGATCGGCATTTCAATGGATTCCTCACTGTGCTGAAACAAGGGCGCCATTTCTCCTGTAACATCATTCACTATTTCCTGGGCTGAAACAACTTCTGAGAAATTTCTATTAACTACCTGGTATATTATTTAATGCAGTGGTTTTCACACTTTGGGATCTCTCTTTACAGTCTGAAAAATTATTGACAACTCAGAAAGCTTTGCTCATGTGGGTTATATATATTAGTATTTACCATATTAGCAACTAAAATAAATGTTTAGAATACATACGTCTTTATTCATTTAAAAATAACAACCACATACTCATTACTTGATAATGAAAATAAGATATTTATAATAAAAAATAATGAAGTGTTCTCCCCAAAAAAACCTCTGAGAAAAATGATATTCTTTTTTATGTTTTTGCAAATCTTTTTTAATGCCTAAATTAGAAGACAGCTGGATTCTAATGTCTGCTTCTGTATTCAATTTGTCATGATCTGTTGTTTTGATTGAAGTGTATGAAGGAAATTGAGCCTCACATAGTTATGTAGTTGGAAGTGAGGGAAGCATTATAATAGCTTTTTCAGATACTTAGGGATAGTCTTCTTTAATTCTACAACAAAATTCAACAAGTGGTAGTTTCTTCAAGGTTAGTTGTAATGTAAAATTTGAAACCATATCAAAGAGCTTTTTATGCTCTGTTATATTAAATTCTATTGGTCTGTTTAAATGTAATTAATGATAGACTCATACATAATTTTGGAGTACCATATATCTGTCATTTGGAAAGTACAACGTTGGTTCATGGAGTTATACAGATCATCCAAATGCTGACACATTTCTTTATGCATTACCAAAAAAAATTCACCTTCGTTAAAGATGATTTTCAGTGATCTCATCAGAAAAGTCTTTAAGTATTGTGAAGTTGTCAGGATTATGATAGTAGATACAAGTTTTTCAAAATTCTAATGTTAACTTGAAAGCTCTAATTTTGTTATTGGTGACACATAAAATCGGTTGTTGTTTGGGGCTTTCAGAACCTGAAGGCGGGCATTTAAAGTGTCTTTAAGTCTTCCCATTAAGAGGCATGTTCTTAGGATTGATGAGACTGTTGTATTTCTGTATGCAGCAGAAGGGCTTTGGGCATACATCTCACCGTGTCAATCAGAATCCCATAAAAACTGTGCTAGAAAGAATAATGACCCCCACAGATATCCACATTCTAATATCCAGAACCTGTGAATGTTACCTAGATGGCACAAGGGACTTTGCAGGTGTGATTAAATTAAGAACCTTGAGATGAGAAGATGATCCTACGTTATCTAGATGGACCTAGTCCCATCACGTAGGTCCTTATAAATGGAGAACTTTTTATGGCTGTATTCAGAGCACAGATGGAGATGTCACCACAAAAGAAAGACCCAGAGGGAGGCAGTGGTGCTGACTTTCAAAATGGAAGAAGGAGGTTATGAGCCAAGGAGTACAGGCAGCCTCAAAAGCTGGAAAAGACCAGGAGATGAACTCTCCCGTAGAGCTGCCAGGCAGGGAGGTCACCTTGCTAACACCTTGATTCAAAACACAAAATGAGACCTTGTTAGACTTCTCACCTATAGAACTGTGAGATAAATAAGTGTGTGTTGTTTTAAGCCACTGTGGTAATTTGTGTGGCGGTGGCAGAAAATTAATACAGACCTGTACTCCTTGGTTAAGATATAATAATATTAATAATTTTTACTGTTTTATTAAAGACATTCTTAAGTAAATCTGGGAGGAGAGATGACTACCAATGCATTTTGGGGCCACTGCCTTGATCAGGGCTAGGACTCCAGGAGTTTTGCCCACCAGTGCTTTGTATTGCCAGTGCAAATGTCAACACAGAGGAAAAGGCAGATAATGCCTGGGTATGATTATAAACATAGTTTTGGTTGAGTGTGGTGGCTAACACTTATAAACTCAGCACTTTGAGAGGCTGAGTTTATAAGGCAAGAGGATTGCTTGAGCCCAGGAGTTCAAAGCCAGCCTGGGCAGCATAGCAAGACCCCATCTCTAAAAAAAAAAAAAAATTAGCCCGGCAGGGTGGTACATCCCTGTAGTCCCAGGTACGTGCTGAAGCAGGACGATCCCCTGAGTCCAGGAATTCCAGGCTGCAGTGAGCCATGATCACACCACTGCATTCCAGCATGGGCGACAGGAAGAGACCTTGTCTAAAAAAAATTATTTTGACCTCATGGATCCCTTGAAAATGTCTCAAGGACCTTAGGGTCCGTGGCCCACACTAGATTTTAGTTGTACAACCATTTTTCATAGCATCATGATAATCCCCCCTGTCAGTCAA
Source organism: Homo sapiens (assembly GCF_000001405.40). Lineage (NCBI taxonomy): Eukaryota > Metazoa > Chordata > Mammalia > Primates > Hominidae > Homo > Homo sapiens. Next base: position 98,533,145 of record NC_000014.9, on the reverse strand, counting down.
GTTCAATTTATGAACTACCTAAAGAATTAAACTAAACAGTTATGAGTATCAACAAGTAAGGTGAGATGGAAATTTGGAGCTCTTGAATTTTATCTTTTGAGAGTTCCTTCCATAATATTCAGACTGCTGGGAAATTTTCAATGCAACTTTGAGTTTTAACACATCAATAACCTGTACATAAGCATTTTCAGTGATTTAATTTTGGTTTCTCTCTACCTAATATATCCCAGTATTTACAAATTTAATTAAAATAAAGACATAAATACCTACATCCTTCCATTTCAGTACATGGTTCCAGCTATTTCAATCAAATTGTTCACGTTCTCAGAGAATTAAAATGATGAAATTGATGAAGTTTTCCCACGTGGGAAAACTTTTTTGGGGAGAAAATTCAAACCATCTAAGCTGGAATACATGGAGCTAAAAATGTACACTGTGGGCTTTCAGAACCTGAAGGTGTGCATTTAAAATGCTTTAAGTATTCTTATTAAGAGACATGTTCTTTTTGATTGATTGATTTTCAAAAAAAGAAATCTGCCAGTGAAGTAAAAAAATTAGCAATAATTAAAAGTTGACAGCAGTGAAAGTGATTGGACTCAGGACACCAAAACCCTCTCTGGGAGGAGATCCACTCAGCATCTGACCAACCCAACTCTATAGTATTGAACTAGACACAACAAATAGATCCTTCATTTCTGATTTCCAAAGCAAGGGCCGAATGATTTACCTGAGGGGTAGAAACCCATTTAGATTGAGATAACGCTTAGAAATTGATGACTTTGCTCCAAATACTAAATCTCTCAAATTGTGGTTCTTTTATATACATAGAATTTTTATTAATAACCTGATGTCTTCTAAAGTAGGTAGATCATGAAGACTGGCAAGCCTTTTGTTTCCTAAGGACTCTTAGGAAGGTGTGGGTGTGGCAGTTTCAAGACAGGGTCAGAGAAAGTGCTGCATTACTCTTCACGATGGAGGGTGGGCCAATTAGGATTTTCAAGGAGAAGATGCAAGTAAAAGGAAACAGCAATAATCAAGGCTGAGTAACATGGGAGGGAAGGGTAGGACAAAAGAAACCTTTTGATGATGTAGCAGAGAAGAGGAGATTTTGACAAATAGACATGTTTGATGTGGTTTTTTTTTTAAGTTTATTATTGGGTATGAAAGCTTCAGCACAATCTACAGTTCTCATTAATGCCTTTGGTGCAAATGGATTCATTCTGGGGAACAGGAATAGATTTTTGAATTCTGCTTCAAAATTGGCACGTGCAACCAAGAACAGCTGAGACTTATATAGCACGTAAAAGAAGCCACAGGCAACCTATGTGAAGCACCTGCCGAGCTGGGTGCACAGTATATATTTTCTGACTTGGAATCAATAAAGTCTATTTGAACACAAGGGAGTAAGTTCAATTTTCGTGAATAGAGGCAAGAGTTGGGACCAGAAATAATCTGGTTTTGTGCCTAGGTCTGGGTAGGGCCAAGAACAGATTTTACACAGCAAGTCAGAGCTCCATCATGGTTAAATTTCTACCAGCAAGAGGAAAGTGAGAAAGAACATTTTTCTTTCTGTTCACCTCAGGGATAAATAAGAACACAAGAATGATGACTCTATTTCTTGAGTGTTTACTATCCACCAGCCCTAACCAGACACATTGCAGTCATTTTCTCTTATAGCAACTCTATTTTACAGATAAGGAAAATATGAACCTGAGATCATTTGTTAATATCTCAAGGTCAGTAATTGCTTCTAGTAAATATTTATCTTACAATTCCTGGCATTTGACAATTGCACAAAAACTCCTCCTGTCTGGAGAAACCAATGTACAGTACAGCTGGTGGAAGGGCTTCTTCCGGGCATCTGGTCTACCCACCTCCTCCTCAGGTAGAAACTCCTACCCCTACCTCATCGCCATCATTCCTGTCAGGCTTTCCATTCTATGTCCAAACAGTGAAGGCATGGCACAACAGGAATTTTGTTATACAAGAGTTCATAATTTAGGATACGGATGTTTGGCCTCAAGCCCTGATTTTTATAGAATGGTGGGTTGATTCTGAGTGGCAGAGACTTTTTCTGTCTGTTTAGCAAACCCCTTTTATCTTCTTTCCATATAGCAACTGAACTACATTCCCCAGTCTCCTTTACAGCTAGGAGTAACCACATTGGCCAATGCAATGTGAGCTGAAGTAAAGAATGTCATATCCAGGACCAGTCCTTATAAGCCTCCTTTGCAATGCTCTTGCCCCAGAGCAACCATGGAAGCCACATATTAAACCTAGATCCCTGAATGACTGCATGGAGCAGTTTTCTCTCTCATATTTACCCTACTGCTGGCTGGACTTTAAGTGAGAGAGAAAGAATTTATCTGGTGTTGAGCTACTGAAATTTGGAGTTTTAGTATGTAATTAGAACTGGTATTATCTTAATAAAATTTACCTTATGTTTGAATATTAAATACTCCTGCCACTCTTGATAATAGCTGCTATTTACTGTCTACTCACTGTGAGCTGGGATTATGCTAAGAGTTGAATATGGATGATCTTACTCAGGTTTTACCCAAATACTAAGAAGTGGATAAGGTCATCTTCACTTACAAATGAAGAAGTCCCACATTGTGAAAGTGAATTGCTTGGGTCACATATCTGCTGGATGATGGGAGATGGATTAGGAGCTGAGTCTTCCTGATTAAAGCCCATCCCCTGTTATGCTGTGACATTGCTCTGCCTTCTAGACTGGAACCTCTCTTCTTCTTCCTCTGTGTCTGCACAGAACCTAGGAATCACTTGATTCCATTTGGGAATACTTATCAATCAAGTTAAAAGCAACATTTATGTAATCTTATGAACTTAACAGCGGCCAGCCTATGTCAAGCTCTGCACTGACTCTTTGAAGAACATGTGGAGAAGCAATTATGGCACCTGCTCTCACAAAATACATCGAGGTGACATCTGTGATCCCAGACCAGTGAGAAAATGAATGCTTCAGCATCCTGGATGGCTGGACCATGGCTGTAGCACATCAAAAATGTCTCTGTGTCTATGGTCTGCACTGGGTCTCTTCTGAGTGTGGATACCCCAGCAACCCCAGGTGACCTGCTTAAGTAAAAAGAAATGTATACTCCATGGGAGGCTGTAGGGTTGGAGACCTACAGGGGCAGAAGAAGCCCCACTCTTGGCATGGATAACTCCCCTTTGTTCTTCAGGTCCCGGTTTACGTCACTTTGTTCTGGCATTTCCTTACCCCAGGGTCTCCTCCTGAGCCCATCTCTCTCAAAGCATCAGAGAGCACAGCACTGAAGCCTCAGCCTTGAAGTGATTCTTGATGAAGGATGATAGAAATGAATAAAAGGGGATTTTTTTTTTCAGAAGGAACATTAAGAAGGAAAATTTGGGTTGGTTCTGAGAACCTCAGTGTTTCTTGGTCTGGTGTTACTGTACAATATGATTGAGGCCCACAGGTCTGTTTCAATGAGGATGCACTGGGATGGCTGTCCCTGTGGTTAAATATTTAAACGTAATGAGAAATAACTTCTGAGTGCAGCCATCTCCCACCCCTGGACCCTCTCCTCTCTCCTAGAACCGCCCTCATGACCAAGCAACTAAAGAGCTCAGGTCCCACCCCTACACTACCGCCAGAGACTAATCTGGCTGTCCAGGCCCCATTGATGACATACCACCTTTGATGCCCCACTGATGCATGGGGCTATGTATACGAAGTTCTGGCCGTTTTCTTCACTTCCCATTTCCTTCCACTTGGGCCCTTGGGTTTATCTTTCCTGTTCCATGCAAGGTTTGTTCCATGCAAGGGGGGGTGACATGGTGATTTATATTTTTAGTATATATATACATGTTCTTTCATCTCCTAGTTAGGTAGAGGTTGGACTATAAGGGCCTAGAATGTAAAAAGTGTAAGTTCATGTTATTGGAGGACAATTCATGAACAATTGGTCTCAACTTTCAATGGAAAAGAAAACCCAGCACACATGTTTATTGGATAAAGTGCCTGTGAGTGGCTGTGTGTGTAATACACATGGAAGTGCATCTTGTTTGGGAGAGGCACCCCAGTCAATGTGTTGGAGATCATGGAATGCACATCCCATCCTCTTATCCTTGGTTTCCTTCTCCTTCTCCTTCATGGCTTTGAACCCCTTGCTTGGCCCTTGGTATTCCCTATGGATTCCTGCTAGTGAAGACCCTCCTGTCTGCAATTATGTACCTGCCACTCACTGCTAGATACTTCTGTCATTTTGAGATTCTGTGTTTTCCCAGCTTCTGCCAAACATAACCTTGAGCAGATCCTTGCCCAACATAACCTTGAGCAGTAACCCTTGAGGGGATCTGGGAAGGAAACTGTAGGATGCGACCTGCTCTCCATCCTCATGAAGTGTCCACCTCCATGGGGCCAGCTGGGATGGTCACAAACAATTAGCCAACTGTAGATGGGAAATGTTGGAGAGATGTTCTTGCAAATCTACCCATCAGGGCATGCTTATGAGAGAAGGGAACATTTAGCTTGGTTTTAATTTTAGTCCAGCGTGGAAGACTTATTTATTTATTTATTTAACTTTTTGGAGATGGAGTCTCGCTCTGTCACCCAGGCTGGAGTGCAGTGGCACGATCTCGGCTCACTGCAAGCTCCGCCTCCCGGGTTCATGCCATTCTCCTGCCTCAGCCTCCCGAGTAGCTGGGACTACAGGCACCCGCCACCAACCCGGCTAACTTTTTTGTATTTTTAGTAAAGACGGGGTTTCACCATGTTAACCAGGATGGTCTCGATCTCCTGACCTCGTGATCCCCCTGCCTTGGCCTCCCAAAGTGCTGGGATTACAGGCATGAGCCACTGCGCCTGGCCAGAAGACTTATTTTTAAGTGCTCAGTTGATTCTTTGATAACCACAAACATCTTCCAAGCCAATCTGTGCATTGAATTCAGGTGACCTCCCTCACTCCACATGGCTGGCAGCCTCTTAAACAGAGCTGTGTGCACGCCTGCCCTGTAGGAGGAGTGGGGCTATGTATGTATACGAAGCTCTGGCCGTTGTCTTCACTTCCCATTTCCTTCCACTTGGGCCCTTGGGTTTATCTTTCTTGTCTTGTCCCTTATACTTGACTGCAGAATTCACCTCCCGTGGCCTTGACCCTTGCTACTTTTTCTTTTTTCTTTTTTTTTTTTTTTGAGTCAGAGTTTCACTCTTGTTGCCCAGGCTGGAGTGCAATGGTGTGATCTCGGTTCAATGCAACCTCTGCCTCCTGGGTTCAAGTGATTATCCTGACTCAGCCTCCCAAGTAGCTGGGATTACAGGCACCCAAGACCACACCCAGCTAATTTTGTATTTTTAGTAGAGACGGGGTTTCTCCATGTTGGTCAGGCAGGTCTCGAACTCCCGACCTCAGGTGATCCTCCCGCCTCGGCCTCTCAAAGTGTTTGTATTACAGGTGTGAGCCACTGTGCCTGGCCTGACCCTTGCTACTTTCTCAGGACATCTCTTTTGCAAATCCTTGCCTTTCTCCATTCTTTTTCCAATTCCTAATCCCCTTTAGATAACATTATTACTGGCCACAGGTTCTGGGACCTCAGTCCTCATTTCAACCAGTGTGGGTACAGAGAGGGAGAACACGGTAAGACCATGTGGATGAGACAAGCTTGACCACGGATTGCTGGGCCTGTCTTGTCCAGTGTTGTGTCTTTCTGTTTCTAGAACAATACTTGCATGTCACAGCACTGAATATGAAATGAACAAATGGAAGAAAGTACAGGAAGACGGAGTATGCTTCCTAGCAGCTGAAACAAAAGAAAAGTTCATGAGTAGTTGCTCAGTACAGTCCTTAGGTTGACAACTCAGTAACAGCGTGAAAACAAATTAAGCAAAAGAAATACCTCCCCTGAGATGCTTCATTACTTTCCCCATCTAGGTGTGGATGCCATTAAGGCAAATTATTGCCTCTCAAATATTTTTAGCTCGATGCCCATTTCTGTCTGCATTTGCCTTAGAGGTATATGTTTTCAACTAAGTAATAGGACATACAAATTAAATGCAATTTCAAATTTAAACCTGTACAAGTGTCACTTACCAAGTCCCCCCCGATAGTCCCAGGGGGCTGCCCATAGCACTGTTGGAAAGTATATTACTGTACTTGGTTCCCATTATTTAGTCCAAGAGATTCTTATTAAAATGAAAGCCAGCAATAAGTTTAATATTTTATATACTGCACAACCACAGCACATGTTTGGGCCCTGAGAGATAGATTTATTTCTCATATCCTTCTTCTTGCTTATGTTATTTTTTATTTTCTAATACACATACTGACGTATACGTATAAACACCCACCTAGGATATTTCAAGATTAAAAGGTAGCATAAGAATAAAAATTGAAAACAGTTATAGAAAAAGGTTGACATATTCAGAACTCAGAATTCTGGCTGGATCCTCAGCCCCCAAGAACCTGATACTGCAGCCTTAAACTCAGTTGAGGTACCAGCCTGGGTAGCAAGGGAAGCTTTCACAGCGGATTTTATCAGTTGACACTGTTACCTGCGACTCTTTCTTCTCTGGACTTGCTTTTCTTCCAAACCTGAATGCCTAGGAGTTTGGCCCGGTGTTCACATTCCAATTCTGGTTATTATAGACCCTAGGTTTACCACCCATATCACTTAGCACAGCCAGAACGAAGCTGACTTGTGTACTAGACCATGAGCTCCTTCATGGGAGGGACTGTGCTAACTTGTCTCTACTTTCCCAATGACTGTGTACTGCTTGGTGCAGCGTAGATATTAAGTAGGTGAGGTATTGTTGAGATCAGCTTGGATTTGGAAGCTGGCCTGGACCCTGGCTTTTTCTATCAATGGATTCTTTCCTTCTTCTGCATTATGCAATGGCTCACCTAGCCGGCCCTGGGTGTTCTTCTGGTATTATCTGTGCTTACTGCTGATCTCTCCATCTGTACTCTGGAATCTAACTGTCAAATACACCTTACTTAATTTTTTTTTCAAGCAAACATAGCAAGAAGACTTTGAATCTTTAAAAAGTAGAGGTTTGAATGACCCATTGACACAATGAGTTGCTTTAGATATACCAGGTAAAACCTTCAGTCTGTTTACAGATCTGGAAAATGAGAGGACTGGATTAAATAATAGATCTTATCTCTTCCAGGTCCTTGATTCTCTTTTTCTGATTCCACAAGAATTGGGATATATGCTATTAATGCAAACAAAATTAAAATAGCAATCTTTATGGAGTTCCTATCTGACACCCATGGCATAGGGTGTAATTTTCTGTACAAGATTTGGATGAAGATCTTTAAGTTGGTAGAATGATTTCCTTGAAAAAGACCTGTTTTCCATCTGGAGAAGACATGCCACAGTCTTGGAAGGCAAAGCAAGTACTCACTGAACCAGGAGGCTCAGAAAATGTTTATAGGGAGATTGGAAAGCTACTGAGTTCCAGGTTTAGCAAGCAGTGTAGCAAAAACATAATAACTTAAAAGAAAAAAAAAGAAAACAACTCATTCATTCATTCATTCATTCATTCATTTAAAAGTGCTCATTGAAAATCTGCTCTGTGCTGCCAATGTTTGTGCCATCTAGCTCAGCCAGAACATTTAAAACATAGAGCAGAAAAAATGAAGAGCAAGGCTGCCACCAGCCTTGGAGTGAGCATGTATGCGTGAAGGGGTGTTCTTTAAACCTTTTTTCTCTATGCATACCACTTTTCATATACTTTCAAAGATGGTGGACACATGTTGAGGCATTCTGTTTTGCTCATTTCACATTAATAGCATAAGAGTTTTCCATGTGGTAGCATAGTTTCAATAATTATCATTCATTCTACCAGAATTTAATTATTGTTTGCTTTATGATTGATTGTTTAGATTTTCCTTGTCTTCGTTTTATTACAAATAATACTTCAGTGAAAATATCTGTGAACATAACTTTTTTTTTTTTTTTTTTGAGATGGAGTCTCGCTCTGTCGCCCAGGCTGGAGTGCAGTGGCGCGATCTCGGCTCACTGCAGGCTCCGCCTCCCAGGTTCACGCCATTCTCCTGCCTCAGCCTCCCTAGTAGCTGGGACTACAGGCGCCCGACATCGCACCCGGCTAAATTTTTGTAATTTTAGTAGCGACGGGATTTCACTGTGTTAGCCAGGATGGTCTCTATCTCCTGACGTCGTGATCCACCCGCCTCAGCCTCCCAAAGTGCTGGGATTACAGGCGTGAGCCACCGCGCCCAGCCTGTGAACATAACTTTTATTCATCTTTAGATTACTCTCTTTGAGTAAATCTCCCAAAATATTAAAATGTGGGAACCATTTTTTTCTCTTTAACTATTTGTTAATTTTAGCTGTATTACTTAGCTCCTTTCCATAGGAGGTAAAGTTCATTATTTTGTCAATGCTGAGGTGCTGTGCAGGCCTTCCTGCCATCATAATTCCCCTAGCTCTTTGTCCAGGGTTCTTTATTTAAATGAATTCAGTACTCATTTTCAATTGTTTTTCTTAAGATTCCCTTTTCCTGAATATATTGTTTTGATTCTGTTCTTGCCTTGATGGATTTTATCATTGAGTCTTTCAAGAGGCTCACTCTGATCCTATCTTCCCTGAGTTTTTTCATGTTTGAAAGTGTCATCTATTTTAATGCCATGCTTATGGCTAATAGTAACTCATATGAATCATTATTGGATTTGAGTTAACAAATCACATTAATAAGATATAATAAGGAAGATCAAATTTGGCATTATGATTAAGATCCTAGACTTTGGAGACAACATTTGCTCTTGAATCTTGGTTATGCTACTTAACTGGCTGTGTGAACTTGGACAAATAATCTGACCTTTCTGAGCCTCAAAGTCCTCCACTGAAGAATGGGGCTTATAATGGAACCTGCTTGCTAAGGTGACCATGAGGTTTAGGTGACGTGATGCATAATCAGCCCTTAGTGCTTGACATACAGTAAGCAGTGAATAATAATACAAGATTTCTAAACACATTTCCTTTAAACAGTTATTGGCTATTAGTAGTTTATTAGTATAATTATTGTCATTCAAATCAAATAGAATGTCTTAAGCATGTTCTATGTTACAGGTAAAAATAAGTTATAGTATCTGGGGTCATTATGCAGAGAAAATAAAATATTAAGCTTCTAAGTTTGAGAAGGGAGGTATGGGAGTCACAGTAACAGTCACCTGTTTGTAAAGCTTTTGATCATGTGCTTTCTTATTCTGGTGATGGAAAGTTATGTACCTACCACTCACTGCTAGATACCCTCACTGGTGACACCACTTGTGACTCTATACTATGCTACTTAGAAATGATTGGAACTGGAAAACAAATGAGGATTTACAGCTGATGTTCTCTAACAAAATAAACAACATTGAGAAAAAAACACTTCAAAAAGAACATTTTAGCCCCAATCCTTTCACATACTGCTGCAGAGAAACTCACCAAGCTTTGGGGGGCAGGGGGACACTTGGAAGTAAATGGAACAAAACTTGGAAAGCACTCAATGGCACTTTCCGGATTAAGTGTGAGGATATTTCATTTCCATAAAAGGATAGGTGGAACTCGACTAATTTAGATCTTATTAAAGCATCACACATAATGTGCTCACCTTTGTGGAAAGGAAACCTGGGGGAAATGGGTGTTACCTTGTGAGGCACACAGCCCATCAGTGTGTGAGCCCAGAACACAGTGCAGAGCATGTCTCAGCAGGGGAATGAGGAAAAGAGCTGGGTTTCCAGGGTCCTGAAATCATAAGTTTGAGCCCAACCATAAGAAAGATCATAAGAAAGAAAATCAGAAAAGTCACATTACCTACAAATCCTAGATGACCTTCTTGACACTTGACATTGGGCCGTTGAGGTTCAACCAAACTGATTGCGTTGGACAAGCTGGTTGTGTTGTATGAGTTTCTCCCCTCTACTGAAAGGGCTAAAGATTAGCAGGTGACCACGTAGAAAACACTGATGGTCTGGACTGAGCTCTCAGCTCTAAAAGAAGAGGTTTCCCACCTCTTGGAGGAGTGCCATCATGGGGGTTTGGGGCGGGGGAAGAGTAGGGATATTCAAGATAAACCTTAATTTCCAAGGAATGCGGAAATTACATTTCTTTACCTGCTCTTGCAGCTGTGTGGGAGCCTTGATGGGATCAATGGGATCTTCTAGCCCCAGACTCAAAGTACAATCTATGTCCAAAGTTGGCCCATGATTTTCTGACTGGTGTCTATGAAGGATTCACTTTTTCATTTATGTTCCAATAAATGGCATATGTGGGCCTCTGCAGCTCATTGGACAGTCTTGGAGTCCCAGGTAATTGAAACAAAATCTCACACTCCAAATAAAATAGATACTCTATATGTAGATAGCAATAAGCCTAAAATGATGGAGTGTGTGGCAAATATTTGCTAGATATAAAGGGGTCAATTTAAGATTTATCTATCATATGATCCAGCAATCCCCCTGCTGGGTACATATTCAAAGGAAAGGAAGTCACTACATCCAAGAGTTACCTGCACTGCCATGTTTATTGCAGCAGTACTCACAATAGCCAAGATACAGAATCAACCTAAGTGTCCATCAACAGATGAAAGGATAAAGAAACTGTAGTTCATATATAGAATGAAATACTGTTCAGCCATAAAAAAGAATGAAATCCTATCATTTGCAGTAACATGGATGAAACTAGAGGACATTGTGTTAAGTGGGATAAACCAGACACAGAAAGACAAATATCACATCTTTTCACTCATATATTTGAGGTGAAAAGTTGATATCATGAAGGTAGGGGTAGAATGGTGTTTACCAGAGGCTAGTAAGTGTTGTGTGGGGGAAGAAAGAGGGATCAATTAATGTGTAGAAAAACACAGTTAGATAGATGGAGTAAGTTCTAGTGTTCAATAGCACAGTGGGGCAAATACAGCTAACAAGAATTTATAGTATATTTCAAAATAGCTAGAAGGGAAGATAGGGAATGTTTCCAACACAAAAAAGATAATATGTGTTTGAGGTGATGGATATCCCAATTACCCTGATTTGATCATTACACATTGTATGCATGGATCAAGAAAACACATGTGCCCTATAAATATGTATGGTTATTATGTATCAACAAAAACAGATCTATATGGAATATAATAGATTGGCTTAAAAAGCCAATATTTCAGTTTGCTTTATGATGTGCTCTCTTAGTGAGTCATTCACCCAACAGGGCAAATAAGAAATCTAGAAAACGTTCCTAAAACCTCTTCCTCCCTAGTCCCCTTTCCCCCACTTCAATCATTTACCAACTTCTGTCAATTTCATACACTAAAAATATTTTGAATTCATCTCTTTCTCTGCATTCTTCCAATGTCCTGGTAGACCAGGCTATCTTTGTCCCTGTGAAACCAACAGTCATGTTACTGGTGGTCTTCTTTATTGAGTTTTCTCAATGATGGCAGGGGCCCACCCTAGTATCTACAATCTACACAAATCTGATCACATAGCTCCACCACTGAAGAACTTTCAGTAGCTTCCTCTTAGTGAAACTTGAGGCCTTGTATTATGATCTGGACATCTCTCACCTTTCCAGCCTCATCTTGCTATTCTCTCCCTTCTCTCTTTCTGTTCCAGAGAATTGACTTTCTTTCAATTCTTGGAGTCTGGTACATCCCTGCTCACCTCAGTGCCTTAGCACATGGTGTTCGCTCTGCCTTGAGTGCTTGACCCATCTGTGCCCCTCTCATTCACCAAGTAGTCTCCTATTCATGTCAAGATCTCAGCTGGGCTGTCATTTCTTCAATAGTGAGACTAGATAAGGTCTCAGGAGACTGTCATAGCAAACTGTATTTTCACAGTGCATATTTGTTAATCTGTGTGGTTATTTGATCAACGTCACTTTTCTTCACTGGGCAGTAAGCTCCCTGATGGCTGACACTGTCTATCTCATTCTCTATGGCATCCCCCACTCACAGCACAGAGCCTGACAAATAGCAAACATTCCATAAAAGTGGGTTGATGAAAAGGAAGAATAATTGAACGAGCTTGATACTTAAATTAAACCTTTAGCTTATTAAATTTTATAATTATAAAACAAGCTGACTTTTCTAACATCAGCCAGTTCATGACTATGGCATGCACGAAGCACTATCCCAGGCATCTGAGGCTGAACCGGGAGATCAAGCATGATCAGTTTACTCCAAGCACTGACATGTGAAATAGGGAAGAAAGACAGGCAAATGTGTTTTTCATGGGAGGGACAGTAGTTTTTTCCACTAATCACAGCCCCTCTAATAAACTAGGTATTATGTTGTTCTGTAATGATCTCTTTCCATGCTTGTTTTCCCCATTAGGCTGATGACTCCTCAGGGGCCAGAACTATTTGGTATTAATCTCTGTGGTCCCAAAACCTTGTAGGGACCAGGCACAACATGAATTGTCAATAAATATTTTACACATAATTAAATAACTATAAATAAATAAAAATCTAGGAATATTAAGTAATAGTTGAAGTATCCCTGCTTATTTTATGTATATGTTTTTAATTTCGAGGAAGTCTACAAATTTCAAAGTTTAGTTCTGTGCTGCTAAGCCCTCAACTACGATCAACAGAGTACCATTGACCAGCTCTCATCCCACAGTAAGAGTGCAGATGGCATATAATTAGCATATTTTAAAATATACATTCCTAAGTTGGGGGTATTTATATTTATATATATATATATATATAAAATAAAAGCTACCCCTCATCATCTCATAAGCTCAGAGCCACTGTCTGTGCTGCCAAACTCTCTCCTTCAAGTGGTGTCCTTGAAACTAAGGCACAATCAGGGCGCTTGATAAAGTCAAATGCTTCACTGATCTAAACAAAAGGCAGTTTGAAGATGTCTAGTTGGCATCCAGGGAGGGGGAGGATCCTTGGAGAGACTTGTCACATCCCTCCTTCTACATTTTTTTAAAATTTCTTGGCTGGGGGAGTTAAGATATGTGTGTTGGTTAGAAAGAAGTTATTTCTCGAGATTTTTTTTTTTTTTCCCAAGGACCAGGGTCAGGAAGAATCCACCCCAAGGGTAGTTGGAGGGAAGAAAAATAACAAGGCTCACGGGTGTCTGGGGACCACAACATTGTTCACATCCTCTATAATCATCAGTGCATGGCTTGGCTGTCTTGGTAATTTACATAATTCCATCCTGAAACCTTCACTTCAGTTATCCATCACTACTGCAATGGAGCTTTCTCTCCTGGCATGCTTCCTTCACTCTCTGTCCCTTGGTCTCTCTCTGGGTCCCTGTTTTTTTCTTCTCCCTTCCCCCTGCCCTCTTGTATGTTTCTGCCTCTCTTTCTCTCTCTCTCTTCATTTGTGCTTATGTTGATAGAACCAAGAAAAAAAAAGATGGATTTCACATCATTTCTGTCCTTCTTGTTCAACTCACATGAATTTGCTAAATGAGGAAGCATCAAGTCAATAGAGATAGGAACGATGCAGAAGAAGAGACTTCCCTTTTTCTATAATAAATAGTATCACTGAGGTGGGCGGAAGGGAGTTGCTTTAATAAATTTATACATGAACACGCTGGGGGAAATGAGGTCTTCAGTTTATACGTTGTTTTGAACATAAATCAGTTTATACTTTGCACTGAACATAAATTTGCAAATAGAGAAAAATTGGACACTGAGTATTCAATTCATCTTTCAGTATAATCCAGAGTCCATAAGTAAATAAATCCAAGGATTGCATGCAACTAGGAATATAATCAAGGCACAGTGCTGATGATTTTCTGCAAACATTTTAATTGACTGTTTTTATGGTTTAGGCTGCAAGAAAATAGGCAAATAATCTGAAGAATCTATAGTTGTTTTTTTTTTTTTCCCCTCACGGTACACTTTTGGGAAAAATACATATTTAGGAACATTATGTAAAAATACCTAGAAAACCTGTTGCACAGAACACATGCTTTGTGATCTTACCAATATGCAGTGCAAGTTATTATGAAATGTTTGACAAAGACTGAAGAAAACCAAGGTCGCTGGGGATGAAATGCTATGAGAAGGCAATTTATGCATATCTGATTTTTAAAGATAAGAATTATATAATTGAATTGATTCTAATAGCTTTTCATCAATTTCATTTTTTTAAATGCCCGCACTACCCCTTCATTCTTTGTTTTGTTTTTTTTTTTCTTTTTATCCACGTCTCCTATTTATAGGAGCATGTGGATAGCGCGCATGGATAAATAGTACGTGTGTACATGCTTTCAATAGTTGTTTTCTGAAAGGCAAGCTCAATGTTTTAGCCCTACCTGTAGGGTTTTTTAAAAAGGAATACTGATGCTTAGGCTCTCACCTAGACATACTGAATCGGAGTTTTGAAATAAAGAACAGCCACTAGGTTCCTGTACATTCTAATGGTAAACTTTCCATATGACATCTCTATTCACCTTCTAAATGTTCACCCATGCCCTTATGTAATTTTCAAGAATCTTTTCTACTGATGATCTGATGCCATTAAAATAGTCTTAGATTGGTTTTTTTAAATGTAAAATGATAAATCATAAGTGGCCACATCCTCCTTTGTAGGGACTCTGTGGCTACCTGAGCCAGGCACTATGCTAAGAATTTCATTTGCATGATCACACATCCTCACCATAATGCCACATGGTAGGAACTGTTATTGTCTCCGTTGTACAGATGAATACATCAAGGCTCACAAAGGGAAGTAACTTGCCCAAGGCCACTCATCCAGGACAATGCAGAGCAAGGATTGTAAGTAGGGAAATAGACAGGGTATTGTAGGCATGAACAAATGATGGCTGTTTATGAAGTAATCCCTGCTCTTTTAGTCTGTGGGTCTTGCTAGGAGACGCTATTGATCTTTTTAAAAATGGGAGAATTAAAAGCATTGAGGAATAAATGTACCTGCAGTCGGTGGATAAACTAGCCTGAGAGCTTCCTGAGGCCAGAGGTTGGATTTATTTCCTTTGTGTGTCCTTCGTCCCTTGATGGGGTTCAGAGGTCCTAACTAGAATGCAGCAGTAATTTGTTGAAGTGAGTCCCATTCTAATTCCACAGAATTCTAATAATGGCTAGGTTGTGCTTGGAGAGGTGATACAGTCATGTTTCCTCAGTGAGAAGCAGGTGGTACCTGGCCCACCAGCTGCCACTTCTGCTAGCAAGGGACAGACCCTGGATTACAGCAAAAAATTGTTACTATCTCAGAATATTGAACTTGGATGCTAATGCCTCTGTCTCTATCACTAGAAGGACTGTCCAACCAGCAGGACTCTATGTTGGTCCTCTCAGAATCTCTCTACTGAGCAGCGTGCATGGAACAGAAGAAGTATTGAATGGCTGCTGACCTGGACTGGCTGAACTGTATTGGCACCTGCTGTTTTCCTCACCCTTGTAGCCTAGGATCTAACACAGAGCTTGGCACATGGAAGAACCAGATTATTAGTTGTCAAATCAGTGAATAAGTTAGTAGAGGCATGGAATGTGTTAACATTTCCAAGTGTGATCTCATTGGCAGAATTCCCTTTGAACAAGTCTCCTAAGAACTCCCTCTATGGCAAACTGTATGACTCCCTGAAGAAGGATAATGCATATACTCTCATTCCTAGCTTTCTCAAAGGGCAAGACTTCACATTTCCACTGCACACCCAGATGACAGGCATCCCAAAGAAAACACAGAGTTTGTACAGTAAGAAGGGAGAAATATGAGCTAGGAAGGCTAGAAGCATCACAGCCAAGCCGAAGGGAAGTCTTCCTTGGAAGTCCTGCATACCAAGTCAATAGAAGATTCCAGTGCTTTATCCTTCCTTGAGAAACTTCCCACTGATCCTGACATCAACTCACATCCTCCTGCACTACTCTCTTGTAGCATCCTCGCTCCTTTTTTCATGACACCATCTACCTGAATTGACTTTGTGTATATGTATGTGTTTACTTTCATTTATTCACCTAACAAAGACTCAGTTTCAAGTCTCTTTGCTAGGTGTGATGCTAGAGCCTGGTTACTGCCTTTTGTCCTGAACAAAATGCAAAGTCTATAAGCTCAGGGATCATAAGTTTGCCTTGTTCATCAATGCATCCCTATCATCATCTGCTACATGGTGGGTCCTCAGTAAACATGTTGCTGATGAACACATGATGAATGAATGAGTGAATGAGCTGGGCTCTGTGCTAGACACTGGGGATGCAAAAGTGATTCAGCAGCGGCACTTGCCTTACCCTAAAGGGACTCAAACTCTGTGAAGTAGCACTTCTACCTGAACAACAGCACACCGGTCTGCAGCAATGCACCTACTGTCAGTGTAGAGACATGCCATCAATATGCAATGGATGGTGTTTACAAATACTTCCCCCAGAGCTAATGAGCCCGTGGGAGTCAGGGATCATGTCAAACTCATCTCTGAATTCCCTACAACACCTACTCCAGGATACTGTCCCAGTGGGCGCCTTGCAAGTACTGGTGGATTTGACATTTGAATGGAGACTTCCAGCCCACTCCGTGTCAGAATCCCCAGGGCTGAATGTAACAATGTTGACTGAAGAGAGCAACAGGATAATAGGGCAAGAGTAGAGTAGCCATTTATTGAGTTCTTAGTGTGTAGCAGGAATGACTGAACACTGAACAGAGGTGTCATTTATTTCTGACAGTAACCCAAGGGGCTAGATTCTCATGTCCTCATTCTATAGGATCAAACACTTGCCCCGGTTAAGACATGTTTGTTGGGATTACACAGCTGGGTAGTTACAGACCCTGAACCCCAAACCAAGTTGGGCTATGCCTGGAGCTTTTGACCTTCATGTAGCACTCAAAGACATTGGTTCTCTGCACAAACGTAGACAGATGGAGAGATCGCTACACAATGGGGTGACCCGCTGTTGCCGGCACTTGTAAAGCTCCAAATTTTGTCTCATATCTTCATCTCCACATAGTATCTAGGAAGTGCTTTTCAAACAATCCTATTTTCACAATGGTTTGGCATTTGATATAAAACTCCTAGCTCCCTACGGGAATGTTCATGACCCAACTGTGCACTGAAAAAAGGTTATTTATTTTTTTTTTTTTGGTAACAAATTTACAAGGCTTGGCAGAATCCACCTGGAATTTACATGCAGAGAGGAATTCTCATCAAACAGCTAATATTGTGCTTCTGTCAATTATCATTGTACTTGCTTCTATTAGCACTTGATTAAGCTACAGGGACGGAAAGCTTCTCCACACCCCCATATACACCAAGAAGTAAAAAGACAGAAAAAAAAAAAGGAAGGAAAATCAGAAATCACTTGAGCCATTTGGGGCAGGTGCCTTCTATTTCCACAAAGTTACATTTAAATATTGTTTTTCAAATCTACCATCTGCAAATCCAGAAAAATTGGCAGCCCCTAGACTTTCACAGTGGCTTTTTCTTTTGTTCTATCTAATACTAGGAAGTTACTTTGTTAAGATTGGAGTTTATGGTATAAATTGAATTAAGGCACAAATATATACAGTTCATTTTGTCTTTTAGCACTGCCCACTCTTACTTTCTCTTGTGATAAAGAAAACCATTAGCTCCTGTCAGAACCACGAGGAGGGAGATCATTTTTATTGAAATAAGAAGGAAATGATAGTGTCAGGCACTGAGTCCGAGAGATAAAATATTACATCTAATAAACATGCTACATATGGGATTCGACAAGGGGTCCTTGAATTACGGAACAACAGAAGCTTCAGGAAAACAATAACATTAATATCGAAAAATAATCACTAACCCTTTCATCTTGGAGAAACCTGCATTTTAATAAACAGGAGAGAAATTCAGGAATCTCTGAGAAAGCACCTTAATGGTATCCAGTGCATTGGAAGGACTGTCGAAGGTGGACCAGTGGAATGATAGCGGGAATGGATGTTCAAGACAATCGGTAATTAGGGCACGGGAGGTGGGGGCAGCCAGGAGACTTTGTTGAGAAGTAGAAGATACTTCATATGCTGCAGAGAAGCAAATTAAGGCATGGACAGGAGGAGTCTAAATTTGAATGGGTAAAAAGTTTCAAAAGAATAGATCTACAGTGGTTGTCTGGTATGCTGGGTGGACACAATATCTAGGTCTATGTTGGGCTCAGCAGCATATGGTGCCAGGAGTGATGAGTGGCACCTGCTTTAGGGATGGGGTGGGGGTGGAGGCTGAAAGGACAGTGTGTGGTGTTGTTGGCAGAATACTCTGTATTTGCCATTATTTGTTCAAATCACTAGTTCTCAACTGGGGGTTATTTTGATTATGTCTGAAGACACATCTTGGCTATCACACTAAGGGCATGGAGATGCTATTGGCATTTAGTGGGTGGAGTTCAGGGATGCTGTCGCATATCCTACAGTGTCCAGGGCAGACCCCTATGGCAACAAAGAATTACCTAGGCCTAATTGTCAATAGTGCTATGGTTGAAAAACTAGGGTTAAAAGTTGATGTTTTCCATTTCCCAGTGGAGAGTCCACCTGCTCCTCAATGACCCCATATCCAGTGCTCTTTTGAGTACAGTTTCCCTTGGCAGTTTCTGATTTTTCACACCAGGCTCCTAAGTCAGGATTAGTGTTTCTCTGCAGATCTAGATCTTCACTTGGTTTATCAAAGTTTCTAAAAAATAAATTGAGTATTATTATTGACAATATCACAAACTACAACAATGAATGAGCAATTTCAGTAGTTGCCACTTATTGAGTGTCTACATGTTGTCAAGTACAAAGTTCAACACATTCTACATATTATCTTAGATTAAGCAGACATACCTGTAAAGGTATTCTCTTCCCCAAATTATACAGAGAGAAATTTACAGAAAGTTGCCCAAGCTAGTAAGCTACAGAGTCAAGATTCAATACAATTCTGCTGACCTCAAAGCTTGATCTGTTTGGGGCTATCCAAAGGTTTTTTCAGCCCCAGTACTAATGACACTTAGGGCTATGTAATTTTATGCTGTGGTGGTGGTGGGTATTTCCTGTGCACTGTAAAATGTTTAGCAGCATCCATGACCTCTACCCACTAGCTACCACTAGCCACCCTGCCCAGCCCCAGTTATGACAACCAAAATTGTCTCCAGACATTGTTAAATATCCCCTGGAGGGCAAAATTGCCCATGATTGAGGGCCATTCACCTAGGCAATATGTGTTAGAGTTTCAGCACTGAAACCCCACAGACCTTACAGAGATTGTAAATGGTTAACTGTTTGCTATGAAATTAGAAGACAAAGAAATAAATTCTATGTAGTCTTTCCCTTCCTCTGCCATTAGAAATGCATCTGTCTTATTTGTAACATGTGCGAACTTGAGGCTTTTTGGCATAGATTGTTTCCATGAAAACATATTGGGAAAATCCCCTACCTGCCAGATTCAGGCCTCTGCCTGACTTGGCCTGGGTTAAAATATTCTGACTTTCCCCTGGGCTTTTATTCCTGTGAGATGATTAACTGATGCATCTCAAGACAGTGATCATCGTGGTCGTACTAAGCACCTGCTCTGGGACTGGTTCTATACTTCTTATTCAATTTGTATACAATATGATTCTGTCACATAGATACCTTCATTTATATTGTGTAATAAGTGAAGTGGGACTCTGAAATTAGGAAACTGGCTGTAGTCATACCCTGTGAGAGGGTGCTGAGGATTTTGAATCCAAAGTCGATCCCTGCAAAGCCCACGTTGCTTTACCTCCAACCCCCTGGTGCCCATGACATGTTAGTCATATATATTGCTCCTTCCCTCTAATTAAAAAAATAAAGTTTAATCGTTGTTGAAACTAAGTGATTAATGAATAAGAATGTTTATGCTTTCCTCTTTATTTTTACGTATGTTTGAAGATTACAACAATAAAAGATGTTAAAAATTCAACTGCCCACCTCCCCATAGAAAACAAAACCACTCATCTCACGCTTGATTTTAATTTAAGTGCCTAAGTACTGTCTTTCAGTTGCCTGGAGTTTATTTTGAAGCCAAACTTTGAGTTGAATCTCGTAGGGGAGCTCGGTGCTCAGACGGCACAGGGAGCTCTAAGCTTCCTGAAAGTCCTTGGTGGAGAAAATCATCTTCTCCTCTGCCTTCCTGGGACTCCTCCCTTTGCCTCCCCCAGCAGCCTAAACCCCAGCAGAGCAGCGTGGGGTGCTGACTGCCTGGCATTCGGTCTTCCTCATGCTCAATGGCCCAGTTGTCTGTTGCTCAGAAGTGCAGATAACAATGTAATTCAAGCAAAGATTTCAAAAGAGACTCACAGACACGTTGCCTTACACCTTTTTTACCTGCTCACTGTTTAAACTGAGAAAAAGACAGAACTGGGGGACTTCAGCTCCTGAATATTTCACAAGTGTGTCTCTGTTCTGCAACACAGCCAGAGCCACCTTCAGAGAAAAGGTAAGAGGAAAAGTACTGAGATTTCCTGGGGTAAAGGGACCTGAGAAATTCCCTGTTTTCCCCCATGAAAATGAAAGCGATAGCATGAGCTTGGTTTATCAGATGAGAGTTTTGCTATTAATCACCTAAGCATAACTCTCATCTCCACCAGTGTGCTAAAAATAGACATTTTGAATATAAACCACGTCTTTTTAACCTGACAGCTGTTTGGAAGATTAGAAAGCATTGTTTGCTTTAAGTTGCCTTGGGAAGACCGAGATTACCTCCTCGTCTTCTCTCTCTCTTTCCACCCCTTCTTCCATTAACAAAGATTCTCCATCTCTAGATTGATCTGTGAGCCCCGGGAGTAAAAACGTAGAACTTCCACAGGCCATCCTGTTTTGCTCTCTGCAAGAATCTAAATGTGACCCTTTCTTTGTGGATTTGAGATTCCCTGGGCTAGGACATATTCTGGGTAAACTCTCCAAATTATCTTTTTCATATATTATTTCAAAAATATCCATTGCTCCTACTGTGTACTCAATACTATGCTAAGCACAGCAGGACCAGAAAGAAATATGACTACCTCCACTACTTCTGCTACTGAAGATCACAGTGATAAATAAAATCCCTCTCTCATGTAACCCACAGTAGAGTGGGACGGGACAGATGGGGAGAATGCACAAGCTGTGGAAAGAGGTATGAATCTCCCACTGTGAAGAGTCAAGGCAGGAATGAGAGAAGGGGATTCAAGACAATTTTGCAGAGGGAAACTAGAAGTGAAGTCTGAAAGTATGTAGGAGTTAACTGGAGGATATGGCCAAAGCGCATTCTAAGAGGGAACAATAAAGCAATGGTGGAAGAGCAGCAAAGTCATGGTCCAGGACCTGATGAGTGAGTGAGTTTCAAATAGGTTGAAAGTGAAGGGGTATAGAGGAGCAGCCCAGAAATGGTTGTAGGGAATGGTCAGATTGCTCCCCCAAAGCCCAGCCTTCACTCTGACAATTATAGAAAGCCACTGAAAGAATAAGACTGGGAGGAATAGGGCCATATTTGGTGTGTTTTTAAAAACACCTTTATGGATACTTAATTGACCAGAATTAAACTGTATCTTTTTTGTGCATGATTTGATGAGTTTTGACACCATCTATAAAACCATCACCATAATCAAAGTACTCCTCTTTTCCTTCTACTCTTTAGACATATATTAGACTGAAGTCATCACACAACTCACTGATACTTGGTTTAATTTTTCCCCATTTTGTTGTTCACTTTGTTTAGTTTGAAAACTGTCTATTGTTTTGACTTCGAGTTTCGTAATACTTCCTTCTTCAATATCTAATCTTTCCTTAATCCTATTTAGTGCATTTTTCAATTTAAGCACTGTAGTTTTTACCTCTAAAAGCTTAATTTGGTCTTTTTGTATGTTCTATTTATCTACTTTACTTTTTGTCTACTCATTCTATTATGTGTGTAGTTTCTAGGTTAATTTTGACTGGTTTTTCTTCTCATTGCCATCTGTATTTTCCTCCTTGTGCGGATGCCTGGTAATTTTTTATTAGATGCCAAACATGG
This sequence comes from Homo sapiens, assembly GCF_000001405.40. Classification (NCBI taxonomy): domain Eukaryota; kingdom Metazoa; phylum Chordata; class Mammalia; order Primates; family Hominidae; genus Homo; species Homo sapiens. Next base: position 98,511,244 of record NC_000014.9, on the reverse strand, counting down.
TAAATTTAGTCTTGTTGGGTGCTAGACATTTTTGTGTTTGAAAAAGTATTTTTGAACTTTGTTTCAGGTCCTGGCTAAGTTACTTAAACATAGTTTGAGTCTTTTAAATCTTGCTTTTAAGCTTTGTTAGGAGGGACCAGAGCAGTATTTAGTCTAGAGCTAATTTTTCTCTGCAACAGAGGTAACACTGCTTTGAGAATTCTACCCAATACTCCGAGCTGTGTGTTTTCCACTCTGGCTGGAGAGAACAGAAATTATTTCTGGAGGTATCTAAAGACAGTTCCCTGTTATCCTTTCAGGCAGCTCTCTCCTTGAGGAGTTTTCTCGCATGGATGCAATGACCAGTACAATAGTCTCCTCTTACTCTTAAAGGATACATTCCAAGACCCCCAGTGGGTGCCTGAAACCCTGAGTATTACCAAACCCTGTATATACAATGCTTTTTAATACATGCATACCTATGATGAAGTTTTATGTATAACTTAGGCATAGTAAGAGACTAACAAGAATAATAAAAATGGAACACATAACAATATACTGTCATAAAAGTTATGTGAATGTGATCTCTCTCTCTCTCTCAGAATACCTTATTGTACTTTACTTCGGGTAACTGAAACCGTGAAAAGCAAAACCACGGGTAAGAGAGACTACTGGATTCTGTTGAAGATTAGAGAAAAGCCTTTCTCAGAGTTTTTCTTCCTGTGTAGCTCTTTCCTTTCTGCTACTTCATTCTGAAAACTCCTGCAGTCCTTCCCTCCATGGCCTCCCAGCTGCATTGCTTCACCTCAGGAAGACACTGGGCTCTGCCTCTATTCCCCAGTGTTCTAAAAACTCTGTCTAAGCAGTAAGCTGGGGGGAAATGATAGGGTTTACTTCATGCGCTGCCCATATTTCAGGGAACCCTGCTTTTTTGCCTCACGTTAATTTGATTAAAACTGTTGTTCTAAATATTTTGTTGTTGTTTTTCAATTGACTCAAGTGAGAATGAATGTGTGGTCCCTGTTAGTACAAGTTAGCTGGAAGTGGGAGTCTTCTCATGTTGTTTGTGAATAGTCTCTGACTGGGACATACATCCGGGACTGGGATTGTCAGGCTGGAGGCTGGACATCCTTTGGAGACCACTGCGATGTCTTCCCAGGGATGGAAGTTTTGCCTTAGGCTGGGAGACATAGGGAAGGGCAAGCGGGAAAGGAACCTGAAATACTAAGAAATTAGCCTCTTTTTGTGATGCAGTGTATGTAAATAATGAGTGAGAAGAAATACAGGTGCTCCCAGTCTTTTGTCCCCGGTGACCCAACGAATCATCTCCTGATTTTGCAGGATTCTAAAGGAACTCACGGGCTTCCTTCTGGGAAAAGCCATAGACGTCACTGTTTCCTTCAATATGGGCCTTTTGCTTTCTGATTATGCCATAGAACCTGATAGGGAAGTGTCAGAAAAATGTATTAGGATGTGAGAAAGATATAAAGTCCGAAAAGGAATTTGAAAATAGGTGAATGTTATCTGAAGTGGAAAAAAAAATGCAACCTCAACAATAGAACTAATCAGTATAGTCCCCTCCAAGAGTTTAACAAGATTCTTTCTGTTTCTAGATAATCACTTCATCTCAACCATTGTTAGGTATTTTTTATTATATAATTCATGTTCTTCTGCTATTCTTCTTTCCAGAGACTTAATCTTATTTAAATTAAAAAATCACACACCTTGTTAATTAAAACACCAGATGAGAGCAATTGATAATTCATGCAAGGGAAAGCAAACATCTTTTCTATAAATATTTCTCCTCTTGGTTCTTTACGTGCTTATTATTTAAGCTTTAGGAAACCACTTTATGCTCTAAACCAAACTAATTAATAATAACCACTTACATGTGCACAATAGTTCACAGTATAGAAAGCTTTGCTTTTATCTCTTATTTAATTTCATCTCTTTAACCATCCTACAAAGGGGCAAGGCCAAGAATTAATCATCCTTCACATGATAGAGGAGGAAACCAAGGTTGTAAGACACGACATGATGTGCCCAATGTCTCAGTTGGCAGCTTTCAGCATGCGACTCCAAATTCAGTTTTGCCTTTCTATCACGCATTGGGGTTTTCTTGCAAGTGAAGAATGAAAAAATTTCATTTTGCAAGTGGGATCTAGCTCTCGACATAATTTTAAGCTGTTGAAACAGGTGAGTAGTGTCTCTCAAAACAAGAGAGTTTAGGGAAGGGAAAATACTGCTTCTTTCAGATGCTTTGAATGACAGCTTGATGGCTGTATCAATACAACTTCAAAAACAAAGAGGGAAGAGGGAAGCATTCCCATCTCACCAGTTATTTGGTGTCATCTAAGGCAAATAAGAAAGAACAAATCTCAGTAATTCTTGAAGTGAATTAATTTTTTAGCACAGAAGTCGGCCAATCTGGTTTGAGTCTACAAAAATAACTTCAATAGTTTTGCCTGAAATAGCAGGGTGATGTTTTTTCTTTTGTTTAATGCCTATCTTCAATTTGCTCATTACCAAATGGGCCTGGGCAGTCTCTGAAATTAGAGAGCTTGGATGGAGATATCAGATCCAGACTCCAGGCCCAGCTGAAGGTCCATTTCTCCTGATAAGGCTGTCCTTTTCATCCCATGTCACAGAGAGTTCTCTCGACGCTGCACCACCTCAAGTCAAGTCCTCAGGAAGGTGGAGTCAAGGTTCATGTGAGTTTTCCCCAGGAGTTTCTCATGGGGCTGAACTTCAATGTATTCTTTACCAGGGATGTTGTGTAGCAGAGTCACCAGAGTATGCATTGGAAGTCTGAAAAACTTGGAGTCAAATTCTGAAATGTGCATGCCTTTTGGACACCTTATCTAACCTATTTGAGCCTTAGTCACTTTACGATTAAAATGAGTTTAATACCCATTATATCAGTGCCTCAGTCTGTTCAGGCTGCTATTGCAAAATACCTTAGGCTGGGTGGCTTATAAACAACAAAAGTTTATTTCTAACAGATCTGGAGGCTGGGGAAGTCCAAGATCAAGACACTGGCAGGTTTGGTGTCTGGTGAGGGTCTGTTTCCCGGTTCACAGATGGGGCCTTCTAGCTGTGTCTTCAAGTGGTGGAAAGGCAAGGCAGCTCTCTGGGCTATTTTTATAAGGGCACTAATCCCATTTATGAGGACCACAACCTCATGACCTCATCACCTCCCACAGGACCCATGTCTTAAAGTATCACATTGGAGATTAGGTTTCAACATATGGGTTTAGGGGGACACAAACATCATCACCGCAGCAATGAGATATTCTGTGTATAACCCAAATAAATCCCGGGCCTCCTGTGCTACTATCTCAACATAGCACTGCATTCAAACAGATACATTCCAGCAACCAAAAGGTAGCTGAAAGTACTTAACAACGTATTTATCTTGTGAAAGAAATGTCAAAGAAAGAGGAAGAATACGTAATTAATACACATCAACCATCTAAAAATTCCTCTTTTCTGATCTCTGTCACATTTAAAATCCCCAATACCTAATTCTCAACACTTTTACTCTCTGCTTGCAATTCCAAACAGAGAACTCCTAGCTTATCTGTTTATTCTTCTCCCTTCTCCCTCTTTTTCTTCTCTCTATTGCATGGATACTATGGTCTTTATGGATTTTTTTTTAACTTTCTCTCTTCCTTGCTTAATTCCCAAATTCTTTACAGCAGTGGAAAGCTCTTGACCTGAACTAGCATGCAGAGATCTTTCTCTTACAGAAGTCAGAGGAGTGAGTAATACTGTAATTATTCATCTGTCGACAACTTTGGTCAAAGAACCAACTGATTTTTGCACATATCTCATGTGCCAAATGCCTAGCACAGTGCCTGGAATTCAATACTGTACATGCCATTCTTTTCATACAACCTTGGAAAGAGTTCCAGTTATTCAGTATGAGTGTTCCTCATCTCCCCAAGTGGACAGCAAATTTCCAGAAGTCTAGAATCCTATCCGGTAGCTTATTAAATTCTTAGAGTCTAGAACTATTCTCTAATGATTATAGGCCATTCATTTAAAGTAATACAGTCACTTATTTAAAACAACATAGTGCTCCTACTACATTTCTAATATTGAGCTAGGCTCTCAGGATTTAATATAAAGAAGACATATTCACAATTTCCATGAGTCTCCCAGGCTAATGAAAGGGAGCCTTGTAGAAAATAAATAAATAAATAAAATAAAGGAAGCACAGTTTGTAATAAACCTTCAGATCACTTCAACCAGACTGTTGCAGTCATCTTTCAGCCGCTGAGTGTCGGCTGCCAGTGGCTCATAGATTTACACTTCCCAGGAAATTAACATGGCCAGTGGGGCAGCCTTACCCAGCCCAGTGCTGCTCAGGAGGTCCTGTCTCCTCATCCATTATCCAAAACATGGCCTATAGCCAATGACTGGCTGATAGGGAGCAAAGAAGCCTGCCACTGATTTCAAAGCAGAACAGGTTATGCCTCAGAGCTCCCCTTGGGATCAGGGTAAGGCTAGACTTCAGCTGAAACCATGTCTTCTTCCCCAGCACCATCTTGCTATTCACTTTTCTTACAGGTTTTACCTGAGAGCTCTCTCTCAATAAGTTACATACAAAAGAATCTTCATTCAGGCTGTGTAGTTAGGAATCGTGTCTTAAAACACAGTGCTATTATAGCTCAGGATATGATGGGCAGGGAGAAGAGAAGGCTATCCTTGAGACATCTGGGAAGGCTTCACTGGGTTAGGGGCATTGCATTTCATCTTGAAGGATGTGTTGGAGTGAGGATAGTAGGAAAGAGATGATGTATGTGGAGTGCTACCAAGCCCACAGTGCATACTAATTGCTGAAGAAATGATAATTTCTCTCACTTCTTTCCTAATATAAGCAAAAATAACTATAGGAGCAAAGACATCAGAGTGTGAAAGATCATGGCATTGTTAGACAATGCAGAAAAGTTCCGTGGCCTGGAGCTCAAGGAGACTAGTGGAGACTTGTAGGAGATCCAGGTCCCTAAGGCATCCAGGTACCATGCTTTTTTCTCATACACATCAGAAAGCCAGAAGAAGTTTTAAATCAAAAGGATGATATTGGATCTGTGCTTCTAGAAGCTAATTCTGGTGGCAGTGGGAGGGTGCATTGGTGTAGTGAGACAGGGAGATGAGATAGGCGGGAGAAGCTTGAGAGAGAGATGGAGAAAAGAGGTTTTAGAGTTGGGGATACATTTAAAGGATTCTTAAAAGAGTGACACTTCAGCGTGAAGAGACCAATTTAGATGGAGCAAGGAGCCAATATTAGAGTGAGTGATGATATTCTGGCATCTTGCAGTGATAAAATACTAAACTTGAATAAGGATTATTCTATTAACTATATTGGTAAAAAACAATTCTAATGAATGGTGCCACCCAAGTAAAACAGACATTATCCTCTTATTTGAAACCTCCCTGTAATTTAAGACATCACTGTCGTATTTAAAAGAATGCATTATTGCAAGTGCTAGTAGGTCAACATTCATTAGCAACCCCACAATAATAGCCAACAGTGTGAAGAGTGAGCCTACGCTTGAGGAAAACAATTTCAGTTAGAAAATAGACTCTCATTTCTATCTCTTGCAAGGTTATTATAGCAACAAGAAAATGAAAACACTTTTATTTTTCAAATTTATGAAAAAGCCTTCACCACCACTGTCATTCTAGGCAGGAAAACATCTTTAGCCGATGTAGCCTTTTCTTCTCTGAACTTAAATAAAGACACACAGCTATCAAGCATAAGGAGAATGGGAGATTTTGATGATGTCTTTATAAAATGCAAATGAAAACTAAGCTGTTAATGTTTAATACAGGTATCGGATTAGATGTATTTTCTTGCCGTTGGTGGATGTGTGTGTGTGTGTATGTGTGTGTCTGCCTGTGTTGTCTGAACTGAGTGTATGTGTGTGGGTGTGGGTGTGCCTCTGTTGTCTGAACTGTGTGTGTGTGTGTCTTGTGTTGTCTGAGGTGGGTGCATGTGTGTGTGTGTGTCTGCTTGTGTTGTCTGAACTGGTGCATGTGTGTGTTTATCTGAGATTGCTGGAGGTAGGTGGTCATTTTAATTCAGCGTACTTTTTTAACAGATGACATTTTCACATAGTTTATTTCCTTTACTCTTCATAAGAACCCTTGGATAAGTATTAGAAAGCCATTTTAAAGGAAAGAAAACAGAGCCTTAGAAATATTGGGTGGCTTCTTCAAGATCACTGAACAAATAACGAAGCAAAGAGTGTTGGGGCAAGAGAGAAGACACAGTCCCAGAGCCATTGGGTAGCTTGCAAAGGCTTGCAGGTGCCATTAAAAGGCAGAGCCAGGACGTAAACTCAGAGTGGAGAGGCTTATCTCTCTCCACTCCCTGATCGTCTCATCCCCGAACCCTAGACTAGAGGGAGCTTTATAGGCTGATGCAGAAGTTCCCAAACTTGTCGGCACACTGGGAGCACCAAGGGAGCTCCCAAGAGCACTCATGCCTGTATCCTACCCTAGAGATGGTGAATTAATGGGTACAGGGTATGACCTTAGCTTTGGAAATTTTCAGATTCCCAGGTGATCCTAATTTGAGACAAGCTTGGGAAATACTGGTAAAGTCATAAAGAACAAGTTCTCCGAAGCCCACAGACCTAAGTTCAAATCCCAGATTCTACACTTCCTAGCTGTGTGACCTTGGGCAAAATGCTTGATCACTCTCTGCCTTGGTTTCTCCATAGCATCTACTCCACAGGGATGTTGTGAAGATTAAAGAATAAATTATAAAGCACTTAGAAGTGTTTGCCATTATTGGTTTCTTAAAACAGCAATAAACCAACTAACAAAACAGGGACCCCTGGCTTCTGTGCCTGGGTGTCCAGGAGGAAGAACATGCTGAAAAATACCACCAATATAGAGAGACCACCAATCAGAACTTGGGCTGGGAGGAGTTAACGGAATCTTCAGCCATCAGAGCTGGAAAGGGGCCTTAGACAGCATCTCTTTCCTCACCAGGTGCAGGTTGTATGGGTAATAACTCCAAAGAAGCTAAATGACTTGTCCAAAGCCACACAGCAATAATACACTGCTCGAGATAAGATCAAGGTTCTTCCATTACTCTCTGGAACAAGTTCTGCTTTATGGCGGCTGCTCTTGGAGGGTTAAAGGCGTTGGGTGGGGCTCATGAGTATGGGTTATGTTGATTTAAAGGCAGAAGCTCACGGGTTCCTGAGAACCCTCTCTGACCTGCAGTGACCTCGATTCACATACTCTTGAGGGACAAGTCTCAACTGACCAGTGGGGCTGGTGCTTGTCATAGTTTCTCTGCGTGTCTCTTCAACATGCCCTGGCTGGTGCGGAGAAATTCTCTTTAAAGCATCTTTGAATTAGAATCATCCAAAAAGGGTTTGATTTGCCTTTCAGCATTTTAAAGGGAGGCATTTTCACTCGTATACCTAAGCAATCAGCGGCCCCTCTGTCTATGAGGAGTCTACTGGCATTTTGCAGTCATACAAACTCTAATCACAGCGGCAGTACTTGACTCATTCTTTCTATGTTTGCATTTTTAAAGGCCATTTAACTGGAACACATCTTTTCAAACAAAATCCTTGGGAGAGTGTTGGCTTTTGTGTGAGTATGAGGTAGTACCAGAAAGGTGTTCTCTGGAATCAGATATGAGTTGTCTGCTGACATCTGACACAGGAATTTCTCAACCTTGACGCACCTTAGTTTCCTTACCTTTTAAATTGGGGGTTATGAGAGCCTTGTAGTGAACTTGTAAGATCAAATCAGACAATGCACAAATCAGATCGTTAGTATGATGATCAGCGCCTGACAATTAACTTGGAAATAGTTTCTTTTTGTTCTGGTATTTTATGTGGAGAGAATGAAGTGAATTAATCAGAGTGCATCAGAAACAAATGTTCATGGCTCAGTTTCCCGGGAAGCAAAACCTGTGGGCTGTCAAAGCTGAGTCAGGTAGCATCTCTGCCCTGGAGGAGTTTTTGATGTAGTTAGAGGCAAGAAATTAATGAAATATGTGTTAATGTATCAGGTAGATAAGGTAGGTTACTCAAGTACTGTAGTGTGTTAGAGGTGGCTATCAATGTTGTAGAACAGGTCACCAGCTAGCAATTTCAGGCTAGTTCAGGACTGTAAACAAGTGCTATTTGGTTTTTCTTGACAAATAAACAAATAAAATATGAAAACAAGGAAGAAAAACCATTTGATTTAGTTGCCAAAATTGTAAATTCAGATTTCACTTAAAAATCTTTATTGCCCAATTATCTTTAAAAAGGGAATAATTAAGAAATCTGGAAACAATCCACTGAATTTTAGTCCCAGCTGTGCCCTTTAGATGAAGTGTTAATATATTATCTTTAGTTTGGTGCAGTCCCCACCAGCCCCTGCTGTCTCTCCAGTTGGGGTGCCCCTTACAATCTGACCTGCATTGTCATTTCAGTCACAGTAGAGTTAAGAGGAAAATGAAACAGACCATGCTCCAGGAAAGTGTTTCAAGGAAAACAGAAGAGAGCATAATGGACTAAAAGAAACATCATTCTTATATGAGTAACATCTAAACCAACAAAGATTTATGTGTCATGAAAATAAAACATAAGTTTTCATTACAAAATAAAATATTGCAAAACAACACAGGTGTAAGGGAAAAATGCATGAAGAAAAGCACAAGTGAAAATTGGTGAAAAAAAATCCATCCTGGTCTAATGTGTTGATTGCCATTAGCACCTTGGCAATTGTCTCTTGTATGCGTGTTGGTGCAGAAATGCAAGCATGAAACTGAATCCTTAATTTACCGTACCTTTGTTGCATGGCGTGAATCCTTCTGATATTTACTTTTGCAAAATGAAGACAATAACATTGACCTCCTAGGATTTGGGGGAGGACTAGATGAACAAAGTGCAGAAAAGTGCCTGTGGTTGTGGCTCATGGCTGATGGTAATACATGTTAGTTAAATCTGAAAATGCAGAGGGCTGGGGGAAGAATTTTGAGACCTTGAGTAATTGAGAGATGTCATTGAGAAAGTAAGATATCGCTGGACTTCTCAGAGAAAAAAGTAAGATGCAAACAGGCCTGGGGCAGGGTGATGTCCTAGGTGAATTGCACAGCACACATCCAGTTGGGGATGTGGATGGGGACAGGTTGGGCATCAAGCTTCTGGATTCTGCTGGGCTGAGGGTCCATGTTTCTGAGCTGAGTCATCCCATGTGGTGGGTGAGTCAGGTCTTCAAAAGCCTGGCCATGGGGCCTTTAGGCTTCTTATCCCTTCAGACCTAGGGTCCAACCCACCGTATGTGTTGATCTCTTACGTGCCAGTAGTTGAGCTAGGTCCTGGGAGCAGAGAGATGTTGAAACTCAGATTCTAAATGTATTCTGCCTAAAGTCAGACCACAGATCCGTCACTTGGAAAATGTGTTACCTGGACACATTCCTTAACCTATCTTCATCTCAGTTTTCTCATCTGAAAAATGGAAATCATAAAGGTGGCTGCCCCATTGCATTTTGTGAGTGGGGGGTTGTGAACAAAACGTAGACTTCATACATGTGCGTGAAGGTTTTTTATAAGGCCTGGACCTCAATCCCAAACTGTTCATTATCCAGTGCTCAGGAAATGGACCACTGCAATGGAGTAAAACACGTGCAGAGACAGAGGTTAATCCAGGGCTGCTGGAACAGCTTGTAGTATGACTGGCCCCACCCAGGTGACTCAGGACTTAACAGAGAAGGTGACGTGAGGCTTGGTCAGGGCCTGCAGGTTGAGGAAGCTCTGTGGGAAGAAGAGCAGGCAGTAGCGAAGGCCTTAGCGAGAGTAGAGATTACAGGAGCAAGAAGGTAGTCAGGGATGCTTGGGAACCACAGACAGACAGGTAGCTTGGAGCCAGGGAGGGCTACAAGGAGCCGGGAGGATGGATCTGGAGTTGTCCAGCTGAGCCTAGAATAAGAAGAGCCTTAAGTGTTGCATTGAAGAGATTTTATTTTCCTCTATAGGTGGTCAGGGGCCTCTGTGTGACTTAAGAGTACAGGTTGAGACCATCCTGGCTAACACGGTGAAACCTCATCTCTACCGAAAAAAAAAAAATTACATGGGCATGGTGGCCAGCACCTATAGTCCCAGCTACTTGAGAGGCTGAGGCAGGAGAATGGCGTGAACCCAGGAGGCGGAGCTTGCAGTGAGCCGAGATTGCGCCACTGCACTCCAGCCTGGGCGACAGAGCAAGACTCCATCTCAGGAAAAAAAAAAAAAAAGAATACAGGAACGACACCATACCATTCGGCTAGAGGAAGTGTTTTTTAAGCATCCACACTCAGGTGCTTGCAAACAGGAAGACTGGACAAACCTCTCTGCGAGACAAGGCGAAGCAGGTGTCATGAAGTCCGGGATTTCTCTGGAACAGCATCTGGCCTTTGCCCCTGCTAGTTGTTTAGCTCTATTTAGTATCTTTTATGCATTCAACACATCACACATTGCAAAACATTGCTTTTCAGGGTTGCTTGAATTTTTATAAAGAGATAACAGCTGTTGTTTCAAGTAAGACTGATCCAGGCGTTGCTGCCAGCCATATACCATGCTTGTGGAAAGCATCACTTCAGTAACATCCAGCGGTGTGGAGTCTCTGGTTTGGATTGGATGTTTCCCAGAAGGGAGAGCTGGGTGGAAAGGGACTCATTTCTGCCAGAGAAGAGAAAGGCATGCCCCATGGGGTGTCCTCCAGAATGAAGGATCTCAAAGGCCAGATATATGGTGAGCACTTGGAAAATATTCATTGAATGAATGAATGGATGAATGAATAAACAAATGAATTAATGATCTCTCTCACCTCATTGATACATAGTATATTGGGGGAGAAGAAAATTAAAACAAATGTATTCCAGGTTTTTTTTTTTGTTTTTTCTTAAATTAGCTTTTAAAAAATTTCACAAGTACAATGTTAGTCCTTTCTTGACATTATGAAAGTCAAGACCAAGACAGTCTTTCTTCATGGCGCTGTTTTCTGAGGGTCCTCTCTTCTCACTCTGGCATCCACCGTTTAAGCCTGTTTCTCCACATTTACATATACATAGCTAGGACTTTTATGTGGCTGTCTGTATTTACAACTGTATCTCCACCTGCTTTTAGGAAATTAGGGATTACTTTCCTTATTTAAAAGATAGGGAAACTGAGGCTCAGGGAAGTGATCTTCTAAGTTGAAGGTCTTTAAGAGTCAAGATTTGAACCTGGCTCTGGTGACCCCGACTCCTGTTCTTTCACCAGGCTTCCCTCAGAATGAGTTCTCCCCTGGTTCCCACTGTGTGTTTGTCTTTGAATTATGAGTAGAGTAAACCCTGTCCACACAGGAAGGGGAAGCAGACAGTAGGAAAAACCACAGTGCAGTGGAGAAAGTGAATTCCTGTGCTATTCAATATGGTAGTCACTAGTCACGCATGGCTTTTTAAACACTTTTAAGTCAAAATTAAATGAAATTAGAAACTCAGTTTCTCCATTGCACTGGCCACATTTCAAGTGCTCAGTTGTCACATGTGGCTGCCAGATTGGACAATACAGATATAGAACATTTCCATCATCACTGAAAGTTCATTTGAACAGCACTGCAGCTAGACTGTAAAGCGTTGCAGCAGAGTGAGGGCTTATTCACATTATGCAGGAAGAATATTTTTCATTGCTTTCCTGACATTGAACTAATACATACACACTGACTAATACATACACACTGAACTAATACATACACCATGTCATACACACTGACATTGAACTAAGGTATTCTCCCATTGCTCTCCAAAGACGCTGAAGTGCAGGCTTTTCCATGAATCTCTTTTGCATGTTCTGGTGATTCTACGCAGCAGAAGTATCTCAAATGGTCCACAAACGCCTCCTGGACTTCATCTTTATTCAAAGTCAAATTAATTCAGACCACTAAGGGTTCTGCAGCATTTTCCTCATGGAAGCCCTTTAATGTAGCTGAACGTTGCATTACAACCTCTGCTTGACATAGGTGTGTTAAGAAATAGGCTTATCTTGTAGAATTGACAGTTGGGGATATCATTGATTCTACTCACAACTCACACCTTTTTATGAGGACATCTTTAATAAATTTATTTTAGACTTGAATTCTTCTGGGTGACTTCTGTTATATATTTCCTATCTGGTTCTCACAACTGATTGTTTTCTTCTTTACTTTAGCTACTAGAGAGCTCAGAGTTAATTTTTTAACTCAACTTTAACAATTATGAAGTACTATCATATGTTTCTGTGAACTAATTTTTCTCTCTGTTTATTTCACTAATCTCCTGTCTGTCTTCCTTCACTTTGCCTTCTTTATCTATTCTTCATCCCATTGTATTATAGGATTTCTTCTTCTCTCCCCTCCCTTCGCCTGCCCGCCCTCCCTCCCTTCTTTCCTTCCTTCCTTCCTTCCTTCCTTCCTTCCTTCCTTCCTTCCTTCCTTCCTCCTTTCATCTTTCTATTTTTTCTACATCTTTCTGTGTCTGTCCTTTTTCTTTTCTTCCTCTCTCCTACCTTTCTGGTATCTGGTTTCAACACCTTGAGATGGAGTACACATAAATAAGTCAGAGGTGGAAGTGCAGGGCGAACAATGGCCCGGCTCACTCCACATCAAATAAAGGCCACTACTTCAGAAGCATGTTGCGTTTGCCCCTGAGGCTGGCCTTGACACGTGACCAGTCCTCACCAGGAAGGGGAAGGCTGGAGACGTGTCTGGGCAATTCAAGCTTCTGGGATCTGAATTGGGATGGCCCCACCTGTCCCCACTTCTGATCATAATCAGGAACATCTAAGCTGAGTCACTTGAGCCTTTGGCCTCTCTCCTTGCAGGGAGTGGCTTTCCCAGAACACCGATGTCCCACCACCCTGCCCTCTCCTTCCAGTGAGTGACAGCCCCAATTATGGGTCAAAACAGGGAGTCATTTGTCTCTCTGGCCTTCCCCATTTCAGGAGGTGATTTACTCCTTGTATCAATTATTCATTTTCCTTGGGGAGGAGGCTTTTATGAGATCTTGGTCAGCAGCACCAAGCTAGCTGGAGGGTGTGTCCTGCCTGAGGGCTGAGCCAGGCAGCTCTGTGCCTCTGGAAAACAGCAAGTCCCAGCCAAATGGAGGCAATGGATTGCAACCCAAATGTGCTTTCAGCATGTCTTGCATTAGGATTTGATTTAATTTTTACCTGATGCTTCACCTATTACAATGAGACATAAAAAGGGAATTTGCAGCTGCCTGCTTATCAGAAAAGATCAACTGTTTCTGTAATTAATATGGAAGATAACAATTTAAAATAATGAAACACCCATAATATGCTTAGGGGAAGCAGCTTGTTGCTATAATTAGAACGAGAATCAAATTGTTCTGATGGCAAACACATCATTTATTGAACTGAAGCTACTCTATGAATGAAAGTAAATAGCACAGCAGGAAAAAAAAGACGAGTAAGAGACATTTCATAAAACTCTGGGTCTGAGAAAGCTATTACAAGCACCAAGGACAGGGCTTAACAGAACCAGACATTCCTGCAGTGCCCCGCGAGTCTCCACCCAAGCTCCTGTGTGTTGTTTGTTCAGTGGCTTTTGAGACCCTTGAGAATTTTCTACAGTACATCTCTGATTATGTCACACCTGTGCTTAAACATCCCCTCACAACATTAAATATAATAAGGTTTATATCTGTAAGCGTGCATGCACACACACACACACACACACACACACACACACACACATCTTCTATGACACCTGTGTAGAACTTTTTACCCAGGGAACTGTTGTTTCCTCCTCAACAAAATTTTGGCTGGGAAGGGAGGATTGAGGAGGTACTTTCAACTTAACACATCATTTTTCACTCTTCTATCTTAAAAAAATCCATCAGTATATATTATTTCATGATTAATAAAGAAGTTGTTATTTCCCACAGATAGCCAACCACGTCAGTCTCCTCTCCTGCCGATGTTCTCCTGTATCTGCTCCAGCTCGCTAGGCTGCAGCTTCCTGGAAAACTCCTTGGATTCATCACTTACCTGTATTTTTAGGACTTTTATTCCTATTCATCACTTGGCCGGCAACTTTCTCCCTCTCCTTTCTTGCCTAGAAGGCTCTGACTTTTCCAAAGAGGCCTGATGCAAATGTTACCTCTTCGCTCTGTCACCCAGGCTGGAGTTCGATGTCACAATCTCTGCTCACTGCAACCTCCACCTCATGGGTCCAAGTGATTCTCCTACCTCAGCCTCCTGAGTAGCTGGGATTATAGGCACATGCCACCATGCCCGGCTAATTTTTGTATTAACAGGGAAGGAAGGAAGGGAAGGTATTAACCATGTTGGCCAGGCTGGTCTCAAACTCCTGACCTGAGCAGATCCACCCACCTTGGCCTCCCAAAGTGCTGGGATTAGAGGCGTGAGCCACTGCGCTCAGCCGTCACCTCTTCTTAGCAGCCTTCTTAGACCAATGCTCTACTCTGGGACACAATTTATTTCTTTCTCCTCTGAGTTCTCATGGTATATCCCACAAACGTGTATCAATACATTATTTTGCACTACACGCTTGCATCCATTCACATCTCCTGCTCTCAACGTGTGTGTGTGTGTGTGTTTATGTGCCTGGCACATAGTAGGTATAAATGTTTACTAGAATGGTGTTAGATTAATTTGGGTGAACAAGGACACATTTTGGGTTCATTAGACATGTTACGATATTTTTAAAGTTTTGTGGTTTGAGTAAAATTTGAGATGCATCTTGCCAAGTATGTTTCTCCTTATTTTGTAAAGCCCATATGTCTATTAAGGGAGGAAAAGCCATATGGTTCTGATTTCTTTACTCATAGATCAGCATTTCATTTTGTAGGGTATCTGATGTTCAAGATGCCGCCTGTACTGTGTGTATTGGTCCCTCTTTTTGAATGTTTTTCTTTGAACCGAGGAGATTGACTTTCCCAAAAATAGAAACTTAACTCTCAACAGTATAGAGGATATTTTCAGTCCTGAACTTGTGAGGCTTGGGAGATGGGCTCTCAAATGAAACCACTTTGTGTCTTTTCTTGCAAAGAAAAAGGTGATGGCCCTTAAACAGGATCTTTTGGTCAAGATGAGCTGAATTAAGGTACAGTTCATGTTGGGTCATTTGGGTTTATTTTTTATGTTGCTGAAGGCGATCCATGTGCAGTAAGGATTAACCAATTGGATTAATGAATTAATAGATGAATAAATGAATGAAAGCAGTCTAGAGAAGGGTGATATCATAAACAAAATTTTAAAGTTAGAAACCCTGGATTTAATTACTGTTGCTCTTGACTTTGGGCCTTAATAACTGAGAGCCTTTTGCCATCTCCGGCTTCTCTGAATGTGGTCTTCTAATTAAAAGATGATGTTAGTAATGTCTTGAATGCCTTCAAGTTTATTTTCTTCTTGCTGCTGCTGCTGCTGCTGCTTCTCCCTCTTCTCCCTCTTCTCCTTCTTCTCCTCCTCCTCCTTCCTCTTCCTCTTCCTCTTCTTCCTTCTTCTTCTTCTTATTCTTATTCTTTTTTCTTCTAAGACAGGGTCTTGCTCTGTCACCCAGGCTGGAATGCAGTGGCACAATCATAGCTCACTGCAGCCTCCAACTCTTGGGCTCATGTGACCTCCCACTTCCACCTCCCGAGTAGCTGGAACTACAGGTACACACTAGTATATCTGGCTAATTAAAAATTTTTTTTTCCTTGTAGATACAGGGGTCTTGCTGTGTTTCCCAAGCTGGTCTTGAACTCTTGGCCTCTAGCCATCCTCTGCCTTGGTCTCCCAAAATGCTAGGATTATAGGCCTGAGCCACTGCACCATGTCTTGAAGTTTTCATGACAACTTCGTGAAGATCTATTTGAGCAACATTTGCCAAACTTTAGTCATTCATCCAATGCCTTTGCAATCTTATCACTTAACATTTTTTTTCTAAATGAACTTTTCTTCATTTGATAAAGTACTTAAACAAATATATTTACAAAGAAGACATTCTGTCACTGTTATCTGTGAAGAACTCATATTCCATACTGTAAAGAAATTTCTTACTGTGGAAAAAAAGAGATATTTATTAATCTTTGTTCTAAATATTAGTCTGTGTACCACCTAAAATTATCTCACTCAGCATCAGTGTTGCCCATGCCCACCTTTGGAAAGCATCAATGTTGATAGTATATCTGGGAGCAAGAGTGTATGACTCTATAAGCATTTTGAATAACTATTATTGTTGTTATTGAAAGGATTAATCTAGGAGCTGTCAGAAACTATGGCTTAAACCTTAGCCAAGGCATTTTAATTATATATAATTATAGAGCTACAGTATCCTTACCTGAAAAGCAGAGTTGTTTCAGCAGTGTGGGCCACATTTTATAATTATTTGTGGTTTTCCGTCCCTTACCTCTATGTGGAAAAGAGAGTCAGTCGTGCGGATGTGTGTCATTTTCTGGCCCTCTGCTGCATCGTCATTATGCACTTTCTTCAACGGTGACTCATCAGATGATTGTGCTACCCTCATGAGGCAGGCATGGTCATGACTGGGATTCCCATTTTAAGAGTGAAGAAATCAAGGCTTCAAGGAAGTGACATGCAGTTCTCAGGGCCTTGCAGCTCACAAAGGGCTGAATTGGTTCTAGAAGGACACAGGAGCTTCTGACCAATACTGGTCATGGCTGCTTGTTTCTGTGCCACTGAATAGGCAAAAAGTGTGACCTAGAGCAGGTCAGTGAGAAATAATGGGACCTGAAACTCTGCTGAGAAGCTTGAATGTGTGAAATCCTAAAAAATTTCCTCTGTCTTTTTATTTGTTTGAGTAGAGCTCAGAGAAGACACAGTCCAGAAAGCCTACTTGTGACTTAACAGGCCATCTTTTGAACTTGGGAAATTTAATGAATGCTGTACAGAAATAGAATGTGTCAGGTCCTAAGATAGTTACTGGAGAAGCAGAAATAATTTAATTCCGTGTCTTCTTGAAAGTGTTCATAGTCTGGTGGGGAGATCCACTGATTAGAAAATGCACCCCAAAAAACTCCAAGAACAACAAACCAAACCAAACAAAAATGATATAAGGTCATGGCTAAAATGAAGCTATGTGCAAGGTATCCTGAAGAAGAGAGAAAGTAATAATTATTTGTATTAAAAGGTATGAATGCGATGCTGTTTGAATGTAGGTTAATGGAGTCCAAGCCCCCAAACTATTTTGTTTTGTCTTTAAAATAAGCCACTTATAAAGAAATCTATCTTTTTTTTCCTTTTATCTTATTAGTAATAGACTGGCCACCAATCAAAATCTCTTTCAGTAGATCTCTAAAACTTTCTTAGTTCTTATTTTAACATCTATCTCAGAATGCAACTTGCCCCCAGAGCATACAGGCTACAAACTTGAGGGGGCCCCTAGCATTTTACAGCAGATATTGGAAAAAGCTCAGCAATCAGAGCTACTGAGAAACATAATCTTAAACTTGGCAATGAGAAGCAGAAGAATTCATTTTTAGACTTTAAAAATAAAAATGTCCATCTTCAAGTCAACACATTCCCCTGTTTTGGCATCTTGAATCATCTTATTAAAAAAAAAAAAAAAAGAAATTTTCAGCTTACCTTTGCATCTATAAAACGGCTTTTTTTAAAATAAAAAAAATTCCAAATTCCACATTACTAAACCCTGCATGACTTGCATTAAGATACAAGATTATGACTTCTGCATGCACAGACTTACAGACTGGCCAGCCATGGGGGGTTGATCAGCCGTGACAGGGTCAGATACTGGGCAAGAGCAGGAAGAGGCCAATCTAAAGTGAAGCCAACTGCTTTGCATTATTGCACCAGCCCCTGCGAAAACAGAGGAGCTGGAAACCCACTGACTCCTGGTCAATGGCTGAGAATGGTTGCTAGTGGGACACCCATCTCTGCAAGTGGAAAAGGCCATTTTAAAAGTAGCTTCCGAAGCTTTGACCCAGTAGAACAACTTGGTATGCAAGCAAAATTAACACAGGCCTTATCTTTTTGTGCTGACTTTGGTTACATTTTCCAAACACTGGCTGTTCTGTTACAAAGCCATGAGTGATGAGCTCAGTGAGGTGTGTGGGAGCTCCCTAGACCCTCTGTGCCTCAGTTTCCTCATCTGTAAAGCAGGGATGGGAGTGGCACCTCTTTCGCAGAGCTGTGTGAGGATGATTTGGATAAAACATACATAACATGGTGCCTGGTGCTTTTTAAGTACTCAGAAAGTACAATATATTATTACGTGTGAATAATGATAACAATTACTGATTCCTGCTAATCCTCACCAAAAAACTGCGGAATAGGTTTGATTGTATCCATTTTTCAGATGACAATAACTGAGGTTCAAAAGCTAAGCTATTTTTTTCTAAGGCATTATCAGAGACATTTCAGAAGTTAAAACTGAAACAAGAGCTATTTGACTTCAAAGTCCAGTTTTACCAGCATCTCATGCTGTTTAACATAGGGACGATTTTTGAGCTTCTTAGGCTGTTTGCAGGATTTGGGATTGAAAGGTGGAAACTTGAGTCATCCAACCTTTTGTTTTAACTCTATAAAGCCCATATATCACATATTTTTCCTTCTTGGTTTGATGAGATATCACACGTAACGATGGCTATATGTGGAGGACACATCTTGCCAGTGCATCTGAGATTTACCTTCCTTGACGACAGAGTGAATAGCGGGTAACATCATCCCCATTTTACTCATGTCTTACTGTTCAGTGGTGGAGGCTGACATACATTTCTGGTCTGCCCTATTTGAAAAACTCAAGCTCTTTGAAACGACTGGCTTTTTAATAATTTGCCCTAAGTCTTGAAGCACAGGGTCCAGAAATTCTTTTATATTTCTCTGGAGAGCACAAGAGGACTCTGGAAAAAGCACTGGCAAAATATGAAGAAGTAGAAACTTTTATAAGCTCAACGCACCTCTTGGACAGTTAGAAATGTCATCTATGATGTAACCAGAGAAGCTGATTCCATCAGAAAGTGATATAGTGTCTTCATTTCCCATTTTCCCAATCTTTGGGTCTAATTATTGTTGACATTCCTCTCACACTGTGAACTCTTTGGGGACAGAGATAAGTTTATCTCTATTAAAATATGAATCAACCAAAGGCAAACTGATTTCAAAAAGCTCTTGAAAATAAAACATAATGAAATGCGTTTGGAAAACTAAAAACAGAAATTGTAAGAATAACTTTATAATCTTGGAAAGAGTTCTACTAACTACATATACTGTGTCAAGTTTTTAAGTATTGATTCCTGGGGATTAGTTGTGAGGTACTTTGGTGTCTAAGTATTCATTCCTTTGTTTAACATATTTACTGTAGAAAATTAGGAAAAGTGGAAAAGACAATGAGGCCCCAATAATTCCACCACTTAGAGAAATACACTTTTACCTTTTTCTTCTATGCTTTTGTTCCATGTTTTTAAAAAACGTATGAGATTACAATACATACATTTATTTGTACTGAAAATTTAATTATTCTGGGAAGAAGTCAGAAAAATATAGAAAATTTCCAAGATGACAACAACAACTGGCCATGTTCTATAAACACTGAGGCACATTTTCCAGCCTTTTCTCCTACCATAAATATGTGTCAGCTGGGCATGGCAACTCACACCTATAATCCCACCACATTGGGAGGCTAACGAGTGCAGGGATTATCTGAGCTCAGGAGTTCAAGACCAGCCTGGAAAACATAACAAGACTTTGTCTTTACAAATAATAATAATAAAAAAATTAGCTGGGCATAGTAGCGTGCATCTGTACTCCTACTTACTGAGGAGGCTGAGATGGGAAGACCACTTGAGCCCAGGAGTCCAAGCTGCAGTGAGCCAAGATCACAACACTGCACTCCAGCCTGGGCAACAGAGCCAGACTCTCTCTCAAAAGATAAATAAATAAATAAATAAATAAGTCAGGTAATATAGGAATGGATTCTCTTTAAAATGAATAGATAAAATAAATTAGAATGGCTGAAATAGTTTCACTTTCATCCTAAGACAATAATCTTCATGCATGTTTATTTCCATTTATCCTCCCCCACGGTCAGCTTCATATTTTAATTCCCCACATTACTCTTGCCAGTAGCTTTAGCTTTTATACATTTATAATTTTTATATGTATAAATTATAGTTATAGTTATAATGTATAACTTGTACATTATAATTTTTATGGCCAGTAGTTATTTATAATCACCAATGTCTAACTGATTTATTAGTTCATTTTTTCATCCCAAATTCCACTATTTCCTTCTGGTGAATTTTTTTCCTTGCTACAGAAAGTTCAGAAGAGGCCGTGGCTTTCTGAATGATTTTGTGTCCAAAAAGTATATTTATTTTACACTTACTTTAAAATGGTATTTTTCCTGGGTATAAAATTTTAGGCTTTAATTTTCTTTTCTTATCAACAATATTTAAAGCATTGCACCAGTGTCTTCCTGCCTTGCAGTGTTTCTAATGAGAGTCTGAGATAAATTGTGTTCTCAGTTCCTTGTGAATAATATAATCTTTTTCTTGGTAATATTTCAGGATTTTCTCTTAATGCTTGATTTTCATGGGTTCAGTAGAAAGCATATAGGTATGGTTATTTATGTTCTTTTATTAATTCTGCTTGGTAATTGGTGAGCTCTTTCTTTCTGGGGTATCTTGAATTCCTTTAATTCTAGGAATCCTCAGCCATCTTGTCTTTAAATGTTGCCTGTTCAACTGGAGCTTCAATGAGATGGATGTTAAAATTTCTGGATTTATTCCACATGAAACACAGCTGTACTGTCGAACTTTCCATCTGTTTGTGCTATAGTCTGGAGAAATGTCTCAAATTAATATTCCAACATTTGTTACTTAGTCTTTCTCTGCATCCAGTTTGCTTTTTAACATTTCTACAGAAGTATTTCATTTCAATCATTAGAGATTTCATTTAAGGAATCTCGAGTAATTATCTTTTCTAAACCTGATTGAATTTGTAATTCAATTGTTTTTATGGCAGTATACATGCATTTAAATGATTAATTTAATATTAATATTTTTAAATAATTAATTTTATAATTTATTACATAAAATTTAACAAAATTAAGTTTTAAAATGAATTGAAATACTTTAAAAATACAATTATACTTTAAAAATACAATTAAAATCTTTTTCTGATTGCTTTATTTGGTCTGTTTCCAGAAGGTATTGTGCAGTGAGTTTTTATATTTTTTTATGGAACGTGTGGAAGGAATTTCTTTTTTCCTGACATCATATTGCCATTTGAATCCACTAACAAACATCTGACAGTGCAATGTAATGAATCTATCTTTTCTCTCTGGTTTCTTTGAAGACTTTCTCTGAGTCTTTGGCATCTAGAATTTTATTATGATGTGTTTAGGTACAAAGTTGTTTTATTGTGGTATTCTTTATATAAATAGAATGTTTAGATCATAAGTTTTCAGTGTGATGAAGTTTGTCAATTTTATACAACTTTTTGTAACACACACACACACACGAGAACATTTTTATTGCCCTAAGAAGTTCCCTTATTTCCAGAGATACTTTCGATTTTTAATATGATAGACTAGATTTGTTTGTTTGTGAACTTCATGTAAATGGAGTCAAACAGCATAAATGATTTTGCCTCCAACTTCTTTCACATGATATAATATATCTGAGATTTATCATGTTATTGCATGTATCCGTAGTTTCTTCTTTTTTACAGTTGAATAGTGTTCTGCTGTATTACCATATAACAATTTATTAATCTATTCAAGAGTTGACAGATTTTGGGGTTGTTTACAACTTTCCTTTATTATGAATAAGGTTGCTATGAACATTCTTGTATAAGACTATCTAAACACGTTTTGTTTTTCTTGGATCAATATTTAAGAGTGCATTTTCTGAGTCATAGGATTGGTGTACATTTAACCTTATAAGAAACTGTCAAAACATCCTTCTAAGTAATTGTGTCATTTTACACTTCCCTCAGCAATGCGTAAGAGTTCCGATGACTCTACATCCTCACAGATGTTAGGTATTGTCAGTGGCTTTAATGTTAGTTAGTCTACTGGATATGAAGTGGTATCTCACTGTGTTTTCATATCATGTTTTTTGAATGGCTAACAGGGCTTAACTTATATCTGAGTACTTACCGGTCATTTCTATGTTTTCATTGTATAGTTTTTGCCCAAAGCTGTTGTCCTATTTATTGGATTTGTTGTTATTATTACTATTACTACTGATTTTCAGATGTTCCTTATATATTCCAGATATAAGTTCTTTGTCAGATATGCTACAATTATTTTCTCCCACTCTGTATTTTTCTTATTCATTTTATTAATGGTGTATTTTGGTGAGACAAATGTTCATCTTGAAGACATGTAATTATTATTTTTTTCTCTTGTGGTTAGTATTTCTGGTGTCTTTTCTAAGAAATGTTGGCCTAACTCAAAGTCACAAAGATATTCTTTGATTTCCTTCTGAAAGTTTTATGCTTTGAGTTCAAACCTATGATCTACATAGTAATAATTACTAAGGTATTTTCCCCCATACACAATTTGTTAATTACTTGCAGTTTGGAAACCAGGTAATTTTTTTCTTTTTCAAGATAATTTTGGCTATTCTAGATTATTTGCATTTACCTATAAATGTTTATATCAACCTGTCAATTTCAAAAAAAGAATAAAAATAAAAAATAAAAGGCTGCTGGGGTTCTGATTGGGATTACAAAAAGTCTATAAACAATTTAGGAAAAATTGTCATCTTAACAGCACTGAATCTTCTAATTCATAAATATGGTCTATATCCCCATTAATTAGGTCTTCTTTAATTTCCCTCTGCTCAAACCTTCTTTTTCAAGCATAGAAATCTTCCACATCTTTTGTTACATATATTCCTTGTTTGATATTTTGATGATATTGTAATGGTAATACATTTTAAATTTCATTTTTAAATTATTTTGGTAGCGCATAGAAATACAATTAAGTTTTGTGTATTAACCTTGTATATTACAACTTTACTAAATTTATTTATTATTTTTAGTAATATTTATGTATATCCCACAAGATTTTCTATGCACACACTTATATTCTCTCTAAATAATGATGGTTTACTTCATCCTTATAATATTTATTCATTCATTTATTTATTTTCATTTATTATTATTTTTTTGAGATGGACTGTAGATCTGTTGCTCAGGCTGGAATGCAGTGGTGCAATCTCAGCTCACCATAACCTCCGCCCCCTGGGTTCAAGGGATTCTCATGCCTCATTCTCCCAAGTAGCTGGGACTACAGTCACAAGCCACCAAACCCAGCTACCTTTCAATATTTAATGTAATATTTTATTTTCTTTCTTTTTCTTGCCTTATTGCACTAGCGATGACAGCAGACACTTTTGCCTGTCTCTTGGTCTTAGGGGAAAAGTGTTTAATGTCCTGTCATCTACTATTATAGAAGCTGTAGGATTTTCCCAAGTGTCCCTTATTGGAATAGGGAAGTAATTGTGAGAATTTTTACCAGAAAAATGGATGTTGAATTTTATCAAATACTAAATAATCTTATAATTTTTCTTATTAATTTATGTGGTACACTATTTTAATTGCTTTCCAAATATAAATAGTCAAATAATAACCAACCTAGACTAAATGTCATAGAATTATGATGGATTTAATATTATTTGTACATATTCGTGGATTCAATATATAAAAATATCATATGATATCATATTAGGGATTTTTGCATCTACATTCATGAAAACATTAGTCTATAATTTTCTTTGTAAAAATGTCATTGTCAAGTTTTGGTATGAGAGTTATTCTGATATAAACAAGATGAGAAGGGTTTCTTCTGTATTTTCTGAGAGACTGTAAGATTGGTAGTTTTCTTCCTTACATTTTCTGGAACTCACCAATAAAGCCCTCAGAGCCTGGAGTTTTCTTAGTGTGTAGGTATGGTAGGCAGAATTACGGCATCTCAAAGACATATGTACATCTTAACTCCCAGAATCTGTGAATATATTATGTGCCACTTGAATATATGAATATGTAACTATGGCAAGAGGAATTAAAGTTGCAGATACAATTAAAGTTGCTGATTTTTGGCCTTAATATATGGAGATTATTCTGGATTACACAGGTAAATCCAATGTAATTACAAGGGTTGTTTAAAGTGGATAAACAGCAGAAGAGGAAATCAGAGTCAGAAAGATTTGAAAATACCACACTGCTGGTTTTAAAGATGGAAGATGAGGCCAAGCCAAGGAATGTGGAAGGCCTCTAGAAGCTAGAAAGGACAAGGAACTGGATTCTTTCCAATACCCTCCAGAAAGAATGTGATCTAGCCTTTGGACTCCTGACTGCCAGACCTGAGAACTCCAAAATCTAATGGCTGAATAATAAAACATAAGCTTCAAAGGAGACAGAGAATGAATAGCAGATTAAGATAATAAACTTGTGTTGTTTTAAGCCACTACGGTTGTGCTTATTTGTTATAAGCAGCAATAGAAAACTAATTAGAAAGTGTTAGGAACAAATTCAATGTATTTAATAGACGTGGGGCTTTTTAGGCTTTCTATTTCTTCTTGTAAAAACTTTTGCAAGTAGTACTTTTTAATGCCCCTTTTTTTTTCTAAGTTTCCAACATTTTTTTTTTTACAGGCCTTTACATTTATTTGTATGTTTAGTCTTTCCAATGCTCTACCTTCCTTTCTGAAGATCCAGAGTCTCATCTGGATCAAGTCTTCAACTTGATGAACTTTTTTGTGATATTTTTTAAAGATCGTGTCTATTGAAGGAAAATATTCTCAGCCTCTGCATCTTTGGAAATAGGTCTGCTTGATCTTCATTTATAAAGAA
This sequence comes from Homo sapiens, assembly GCF_000001405.40. Lineage (NCBI taxonomy): Eukaryota > Metazoa > Chordata > Mammalia > Primates > Hominidae > Homo > Homo sapiens. The sequence goes on along the minus strand of NC_000014.9, from coordinate 98,486,441 downwards.
TATTCTTGCTGGATATAGAATGCTAGTTTGATTGATTTGTTTTTCTTTCAGCACTTTAAAATATTCCAATGTTTTTTGGCCTCCATTGTTTCTAATTACAAGTTAGACATCATTCTTATACTTGTTCATGTATGTATATGTCCTTTTTTCTACTTGTTTTATGATTTTTGTTTTATTTTAGGGTTTTAGCTCTTTGGTTACAATGTACCTAAATGTGGTTTCTCTTCAATGTATGCTTCTTAAGGTTTGGTGTTATTCTTGAATTTGTTAGTTGATACTTACATCAGTGTTATTTACAATCTCTTTACATATGTATTTTGTTTAATTATCTATCTCTTTTACTTCTGGGACTCAAATCAGACTTGCGTTAGACTACTTAATAGTGTTCCACAGATTTAGGACATTCTGTTCTTTTCTTTTTACTCTGTTTTCTTTTTGTGTTTCAGATTTAATGATTTCGATTGGCTGTCTTCAAGGTCATTGATTTGTTTCCTCTGCTATACAGTCTGTGCTTAATATCATCCAATGAGTCATTTATTTCTGATATCATACTTTTCATTTATAGAATTTCTATTTGTTTTTTCCTCTATGATTTCTATTTCCATTGCAATTCTCCCTTCGTTTGTACATGTTATATACCGTTCTGCCAGATTCTTTAATGTATTTACAATTCCTATTTTTCTCTTATCATTTCAACATCTAAGCCCTCTCTAGTATGCTTCTATTTTTTGTTTCTCTTCTCAATCACACATCACCTTTTCTTGCTTCTTCATATTTCTCATAAACTTAAATTCTATGTTGGACATGATAGAGGCTAAATTACCTCTAGAATATTTTTTAGCCAAAAAGATTTTTCTTCTTTCAGACTACCACTGGCCAGGGTTACACAAATCTAACATGAAGGTAAGTGTAGTTTGGGTTTTATTGCAGCTATTTTTAAATTTAATTCTTACCACTAGCTTTGAACTTTATGTTCAGCAGGCAGGAAATCTAAAAATTTGCAAAATTTGAGGATCTGTTTATGTTTATCATTCAGCCTCCAGATTTCTGAAGATCTCTGCTTTAAATTTTGGCTACTAGCTTTCAGGAACATTATGGAGTTCTGTTTGCTCCCAACTTCATTCAAGATTTCTTTGCATTCAGAGATTTCTTAATACCTGATGTTCTGTCTCCAGTCTTCATAGGGCTGCTTCACTGCTCTCATTAAAACCTGGAGTATCTCTAAAGGTTTTGTCTTAGCCATGCTTTCTGCCCTAGTCTTTCCAGCAGCTGCTGTCTTACATGAGAAGAAGGCTATGTGTTTTTGCATTTAATTGCTCATGTTTGATAGTCTTTGTTTTCTTAATCTGAAAATTCACATCTTTCAACAATTGGGGAAATTATTATATGTGATTGCTTTATATATTATTGTTTCCTTATTTTATATATACAATTTGTTTGGACTTTGTATTGGAGTATATTTCTGCATTTTATTCTGTTCTCTATGTCTTTTTATGTCTTTCTCACATTTCCAATTTTGTTACTACTCCATGCTATATTCCAGATAATTTCCTCCAACATATCTTCTAGTTCATTGATTCTCTCTTAATCCGTGTATAGTATGCTGTCAATTCCTCCCATTAAGTTTTTAACTTTATTGATAGTATTTTTTCATTTCTGGAAGTTCTAGTTAGTTTGCTTTTAACTAATTTTTCCTTTTCCATAACATTTGCTATGCACAATGTCTTTTCTGTTCCACTCCCTATTCATATGTAGAAGCCTCAACCCCGCAATGCGATGATATTTGGAGATGGGCACTTTGGGAGATAATTAAGTTTAGATGAGGTTGTAAGGGTGGGGTCCCCCATAATGAGATTTCTGTCCTTATAAGAAAAGACACTGAGAGCATTCTCTCTATCTCTCTCTCCTGTCCATGTAGGAACATAGCAAGAAGGCAGAAACAGAGCCCTCATCAGACACAACATGCTGGCACCTTAATATTGGAATTCTGGCCTCCAGGACTATGAGAAGATACATGTCAGTATTTAAGCTACTTAGTCTTCTATTTTGTTAGGGCAACATGAGGTGACTAATAGAGCATCTTATTATTTTCCTGTAGTTTTAGTTTGTTTTTAATGTCTTTAATCAATTAGAATATATAATGCATTTATTTTATAATTTCTATAATCTAGATTTTCTATTTTATAAACCTTTAGGTTATTAAATCTAGCCATTTTTGTATTTCTTAACTCACAGTGAATTGTTACTTTTTTATTTTATAGTTTTAGATCGTGAACTCTTCTTTAGTGGGATTATTTGAGAACATTGCATGGCCTAGGAAGAGGAGAGTCCCTCAGAGAGGCTCTGCCTTTATTTTCATCATAAATACAAAAGGTATTAACAATTTATATATGCATACACACATATTCTTAGCTTGTGAATGTTTAATACTACATTAAGTTGATTCTATAAATATAAGCCTTCAATATATCCATAACAGCATCATGTTTACAAATCCTCAAAACCAACATTTCCCTAGTCTCTGATTCCTATTTGAAACAAACATAACTTTATTGTTGGCTTATTGTAACTACAGGTAAATTTATTTCTAACTTTTCTTTGAGGAATTTTTTTTCTGGCATAAAATCAGGTAAGTCTCAATTACCCTTATTTTAAATACACAATAGTATGTCCCCTGTCTCTGTATAGTCATTCAAATTGAAGTATCTAAATTACGAAAATGGAAATTACATTAATAGCTTATTGTCAGCTTTTCTTATGATTTGAGGTTTTCTTCCCTCTTTGTATTTTGTTGTTTTGTTTTGTTTTATGTTATTGGTGGTTTATCTAAGCATATATGGGATGCTTGTTATAGTGTATGTTTCATTTTTATGTGTTTTTGTAATGAGGGGGTTTTAAATTGTAAGTAGTTTGCTATATTGCCAAAAATGAAAATTAAAACTCATTTTACAATGTCACTATAACTTGATGTCAAAAATGGATATTGATAGTAACGTAAAATAAAATTATATACCAATCTCACTAATGACTATAATAGCAAAAGTCCTAAGTAAAATTTTAGTAAAGAGATTCCAGTAATATATTAAAAGAATTATATATCCTAATCAGGTAGGGTTTATTTAAAGAATGTAAGAACTGGCCAATATTGGAAAACTGTACAAATAATTGCTATAAAATAGTTTAAGATAGAAAAGTTATATTTCCTCAATAGACAACAAAAGTCGTTTAAGAAAACATCTTATAATCCTGAATAAAGAAAAGAATTCTAGCATACTAGAGGTAATAGCTTTCTAAATTATAATTATCAGAAATCTTCATTGTGCCATACTTAGCAGTGAAACTATTAACCAATAGCATTCACTTTCCATTCCTATAGTAAAAATATATTAATCACTTATTAATGTATTGTTCTAACTAAACATTGTTTTAGATATAGGGATATAGCAGAGTAGATAATAAAGCCCTAGATTTTGATGTTAAATAACAAAAGAAAATAAGTTAATTATATTTTATTAAAAAGCAATAATATTGTCATAATTGGCAAGTGAGGTTCTTAAGAATCAACTGACCAAACACTAGTGCTAGTGAAGGAGTTCTACAAGGTGACCTGAGTAAGCTTAGCATTCAAATGTTACATTTTCCTATTGGTATATCAATTATCAATTAGGAAAGTTAGCCAAAGTATTTCCCAGTAGCTATAACTTCAATACTGTGTGTAGTGCCAAATTTAAATAGAAATGTGTTCAGCCTGGCCGGGTGTGGTGGCTCATGCCTGTAATCTCAGTACTTTGGGAGGCGGAGGCAGGCGGATCACCTGAGGTCGGGAGTTCAAGACCAGCCATGGTGACCAACATGGAGAAACCCTGTCTCTACTAAAAATACAAAATTAGCTGCCTGTGGTGGCTCATGCCTGTAATCCCAGCTACTTGGGAGGCTGAGGCAGGAGAATCACTTGAACCTGGGAGGCGGAGGTTGTGGTAAGCTGAGATCGCTCCACTGCACTCCAACCTGGGCAACAAGAGCAAAGCTCCATCTCAAAAAAGAAAAAAAGGAAAAGAAAAGAAAAAAAAGAAATGTGTTCAGCCTTTTTGAAGAAATTTATAACATTTTAATAAGAGATATAAAATAATTCAAATAAACTGAGAAAATATGGTTATAAGTGAAAAGAATCAATATTAACATTTTACAAAATCAATCTATTATTTAGCTAATTTAATCAGTCTATTATTTGAATGCCATCCACTCAAAATCAAACAGGATTTTTTTGTCCAGGGAGTCTAACAAATTCATTCTAAATTTGTTTTGGTGTGTAGAAATTCCAAACAATTTTCAAAAACAAAAATCAAGAAATAATTTTTTTTAGAACAATTTTGAAAAAAATATATACAATATAAATTATATTTCAAATTCAACAAAGAATCTAGAAGTAGACTCACACAGATAAAATAATTTGGTTTACCTTAAAGGTAGCATTGCAAATGGCTGAGAAGAGGGTAGACTGTATCTTCCATGGTATTGGGTGAATTGTCTATATATTTTAAAAGATATCATCAGTTCTGACCTCAAGACATTTAGGAAAATATGTTTCAGATAAGTTATTCTTATATTCTCATTTATATCATAGGGAAATTTAGGTTAATATGTTCTTAATATTGATGTGTCTTTTCAACAAGACACAAAATCATAAGGGATTAAAGGAAAGATTGATTTCCCCTGAAAATATCAAAATTTAAAAGTATTTATTTAAAAAAGTTAAAATGTGAATGACAATTCAGGAGAAAAACCTTCTTGCATATGTAGAAAATATACAAAGAAATGATATCAAATATCTAAATATATGTAGGACGCGTGTTAATAATTAGGGTAGTAATAACATAATAAAGAAGAAAAAATAAGTAAACTGGCAATGAAGAGTAGAGGAAATTCAAAAGGCCAATAAACGTGGGAAAATTGATACTCTTTATAAAACAACATGAAGCAAATGTAAATTATGACAACAATTATATACTATCACACATTAGATCAGAAAAAAATAAAAAGTAAAGAGTATCAAGCATGGGTGACAGTTTGAGGAGACATCATTAAATTGCTAGTAAGATATTAGGTCGGAATAGTTGTTGAACTACCTCCATGCCTATAAGAAGGGGCATATTCAAACTAAGGGGTAGCCTCATAATAGAATCATACACCATACACATCAGTTAAAACTAGTGAGGTTTACTGTTTGCAGAGATTAGGAAAGCACTTTAATATATCTTATGAAATGAAAAAGAAATGTGCAGGTTTCTATGTAACCTATGATACTATTTATGTGAAACTATCATACACACACATAAATATGTGTACGCACACGTGCACACACTGATGTGTTTCCAACGGCAACATATTAAAAATAAGCAGATGCATAGAAAAATGTCTAAAAAGATACATTTAAAATATAGCAGCGATTAACTTGGGGGCAGAGGTAGACTGTTTGCAAAGGACTTAAATCTTATTCATTTTTAAGAGACAGGTCTCTCTCTGTCATCCAGGCTGGAGTGCAGTGGTGCAAGCATAGCTCACTGTAGCCTCAAACTCCTGGCTGCAAGCAATTCCTTCACCTCAACCTCTCAAGTAGCTAGGACTACAGACATGCATCACCATGCTCAGCTAATATTTTCATTTTCTTTCTTTTCTTTTTTTTTTGCAAAGACAAGGTCATCCTGTGTTTCACAGGCTGGTCTTGAACTCCTGAATTCAAGGGATCCCCTTTCCTCAGCCTCCCAAAGTGCTGAATTACAAGCATGAGCCACCACACTTGGCCTTGAGTCTTATTTAAATCTTCTAATTTTTTATTCCAAAAATATTTTTATGAATTACTTCTATTTTATAAAGAACTAGATTATGTAAGGAAGATAGAAGAAACTAATTTCCTTATCCCTAAAAGTAGTATTTATTTATTTCCAAAAATGTTTTGCTCATATATCATCCTTATGCCTGACTCATTTTCATAGGTGCTATCTCTTGCACAAGGAGTAGTCTTCCACCTACATATGTGCACATAGAACTCTTCTGAAGTCCCCATGGAGCTTGAAAAAAAACCATTTCTCCACTAAAACCTTATATTCTGTCTAGAAGAGACATATGATAACACAGGGAATAACTGTGGTAATTACCCAGTAAATAGTAGTGACCCTAATTATGATGGTAATAATAATAATCTAAAAAAGCATGTTTGTGATTGCATCACTGCACTCCAGCCTGAGCAACAGAGCAAGACTCTGACTCTGAACAACAACAACAAAAAAGCATATTTGTTTTGGGTCATGTCCAGATCATATCTACATCTCATATCTTGTCAGCTTCCATGCAGTTTTGTTAGCATCCACTCTGTATTAGGCACATGGTAAGATGTAAATGAATCATGGTAAGATGTAGATGAATAATGCTTGGTGCTTGTCTTCAGTCACTCTCCATTTCTCAGATAAATGTTGCATAGGTTGAGAAAATCTGGAAAAGGTATCCCTAGAAAATGAAATAAAAAGCTCTATGGAAATTCTCAGCAGGTATCTTATATTTCAAGGGCAAGAACGTGATCACCTAGCAGACTTTAGCTGCAAGGGAGGCTGAAAAATTTGTTTTAAGTTTCCTAACTTCTGTATTAAAGTAAGGTAAGCAAAAGAAAAGTGGGGGATAAAAGGGTATTGGGAATGTGTGTTGAGTGAGAAAACACTTGGCAAGCTGTGGGCATGCAAAGAATAATTGTGATATCATTTTTTTGTAAACATGACCAGAATTCTGTAAGAGCCCACTGTGAGGTCTTTTGCAATAGATTGACCAGCTCATGTCAGCGCATGTATAGCAACAAAATGACTGAGTATTTTTTCTTCTTCATCATCATCATCATCATCATCAACACTTAGTGCCTGGAACGGTGGTTGGAACAGTTACATAGTAGGTACTCAATATGTGTTGAATGAATGAAGCAATGTAACAAAATCGTTATCGTCATTAACACAGCTGCCAGTTATTTGGCACATATTTTATGCCAGACTGTGTAATAGGACATTTCATACACACTATTTAATTTAATCTCATGGTAACCTTTAGTAAGTGGCAGAAGTTGAGGTTTAGAGAGGTTACATAGCTAATTAAAGATCAAATAGGTACTAAAGTTGAGAGCCAAGGCTCAGTCCCAGTTGTCTCTGGGTTTGTTCTCTCTAGTAGCATTAACTCCATCCATGTGGATAATGTACGTATATGAATTATTAGTATTTTGTTGGCTGTAATCCCTTTTTGTTTCTGGGGACCTCAAGAAATTTATTTATTTAAAAGACATATGAAAAAGATGAAGTTTTTGAAGACAGCAGTCGATGCAATTTTAGTAAATATCATATTTATAGGACTCTGCAATTAATTTACAAATTTTTTACAGCAAAATTTGCCCTGATGATCTTATTCTTTGGGGACAACAATTGTCTCCTCCTTGATGTTTTCCTACACTAAAGGCAATTATTGTTGCTTCTAGCTGTAATAAAAAAAATAACCGAAACAGATAGAAGTGTCTTCATTGAAATTGAGCTGAAACTCCCACTGTGGAAATAATCAGAAAATTAAAAGCTCTGCAATCTTGCAAATAACATTGCAACTTAATATTATTGGAACATAACATTATTATCTCTTTTTATAGAGAAAACAAACATAAATATATTTTCAAATGACACCATAATATTAGTTTTATTTTATTGGATGGGGTGGGAGGGGAGTAAAGAACAATAACTTTTTAGGGTAGAGCAAATGAAACAATGGGGATTTATGAAAAATGATCAAAAGCACAAAGCTATGTATGCTGCAAGTCTCAATCTCAGGCCGAATCTTTCAAATACAATGTGGCCCTACCTCAGCATGTCCTGCGTGATTTTCTGGGATGACTTCATCTATAGTTCTCCATGGCAGCAACCAGGCACAGGGTCTGCTACCAGCTGTGCATTCAGTCAACATGGGTTAAATTAGTTTTTAATTATTATTGAAAGAGATCAAAGTCAGCTTCTTCCTTTTTCTATACCTTACCCTTCCTTTCTGCCTGTCTTCCTCTATATTAGTTCGAGTTATGAGAAGGTGTAAAATATAATAGTTCATCTATACAAATAAAATACATCATTTGAACTCAGAAAAGCAATTAAGCAAGCATCCATTGAGGACGCACCCTGTGGAAGATAATCTGCTACACACTCAGGATGAAACAATGGATATGTCTTAATGTCCGGCTTCAAAAAATGTTCAGTACTGCCTGACGTTGTCCCTGTACCATGCAAGGATCTGGAGGCTGCAGACATGAGTCAGCCTTGACAATGCTTCACAGGCTGTGCCGTCCCAAAACAAGTGGATTGGCAGGCACATTGCCATTTTCAGAAATGTTGAAGTTGGTGTAAGAGATTCCTTGGGAATTGGTAGGGGAAGGAGTTGATGATTTCAATTTTAGACAAGTTATGTGGACATTGGGACAGGCGAATGGAGCTGTTCCCAAGCATCTAAGAAGTTGAAAAGTCCTAGGGTTGGTGTTGCAGTGTTTTTTTTTAAACAATGATAATGTAAATCATAAATTGGCTAGCCATTATTTTCTTAAACTACATGGAGTGAATGTGATTTTCTTTTCTTCAGAATATCCTGATACTCCTTGAAACAATTGGAAACACTCTTCTACATTATGGGTGGGTAATCAGGGATAAGAAAGCATGGTTCAGCATACCTGGCCACTTAGTTGCTATTGGGCAAGCTCCCACTTTCTTCCCAAGATGCTCAGAATTAAACCCAATCCCCGGCTGCTGCCTCAGGAGAACTAAGTGTAATTGCTTCTGGGCACGATTTTGGGGTGAAACAGTAACACTTTTGTGGGGAAAGTACAATGAAGCGGAAAGAGTACAAGCTTTGGACTTGGGTTTGCATCCCAGATCTGCGACTTAACTAGGTCTAAATTGCCACACAATTATTTTACTTTCTTGTCTCCTTGATTTCTTAATCTGTAAAATGGAAATGAATTCAGGGTCAGGTGAATATGATCTAATACTTAATGCCTGGCTCAGGGCTTAGTTGAGAATATAGGCCAGATACAGCCTAACTAAGTGAACTCAGTTCTCTGTACTACAGTTTTGGGTCCAAGCTCAGTCTTTAAATCAAACATCACTTTCTTTCCCTTAGTTATAGTCCTTTGTGCATATTGTTTTCTCTACGGAAACCCGCAGTCAAATATTCTTGGGTTCCTCAGCTTATTTCTACCTAATGTCACCCTATTCCAAATATGATGAATGCAATTAATAACTGGACTAAGACCTGGGTCAGACTGTCAATGGCTTGATTTCTGGGGTTCCCTGCCTCTGAAATAGGGACACAAGAAATTTAGAAGTCTCAGGCTGCTTCTTCCCTCCTGGAAACTTGCATGGCTGGAGCAGATGATGATACAACCATGGAGCTTTCTTTTCGTTTTCTTTCCTGACTTGGTTTCTGTCCAGAATTTAAACAAATAGGCTGCAAATGGAAGTTATATGAAGTACTGGCATCTTTCTTTTGGGATTGCTTTGTTTAAAGAGCCTTTTTATGACAGATAAGTTCTGTGATATATACGTTTATATGAGGGGTTTGAATATGATTTAGATCTGAACTTCATGCAGAGTGAAAAAGAGTCACTTCTCTTTTATCCAAAATGTTCAATATTTTAATTGTAAATTAAAGATACGCTCAGCTTTTGCCTCACTTGATTGGGTCATTTTTCTTCAATTTAATTCAATCTAGTGCATTCCACATAAATTAAAGCTTATTGAGTACCTACTGTATATGTAGTGTCATGCAAGGACCCAGAGACACAGAGAGAAATAGCACTCATTCCCCACCCACCTCTTCCAAATGTGCCCTGGACTCGTCCACTTCTCTCCATTCTCCCTGTTGCTTCCTATGTGGCCTCCATCATTACCTAGACTGTGGACATAGCCTTCCAAGTAGTCTCCCTGCATTGGGTGGTCCCGTCCACATTCTCCCCAACAAACTAAATGATGTTTTTGAAATGGAATTTAGATTACAAGATTCCCTTCCTTAAAATCCCCCATGGCTTCAACTGAATTTAGAAGAGCATTCAACTTTTTTTTTTTTTGCAACCTCTTTGCTCTTCTTTCATGCCTGTATCTCCAAAATCCCTTTAAGCCAGACCCCTCTTTGCCACCAGTCTTCCGCCCCAGCCTTCTTCTTGTCCTTGGTGTATTTAGTGCGTTGGTTTTCTCCACTACTATTTCCTTGGCTGGAATGCTCTTCAATCGGATCTGGTCTGTGGCTCTCTCCTCTGATGTCATTGAAGTTGTCTTCTCAGAGAAGTCTCCTCTGCTCACCCAGTCTAGAATAGCCTCTCTATAGCACTGGTCACTGCCCGATGTTCTTGTTTATTTGTCCATCATCTTCCCACTCTAAGTTTCATCGAGAAGGTGCTGTGTTTGACTTTTTTTTAATTATTCTTTTAGATGGAGTCTTGCTCTGTTGCTAGGCCGGAGTGCAGCGGCACCATCTCGGCTCATTGCAACCTCCACCTCCCGGGTTCAAGTGATTCTCCTGCCTCAGCCTCCTGAGTAGCTGGGACTGCAGGCACACATCACCATGCCCAATTAATTTTTGTAGTTTTAGTAGAGACGGGGTTTCACCATGTTGGCCAGGATGATCTCGATCTCTTGACCTCATGATCTGCCCACCTCAGCCTCCCAAAGTGCTGGAATTATAGGCATGAGCCACCGCACCCAGCAGTGTCTGACTTCTTATAGCTCTCTTCCTAGTGCTAGAATAGAGTACCCTCAGAGGTGCTCAATAGATGTTTGTTAAAAGAACAAGTAAATCCATTCAAGATAGTCACGGGCCACTGGAATCTGAAGTGCTGCAACCTAACTGATAGAAGGGAGACATGGAATTCAAGGAAGGGGTGCACCATTATGGGACCATTAACAAAAGCCAGTGGATAGGAAGATGGGTCTTTACAATATGGCAACACCTTTGGAAAATGTTCCACTGCTTGTCCTCAGAAATCTGACATGTAGGTATGACAATGTCTTCTCTTTTGGGAGTAAACTTGCTCATAAAGAATGATCTATAAACATGAATGAAACCGTATCAACTTTAAATGAGAAATGTGACTGTTAATGAATGGGATTAGGTCATAGAATCATGAAAACAGCATAATTTCAGTCTCCAGGTTGGATGTCTGGGAACTAATGTATTCTCAGAAAGTTACTCATGGAGCTTGGAGTCATATCATAGCAGTTAGTAATCAGTTTACGGTTTTAATAGAATTGCCAAGTCAAAAGCTAGGAAAATCCCCAGCTGTTTAGCAGGTGGAGTGCAAATGGGTCAAGATAAAATGGTCAGGCCCAAGATCAAATGCAGCACATGGATTGGCAACTCCCTTTCATGTGGAGCCTGCTTTGTATCAGTGCTGAAGTGTGAATAGTTAGAGGAGCCGAAATATACAAGTTTTCCTATTTGCTGCCCTGCTTCCAACTCAGACCCAGTCAAAAAAACCAAATGTACCCCATAAACAAATGACGTAAGATGCTGCTCGTAGTTTATTTGAGCTCCCCATTGCAAACAGTCTCCAATCAGGACACACTTTAAGCCATCCCTGTTTTGACTATAAAGCTCCTCCATTCCCCTGCCTGCCATAAGCGATGGTGCCTGAGTCCTTTGCTATAGCAAGTTCTGAATCAATAGCCTCTGATTGTTCTTCTTTGGGTGGTCTATTTATTTCCTCATTCCCAAGACCCTGAATAAGAGACATTAATATTTTCATTTTACTTTAAGGAAACTGAGGCTGAGAATTGTTATAAAACTTGGTCAAGTTCTTACAGCCGAATGGGACAAAGCCAGCATTTGAAGTCACAGCTCTCTGATTCCAAAGCAATTGCTCTTTCTATTCTGCAGTGACATCTCTTCCAGGACCCATACCTGCTATGCACTTGTTGAAGGCAAGGCATGTGTCTTATTTCTCTGTATAACCCTAGTGCCTTCCACAGGGACAGGCCAATGCTGATCAAATAGTTGAGGGCTTGCATTATTGCTAATGTTCCTATGACATTGTTCTAGATAGTTTTTAACAGGTCTGTATTTCTTAAAGCAGACAATGTAAGCAGGTTCTGGTGAACTTTTCTGTTCTTAGGATAAATGTGAGCTGTTATTTATTGCAAAAAATACCAAGACTCATTTTTTAAAATACTGCTTAACGTAATAATTCCTGGAAATGGTTCTCCTGTGGTGAAATCATGAAAAGTAAGTGAAAAGAGCTGCAAATGTTGCTTCTGAGCAAAAGATTAGTTGAACGTATTCCTCTCCTTGGGTTTGCTTCACATGTTTGAGTAATAGAATTTGCTGGTTGGCCTCACATTGTAAATTACAAACCCAACCATTGTGGGGCTCCTGAGTGACAGCCTGGGTCATGTGGCTTTGGTATGTGCAGGTCATGTGATCAGAGCTGGATATTCTTGGGAGAAATCCATTCTGAAGCAACCATGTTGCCAGTGTCCCAAACCTCTGGCTCATTAGTGAAACTGTTCATAAAATCATGTTTTGTAGGTGTGATCTCATGGAAGTAGAGACTAGAATGATGGTTATCAGAAGCTTGGAACTTGGGGAGAGGAGGTGGGAATGAATGGTTAGTTAATGGGCATAAACATACAATTAGAAGAACCAACTTCTGGTGTTCAATAGCACGGTAGGGTGACTATAGTTAACAATGTAGTGTATATTACACAATAGCCAGAAGAGAAGATTTAAAATGTTTCCAACACATAGAAATGATCAATGTTCCAAATGATGAATATCCTAAATGCCCTGATTTAATCATTACACATTGTATGCATGTATCAAGATATCACATGTACCCCATAAATATGTACAATTTTTATATATCAATACAAATCTTAAAATATTCATTTCTGTGGAAGTTTAGTAGTTCTGGGAGCACTTTAAACTAGGAGCAAAACACAGAAGAAAACATCCATTATGGAAAGCATGTATATCGGCAGCAGTTCTTTTACAACAGTTTGCAAAGGTTGCTGAAGTAATAATTATATAGGATGTTGTTAAGAAATGAATTTTCTCAGAGCAGCCGAGGAGTAGGAATGGAACAGTCTGGATTTTACAGAGGACTAGGTGTTTGGAGCAGGAGAGGCTTTATCAATTTTCAGAAGCCTCAATAATCTGATCTATCAACTAGGTATAAGTGCTGTCTGCTCTATTTTAAGTATCAAAAGAGATAATAACAAATGTGAAAGTACTTTGTACATTCTGAAAGGTCATACAGATATGATCATTATTATCACAAAACAAATTATCCAAAATGATTGCTTGTTTTCCACAGAATATCCTAGTAAAATAAATCATGGTTTTAGAGAGGTGAAATGTCACTGTCAGTTGTGTAAAACCTAGAACTTACATTTGCATCAGTGATTGTATTAGTTGTCACACTGCTATAATGACATACCTGAAACTGGGTTATTTATATAGGAAACACTCACAGTTACACAGGGCTCTAGAGGCCTCAGGAAACTTACAATCATTGTGGAAGGGGAAGCAAGCATGTTCTTCACAAGGCAGTAGGAGAGAGAAAAATGAGAGATGAGTGAAGGCGGAAATTCCTTATAAAACCATCAGATCTCATGAGAACTCACTATCCCAAGAATAGCGTGGGGAAAACCACCCCCAGGATTCAATTACCTCCCATTGGGTCCCTCTAACGACACATAGGGATTATGGGAACTACATCAAGATGAGATTTGGGTGGGAACACAGCCAAACCATATCAGGGATCATAGAATTGTCAGTATATGTCAAGCTCTGAAAGATCAGATCATTTAGTTCACCCTATCTATTTGAAGTCTAAAGAGAATTTGCCCAATGTCAAAAGCCTTTGTTTCAGGGAAAGACAAAGTGAGAAGGCCTTGAGGGGGTGGGTCTATATGAGAAAAGGGAAAAAAAGGAGTTGAGCCTGATATATATGCTTAAGTGCTTTTTCTAGGTAGGAACGTTAAATTCCATTAACCCACCACTTGTGAAACCAAGGAAGCAAGGTGATGACTGGAGGCCACGTTGGGTGGTCAGTAGGAAAGATGGTAAAGAGAAGACAAATATGGTGTCTCTCTATGGTATTATCCCTGTGTAGCTGAAATGGAGCTTTTTCAGCAGAAGATTGGCTAACTGTGAGTTTCAGTATTTTTGTACAATTTGTTACATAGACCATTGGTATTTTTGCATTCTACCACAAATATTTGGCCTAACATAATTTGGAAAATTCTGGTATATCTCAGTTGCACTGGAGGAACCAAGGCAAGATGGGTGTCTGCTCAAACGAGGACTCTTCCTGATGAGGCAGAGTCTTGTCCTTGGAAAATCTGATTTTTCAGAGTGACTTAGAAATTGCTGGCACAGGATTATGACTCCTTGGGACTTATTGATCCAGTTGCCTTGTTACAATGTTGAATCTTTTTGAGTTCTGTTTTCTGCCCTAACTGCAGAGTTCTGTGCTTTGTTTTCCAACAAGGTTGGAAAGAAGGGCTGGGTTCACTGCTTTCAGTTAACTTTGGAGGGGTCATTTCTGAGCAACCTGGCACACACAATAACCTGTCCTTTGACTAGTGATGTGGCTCCCTGATAAGAGCCACCTGATACATCCTAATGGATGCACACCTCTTCTTAGGAGCAGGCACATTCCTCAGATGTCTGGCTCCAACCTGACAGCCTTTTGAACTTCCTATATTCTGAAAGCCCATTATTTGACTTAATAATCTGGGGGAGATTTCAGGGCTTGCTCTTGCCAAGGTTTTTTCAGACATTTGTCTAAGGACAAGACATGATTTGTAAGAAAATATTTTTGAAAATAATCTCTGTGGAAGATCAACATGTTCAGATCTCACCTTGACCCTTTGACCCACCCACTCCCTCTTCCAGTATTTTTGCCTCCAAGGAAAGATTATAACTGGTTGTCTCCTTTTGGCCATACTCCAATGACTTACCAAATATCTACCCCAAAGCTTCTCTATTGGTCCTGCAAAACTGTGGTTTCCGTGGGCTCCATGGCTAGTTGCTGGTCCAGCTGAACAACTTCTGCCCTTATCTTGACCTTTCTGCTATACTTAACTCTGATAACTCCTTCTACTTTCTTGGAACTCTATCATAAGCTTCTATTCTCACCTAGTCGTCTAATTTTTTTCGTATTTCTTTTCTCTCACAGGTCAGGTTCTCCAGAAGCAGATGCAGAAATAACATCTAGAGTGTGGGGTGTTGATTAAGGATGAATTTCTGTGAGCAGAAGAGAAAAAAGAGGAGATAGAGGAAGAAGGTGAACTTCCTCGTGGGAACAACCATGCCTCAGTAACCCCAGGATCTCCGGAGGGAGGACTGGACAAATCACACCTAACAGCGTGTCCTGTGTCACAGTAAAATGGGCAGGTGTTTATTGCCACTTGGCTCAGTCACAAAATGCCTTGGCCCTGGGAAGGACAGGAGAACTGCAGGCAGAGCAGTTCTCTGCAGGGCGGGTGGAAGCTGAAGGAGCTGACAGCCAAATGCTGTTTACAGACCACACTCCCTACTCCTGGGCAGGCAAGTCTGGACTTCAAGGGGAAGGTCAGCGACTCAGCCTCTTATGACTTCCACACTTCCTTGCAGGTATGACTTTGCATCAGCTGGTCATAAACACCCCTCACAATGATGAAAGCAATGGACTCTGTCTCTGAAGAGAAATGTGTGAGTGCCCACTGATAAGTATGTCACCAACAACTTCAAAAATTGTTCATAAGTGTTCCAAAACCCGCCCACAAGTTTTTACAGTGGATAAACCTAATTAGGGTTAACTTGACATTGAATTTTATTTTCTTACTGCATTTAAATTCACATCCAACTGTATTTCAATAAAATCTCAAAATCAAAATGATGCTGGGCATTTTCTCCTGTATTATTTTATTTAGTCCTGACTACATACCTCTGAGTTGAATATTGTTAATCCTGTTGACATATTAGGAAACTGAGTCCCCGAGAGGGTAAATGATTCACCTGAGAGCTCACTGACATTGAGTAGTGGAGCCAGGATGTCACAGCAGCTCTGTTTACCTCCGTCACTCACGTCTCTTCCACTCAATCTCCCTTCCTCAAAGAGTTTCTCAGCTGTCCAGGAGTTTGTTCCACTGCCATGCCATAGAGAAGTGGATAGTGTTTGTAACATGGAATGGACCTAATGTTTTTGTTATTCTCTCTCACTACCCCTTGTGTGGGCTCATTTAAAATGGATTTAATTAAAAATGCTTATTATGTAGATAGTACTTGTGTTTGTTATACACAGTATAACACACAGAACTTTTTATGTTCTTATTGAGTCAACATTTACTAAATCTATTAAATAACATTTCTGCTAATTGGCCTGAGACTGATGCAGGGCTAGGCCCACACGAAGTATCTAATGAGTAGTCTAAGGGAATGCATAAATGATTCAGCAGAAGAATGAGTGAACAGATTTTTTATTGCCAAATCCTCAGGCCTTCTCTAAGATCTCTTCCTACTGGGTACCACTTCTACATTTGTAATTGTTGGAAAGCATGCAAATCCATCTGGCTGCCTCTTCTTTCATTCTGAATTTGGACTCTCAACCCAATGGACTATTGGGAATCACTCGTGTGTACATTAAGCCCCCGAAACCCAACATCTGCACAGCTCACTCGGTGGCAGCAATTTTGTGGTGGTTAACAGTGAGGCTTTGAAACCCCACATGCCTGGGTTTGGATTCTGGCTTCCACCACTTCCTGGCTGCTGACGCCTTGGCCAAGGTGTTTAAGCCTCCATTATTGTGAGGATTGAGCATGGGAGCTACATTCAAAACACACCTGTCACATATGAAAACTCCATCAATGAGAGCTCTCATCATCCTGACCAACTCAGCTTTTTCTGTAAGGCCCATCAGATCCCTACCTATATCTGATCGGTATCCACCTTCACCCATCAAATTGGATTCCCCAGGCTTCCTCCATCCCTACATTCAAAGTCACCTCAATGACATCTCTCAAATCCACTCCCAACTTCTCCTTCCCCAGCATCCTGCTCTGGCTCTGGCCTTCCTTCTCTGGTGTCTTGACTGTTGAAGTGTGTTCCCACCTGACCTCCCTCACAGTGGCCAGACTTGTTTTCCTGGAGCCCAAACTACACACTCCATTTACAGTATAGATTCAGTGATGTTGATGTCCTTGCCTCAGTGACTCCTGCTACCCTCAGACTCAAGTTTAAATTCCTTCCTTGTCTCAATGACCCCCACTACCCTCAGACTCAACTTTAAACTCCTTAGCATCATGGCATCCAATGTCCTCTAGCACCTGGTATCACTTCTGTCCCCAGATTCTTCTTTCCCTGTTTATCTTCCAACTTCCAACTATGCTAAACCTATGAGTTTCCCAGACATGTCTATATTTTCCTTTTCCCCTTGGCCTTTGCAT
This sequence comes from Homo sapiens, assembly GCF_000001405.40. Taxonomy (NCBI): domain Eukaryota; kingdom Metazoa; phylum Chordata; class Mammalia; order Primates; family Hominidae; genus Homo; species Homo sapiens. Next base: position 98,468,961 of record NC_000014.9, on the reverse strand, counting down.
ATGCATTCCTTCTTTTCTCTCTGGGACACCCTGCAGTTTCCTTAACTCTCATGCTTGCTGTCTTTCTCTGGAAGCTATCCCTAAATCCCCACAGATTGACTGGGTGGCTCTCTATGTCCTATCACTGCGTTTTGGTAGGAGCTGAAAGCCTCACACGAGGGGAAAAGGAACACAGACATGTAGGACTGATCCATGCTCCAGGCACAGTAAGGCTACATACTTACATGACTGGGGCCTTCTAGACACCTGTGCAACTCACCTGAACTTAATCTTCCACAGGGCTTGGAGTTGGCCACCTCATCTAGGGCCCCAACGTCAGACCTACTGCAGCCTCTCTGACAGAAAAAGCCCTCTTGTTTCTCCCATTACTCAGCTGCACCAGAATGAATAGGGTCCAGGATTTTATAAAGTTCTTGGGGTCACTGGTGATTACTGGCCCTACAAGAGGAAGTAAATCCTGTTATCTTCCTGGACCCTTGGAGAGGAAACAGGGTTAGTGTCTGACTCCAGGGCCCAGCAGCTCGGAAAACAGTCTCCTGGGCCATCCTCCCACATGGACTTCCTCTTCTGCTCTCCCTACCTCCTTGAGAGCTTTATGAATTTTATATGTATAAATATGTATGTGTGTGTGTGTGTGTGTGTGTGTTTGAAATCATGCAGAAAACTGATCAATGTGTGTGTGTGTGTGTGTGTGTGTGTGTGTGTGTTTGAAATCATACAGAAAACTGATCAACTCTGTATCCAGTAGGGATGATGTGGAACCTGGACCTATACATGGTCTACATGGCCTACATTGCAGGGGAGGAGGGTCTGGGTGGGCTGTGGTTAAAAGACAAATTTGATGGTTAGACCATTTGGGTTCACCTTCTTAGGTCTGGGGCTCCCAGAACCTAATTTATCAGTGTTTCAGTTTCCCTATCTTTAAATGGGGGTAATAACAGTGCTAACCTTCATTGCAGGGAGTAGTGTTTAGTGCAACTCTGGCACAAAGCAGGCATGTGCTTAGACTTAGCTATTACCTGAGGCTTCTGCTATCCAGTTAAAGGAGGAAATCTATGCAGAGAGGCATTAGAAAATTGACTGGTTGGGGGCTTCGGGGTGGAACTTTTGTTTGAAATCCAGTCCCATCATTTAAAGAATGTGGTGCCCATCCTCATTGTCTTCACCTCCAAAACATGGATCGTACACCTGAGAGAGTTGTTGGGAAGTTTAGAAATAACAGTATAGGTCAGGGGGTGCAAAACTCCTGTCCCATTTGTGCAAATCCTCTTCTCCTTGAGTTCCTGTAAAGATTAAATAGAGTACCTGTGACCATAGACAGCACTTTCCCTCAGAGGAGCTAAAAGATGGGAACTGGGTCACTGATCCAACTTAAGTGAGGGCAGCCAGGCCGTGGAAGAAATTACTAAACCCTGTCAGAGACTTTCATGGACAAAAACCGGCATGAGGAAGAGAGAGGACCTTCAGCAAACCCCACACAGGCACAGGGAGGAAAGACTTGGGAGCTGTGCTGCTAGGAAATCGTGAAAGGCAGCCGCAGGAGTGTGGGGAGCGGAGGCTGCTGTCCCTAGGGGGCCCCGAGTGGGCTTAGGGAGTGTGTGGGTCCCTTCTCCCCAGGAGCAAACCAGGGACTTGGGTTTGGCAGAGACAGGCAGGAGCCGGCGCCTGGCACCTTCTCTGTTCCAGAAGGCACGCCAAGCAGAGAGAGTGGATTAGGAGGATTTAAAGTACAAAAAGTAAAACAAGCTGTTTTGTTTTTTTCTTAGACAATCATCCTCAAAGACAGTGAGTGGAATTTGTGTCACTTTAAATAAGCAACGTATCAGGAGGAAAAATGAAGTAGAAAGATCCCCCATGTCTGTCTTCTGGAGACAGTGAGACAACACACTAGTCAGTGTGCCAGACACAGCCACACCCGCCCCTCTCTCGGCAATGCATTTTTTTCTGTGATTCACTCCCCATCCCTCACGCTGCCTAAAGTCTATTATTCTTGTCCTCAGGAGTTCTTTAGTTCAAGGGAAGCCAGCAATTCCCTGCCAATGATTTCTCTCTATTATCACGAATGTGAGTGATTCAACCGAAGTTCATTGAGTGTCTACTTGAGCTCAAGAGGAAAGCGCAAAAACTCTGTACAAAGGCAAATACTTGGTTCTATTCTGGAGGGAAGGCTGATTTCTAGGATGGAAAACACTCCCAAAAAGCACTGGAATATAAAAATGACAACTTATGGAGTTAGTCCAGCACGCCTTTATAAACAGCGTTTGCACACGTTACCACATTTCACAAAACAACCCTGTGAATAGGAAATGAGTGTTAACAAGCCCCACTGCATGAAAGAGGGGATAAAAAGCCACTAAAAGGATGTGAATTATCCAAAGTCACTCAACTAGAGAGATGACTGGCCTATGGTCCCAGACGGGGAAGGTCACCTTCATGATGCTTGCTAAGACACTCACCGTCTTCTCTTTAAGTTACACCTCCATGGCCATCTCAAGAACAGACTTCTATCAACTACAGTGTTACTCCATGGTCCTGCTCTTTGGCCATTGCTTGGTGAGCCAGGTCCTGCACACCTGAACAAATCTCTGCAGGTGTGCATGGAAATGGTAAAATGATCAGAAAGAATTAAAGAGGAATGCTGAGGCCGGGCGCAGTGCCTCACGCCTGTAATCCCAGCACTTTGGGAGGCCAAGGTGGGCAGGTCCCCAGGTCAAAAGATCGAGAGCATCCTGGCCAACATGGTGAAACCCCGCCTCTACTAAAAATACAAAAATTAGCTGGGCATGGTGGCGTGTGCCTGTAGTCCTAGCTACTTGGGAGGCTGAGGCAGGAGAATTGCTTGAACCCTGTAGGTGTAGGTTGCAGTGAGCCAAGATCAAGCACTGCACTCCAGCCTGGGTGACAGAGCGAGACCCTGTCTCTCAAAAAAAAAAAAAAAAAAAGGGATGCTGACCATTCTGCTACAACTACCCTCAATTTCTAAATTTGCACCTTTAAACAAAATCTAAAACAAATCATTCCTTCCTTTCTCTTCACAAAGAAGGCAAAGACCTTAAAGTCCTTTAATTCACTCCGAATTCCACTTATTTCTCTGAACTCACAGTTATCATCTAATATTTCAGTTCTGAATCATTTTTATGCACAAAAGATTAGCAGTAATAAAATAATAATGATTATTATTATATAAGGTCAATCCTGATTCAGCATTTCCATCATGTATGACCGACGTGTTTACTCATTATTGCCTCTTGGTTCCCGCTACTTTCTTCTGGCCTAATTTTCTTTCTTACTGAAGTTTCTTCTTCCATTGAAAGGATCTTTCAAGTGAAGATCTGTGGATAGAATTCTCTTAGTTTTTAGATACCTGAAAATCTGTTTTTTTGAATCTGTTAAAGGTTATGTCAACTATGAATAGTAGAGTGTTCCTCAAAACAATGATTTAAACCCATCCAAGTTTTATTTTCCTCATTTGAAAAGAAAATCAGAGCTGGGTGTGATGGCTCACGCCTGTAATCCCAGAACTTTGGGAGTTCTGGGAGGCCGAGGCGGGTGGATCACGAGGTCAAGAGATCAAGACCATCCTGGTCAACATGGTGAAACCCCATCTCTATTAAAAATACAAAAATTAACCTGGCGTGGTTGTGCGCACCTGTAATCCCAGTTACTCAGAAGGCTGTGACAGGCCGGGCGCGGTGGCTCACGCCTGTAATCCCAGCACTTTGGGAGGCCGAGGCGGGTGGATCACGAGGTCAGGAGATCAAGACCATCCTGGCTAACACGGTGAAACCCCGTCTCTACTAAAAATACAAAAAATTAGCCGGGCGAGGTGGCGGGCGCCTGTAGTCCCAGCTACTCGGGAGGCTGAGGCAGGAGAATGGCGTGAACCCCAGGGGGCGGAGCCTGCAGTGAGCCGAGATTGCGCCACTGCACTCCAGCCTGGGCGACAGCGAGACTCTGTCTCAAAAAAAAAAAAAAAAAAAAAAAAAAAAAAGAAGGCTGTGACAGGAGGATTGCTTGAACCCAGGAGGCGGAAGTTGCAGTGAGCCGAGATCGCGCCACTGCACTCCAGCCTGGGTGACAGTGTGAGACTCTGTCTCAAAAATAAAATAAAGTAAAATAAAATAAAATAAAATAAAAATCAGAAAGGCCAACTGTGGCTTGTGTGCTAATTGTGCAACATACACAGGGATCTGGCCCTGCTGTTTCCTTTTCGATGGCTTCCAGGTCACTTCATGCTCATAATTTGGTGGCTGAAGCTCCAGCCTTCTCTGAAGTTCCAGTTAGAACCAAAGGGAAAGGTAGAAAGCAAAAATGACAGTATCTGTTGCCTCAGACCCTTGCAAGCAGATTCTGTTTGCGCTTTACTAACGATTGTGTTCGTTGCTGCATACACGCCAGTCAGCCGGTGACACTTCAAAAATCGTTTTCCTGCAATTCTGTTTTCTCTCCACCTGGGTCTTATAGGGAAGTTTGAGCTTCTGTATCTTTAAACTTCCTTTCATATATTCCATCTTTTCACCCTTCTGACAGATATACTTTATATTTATTTATCTCCCAATTTGCTAATTCTCTAATTTTCTGTGCTACAATTACTGTTTTACTCAGTTATTGAAATTAAAATTAAATTCTTATTTTTATTTTATTACTTGCATATCTAGGCTTCCTAACTGGTTATTGTTACTATCTAGCTTCCTTTGTTGGTTCTTGCTTTATGTATGACGTTTCCTTTTATCTTTGAACATATTAAATATTTTTATTGTAAATAACTTTTAGACTCCTCTATTTTATATGGCCCCATGGGTCTAAGTTTCCCATCTTTCGATCTGTTGGCTATTATTTCTGGTGGTGTATGTTTGCAGTTCTTGAGTTCAAGGTCACTTCTCAAGGGCATTATCTTCAATGGACATTCCCTTCTCTTGAGCATGAAGTTGTCCTTTTGAGAAATTTGGAACTTGCCTCTGCTTAGACGATGCAGAGTTCACTGGCTGTGAATGAATTTCGGGGGCCTTGGGTTGGGGTTTCTGTATTTCATGAGTTACTCTAATTGAAATCTGAACCTACTGCTGTGCACTTCTTGGTTTGTCATCTTTTTCACCAAGGCTTTGGGTCGGCAGCAAGCTTCTGGACAGGAGGTTAAGATTTTCTAGTTCCAGTTCACAGAGAGTCAACATACAAAAGACTCATGGCTTCATGCTTATTGCCCTGGTCCTCTGCTTTTTGTTCTTGGGCTTATGTCCCTTGGACTCTAACTCCAGCTTTCTAATTCATCTCCCTTACTCCATGATTTCTCTGTCCACTCTACGCAGTGTCCAGTGCCAGCTTTCTAGAAGGCAACTCTTATACCTGCAGGTAAAGGAGTGGTTTCCATGGCTCCACATGTCTGGTCCAGAGCCCCCCGTTTGGGCCATATACTCAGAATCCTGAGTTTCTTCTACATGACTGGTCCCTGCATATCTTCTTGCTTGCTTTGAACCACAGCTAAATACATGTTTGATAATTTTTACGTCACCTAACATTTCCATGTGTTCAGAGCAGGAAGGATGGTATTAATATGTGCTTCATAAGTCATCTTGTCGTGAAGTTAAAGTCTACAATCTATGGAAAAGAGAGTTTGTACAAGGGGTTGAGAAGTGCTGTTCGCTCAGGGCAGGGTGCTTGGATTGGTACCGTGTACCTTAGGAGCTTCACGACTGTCCTGCCTGTTATGCACTTGTCTGAAGATTTAGCTGCAGAGAGAGGGATGAATAGAGCCCATTTGCCAAGTGGGGTCAAGTCAGGAGGGGAGCCTTCTGGCTTCTCAACAGCTTTTCAACCTGTTTCCAGTCTCTTACATGGCTATCTGACACTTTCTGTCTTTGATTGCGTAAGATAATTCGCCGTCCTTCAAGTGTATGCTTTTGTAGAAATTCACTGAAGTGGTTCTCTCTACATGCAACCAGAGGAGCTTTCACCAAAACGTGGAATTCAAGCTCAGACCCATCAAAAGCCCAACTCAGATCCTCCAATTTCCTCAGAGAATGGGTTGGCCTGTTTGATCAAAAGTCAAGGCTTGCGTAGGTCATTTTAAGTAATACAGTACTGAAATAAGAACATTTCAATAAGCCATAAACTGTGGTCCTCCAAGTGAATTTCTCTCTGTCATCACAGAATGCCTGAAATCAGTTGGAAAAATTGCTTTGGAGATGGGCAGTGTCTCATTGTTTCTTAGTGGTTGAATAAGCCTGAGTCTATTAGTTAACCTCTCAAACTCTCAGACTGGTAATTTGTGAATACTCAGGCTATTTGGAACGTTAAAAGCATCAGTGTAGTCTACAGGGCCAAAGCAGTAGACTACAAGCAAGTTTGTCCCTGTAATCTACAAGGACAAAACATCTGTCATCTCATCTTCTCTCTGCTTACAATGAGCAGGTACTTAGAGAAGAAAGAGTGGTACTGCCGTAGAAGAAACTCTCTTTGAGGAAAGATCTGGCATCACTTTGGGGCAGGGAGCCCTTTTGGCCAAGGCAGCATGTGCCTACTTGGAGGCATGACCATGTCCAGTCTTCAGCTACTCTTGGAAGTGCCCTTTATGGTTTGGTTTTTGGAGGCTGAGGCTTCCATTGTCTGATGATTGTCAGGAGCAGTAAGTTGACACTGCATGTTTTCCTCCTCTGAGTTTAAATGCATTGTGAGGGAGGCAGGCAAGTTCATATGAGGAAGGTAATTAAGTTCCCATTGATTGTGCCTGTCTTCATTTCCCCAACTTGTTTCATGGCTTCACTAGTTGGTGTTCAAGGTCCACAGGGGCAGTAATAGACATTGCTACATGGTCAAGATTTAAATAGGGGCAGAGGGAGATGGCCCTTGACCTGATTCTCAGGGGAAGGACTTGGCATTTTTTGAATATTTTGCTTATTTTTTTCCCCAATTATTCACATTCAAAAGGCCCCCTTTTATTTGCTAAGAAGCACTGAGAATGCAGTTTGGAGCAGGCAGAAAGAAGTTGAGCTACCACACTGCTTATCCTCTCAAATAACACAGAGATTGTCTCTTTTCAGGCAAGGGGTGATGGGGCACATTTCTTAAGAAGTGCTGGAGGGATGCCTTCACGTCCAAGCTGGACGGCATTCCTGTGTGTGATATCTCACGGTGAGGTGAGGAACTGGCATCTTCTAAAGAAAAGCCTCATTTAGAAGGGCAGGCCAGGTTGTGGGTCCCTTGGATTGTAAATCCAGCTTTCTAATTCATCACCCTTACCGCACATTTGCTCTGTCTACTCCATGCAGTGACCAGTGCCAACTTTCTAGAAGGCAACTCTGACCATGTCTCCCTGTAAGCTGCCACTTAGCCCTCAGGACAAGCTCAGGACTTAAATCATGGAGTATGGAGCTTCACACAGCCAGCATGACTTCTTTGTTTTCGTCTGTGCTTAGAGAAAAAACATTAATACAAAGATGGTTTAGTTGGGCCATGTGTTGGTCTGTTTGCATTGCTATGAATGAAGGCCTGAGGCAAAATAATTTATAAAGAAAAGAGGTTTATTTTGGCTTACAGTTATGCAGGCTGTACAAGAAGCATGGTACCAGCATCTGCTTCTGGTGAGGCCTCAGGAAGCTTCCACTTATGGCAGGAAGCAAAGAGAAGCCGATGTATCACATGGTGAGAAGATACAAGCAAGAGAAAGGGGAGGTGCCGGGTTCTTTAAACAACCAGCTCTTGTGTGAACTACCAGAGTGAGAACTCCCTCATCACTATAGGGATGGCACCAAGCCATTCATAAGGAATCCACCCCCATTACCCAAACACCTCCCACTAGGCCTCACTGCTAACACTGGAGGTCACATTTTAACATGACATTCAGAGGGGACACATATTCAAACTATATCGGTCATGAACCCAAAAATACCTGTAGGAGAATGAGGAAGTGAGTTAGAGAAGAGCGTGTTAACAAGCTGTTTACCACCAAGGCAACAGGAGCTTAATCCATCTAAGATCCCACAGAGGTGGCAAGGGAGGTGGGGTATGGATTCCCCAATGGCTATAGATGTGGGTGGGTGCTGCTGAAGGGGCAGCCCCAGGCCCTCTGGTCCTCTGCCCACATGGTCCAAGTGGGTTCTGATGGCCAGAGAAACTCCTCAACAAGGAAAGAAGGTACTGATAATCTGAGCAGGGTTTATGAGCACGGACATGCTAATGATGGGAGAGAAGTCAGGGTCCACCTATCTCTCTCTTTCTCACCTGCAGAAAATGTGTAATATTAATATATACATAATGCAAGGTTAATGAAAACACTGTGCTCTTTACCATGGCCTTTTTCCCAGGTCCATCCCTAAGATGCTAAAATATTCCAGATCGTCCTGTTTACCTGATGTCTACTTATTCACTAAGTAAAATCATTGAATTACTTTTACCAACTGATTATTATATACACTGTGGGGAAGTCTGTGGATTTCTTATTTAATATGGCACAATATTTTTGTCATTAAAAACGTATAATTTCACAGTAAGTGGTGGAGCAAGTAACATGCAGACCAGAAACCAGGCAATTACATTGCATTGCATCAAGTCCAATGATTGGGGGAGAACAGGGTAATATGAAAACTTTTTATTTTTTTTGAGATGGAATCTCACCCTGTCACCCAGCCTAGTGTGCAATAGAGCGATCTTGGCTCACTGCAACCTCCACCTCCCAGGTTCAAGCGATTCTCTGGCCTCAGCTTCTGGAGTAGCTGGGGTCACAGGCTCGTACCACCAGGCCCGGCTAATTTGTTTTTGTATCTTTAGTAGAGATGGGGTTTCACCATGTTGGCCAGGCTGGTCTCGAGCTCCTGACCTTGTGATCTGCCCACCTCGGCTTCCCAAAGTGCTGGGATTACAGGCGTTGCACCGCGCCCACCATGCCTGGCTGAAAACTTCTTTTTTTAATGCCCCCATCTTGGATGATGAAAAATTCCAAGAGGAATGTCGAGGCTCATCTAGAGAGAGAGTGAAGGCTTACCAGTGGAAGTGATGTTTAAGCCTAGACTCATTGGATATGTGGGAGTGAAGTGGGGTAGGAGATGAGAGGCCATGACTGGTGCCATCAATGTCACTTGGCAGATGACCCACCAAGGTCTTGGATGAAAATGGTTAAAAAGACCACACACACACACACACACACACACACACAGACACACACACGCTGCCCTAAGACAGGTGACTTTGGCAGATGGTGCTTTTGTATGTGCCTCCCTGTCATGGTCTTGAGCATCCATTAGATTTCCTCTAGCAGCACTGTCTTGTCCCTCCCAGAGACCACATTGGGATACTCTGTTCATTCAGGGCATTCTTCTTTGATGGAGACTTCTCTGGAAGAACAAGGCTGCTTGCTTTAGCTGGAGCCAGACAATGCCTCCCCAGGAAGACATTCTCCATTATGGGGTCCAGGGTAGGCTCTCCTTAGAAAGATTGTGGAGAATTTTTCTTGTCTTTTTTCTTTTTTCTTTTTTTATGTACTAGAGTTGTATCATTCTTTCCCTTCTATGCTTTTGGTTCAAATGCTTTGATTTCTTTTGGTTCAAAAGAAATATGCACATCCTGAGACTATACAATAATATAACAGTTAATAATTTTTAATGAACACTTTAATACCTGGCCATCTAAATATCTACCACCCTTCAACACAGCCACTTTGGGATGCTACATATTTGTTTGAGATATACTGCTTCCTTGGGATTTTGCTTGTTTGTTTTAATGGCAGAGTGGCATGGCCAGGGACTTCTGAATCAAAGATTTGGGGTTTGGGGTCTCTCACTTGTGATGTTGAGATTCATCAATGAAACCATTTCCTCTAGGAGCCCCAGTCTCCAACTCTGATAAAAGGATGGATTTTGTCTGAGCCCCAGAGATGGAGCAAGAATTAAGGAAGTAATGAAGTGGCAATTATTGGCATTTGGTAAATGCCTGAACATTGTTGAATGCAAAGTCAAATGCTGTGAGGAGATAATTTTGCAATTTCAAAATGTTAAATTATTTTTAATGCTAGAACTATTATTTAAAGCAAAACTGTATAGCAAGCACAGCCATATAATGCTGACTCAAGACAAACAGCTCTGGTTTCAGAGGGGTGGGTGATGAATGCAGTCTCCTTGGAACATTCAGCTCCCTGGGACAAACTCTCACCTTGTCCAAGAAACTGCTGGCTCAAAAAAAGACATCTGCTTTCTTTAGGTTCCACCTCCCCATAAGAGACTAAGATTTTTGGGGGCACATAGAAAGCCCCAGTTAGATTCACAACAAGAAAGGAAGGGCTTTGGTACTTGCTACTAAAAATTGTGAAAGCCACACCATCTGATCATCCATGAAGAATGAATCCATAGGCTGATTGTGGGGTTGCATGCTTAGTCTCCATGGTTTTGCATGCTCGGTCCCTGTGGTTTTGCAATTTCCAAACCAATTTTGCAGATGCAAAGACTCAACGAACAAAGAACAACAAAGTTTACTGATTGTGTGCATTTGTGTGTGTATTTCATTTAGCTTCCCCTTATTCTAACATAACCCAGTGGAGATACTCCCCTTCTATAAAGATCTCCCAGCTCCCTTTCCCCAAAGACTTAACCTCTCCTCTTCAGTGTCTTCTTTTGACAAGCCTGTTTGCTCCAGTAGACACTGAGATTCTTGGAAACATAAACGATTGTTGAGCTCATTCAGTGGCCTGGAATGACACACGGTGTGGACAAGACATTGAAATGAAATAACATTGAGCCTCTGGGTCTGCAGCCAAGCTTTTTAGGCACTTTTTTAATCTTCCCAAGGAGAATAAGGTCATTATCTCATGAAATCCATCTCCACTTCATTTATTTGACAGAGTCTATTGTTCTACCAGTTCTCTCTGCCATTGAACTATTGTGCCTGGCCAAGTGGCTGATGGAATGAGATGCCCTGGCCCTCTGGGCCTGGGGAAGGCCACTGTGAGCTCTATGATATGACTTGAGGATTCGTAATTGCTCTTTAAGCTTTCACTGATGACAGGTCATGCTCTGCAGTGGAAACACAGCTGTCAGGGGATGAGGACCCCAGCTCTACAGTGAACCCACTGTATAGCCTGGGGAGGGCCATATAAAAACTCTGGCCTCAGCTGAGTCATCAGTCCAAAAAAGGGTGGGGTTAGATCAGTGGTGTCGAACTTTTTTCAGGGTGTGTAAGAGTACAGAAGGTAGAAGGTAGAGAAGGTAGAAAGGTAGAGAAGGCTGGTTCAAAAGAAGGCAATCCTGGAAGACTAACCTGAGAGCCACATAACAGTAGGACTCTTCTCTTTGAAGTGGGGGCTGTGCATGTGAGGATGTGTCTGAGGTGGGGTTTGCTCTTGGCCCAGCTCCCTACCTTGTAGCACCACTATCACTTGCTTTCAAGATGCCCGAGGGCTTCCAAGAAACCCCAGTGGTTCAGAGTAGGATAGTTTGGGAGAACCAACACAAAACAGTGGATTAAATTACTTCTAAGGCTCCTTCCAACTCTAATATTTCATAAGCCTTGGATTAAGTCAGATGCTGGTTAGTGTTCTTATAAGAGTTACTTTTCCTGGAGAACTTCCTGGACAACCAGATGGTGCCGGTTTGAAGCAAATATTACCCATGGGAGACAGAATGTGTTGACCGTGGTGCCTGTGGAGCACTTCAAGGACAATTTGAAAGCCAGCTCCATTGGGGTGTGGCACCACCAGCATGGAGACTGCTGACTCCCCAGCACCCAGCACAGGTGTCAGCACGTGGTGGATACTCATATATAAATACTAAATACAGTCATAAAGAATTCATTTGTGACCTGAGCCTTAACCTTGACTTTGCCTTGAGCCCTTGTTTTCTTACCTGTAAAATAACAATGCTAATACCTACTCATCGACTCTATCAACACCTAATATAGTAGCCTGACAATAAACAGTTGTTGTCTTCCTGATTAACAGGACGAGGCATTCTGACCCACCAACTGGGTCCTATTTAATGAGCCTCAAGGTTATGAGAGGTAGGGACTTCCCAAGGCCCAGTCAATGCTGAGTAGGCTGAGAAAGGATGAACGGGGAAGAGAGGAGGGGCTTTTGGAAAGGAAGGGAGGTGTCTGGCGGTGGAGACATGTAACTTTGACAGGGTCACCATTATGTCAAGCACCCAAGATGTGGCCTGGGATGCTCCACAGTCATTTTTCTCATGAACCCTTGCAAAGACTCCAAAGAGTTTATTAACTTGACCTGCCAGTATGAAAGCAGTCCCCAGAGGACTTAGAGGATGGGGCATATCTTTGGACGCATCCTTGGATTTGGAATGTTTGCCACCTTCACTGGTGGATTTTCCCTGCCTTCCTGGGTCACTGTGGAGCAAGAGAGATTCATCGTGTTTCTCTTGACTGAAACGTGGTGCTGAGATAGATTCGTAGTTCCATGGAGATCACGTCACCCCCTGTTGTGACCCCTCTCTGCCATCTCTGTTCTTGCTGGCATGTGAACCACTTGTTCCTGCCAGAGGAGTCAGTTGTGATGAGAACATTAATTTCCTTGCATGGACATGTGTCCATGTCACTTGTAAAGAATAACGCTATACCTAACACATGCTCACACAGAAGCAGGTGACAGCACTCCCTTCCAGCACATACCAACAAGTGACTACATGATGATGCCTTGAAACCACATCACACGTGCCCATGGCATGGGGAGATGACTCTACATAATGATTGTTTATCTCATTCTCACCCTCATCCCTTATGTTCCAATAGCCCTCCATAGCCCAAAGAACATCCTTTAATGTTCTTTAATTCACGTCCTTTCATTCACTTAATCCACAAAAATTGCTGCAGGGAAGAGACAATGAGTCTCTGTGTTGAGGCAAGGAAACTGAGGCTTTGAGAAAGGATGGGATAGAATGTACCCCAGGCAGAAAAGCTGGCAAAAATTGAAAGCAGGATTTGGCCCCAGCAACCAACAGCTGGTCCCACGCTGCTTGTGAGTCCTTCTGTCCAGAAGTCCTGCTTCTTTTCACTGGATCGTAATCTCGAGGCACATGTCCATTCACACAGAAAGTCACATTTGGCTTCATGTGTGAGGTTTGAAGCACTAGACAGGGGAGAAAATATATACAGTCATTCATTTACAGGTAACATGCAAAAACAGGCAAACATAAGCTACACATTTTAAGACATTTAAGACACATTCTCCTCTAAGACTAAAAAATGCCTCTTAATTTAGGAGGTACCAATGCAAAGGTTGAGGCTTATTTTGTGTCATTCACAAAGCAGGGTCACAGTAATCAGGGGAGGTTTATATCGATAATTTTTAGCATTAATATAAGTAAATAAGTGTGTGTATATGTATGTGTGTGTGTGAGTGTATGTGTGTTGAAGAAAGCAGTTTTCACTGGGTTAGCCAAGACAGAATCTGGGGGACACTGAGGAATACTGTTGATTTACTTCCTATTTCAAGTATTAAGTATCAGTAGAGTCTCTTAGATTCAAATGTTAGTTATAATACTATTTTACTGAGCATCTATTATGTACTAGGCTCTGCCCACAGCATATTTTACACAATGTTTCCCATAAACTAAGCATCTAGGAAGAGATAAGTTACAAGGTATTGCATTCTGTCTGAATTTTATTTATATTACTATTAAAGTATTTATTTTTACATAATTCTTTTTCTTTCATAATTTGGTTTGAGGCTTCAGGGAAATGGAAGTACTGGCTACTGTTTTATAAATTCAGTATGATAAATGTCTTCTTGCCTGAGGACATAGGGCATAAAAAAGTAACAACACCATTGGATGACCCTGGCCATGAGGGTTGCAGAGACGGCATGGACACATAGAAGTACCTGGCTTAGATCAAGCCCAAAGAACTTCCCAGCTGTGTGGTCCTGTGATGTTCCCTGACCTCTGAGAGCAGCAGTGTCCTCACTGAATAGCTTCCTGCTATGACATGATATATGCACTCCTGAAAACGCTTGCATTCTGCAAAATCACACACCAAAAATAACAGGGCTTATGGCAGAAACAACACGGAGACCTAACAACTCAAAAGGTAGGTAACATTGCCGCCAACCCCCTAAAAATATGAACAAAAATGATAGTGCCATTTAAAGAAAGGTGTTAAATGTTAATAAAAGCATTCTACAGTAACTTTAGTTCATTACCTGTAACACACAGAGAAAGTTCCTCATGAAAGCAGGTGTAAGGAAAGATTATGGCTGCTGAATTGAGATAAGGACAAAATGTTTCAAGATTGGGGAGAACCTGGACATAAGCCCTTCCAAGAAAGAGCATATGCGGAAACTGAGTCAAGACAAACACCAGGGTGAGAGCAAGCATCAGTACAGGACTGTTCTCTTCACCAGCTTGCTGTGACCCACTGGACTAGTGCACTTTTTTAGCTGCTGTTACTCACTGTGTAAAATCTAATACAGAGAGAAAATTAAATCTCACATGAACCAATTCTCTCTTGTGCCTTACACACACAGCTTTCCTATTTACTCATTCCTGCTTTATGAATATGCTTCATAGAGAAGCAAATCATCATCTATCCCAATGAGGTTGTTTTGGTGGTTGGAGGTAGGAAATATAAAGGGTTTAATGGTGTCAAACACTTAGTAGAGCCTTCCTAAATTCTGGCTCTCATTCATACTATGCCATTATTCCTTTTAGGAGGATAAGTAGTAGTTGTAGTTTTGCAATAATGAGTTGTCTGACTTCTGGTTCAGTCATTTTCCAGACACGCTGCTTCTTATTTTTTTTAAGACTATTAATCTGCACAGAAGGGGCAGAAAAAGTAACATCCTGAAACCTTGGGGAAGCTTGTGTAAGCTGATATTCTTGTAGAGGGTCATCCTGAGAGAATGAATCAGGAAGGGAGGCTGCAAAGAAATGCAAACACAAACTTTTACATGTAAATCTCGTTCAAATAGCATCTTTTGGAAAAGTAAATTTATGTCCTGTTGATTGACTCTGTGGTATTTGGTGAGATTGTAAATAGAACTTCTGTCAGACATGACCAGGGGCTGAATGCAACATAAATAAAATATTAACCTAATTAAGGAGTGTCTTTTCTATCTTGATGAACTTCGTGAGGTCTGATACGTAAGTGCAAAAAACCCCACAGAAAGAGTCATCCTGAGCACAAAGAGTAAACGCAAGTATGGGATTATGGTTGTCTTGGTCACCCTTGCTACATGGACTGTTTAAATAGAAAGGCCAAGTCATTCAGAGACATCAAAGAGAGAGGCAGAGGGATTTAAAATCATACCACATAAGAATCAGTTAAAGATCTGGTCTCATTTAGCCTCAAGAAGATAAACTCAGACTCAGAAGCACTTATGATCAATGATATCATTTGTTTTCTAAGTCTTTGAAGGTTAAATAGGAGCCATAGAAGGGAGGTGCAGGAAATCAGTGTAGTGTAGACTAACGAAGAACTCTCTAACAGTGGAATCTGCTCAATTCTTGAAGGCTATGTTGCCAGAAGTGAGTGTGTAAGCAGAGAGGGAGGGTCTCCAGGGATTATAGGAAGTTAATCAACTTAAGCCATCATCCTGTTTTACAACCTTCTGCCCTGCAGCCTGTTTTTCCAAAAGCCTGTGTGGAATGTGGTCACCTTGTTAGTTGGAACCAGCTCCTGACAGACCCTGGCAGCTTATAGATGAACCTGAATAAGGTTTCCTTGTGACCATAATAAAGTATCTACCCCTGGAAGAGCTATAGCTTCTGATATGGTTTGGCTGTGTCCCCACCCAAATCTCATGTTAAATTGTAGTTCCCACAATCCTTATGTGTCTTGAGAGGGACCAGGTGGAGATACTTGAATCATGGGAGCAGTTTCCCCCATCCTTTTCTCATGATAGTGAGTTAGTTCTTATGAAATTTGATGGTTTTATAAGGGTCTTCCCCCTTCACTGGGCACTCATTCTCCTTGCTGCCATGTGAAGAAGAACGTGTTTGTTTCCCCTTCTGCCATGATTGTAAGTTTCCTGAGGCCTCCCAAGTCATGCAGAACTGTCAGTCAATTAAACATCTTTCTTTTATAAATTATGCAGTCTCAGGTATGTCTTTATTAGCAGCATAAGAATGGACTAAGACAGCTTCATTACCATAACATGTGACCCGTATGCTGGCATGATGACCCACTGCCTCTGCCCAACTTGGAATCCTGCTCTACATTTGATGCTGCACTTTCTCCCCTCCCCATCATCCCATGAGATCCTCCTGTCAGTTTCCCTAGGTGAGACACTGCTTTAAACAATACTCCCACTGTCCTTCTACTTTGGGCCAAGTAATAAAACTCCATCAATTCTGCCTTCTCATGGAGTCTTTGTTACTCGCCAGGCAAACCAACCCCAGTTTTTTGGGTGACAAGTGTGCTGTCTCTGGTGGGCCTGACCACTTTGTGAGCAGGTTACTGTCAGGCCTCTGAACCCAAGCTAAGCCATCATATCACTGGGACTTGCACATACACATCCAGATGGCTGGTTCCTGCCTTAACTGATGACATTACCTTGTGAAATTCCTTCTCCTGGCTCATCCTGACTCAAAAGCTCCCCCGCTGAGCACCTTGTGATCCCCGCCCCTGCCCGCCAGAGAACAACCCCCTTTGACTGTAATCTTCCTTTACCTACCCAAATCCTATAAAATGGCCCCACCCCTATCTCCCTTTGCTGACTCTCTTTTTGGACTCAGCCTGCCTGTACCCAGGTGAAATAAACAGCCTTGTTGCTCACACAAAGCCTGTTTGGTGGTCTCTTCACACGGACACAAGTGAAATTTGGTGCTGTGACTTGTATTGGAGGACCTCCCTTAGGAGATCACTCCCCTGTCCTCCTGCTTTTTACTCCATGAGAAAGATCCACCTACGACCTCTGGTGCTCAGACCGACCAGCCTAAAGAACATCTCACCAATTTTAAACCCGGTAAGCAGCCTCTCTTTACTGTCTTCTCCAGCCCCTCTCACTATCCCTCAACCTCTTTCTCCTTTCAATCTTGGCGCCACACTTCAATCTCTCTCTTCCGTTAATTTCAATTCCTTTCATTTTCTGGTAGAGACAAAGGAGATGCATTTTATCTATGGACCCAAAACTCCGGTGCCGGTCACTGACTCAGGAAGGCAGCCTTCCCTTTGTGTTTAATCATTGCGGGGACACCTCTCTGATTATTCACCCACATTCCATTGGTGTCTGATCTCCGTGAGGACGCCTGCCTTGATCATTCACCTACATTCCCTTGGTGGCAAGTCAGTTGCGGGGATGCCTGCTTTGGCTGCTCACCCACATTGCAGCCCAGGGCTGCTCCCCACCCCCTTCTCCGTGTCTCTACCCTTCTTTTTAAACTTGCCTCTTTCACTATAGGCAAACTTCCACCCTCTATTCCTCCCTCTTCTCCCTTAGCCTCTGTTCTCAAGAAGTTAAAACCTCTTCACCTCTCGCCTGACCTAAAATCTAAGTGTCTTATTTTCTTCTGCAACACCACTTGACCCCAATACAAACTCAACAGTGGTTTCAAATAGCCAGAAAACAGCACTTTTGATTTTTCCATCCTACAAAATCTAGATAATTCTTGTCATAAAATAGGCAAATGGCCTGAGGTGCCTGACGTCTAGGCATTCTTTTACACATCGGTCCCTCCCTAGTCTCTGTTCCCAATGCAACTCATCTCAAATCTTCCTTCTTTCCCTCCTGCCTTTCCCCTCAGTCCTGACCCCAAGCATCGCTGAGTCTTGCTAATCTTTACTACAGACCCATCTGACCTCTCTCCTCCTCCCCAGCTGCTCCTCGCCAGGCTGAGCTAGGTCCCAATTCTTCCTCAGCCTCCGCTCCCCTACCCTATAATCCTTTTATCACCTCCCCTCCTCACACCCAGTCCTGCTTTTAGTTTTGTTCCGTGACTAGCCCTCCCCTACCTGCCCAGCAATTTCCTCTTAAAAAGGTGGCTGGAGCTAAAGGCATAGTCAAGGTGAATGCTCCTTTTTCTTTATCCGACCTCTCCCAAATCAGTTAGCTTTTAGGCTGTTTTTCATCAAATATGAAAAACCCAGCCCAGTTCATGGCTCATTTGGCAGCAACCCTGAGACACTTTACAGCCCTAGACCCTAAAAGGTCAAAAGGCCGTCTTATTCTTGATATACATTTTATTACCCAATCTGCTCCTGACATTAAATAAAACTCCAAAAATTACATTCCAGCCCTCAAACCCCACAACAGGACTTAATTAACCTCGCCTTCAAGGTGTACAATAATAGAGTAGAGGCAGCCAAGTAGCAATGTATTTCTGAGTTGCAATTCCTTGCCTCCACTGTGAGACAAACCCCAGCCACATCTCCAGCACACAAGAACTCCAAATGCCTGAACCGCAGCTGCCAGGGGCTCCTCCAGAACTTCATCCCCTAGGAGCTTGCTACAAGTGCAGGAAATCTGGCCACTGGGCCAAGGAATGCCCAAAGTCTGGGATTCCTCCTAAGCCGTGTCCCATCTCTGCCGGACCCCACTGAAAATCGGACTGTTCAACTCACCTGGTAGCCACTTCTAGAGCCCCTGGAACTCTGGCCCAAGGCTCTCTGACTGACTCCTTCCCAGATCTTCTCGGCTTAGCGGCTGAAGACTGACGCTACCTGATCGCCTCGGAAGCCCCTGGATCATAAAGGACGCCGAGCTTTGGGTAACTTTTACAGTGGAGGGTAAGTCCATCCCCTTCTTAATCAATATGGAGGCTATCCACTCCACATTACTTTCTTTTCAACTGCCTGTTTCCCTTGCCTCCATAACTGTTGTGGGTATTGATGGCCAGGCTTCTAAACCTCTTAAAACTCCCCAACTCTGGTGCCAACTTGGACAACATTCTTTTATGCACTCTTTTTTAGTTATCCCCACCTGCCCAATTCCCTTATTAGGCTGAGACATTTTAATCAAATTGTCTGCTTCCCTGACTATTCCTTGGCTACAGCCACACCTCACTGCCTCCCTTCTCCCCAGTTCAAAGCCTCCCTCACATCCTCCCTTCATATCTCCCCACCTTAATTCACAAGTACAGGACACCTCTACTCCCTCCTTGGCGACCGATCATGCACCCCTTACCATCCCATTAAAACCTAATCACCCTTATCCAGCTCAATACCAATATTCAATCCCACGGCATGCTTTAAAAGGATTAAAGCCTGTTATCACTTGCCTGTTACAGCATGGCCTTTTAAAGCCTATAAACTCTCCTTACAATTCCCCCATTTTACCTGTCCTAAAAGCAGACAAGCCTTACATATTAGTTCAGGATCTGTGCCTTATCAATCAAATTGTTTTGCCTATCCACCCCATGGTGCCAAACCCATATATTCTACTATCCTCAATACCTCCCTCCACAACCCATTATTCTGTTCTGGATCTCAAACATGCTTTCTTTACTATTCCTTTGCACCCTTCATCCCAGTCTCTCTTCGCTTTCACTTGGACTGACCCTGACACCCATCAGGCTCAGCAAATTACCTGGGCTGTACTGCCGCAAGGCTTCACAGACAGCCACCATTACTTCAGTCAAGCCAGAGTTCTTACACAAGAGCCGGGACCGTGCCCTGTAGCCTTTTTATCCAAACAATTTGACCTTACTGTTTTAGCCTAGCCGTAGTGTCTGCGTGCATTGGCTGCCACTGCTTTAATACTTTTAGAGGCCCTAAAAATCACAAACTATGCTCAACTCACTCTCTACAGTTGTCATAACTTCCAAAATCTATTTTCTTCCTCACACCTGACATAATACTTTCTGCTCCCCGGCTCCTTCAGCTATACTCACTCTTTGTTGAGTCTCCCACAGTTACCATTGTTCCTGGACTGGACTTCTATCCATCCTCCCACATTATTCTGGATACCACACATGACCCCTGTGACTGTATCTCTCTGATCCACCTGACATTCACCCCATTTCCCCATATTTCCTTCTTTCCTGTTCCTCGCCCTGAACACACTTGGTTTATTGACGGCAGTTCCACCAGGCCTAATCACCACTCACCAGCAAAGGCAGGCTATGCTATAGTATCTTCCACACCTATCATTGAGGCTATCACTATGCCCCCCTCCACTACCTCTCAGCAAGCTGAACTCGTTGCCTTAACTTGGGCCCTCACTCTTGCAAAGGGACTACACATCAATATTTATACTGACTCTAAACATGCCTTCCATATCCTGCACCACCATGCTTTTATATGGGCTGAAAAAAATTTCCTTACTATGCAAGTGTCCTCCATCATTAATGCCTCTTTAATAAAAATGCTTCTCAAAGCCACTTTACTTCTAAAGGAAGCTGGAGTCATTCACTGCAAAGGCCAGCAAAAGGCATCAGATCCCATTGCTCGAGACAATGCTTATGCTGATAAGGTAGCTAAAAAAGCAGCTAGCATTCCAACTTCTATCCCTCACGGCAGTTTTTCTCCTTCTCATCTGGCCACTCCCACTTACTTCCCCACTGAAACTTCCACCATCAATCTCTTCCCACACAAGGCAAATGGTTCTTGGACCAAGGAAAATATCTCCTTCCAGCCTCACAGGCCAATTCTATTCTGTCGTCATTTCATAACCTCTTCCATGTAGGTTACAAGCCACTAGCCTGCCTCTTAGAACCTCTCATTTCCTTTCCATCGTGGAAATCTATCCTCAAGGAAATCAGTGTTCCATCTGCTATTCTACTACTCCTCAAGAATTTCTCAGGCCCCCTCCCTTCCCTACACAGCAAGCTCGGGGATTTGTCCCTGCCCAGGACTGGAAAATTGACTTTACTCACATGCCTCAAGTCAGGAAACTAAAATACCTCTTGGTCTAGGTAGACACTTTCACTGGATAGGTAGAGGCCTTTCCCACAGGGTCTGAGAAGGCCACCGCGGTCATTTCCTCCCTTCTGTCAGACATAATTCCTCGGTTTGGCCTTCCCACCTCTATACAGTCTGATAACGGACCAGCTTTTATTAGTCAAATCACCCAAGCAGTTTCTCAGGTTCTTGGTATTCAGTGAACTAATGGTCTTTTAAAAACACACCTCACCGAGCTCAGCCACGAACTTAAAAAGGACTAAACAATACTTTTACCACTTTCCCTTCTCAGAATTCCAGCCTGTCCTTGGAGTGCTGCAGGGTACAGCCCATTTGAGCTCCTGTATGGATGCTCCTTTTTATTAGGCCCCAGTCTCATTCCAGACACCAGACCAACTTAGACTGCACCCCAAAAAACTTGTCATCCGTACTATCTTCTGTCTAGTCATACTCCTATTCACCATTCTCCCATTCTCAACTACTCATAAATGCCCTGCTCTTGTTTACACTGCCAGTTTACACTGTTTCTCCAAGCCATCACAGCTGATATCTTCTGGTGCTCTCCCCAAACCGCCACTCTTAAAGTAAATAAATAATCTTTGCTGGCAGGGCTATGCTGAACCTCCTTAGGCACTTACTGTTTGGATGTCCTGAGTCCTCCCAATTCTTAGTCCTTTAATACCTGTTTTTCTCCTTCTCTTATTCCTTTTAGTTTTTCAATTCATACAAAACTGTATCCAAGCCATCGACAATAATGCTATACAACAAATGTTTCTTCTAACAACCCCACAATATCATCCCTTACCACAAAATCTTCCTTCAGCTTAATCTCTCCCACTCTAGGTTCCCACATCACCCCTAATCCCGCTTGAAGCAGCCCTGAGAAACATCTCCCATTATCTCTCCATACCACCCCCAAAAAATTTTCGCTACCCCAACACTTTACAACTATTTCATTTTATTTTTCTTATTAATATAAGAAGACAGGAATGTCAGGCCTCTGAGCCCAAGCTAAGCCATCATATCTCCTGTGACCTGCACATACACATCCAGATGGCTGGTTCCTGCCTTAACTGATGACATTCCACCACAAAAGAAGTGAAAATGACCTGTTCCTGCCTTAACTGATGACATTACCTTGTGAAATTCCTTCTCCTGGCTCATCCTGACTCAAAAGCTCCCCCGCTGAGCACCTTGTGACCCCCCCACCCTTGCCCGCCAGAGAACAACCCCCTTTGACTGTAATTTTCCTTTACCTACCCAAATCCTATAAAATGGCCCCACCCCTATCTCCCTTTGCTGACTCTCTTTTCAGACTCAGCCCGCCTGCACCCAGGTGAAATAAACAGCCTTGTTGCTCACACAAAGCCTGTTTGGTGGTCTCTTCACATGGACACGAGTGAAAGTTACCATGCTTGGTCCTGCTTCCCACTGTTATAATAGGTAGATTGGCAGATAAGAGCAGGACAAGAAAGGGCCCCGAAGAAGATCAGATGATTCCCAGATGACTGTCTTGTGATTGTCAGGTGGGCTCCTCAGGCATTATAAGGTAAGTGGTCACAACTGGGGGAAAAATTCCTGAGAAACAGGAAACATCTTGAGCTTGTGGGCAACAACTACCCAATAAGATCCTAGAAACTGAATCTTATTGGGAACCTTCATAATAAGGGTACCTTCATAACAAGGTACAGCAGACTGGGGGGTTTACACAATGGAAATTGATTTTCTTGTAGCTCCAAAGTCTAAATGTTCAAGATTAAGGTGTCAGCAAGGTTGATTTTTTTCTGAGGTCTCTCTCCTTGGGTGGTAGATGGCTGTGTTTTTGTCTGTGTCTTCACATGGTTTTCAAGTCTTCATGTCCTCACATGTCTTCAAGTGAGGTTGACCTAGGGCCCACTCTGAGGACCTCATTCTAACCTAATTACATCTTTAAGGCCCTATCTACAAATACAGGCACACTCTAAGGTCATCTTCTTCAACATATGAATTGAGAGGCAGGGGCACAATTCAGCTTATAACAGGTGTCATTACTCCCATTTTACTAATGAGGAAACTGAGGTAGCGTATTTTGCCTAAAGTCACACAGTGAGCTGGGATTGGAAACTGGATCTGTCTGAGACCAAAACCCACACCCCACCCTCCAAGCTGTATCGCTCATCCTGAATAAGGCAAAGTCAGGGCAGCCAACCCAACTTGAATCTTTAAAGGGAAAGCTGAGATGGGCCCCAGAGGACAGGAGATAAAGGGAATTGAATGCTGATTGCTGGCAGGGGTGTGGGAGGAGCTGCAGGACAGGCATTATGCAAGCAGAGATGGGAACATGGCTGTGGATTCCGTGTACCTTCTCAGACCAGCTGGTGCATGGTGCACTGATTTAGAGCTCCTTAAACATCCTAGGTGGAGACAGATCTAAAAGAAAGCTGCTCTTCTTGTGTTCCTGTGAGAGAAAGCTGCTTGCTAGCTGGAAAGACAGGGGATACTGTGGAGGGAGAGTGAGAAGAAGCCCAGTTCCTTCCCACATTACAGACCCTACGCTAATACAACAATAGGAGGTCGACCCATTGCTAATTGTTCTGGGAGGAGAAAGAGTGAGCATCACACGAATGTACAG
This sequence comes from Homo sapiens, assembly GCF_000001405.40. NCBI lineage: Eukaryota > Metazoa > Chordata > Mammalia > Primates > Hominidae > Homo > Homo sapiens. The sequence goes on along the minus strand of NC_000014.9, from coordinate 98,445,584 downwards.
GCACACAAGAGATGTAATAAACACAGTCTAACATATCACCAGCTCCCATACAGGGCTGATTTGCAATTGTAAATCCATTGGTAGCGTGCATGAATGCTAAGAACGTCGGAGTGCCGGGCTGTGAATTTGCCAAGGAAACTGGCGTGCTTTTCTACAAGAGAAGAAGTATATACCCTGTGGAAAATTATTTTTTTTCCTGTGCAATTAGGTCTGTCTCTCCATTTAAATCATTTTTAATAATCTCCTGATCAGTGCTGTATTTTTAACTGTGAATAATATAACTCTACATTTACACTAAACATAAACCATTGAACAAAAAGTATTTTATAAACTGGAACTTACCTTCCCTTAAATAATGGCTCCAAATAAGTGATTTCATGCAAGCAAGACAATCCAATTAAGCTGCTATCTTTGGAGCCGTAGGACTACATTGTTTAGCCCCACAGAGCAGGGATGGCCATACTACATCCATCGGGCCAAGTCCAGCCCATTGTTTTTGTAAATAAAGTTTTATTGGAACAGAACTACATCCATTTGGTTGGGTACTGTCTACAGCTACTTTTGCGTTACAACAGTAGAACTGAGTAGTTGCAGCAGCTATAGTATGGCTGGCAGAGCCTTGTATTTCTAGCTAGCCCTGTACAGAGAAAGTTTGCCCATCCCTGCCTTAGAGCCTTATGTCAGCAGGGTCCCTTCTCCATCCCAGGAAGCTCTTCCAGTGGAATCATACGAGGATGTGTCCAAGGCTCTCTTGAATCTGGTTCTGGTTCTAGTTGGCTCAGAACATCCAGTAACTAATAATGCTGTGACTACCATGGTTTGTTCCTGATGGTGTATTGGACTCAACTATCAACAGCAGTTCATAACTCAGAAGAGTCAGGGAAACCACTATAAAAAGACAAAATTGTAAAACGAGCACATATCCCTGTTGTTGGATGTTGGCACTGGTTCTAGGCCCACTTTGTGTTCAGACCCAGTCCTCGCTTGGGCCTCATTGAGCTCTCTCTCTGGGAGGGTTGACTTTTGCTGGTTCTTCTCCAGGTTTTACACTGGTCAGCTGCTTTCCACCTGAATGTGGCCATTGACAGCCCTGGGCAAGCAACCTGGCAGCAGGTGGAAGGGAGAAGCTAGACTACTTCTCTTCTTTCTCTCTGTCTCTTTGCCTTGGGTATATCTGTGGTAACAGCTTTATTTACTCTCAAGCAGGTTAAGCATTCGTCTAAGACTTTCTATCTAGGAAATGAAAGAGCCGAGACTCCAACTCTGCCATGGCTGTTTTTAAAGGCTCTGTTCTTTGCCACACCTGGTTGTTTTTCAGAGAGTGAGTGACCTCAGAATGCCACCCCCACTTCCTGCCCAGAGGTACCCAGCAAAGGTGAGGTGAAAAGAGCCCTTTAGTAAAATTACCATGGAGGGAGAGTAGAAAGCAAACTAGAGCAGCATGCAGGTTGGAGGCAAGGAGGCAAGTCAAGGTTCTCCAGAGGAACTTCTGGAACAAAGTTAGGACCATCAGTTGCACCCAGGCACATGTATTGTTCTATGCACTGTGCTTCCTTTAGCTTCTAGCTTCCTTGCCAAGATGACCTTCAAAGCATGGTTATCAATGAGGTGGGGCGGGGGGTGATGTCCCCGGGGGTGGGGAAGCAGTTTTGCCCCCAATCCTGAGGATATTTTGCAGTCTGGAGACATTTTTGGTTGTCACATTGGGTGGGTGCTGCTACTAGCACCTAATGGGTGGAGGTCGGGGATACTGCTAAACATCCTGTAATGCCCAGGACAGGCCCCACAGCAAAGGGTTCCATGCATTTGGGCCCCAAATGTCAATAGTGCTGAGGTTGAGCCACTTTCAGATTCAGAGTATTCACCTGACAGCATAAAGTAATTGTGGCCCGGCAAGGTTAATGAAATGAAGATTCCTGGAATAGTCCAGGAAAATATGTCCCCAGTGGAAGATATTCTTCCTCTATGGTTTACATTATGTGCCAGATCCCCTTCTCACACATATGTAAATTATTTGAATCCCTTCTTTTTCAGTAACTTCAAGTGGCTAACCACATTTCATTGTGAATTTCAATACCAGTTTACCTAGGAAAATGTATTCCAGATACATCAAAAGGAGCTGAATGAAAAATATCATGTGTATCCTTTTTATAAGTTTAAAGTCAGATTGTAATGTATTAGCAATAGATAGAATACTTTAGACTTTTCTTTTTTGGTCAAATCATGTTTGATTTGGTTAATCTCAGTTGAACAGGAATTTAACACCAGGTCTTTTAAGTGAAATCATTTCTATATTAATGAGATCCAGAGTGATTCAACTAAAAAAATGATTAAAAAACTAAAGTGTCCCCTTGCTGTTATTCAAATGAATGGAAGGAAAGAGGTGGTATTTTTGAAGCTCACTCTCTCTCTCTCTCTCCCTCTCCCTACCATCTTTTTCCCAGCCTAATTGACTTGGATCTGGCTCATCTTGAGTAGGTTATGTTTTCTTATTGTAACAGCCTTTCCCCAGCAAAATCATTCCCCTCACTAATGAGCTCCATCCTCCTATGATAGGGAGAGAGTTTTAAAAACACCCACTGTTCTCACTCTTTCATTTGAATAGCACCAAAGGGGCACCTTTTCCCATCATTTCTATCAGAGAGATAGGGTTGGATCTCATTAATAAAGAGATGATTTTACTCCAAAGAGCCCTCAGCATTGAGCCCTAACCTAGATTAGAACTTTGTTAAACACTGAGCCCCAGCCATTGAAAGGTCCTCCTGAGCTGTACCCACACCCAGTGTCACCAGAGCCGAGATTTCACCCATTGAAGGAATGGACAGCCAGGGTCAGGCTGTGCCCTCAGTTCCCAAACCTGCAGATCCTATGATGCTCTTTGCCTGACAGGTCTTTCACCTTTAATCAGCTGTATTTCACCTGTATTTCACAGTGGTCTTCTCAGACCTGACCCTTCAAACCCAGGGGCCTTCCACAAGCCATGCAGCTCGGACTGAGATGTAGGGGAAGGACTCCAGCAGAAGGGTTTCCCAGCCCTGTCTTCACTCCCACTCTCTGCTCCCTGTCACCATGCCTTGCCATCGTTCTTCTGGGTCTCAATTTCTATTCCTTCATAGCCCAGTTCACTCCCAAACTCCTGTCTCTGGCCTGCTAATTGCAGCAGACCCTCTGCCCCTGGGGTAATGAGAGGCAGGTTAGATGCATAGCCCAAGACACCAATGGCCCCAGAGAGCCGCTGACTTTGCATGAGTCCTCTCTTAGCCACCCTCATCTTTCAGGTGCCCTGAGAGCTTGGGAGAAAGCAGAGCCTGGTGGTTAGCATGTGGGCTCTACAGTATCCCAATTTGGGTCCAATCTTGCCATTCATGACCTTAGATACATGCCTTATATTGGAAAAGGTTATGTGTTTCTTGTGTTTCTGCACATCTTATGAATAAGGCACTGACTGCTCCTTGTTCAGGTCTATCTGTCTAAAGTTGTTTATAGGATAGTGTTTCCCTCTAGAGGAAAGAGCTAGCAGCCTTACTGTTAATTATAAAACATTTGGGTTTCCTAAGCTCAGAGATCCTCTCTTGTAATACGGGGAATTGCATATGAAGGTGTCACTTGGCTCTCTTTGTGTCATCCTGTGAGAATTGGAGCTTATGGGGAAGGTGCAAGAAATACTGATGCTCTGGCTACTTCTATAACTGTGATTAAAAAACTGTTCTGTATCTCTGACCCAGGAAGCTTGTGTCTTCCGCCAGCATCCATGAAACTGCGACAGGCTCACTTGTTAGCTGTTTCACAGTTCTTGACAACTTGCTTATTTTGAGCTTCAGCTTTCTATGTGTAAAATGGGAGAATAATAAGAATACTGCTATAAACTAAACATTTACATTTCTCTAAAATTTGTATGTTGAAATCCTAACCCCTAATGTGATGGCATTAGGAGGTGGAGGTCTTTGCAAGGGTGGAACCTTGAAAATGGGATTAGTGGCCTTATAAAAGAGACCCTAGAGAGCTCATTTGCCCCTTCTGCCATGTGAGAAAACAGGGAGAAGGTTCCATCTATGAAACAGAAAAGAAACATTCACTAGACAGTGAATCTGCCAGCACCTCGATCTTGGACTCTCCAGTCTCCAGAACTGTGGGAAATTGATGTGTGTTTTTATAAGCCACCCAGTTTATGGTATTCTGTTACAGCAGCCTGAACTGATGAAAACAAGTACCTCTCTTAGAAGGTAGTTGTAAAGATTTAATATGATAATCAATGTTAATGATGATAAACATTGGCAAATAGTAAGCATTAAATTAATGTTATCTAATTTTCATTATGTCACCTTTGCCTGTCACCTTATTATAGCAGAGAAGTCTGATCAGAGGATTTGAGAGATCACTGTGGTCAGAGGGAACCCTGATCTCAGCAAAATAACCTAGTTCTATTGTCAGATACAATGGTCATACAGATAGGAAACATTCCTCTTTGGATCACCAATTGGAAGGAGATTAGTGATCACTTTCCCCTCCTTTGAGTTTCCATCAGTAACTGCAGTGGACTGCGTCTTATTTTATTATAGTCCCTAGCTATGTGTAGGTACTTACTCATAAGATGGAACATATAAATATGAATTTAGTTCCCATCACCAGGAGGAAATACCATATTGGAACAATGTGCCCATTCCCTTGCATTTACAATCATATTTATCCTCTCTTAAAATCTCTCCCTAGCTCCTTATTGCTCTTGAGACAAAAATCTAAACACCTCCCTCTTTAGTGCACTCTCCCACTCCTGCACACCCATACTTTGTTATTCCGATGGGCCTCTAGACAGTCATACATTCTGTGTACTCTGCTTACAGTTCTCCATCCTCCTTTGCCCTCAGTCTTAGTCTGTTTTGTGCTGCTGTAAGAATATACCTGAGACTAGGTAATTTATAAAGAAAAGAAATGTATTTCAAACACTTCTAGAGGCTGGAAAGTCCAAGATCAAGTCACTTGCAGATTTGGTGTCTGGTGAAGGCTGCTCATATGGTTTGGCTCTGTGTCCCCACCCAAATCTCATCTTGAATTCTAATCCTCATGTGCCAAGGGGGGTACCTATAATCCTCACAAGTCAAGGGAGGGAAGTGATTGGATTATGGAGGCAGATTTCCCTCATGCTGTTCTCGTGATAGTGAGTAAGTTCTCATGAGATCTGATGGTTTTTATAAATGATAGTTTTTCCTGTGCTCTCATTCCCTCTCCTGCTGCCTTGTGAAGAAGTTACTTGCTTCTTTGCCTTCCACTATGATGGTAAGTTTCCTGAGGCCTCTCCAGCCATATGGAACTGTGAGTCAATTAAACCTCTTCTCTTCATAAATTACCCAGTCTCAAGTATCTCGGGTATTTCTTTGTAGCAGTGTGAGAAAGAGGACGAATATAGCTGCTCTCCACTTTCAATATGGTGCCCTTTGGAAGGGGAGAAATGCTGCATCCTCATGTTAGAGAAAGTAGAAAGGCAAGCCAGCAGAAGGCTGCATGAAGCCTCTTTTATACAGGCATTAATCTCATTCATTAGGGGAGAAGCCCTAAAGACCTAATCACCACTTAAAAGTCCTACCTCTTAATACCATTATATTGGTCATTAAGTTTCAACATCTGGATTTTGGAAGAAACCCATTTATATGACAGCCCTCCCCACTCTCAACTCCTGCATCTGTTAACTCCTATTCATCTCTAAAATGTCAGCTTAATATTACTTTCCTGGAAAGTTCTTTCTTACCCAGGTCCCATGGGCCCCAGAGTAGCACAGTATCCTTGCCATGCAGCCCTCCATCTGGTATTATTTCCTCTATCTCAAGTTCCATCACATAATTTTGAGGGGTATTTATCACTAAACCTGATTTAGAAAGGTCAAAATCAGAAGATTAGGCAAAAGTATACCAGAGAAACATAAGTTAAGATAAAGCAGGTTTTGCTGTGGTAGATTTAAAGCATGTCTGTAAAGCATTTGATACTTCTTCCATCAAGATATGAAGCCCAATAGCTGACTCATCTAATACAGTCTACTCTTCGTAACTTACTTCCTGTGAAAAATTTAGGAAAAAAGGATTCTGGGAGACTGTTGAAGGAAATTCATGAAGGGAAATATAGTTTCTGCTTGGCTGTTTCTTGGGACCCCTAATCTTGGAACCCACATGCCATGCACTGAGGAAGCCCAAGCCACATGTAGACGCAATGTGCAGGTGTTCTCACTGAGACCTCCAGGTGAGGTCCAGCCAACTTTTGTCATCCACTGCCAGTCATGAATAAAGAAGCTTTTGAGATGACTCTATCCCCCTTCTGGAGTCTGGGAAGTCTAAGATCAACTTGCTTGCAGGTTCGGTGTCTGTTGCAGGCTGTTCTCTACTTTTAATATGGCAACCTCTGGAATGGGAGAAATGCTAGCAGCCCAAACCACTCTCTGCCTTCAGTAAGAAGAGATACCCTGAATGAGAACTACCCAGCAGATCCTTGTCAAACCCAGACCCATGAGAGATTTGTAATAATAATAATAATAATAATAATAATAATAATAATAATAATAATAATAAAATGTTTGCTGTCTTACAATTCTAAAGCTTGAGTGGTTTTTACATAGTTATAAATAACCAGAATACTTGGAAAGTTTTTGCCTTTTATGATGCTAAAGATTACCATTCATAATAAAGATATAACCATTCTCAATATCTATGCAAAATGGCATGTTAGCAACATTCATAAAGCAGGAATTTCTGGACTCTAGTCAAATATACATGAAAACCTGAATAAAGTAGATAATTTCTCAGGAAAATATCATTTATTAAACCCAGTGCAGAAGAGAGAAAATGTAAAGGACTTAATGTCCGTAGAAGAAACAGAGAAAGTTATCAAAGCTCCAAAGAAAAGCAGCAGACCTAAATAAACTGTTAGAGAACATTTTTAAATTAATATTTTATTTTTGTCAAATAAATATATGCAAGTGTTTATATATAAAGTAGGATTAACTTCTTCACCGGTTTCTTCTGACATTTATCTTCTCATGCTTAGCATGTTTATATTGCTAATTCTTGATTGATCACTTTGGACATCATCTATTGATAACAATTTTTTCCTCTGTGGAATTTTGGATATATTTTTAATTTTATAACAGTTTTAGATTTACAGAAAAATTGCATATGTGGTCAGAAATTCCTCCATGCCCCACACTCAGTTTTCCCTATTATTAACACTTTGCATTAGTATGATATATTAATAAACCAATATTGTTATATGATTATTAATTAAAGGCCATGCTTCATTAAGATTTTCTTGCATTTTACCTAATATCCTTTTTCTACTCAAGGATTCCATCCAGGACACCACATTACATTTAGTTTTCATTTTTCTTAGACTCCTCTTGGCTGTGCAAGTTTCTAAGACTTTCCTTGTTTTTTGTTTTTTTTTGTTTGTTTGTTTGTTTGTTTTTTGAGATGGAGTTTCACTCTGTCGCTCAGATTGGAGTGCAGTGGAACTATCGCAGCTCACTGCAACCTCCAATTCCCCTGCCTCAGCCTCCTGAGTAGCTGGGGATTACAGGCACACGCCACCAGGCCTGGCTAATTTTTGTATTTTTAGTAGAGACAAGGTTTCACCATGTTGGCCAGACTGGTCTTGAACTCCTCACCTCAGGTGATCCCATCTGCCTTGACCTCCCAAAATGCTGGGATTACAGGTGTGAGCCACCACTCCTGGCTGACTTTCCTTGTTTTTGATGACCTTAACAGTTTTGAAGAGTAGTTTTCAAGTATTTTGCAGACTGTCCCTCAATTGAGATTGGTCTAATGTCTTCCTGTGGAAAGATTGAGGTTATGAGATTTGGGGAGGAAGACCAGGAAAGTAAAATGCCCTCTTTATCACATCATATGAGGGGTACCTACTATCTACATAACTTACGACTGCTGATGCTGACCTTGATCACCTGGCTGAAGTAGTGTTTGACAGGTTTTCCCATTATGAAGTTATTTTTTTCCCTACTTTTTAATACTGCACTCTTTAGAAGGAAAGTCCCTGTGCACACCCTGTCCTTGAGGAGCCGGGAGCTATGGTCCACCTACTTATGGGTAGAATATTTACATAAATTGTCTGAAACTCATATGCATCATGTATTTGCCTCTTCTGCCCCTATTTATTTATTTAATCACTTATTTATATCAGTATAATTCAATGCTACTTTATTTTGTTGCTTAAATTTTTAGAGCTTTGCCTATTGAAAAACTTTCCACTGGCTTCTGTGTCTTGCATACTTTCATCATTGCGCAATTCTTTTTTTAGCACACTTTCTGGCACTACAATTTATTCCAGGCTCATCTTATATATTTCCTGAACCAATCTCACTTTTCCAAGGAGCAGGGCAATTTTTAAACGGCAGATAAGGCCTCATACTACTTAAACTGTTTCTGATAATATTAAAAGAAGCACAATGTCCCAATTATTTTGGAAATGAATAACTCACTAGTTGACAAGTGAATAAGACTGTTGGCAAAACATGACATACATTGGACAAAAATATAAATTAACAATGTTACTTATCAAACTTGATGTACTTATCTTAAACAAAGGGTTGGAAAACTGATTTCAGCAGCATGATATGTAGCATTTATTCCAGGAATGCAAAGGTCCTCCATTATTAGGAAATTCATCATATTAATGGGCCTAAGGGATGCAAATTATGTAGTCATCTCCATAAATGTTGAAATAAATTTGAAAAAATTTAACATATAGATCTTATTTTAAAACTCTCAACAAAAATTAATAAGAACACTCACAACTTCATTAAAAATGTGCAAAACATTTGAACAGACACTTCACCAAAGAAAATATATGAATGGCAAAAGCACATAGGAAGAAATTGCTGCATCATAAATCACTAGCGAAAATGCAAAGTAAAGTTGTAATAAGACAACACTAGACAGGTTAAAATTGAAAGACTGACATACCAGCTGTTGATGAAGATGTGGAGACACTAACTTTTACTCATAGCTGATGGAAATGCAAGAGGGTAACCACTTTGGAAAACATTTTGGTAGTTTCTCAAAGCATTAATCCTATGCCTACAATATGGGCCAGTAATTGCACTCATAGATATTTACTTAGGAGAAATAAAAACATACGTTGACATAAAGACTTGTGCAAAACTCTTCATAACTACTTCCTTTGTAATAATTAAAACTAGAAACTATCTGTCCATAAAGAGATAGATGGATAAATAAATTGTGATATAGTTGTAGAATGGAAAACTACTCAGCAATAAAAAGTAATAAGCTACTGATGTACACAACATAAAAACCCAGATGAATCTCAAAGTTATGCTAAGTAAATGAAGTTGGACTCCCCCCATCACCAAAAAAGCACATACTGAATGGTTCTCTTCAGATAAAATTCTGTAAAGGGCAAAGTAACCTATAGTGATAGAAAGCCTTGATTACGTGGGGAAGAGGGTGGGGAAGGAGCAATTCCAAAGGTGTTTGAGTACACACTTGGGGGTGATGAGTATATTTATTGTGTTATTGGGATAATGTATAGTATAAATACATCTAAATGTATCAAATTGTACGCTTTAAATATGTGCAGTACACCAATTAGACCTCCATAAAGTTATAAAAGAAATTTTTAAATCCTCAATAATATTGCAATATATAAACCCTTCTTCAATATGATATTGACATAGAAATATTGGAAATATAGATAATTACAAATAGATACATGGATATAGACATATAGCTTTATATATAAGATATACATACATATTTTTGGCTATGGATACAGATATAAATGTAAACATATATAGGTTTATAGATTATGTAGATAGAGAGTTACAGTAAGTTCACTCATTCTTCTACCCAAAAACCAGCATAAACTTATTGGAGAGGCAGTAGAGTCACATCACTATATTCTGAAATATGACAAGGATGCCCGCTGTGACCACTATTTTTCAACACTGTACTGGAGTAAAAATAAAAGGAAGGGAAGCAAATACTTTCATTACAGCAGTGAGAGTATATAATTGATTACCAGAAAATCCAAGAGAGTCAAGTTAAAAAAAAAGCCTACAAATAATAATTCTATAATGACATAATAGTGAGATAGTAGGCTTTGAACCCAATAAACATAAATCAATATGTACAAACAATGAATAATTGGAAAAGATAATGAAAGAAATCACTCCCATTAATAACAGAACCAAAAAAGATGAAATGCCAGGGACTAAAGTTAATAAAAGATATGCAAAACCTTTACAAAAAAACTTTAAAACGCTGTTGAAGGACATAAGTAAGTTCTGAACAAATGAAAACAAAAGTTCAGAAAAAGATTTTAGAAAGGAAAACTCAACATAATAAAGATATCAAATCTCCTTTATTTTATTTATATATTAAATGAGATTGCAATTTAAAAATACTAAAATTGTTTTGTTTGTTTTGCTTTTGGAACTAGACAAAGGTGCTTCTAAAATTCACACAAAATAAATGTAAAAATGTTTTAAAAAATAAAAGAGTGAATAATGATTGACCATATTGGATATAAAACTATATTTTAAAGACTATTAAAACATATGACATCAGCACATCAATGTATAGAGTAATCAAAGGAAAAGATTTGAAAGTTCAAAAATAGGCACAGATAAATTCAGAAATGTAGCATATGACGTTGGAATCTCAATTAGCCAAACAAGATCTCTTCAATAAATGATGTTGGAACTTCTGAGTAGTGATCAGAAAAAAAAAAAATGTTGAATTCTTACCTCACTCCATTTACCAGAAGAAAATCCAAATACATTAAAGCTTTAAAGCATAAATATGAAAGTATAAAAAGAAAATAAAAAACAGGTAGATTTCTTTATAACCGTGGTATCACAAAGCTGTATCTGTCTGATTCAAAGTCCACAAACTAAGCACACGGAAAAAGATTGATAGGTTCAATCACATTGAAAATAAAATAAAATATTTATTAGGGGTCAAAAACATCAAAAGAAAATCAGATGATAGATAACAAAATTGGAAAAATGTTTACAAGTCACATTATAGATAAAGGGCTACTTTCTCACAATCAAATATGTAAGTTAAAATAATCACGTTATTAAACTGCACTCTAGCCTGGCAACAGAACAAGACTCTGTCTCAAAAAAAAAGCAAGATGTCAAAAAAGTGATATGAATAAACCCTTTGCAGCAACAGCGAGAATCACAACTCACTCATAATCCCAGAAACAGTGATGCAAATTATACTGTGGTGCCATTTTTTACCTGTCAGATTGGAAAAATGTATGAAGTTATACTAACACACTCTCAAGCATACCTAGTCGGAAAGGCCAATTGGAGTGATCCCTTTGGAGGGAATTTAGCAATGCCATCAAATTTAACAATGCGCCTGCCTCTCGATTCACTAAGAAATAATTTTTTTTTGTAGTCTAAGTATGTCCCAAATATTGCATGGGACATACTTATACTGATTATTTATTGTTCATCTGAAATTCAAATTCCGCTGAGTATCTTATATTTTTGTCTGGCAACTCCACCATAAAAATTTCTGTCTATGTTCATATGTTCATAATCTCTGCTCAAAATTCACTCCCTATCTTGGGGGCATTGTTCTAAGACAAATGGGCGGCAGCCTGGTGTTCACTTATCGCAAAGCTAGTGGTCTTAAGCAAGCTGTAATGTCTCTTCTTATGTAAAATGAGACCATTAGCCTGGATGATCTTAATGGCTCCTTCCAGCTGTAATTTTCAGGATTTCTTCATCACACTGGTTCCTGTGACCATGTTCTTGATACTCTCCTTGAGAGACAGAACTTTCACAGTTTAAGTTTTGTTTGTTTGTTTTAATACAAAATGATGAAGTGGGGTCACTGGGGCCATGGATTTTGGCAGTGGACTATCTCAGTGATTTCCTGTGTCATACTACCTAGATGAAACTGGCAAACCCTGCAGATCACAACCACGACAAACCAGAGCTACGTTTGTATTTGGATCCACTCATTTGAGACAAAAATTACAGTCAAAACTCTAAATTCCAGGAAGGGCGTTTCACTGCACGTGGGAACAGTTTCAAGAAATCAAGATCTTGAGAACAGAAATGAAACAAATGAAACAGCATTTTTGTTTGTTTGTTTGTTTTGTTTTGTTTTGTTTTGTTTTTCGAATTTCCAGAACTGTACTGTTGAAAAGAAACTGATGATAACAATACCCTTAACAATTAACAATTTCACAAGTTATTTTTCACATACTTTGTCTCATGTGACTATTCTACCTTCCTTGTGGGCAATGACAGATTTGGTTATTATTTCCCAGAGAAAAGCAACCAAAAGACACAACACTTATGTGTGGGGAAACTAAGACTCACATCCCGGATTTCCAATTCCAGGCCTGGTTCCACCACTCCTTATGATCAAACAGACTTGACTCCATGCAGCTGACATTAGAGTTACAGAAACTAAAGAAAGAGACAATTTCTGAATCTTCAGGGAGAAGAATATTCCAAGAATCATAACTGTCAGAGTGGGCATGGGCTGTTTCTAGAAGTAGAGAGTTCTGTGCCACTGGAGGATTTTAAACAGAAGCCAGGAAAATTGTCTTGGGGAACGGTTAAAAGAGATACATGAAAAGCACAGAAGTTGGGACCAAATAATTTGCAATACTATTTATAATTCAGACCTCATAATCTAATGCTAAACACTCAGCCCATTCCCTGCCCTCCCCTCAACACCAAACTATGAAGGAGAATGGAGGAATGAATTCTTTTCTTATTAATTCTCCCCAGGCTTATTCCTACTCCACTCCCGAACTTCTACAGGTGCATTTTCTATGAAAGCAGCTTACCATACTTCACATCATTGTCTTTACCTGCCCGTTTTTCGCACTACATGTGAGATCTCAGATGGCAGGGGTCCCTCTAACATATCCTGTACCCCCAGCACTTCCCATGGAGGACTGAGGATGTTCTTTCTAAGAAAATGCTTGCTGACTAATTGAACTTCTTGGCTGAACTGACAATGAGCAAACTCACTCGGCGTCTTTTTGACATGCTTTTGTTTATTTTACCAAATGTTCCTCTCATATCTTCTCATCAGTTTCTCTTTCACTTCTTCACACATAATCTATCCTGCATATTCTATCCTTTGAAAAAACATTTGTTTGTTTGTTTTGTCCCAGTCACGGTCCTCTTGCCCCTTACAAGCAGGAAATGACAGGGAATATGGACTTCCCTTCCCCCTGGGAGAGTCTTTTAAGCTCAAAGTCAGTAACCAATCGGTACTATTTATTTAGCAGAGGTAAATTACGAATCATGTTTCTGAGATATTGATAAAAATAGTGATTAGCAATTGCTTGGTTAATAGAGAAGAAAAAGGTCTGGCCTACGCCTAATGGGAGTTGACAGGGTTGTTTTATTAATGTTGCTAATTGATTCTTGATTTAGGTGGAAGCCATCTTAGTTGAAAAGATGGCCTCTAACAGGTATGGACAGCTAGTAATGAAGACCTTTCAATTAACATGGCAGATGCTTTCAATGTATACATTTGTCAAGTTCCAGAAAAATTATTCAAACTAAAGTACTGATTTTGAGCAGACCTGCTTAAAACAGTCTATAAAAAAAAAGAGAGAGAGAGAAAGAAAAAGAAAAAAGAGCAAATCGATTGTCTTCCGTTGTTACCTAGTAGTCACATTTATTTCCATGATGAGTTTCACATCCTTGGCCTCATTGGTACCTTTGGTGTATTGCTCATACATGTATACAAAATAGAACAACAAGAAAAGGCTATATGAAGCACGTAACTCCAGCATATGATTCTTTAAAGAAGATTTTTACCTGGGCAGGTAAAGGTTGTAATTCTATAGCTGAGTGTGCTACATAGACTTTACTTAGTTATTAAACATGCATATAGTGTTTATCATGAATCTAGCTTGTCAGCTGAATTAATCATTCTAACACAGTCATTGTGAGGATACATTTACTTACCTGATTTGTAGATTAGGTGGCTGAGGCTCAGAGAATTTAAGTAACTTGCCTAAGGTCACGCAACTAGTAAGCAATGGCACTGAGGTTCATCTCCAGGAAGCCTGGCTCTAGAGCCTGTACTCACCACCTCATTATCTTGCATCTCATATTTTCACAAACACTTTCCCATTGCGTACCTATTCTTGGAGGATAGGCATTATTGTTAGTTCTACTTTGTAGATGAGCAAAATGAAGATTTTTGGAGTGAGGACTTCTTGGTTGGGCATTAACTGATAAAATTAACAACTCTGAGACATGAATGTCAGCAGTCTTTCAAATTAATGCTGTCTTTTGTGTTCCCATCCAAAACTATAGCTTTTTTGTTGTTTTCTGATTATAAAGCGAATACATGTTTATGTCAAAAATCAAATATATGGAAAAATAGAAAGAAAATTCACCTGACAATTCACAAACCAAAGGTATGACTTTTAACATTTTGAATGTATTTTCAGGAATATATTTTTTTATCTGTGTGTTTATATAAATGAAACCATACTCTATCTCTCTCTCTCTACTCTCTCTCTCTCTATATATGTATATGTATATATATATATGTATATGTGTGTGTGTATATATATATATGTATATATGTGTGTATATATATATATATACATTTTTTTTTTTTTGGGACGGAGTTTCCCTTTTGTTGCCCAGGCTGTAGTACAATGGCATGATGTCTACTCACTGCAACCTCCACCTCCCGAGTTCAAGCGATTCTCCTGCCTCAGCCTCCTGAGTAGCTGGGATTACAGGCTCCCACCATCATGCCCGGCTGATTTTGTATTTTTAGTAGAGACAGGGTTTCTCCATGTTGGTCAGGGTGGTCTCAAACACCCGACCTCAGGTGATCTGCCGGCCTCAGCCTCCCAAAGTGCTGGGATTACAGGCATGAGCCATTGCACCTGGCCTTCAAATTAATGCTATCTTTTGTGTTTCCATCCAAAAATATAGCTTTTGTTGTTGTTGTTTTCTGATTATAAAATGAATATATGTTTATGTCAAAAATCAAATATATGGAAAAAATAGAAAATTCACCTGACAATTCACAAACCAAAGGTATGCTTTAACATTTTGAACATATTTTCAGGAATATATTTTTGTGATCTGTGTGTTTATATCAATGAAACCATACTATATTTTTTAAATGCTGTTTTATAACCAAATCTATCCCTCAACAATGGGTCACTGAAATCTTCATTGTCATTGTAGAGCTATATCTGCCTGCTCAGTGACTACATATTAGTCCATTGAATATATATACCATAATTTATTTAAACAAAATCTTCCGGTAAATATTCATGTCATCACTTTATTTTAAATTATAGAAGCAGTCCCAGACTGCTTATGATTTTTAAGGCCTCAATGAATTCACTTTGCATATATAGATGACCCTCGGAGAAAATCCCCCATAGAAGAGCCCTCCTAACTGTTTTCAGGAGTAAAGAGGAAAGAGATGCGTCTTCCATGGTCCCTTCTGAGGCTGAAAACGATTAAACTGTGTCTAGAGACTGAGTTGGCCCTTCTTATTGCCTAGCAGGTTGGCCCCTGAGTCCTGCAGTAAATGCAAGAGGGAATGGCTAGAGAGGAGAGATGGGACAGAAGCGAGGTGTGGTCAGTGCCCCCACCCCTGCCCAGCTCTGTATTCACATCCCCATCCTACCTAGTTTCCAGCACTTGTCACTCGATGCAGTTATAGGGGTTGAACGACTTTCTTCACTTTAGCAAAGACTGCGTTTGAAATCTGATTCCAAAGTTGGGAGACATGTGTGTTATATACCTGTTATCTAACGAAAGTTGTCGAAGTAAATTTCCTCATGGAAACACATGACGGTTACTGCTGTTCACACCAGGAAACATCATACCCACAACTTAAATAGAACTCTGGGTGGTTATTATACCAGGCTTTTTTTTTTTAATTAAAGCATCATGGAAATACCACCTTCTAATGAAATCAGTGCACTTACAGATCTTTAGTATACAGAAAGAATCGGGTGACAAAATTGGGGCAGATAGGCTTTTTTCCACAATAGAGAATAAAAAGAGAGATTTCCTATCTTGAATGCATTTAAAACTTGTATGCTATACCTATGTATTTCTTTCATTTTATCTCTAAGTCTACATCTACCTAAAGTTGCATTATTTTTTGTGTATATGTATGTTTATATATATATGGAGAGAGAGAGAAAGACAAAAAGATATTGAGATCCTTAGAGTATCTTATATATTAGCAATTTGACTTTGTCATCAAGTCTCCTCAGTGGCCAAGACTAAACAGTTGTCAAAGAATCCAGATACTAAATGAAGTGCTAAAATAAAAAGGGCCTGTGAACTTGCTCACTGTTCACTGTTCATAATTCTAAAATACCTTGGATATGAGTGGTGACGTATGAAATGTCCTAGCACACCTAAGGTGGAAATTCAGACCTTAGTTGAGTAATTTCATGTTGCATATAAATCTTAGGGAAGCAGAGAATAGACATGGCTTTCACAAAATTGTCTGGTCTGTTCTTGATATTTTCTTTTCTTAAGAAGAAAAAATACATAAATACAAATAAAAATATACATATATGAATTCAGTTATATACACATACATACATATATACATATATATACGTATCTGTCTATATATACACATATCATATGTATATAATATAAACATACCTATCAGGATATAGATGGATAGATGAATATATAGGTGGATACACACATATATATTTACCAGTTTTTAGTAGTCATCTGTATGTGGTGAACTGAGATAAGTCATCATAACAAACTAAAGTTACCAAGATAACTTGAGAGATAAGATGCATTTCTTAATTGACTACACAGAACACATCTTTGAAACACTGGAGTAATAGCATGAGCTCTTACTGTTTTAAAAAATAGTAAAGTTCTTTGTGATCTGCTGTGTGGTTTACTGTTTGGGACTCACTGCAAAAACTCTGTTTATTCATTCCTTCCATGATCAAAGGAATGGAGCTGATGAGTGTAGAGATGTTGTTAGCGAATTCTGCTTAAATATGGTGGGTTGAAAATATGCATTTCTGCTGCTTTCCTGAAAACCAAGAAAAGAAGAGTAAAAATAATATCAAAAGTATACAGTCAAAAGATGGAGAGAATTAGAAATTCAGTGTCAGCAAATGCGATGTGTTCAAACATGGAGGATGAACACGTGGCTGCTGCTCCTCCAAAGCAGAGAGGAGAGCCTCACTTTCTGCACAGGGATGACACTCAGAAACAGGCAGATTCTTGCAACAAGAAGAAGAAATGAAGAGAAATGTGATTGTCCAGTTACCTCTGGAGGCCAGAATGTGGGGTGGGCTTGAAAATTGGAATGAAATTGTAACTGAGAAAATAGCAGCAGCCCCCTCATTCTCCTTCCTTACTCTATACAGCCAGACCATTCTCTCGACCATTCTCTCCACCCACCCTCAGAGAAGATGGAGCGACAGCAGTACAGGATTGTAGGATTCCAGCCACAGGGGTCAGGTGTCAAGCTGAATAAAAAGGGACAGGATAGGTAAGTGAAAACCACTACAGAACTACGAGACCCCAGGCAAGATTTTTCCTGTCAACTCCCAGACAACTGAAAGCCTGACTTGTATACCTAGGCAGGAAATTGGAGAAATTAATCTTTAGAAAACTGACCAGCCTGAGAGAATAGAGCTGCAGTTAAGGATATTTGAGCATCTCCCAACTGTGCATAGTGAAAGCCCAGTTTGCAAGCCCTGCTTACACACACAAGGTTTCAGTCAATATTTCAGTGCCCTGTTCTTAAATATGAATGAACAATCAGGGTCTCCAAACATTTTAAGAAACTGGCTAATGTTAAAGACAGAGAACAAAGCATAAAGGAAAAAGCATAGAGGAAATAGAGCAAATAGAGTGAGTAGAAAAACACCTTAATAAAACTACAAATAAAGTTATAATGAATTTCCTAAGAGAAACTATTGTTTGTCTAAAACTATTGAGAAATAGAGAGTCCTTACAAATTAAAAATATAAAGCAAATAATTAATAATTCAATAGAAGGATTGAAAAACAGTTAAAAATTCTCCCAGAAGAAAAAAGTTTCTTCAAAGAAGATATACACATTGACAGTGAAAACATGAAAATATTCTTACACCATGAGTCGCTTAAGAATGCAAATAAAAGCCACAATAAGAGGCCGCTTTGCCTTGACTTTATGACTGAACTTTTTAAAAAGACAATAAGAAGTGTTGTTGAGAATGTGGAGCATGTTGGAGCTATGACATAGTTTGCCTACTTTGGAAAATGGTTTGAAAATGTTTAACATAGAGTTACTATATGGCCTCTGATATTGTTTGGCTCTGTATCCCTACCCAAATCTCACCTTCAATTGAATAATCCCCATGCGTCAATAGTGGGGTCAGGTGGAGATAATCGAATCATGGGGACAGTTTCCCCCATACTGTTCTCATGATAGTAAGTGAGTTCTCAAGAGATCTGATGGTTGTGTAAGGGGTTTTCCTCTTTGCTTGGCTCTCATTATCTCTCCTGCCGCCTCGTGAAGAGGTGCCTTCCACTATGATTGTAAGAGGCCTCCCCAGCCATGCTGAAACGTGAGTCAATTAAACCTCTTTTCTTTATAAATTACCCAGTCTCTGGTATGTCTTTACTAGCATCATGAAAACAGATTAATTCAGCCCCCAGTTATACTCTCAGATGTATACCCAAGAGAATTGAAAAAAAGAATGTCCACAGAAAAACTTGTGCATGAATGTTCATAGCAGCATTACTCACAATAGTCAAAAAGTGAAAACAACCCACATGTCCATCATCTGAAGAATCAATAAACACAATGTGGCATATCTGTAAAATGGAATATTGTTTGGCTGTAGAAAGAAAGGAAGTAACTTGAGCCACAAAGACATATGCTACATAAAATACACCGCCGAAAAGGACACACATGGTATGATTCTGTTTATATGAGAAGTCCAAAATAGGCAAAGCTATGGGAAAAAAAAGGAGATTGCCTCTTGCCAAGGGCTTGGAGAGCAAATACTATTAGGTATTGATGGGGTTTCTTTAGGAAATGATAAAAGTATTCTTAAATTAGAATGTAGTGGTGATGGTAGCATATCTCGGAATATACAAAAAGTCACTGAATAAGGATGAATTTTGTGGCATATGAATTATATCTCAATAAAGCTGTCATTAATAATATTTCTATTAGAAAGCAGAACAGACAAAAATACATGTGATCAGAAAGAATAAGGAGTAGAGAAAATCAATCTAGAAGATCAAACATCCAAATAATACAATCTCTAAGAAGAGAGAACCAAGGCAATAAAGGGGAGAAAATAATCAGCTAGTTAGACAGTAATATTTCCTGGAAAGGAAGGACATAAGCTTTTAGATGGAAAGGCTCACTAAGATGGAGCACAATGAGTGAGAAGAGACCCAACAGAGGCACATGATTTTCAAAACTCCCAAACATTTAAAAAGGTTTTTCTAGAGGGCTTCTGATGAGAAAAACTCAGATACCTCCAACATTTCGGGAATCAAAATGTTATTGGGATTCATAATGGAAGTATTTGGACTAAAAGAGAATAAAAAAGTAATTTGAAAATTTTGACCAAAAATAATTAGTAACCTACAATTCTATAATCAGCTATACCATCAAATAAATACATGTAGTATAAATATAGGCACCTTTCAGAAGATTTTTGAGGATGATTAAAAAACTTTTTTAAATGATAAAAAAAACAAAGAATGATGAATATGCAGAATTCAGCATGTGAGATCTAACATAAAGTATAAGTAAAGAGATTTCCCAGAATGAAGGTGTTAGAGGTCCCAGGTGGAGAGCTATGAAGTAGCTCTTGAGAACAATCAGTCTGTTGCAGGAGAAGAATGAAGGGCTCTAGAATGATCGCTTGCAAAAAATAAAAATAGTACTGATCTATTTCATTTGGTATTTGACCATAGAGAGAAGAGTTTCATAGTTTTGTGAAAAAGTGGTTGGCACTTAAAAACCAAGAAAAATGGAATCAAATTATGAGGCAATTATCACACTCAACAAAAGGCTGTAAAGAAAATGTAATCATAGGATTCTAAGTGACTCAGCTGTGAACATTATTTTTACAGTCTTTAGGAGAACACCAAATATAGTTGACCTTTGAACAACATGGAAGTTGTCGTGCTGACCCCCTACACACTTAATAATGTATGTATAACTTTTAAGTCCCTCAAAACTTAACTACTACTAGCCTACTGTTGGCTAGAAGTCTTACCAATAACAGATGAACACATATTTTTTGTATATGTATTATGTACTTTGTTCTTACAACAAAGTAACCTAGAGAGAAGAAAATGTTAAGGAAATCATAAGGAGAAAATATATTTGCTATTGGAATATACTTTTTACAAAGTGGAAGTGGATCATCATAAGGGTCTTCATCCTCATTCACATTCATGTTGAGTGGGCTGAGAAGGAGGAGGAGGAGAAGGAGGAGGGGTTGGTCTTGCTGTCTCAGGAGTAGCAGAGGAGGAAGAAAGTCAATGTGTAAGTGAACCCAGGCAGTTCAAACCTGGGTTGGTCAATGGTCAGCTGTATTGAAATAACCCCAAATTATGCTATAATACTACTTTGAAAATGTAGAGAACAGAGCTGTGTACAGGAAGGACCACGTAAGGGAGAAAATGTCAAAAAAGTGAAAAGCATTTAAAGAAATGGCAGTGATATAAGGTATGTTACTTTAAAATACAGAGGTACGGTTGGGTGCAGTGGCTCACGTCTGCAATCCCAGCACTTTGGGAGGCAGAGGAGGGCAGATCACTTGAGGCCAAAAGTTCGAGACTAGCCTGGCCAACAGGCTACTTAAAAAAAAAAAAAAGACAAAAATTAGCCGAGCATGGTGGTGCATGCTTGTAATCCTAGCTACTTGGGAGGCTGAGGCAGGAGGATCACTTGAACCTGGGAGGGGGATGTTGCAATGAGGCAAGATCTCGCCACTACATTCCAGCCTGGGCGACAGAGTGAGACCCTGTCTCAAAAATAAATGTATTAATTAATTGAATTAAATTAAATTAAATACAGAGGTATAAATACCAGCAGGGACAGATACAAAATGGTAAGTGGATGTTCTTAGGAGCTGATTATGGGTAGCAAAACGCGGTAAAATGGACTGCTTTGTTGTTACTAAGTTTAAAACACAATTTAACTTTTAAAAAGAGTCTGTGCAATAATTTGATCAGAACTTTAAATAAGTAAAATAAATTGAGTTGGACCCCACAAAAGGTAAGGAATAAATGGGGCACAGATATAGAGGTCAGAGCTTATGGACAATGCTGGCCTCTTCTGCTTGTCACACAGGTGGCACTGGAATTAACCTGAGCAGCCACTTAACCTGGGCAGGTTTCTCATCCTCTCACCTGCACTTTCTAAACTCACACTGTTGCAAAGTGCCCGTGAGGTAATGCATGTGTGACTTCTTGTAAGCTCTACAAGTGTGAGTGGATATTATCAATAACCGCTACAATTTATTTATTTGTTCTTTCATTCATTTACCCATTTATTTTTGAAACATGAAATGCCTAAGATGACATTAGGTACAGTTACCATAAATGGGTAATTTTATATTGTACACAAATATGGGCATCCCAAAGAACTGACACCAGGAAGTCAAAATGAATACAATTCCCAAATTACCATGAAAAGGTACTGATTTTCTCTTTTGGGCTTCATGCGGAGACATTGTTGCACAACTCAGAAGTGAGAAGTCTCCTAACTGACCAATCATTTTCTACTTTTACCCATGTAGTTCACTCTCCAAAAAGCTCATTTTGTAATTTGAAAGGTTATACTTGAAGGTGCCTTACTGAATTGTTTAGTAGATTGAGATCCCAATTTTGGCTGCAGGATCTACAATCATTGATGAAATGAATCATTTCTCACTCCCCTGGAAGATGTCACTTGGAAAACAACTTGCTCATTTTCTTAGTCTTTTAGACTTAGGACTATCAATCTTCCCCAAGGATTAGATCAATGGGATTAATAGAAGGTATAAGATAATAGTAATGAGATCCCTATGAGGTATAAGAGGATATATATTTGAACAGAGGCATTATGCATTTTGGGTGGACAATTTGCCATTGTAGTCATGGAGAATCCCTCATCTAGTCAAATCCTCTCATTTTGTAGGTGAGGAAACTTAGTGTTAGAGAGGTGAAGTGATTTGATTTGTTCATGGCCACTTACGTTTTTAAATGAATGAGCGCTTCAGTGCCAAAAACCAGCCAGGGCATTTTTAAGAATTTTTGATAAGATGCATTTTCAAATGTAAGTATGTAAATGATGATAAATGAATAGCCAATGATTAGAGTTAATATTGATTGTAGATGCTAATTAATTGTGCTAAATGCTTTATTTACAATCGACTCTCCAAAGCCCTCATGTGGAGGTACTATTAACCTTTTTCCAGAATGAGACAGGTGCAGGGCAAGGCTTGCTGATTGAGAGGAATTAAGTGACTTGTCCAGTGTGGGCGGCTTTACTGAAGTCCAAGGCAAGATTCAAACCCAGGCCTGCTGAGTGCCTTGCCACTAAAGTCTCTGTCCTAGATCCCACTGTGACATAGTGTACTGAGAAGTGAGCAGGGCAGTCGCTAGTCACCGGGGCCTGGAGAGCATGCTCAGGCACAGTAGGTCTGTGGGAAGAGCTGCTCTCGCTGAACACTACAGGGGTGCAACACAGGATACCCTCCAGGAATTCTGACAATTTGACGGTGTGCTGGGCACAGTGCTAACTGCTGCTGATGCAGTTTTGAGCAAAGCAGATATTCATTCTCTTTTTGTCTTCATGGAGCTTATATCACGTAGTTACACATCCAATATGTATATTTCAAATAGCGTTAAGAGCAATGAAGGGAACTGCCAGGACCTGGGAGGGAGCAGATCAGAGGGTGGACTGAATGTGGCCATCAAGAAAGTTTTCCATGAGAGCATGGCATCTGTGTGCGGACAGTGGCAATGGCCATCTGGGTAGTTTGGAAACTGATGAAATAATCTGGGTCTTGGAGGTGGCGGCAGGTGCAGTGACTTTAGCAGGAGCCACCTTGAGTCTGGGAGGGCCTGGGTTTCCCTGCAGCACACGCTTATGTGCAGCACACTGGCGGGCATCCCAGGAATTCCTCGATTGTTCTGCCTCAGGAGCTTGAGGAGAGGAGCCAGGATTGGCACTGAGAGCTGAATCAGCTCCTCTGGGAATTTCCTCGGCATTCCATAAAGGAGGTCCCTAAATGGAAGAGAGAATTGGATCACCTGCTAGTGTGGGCAGCTTTGGGACCCCGTTAAGCAGTGTAGTGGCTGAATTCCCAGAACCTTGATTGCTATCTTATTTGGAAAAGTAGATCTTTGCAGAAGTGATTAAGTTAAAGATTCTGAGATGAGGAGATTACCCTCGATTATCTGGGTGGCCCCTTAACTTAATGACAGGTGTCCTTATCAGAGAGAAAAGCAGGAGGTTAGATGCGGAAGACGAGCAAGCAGCCTGAACTCGGAGGTGGAGATCAGAGGGATGAGGCCACAGGTCAGAAGCTGGGAGAAGCAAAGAATTCCTTCTTTCCTAGAGCCTCCACAGAGAAGTGAGCACAGCCCAGCCGACATGTGGAGTTCTGATTCCTGGCCTCAACACTTTGCGTGTATAAATTTCTGTTGCTTTAAGCCACCCCTTTGTGGTCATTAGTTACAGGAACTTCTGAAAATTAATATAGCAGGTGACATTTAAAAATATTCCTGTTAAGGTGGACTCACCAGCTACTATAAGAATATTATGCCATTACTGTATTGCATTTTATTTTTCAATTGCACTTCGAGAGTGGGAGGCTAAGGTAATCATACCCTATAGTATGTTCATGGTGCATTACTGCTACCTGTCATTCATTCATTCATTCATCTATTTCATCCCCATACTCCATTCTCAGAATCCCCATCCATCTTCAGTGTATTCAACGAATTCTTGTAAAATGAATTTTGCTTTCTGTGCGTGTATTTTAATTTGCATAAATGTTGCATTTTAAAACATTTTCTATTTTTTTTCACTCATGTTTTAAGGTGTCCTCCCATGTGTACGTCCAACCTGTTGGTTTTAAGTGCTTCATGGTCCTCTACAGTCTATACAGCCCCTCTTGACGGTCTGCTTTGCCTGTGATGGCCC
Organism: Homo sapiens; assembly: GCF_000001405.40. Taxonomy (NCBI): domain Eukaryota; kingdom Metazoa; phylum Chordata; class Mammalia; order Primates; family Hominidae; genus Homo; species Homo sapiens. Next base: position 98,421,394 of record NC_000014.9, on the reverse strand, counting down.
CATGCTGCCTGCAGTGTTTTCCCAGTACACATGCTGCTGGGGTGAATGTCTGCAGGCCAGTCCCCTTGCGGGTTGTAAGAATCTATTTGGGCCATAATATCTTGGGATGGCATTTATTAAGCATGCATTATGTGCCAAGCATGGTGTAAAGCACTTTCCACCTCTTTTAAGCATTTATTTTTCCAACTCCACTTGACATTCATGTAATTAAGGAGTGAAGGCTTTTAGGACCATGACAAAACCACCCTCAGCAAGAAATAAAACTGGGATTCAGACCAGATGTGTTTGACCCAGGAAATAAATGCTGCTTTTCAAACTTTCGAACTTTAAACATGATTCTTTAAATTTCAAGTCATTGAAACTCCATATCCAGCAGATTTGTTGTTAATGATTGGATGATAATACTTCCTCATATTTGCATATGATGTATGGTTTAAAAAGAACATATATATCATCTTATTAAATCTTCGCAGAGAAAACGGAGAGAGGAGTTACATGTTATTTCCAGAAACACACAGCTGATAATGGGATTCAGACTCAAGATCAGGTCCTCTAACTCCGAGTTCAGCCATCATTTTTCACAGTATAAAAGCAGATGGTATGTTCACCTTTGGAGACAAGGTTGATTTTTGGATCATGAAAAGTAAATAAATATTGTTTGTGATTGACGTAGTCCAACATTTCCCACGTGATGCTCAGTTCACTGAGAGGCACTGTGTCCATCAAAGACCAATAGTCCATCCCTCAACCTCTATGGCTGAGGGAGATGAAGTCCTCCCTGGACATGCACTCCTGTGTCTGTTCACACTGATTTATAAGCCAGGAGAGACCTCACTGCTGTGTACATTTCTCATGGCAACATTGGAATAAGTAGACTAGAGGCCTGGTGGAAGCAATGGCTGTACTAAACAAATTAGTTGTAGAACCAAATTTCAGGGAAAATATTTAAACTACCTAAGAGCACACACTGTTTTCAAGCATCCTCAAGCACTTCCCAAGCATCCTTTGCCATCCAAACAAATGACGGACTAATTACAAGCCATTCTTATCTGTTCATTAAGCCTCATCCTCTGAAGGCTGCTACTTAACCGTAGGCTGGCCTACTTCTGGCTAGTGTGTGTCCTTGAAGGAGATAAAATTGGATTTCTTTAAAGATATTTTCTAGATCCAATTTCTCACCATTCAGTGGGAAGGTCCTTCAGATAATGAGTCTGAATTGGTGAGGTTTTGTGGTCACTGTGCTTTAATGTCTTATTCACGTTGCCCAGAACTCACCAATTGAAGAAATGCGAATCTGTGATGGCATTCTCCCAAATTGTGCACCACTTACGGATTATTTGGAAGAGCTTAAATTGTAGCCTTGATTGAGGTTTTACTTGAAAGTAAGTATGACAGGGGAAAAAGCAAGAGATGGCCAAATACTTGGAAAGGAAAATGCCCAAATGGAATTTGAGTTTTAGGCAATTTTAGGATTCTCTCTGCTTCGTCGTTGGTCCACTAACCAAGGCTACTCCACCCGTGTCTCATGCTCAGCCAATAATTACAAACAAGTCAGAAATCTCTGCTGTCCAAGGCACTCCTGGAGCTCCCTGCTCATCCCCTGCCTGTGGAACCCGGCCAGCATGACCTCAGCCCATCACTGTGGCCCGCATCTTGTGGCTTGGGACCTGAACCTGGGCCCCAGGCCTGTCTTCTCCCCATTTTTGATTATGTTTGCTACCATTTCCCCTGCTTTTGACAAATCAGTTCTTCGTTGCCTCACTGTAAAGCTCCAGGACTCTCTGGGCTTCATACAGCATTTAGGCTCCCCTGCTAGAGGGAACACTCCTATTTTGGGTTCTTGGTTAAAGCCTCGCTAGATGTGGTTAGTCCCTTCTTTGCAAGGTGGGTTCTTGGAGAGTGCATTAGTTTCCTAGGGCTGTAATGACACAGTGCCAGAAAGTTGGTGTCTTAAAGCATCAGAAATTTATTCTTTCCCAGTTTTGGAAGCCCAAAGTCAGAATACAAGGTGTTGGCAGGGCCATATTCTCCCTGAAGACTGTGATAGAGGATAGTTTTTTGTTTTGTTTTGTTTGCCTCTTCCTCACTTTTTTTGTGGTTGCTGGTAAACTTTGGTGTTCCTTGGCTTCATTCTCTGCCTCCATCTTCACATGGCGTCTCCCTTTGTGTGTCTCTTCACTGTAATTCAGTATAACCTCATTTTAACTTAATTGATTATAACTGCAAAGACCCTGTTTCCAAATAAGGCCACATTGTGAGGTTCCAGATAGACCTAAATTTTGGAGAGGCACTGTTCAATCCAATACAGAGAGATACCAATACTTACATCACATAAGATGACCACTCTGGGATACTGGTATATATACAGGGTGGGAGAGGATGAAAGTTTTCATTTATCCATCCATCTATTCATCTATCCATCTATCCAATGTATATTTGTTAAACAATACTTATGGACTAAAGTACAGTTTTATACCAATAAAACCAGCAATCCTAGACCCTTCTCTCAAGATATTTATAGTTCAGAACTAGTGATAAGCAATGAAAACAACCAAAAGCGTTTCAAGAGAAGATGGCCACAAATCAGGTGTGATGTGGATTCAGGCCAGGAAGCGACCACATCCAGCAAAATAAATGAGGTAAGACTTTGTGGAAGAGATGCATTTTGAACATCATCTCAAGATTTATAAGCATATAAAAAGGGCTTAGGAGAAAAGAACTACAATGACTGAGATCTATGTAAACTTGGGTCAAAAAAGTATCTCATTATTTTATCTGAACAAAGTTTGTTTCTTAGAAAATTCTGTGTGCAGTTGGATGGTAACATTTTCCTTCACACATCAGTATTTTCAGAAGAGCAAATGTGCCCAACCACTTCTCCTATTGTCTGCCCACAGAATATAAAGGTCATGGTGTCTGCTGTTGTAAATTTCCTGGGATGAGGGATCCATCAAGATATTTCCATGTGTATAATAAACTACCAAGGACAAAGTTCAAGACTGAGAGTAACTTGGGCTATAAGTGACTTACTTTCCCACAATCAATTATTAAGATGATTACACCATGTCTTGAGAATACATTGCTAAATGAAAGAATCTCTCAGAGAATGTACAGTCATGATTTTTCCATAAAATTACACAAAAATCGAGCACACAGAAATCTTATCCATTAGAAACTAGCAATACAGCTTGGATGTCTAGTAATTAGAAACAGCAGTCTTTCTACAAGGCTCAAAGATATTCAGATATCACAAATATAGCTTTCTTAAATATGTACACACACACACACACACACACACACACACTCTCTCACACACACATGCACACACACAGAGGAAACCTTTGGATCCATGCCAGACTTGGTGAAAATACCCATTCCGTTCCAAGCAGAATGCTCTGGCAGGGAGTTAAAGACCTCACTGTTGGGAGCATCTTAGATGGATTATCCATGTGCTTACAGCTCAAGTTCTACTCCCCAGTCTTCTAAACAAATAAATAATTGAAGCCCATTACCACTTTTTGGGCTGTCTTCACTTGCTTCTTCGGCTCCCATCAAAGCCAAGCTCCATGTCAAAGGCAGCAGCCACCTTGAGGAGAGTCTCAGGGAGATGACTGATTAATTGCTTTTGCGTTTTGGAAGTGCATCCAAAGATGTTGTAAAATAGTGTTTGTTTTTGCTGTTGCCAAACCTTGTTTAGGAGGGCTCTGGAGGGTGACGATGATGTACTCAAGATGGTGAGAGAGGCGAGAGCAATCAGCTCAGGTATGCTTGCCAACTCTGCTTCCTGTGAAGTTTCTAAACACAGGTATGGGAGGGGCTTGAGGAGGTGGGAAGAAGTGGAGATCCACACTGGTGACTCTGGCTTCAGCAACTACAGGCCTTCTTCCGTTGGCATCGCTGGGAACTCTGCGTAAATCAAGACAACCAATTAGAGTTTCAAAAAATCCTAGATGTGCTGGCAATCAGGAGACAGAAATAGGAAACCAAGGAGAGGCTTACCCTCCTGGGCGTCGTGGGTGCCAGAGACCTTACTGAAATTCGGTAATAGATGACACGGAGCACGGACTCATTTCGTTACGGCAAATTCTGTCAACATGAGCAGGCCTCACACTGCGCTCTGCCTCTCTGCCTCTCGCTCTATCAACTCCACATGTTGCCCCAGTGGCCGTCTTTGTACTTAATAGAACTTGTCAAAACATATCTATCAGTTGTGCGGAGAGTAGACTTGGGTGGTCACAGGGGCGCTGGCCAGGGATGGACTGCAGTTCCTGGCAGCCACACGCATCCTCCTGCCCAGTTCTCGCCCAAATTAAGGGGGAATCAGCATGTACTGTTGAGTCACTGGGTTTTTAAACCGTTCTCACACCAGCAACTGCTTTTACAGCACATTGGTGTTTATTTGAAGTCCCTGATCTCTACTTTCATGTGGATATTTGGTGGTTCTAGAAACTGTGAGAGGAACAAAATGTGTTTCCATTTGCTTTGAGGAGTTTTTGATACTTCGAATATGCTTACAGACATACACACAAATATATAAAAGTATGCGGATATACATTAGTTTATATCTTTGCATGTGTATATATTAAGTAGAAGGGATGTACTCTATATATATGTGTGCACGCACACACAATACAGCAATGCTTTACGTACAAACTGATATGGACATATTATGTACACACACATCCACACATGAGTTCATATGTAAACGTGTGATAGTACTTATGGGCCAGACTGCATAAACACATAACCATTCCTGTCCTTGGACTCTCAATATAGCATGTCCTTCCAAGAAATTGGTCTGTGTGGTTCCCAGTGACATCTCCCTGCCAGGCGTCCGACTTTCCCTGAGCCATGTCCAAGGCCACTGGAATGCTTTGCGGCTGGCATCCAGCGGAGCCTCCCCCATCCACTGCTGGCCCAGGGGCGAGGGAAAGGAGTTTCTGGAATAGTTCAAGAAAATCATTGGCCAAGGAGAAATCCAGCAACACTCACCTCAGTTCCTTCCCTTTGTGCCACTGAGAATCTTCAGGGTTCCCAGATGGGATGGCAAGGTTCATCTTCTTGGTGCTACTCAGTCATTTCATCTGAAACATGTAGGGAGCACAAGGGTGTGGTGGGGCAACTTGCTGTGTGGCAGGGAGCATGGGGGTGCAGCCTGTCAGGCCTGGCTTCTGCAATTACTAGCTGCGAGGTCTTGAACAAATCAGTTTCCTTATTGGCAAAATGAGGCTAATAATACTGTGTTATCCAGGGAAGTAATACTAGCTACGGTAACAAACAACCTTCAAATGTCAGCGGCTTAATACAAGCTTTACTTCTTGCTCATGTCATAATCCAATGGGGGTGAGCACAGCAGGAGGTGGGACAGAACATTCTGCTTCACAGAGCTGTTTCGTTATCCAAGCTCCATCCTTTCCTGAGTTCTGCCTTGTGGTACAGCCTGAGTCCCCCACTGGGTCCTCTCCTCCAGCCAGCCGATATGCAAAACAGGAGGGCATGGACAAACAGAAGACTCGTTTTAGAGGACAAGACTGGGAGTGGCGTGTGTCACTTTCAGCCATGTTCCAGTGGCCAGAAATTAATCTCAGGGACCAACCTTTCTGCAGAGGAATCTGGGAAATTTTTTAGCTGAGTGTCAGGAGACAAATGAAAGGGGTTGTGTCAGCAACAGTGTGGCGGGTTGTGAGGATTGTATGAGAACACGTATTGAAAGCTTTCACTGTGGTGCTTATCGCAGGTACTCAAGTCATTCTATCTACATTCATTATTATTATGTTCAGCATTTGTCAGCCAGAAAAGAAATGTTTTGTAACATTTTAATGTCATATTTTAAGGTGATATTTATACACAGACATACACTATGCTATATTATATTGTTCTTTAGTTACTACACTATATTTACTACAATCAGGAAATACTGTTTGTTTACATTGTGCTACATTCTGGAAGTATAATACAAGCAAAAGAAATAATACCTTCTCTCTAAAAAATATAACTTATGAAATGTGTATTCCTTGTTAGATTTTTAAAATATATATTTCATATTTCACAAGTCAGATATGAATATTTAATATATACACATATATGTTTGCATGTACACACACACACTCACACACACACACAGAGTTTATTCTTGCTTGAGGTCCAGGCATTCACCATCTACAAGGTGGCATTTCATGTTCTAGGCTTGTGTGGTGGGTCTCTTCTCCTATATTTGCAATCATATGAGAAGAGTTGTTGAGTCCTTCATACCCCACATCTCTCTGTCTGGGATCAGGGTAATAAAGGTCAAGAAAATAGGCACAAATATTGAACAGTGTGTAAGCTACCAGGGCTGGGCCGGAATTCTGATTCTGATATTTACTGGCCGTATGATGTTAGGTGAGCCACCTTCCTTCTCTAGCTTAGTTTTCTTGTCTGTAAAATGCAAAACAGCAGAAACAAACTTTAGGAGAATAATCCTGAGGATTAAATGGATAATGTAAATAAAATCCTCAGTATGAAGTACAGCACATAAAAAGGCTTGACTTAAAAGTACAGAAAACAAACAAGTGAAACTTAATGATGGCTTCTGGCATTAAGGGGCGGGGAATACACAGACCTATGGGGCAACTCTGACACCTTCATTTTCCATCTCAAATGACCTACTAACTCCAATACCAACAACAGTGGTTGGTGTCTGGGCTGACTCCTCCCAACCCTTTTTCAGGGTGGGTTTTATTGGGACAGAATGTACATTATGCCCAATTCACAGATCCTAGGGGCTTGTAATTTAATAGACCGTATTTTGCTTTTGGAACTAAATGGCCCCAGGGCTCTCTTATTCTAAATCTTAAGTGTTCCCTGATCTCTCAGACCTGCATGTACTATGTCCCCATCACTGAGAATATAAGCTGATAAAGTAGCTTCCACTTTTTTGTCTCATGGAAGACTGTGCTTTTGAGTATTCTTCATGTTTGGATTTCGTGCTGCCTCCTTACTTCTCAGCCTCGCACGCTAAATTACTCTTAACTCCCTCTGTACCTCCGGGTACCCCAAGAGAAGAGGTGACCATGTTTTTTGTTGAAGGTAGGAATGAATGAATAGCAGCATTGTAAGATACATTCTCTAGCGCATTTTCTTTTGGGATCATGAAAGGTGGATACATTTCTTCCATGTGGTGATTTGTTAAATACATATTTGTTCATTTCTCCTAAGTAACATCTCCTCCATCTGCTTCACAGAGAAACGAGAACCAGATCACAGAGCAAACTGTGCTGTTACAGGAGAACGTGGCTTTGAGCTGGAAATCCTAGGTTGGAGCCAGCAATGTGCTGCTAATTAGCCATATGAACTCAGGCAAGTTACACAAAGTTCCCAAGCCTCAGTTCCCATCTGTGTGCAGAGAGGACACTTGACTTCATAGTCTTTAAGGCTGTTTCCAGAGGTGTACTCCAGTGACCACCTGGATGCAGGTTCTGGCTTGCCTCAGGTAATCTGAGTAAGAAATCCTATGGGCGGAACCCACAAATCTGCATTTTTAACAAGCACCTAAAGTGGTTTGTCTGCCTACTTTTTCTAAAATTCCCCTTTTGCAGAAACATTGCAGGATTATAGTCCTGCAGGGTACTTGTCTTGCAAAGAAATTACTTGTAGAAATAGTTTACTACCTCACAATGTATTATGAAATTTGTCAAATTTCTCTTCAAAAAGGTCATCAATATATGTTTTTGGTTAGTATTAACAGTCTCAGCTGTTTGGTCTCTTTCCATGGGAAATCTTGCCGTATTTCCCCCCTCATTTGTCTTTTCCACCTCCCCAGCGTCCCATTGGTGTGGCTTGCATGAACTTTTATATTCCAATGGTATAGCGACAAACTGCAACCCTTGAGCAGTAAATAATTTGTTGAGCAAGCAAATTAGTGCCATGTTAAACCCATTCAAGATTATCTGGTTAGAGTTATTTTTAGCTTTTATTCTAGAAAATGCTAGCCCTATATCATAACAAACATTGCAGGCAGCATTCATCCATTCTTTCACTCAATGTTATCACTGATCTATTATGCACAAATAATAGTGATCCTCACCTTGATAAACTGTAAGGTTACAATAGCAACAGAAACAACGTTGTCCCTGTTCTCAATGAGCTCTGGCTGTTGAGGAAGACAGAGATGTAAACAGGCAATGCAAAATGCATAAAATGAGCCAAGTCTGATGTGCCTGGAGAGTACAGAACCAGGCCCTTAACCCTATCTCAGTAGTCTTGGAGGGTTACCCAGATGAAATGACAACTAAGCCAAGACCTAAAGAATTAGAAAAGCAAGGCAGAAACAAAGTTGTGCTAGGTGGGTGAAAATCAAGTGTAAATGTATTTGCAAGTTGAAGTTGGGCATCTTTATAATTTGTCCTTGACTTACTCTCTAGCTCTTTTTTACATATACAAGTTTCGTTTCCTGGCCTGAACTGTAGAACAACCAGGAGTGTCTGCTTCCTCTTCAGTGCTCCTCAATAAACCTAGTCCAAGCTTGGGTGTCTTCCTGCTATGACACTCGCTGAATTCCCAGCAGTTGTGCATTTGCAGATCCAAACACTTTTTGATATGTTCCTAGTGTGCTCTTTCACTGCACCATTCTCCCTTTCTGTTCTGTTTGTGCAACAATCTGTGCTTCCTTCTATAAAAATACTCACTAGCTCAGGGTCACAGACTCAAAAACCTCCCTGGGCCAGGCCAGTGATATGCATGCGCCATCAATCTGGGAAGGGCTACAACATAAGGGCATGGTGGGGCCTGTGAGCATCTAGACTGCACACGCCTGATGAAGGAATTCCAATTCTTTGTTTTGTTTTTCTGAAACACTGAGCCACCCAAACAGAACACCTCTGTTGGATAGATCTGGCCCACTAGTCTCCCATTATGACCTCTGTCTGTGAGGTCCCTAGGGGCAAGATGATGTGTTATTTATTTTCCAGTCCACAGGGCTTGGTGCAGAGTAGATGTCTGGGAATTGTTTGTGGTTGAATCAAATCACACTTTCCCAGGGGAGCTTTGGAAAACACCAGCTGTGCAAGTTCTGATCCACCCTGAATGATTCCTGGCTCAGTCAGATAAACGTAACTTGGTACACGGATGTGTAAGAAAGAAATGAAACTCTAAAATTACAGAAAAACTTGCCTCGGATTATTCACCTAGTAAGAGACTTAGTTGGAATTCAGACGTAGCAACGACTGACCTCAGATAACACAGTGTTTCATGTAATGTAAGGAAAAACATAAATTGCATATTCTAACAATTAGACCTGATGATTTTCTTTTCAGTTGGCTAAAATATTTGTTGAAGGTCCTTTTTATCACACCATTCTTTTGCTTAAAACTTGTCACATTGTTCTCAGTGCAAAGAACAGTGTGGCCCACAGGGCCTTGAAGGACCCTGCAGGACCCAGTACACACTACTCCCTCACTTGCTGATCCAACCACACTGGTCTTACGGCCTTCACATTTTTCTTGTTTACTCTGAATTTGCAGTTATATACCCTCTGCTGCAAATTCTTCCCTGTACAGCTCATTGCTTACATCCAACTTATTCTCCAGCTCTGAGCTTTAGAGTCTCTTGTTAAAGAAAGCAACTCCTTGCACCTCAGGGCAAGGTATAGTCCGTCTGTCCATGCTGTCATTATTCTCCATACTGTCCCTTTAAAGCATAATTACTGTTTGTGATTACATAATCCTGTGATTAACTATCTAGAGTGTTGCTTGGGCCAGCAGGGACAATGTCTATCTTGTCCCTGTTACAGCGCCAATGCCTAAGGCAGAGTTTGGCTCAGAACCAGGGATCAATACATATTTGCTGAGTGGATAAATGGAGGAAGTAGGAAGTTGCCCATGACCAAGGATGCATGAGTGTCGGCCAGTTGGCCACTCTTCAATGACCCTGCAGCTGAGTGAAGCTCATAGGTGGTGCGGAAGAGGAAGAGGTTAGCATGACTGACCCTGAAGATTTCTTCAGAGATTCTGAGTCTATGCTGTCTCTACTGAGACATTCCGAGGACACTGATGTGGTTTGTGCACTGCTTGTACCGCAGTCTGAGACCTGTACAAAGTAGGTCACGTACCGTAATATAACTCGACAAGTCACTCACGAGAGACCTGGCTGTCCCAAATAATTCAAGTCAGAGAACCAGGCTATGGCTGAATAAGCAGAGGATGAGGGTGTTTATTAAGGTGATAGAGTATAATGAACCCAGGGCAACAGAGGGATGTCTGACTTGCTGTTAGATCAGTTATCAAACTGCAACAGTGTCCCCTCTCCAGAATGGAGTGACACAAGCCTGTGACATGTTAGGTCATTCAAGGCCTGCAGTCGTGGTCCCTGGAAAACAGGCACTAAAATCTCTTTTGAAGTCTAATTTAGTGCTTGGATTTATACTGGACCTTCAGGATCACCTTGTATAGAACTAATGACAAGGTGACTTTGGGACCTCCCTTCTCCCAGCTTTCTTGTAACTATCCTGGGCTATTTCAGCCCTTCCTATTTTGAGACGAGTAGCTTCAAAAGTCAACAGAAGTTAAATACTGAATAATTTTAGTGAAACAGACAAACTTCAGTCTCACCAAAGAGGTTTTAGCAAGGGACTGACAAAACGACCTTGAGATAATGGGTTGCTCAAAAGTAAATTGATTATTATGGTTCTCCTGATTACAGACTTCTGTAGGATCACTTTTCCCAACAAGAAGACACCCAAACCTCTAGCACAGTAATAGGTATCTTATTCAATCTAGCACCAACCTGCCTCTTTATTTAGCTCTATCACTTTCCTCTCCAAACAATGTCTGCTTGTGTCCATTTCTGCAAAGAACACTTCCCAAACTACTATCTCCTCACGCTGCCATGGACAAATGCAAAAGCAAAAGTTATAGCATTTATTAAATTATTAGCTACTTATTTTCTGCAGGTCTGGGCCTCTCCTGAGGCTAAATAATCATCAAGGGCAGGAGCTTTACTTCAGTCTTTTTTAATAGTTTCTGGCAAACAGACAATATTGCATACATACTGGGGGAGCTTATTAGGGAATGAATGAATGGAGGAATGAATGCAGGACTGGGAGTCAAGGGGGTTGATCCTATGTAAAAATGTGGACTTTTCTCCAAGGGTGAAGTGAAACCACTGGATGGCTTACAAGAGAGAGTGACAGATTTGCTTTGGAGAGATCAATGTAGTCACAAGGGTGGGGCTTAGAGGGACCCATGCAGAAGGTCTAGGGGAAGCAGCTGTAGGAATCCACTAAAGACACAGTGGTGGCCAGATGAGGGCATGAAAAGAAGTTAACAAACAAGCAAGATAATTAGGGCCAATATCAACAAGACTTGGTGAATATTTGGTCATGGGTGGTAAGGATGACTTCTGGATCTCTGCCACGTACAACTGGGTAGATGGAGACAGTACTTAATAAAATGGAAAACTGTTTTAAAATATGTAAGGACTCTTTCCAGAATTACTTTGGATATGCACATTTGATCTCATAATCACATTAATATTTTATCAGTTGACTTGAGTGGCTTTTTTGGTACTCAAGGATTTGTGAGTTACATGGTTTCAGAGCATTTGCTTGTCTTTCAGTTGCCTATGAGTTTTAATTCATTAATTTTATTTATCACAATCTGCAGTTCTTTTGGTTTTGATTAGGTTGAGATTTATTTTCTTTATGAGACCTTGTCAGTCTGACAATATATTTATTTGTTTCATTCATAAAATAAAGTTGGCTACATGAAATTCTTTGAGCAACATACTGTTTTTCATGTCAGAATCACATGAAGATTGTATATTTTGGGTTGCAAAGGAAAAGTCTAGGTTTTCTCACCCACATTAATAATATAATTAGATTTACAATTCAAATTAAAAAATACATAGACATAGCTGCACATATTCATATACATTTATACTTGATTAGGGCTTAACCTTCCTTTGTTTATGGGAGTTTATAAAGCCCATAACATCAGCCCTGGCTCCCCCAAGATGAGAGAATGTTACACCAAAATTCAGTCTATTACTGCTGCCAGGGTATTCAGTAAAAGTAAGAAAATCAATCTGAGCAGATGTATGTTTATGGAAAGTAATAAATGATATTTTTAAATGTGAAATATTCCCTCTTTATTAGGCATTTCTTTATTATGTGCTGTATTGTCATTAAATTTTATAAACATTTCATCATCACATACTTTATCCTTTGAGAAATGGAAGAAAGATGAATTTATAGTTTATCAATAAGTACATTTTAACTACTTATGCGTGCATCCCAAAATACTGTTCATTAAATCTCTATTCATTTGATCGTCAAGTACTTCTCAATTCAATCGGAAAACATTTTATTGACCCCAGTTCTATTCTTGACACTGGGGATACAGGGACGGGTTTGGTTCAGGTCCCTGACTTGGAGGACCTCACAGTTTGTGGGTGAAGACTGACACGCCGACGATGACTTGTGCTGAGTGAGTGTAGCACAGGGAAGAGAGAGGCAGCCACAGAGCAGGAAATGATTTATGCTCTCCAGAGTGGTTGATGTGAGGTATGGGAGAGACTTCTAGGAAGAGGTGGTTTCTGAACTGAAATGTCACAGGGGCATGGGATTTTAAAATGTGCCCATAAAACTGTAAGTAGTTACTTATTCCTGGATCATAACATTCAAGGTAGGAGAGACAGGAGGTGATCTGGGTTAGAAGCCCCTGTGAGCCACACGAAGTCCTTTAAAATATATTTTGAGGGCTCCTCACAGCTAATCATTGGAGGCAGAGCAAGGAAAGCTAAAAATCCAAGGTGGCTGCTGAAATATATCCCACCCTGCCTTCCCCATCCTTTTTGGAAGAGAATACCAAGATCAAATATATGATAGCATCAGGATGACATTTTGGAGTTTGTTTGTTTGTTTGTTTGTTTGTTTGTTTATTAAAGGAATGTCATCTCAGGCACCATGGAGTTACAGGAGGAGAGCAGTGCCTTCCTGCATTCATTGGTGCTGGGATCGTGAGTCAATGCCAGGGTGATGGTGCCCCCTCATCAGAATACGCCCACCCTAAGCTAAGTGGGCGGCCAAAGCAGGCAGGAGCTGGCTTTCCCCTTCCAGGATCTGGGTTTTTCTTTTCACAGAGGCAATGCGATTCCGAGTGAATTGCCCAGGAAGTGAGGAAGCTGCATCTCTTTCCAGGCTGTGGCCCTGAACACCCAGGCCTGAACAATGGCTTGCCTGATAGCAACAGGCTGTGGAAGACTTATTGTGCTCTCTGAATTTTGTTTCGTGCACTGCAGTTTTTCTTTTCTGTGAAAAGAAAAAAGATCATTCTTTCCAGAATCCAGCACATTTTTCTCCTCCACAGAGTCCCTCAGCAACCTTGAAATTTGAAGCAGTTATAAAAACAACTTTGCTTCCTCACTCTGCCCTTCCGAGGCCAAGGCATGCTTTCTCAGGGACAATGGGCTAAAAGCACCCCCAGCCATCAGTTCTTCTTGTTAAAAGGAATAATGAACGCCATTTGCTGAGCATCTTTCTTGTATGTCAAATACAAAGCCAAGTTTGTTTTCCTATTTAATTAAAAATGTTCAAATTTGAATTTTGAAATAATTTAGATGTATTGAAATTGCAAAAAGAATGCAAAATTTCCTTGTACTCTTCACCTACCCCTTATACTCTTCACAGCTACCCCGACTGTGAGTGTCCACAGAACAAGGTTCACAGGCAGCACATTTACATCCACGTGGTCCTGTTGGTTCATCTCCAGCCCTCTTTCAGATCTGTCAATCTTCCTTTCTCTCTGGTCTAGGATCTGATTCGAGATCTCAGTCTGCATTTGCTTGCAAGATCCCTCATCTTTAATCTGGAACAAGCCCTCCAGTCCTTCCCATTTTTTCATGATTTTGACACTTTTGAAGGGGACTGGTCAGTTATTTTGTAAAGAACCGCTTAATTTGGGTTGCCTAATGTTTCTTCATGATTAAATTCCAGCTATACATTCCTTGAAGAAATATTATGAAAGTGATTTTGTGTCCTTCTTGATATCAAGAGCCCAGAATCACGCCATGTGTCATTGCCAGTGATGTTCACTCTTGTGAAAGTCACCTAGTGTCTGCCTGGTTTATCCACTATAAAGTTAGTATGTTTTTTCTTTGTAATCATTAAGGGTTTTATGGCACCAAATTTCGAGACTGTGAATATCCTGCTTCTCGTTATTCTTTCACCCACTCATTTTGGCAAGCATCAATGACACTTGAGTGAAAGAATTTGTACTGTAGTGTTTGCCAAACAATGATTTTAAAAAGGTTTACATTATTTTATACATTCCTAAATTGAGATTCTACTACAAGGAAGAGCCTTCCCCTTTTCTTTATTTACTTATTTGAATATTTATATCAATATGAACCCACAGGTTCTTATTTTGCTTAGGCGATAGAGCCCGTCATGACTGTCATATATCCTGTTGTTTAAATTGTCCAAGGTGTGGCCATCAGGAGCCCTTCAAGTTGGCTTCCATGTCCTTCCAACATTCCCCCATCTTTTCCATCTTTCCTGAGCACATCCTTACTTTCAGACACCACAAGGTATTCCAGGCTCATCCTATACTTCTCTTGCCTTAGTCCTAGAATCACCCACTTCTCCAGATCAATTCCTTTTATCATAGAATGATACTTAAAATTCAAAATCTGGGTTCTAGGAATCCTCGTTGTTACTCGTGGACAATACAAAGCTAGCTTTCACATGCATTGCCTTGTTTAATCTTCTCGGAAAGAATAATTGTGATGATCTTACAGATAATGAAAATGACAGCAATTGGCATGGATTAATTGGGGTTTCACAGCTAAAATGTAGAGGAATTAGAATTCAAGCTCAAGCGCTTTGGCTTGAAGAGGCAGCCTCCTTCCTGCTGTGTGATGCTAGCTCCCGGAGGATGGGGATAGGTTGGAACAGGTCAGTTCTGGGAGAGCCTGCCCTCTCCAGTTGGCCCTGGATCCTCTTCCCTATATGTTCTCCAGCTAATCTGATGGGGACCTTGAGGCTGTCTCTCTCTACAACTGCAGTTCTTATCCCTCTGAGGCCAGTGTCATCTACTTTTTGGACCCTTACCTTAGACCCTGATGCAATCTTTGATTTGCCTACAAGTTCTCCTCTTTTCTAGTTGATTCCTGTTCAGCCATCCAGTCCTTTATTTCCCTAGGAGGCCCACCTTGATAACTGCATGTTCGTAGCATCTCACTTGTAGCTAATCAATCAATTGGTTTTGTGACTCTTTGCCTAATGTATAGCTTTTTTTTTTCTGCTGGAATTTAAAATCTGAGAGAATAGAAAGAGTGGTTGACACTTTGCCTGGCATATAATGGGAGCCTAACCAATATTTGCTGAGTGAACCCATTAAAGGCTGAATGACTATTGATGCCTCTCCACACCCCTCTCTAACATGGAGCTCTTACAGAGGCTTCTACCTGTTGGACAGAGCTCTCTGGGGTTCCCAGGACCACGTTGAGGTTGAGCATTTCTCTTTGCACCCCACTTGAACTGCAGAAAGGTTAAGTACTGAAAGCAATTACACTCCTAAATGAAGTGGCCGTCTGTAATTAATTTAGGAGGCACAGGAGCTGCGGATCAGGATTGTGATTAGGGAATGGTGTGGACGAAAGTTGACTGTGCACAGCTGGTGGTGAGGAAAACAGTTGAGGCTGGTGAGTGTATTGGATCCTAGAAGAAAGAGAGGGTAAAGTCCTGTGAACTAGAGAGGGGGTGCAAAGAAGGGGCCAGCTGGGAGACACTGGAGAGTGCAAAGCCCAGAGGGAAGGGCTGGTCTCCCAGTGAAGAAAGAAGCTCTGCTGTTGAATTATTCACCCAAAGTTCTCCACTGGCTAAGCTCTATTTCCTGAAATGTCACCAACTTACATCAGGCTTGACTGCAGCCTTGGAGACTGACTGGGCCTGGGCTCACAGAGGGGTATTTGTGAAGCCTGTTGTGTAGGGACATGAGGGCAAGTTGAGGCTGTAACTCAAGGCCAGAGTCCATCATAATCTGGGATATGAGAGGGCTGATCACCTGGAATTCTACCTGCCAAAGAGTTTCATTTATGGACACTGAGAGAAGGCTCTTGTGCTTCCCCAGGCTCAGAGGAAATGCTCTCCCTTCTCTGTCTCTTCTAAACAGAAGAAAGGCAGTTCCTCTATCATCAGCAGGGATTCCCTTCTGCTTTAACTGCTTAATTGTTTAAATAAGCTTAATTGCTTAATTGGATTAATCTCTTATTCTCCCAAGGGGTATCAGCAGTGGACAAGCTGTCCATCCACTGGGGAGAGGCTTTACTGCAGCAATATCTGAGTAGGGCTGTGGCCTTCTGGTCTCTTCTATGTGTAACCTCTGGAGGGAGATAAGAATCTCTGCAGATTAGCAGAGCTTCAAGAGAGGATTAGTTGATGGGCCTTTGGAGGAAGCTACTGGGGCAAGGCTAAGTAACTGCATTCCAGGATGACAGCTAAGATTCCAGGTCCAATGCAACTTATCCTCAGTCTCCCCACAGCATCTATCTTGGTAAAGAGATAGAAGTCACATCCAAACCCAGCACCAGAGGGACAGTGCATGGACAAAAAGAGCAGTGCCATGAATAGAAACGGTGCTTCCAAAGCTGACCTGACTCCCAGGCTTGGCTTCCCTTCCTCTCCTTTCAAAGTTGGCTTCTCAAAATCCTCCCTGTGAGTCCAGCCCCCACCAGTCCCCAAGGGTGCAGTCAATCTTGATGTAAATTGGAGACATTTCAGAAAATAGGCTCAGCCAGTGGACAGCTTTGGATGAATATTCCAGCAGCAGAGCTTCTTTCTTCATTGGGAGACTAGCCCCCACCCTCTAGGCTTCCTTGCTCTTACCATGGATCCCTGTCGCATCCTACAAGCCTGAGTCCATGCTCTGGTCACTGTCACTGTCTTGATGTGTCTTGAAATATGGAATGATTAAAATCCATGAGGGTAGGGCTTGTGTCTTTCTGTTCATGGCTATGTCCCCAGAAACACACCCAGGGTCTGGCATATAGCAGGGGCTTAATCAATTTTTAGAGAATGAGTAAATGGAAGGCCTCCTATCTTTATGGCTGACAGATACACACTGTGTGACTCAGGATGGCAAAACAGAGGGGTGAGTTTTGGTCCACAACTAGGAGGGTTGGTTTAACAGTCAGTTACAGAGTCACAGATAGTATCTCCATCCCTGGGGGACTTCAGGCAGACTGCAAGCACAGCAACAAGGGAAAGAGAACTCTACAGAGTTGACCAGAGGGACCTCGTGATCTCTATAGTTCTAAGGTGTTAGCAAAAGCATAATAGTGGGTGCACAGAGCTTAGAGTCATAGAACTGGATGTGTACATTTCAATTTATTTATTTTTTGAGACATGGTCTCATTCTGTGGCCCAGGCTGGAGTGCAGTGGTGCAATCACAGCTGACTGCTGTCTCCACCTCCCAGGCTCAAGCAGTCCTGCGATCTCAGCCTCCTGAGTAGCTGGGGCCACAGACATGGGCCACCATGTCCAGCTAACTTTAATTTTTTTTTTTTTTTGGTAGAGATGGGATCTCCCTATGTTGCCCAAGATGGTCTTGAACTTCTGGTCTCAAGTGAACCCCCCACTTCAGCCTCCCAAAGTGCTGGGATTACCAGCGTGAGCTACCATGCCAGGCCTAATTTTCATTCCTAATGTTACCATTTTCCAGCTTTGCGATTGGAGAAACTCACTTACCCTTTCTGAGCTTGCACTGCCTCTGCTGTTCAAAGGGGGTCAGAAAGCCTAATTCAGAAGGTGGATGTAAGGATTAAAGGGGCTAATGATACGAAGTGCAGGGCATAGTAAGCGTTCAAGAAATGTTAGTCTCATCACTCTTCTGCTTTACCTGTGAAACAGTGGAATGGCCAGAGACCACAGATGAGAGAATGGTGTCTACTCAATCGATTTCTACTCTGCGCTTTGCATTTGGGAGGTTTTCCCCAGTGTCTATTTTCCACAGGGTCCCAGCAGGATGGCCACTGTCCTTCCTTGTCACACACAAATACATGCACACACATACATCAATTCAGACTGGGGATGTTTTTCTCATTTTGATTTTAAAAACGACATGAAAATCCATCACTCGAACTATTTTCCTTACATGTGAGGCTCAGGGGAGAAAGTTATTTGTACATAGTCAGAGGGGGCGGCTTGACACAAGGCTTCCTGGAGCCTATTTCCATGGCCTCCACCTGGATGCTGTGTGATTCGGGATCAGCTGGTCTCCAACACTGAATGAGAGCAAAGCCAACCCGGGCCTCTTCCCAAGGGGCGGGGAGTGTTTGTGAGCATTGAGAATAGATGTGCAGATTTCTGCTAAAATGTGCTAGAGGCCTCCTGGCACGTTGTTCACACTTACCTGTTACTGGACTATTTTTAGGATGTTCTGATGCCGGAGGCCGTGTAAAAGTGTTACTTTTTTTGACAGTGAATTTTGCATTTCAGCACATAAAAATTTCAAAGGAGAAAAAAACTGGCTTTTAACTTTTCTCCCTTTGCAACTTTTCTAGTCTTTACTATAATGTCCTGGGAATCATATTTATGTCAGCAAAGCAAAAGGGATTGTTTGGGAGTCTGGGGTCAGACAGCTTTAAACAATACCACCAATTGACCCTAAGGGCAGGGGGCAAACATGGCTAGTCTAGAGATTTCTCAGCCCCCAGGGCTTCATGTTCCGCAGGGCTCAGTTCAGCCAGAGCACTTTGCAGTATCAGCTGCCTCGTGCTAATCCTCTTCCGTTTCAGATGATTTGGGAAGAGACACTTCGTAAAGTCACCGAAATATTTTGTGCTGTGATTCCCCAACTGAACAATATTAAAGACACAGGTATGCGTTAACTCTATAAGGATTCTTGTGCCAAAAAAATAAGTATTTTATTTCAAATCAGACCTCTAAGGCTGCAGAAAAGTAAAGATTTTCTAGCCTATGCCTAAATTCACTCCTAATATTAGATAAAAAACAAATTTTTATAATAAAATTTGAGCACCTTTTATGTGCCAGGAATCATTTAAATCACTTATTATGCTTTTTAACAATTATTTTAGAGGGGGCAATTGAAGTTCATGATGAGAAGGGGGCTGAATTAGTTGGCCAGGAAAAGAATCATGGAAAAGGGTAAAGCAGGATTCAAACCAAGTGCTTCAAAGCCCATGTTGTCATGTTTTTCACTATTACAAAATGACTTTCATTAAAAAAAAAAAACTCAAAAAAAACTTTCACATCTTCTGTTATAGTCAAATGAGGGTTTGAGACATTCATATTAGGCTGAGTGACTGAACATGACCCCGGCTGAGAAGCAGGTAATTGAGCCACGCTGGAGTTCATCAGGATAGAGGGGTCTAGGGCACCACTAGGAGCTCAATGACACAGAATTACAAAGCTCGCATCACAGTGACGGGCAACTGAAATACACTCAGGAGTTCACTCTTGGGGCTGGAAGAGAAGGTCAACAAGTTTTAAGGCAAAGAGATATGGGTCAAATGCATTTTGCACATTTGCTAGATGAGTGACTTTGGAAAGCCAAACAAAATCCATCAGGTTCACTATCTTGTCACATCTACCTCCCAACATTGTTGCAAGAACTAAAGTGAGTTTGGACATTTGCTCAAGAGGAAGCACCAAATTTTGATCCCCTCCATACCCATTTTTCTTGGTGTCTCAGCTGTAACTGCCAAGTCCATTCTTTACTCTTCCTTATTCTGGAAATATCCCATTGGCCCAGGTGGGTGACTGAAGGTTGATGAAACACCAAGTATTTACTTTAGCCATGCACAGCCAAGCAAAATTATTGGAATTACTATGCAAATAACTCAATCTTTTCCATTTTTTCTTGTATATATTTCTTTTTATAGTATATAAGATGTACAACATGATGTTTAATACACACATACACAGTGATTACTTCAGTCAAGCAAATTAACATACCCATTATCTTATATAGTCTCCCTTCCCTTCCCTTCCCTGCACCTTTCTCTTTTTCTTTCCTTCCTTCCTTCTTCTTTCCTTCCTTCCTTCTTTCCTTCCTTCCCTCCCTCCCTCCCTCCTTTCTTTCTTTCTTCTTTCTTTCTTTTTCTTTCTTTCTTTCTTTCCTTCCTTTCTTTCTTTTCTTTCTTTCTTTCTTTCTTTCTTTCTTTCTTTCTTTCTTTCTTTCTTTCTTTCTTTCTTTTTTCTTTCTTTCTCTCTCTCTCCCCTTCCTTCCTTCCTTCCTCTTTCTTTCTTTCTTTCTTTCTTTCTTTCTTTCTTTCTTTCTTTCTTTCTTTCTTTTTCCTTTCTTTCTTTCTTTCCCTTCCTCCCTCCCTCCCTGCCTCTCTTTTTCTCTCTTCTTTCTTTCCCTTCCTCCCTCCCTCCCTGCCTCTCTCTTTCTGTCTTCTTTCTTTCTTTCATCCCAAATCTGCTCCTCTGGGAAATTTCCAGTATACAATAAAATATTATTAACTCTAGTCCTCATGTTGTACATTAGATCTCCAGGCTTATTTATTCCTATATAGCTGCAACTTTGTACTCTTTAACCTATATTTTCTGCCTCCTCGCCACCACTGGTAACTGCCTTTCTATGTACTCCATTTAATTTTTTTTAGGTTCCACATAAAAGTGAGATCATACAGTATTTCTCTTTCTGAGTCTGGCTTATTTCACTTAGCATAATGTCCTTCAGGTTCATCCATGTTGTTGTAAATGGCAGGATCTCCTTTTTAAAATATACGTACATACACACACATGCATATACACACACGTATATACATGTATATATGTGTATATATACACATACATACACAATGGAATATTGTATATATGTTCTATATATTAACTTATATATATATATCACAATTTCTATATCCATTCATGTTTTAATGGGGATTTGCTACATCATATGGTAGTTCTATTTATTTTATTTAGGAACCTCCATACTGTTTTCCACAGTGGCTGCACTAATATACATTCCCACCCATTGTCCAAGGATTCCCTTCTCTCCACACCCTCACTGTCACTTGTTTGTCTTTTTGATAATGACCATCCTAACAGGTGTGAGGTGATGTCTCATTGTGGTTTTAATTTGCATTTCCCTGCTGATAGTGATTCTGAGCACCTTTTCATCTATCTGTGCCTTCTTTGGAGAAATGTCTATTCAGGTCCTTTGCCCATTTTTAAAATTAGGTTATTTATGTTTTTACTATTGAATTGTGTGAGTTCCTTATATATTTATGGTATTAATCCCTTATTAGATATATGGTTCATAAATATTTTCTCCCAACCCATAGGCTATCTTTTTATTTGGTTATTTCTTTTTTTTTTCGTTGCAGAAGCTTTTTGGTTTGATGTCTTACCACTTGATTACTTTGCCTTCTATTTTTCACTGGCTGAACTGGTGTGCAAGTTTGAACTTCTCTGTTTCTTCCTTGAAAAATTAGATTTAAAATTCTAGCTCCTACCAATGAGCTTTAACTTATGGAAATGATCAATTTTAAATAGTAAAAATTGTATAGTCTTCACTTATGCTATAGACAGGGTACATGCCATTATTACTTCATTTAATGATGACTAAACTGAGATTTATAGACTCAAAGCAATTGGCCCCAAAGCCAATGACTACAATTAAGTAAAGTCTTTTGAATTCAAGTCCAGTGCTACTTTCTTAGATTGACTTTTGAACAACAAAATACTAACAGATCAACATTTTATGGATATGTTTGTTCTGAACAGACTCTAGCTTTATGACAGACACATTTTTTAATGTGTTTCTCCATTGTTGCTCAACATGAATTAACCTACAGTTCACAGTTAGTTCATAATGAATTTAACAGCCAAGTTGGTGGCCTCAGAGGACCTGAACCAAGGCGGGTGGAAGTTGATCATTTAAACAGCTTTTCAGCAATTTTAAGCCATGTAAGCCAGAGTGGGGAATATATCACCCTGCTCTTGGGGCAGTTCGACATTCAGTAAATCAGCTCAGCTATTTCATTTCTCTTTGTTCTGTTCTTACGAGTTTTTAAAAATAATAGTCAACATTTTTACTTCAAAACAGACTGTGCTCCAGCCGGGTGTGGTGGTTCATGCCTGTAATCCCAGCACTTTGGGAGGCCGAGACGGGTGGATCACGAGGTGAGGAGATTGAGACCATCCTGTCTAACACAGTGAAACCCTGTCTCTACCAAAAATACAAAAAAGTTAGCCGGGTGCGGTGGCGGGCACCTGTAGCCCCAGCTACTCGTGAGGCTGAGGCAGGAGAATAGTGTGAACCCAGGAGGCGAAGCTTGCAGTGAGCCTAGATCACGCCACTGCACTCCAGCCTGAGCAACAGAGCGAGACTCCGACTCAAAAAAAAAAAAAAAAAAAAAAAAAAACAGACCGTGCCGTGCTCCAACCATGGGACTTTGACCTTTCTGAAAATTCTAGACTCTCCAAGTTCAATGAAGGCAAAAATGTATGTGCCCAAAGGGTATCATCAAGACTGCTTGACCTTGAGAAAGTTATTGGACTCTAAGTTGAGTTTGTTTATCACTTGGGTCTTGACCGAGGGGCCTGAAATTTAGATGTAAGTTTATGCTTGTTGAAACTCAGAGGACTCTCAAGGCCTACTGTGCTGCAGCACTGGAAAGAAAATGAGAAGTGATATCGTGTTAAGAAGGCCTATTCCCGGCCGGGCATGGTGGCTCATGCCTGTGCTCTTAACCATGATTCTCAACTGCCACCTAATAAATTTAATGCATAGTCTACTCTTTATTAGCTCTGTGATTGGTACTCAGGAGCCACCGCTCCTGGCCTTTATTTTATTTTTTGAGACAGGGTCTGGCTCTGTCTCCCAGGCTGGAGTTCAGTGGCACCATCATGACTCACCACAACCTCTGCCTCCTGGGCTTTAGTGATCTTCCTACCTCAGCCTCCCAAGCAGCTGGTACCAAGCCACTATGCCAGGCTACATTTTTTTGGTATTTTTTGTAGAGATGGGGTTTGGCTACGTTGCCCAGCCTGGTGTCGAACTCCTGGGCTCAAGTAATCCTCCTGCCTCAGCCTCTCAAAGTGCTGGGATTACAGGTGTGAGCCACCGCACGGGGCTTAAGCATTTTATTTTTAATGCACGTGTCTTTACAACAACATAAATATTAGTTAAACTCATATACACATGTATTCTCTCCTTTTAATACTAATTTTCATTTTCCTGTACTTTTTAAATTTGTCCCACAAATATTTATTAAGCATCTACTATGTTGCAAACACGTGGGCTGGGCATTAGGTTTAAATTCACATGCATACTTATCCAAGTATATACTTTATTATCTACATTAATTTGTTTATGTCATTTGTAAGAATTTGACTATATTTCTACAGCACTCATATGTTGCATTTATTAATGTGGCCTGATAGTCACTGAGATCTGTCTAAATAATTCTATTGTTAGATATTTGAAGATTTTTCTCTAAATTATACACCTATAGTCATACTCATTGAATTTAAACATTTCTGATGACAGCAGGGGAAACCCTTGTTTGCTGGATCTTTTTAAAACATCCATTTTATTCAACAAACATTCCCTGAGGAGCAGTAATATGCCTTGCACTCAGCTTGGTGCAGGTAGACAGGAAGGGCCAACTGGCAGAAGGTGGGAGACATGTCAATCAGTCACACAAGTACATGTAAAATTCAAGGTCCTGAGGGCCTACAAGGGCCATCCATGGTGCAATGGAGCCGAGAAAACGTGTTTCTGAGAAAGCGAGTTAAGGGAAAGTTGTGGTATTAGATGCTGGATCCTACTTCTTTGACTTAACTTTAGAAAGAATGAAATGGGGAAACTAGTAATGAAAAACACCATTTTTAGGTCTCAGATGGTCATTGTCTAAACCTCCGCCTGCCTGTAAATGTAGGTGATGCATGGTGCAGCTGATTTCTTTTTTTAAGCATTCATTGTATTATTCTATAAGGGTACTTCAAAGCACAATTTGGCTAGATACTTTATTGGTTGAGTTAACACAACCAATACCGTAAGTCCAGTAATTACTTAATTGTCTCCTCCATTATCAAGAAAGAAATGAATCATAAACCTTTTATTACTTTACCAGTGGACTACAGGAAGGATTAATCTCCCAGAGAGGCATTTTTCATCTTTACCTGGTGCCGGCTCCTGCCCTGCCCTCATCCTACCATCCTGGGCTTCCTGCTTAATGCTCTGCGGTGGTCTCTGTTAGGATCAGGATGCCTTGAACTTATCAGCAAGGTTTGGCAACTGGTGATAAATCTCTGCAGCCTTCACTGTCTTGGCAATTACTCTCTTTCCTTTGTTGGGAAGAGGATTAAACAGAGACAGTGGTTATACAGAGCCCTTCACCACCATGCCCCTTGCCTTGCTGTGAGCTGGGAGTGTGGGCTATTTCTCCGGGCACCCAGGGGCAAGAACAAGGCTTTAGAAATACCACTGCATAGCTGGCAAACTGTGCTTGAAAAGAATGGCTCTTCTCCGGCATGCTACAGCTTTGACCTGTGTATTGATTTTCCAAGTATGATGCCTTGGGTTTATTATCTCCTACAGGTTAACTAACACAGCCAAATACCAAGAGCCTACGTGACAAGAACTCCGGATAAAAGAAAGCATGCAGCCATCATCAATGGCAACCTCGTGCTGTTTTTAAAGCCTTTTCCCACCAATCACATGGGTGGGTCTCTTGTCACTCTTTGTTCCTCATGCTCCTCCTCTTCTACATCTACTCACCATTTATCAGCACTCAGGACAGCATGATGTGGTATGGCTTCTCAAGTCCAGGACCTGGGTTAGGATTTGTGGTATTGACTCAGGCATGTTATTTAATCTTTCTCTCTGAGTCTCAGTTTTCTCAACCACAGCGTAAGCCCAGTCTTATCTCTTATAGTAGAGGGACAGGTGTGTATGATCAGTCCTTATTATGTGAGGTTCCCAAGGGCCTTGGACACAGGTACTCAGAGATCTTCTCTACTCTGGCCTTTTTGTGCTCTTCCCAGATGCCCACCACAATGCCTCTGTATGGTAATGGTTCACTGTTAGCTGAACAATTATACTTTGTACAGGTGAATGCAGCACATGCTTTTGAGCACCTCTTATATGCCCAGCTCTTGTCTTGGCCCATGGGATACATTGGTGAACAAACAGACAGAGGCCTCTGCCTGCTAAAGCTAACATGTTAATGAGGGATACGGACAACAAGCAATAGATACAATAAAGAAATGAATCATATAGGATGTTAGAAAGTGATAAAGGCTGAAATATTTTTTAAAGAAACATTGGGGGTGGGGAGTGAAGAGGGTTGCCATTTTGTGTGGAGAGGTTGAGAAGACCTCATGAAGGAGACCTCTGCTCACTGCAGAACAGGTACCTGCTGACTTCCTGCTTCCCAGGAGCCCTATAAAGGTGGGTTTTTATCCACAGTTTATAGGGATGGGAACTGAAGCTCAAATAAGTTAAATAATGTGCTCCATCCAGCTAGCAAGACTCAGGCCAGTATTGAAATCTGTGCTCTTAACTGTGATTCTCAACTGCCACCTAATAAATTTAATGCATAGTCTACTCTTTATTAGCTCTGTGATTGGTACTCAGGAGCTGAATAGGTTTAAGAAGTGGCCACATGGCCTCCTAAAAGCTAAAATCTCAATAACTGTAAAAAAATTAACCTTAGTGGCCATAGATGTTCTGGGACAGAAATTCTTGGAGGAAGCAGAAGTAAAAAGCAATTGGAGCAGAAATCAGAAGTGGGCTGATGTATAATTGCTTGTTCAACACTCCTATGTCCTGTTAGAAAATTTTCTGGGCGGGGTTGTGTTGCCAGTGATAGACTGCCTCTATCACTATCCAGCACACAATACACATTTGTTAAACAAATTTAACACTGACAATGTGTTTGGAAATTCACAATGAGCCTCAGTATATTTAAAACTCCCTGAATGCCAACAACAAATAAACTGACTTAACTTTGTTTAAGCCGTCATTTTCCAAACTTGTTTGAGAGAACTCTTTTTCCGTGAATTCATTATGAAACTAATATTCTAAAAAAAAACTAAGCTTAGGAAAATACAGCTCTAGAGAAATAGAAATTTCTATAAAATTTACTATAAAGATAAATGTATTTGAGTGTTCATTGACACTACTATGTCTTAGGTTAACATAAATACATAATAGATATAAGGAGGATCTTAGTTAGAATTAGGAATAAAAGTTGGATTCAGGAGCCTGAGGTTTAATCTTGAGGTTACCATTTCCATTTTTGTGACCTTGGGCTTGTCACTTAACTTTTTCTGAGATTCAAATTTCTCACCTGGAAAATTTTGTAGAGAAAGTAAATGCTATAAGGGATAGAGATACTTCTGAGAAAGTGCCTTGCATGGAGAGACATTCAATAAGTACAATTTGCATGTAAATTTATGATCTCCTTCTGCTTAGAAAATGCTTCTATGACACTCAGAATGTAACTTTTCAATGTCCTTCCTCAAGGGAGCTGGAAAAGAAGTTTTTTTTTGTTTGTTTGTTTTGTTTTTTAATGCCAAAAGCAATAACTTCCTAGCCCCCCCCAAATAAGTAAAATGTTTAGGAAACATAGAAAATAGAACTCTGTGTTGCTACAGGTTGTCCCCCATCAATTACCCAAGAGTACATCGGAGCTTCCCCAAACATGTACCAATGTCCTTAAGGAGAAATGAAAAAAGAGAAGAACATGACATTGTTGAACATCTGATAGAAGGTCCATAAATGGGACCATAATCTATTGGATGGCATACAATAGGTAATGGTCCCATTTATGGACCTGGTGAAACCTGATTCTCCTATTTTTACATGCTGTGAAAAAGTGACTTATTTTCAATCACAATAGATACAAAAAACAAACATGCAAATATATATATATTTATCTAAGTATTTGGCTCTTGACATCAATATCATTATCCTTTTGCATTAGAGAAGAGATGAGGTGGCTTTCTTTCCCCAGTGTCGTTTTCTGTAAGGATAATGCCTTTAACTTGAAAAAAAATAAGTGATTTCTGATATTATCACTATCTAGGTTGGATAATGAAAGTTTTCTTCTAGTCAATATGAACATGCATAAATTACCTTCAAATACCTTCAGATTCTGTGCTTTTAGAATACAATTCTACAATGCTATTCCAAAAAGGAAAGATGGTTTGACTGCAACATTCTTGATCCTGTTCCCTCTGAAGGAATTTCAAATGGACAGGTTGGAACCACTCAGAAAATACAAGAGTTGGCCGATCCCCAAGCTCATCCTCAGGCAAACATCTTCACAGCTTTAGTTCCAGCTTGAGTCTCTTGCCCTGTAAAGCCTGCCCAGACCCATCCATGCAAAGCTGGCCACTTATTCTTGTGTTCAGACATTTTTCTTCTATTTACCTTCATTGTGGTTGTTCACCCTTGTCTTAGTCTGTCTAGCTACTGTAACAAAGCAAGTCCAAAATGCAACAGAATATATTCCATGAGATCTTAAGGCCTTGAAAGTAATCCTCTTTGACTGAGTGCTCTGCCTTCCAGGTTTCCTGGAGCAGAGGCCTTTTCTTCTGGACCCATTGGGATCGTGGTCCTGCCCCCACAGCTTTGCCAGCCTGTGGCTGGGTCCCCAAGGTTCCAGCTGGCCCTGACCCATGCTTTTGGGTGGTATCAGCCCCATATGTGTTCTGTGCCTTGGCCCCACCAAGCAGCCGTTCACCGCCCGGCCCTGAGGCTCTCCAGGGCTGAGATTCTGAGCCTGCAGCTCTGCAGGAGGCCCCACCAGTTGAAATCTAGTGGAGGCAGCTGTTCCCCCCTGACTTTGCTGAACACAGCTCACACATTTCCAGGGCCCTACAGAGACACACAGGGATCCATCAGAGTTGCACCTCAGGTGGCTGAGGAACAGTGCAGGGCAGTGCACCCTGAGACCCCACAGATACCAGCAGCCCCTTCTTTAAAACTGTTCTGCCTCCAGGGCCTTTACATTCTGGGCCTGTGATAGAGGGCAGCCTTGATGGTTTCTGAACTTCCTTCAGGGTCTTTCTTCCATAGCCTTCAACAATAGCTTCTGAATCAAGAAGATAAGGAGATAACTGACTAATCTCCTTATCACAGGTACCTTGGCTACCCCAGAAAGTTCTCTCCTGAATAGACTTTCTCATTTTTCCAATACAGTCTGAAAATTTTTCAAATCTTTAAGTTCTGCTTCCATTTTGATTAACAATTCATTTAAATCATTTCTTTCTTCTCATATTTTTACTGTAAATTGTCAGAAGAAACCAGGCAATTTCTTCAATACTTTGTTTAGAAATTTCATCCTTCGTGATCTGCACAGCAAATCACCATAGCACACATTTATCTACATAACAAACCTGAACATCCTCCACATGCACCCCTGAACTTAAAATAAAAATTGGGAAAAAAAAGAAATTTCCTTCATCAAATATCCAATTCCATTATTCCTAAGTTCTACCTTTCAAAAAACACTTGAATACAAACACAATTTGCCAAATTATTTGCCACTTTATGAGAATGATTCTTTTGCTACATTGTCCAATAACATGTTTCTCATTTCTACTGGAGACTTTATCAGGATGGCTAGTAGTTCTACCAATATTCTGTTCAGGATTACTTGGATATTCTCTAAGAGTGAAACTTTCTCTGTAACTCTCTTCTCCTTTTCCTTATATCTCACCAGAAAAACCTTTGAAGGTCCATTCCTGGCAATGTAAACTTTTTCTAGTATGCACCTCAAAACTATTCTAGCCTCTAGTTGTCACCTAGTTTCAAAGCTACTTCCACAATTTTAGGTATTTGTTTCAACAGTACAATATTCCCAGGACTAATTCTATCTTAGTGCATTCTGGCTGATTCTATATTGGCGTACATTGGGTGATCTATAAATCACAGAAATGTATTGCTTGCAGTTGTGAAGCCTGAGAAGTCCAAGATCGAGGCACCAGGAGATTTGGTGTCTTGTATGAACCTGCTTCCTAGTTCATAGATGTCTTCTTACTGTGTCCTTACATGGTGGATGGGGTGAGGGACATTTCTGGATCTTCTTTTATAAGGGCACTCATCCCATTTATGAGGACTCCACTCTCATGACCTAACCACTTCTCAAAGGCCCCCATCTCCAAATAGCATCCCACTGAGGATTAGGTTTCAACATGAATTTGGGGGTCACACAAACATTCAGTCTACAACAACCTTTTTTGCTGAGATCTTGAGCATCTCTTCTTTCTTGCTCTGAACTTTCCACCAGAGCAAGGACTATTTCTGATCCACCTCTTGATCCCTCTATCCCTCATTGCTGGAATGCTGCCTGGCATAGACAATGAGGAATGAGCTATGAAATCCAGGGTCCCAGTGCATACCCCAAGGTTTACCAGCTCTGCACCCCAAACAAATTATTACTGTGTTTGTTTTTTGGCTTCCCCAGCTACAAAAATCAGAATAATACCAGTATCTTCCACATAGGGTTGTGGTGAGAATCAGATGCAATAGTGTATAGAATGTTAGAGGAAATTCTTGCTGCACGTCGGTGAAAAGAAAGCTGTATCTCTGTTGGTAGTGAGCTTAAAAAACTTTCTTCCACATTCAGAAATGTCTATAGTGCATTTGTGGTCTGGGGATTTGAACTTTTTTCAAAAAATGCATTTGCTTTGAGTGTTCAGACACAGACAAGGGAGGATCCACCTCACCATGTGCTATCTGCATGGCTATGGGGTTGGAGGACTTGATAGCAGAATGAGCCCCATGGCAGGGCAGTGATTCATGAGCCAAACCATGATAAAGACCTATCAACTGTCACAGCTGTACCCCCAAAAAGTTAATTTATATATATATATATATTTTTTATTTTATTTTATTTTTATTTTTATTTTTATTTTTTTGCTTTGGAATCAAAGGGCCCATGGATGAAGAAATCTGCAGAAATTATCTAAGGCCGCTTCAACTGAAGCATTTATTATTCAACACCTCACTCATTGCCCTGATTATAAATATTTAATCACTCAACAACTGTAAGTGGTTGAGTCTTCCAGGAGGACCTGCGAGCATTAAGGGGAAAGTAGGTGGGGAGTCGGGGGGAGCAAGAGATGAATATGACAACATGGGGCCACAAAGCTGTGTCTAGGTGATGTAGGGGCAAGAGAGGAGGCAGGAAGGACACTGCTGAGTTGTACTTTGAAAGCAGCTTACCAAGGGCCTGGACACTATTTTTTTTTTATTTATCCACTGGAGTTCAAAAGCCACTCCCCATCCTCCACTGCTCCACAGCCACTGTCAGAGGGCACCCTTGGAAAGCAGGCAGAAAACGTTCTTAATAAAAGAATCCCTAGCAATGAGAGGTGCGTTCCTTGCTCATGCCTTTTGTCTTTTCCCTTCTCTCTTTGTCTCAAACACGCACACACACACAGGACACACACACACACAAAGAACATGCTTGGCAAGCTTAGGGGTCTATCAATAATTCATGGGCAGCATTTCATCAACACCCAGGCCAGGAGAGGGAATGGGGGGAAGAGGTTGTATTACTTCTGAGCCTTGCAGAGGTCATGTCTGTGATTGGTTCATTGAGAGATGACTCCCTAAGTGCAAATGTGTGTGTGTGTGTGTTTTCCCAGATAGTGTAAGTGGCACACACTCAGAAACAAATGACACTAACCAAGGTGTCATGGGTTGAATTGTGTCCTTTCAAAAAACGTTCATTTCAGTCTTCACCCACAGCCCCTCAGATTACAATCATATTTGGAAAAAGGGTGGCTACAGATGTAATTAGTTAAGATGAGTTATACCAGAGTAAGGTGAGGCCCTCATCCAATATGCCTCTGGTGTCTTTATAAAACAGGGAAATTTGGACACAGAAAGAACACTACATGGAGATGAAGGCAGAGATCAGGTGATGCTTTGACAAACCAAGGAAGGACAAAGATTGCCAGCTGTATTAGTGTCTTCTCATGCTGCTAATAAAGACATACCTGAGACTGGGTAATTTATAAAGGAAAAAGGCTTAATTGACTCACAACTCCACAAGACTGGGGAGGCCTCACAATCATGGTGGAAGACCAAGGGACATCTTATATGACAGCAGACAAGAGAAAGCTTGTGCAGGCGAACTCTCCTTTATAAAACCATCAGATCTCATGAGGTTTTTTCACTATCATGAGACCAGCATGGGAAAGACCCACCCTATGATTCAATTACCTTCCACCAGGTGCCTCCATGTGGGAATTGTGAGAGCTACAATTCAAGATGAGATTTGGGTGGGAACACAGCCAAACCATATCACCAGCAACCACCAGAAGCCAGGAGAGAGGCAGGGAATAGGTTCTACCTCACAGCTGCAGAAGGAACAAACCCTGTGGACATCTTAATCACAGAGCCCCAGTCTCTAGAACTGTGAGACAATAAATTTACATTGTTTAAACTCCCCAGTTTGTAGTGCTTGGTTACAGCAACACTAGCAAAGGAATACACCAAAGCAGGTGTATTGGGAGAGTTACCTCCCAGAACCTTGGCAATGCCATCCTGCAAGGAGACACTCTCCAGGCATTTTGCCTCTGATTCCTCTACTCACTGTGTCTTCACCTCAAGACTTTATGGGCCAAGAAAAGGGCTATGACTGAACCACAGAGTGGGCTGCTGTGTTAGAGTTCTCCAGAGAAACAGAAGCAGTAGGAGATACATATACAGATGTGAGTGGCTGTGTATATATAGAAAGAGAGAGTGGGAGGGAGTAGTGGGAGAGGGAGGGAGGGAGGGAGAGATATTATAAGAAACTGGTTCTCAGGATCATGGAGGTAGGCAAGTCCCAAGATATGCAGAGTGAGTTGGCAAACTGCAGACCCAGGAGAGTCGAGGGTGGACCTCCTGCCCAGTGACCACTAGTCTTGAGACCCAGGAATAGTTGATGTTTAGCTTGAGTCCAGAGATGAAGGTACTTCTAAATGTTTCTAACATTTAAATTAGCAGACAGAGTAAAGAGAATCTCCCTCCCTCAAGTAGGTTGATCTCATACAATCAGTTGAAGGCCAATATAGAACAAATGTCTGACTGCTGAAAGTAAGAGAGGATGTCTCAAGTCTAACTGCCTTCAAACACTCAAACATGGCAGCACCATTCAAAATAGCCAAAAGGTGGAAGAAACTCAGGTGTCCATTGATGGATGAATGGATAAGAAAAATGAGGTCTATCCATACAATGGAATATTATTCATTCAGCTTTAAAAGAGAGGGACATCCTGTCACATGCTACCACATAGTAGCCACTCGCAGAAAGGCAAAAACTGCATGATTTCACTTACATGAGTTACATACAGTAGTCACATTCATAAAGACAGAAAATGGTGGTTGCCAGGATTAGGAGGAGCGAGGAATGAGGAGTTGTTGTTTAATGGAGACAGAGTTCTGGTTTGGAAAGGTAAGAGATCAGGAGACGGATGGTGTGATGATGGCACAGTAAGGTGAAAGTCCTCAACACTACTGAACTGTACACTTAAAAATGGTTAAGATGCTAAGTTTTATGTTACATGTATTTTACCACAATTTTTAAAAAAGTAAAGGCTATTGTGTGTCTTGCAGAACAGTTGGGAGGTCTGCAGAATTAGGTTCTGTGTTAAGTTTCCAGAACTGGCCTGGTGGGAAACAGCAACTGCAGCCTCTGCTGCTGGTGCCCTTGCCTTATGGGGGCCATGAAGCTGGTCCTCTCACCATGAGGCCACTCTTGCGCCGGACACCCAAACCTTAGAGCAGCTTCCTTATCTGATGCCTAGTGTCAGCCAACAGCCTCACTAGCAAAGTGCACTGGGTATGATACTGCTCTCTACACATTGCTTGCTTCCTGTCTTGGCATCCCAGGGGCACGTCTGCAGGAATACATTCCAAGTCTGCACCCTGGCTGTAGTGAAGGTAGGGGAAGAAAATATCCTGGGTCCTACTGCAGAAACCAAGCTCACAGCAGGCCAGACATTTCTCCCCAAAGAGCAAGAGTATCTAAAAGGCACTGAGCAAACAGAAAAAGGGAAGCTGTCCAAAACAAACACCTCCCTTGCATGTTTGTTATTAGGATAAAAAACAATGCTCAGTAGGTAACCATCACCATGCACAACATGGAGAAATCCAGCAATGTATGAGTGCAATTGTTTTTATTGTTGTTGCAATAATGTTATGATCCCTTTTATTGCTAGTGTAATATACTCTATTCTAGTAGATCTTAATGGTTGTTAATAAAATATTAATGTATTTTACTTATTTTTTCATATATTTTACTGCAAACACGCACTGATTCTTGTCACTTGCAATCATTAGTCTAATGATTGACCTCCCAAGAGAGTAGCCTTTAGTCTATGATTAAATACAGGTTTCAGGAGGTAGAAGTGGAGGCTGCAAAATTCCAGCCACTGCGTACTGGAGATCACTGGAGGGGAAAATCATGTGAAAATTGTCTTTTTTTTTTTTTTTTTTTTTTTTTTACTATGAGAGGCATATTGCTGTCAGACAAAATGAGAAGCATGCGTGATTTGAAGCAGTATCCTCATAACCACGCTGCTTTTCTAAGTTATCGTCTTCTTGTCTACAAAACTGGTTAATCACGTTCAGTGCTCGTTTGATGGACTTTGCAGTATTCCACTCTCCTTACTCCCCAAAGCTCTTGTCTCTCTTTTTCTCTTCCCCAAAGCTCTTATCTTTCTTTCCCTTTGCCAACCTCTACTCTAATGCTGTGTTGGCATTTCTCCTTTGTTGTTTAGAGTTACAGTGCACAGTTCAGCCATTTCTAAACTTCCTAAAACTTTTAAAATATGTCTGAAGTAATAAAGGCTGCCTTATCATTTGACAGTCTTATAAACTTGTTCCCTATTTGTTTCCTGCCACTATTGGTTGGAAAGAAAGAAGAAAAGAAAGAAAGAAAAAAATGCTTGCAGTTACATAAAGCATTGTTAATTTTACAGTGTACTTAAATATGAAAATGACAGAGTTTGGGGTTATTCTAATTTCCCTTAATATTTTATGATTCCAATTAAGACATAATAAATTTTTTCCACTCTCAATCCCTAGAGGAGGAATACACACCTTTAAAAATAATACAGTGTTGCAAAACAATCTTCTGATACCAAAGGGAAACTTCCAGATCTCTAGCTGGAAGATGAGCGGAAAATGTACCTATTCTGTTTAGAAGCATTTAAACCCCAAGAAAAAGAGGTCTTTGGATTTGCTCCTCCACTCCATGAATTGAACAGGATACCTTTGAAGATAAAACTTATATATTACCATAGTTTGGAAGTAGTGGCTTTTTTCATTTTTTGAAATTCCCTTTAAGAAGGTTAGAAAGCCTATCTTCACTAATGTGGAGACTTCCTGAAGGAAGCCAGTGAGTTTTGGAGAGCTTCCCTGGGGACATAATGAGACTTCTGTCATTTGTTTACCAATGGATATCTCAAATGTATATGGTGCATTTATGGTAAGAAACCAAAGCTACCTGGAGTATGATTTTCCTGCCTTTCCATTCATGAGGTATACAGTAATGATTTATACAAGCATGCTTGGATTTTTGCACCCACACCCATCCTATAGAGATAGTCATATTGTCATTTCCCATGCCTCCTAGGTACCCTGGGGAAGAAAAACCATCACTAAAATAAAAATGTTTAAGTATTTTTATTTGTGATGTTACACATGTTATATTTGTAACATTTGATCAAAATATAACATTACTCAAACATACCTCTCTATTTAAGAGCTGGACAATGGCCAGTCCCCCTCCTTGTTGGCCAATCTTCTACTGATTCACCAGAGATTATTTCTGAATTTCTCAATTAAAAGAAAAAGAGATGCACATCATTTGTAAAATGAATTTGCACGTGTTGCAAAAGATGTAGAATTTCATAAAGTTGACAAAAGTGTTGGAAGAATGGCTCAAATTACGTCTAAAGACACTGATTAATAAGTATCTGGTAGGAAAGATAAGTCAATAGTCTCATTACAGACTTACTGTTACAGGATCTGTGGGTTGTCAGTTTTCTGGCTGGAAATCTCTGTGGCCATGGTGTCTTTGCCCAGTTCTTGTCCTGCATCCAAGAAGAATGAGGTATGCAGACAAGTGAAAAGTGAACAAGACAAAGATGAGCTTTATTGAGTGTTGCAACAGCTCAGAAGAGACCTGCAGTGGATAGCTCCTCTCTGTAGACAGGTCATGCATGGAGTATTCAGTTCTCAGCTGAGAGGAGGCGCTGGAGAGAGTGGCTCCTTTCTGCCAGCAGGTTGTCTCTGCAGCTCTCGACAGAGAAGGTAGCTCCTCTCTGTAGCTGGTTGTCCCATCATCTCCAGCTGTCAGCGGAGAGAGTGTTCCTCTCTGCAGCTGGTCATCCCATTGTCTCTCTACTCTCCTCCTCCTCTGGCCATCCTCTCCTGTGCTCTGGCTGAGCCTGGGGCTTTTATGAACCCCAGAGTGGAGGAAGTGCTTGTGATTGGTTCATGGGTGGCCATGGGCAGGCCTGGAAGAGGCACCATGAGTCCCCACTCTGGTCAGCAGGACTGGCAGCTCAGCTCCCAACCTTCAGGACCTCCCTGGCTGCCTTCAGCTGCCTTTCATGGCCCCTGGGGCTCGGCCCCAACCCCTGCTCCAAGATCAGAGCAGGTGCCCTGAGCGGAGAGAGGCCAGGCAGCAAGAGCAGATCCCCGAGCTTGCGGGAATGGGTGGGAGGGTCCTACCTGGGGTCCCTGAGGGTGTAGGCTGCAGAGATGCTGGGGTTCTGTGCCTGGAAGAGCAGCTGCAGTTGCACCTGGGAGCTCCTACACCACCAACTCAGAAGGAGCAGGGCTCCCGCTTGTCCCAGGATCCTGCCTGCTCCATGGAGCTGGAGGCCCAGGTCTGCAGCTGCGGGTTGGGCAGTTGCAGCTGCACCCAGGAGAGCAGATCCTGCGCCCCACCCCAAGAGCACAGGAAGGCTCCGATCCACAGCCACAGTTTGGGAGGCTGTAGCCCTGCCCAGGAGGGTAGGGCTCTTGCCTGCTCCTTAGAGCAAGAATCCTGGGTCTGCACTTTGGTTGGGGTGGCTGCAACTGCACCCAGGGAGCTCGTGCCCTAACTCAGACAGGGCAGGGCTCCCACTGGCTCTATAGATTGTGCAGCCCCAGCCCTGCCTCCCTGATGCAGCCTGCAGCCACTGCCGTCATTACCATATGGTATTTTTTTCCAGAGTAGTTGTCACCATACATTAGATTCTATTTATTTATGTTTTGGCCCTGTTAGAATGGATGTTTCATGACAGCTGATATCTTTGTCTTTTTTTGTTCTCTGATAAATTCCAAGCACCTAGCAGTGTGCTATGGAACATAGTAGACATAGATGTTCTAGCAATATTTATTCATTCAATTAGTGAATGTCTTTCTTTCCTTTCTAGGATGTTAGCGAGGGTGAGGGCTTGGTCTGTTTGTTGTTGTTGCTGTTGCTGTTACTTCTCCACCCCAGGTCATTGAAAAATGCCTGATTCACAATGGGCACTCCATAGACAGCTGTTGAATAAATAACAACACATGCTTCCAATGAACAAGGTTTGAATAAGAAAGAACTGAGAAACCCTTGGGAAAATTAATACAAATCTTGAGTATTTTTGTAAAAAAAAAAAGGCTTTCTTTATGAACAGTTTACAAAAGTGAAATATCATATAAATCTTGTTGTACCATGCTATCAATCAATTCTATAACTAAAAATTGCAAAACAAATCACCATGTTTACTCTTTTCTCACTTAAAAATTTATTCAGATTTATAATTATAAACTATATGTGTGTATGAATACAAATCTGTAATGCACAATACATTTATTTTCATAATGATATTTTTATTTTTTCAAGATAAATTGCCAACTAAACTTAGTTTATTCCACTATTGACTATGAAATTGTTATCTCTGTTTTCAAATAGATGACTTTAAATATCTTATTGCCAGTGCCAACTCACCCTAAGCCAACTTGGCATTTCTTTTATATTTAATTTTATATCCTGCATTGGCCACCTATATTACACGTCTACTGCCATATCATATTATTAAAAGTCTTCACAACCAAAGTTAGCTGCAAAATATTTTATTTTGCAGATGTGAAAAATTTTCTTAAATTATCTTCAATTTAAAAATATTTCATTTCCAACTTTATGCTCTAAATCACATTGCCATGAGGCTTCCATGCACAGATTGTGATTTTTCTCTTTTTCTCCCTCTCATCTCAGATGACTTCCTTGAGAGTCAAAGAATAAATATATTTAAGACTTTTAACGCGTTTGCCAAATTGCTTTCCAGAAGGGTGACACCTAGTATATTGCCATCGCTAATGCACGAGGATGTTTGTTCCATTGAAACCTATCATTTTACTCGTTAATTTCATAGGCTTAAAATAGTTGCTCATTGTTTAAATTTCTGTCTTATTGCTGATGAATGAATTTGATCTTTCCTCCATCACTCGGTGGTTACTCAGTTGTATTTAATCTTTTGTATGAGGTTCTGCCTACCTAATCTTTCCCATTTGAGGTAATCCATATTCAAATCCTGGCTTTTGCACTTAATATCAACTTGACATTAGAACTCACTTAAGCTCTATGAGTCTCCATTTTCTCACTTATTAAATGGGAAAATCCACTTTAAATGGAAAATCTGGTTTCTTTCTTTGTTATATAGACTCATTATCCACAGCAGGAGAGTTCAATTTGATATAAAGTAGAAAGTCCTTCTTGGACTACCCTTACCTTACATCCCAGAGTAATCATTTGAAACTTCCCTACCACTTCATGCTCCCTTGATGAACTCCTCACAATTCTCAGAAAAGGATGGCATCACTTTTGCTTGGCCCCAAGTTTGTATACATGCTCTTCCCTCTCTCTAAGCTGACCTGCTGTGCCCTCCATTCTTTGCTTGGATAACTTTTCTTCATTCTTAAATTTCAAGTGAGGATTTTCCTCTTCCTATTGGTACGCCACTTCTGCGTATTCCATTCCAGGTTAGGTGTCCCACTTCTCTGTTCCCAAAGGACTTTTGCAGAGATGCACAACCCCACCCCCCACATCCTTGTTATTGTACTCTGTAGAAATTGATGACTTCTACCACTTGCTACCAGATCGGGGGCTCTTGCAGGGGTAAGGGATTGTTTCAGTATCTTAGCCCTATACCTTGCAAAAGGATACTCAACACATTTTGTAGTAAATAAATAGATTGGTTGAGTCTCCTATGAGCCTACTTAAAGAAGATTATGAGATACAACAGGAAATTCAGTTTTCCAATGCCTTGATAAGCAGGAGATTACCATACTGTGGAGCAGTTTTTGCCACTGAAGGGTCAAACCATCTACCATCCATGGGCCCACTCCCCTCCCCAGCTTGGTAAACTTTTGTGATCCAGGGCCCCTGGTGCTTCATTCTAACCTGGGGAAGTTCCTTGCTGCCAAGAATAGGCAAGCACAGAAGTCTGGGATGCAGGTCCTGCCAACAGAACTAATTGTACAGCAACATTCTTTGGCAGTTCCACAAAGAACGTCAGGACTGTCAAAGGTATGGACAGAGAGGAAGTGCCTACGTGCCTGCTGGTGGGTGAGTGTTTATACCCTTGGAATGCCAGGAGGCAGGGAGCTGGCAGGAGGTGTCTTTGCCCTCTTTTACTCGTTAGACTCATAAACTGTGCTCCTGCACAGACTTCCTCAGGCACATCTCATCAGTTAGGGGAGCAAATCTGGGCTGCAAGGGGAAGTCTCGGGAGCCACCCAAGAGCTGTTCCTTCAGGGCAAATTCCTTGCGTTAGCTTGAGCTTGGACCTTACCCTGTGAAATATATGCTCTGTTCTGAGGAACAAAAGCCATTTTAGACATAGCATCCAACCCTCTGGGGCTCAAAACCTGGAAAACAGCCTGCGAGTGAGAGTGGTGAAATAGGAGAGTCTCCAGCAGACTCATCCATGAGATCACCAGCGCTGGGAATGAGGTCCTCATGGGCCCTCCACATTCCACCAAAGGACCACCCTGTGTGTTGATACAAAGGGACTGGAAAACCCAGAACTCCAACACTATCTCCCGAACCCTGCTTCAAACAAAGGAAAGACTCGGCACTACGTCCTGGGCACTGTCACACCTATGCCATCCTTCTGTCCTCACAACACCTTGCCATGTGGGTACCATCCCAATCAGTTGTTCAGAAAGAGCAACCTGAGATCTGGTGAATGATCTCTCTCTGTAATGCCACTCTGTGAATGGATTCTGGAGCTCTATTCCATTCCAATCTAGATGATTCAGACATGTCCTCTCTAGACCACCCCCCACCCCACAACTGACTGTGGACTTCCAGGGAGCAGCAGAACCACCTCAATTGTCACAACCCAAACAGAGTCACTGCTGAGCCCAGCCTGATCAGCCAAACTTCAGCCAATCCGAAGCTTCCTGAGAATAAATTATTATTGTTTGTGCCAAGATAATAATAATAATACAAATTCAATGTGTGAACTTTGCTTGACCCTTAATTGAAACAAACCTACTGGAAAAAGTGTATATATTTTTGAGACAATGGAGAAAACCAAACAGGAGTTATATTGCATGAACTAGCTGGTCCATGATATTAAGGAATTGCTGTTAATAATGGTAACTGTGACACTGTTTTGTGAGTTTGTGAGTGTGTATATTTTTTCTTTGCTGTTAGAAATGCACACTGAAGAAGTATGCCTGGTAAATAAAATGGTACAATAGCTGAGAAGTGCTTTAGAATATTCTAACATAAGAAAAAAAATGGGAAGAGGAAGAATGAAACAAGAATGACAAATTTTCCATAACTGTTAAAGCTGGGCAAAGCGCCCATGGGTACTTTTCTGCACGTATGAACATTTTCATGATTAAAAAAAAAAGGTTAACAGTATTATCTTTGAGAATTGGGAATTGGGTGACTTTTCCTTTTTCGTGCCTTT
This sequence comes from Homo sapiens, assembly GCF_000001405.40. Classification (NCBI taxonomy): domain Eukaryota; kingdom Metazoa; phylum Chordata; class Mammalia; order Primates; family Hominidae; genus Homo; species Homo sapiens. Next base: position 98,381,478 of record NC_000014.9, on the reverse strand, counting down.
TAGGAATTTTCAAATTTGATACGGTAAACATGCATTCCATTGGTTATATTAAAAAAGCGCACGTTCTCATTTCACATCTTGAATTTTCTAGATAGCTGATGCTTCATGCTGAATTTCTCTCATCCATTTGTATGAAAACTCTCTAAAATGTTTCACAAACCTTCCTGCTTTCTTTGAAAGATGAGATGGGAAAATATAAACTAAGCTTTTCTTTGTGACTGTGGCAGATTGCAAAAATGCCCCCGAGCTCCACTCTTCTTGATTCCAGACCTCTGCAACTTGATTGTTCATCTCCTCCCACCATGGGGTGGAGTCTGCTTCCCATTCCCTTGATAAAAGTTGGGCCAGCCTGTGAATTGCCATTAGAATATGGCAGAAGCGAAGATGGGCCAGTTCAGGTCTAGGCTTTGCAGACTTTCTCCCTCTCCCTACCATTGCCAGGAGAACACGCCCAGGTTAGCCCGCTGCAGCAAGAAAAACCACTCAAAGTATAACCACGCTGTCCTAGCTGAGACCATCTCAAGGTCAGGTCATGACCTATACCCTCCGGATGGGCGAAGATTTATGCCCAAGCCCAACTGAGAGAAACCAGCCCAGCCACATGCCCAGAACTGCCCGGTGCCAGGAGACCCCTGGAAAATACTCATTGCTTATTATTGTATGCCACTGGGGTTTGTGGTTATTTGTTACATAGAATTGTTATGGCAGCAGATAGAAGATACAGTGTTTCTGAGTCCAGTTTCATGAAAATAAACCATGGCACTTGCTGAAGTGAAATGGCAGCATTGAGGAGTGGAGGTACATCTGCCTCTGCCCTGAAGAATCCCGTTGTCCGGTGCATTGGAACTTTGTTCTTTTAAACAAATATTGGGCAAGCTTTTACTATGACAAGGTACTGTGCAATGCAGTGCTAGGTGTTCAGGTTTATAGTCCCAGTTTCAGGGACCCACACTTAGCCAAAGTCATTCACTCTTTTTTCCCTTTCCCCAGGACGAAGACATAGGTGACCTCTTGTACTTTGGATGGGGCTGTACTGGGGGTCTCACACAGCTGCTCAATTTTAGGAGCAGCACATACCTGCTTTAAGGCTGAGAATGTCTTTTCACAGGCTGAGAAATCCTTCTTACATTAAATCCATTAAATGATGCTAAAGATCCGCCTTCTTTCCAACAAATCCCTAGAGTTCCAGGCAGGAACTATCTCATGCAATTAAGGAGATAGAATCAAACAAGAGATATTTACTACAGATTTTTTTTTTTGCACACACAGACATAATGAATTAAAAACTCTGAACAATAGAAAAACCAGAACAGCTATCTATAAATCTATTCTAGAGAAATAAAAGTACAAGCTATACAATTTAATCCTAAGTGCTTTTTTATTAATGAAATCAAGCACTGTCAAATATTCATGTACATTACATTTCTTATAATTAAAATGCTGACATACGCTTAAAATAACAATATTCAAAAGAAATGACGAGATATGTGATGCCAATTCAAAATGATGGTGTTTTCACTCCTGACTTAATGCTAGACCACCGATCTGAGTACAAATTACAGTTTTTGAAAATGTGTACTTCCAAGATTTTATAAGTTAGTTCAATTCTGTTGAGCAAATATGTTTTCAGTGCCTATTCTAGGCCAGAAAGTATCAAGCTAGAGAGAAGACACTTTACTGCTACCAAAAATTCAACTGGTTAACGACCTTACAATGCCCTCCCATAGCAATAACCCCAAGAATCTGTACAAGCCTAGTAGGGAGGCTTAGCCCAGCCTGGGAGAGATCTTCATTTGTGGGTGTAGGTAGAGTGGTAGGGGGTGATTTTTTGGACTCAGTCTTAAACGATGAGCAAGAGTTAACCAAGTGAAGGAATATAGATGAAGGCTGACTTTAATAGAACAGGATTTTTTATTTTTATTTATTTATTTATTTTTTTGAGATGGAGTCCTGCTCTGTCGCCCAGGTTGGAGGCTCACCGCAACCTTGGCCTCCTGGATTCAAGTGATTCTCCTGCCTCAGCCTCCTGAGTAGCTGGGATTACAGGCGCATGCCACCATGCCTGGCTAATTTTTATATTTTTTAGTAGAGACAGGATTTTGCCATGTTAGTCAGGCTGGCCTCAAACTCTTGACCTCGTGATCCACCCACCTCCGCCTCCCAAAGTGCTGGAATTATAGGTGTGAGCCACTGTGCCTGGCTAGGAAAGTTTTCTCTCTGGTTCACAAATGAGCATGCCAAGGCTGGCAGGAGTTGGAGTCAATCAGGCATGTTCACATTACAAGGGGCAGCACTTGGGATTTGAATGCAGGGCTATCTGATTCTGAAGTCTACAGACTTTCTGTTACAGCTGCCATTTTTCTTCCAGGAAGTATCTCCCCTCCTTGTTGGAGAGGTGAGTGGCATGGAGCTCTTGATAACTTTCTATGTGTGAGTATGAAAATCATCTTCCCAGGTCAACAGCAATGTGGACTGGAAAACAAAATGGCTGATTACTTTGTTTGAAAGTCAAGCATGATTCTGAAACACATCTGATGTACTTGGAGTCAACAAGCCTGCAGTATGAATGATTTCACATATATACATTTTATCATCCCGTGAATTCTGGCTAATGCTCTATCTCATCCATGGAGCTGTCCACTCTGGTTCTGAATCATTCCAGCAAAATTACATTTGTACTCATATTTGACAATAACTGCTTACCAAAAGGGCCCTAATTCATCCAGTTTCTTCCTACCTCCTCAACATCATCTTCCACAAGTGACTGCTCATTTACTAAGCTCTGACCAAGCTGGTCTTCTTTTCCCTCTTCCAGCCTGCCCATCTCTTGGCCACACTAGTGGTTTGGCATTTGCTAACCCTCTGCTTAGTGTAAACTCCCCACCCTCTTCTCACCATGATCTTCGGATACCTGGCTCCTTTTCACCATGTAGGTTTCAGGTTAATGTTACCTCCTCAGTAAAGCCTTTTCTGATCATTCAGTCTAAACTTCCCTTGAGCACTGTCCATCTACATCACTAGTCCCCAAGCTTTATGTCCATTAGCTGTGACTTTCAGCTACTGTTTTTTGAGAGGGGGCCTCAACCTGTTGCCCAGGCTGGAGTGTAGTGGCGTGATTTTGGCTCACTGCAACCTCCACTTCCTGGGTTCTCCTGCTTCAGCCTCTCAAGTAGCTGGGACTACAGGTGCAAACCACCACAACCAACCAATTTTTGTACTTTTGGTAGAGATGGGGTTTCACCGTATTGGCCAGGGTGGTCTTGAACTCCTGACCTCAAGTGATCTGCCCACCTTGGCCTCCCAAATTGCTGGGATTACAGGTGTGAGCCACCACGCCTGGCCTCAGCTACTTTTCCTTATTTATATGTTTGCTTGCTCACTTTCTGTGTCTGAGCACATGAAGGCATGGACTTTGTCCTATTTTTACTGTTTCTCTGGAGAAAGACCAGATTCTAGCACATATTAAGTCTTGAATAAATATTGATTGAATGAGAGAACAAAAGCATGAGGATCACCAGTTGGGGTGGATTGGGATGAATATCTTATCTGACTCTTTTCCTAAATGCTAAATTTCTTGAAGAAAAGGACAGTTTCCTATGACCAAAAACACACCATTAAAATGTGGTCCAGTTGAGTTTGCCATCAAGGACTTAATGCCATAGTTTGAACATCTCATCTCCCTTTGAAACAGCCTACTTTTTGGTATTAGGGATTAATTTCTTATTTGTCAATGGAATAAACACTTTTTTCAGTGACTGTCATCATAATCTGCTGTTTTATGGGTCCATAGCCCTGTATTTGGATCTGTTGTAAGTATTTATAATAGCATTTTATGATATCTGTGATTTCCAATTTATTTTCCACTTTGTTATGGGGATATATGTATTATTATTTATCTCAATGCACAGAGAGGAAACTGAGCTTCACTGAGCTTAATTCACTTCTTAGGCAGAGTCAGATGTGGCTCAGAGATCACTAGGATGAGGCAGAATCATTGCCCTCAGGGAACTTATAGTCACAACCCAGCTTTGATGTGGTGTCAGCTGAGCAAGGCACTTGGCATGGAGTACAAATCTAGTAAGTATTTAGTAAATTACTGCAAAGGAAGCAATAAAATAACAGAACATCGAATTGTCTGCTGTGATTCTGTGACTCTCTACATGATCATGTAAGTGGAAAATCAGTATTAAAGCACTTAAGTAAGGAACAAAACGCGACGTGAGAGCTTCAGATGTCTTGATGGAGGTCATTCTAATGGTGTCAAAACAAGATGTACATATCGATGGAATTGTGTGTACATGTGTTGTCACAACTTAAAAATGTTGGGCTTAATATAGTGACAGTTTCTGATCTGTCCTGTTGAAAATAGCTTGAGCAATTTAATTTTGCTAGAATAAGGAGATAGGCAAGAAGAGATTGTCACCCTCTTTACGTATTGAGTGTTTTCAGTAGGTCACTCCAGAGTTCCTCGTTCCTCTCTCCTCCCTAAAGATAAAAGTGCCTCTTTACCTTGCATCACTTTAACATGTAAGATATAGGATAAGACAAAACAGTAACAAGGGGCAGAGAACAAAAATATGTATGTCGTGAGGAAAAACTGTGGGTGCATCATGTATATAAAGCTAACAGGCCATTCTGAAAAATGAGCACAGATACCATTTCAGTTTGAAACGGGGGAGCCAGGCCATTTTCTATTAGCTTAATTATTAAGTGAGTCTCTTTGGAATAAATTATAGGCATTTTAAACCCGATTGAGTTATTATACTGCTTCCCCCAAAATAAGAACAAACAAGAGCGCCACATCGATCGGATGTTGCAAATGGCAATGGGGATGGTTAAAGGAGTCCTTTTGCAATCAATGCTTATTTCATATTCTTTTTTAGAGTTTAGAGAATCCAAAGAAAGATGTATATTTCTATCCTGTGATAAGATGTACTTCTATTTGGAAACTTCATCAAATAAACGAGTGTAGACCATGTGGACTTATGGATCTGGAGAAGGAGGAACTATCTGGGCTCCCTTGGGTCAGTTAATTCATCATCTAGTGGAAGTACCAAACACACACTCCCTCTGATTTTATTCACAAGTTGCAAGACATCACATAAAAACCCTTTTAACATATATTATTGAAAATCTCTATTATAGTGCTCCAACTTTGTGAATTTGATTAAATCTCCATGACAGAAAATAAAGCATTGTAATGTATGCACCGCCTTGCAAAGGTCCTATTATAGTGCGGGCACGCTAGCCTTATCATGTTAAAAATGAATGGTCCTGGGAAAATAATTTAGTGAGAGATGAACTTAGAAGAACTAAAAGCATTTAGTATCGAGCAAATTACCAAGTGAAATTGCTTTGCTATGAAACTTTGGGCTTATTGTCAGAGATGTTTAGTCTGCTCAAAATGTTTGATCTAGGAGAATGCCTGTGTTCAGAGAGAAATTCAGTTTCCACAGTGAGGGCTCCAGGAGGCTACCACAAGTGGTCTTGGAGAGAAGCTGCATCTGGGCTCTAGAGGAACAAGGTCCAGACACACCTCTGCAAAGTCCCAGTTCTAAGTCTTAGTCTCAAACATAATGATGTCTCCACCCATGGCTGCCCATTTGTCCCGGCAAGGAGTGGGGAATGTATACCTTAGAGCAAACTGACCCAGGCAAGTATCCTTGGCGCAAACAGTGCTGTTCTTGCTGCAGGACATTTGATATCCTTTCCAGCTCTATGTCTAGCATTGGCCATGAGAAATCAGCAATTACAGCAACAGCTGCATGCATAGACCAGAGACGCCGCATGATGATTTCTCTGGTGAGCGTACACTTTCAAAGGATTTCACATCACTTACACAGAGGAGGTGTTAGTCCTTAATGGCAAAGATATGGATAGAATCACAGAATACCCTACTATGCCTTGGAGTACTGAAAGATCAACTAGGGCCTACAACTAGGTGTGACTTCACATGTATATTGATGAGAAATAGGGGCCTGGCAATGTAAGACAAAGAGTTAAAGGGAAGCTTGAAGGCCTTGACCAGAAATCAGGCCTCCTGGCATTATAATCAAGGCTCATAGTATACAATGAGCCCTCTTAGCCTCAACAAAGAGGGTTGTACACACAGGGCTCCATGTTGCTTTTCCTTTCCACTCCCAGAAAGCAGCCAGACTAGGAACTGACGACTGCAATTTACAAATGGAAAAATGGAGGCTTGCAAAGGCCACAGGTAGCAGAGCAAGGTCTTATTCCAAAATCTCTGGAGCCAATATCTTGGGGCTCATCCCCTGACTGTAAACCCTCAGTCACACAGATCAGTTTGAATGAGATGAATTTCATAATACCTGTGGCACCTCCTGCAACTAAAATAGGTAAAGCTGCTTCCAAATTTGATGTGCCATGTTTTATCAGGATTTAGAGTACGAGGCAATGTTGCAAACATCAACCAAGGATGAGGGGCCTTGACTAGCAGGAAGACTGAGCCTGCAGATGTTATTCTATGGCTGGCTGAGTGTTTTGCAGGACTTGTATGGCTTGATCTAGACTGTGGCTGAATAAGATAACTGGTGGAATTAATTGATAATCATATACCTTGAGAGAGACCCAGAAAGTTTTAATCCAGCCAAGAGAAATGCACTGGACACTTACTTCCTACTTCACTGCAGTCCACTTAAAGGTCACTAAAGCATAGAATCCAAATTGCCTTGTGACTTGAAGTTAGCAACAGGCAAACCATACCCCACCTTGCTACATGTCCATCAGAATTTCATTGGGAAGCACAGCTCAGAAGTTTTTCCTGACAGCCTCAAGGCTGGGGATGGTGCTGATACCCTTTCAAGTTCCCACAGCACCTGGTGTTTGGCCAAAGCACGTGGGACACTCTGCTATGTCATTCTGTCCATCTCTCAGAGGAACCCAGAGCAACCTCCAGGCAGGTCCTGCATCTGATTCATGGCTCTCTCTCTCTCCGGTGCCTAGACCCAGGCCCTGGCACACAGGGCAGAGACACGGCTTCCACACGTGTTTGTTGAAGGAAGGAAGGAAAAACAGGACGCGTTACCATTTTTGTCTCGGTAAATATTGACAGACTCACTCTCTCTACTTGCAGTCTGGTGTCACTATGTCTGCTGTTGCTGTATAAATGTGTGTGAGCCTGGCGAAGGTTCATTCGCTGCTATTGTGTATAATGTGTGTGTGTATTTCCCTCTTTAGCTGTAGAAAAAGCAAGCATCTCCATAAATCTCCATACTGATCATATGCAAAAAAAAAAAAAAATTCAACTCTTGTCCAAATGCTGAAGGAAGCGTGTGCAAGGAATCATGGTGTGGAAGGAACTTAAGAGATGAGCCCGACCAACCTCTGCTTTATACAGATGAAGAAGGGAAAGGCCAGATAAGCACAGGATCTTGCTGAAGCTCCTATGGCTAATTAGAAGCAGAGTTTTTACTGCAACCTCAGAATCTCTTATCCCAGTCTATTATTCACCCTCTAGGAGCTCTCAGCCTAATTGATTTAATTTGTCACTGACATGTCATACTTAGGATGGGACCAAAAACTGAAACTGGCTATGTCCACAGCAAGGGAGAATAATTAGCAAATTCACATGTTGTGCTGATTTTTGTCTCCCCAAAATCAGAGCCAATTATTGCTTTAAGTAAAGCCATAGGTGGAATAAAAACATAGATACCAAAAACTTTTTCCAGAATCTAACAAAACAGAACTCGTGCTTTTTCTTCTGGGTTATCTAGGTTGGGATAAACTCAGAATTCAACTACTCCTTTTCCCATCCCATTTTTTCTTTCCCCTCTCCCTTGCTGACACACATTGAGTATACAGTAAGGTTTAAAATATGACTTTTGCAGATTTCTTAATAACCATTACATCATATTTTCCCACTAGTATATTAATACATTGTTGTTCATCGTATCCCCAAGAAAGTTATGTACATGTCCTAAACTCTGGTATTTGTGAAACTGACCCTATTATAGATAGTTCTTGTGGATATAATTAAGGATCTCAAAATCAAATTATCTTGGATTTAGATCAGGCTCTAAACCTGCTGACAATTGTCCTTCTCTGAGACCGAGACACAGAGGGGGAGACGATGTGAAGATAAAGGAAGAGGTTGGACTGATGGGTCCACAAACCAAGGGATGCCAAGGACTGCAGGCAGCCTTCAAAAGGCAGGAGGGAGGTTAATGTAGGCAGAATTGGTTCTTCCTGAAGGCTGTGAGGAAGAATCTGTTCTCTCTCTTTCTCCCAGCCTCTGGTAGCCTCTGGCATTCCTTGGCTGGTAGGTGACCTTCTCCCAGTGTCTTCCCACGGCATTCTCTCCAGCATGTCTGTCTCTGTGACCAATTTTTAAACTTTTCTAAGAACACAATCATATCAGATTAGGATGTATTCTAATCACCTCATTTTAACTTGATCACCTATAAAAGCCTCATATCCAAATAAGATCACATTTATAAGTACTGGGGGTCAAGACTTCAACATTTTTGAGAAACTGCAATTCAATCCACAACAGGAGGTGTGAAGCAGATTCTTTTTGCTGACATCTTGATATCAGGAATCCTGGCTTTCAGAACCATGAGAGAATGACTGTCTGTGTTTTCAGCTTTGAGTTGGTGGGAGTTTCTTATTGCAGTCCTAGGAAACACACACACACCTTACCAAGGCTGTGCCTTGTTGGTCTCTCCTTCCCTCTCTCTTCTCCCATGTTGCATGGTCATCACCTCCTTACGTGGCAGCATTCCATCTATGAGTTGATTCTATTTCATTTTAAAATGCTAAGCAGAAATGTACATTCCGTGCTGTTTTATAAGTTGCTCATGGTTATCAGGGAGACAAAAGTTCTTAGCAAAATGATCGCTTTGATAATAGATGTATAAGCAGAAATGTCATCTTCCTTCCCTATCAAGGATACACGGTTGTAGTTGAGTGTTTCAGTGATACCACTGTTCTGGGATAGCATCTCTGTGGTCCTTTTGAGTTTCTTCTCTGGGTTGCAATCTCACCCTTACACACTGCATTGGAAGTCAGGAATGTAGGTGGACATAGACTCCCTTGGAATTTCTCCTATTTTTTTTTTCTGCTGAGGAGAAAAATCTTTTCCCCAAAATCCTCAGTGGGTCTCCCCATACATCTCATTAGTCAGAATTTGGTTTCATGGCCACCTTTAGCTGTCAGAGTGGGAAAGAGAATGTCTGACTTTCTAAGTCTCTGTATTGGGGTATAGGCAAGGGAAAAGAATATAAGTGGTCAACCAATAACAGTGGCCACAGTTCCCACGGTGCCGCTAAGTGCTGTGGGTGCCTTTGCAGTCATCCAGTCATCTGATTGCTTTTGTCTAGCTCAGTGATCCTAAAAATGCAGTGTGCATTGGAATCACCAGGAGAGTTTATTAAAATCCAGATGTGTAGGATCCGCTAAGCTACCCAGGAACCCTGAGCCTGCTGGTCCTCCGATACTTTAAACAGCACTGGCCCAGAATCATTGCTGGTACCATTGACCTCATTGTTTCTTGGGAAGGTAAAAACACAAGGAGTGGTCAAGACTACTCTTTTAATACTATTATTACTACTATTACTAAAATTTAAAAAGAGGGAAGAGACAGGGGAATTTCCAGTTGTTGTTTAGCTAGTAGCAACTTCATTTTTGACCTACAGTTGAAAGACACTGGCCTAGGAGTTTGGAGAACTAGCTCTAGTGCTTATTCGGCCATGACATGGTTACATGGCCTTGGGTCAGATACCACCCCAGTAAGGGTCTCGTTTTTTTCTTTGTGAAGTGGCAGCACTAAACTTTGTTTATTGTTACTCCCTTTCCTGCTTTCACATCTATGATTCATTGTTTGTTCACATAAGCAAAACTCACTCTTTCTTTTAACAGAAACTTTTTCAGCATTTACCCAGGGTCATGTCTGTGCTGGGAGCACCCAGTTTGCCTGTGATCGCTCTGTGAATAGGATTTTTAATTCTTTATTTTTGCAGATGTGGGAATCAAGGCTAAATGATCAGTGTATGTGTGTTCAATGGCAGAAAAATTATTGAATAGAGTAACGTGGACAAAGAATACTCCTTTTGCCTTGAAAACCTATTAGATCACCCTTCAACTTCATGTACCTTGACGGACCTGAATGGAAAGACTCAGTGTTCCTGAACTCAGATGCAAGAAAAGACATGCTTCCCTTGCTCAGAGAATATGTTTGTTGTCTTTTGCAAATCAAAGTATGAATCGTTTAATGGATTTGGCTTTTCAGTTTTAGTGTTGAGAGAGAGAGACAGAGAGAGACAGAGAGAGAGACAGAGAGAGACACAGAGAGAGAGAGAAAGGCAGAGAGAAAAAATGTCACAAACTCATTTAGTTTGGTGGCTGTCCATTGACTGTTTCCCAAGTAGACATAAGTAATTTTAGCACTTAGCACATCAGTCAGATCTAATTCCAGATCCAACTGAAAGGAACAAGCTCTTTTCCAATGGACCTTTGACCCTCTTGCAGCTCCAGATAGGATGGTGTCCTGTGCAAGAGAGAAGAAGACTGATTGCCGTGGGCTCCCAGTCCAGTGCCTTATGCCAAATCTCTACATTCCAGAAAAATTAAATAATTACGGGGGTGGAGGCACCACTGTCACAAACAATTTTGAATGCATTCTGCACTAGAAAGCAGAGGTCCCTTAATGACATCAGATCAGTATGCCAGAGGCTCTTTCCAAACCCAAGCTGCTGGCCAGTAGCAGTGGGGGCACAGACAAGGACCACCACAAATGTCATACTGGGGTGGGCTGCCTGTGGGGCACTCGCCGGCTATTGTTAAGATGGGAAGAGACGCAGCCTGGTAATCCCAGTGTTTCTGTTGATCCAAGGATCGTCTTTTCTTTCATTTCCCTCTCACCCTCTTTCAACAGGGCTTTGCATGCTTGCACTTGACCAGGGATTAATGAGATTGTTTGCATAAGCCAAGTTGGAGAGGCAGAAGGAGAGACACAGCTTGCGGACACCACTGAGATCTGAGTTTTCTTGGGTCAGGATTTGAGGATAAAGTAGTGCCCCACAGGACAGCCAATTTACTCATGGATTTGCAAAGTCCTAGGGCGAGCTGCCACAAGCCAGCCAGTGTTCCTTCAGCTCTTCCCACTGAAGGGAAATTTAGCTTTTGTTATGTAAGGGGCACAGCTTTGGTATTTCTTAGAACTTTTGAGTAGAAAACTCTATGAACACTATTATGATTTTAGATCTGGTTATTATTGTTTGGTTTGCAATAACCAATGGAACACCTTTAAAACTTTTTACTTTTCCTTTTTCCTGTTTCTATTTGTCAGTTTATCTCATGGTCTCATATTGATTCTCCGTCCATTCTCATCCTGAAGCTAGGGTATAATTGATGCCAGGAGCCTGTGATAGGGCTGGGTAGGTGATACGGTTTGGCTGTGTCGCCACCCAAATCTCTTCTCGAATTTCCACATGTTGTGGGAGGGACCTACTGGGAGGTAAGTGAATTGTGGGGGCAGGTCTTTCCCGTGCTATTCTCCTGATAGTGAATACGTCTCATGAGATCTGATGGTTTTAAAAATGGGAGTTTCCCTGTGCAAGCTCTCTTCTCTTGTTTGCCACCATGTGAGATGTGCTTTTCACCTTCTGCCATGATTGTGAGACCTCCCCAGCCACGAGGAACTGTAAGTCCATTAAACCTCTTTCTTTTGTAAATTGCCCAGTCTCAGGTGTGTCTTTATCAGCAGTGTGAAAATGAACTAATACCACAGGGCAGACAACAGACCAAGTTAGAGGAAGCCTTAAATGAGTTTTATGTTCATTCTTCATTTTTACTTAGTTTTTCAATATGCAGATGGAGATGATGATAATCTATCCAAAGTATGTCCTAGAATGGCATGCAAGGAAGTGGTTAAAAATGCTATAAAGTCATTGTCGTTGTTGCTATTGTTGCTGTTGACTTTCCCCCACAGACACTCTGCAGCTAGTAAGTGCATCTCCTGGTCACCCTGACTACTCGTCTACTTAGCCCTCTTGTAGGTTTAACCCCCTCCTTGGTGTGACACAGGTTGCAATTTTCCTGAAATCAGCAGAGTGGTATTTTTTCAGGTTTCAGGCTTTTCACATGTCTTGAAGCAGTAAGAATGGTTCTCTTTGGCATGAATTTGGGGGGTTTGTGCTTTAGAAGTAGTTGAATTTACCCTCTACTGTCAAATATGTCATTTCAACCTGAAAACAAGTTATTTCAACTTAAAGCTTAAGGTCACCTGAGGCCACTCTGATTGCTGCCTGGAAAGTGGAAGGATTGAGTACAGCAGGAGTTCAAGGTGTGCTGACACAAGAGCCGGCCGGCAAGCAGGTCTGGACTGGAAGCAGCATTTGTAGGAGAGGCTCACGGGGGTGGTTCCTGTTCCCTGGGCCTGTTGAATTCCACTCCTCAGTCCTCAGAACAGATGCAAAGTCCTGTGGATTCTCCTGGCTAACTTCTCCTGCCACATTCCTTTTTTGACTATGTCTCTCAATTCCTTCTGTGTTTTCTGTCATCAGAGTGGTAGGTAGCAAGACTAGAGGAGAAATTAACAAAAGTGAAAAAATGAGGAGATGATGAGGGGAAAGTTTAGTATGGCCATTTCCTTCTTACTTTAAATGTTGTTGTATCTTTTTGGGGGTGGGGAGTGGAGCGGTGCCTGTCACCTGCTTCCTGTTATAAAATTGTACAAGACCTAATTAGGAAGTTAATTTACCAGTTCTCACAGCAGCAATAATAAAAATAAAAATCTGTGTATGGTATTTTTATAAAGTGTTTGTAGAGTTTTCACATATTTTATTTATTATTCCATAAACATCCATTGAATGCTTGCACTACCAGAACTCCTATAGGCGTCACAGGGGAGTTTATCATTCTAGTGTTAGAGACATTAAACACAGACACACACACTCAAAGCAGAATGAAGTGGACACATGACAGTGTGTGCTCCCCAGTGCTATCAGAGAAGCAGGTGCAGTGGGCTGCCTGGCCAGCAGCCTCTGTGAGTGCCTCGCCATGCCTGTTCAGATATAACTCATCCCCTAGTGACACAGACCTTGAGTCCTGGGAGGGCAGAGACTGATCTTGCCCAACACTCACATGCCAGTGCCTAGCTCAGCCTGGGGCTAGAACACCTTTCTGCTTGCTCTTTATCCAGCCCTTTGACATCATTCATGCCTCCATCCATTCCCCTCTTGTGAAACTCTCTCCTCACTGAACTTCCTTGACACCACCTTCTCCTAGTGTTACTGGATGGGAAGTCTTGACTGCAAGTTTTCCAGGTTCTTGGCATATTCAACAAAGAATTGAAAAAAATGCACAGACAAAGCAATGGACGACAAAAGCAAAGACTTATGGACACGAAAGTACACTCCACAGAGTGGGAGTAGGCTCCAGCAAGTGGCTCAAGAGCCCTGATGGTAATATTCCCTGAAGTTTTTATTGAATTCAAAGAGCACGGTAACACCCCTACGTACACTTTAGAAGCCTCTGATACGTTACACCCTATACAAAAGAAGGATTCTGCCCAGGACCAATCAGAGGCATCCCACCTATGATGTATATGCAAATGAAGGTTTCAGAATGGACCGTTTACAGACCTTCCCTTTAGTGACGTAACGGAGGGGAGGTTTGAAGAGGGAGGGGCCTTTGACCTCTCATTACTTGGTTATAGAAAGGTGAGGTTTTTCTCTTAGTCTAATTTCAAGAAGGCAGCTGTGGGTTGGCCTTAGGTTTCCTGTCTCCAGACCCTGTTCTTCTCACTAGTGTTCCTCCTACTTGGTGAGAATGCCCTTTCCATCTTCCAATGTGCTGATGCCTCAGGAATAACTTCTGGGTCCTCTTCTATCTCATCTCTCTATCATTTCTCCAGGTGTTCTCATTCTCTGTCATGGCTTTAAATGTAAGCTAAAAACTCCTGAATATAGATTATCAGTCCAGACATTTGTCATATCCATTTCGATAAGTAATGGAAACCCTCAACAATGATGTGTTCGAAATGAGTCTACTTCCACTCCAAACCTATTTTTCCTCCTAGTCTTCCCTGACTAGGAAAATTTTTCTCTCTCCTCAGCTCCCCACATTGTTACTGCTAGAAGCCCAAGGGTCCCTTGGACTGTTTCCTTTCTCTCAAGAGTAGACCCCAATCCAATTCATCACTACCTCCTGATGACTCCGGTTCCACTTACATCTCCAATACCCCCCAGCTCCCAACTGTACTGCCATGATACTGGCAGGTGGTCCAAGCCATCATCGTGCTCTGCTCAGCTTCCTGTTTCCAGGCTCACTCCCTGACCAGCCTGCCCCTCTCATCAGATAGCCAGAATGATCTCTAAATCAGTAAAACATCTGGGTGTTGTGGCCCATGCTTATAATCTTGGCATTTTGGGAGCCCAAAGTAGGAGAATCATTTGAAGCCAAGAGTTTAAGACCAGCCTAGGCAACATAGTGAGACCCCAGTCTTTACAAAAAGTAATTAAAAAATAGCCAGGTGCAGTGGTGCATGGCTATAATCACAGCAACCCAGGCAGCTGAAGCAGGAGGATCACTTGAGCCTGGGAATTTGAGTCTGCCATGAGCTATGATCCTTCCACTGCACTGCAGCCTGGATAATAGGGCAAGCCCCTGTCTCTACAAAGAAAAAGAACAACAAAGATAACAACAAAAATCCGTAAATCACTAAAACAAACCAAAAGACTCCAATGGTTTCCCAGGAAAGTAAGAGTAAAACTCAAAGCCCTCATTGTGATGCACAGGGACCTGCAGGATACGGCACCTGGTCTCTGCTATGTACTTCTCCAACTTTCTGCAATTCCACTCACTTTGTTCCCTGAGACTGCCAGGCTGTTTCTTACCTTGGCCCCTTTGCCCAGGCCTTGCCTTTCATCCTGCAGGTCTCTTTTAAAAGAGCGCCACCTTGGAGAGACCTTCTGAATCAAGTAGCCTACTGACCAGCTTCCGTCACTCCCTCTGGGTCCCACTTATTTCCTTCACGGAACTCCTCATAGCATCGCCTGTACATTCCTGGCCACTAGCATATCAGTTTCTTGAGGGTGATACCACACTCCACTTTGCTACAGCTTAACTGGCAGGTAACACAGTGTCTGGGATGGAGCAGAACCTAAATAAGTACTTGTCTACCAAATAAGTAAATCCTTAAAGATGTTTTCTTCAAGGATATGTGTACAAGTCACCTGCATCATGGTAACATTCAGTGTGGGGATTATTTCTCTCTTTAAACTTAGTAAAAATTACACTTGCTCATCTAAGACCCATTTTTTAGAGAAATACGTTTCAGAAGAAGAAAGAGATACTGATTCCTATCCTCTATTTAAATGCCATGGGTGTCAAACCAACCTACTTAGCCACCTTATGTTAATCACTGTTATGAATTACTTATTTTTAATTAAGTGCTTGATTATTAAATGATAAAATCTATTCACTGCATGGCTAATATGCTCCTCTCTGCTTTGACTCTTCTGAGTCGGGCCAGGTAAAGAGGCTTCACATCATGGATATTGGTAAGTCCCATGTTAGGATCTGTTCTGTTGATCAGTTTTCTCAGATTCTGTCTTGCACATTACAGACTCCTGACAGACCCCTGTGTACACTGAGTAGATAAGAGCTGTTGGGGATTCCTGCAGTAAAGAAGTCTGCTTGCCCTTAGAATTTCCTACACTTACCTTAGTATGTAGCACTTTAATCTCGATGTCTAATATCTTGCTATGCAACGTGTGGTTGGCACCCAGCATCACTGGCATTAGAAATCTCAGGCTCTTCCCTAGATGCAATGAATTGGAGTATTGATTTTAAGGCCATCCCCATGTGACTCATAAGCACATTAAAGTTCCAGAAACACTGCATCAGACAACGGTGAGATGCTATCCCACTTGATCTTGCCAAGGACCCTTTGCGGTAGTATTATCATCCTCACTTTAGAGATTACAAAACTGAGGTCAAGAAAGAGAATGTGACTTGGTCAATTTCTCATGTTCAATGAGAAGCAGACACAAGAAAAGAAGAACTCACATTCTGCTTCCCAGTCCTTCCATTATAACAGGATGCAAGAATATCAGATCAGAATGCAACAGCAGGAAAGTATTGATTTCTCAGATTCCAAAATAGAAATTTCATCATGAATCAGAACAAGGAATAGCCACCATCCATATTAAAGAGGTATGGGGAAGGAGGAAAAGAGGCAGAGGAAGTGAAGATGGGAACTCTAATAAGTCTTCTGAAACAAAGGAGACTAATTTGTGTAATGTTTAGTCTGCCAGCTCCATCCTTGCAGGGTTACCAGGGTCCAGCTGCATCCCCCTTTGTATGGCCTCCTGCCAGGATCTGGCAACTCCTCCTGACATGCACTTATCCAACTCTAGGGTGCTCCAGGATTTCCATAGCCTCAAGACCAGGTGCTTCAACATCACTTCATGATTTTCCCAAAGCAAGCATACTTTTTATAAACTGTCTCAACACTAAACTCCCCTGAAATTCTCGCAGTTTTGGTGTGTCATGTATTTTCTGGTGAAACTCTAACAACTGTGTGTACTCTTATAATCCCCATGTTATATTTTTACATTGACATGCTATCCAAATGAAAATGTATTATTTATGATGCATGTACATTTGAACATGGAAAGAAATGGAAAAGTTCTAGAGAAATTGTTCTGAAACATGCTGTTCTCAAAAAGTATTTTATCTTTTGGTATGTATTAAGCCTGAAACTCATTTATCTAGTTTGTTTCTCTCGATATTATTTCATCATATGAGACTCTGTATTTTATTTAAACAGTCCTATATTGATAGACTTCAAAGTGATCGCCAGTCCCTTGTTCTTGCAAACCATGAGGCATTGAACATCTTGCACAGTTGTGCTTGCACAAGGGCTGATATTGCTTTAGGGGAGCCCTTATAATTGGTACTGCCAGGTGCTGGATGCATGCACAGTTCTCCCAGATAATGCTATGTTGTGCTCCCAGATGTCTCCAGGGTTCTCCCCTCCTGTAACTGGTGGGTGGGTTCTTCAACACTTGGAATTATCAAACTGTTTTATCTTTGCCAATCTGACATATGATAAATGGTATCTTATTCTTGTTTAATTTGCATTTCCAGACAATTAAAGAAGTTGAGCATCTTTTCATCAATTTACAGGCCATTCGAAATTCCTCTTCTACTCACAGCCTTCATTTACTTCCCTTTTCATCATTTGACTTTTAAATATTAATTTGTAGATATGCTTTACATATATTGAATCATAATACTGCTTTATATGTTGTGAATGTTTTCCTTCCTAGTGTCAAATTATATATTGTATTCTGTTTTCTGATATTTTGGTATGAGATTCCTTTTTGGAATTTTGATCTGGTTAAATTTGTCATTTTTTTTTCTTTAAGATCACTGTTTCATTCTGTTATCCATTTTGTTTGAGAAAGTCCTCTTAATTCCCAAATCAACAAAACATTCTCCTATGTTACTTTCTTATACTTTTAAGTGTATTTTTAATTACTGGGTATTTATTCCTTCTTGAATTCATTCTTCTCTTTTATAGGAATCCAAGTACTAATTATGTTTCATTTTTACTTTATTAAACATAGCCATTTTCCCCAAGCTACATATTAAATGTTCATTGTTTTCCTGGCTGTTAATTAGGGGCTTAATGCTAACTATTGTAACACTCCTTATTCCTCTTTGACTTACACAATTCAATTTCTACAATTCAATGTGGGTCGGCTTGTCCTCCTGGACAGCTCTCCTTCATGCAAGGCCACAGAAATCTGGCTCACTCCATTTTGACCTTGTACCATCTTGGATTCCTTTACTTCTAATCATGCTGCACGAAGTAAATGGAAATAACCACTCAGGACATTTTAGGGACTAGATAGGGAAATGCTCTATATCATTTTCATCTATATTCCATTGGCTCATTTCTAGACACAAAGAAAGATGGGGAACGTAGCTTCCCTGTGTTCCCAGGAAAAAAATAAAATGATCTGGTTACTGTTTGGCAGAGGCTCTGTCATACCCACTGGTTAGCCATCCTTCCTCTATCCTATGCTAAGTGCCCTTATATGCAAGTGTTTGCTTCTGCACTCATCCTTACAGTCCAGTGATCTGTTATCATTTATTGGATAATACTTTGTCATTTTAATTTCTATAAAATATAATGCATCTCCGTATTTAGTAGAAAAATCACCCGTTTAAAAACATTTTTGACGTTGGTATTCATCCATGTGAAATTAAAAATCAATTTGTCATATACCATGAAGAATGTTACTGGGATTCAATTAGATTGTATTAGTAAATTGTTAACGTATAGATTAATTGGAAGATAACATTAAAAAATTTTTTTAATTTCCCATGTTTAATATTATGTTTTTGGTGGTGGTTATAAGACTGTATGCATCTTATTAAAAGTACGCTCTTAAATGGTAAATTTTAGTAAAGCTGACCAAAAAAAACTGATAGAACTGAGGACACAGTTGCTTAATTTTCAACCTTCCTTGATCTGTAATAAATGCTTTACAGCCTTACATTTCCTTCTGAACACCACTTTAAATCCTTCAAGATTTTTCTTACTAAAAATATTCAAACACACCAAAAGTAGGTGATGGTACCATGAACTTCTGATGTCCACTTACCCCAATTCAACAATTATTAATGTTGTACTGTATTTACTTCATCTACTCCCCTTTGCTTGTCTTAGTTGAAATAATTTAAAGCAAATCCAAGACATATCATTTCACTTTTATATAATTAGTCATTTTATGACACGTAACAGTAAGCATTGTTGGATTAAGTGAAAAATCAAATCATTGTCTTCGTTTTTAAATAGGTGAGTTTAATTTGTTTTTGATTGCATTTTATATGCTTGGACATATAAAGATCATATTATTATTATTTTTGCTTTGTTTCATATCCTGCTATTAGTTTTTTTTCCAGTCTTGTATTTGACATTTTTTTTTCTTCTTTTGGTGTAGAAGATATACTTTGATTTTATAAATTTTGTATGGCCATTCTTGTATCTTAACACCCATATTTAACTTTTCTTCCTGAAAATGCCTAACTGTATCATTACCCTCTTTGTACTTAATGAAGACAGAGACTGTAATCTATTACTTTTTCCCACCGGCCTCTGCCTTCTAGGATCTCATGCTATTTTTTCCTAAAATTTAGCTTCAGATTACTGTTAAACACAGCAAGGTACAATTTATTGATAATGATTAGTACTGTTGCTACTACGCCGGGATGGCAGAGGCTCCAGCGGAGGACCTACGCTCAGCTGAGTTGTCATCTTGGCTGTGTTTCCCATTCTGTCTGTAAAGTTTACAGCCCAGGGTCCACTGCAGTTCAGGCAAATTACCCCTTCTACACATTGGCTCTCCTGCTCCCACGAAGGACACTGGGAGCGTAACAAGAGTCATGTTTGTCCTCAAAACTGATTATGCCAGAGGTAAACTGTATGATTTAAATATCCCACAAATCACCAATATGAATGCTAAAGGAAAAAGAGTTGTTTCCATGAAAACCACATTGAATGATATGAAAGAAGTATCATAATCATGCTGTCTAATTAAATGTAAGACATATATAAAGGAATGAAACATTTGTAAAATATTAGGAAGATTCTACCCTCAGATTCCTTGTCAAATTAGTTTCTCACACTAATTAAAAGAAATTAAGATTTTTTAAAAAGCCAAATGCTGATCTGAAGAAGGTGTGGTTCATACGTAAGAAACATATAGAACTTCATTCAGCCACACGTATA